>NC_000008.11:94464222-95714222 GCF_000001405.40 Homo sapiens
CCCAGGTGGGCCTAACCTAATCAAATGAGTTCTAGCTGCAGAAAACCAAAGAGAAGGAAACATGAGAACTCAAACGTGCTTCCCTGGCTATGAAGACGGAAGAAGGGGACCATGAGCCAAGGAATGTGGTGACCTGTAGAAGCTGGAGAAAGCCAGGGAACAGATTTCCCCTAAAATCTCCAGAAATGAATATAGCCTTACCAACACCTTGATCTTAGATCTGTGTTGAACTTTTGACCTACAGAACTATAAGATAATTCATTTGTGTTGTTTTAAGCCATTAGATTTGTGGTAATTTGTTTCAGCAGCAAGAGAAAACTGATATTTCAGCAATAAGAAATAAATTCCTGATAAAAAGTTTCTTTTTGGTGTCATGAAAATGTTCTAAAATTGATTGTGGAGATGGCTGCACAATTCTGTGAATATAATAAAAACCACTGAGTTGTAGTAAGTAGACTGTATGGTATTTAAATTATATCTGTATTAGTTTGCATTGCTATAAAGGAATACCTGAGACAGGTAATTTATAAAGAAAAGAGGTTTATTTTGGCTCACAGTTCTGCAGCCTGTATAGGAAGCATGGTGCCAGCTTCTGTTTCTGATGAGAGCCTCCAGAAGCTTATAATTAGGGCAGAAGGTAAAGGGGGAAACTGCATCTCAATCACAAGAGGGAGAGCAAAAGAGGGAGGGGGGAGATGCCGCACTCTTTTTAAACAACCAGATATCATGTGGACTCAGAGCGAAAACTCACTCATTACCATGAAAACAGCACCAAGCCATTCATGAAGGATCCGCCCCTCATGACCCAAATATCTCCCATTAGGCCAACCTCAAACACTGGAGGTCACACTTCAACATGAGATTCTGAAGGGACAAATATCCAAACTCTATCAAACCTAAATAAAGCTGTATTTTAAAAAGGAAAGAAAGAAAGAAACCTTATTAAGAAAACAAAAGCCTATGTTTTCTCCTTACAGTGTGCCAGAATTTTTACATTGGTAAGTGCTAAACAATCTACTTGGGAAAGAAATATAGGATAAAACAAACACATACAGACCAAAAAAAGCAGTCAAAAATTAGAAGGTTTTTTCAGCAAAAAAAGACACCATTAAAAACCAGGCAAAGACCTTAAATAGACATTTTTCCAAAGATATACAAATGGCCAATAAGCACATGAAAAGATGCTCAGCATTGCTAGTCATTAAGGAAATACAAATCAGAACCACAGTGAAATACCACTTCACAACTACTGAGATGCCAATAATAAAAAAATTTTTTAAATGGAAAATAACAAGTGTTCCTGAGGATGTAGATACTACAACCATCACACATTCCTGATGAAGATGTAAAATGGTACAGCTATGAAAAACAGTTTGACGGTTCCTCAGAAAGCTAAACACAGAATTACCATAATACCCAGCAAATCCATTTCTAGTTATAATCCAAAAGAATTAAAACAGGAACACAAACAGAAACTTGGATGCCAATGTTCACAGCAGCATTATTCGCCATAGCAAAAAGGTGGAAACTGCCCAAGCATGCATCAAATAGATGAATGGATGGATAAACATAATGTGGTAAAACCATATAATGATTATTCAACCATACAAAAAAATTAAGTTCTGATACACACTACAACATGGATGAACCTTGAAAACATTATGCTAAGGGAAATAAGCCAGACACAAAAGGACAAATATTGTATGATTCCACTTCCATGAGGTACCTAGGGCAGTCAGATTTATAGAGACAAAAAGTAGAATCGTGGTTATCAGGAGCTGAGTGGAGAGAATGGGGAGTTAATGTTTAATGGGTACAGAGTTTCTGTTTGGGGTAATGAAAAAGTTTTGGAAACAGATTGTGGTGATGGTTGCACAACAGTGTGAAAGTCATTAATGCCACTTAATTGTACACTTAAAAATGGTAATGTGGCAAATTTTATGTTACATACGCTTAACCACAATAAAAAAGAAGAGGGAAAAAATTAATAGACTTTAATCCCTATAACATAAAAGGATCAGGGAATTGCAGAGTAGTAGGTAGTGTGAATTCTCCATTTTATATGCCTTCTTTATACTTTATATGCCTTTCATATATACTAACGCCTTTGATCTTAGACCTAAGACCAAAACAATCCTTTTTCTTAACAGTAAATGAGACACATTAAGACTGCTTCCAGTATTCACTTTTTTTTTTTTTGGGGGGGACGGAGTCTTGCTCTGTCACCCAGGCTGGAGTGCAGTGGCATGATCTCAGCTCACTATAACCTCCACCTCCCAGGTTCCAGCAATTCTCCTGCCTCAGTCTCCGGAGTAGCTGGGATTATAGGCGCGTGCCACCATGCCCGGCTAGTTTTTGTATTTTTAGTAGAGACGGAGTTTCACCATGTTAACCAGGCTGGTCTCAACTCCTGACCCCAGGTGATCTGCCCGTCTCGGCCTCCCAACGTGCTGGGATTACAGGCGTGAGCCACTGCACCCAGCCAGTATTCACTTTTTACAGATAAAAGTGAGAAAAAATGTTTGGAATAGTGATACAAATCATTATGTATTTTTTCCTCTTTAAATGACCTTAAAGAAGTTTTCACTTATTTATGTGGTAACTTTAAAAAGAACACTGATTAGAATCTCCACCCCTTCCCTCAAAGAGGTACTTACTTATCATTACCAAAAGTTTATTTTATAGACTCAAGTACATGTTATTCCATTGATTGATTGAATGAGACAGGGTCTTGCTGTGTTGCCCAGGCTGGATGGAGTGCAGTGGCACAATCACAGCTCACTGCAGCTTTGACCTCCCAGGCTCAAGTCATCCTCCCACCTCAGCCTCCCGAGTAGCTGATACTCCAGGTGCACACCACCACACCCCACTAAATTTTTATTTTTTGTAGAGACAGGGTCTCACTATGTTACCCAGGCAGGTCTTGACGTCCTTAGCTCAAGTGATCCTCCCGCCTCTGCCTCCCAAGGTGCTGGGATTATAGGCATGAGCCACTGTGCCCAGCCTGTTATTCCTTTTAAAAAAAAATTATGTAATCTTCATTTCCAAGGTTTTTAGAAGATGTTTTCAGAGATACTGAAAATTCCTACAGGCAGAAAATACTGTTAACTCTTTAAATGGCATTTTCTTAAACATACATGCTTCTCTATATTATCTATATCATGAGTCTTTTTTTGCCTTACCTCAAATAATTTTATATCTGGATTCAGTTTTGTAATCTCTTCATTCAGACCTGGATTACTTCTTCCTGGAGGTATAAATTTTGGTTTTTTGAAGGAATTCCCCTGCAACTGACTTGGTGCTGCAGATCGTCTCATATTCAGCAGTCGTGACCTGAAAAATACCCAAAACAGTTAACTATCCACGAATCTAATTACAATCACCCCCAAATATAAAAATAGCTCAAAACTACAACTAAGATGGAACAGAAACCCCTCTTATGGGCCTGCCTGGCCCCCCAAGCATAGAAACAAAAGGAAAATCTTCAGTTCCTTCAAAGGAAATTCCAGGCACTTAGCTAGCCCTGAAAAGTACATGAGCAATATGATTAGCAAGAAGGTAATAGCTTAAAATAATGGTGAGGGAAGTTAGATTGACAAAATGTTTGGTTCCCTCTAGAAACTAAAGGTAACATCTTAACATATGTCCTTGAGTTGTTTTTCAGAAATCCAGACCACCACCAAATGGAAAATACTGTCTACTGGCACACAGACCTCAGATTAGGGGAAACAGGACTGAACTCTAACTGCTATTATTCTTTGTTCTGAATTTCTTCTTCAGAGGCCTGGAGGAAGTCATACCCACAAGCCAGAGCTCAACATTCCTTTCTGCTGACCCCAAGTTTTTAGACAGAGCTTCACTTCCTTAACCAATCCCAAATCAGAGAATCTTTTAATACATCTATGACTCGCAAGCCCCCACTTCAAGATGTCTCACCTTTTTAGGCCAAATCAATGATGCATTGATTTATGACTTTGCCTGTAACCTCTGCCTCCCCATCTTTAAAAATAGTTACATGAAAGCCATCACAGAGTTTGGGTCTTAACCATTAGCTACCCATTTTTCCTCGCTTGGCACCCTGCAATAAACGCCTCACTTTCTCTTGCTGCAAATCCCAATGTCTGTGGAGAGCTTTGCTGTGCCAGGCAGGCCGTCTCAAGTTTGGTTTGGTAATACAACCATGACATATGTAAAAAGGTAAAAGGGGCCGGCGTGGTGGTTCATGCCTGTAATCCCTGTACTTTGAAAGGATGAGGCCGGAGGATCCCTTGAACCTAGGAGCTTCGTCTCTATTAAAAATTAAAATTAAGAAAAAAAAAAAGGCCGAGCACGGTGGCTCATGCCTGTAATCCCAGCACTTCAGGAGGCCGAGGCGGGCGGATCACGAGGTCAGGAGATCGAGACCATCCTGGCTAACCCAGTGAAACCACATCTCTACTAAAAAAAAATACCAAAAATTAGCCAGGAGTGGTGGCGGGCGCCTGTGGTCCCAGCTACTCTGGAAGCTGAGGCAGGAGAATGGCGTGAACCCGGGAGGCGGAGCTTGCAGTGAGCTCAGATCACGCCACTGCACTCCAGCTTGGGCGACAGCGAGACTCTGTCTCAAAAAAAAAAAGATAAGAGGAGCTTGGTGGTGCATGCCTGTAGTCTCAGCTACTCAGGAGGCTGAGGTGAGGGGGATCCCTTGAGGTCAGGAGTTCAAAACCAGTCTGGGCAACATAGCAGCAAGACTTCAACTGAAAAAACAAAAACAAAACATATGAGAATAAGCCTGAGAAAACAGGTTCAGGCTGGGCAAAGTGGCCCACATCTGTAATCCCAGCACTTTGGGAGGCCAAAGTGGGAGGATCACTTGAGCCCAAGAGAGCCCATCTCTTGTTTTTTTTTTTTTAATAAAAAAAAAGAAAAAGAAAATAAGTTCAATAGCTAGTAAGATTTTATTTTTCATCAAGGGCTATTGAAAAGAATTTAAGATTTAAACTGAACGGTGATACAGTTTGGCTGTGACCCCACCCAATCTCACCTTGAATTGTAATAATCCCCATGTCAAGGGCAGGGCCTATTCTCGTGGTAGTGACTAAGTCTCACGAGATCCGATGGTTTTATACATGGGAGTTCCCCTGCACAAACTCTCTTGCCTGCTCCCATGTAAGACGTGGCTTGCTTCTCCTTTGCCTTCCGGCATAAATGTGAGGCCTCCCCAGCCATGTGGAACTGTGAGTCCAATAAACCTCTTTCCTAATAAATTACCCAGTCTTGAGTATCTCTTTATTAGCAGTGTGAGAACAGACTAATACAAATGGTGTAAATTTAAGTATATGTCAATTTTGATAATACTATAAGCATGATATCTTCTTTAAAGCAATTTAAATAAAAATTTCAAAATGCAAGGAAATACAATTCACATACAAATATCAAACATGTTGCCTTTTTCCTATTCCACTAATCCATAAACCACATGAAGGCAGCAATCTCATGCTTGTTTTCTCCACCACTAATGACTATAATGTGTCTGGCAACAGTGACAGATACATTACCATCACTAACAAATATTTTGAATGAATGAAATCTGGCAATTTAAAAGGTATTTTTATAATTCTACTTGTTTTTACTATCCTACTTCATTTGAAAACAGTGGAATTTTTTAAAATATAAATCAAGAGACTAGAACCAGGTTTCCCAACTTTCACTCAATCTTATTTCCACTAGGACTGGATAGGGGAACAGATGGAAAACAAGGACATTACATACATACATCATGTTTCTGCAATGGATAGTAGCAAGCATTCCAATTCAAAGCAACACCACAAAACACTATTTAACATAAGCCATCAGCAAGGATGAACATGACTACCAACATTATCTGTTTCACCCAGAAATTCCAATTCTGGCAATTTAACCTAAGGAACTATCAGAGATAATACTAAGTAACTACGTATAAGAATAATCAGCTGGGCAGGACACAGTGGCTCGCACGCATGTAATCCCAGCACTTCAGGAGGCCGAGGCAGGTGGATCACCTGAGGTCGGGAGTTTGAGACCAGCCAGGCTAACATGGTGAAACCCCGTCTCTACTAAAAATATAAGAATTTGAGGCCAGGTGCAGTGGCTCACACCTGTAATCCCAGCACTTTGGGAGGCCAAGGTGAGTGGATCACCTGAGGTCAGTTCAAGACCAGCCTCATCAACATGGAGAAACCCTGTGTCTATTAAAAATACAAAATTAGCCAGGCGTGGTGGCGCATGCCTGTAATCCCAGCTATTCAGGAGGCTGAGGCAGGAGAATCACTTGAACCCGGGAGGCAGAGGTTGTGGTGAGCCGAGATAGCGCCACTGCACTCCAGCCTGGGAAACAAGAGCGAAACTTCGTCTAAAAAAAAAAAAAATTAGCCAAGTGTGGTGGTACACGCCTGTAATCCCAGCTACTCAGGAGGCTGAGGCATGAGAATCGCTTGAACCCAGGAGGCAGAGGTTGCAGTAAGCTGAGATCGCACCACTGCACTCCAGCCTGGGTGACAGAGCAACACTCTGTCTCAAAGAAAACAAAGAAAAAAAAAAAGAATAATGATGCTAGTATCAATTACAGTAGGGGGAAAAAGGGAAACAAATGTCTATAATGAAGTACAAGATAAATTATGGTACACCCACACAACAGAACACTCTCTTCATATACCACCAAAATCGAGTCAGTACTATTCCCCAAGCTAGCCATGTTCTCTTTTTCTCTAGGCTTTGAACAAACTTTCCCTTATATAATGTTGGGAATGCTTTTTCCCACTTTTCTTTGCCTAATTAATTCTACCTTATCATCTAGGAGTCTTAACCATGAGCCCTCTTCATCTCCTCCCAAAGACTGGACTGGAGACCTTCCTGTATATGCACTACCCAAGCACTTTTCACACTGCAATGAAATTTGCCCTATCATTCCCTCTGAGCTATTAACTCAGGCATGAAATCTTACGTACAATTCATCAGTATATCGCCAGTACCAAATACACAGAAGAGGTTCAGTATTTGTTATGTGAATGATACCATTAATGGGTGGCGGGGGGGGGCAGTACTTTAAAAAAATGTTTAATGACAAGAGAAATATGTTTTAATAAATCAAAGGAAAAATGGCCACAAAACATGTCCAGCCTCATTCTAATTTTTACAAAAGAAAAGAAAAATAAAAACAATAATGGGTGTATGTACATTTAAAAGACTAGAAAGCAAAGGAGCATGAGAGAACTTGTTGGAGGTGATAGAAATAATCTATATAAGATTGTAGTATGGTTACAGGAGTATATATACATCTGTATATGAAAACATCAAAATGTACACATCTAACTGCACACTGTAAATTATACTGCTATAAAGTAGATATAATATACATGTTATATATTAAAATACACAATCGTTTTTTAAAAACTAGAAAAATACATGCCACAACATTAACCCTAATTATTTCTAGGTCTGGTTAGAATACCAGTAATTTTTATTCTATTCTGAGTTATTTTCTGTATATTTCAAATTTTTTACAATGAAAATGTTACCTTTGTAATAGGGAAAAGTATCATTAATTAGATTTTTTTAAATTACCATATTTCATCAAATCTAAAATGCCATCAATTGTAAGATATACTCTTGATTGTTAGTCCATATAAAAGAAATTTTTAAAAGTAAATAAAAATTTTAAAAATAAAAATTTTTTAAATTGTAAGATGTACCATTATTTTATGTATCCAAGAAAAAAAGTGTAGCCAATTAAACCATGATACACTATCATTGATGGTTAGACATTTCCCAATTTCATCAATGTTAAAATAATGAAACATGTAAATATTTTATATATAACCAGCCTTTATATAGTTTGAGGAATGAGTAGGAGAGATCACTCTCTTCTGTTTCTTATTCAAGGACAAAATAGATCTCTATTAGTATAATCTTTAATCTTAAAGCAAATTATGAAACAGATGGTTTTTGACTGCTTTAGAAGCAGTATTTACCAATACCAGAAGTCAGTACAAATTCTGACCAAACAAGTCATGCCAAAATAACTTCATTAAACTAATTTCCTTTTTATAATGGGTAAGCAGAATACTACAGGCCTCTAAATATATAACTGACACAAGTTTGAAATTGATTAACGGTAACTGTCACAGGACGACATGGATGTTAGGCCTTGCACTTAGACTCAGTTACTTAATGGTCAAATGAAATAGAACAATAGAAGCTGAAATTTAAAACTAAAGATTTTAGTGACTATAGCTCAACTGAAATAAGATAATGAGCCTTCTTAAACTAATAAATTCTAGATAGCATTAATAAAAATATGATGTCCACATCATGAAATGTAATCAGTTCTGTTCTCTACATTAGTCAGACTCCCCTCTAATACTGTGAAAATTCTGACACTTTTTAAAAAGGAACACTTAAAAAATACAGTAGTTAGAAACATCAACAGTAGAAATGAAGGAAACCAGAGTGTAGTTCAGATTCTGCTATTTCAGGGATGCTTAACTTTGGGGAAGCTATTTAACTCTCTAGACACCAATTTTCTCATTTATAAAATAAAGAATGAACTAGATGCTAAAATTTCTTTCAACACTAAATGCGAAGAATTACTACCCTAAATCCTTCTACATCTAATACATGATTTCTGATTTTTCAATCCTCCTATTTTGTAAACTAATAAAAATGATAATGCAAGCATACAACCATCAGCACAGAGCAGTGGTTAAGAAAACAGACTGACTCTGGAGCCAGCCAGGCTGCCTGGCTAGAATCCCAACTCTGCTACTTACATATGACCTTGGGCATCCATCAAGCCATTTAATTTGTTGATACAAAGTAAAATGCAGAAATCAGTACATTTCCCCCCAAAAGACCATTGCACCCTTATAGCTTTTTAAACTGGTTCTGTATGTTCATATTGTCCTGTCCATAATAAATTAATTAATTAATTAGTGCTGTCTGAGCCCTTTCCCCAGGTCCTAGAAATAAAGCCATTTGGTAGCCCTGATGTGATGCTACAACTTCTATAACACCTATTAGTTTCAGTCCTTCCAAGTAAAATGGTAAGGCCAAGCTGACAACTGTAATACACCAGATAGCCACAAGTACTTGGCACTACACTGTGGTAAATAAGAACACAACTTTGAAAGCAAATGCCTGAATATAAATGTGGACTGACACTTTCTAATGGTCTTGCACAGTTTACTTTGGCTCCATGTGTCTCAGTTTCCTCATCTTTAAGAGGGGGTACCATAATCATGCTTACACACCGGACTGTTGGGAGGATTAAATGAAATATGTAAAGCACTTAGAACAAAACTTGACACATAGTAAGCACTCAATGTTATCTGTTATAATTAGTATTATCGGAGAGTAGAAATGATGAAGGTCCTGTGAAGGAGATAGAGAAGGGGTAGTTCAACATACAGGACAATGACCAGAATCTTTGGGTTCGTCTGGGCTTTAAAGAGAGGTATGTGCAACCATCAAACGTCGAGGATGCAAGAATGTAAGTACACCAACTCTACCAAGAACCAGCAACGGTCTCTCCCTGCTGTTGCTGCTTGTCGACTTCCAACTACATTAGGTAGTAATTATTTCACTTCATGCCTTAAATTGCTCCTTTGAGACTCCGGCTATATAGATGGTTCCTAATTTAGGACGGTGTCACTTAGAATTCTTCGACTTTTAAGAAAGCCATGAGCATTCAGTAGAAACTGTACAAGTAACCACACAACCGTCTGTGTTCATGATTTTGCCCAACTGTAGATTAAGGTAAGTGTTCTGAGCATGTTTAAGGTAGGCTAGCGCAGCCATAAAAAGGAATGAAATCATGTCCTTTGCAGCAACATGGGTGCAGCTGGAGGCTATTATCCAAAGCGAATTAAAGCAGAAACAGAAAATCAAATATTGCATGTTCTCACTTATAAATGGGAGCTAAACATTGGGCATTCATGAACATAAAGATGGCAACAATAGACAGTGGAGACAACTAGAAGGGAGAGGAAAGGAGGAGCAAGGGTTCAAAAACTATTGGGTAACATGCTCACTACCTGGGTGACAGGATCAATCGTATCCAAACCTCAGCACCACGTAATATACCGATGCAACAAACCTGCACATGTACCCCCAAATCTAAAATAAACAGCTGAAAATAATTTTTTTGATAACAAAAGTAGGCTAGGCCAAGCTTTAATACTCAGTAGGTTAGCTGTGTTTTAAATCCATTTTCCATTTGGGATATTTTCAACCCCGTAGTAAGTCGAGAAGCATCTGTTCCTACCTAGAAAATCTTCCATAAGGTAATCGATTAAAAGGTTTTAAGGAAATACAAGAAAAACCTGACCAGTGAAGAGGTAAAAGCCCCTAAAGAAGGCGTACCGACACTCTCCAGGACGCTCGCAGAGCCTTCACCCCCTGGCCCTGGGGAAGGAAATTCCCAGTGCAGGAGTGAGGGAGAGACCCAAAAGCCAAGAGGAGCCTGCGCAAAGCGACCGCAGTGGCGGCCCCAGGGGCCACTGCCCAGAACCATCCCTCCCACACAAACGCACAACCCTAAACCCCCACCGCCCGCCCTTCGCTCCAAGGCCCCCGGGGCCAGCAACCAGGGCGTCCCTGGCACTTCAGACCAAAGCTGCAGGCCCGCAGAAGGCCACTTCGGTCGCTCCTGCCGCCTTCCCTCCCTCCTCCCTCGTTGGCCTGCTCCGGCGCCACTCCCTGCTTTGTCCCGCACGAGCCTACAGGCTGTCGCAGCCTCCCGAGCTTCCCCCTGCAGGACGCACCGGCGAAAATCTGACAGAAACCACTGGCCCTGCAAAGAAGTCCTTCTGGTAACCAGCTATCCCCTCGCCGCCGGAGAAGCTCAAGGATCCCGCCTCGGCGAAGCCAATCGCGGACGAGCCCGCCGCGCGTGCGCACTACCTAGCCGCTGCACTGCCCTGTCCTGCCCTACTCTGATTGGACGACCCTACTGCATCACTGCGCATGTATCTTTGCGTTTGGCTTTAAATGCTTCCAAGTTTGATTCAAGTTTACGGTTCAATTAAAAAAATACTGGTTTAGTGCCTACTTTCAGACACAGTGTAGATGCCGAGGCTACAGACCTCACCATCTGCGTGGATAAGTAATAAATACGGTATGATTCGGTGTGTGCGATAATAGAAATGCGTGCATCGCAGAAGTATACGATATCCTATTGGTTATTCATTCATCCGAAAAAACATTGACTTAGCGGTGCCTGCAGGATAATTTTCAAACTCTTTGTTAGGTTCTGGGAATATAGAAACGAATACGTGATTATTAGGCTCTCAGAAAAGGGGAGCCGCCTCCGGACTTGGAAAAGCATTAAAGCATGTTAAGTAGGAAAGTTACATCATTCAATGAGTATTTACTGAGCACCTTCTAAGTGCTAGGCGGTAACACAGTCAACTATCCCTGAAAAATGGTATTAGAAAGGCTAATCTGAAAGGAGAGAGAATGGCTAAAGGTTGTTTATTGAGTTTTATCCAGCAGTTTGACAAAAAGTAAAAGCTAAAAAATATCAAGGGTGAAATGAAGATGTGAAACAATGGGAACTCTTGGGCTGCTGGTAGGAGTGTAAATAGGTACAGCCATTTAAAAGAGTAATTTGAGGCTGAGAGCGGTGGCTTGTGCCTGTAATCCCAGTACTTTGGGAGGCCGAGGCGGGCGGATCACTTGAGGTCAGGAGTTCGAGACCAGCCTGGCCAACATGGTGAAACCCGGTCTGTACTAAAAATACAAAAATTAGCTGGTTTTGGTGGAGCGCGCCTGTAATCCCAGCTACTCAGCAGACTAAGGCGGGAGAATCGCTTGAACCTGGGAGGTGAAGGCTGCAATGAACCGAGATGGTGCCGCAGCACTCCAGCCTGGGCAGCAGAGAGACCCTGTTTCAAAAAAAAAGAGTAATGTGCTTAAGGAGCTTTTATCCTGGGGACTTTTTCCAGTCATAAAGAGCACCTCATAGGTTGAGTTGTGCTTTTGGCAGCTCCTGGAGCCAGCGTTACAAGAATTTGAAATGGGGACCTGCCAAGGTTGGGCACCTTAGTAAACCGCACCCCCCTCTTCTTTGGACTGGGACACATAAAGAGTAAGGGTAACCAGAAAACAAGCTAGCTTCATAGTGTCTGCAGCCTACCTTAATATCATCTGGGGAGTTCAGAAAATCTAAAACAGATTGGCTAAAGGTGACCTGGGACATTCCTCTTGCAGATTTGCATCTGGTTTGATCCTTCACTTCAGATCATTACTCACATATCAACTTGTCAAAGGGCTTTATCTGACAGTGCATTGCTCTCTTGTCTCATCTTGTATCTCCCTTACCCTGCTTTATAGAGTTCATCACACTTTCCATTCCCTAACATATACTTATTTGTTAATTGTTTTTCTATTACTCTCAGAATATAAGCTACATGAGGGCAGGATCTTTGCTTTATTCTCTGCTGTACCCATGTGTTTAGAATAGTACTAGTCTTTTTTGTTTTGTTTTGTTTTTTGAGACGGAGTCTTTCTCTGTCACCCAACTGGAGTGCAGTGGCATGATCTTGGCTCACTGCAACCTCTGCCTCCTGGGTTAAAGCAATTCTTCTGCCTCAGCCTCCCAAGCAGCTGGGACTACAGGCATGCGCCGCCACCAAGCCTGGCTAATTTTTTGTATTTTTGGTAGAGACAGGGTTTCACCATATTGGCCAGGCTGGCCTCGAACTCCTGACCTCGTGATCTGCCCACCTCGGCCTCCCAAAGTGCTGGGATTAAAGGCATGAGCTACAGCACCCAGCCAGAACTGTACTAGTCTTACAGACCGCACTCAATAAATATTTGTTGATATTTATTTGGAGGCCAAGGCAGGAGGATCACTTGAGGCCAGGAGCTTGAGACAAGACCAGCCTGGGCAACATAGTGAGACACTGTCTCTTAAGAAAAGAAAAGAAAAGAAAGAAAGCTGGAAGAAGTGTACACATGAACACTCTGTTCTGTTTTTGCAAGTGTTCTGTAAGTCAAACATTAGTTCAAGTAAAAAGTTTAAAAAGGCCAGGCGTGGTGGCTCACGCCTGTAATCCCAGCACTTTGGGAGGCCAAGGCGGACGGATCACTTGAGGTCAGGAGTTCAAGACTAGCCTGGTGAACGTGGTGAAACACTGTCTCTACTAAAAATACAAAAATTAGTTGAGCATGGTGGTGAGTGCCTGTAATCCCAGCTACTGGGGAGGCTGAGGCAGAAGAATTGCTTGAACCCAGGAGGTGGAGGTTGCAGTGAGCCAAGATCGTGCCATTGCACTCCAGCCTGGGCAAAAGAGCAAGACTCTATCTCAAAAAAAAAAGAAGTTTAAAAAACAAGATTTCTGTTACTCAACAAATACTAAACATGAAGTACCTGGTAATGCAAAGGACACTGTAATGTGTAGTTCAAAAGTACTTTTCTGCAGAAGTGTATAGTCTGATTTTGGATTATCTCTAAAGGAAACTAATAAAATGCAATTTAGGCCTGGGTGTGGTGGCTCATGCCTGTAATGCCAACACTTTGGGAGGCTGAGTGGGGAGAATCGCTTGAGTCTAGGAGTCCAAAACCAGCCTGGGCAACATGAATGAAACCCTGTCTCAAAAGAAAAAAATCAAAGTCTTTGTCCAATTATGTGGATACATATATCTTTGGAAATGAATATATTGGTATTCGTTTCATTTCCTTCTTTAATCATTCAATGCCAAGTATGTCACCCCTAAATATTTTTATAAGGATATTATACTATGCCTTGGGGTTAACAGTAACAAATATTGGAGGTAAAAGTCTCTGTAACTATAATGTTGAATTAACACATTAATTGGTTATTACTTATTGGTAATGTTAGTTAATTGATTAAGCAGCATCAACATTACAGCTGGGGTGGGAGGAGTGGAGAGGAGAAAAATAATTTGGACACCTCCTTTTAGTCTGATTACCCTTCTTTTTCAGTTGTGATCCCACTTGTCTCCTAGCCACTACACTTGATCAATTCTGGACTGTTATTTTTTACTTTAACTCTATAATAAATATCTGTAATACATTTCTCTTTTGATTCATATTCACCTCCCACCACACATATTCCTACTTCTATTTTATGTTTCAGAATATGAGAAAATAACACCCCACTAGTGATTTGTTCATATCACACAGAAGTTAATGAATGGCAAAGGCAGGATTAGTACCTAGCTCTATTCATTACTAATTTCTTACTTTTTCATCGAAGTAAGTTTCGGAGGGAAAATTATTGAACAGTTTTTTAAAGTTTCACATGCTAGCTGGGTGTGCTTATGCGTGCCTGTAATCCCAGCTACTTGGTAGGCTGAGGCAGTAGGACAGCTTGAGCTCAAGACCAGCCTGAGCAACATAGTGAGACTTCACTTCAATTAAAAAAAAATTAATAAGTTTCACATGGTTATAGAACAGTTTTGGATAATATTTATTTTATATGACTTGGGCTTTCAGGTGAATTATTTTTGATTCCTTATTTAGCTTAAAGAGAACAGTGATTCCAGAGGACCCTAACTTGTTCTGGAAGGACCAAGTGAAATGTTTCATCAGAGTAAATAGCAATTCTACCATTCCAGGATTACCAGAACATCTAAAAGCATCCTTCCTAGAGGCAACAACTGAAAGCAGCTGCAGACTTAAAGAGGACCAAAGCTTTACCAAAATATGCCTAAAGTATCTCTTAGCAAACCAAGAGACCTTCAGTGGGGAATACAACACAGTTTGTCAACTCAAATAATTTGTCAAGATTTATTAACTTGAAAAAAAGTTTAAGAATGTTTATTTAACTAATATTTTAGTTTTGTCTATTGCTTTAAAATAAGTCATGTAATTCAGCATTTTTTTTCTAAATGAATACCTCAAAACCTTATTCCATTTTAAACTCAAGAATATGTGGCTGGGCGCAGTGGCTCCCAGCACTTTGGGAGGCCGAGGAGAGTGGATCACCTGAGGTCAGGAGTTCGAGACCAGCCTGGCCAACATGGTGAAACTTCGTCCCTACTAAAAATACAAAAATTAGCCAGGCACGGTGGCGGGCACCTGTAATCCCAGCTACTCAGGAGGCTGAGACAGGATAATTGCTTGAACCCGGGAGGCAGAGGTTGCAGTGAGCCGTGTTGCGCCACTGCACTCCAGCCTGGCGACAGAACATCTCAGATATGAAAGTAGATATAACAACTTAAAACACAATAATCAGAAATGGAATTTCAAAGAAGTCTGTAGTCAAAAGTGTGGAAGCACAAAAAACATAACTAGACTCTGCAGATAACAGTCTAAGGCCACATATCCAAAGTCAATCATTATATGTAAACAGTTGAGGAGCGGATGGCTTTGATACACATAGTTTTTAGCAATCTCTCTTCAGTTCAAATTGAAAAAGTACCCATCGCCTATACTTTCATTTCTCAATCATGCCAACAAATAGCATTACGGATTCTGCTTACCTTACCTTCAAATTCTCATTCCAATAAAATTGCCATCACAAAGGTTATAAAATCTTCCAAATTGCCAAATCTAGTTGTCGTTTCATCTTCACCTTCACCCTCTGTGATCCATTTGGAGCCTGTGGCACTACTTATCACATCCGGAAACCTCCAGACGTTTGAGCTTCAATTCTGCTGTTCCAAAATGCTACCTACATTTTCCTCATTCTGCTCCCAAGCACCTGCCCCTCTCTTCTCCCATTAGAAAGTTATTTCAGAACAGTAACTGCTTTATTGAGTTTTATGCCATCATGGCCTAATTTAATTCTAGCAGTATTACAGTATCTGACAAATATCTGTTCTATGTGATCCCTTTGTCTCCATTACCACTATCCTAGCTGAGGACATTACTTTCATTTAGGTCACTGTATCCAAACCTGGCTAATTATTAGAATCTCCTGAGAAGTTTTTTAAAAAGAGATGTGTAGGCCCCCAAAACTTGCATTTTTAAAGACCTCCCCAGATGATTCCTAAATTTGAAAACCATTGACATGTAATCTCAGCACTTTGGGAGGCTGAGGCGGGCGCATCACGAGATCAAGAGATCGAGACCATCCTGGCTAACATGGTGAAACCCCATCTCTACTAAAAATACAAAAATTAGCCTGGCACGTTGGCAGGCACCTGTAGTCCCAGCTATTCGGGAGACTGAGGCAGGAGAATAGCTTGAACCCGGAAGGCAGAGGTTGCAGGGAGCCGAGATCGCGCCACTGCATTCCAGCCTGGCAACAGAGCGAGACTCCGTCTCAACAACAACAACAAAAAGAAAAAAAAAAAAAAAAAGGAAAAAAAAGAAAACCATTGATATAGATCAGTGGTTCTCAAACCTTAGGGTGCATCAAACTTTAACAGAATTGTTTGCAGGATTTGTTAAAGCACACACACATTGCCAACCCCTCCCCTCCTGGGCCTGGGGTCATGTTTAAGAGTATTCATTAATGCTTTTTTTTTTTTGAGACAAAATCTCCCTATATTGCCCAGGCTCAAGTGCAGTGTCGCGTGATCATGGCTTACTTCAGCCTCGACCTCCTGAGTTCAAGGGCTCCGCTTGCCTCAGCCTCTCCAGTATCTGGGACTATAGGCACACGCCACCACACCTGGTTAATTTTTTAATATATATCTTGTAAAGACAGGATCTTGCCATGTTGCCCAGGCTGGAGGAATATGCATTTCTAACACATCTCCAGGTGATGCTGAGCTGCTGGTCTAGGGATTGCTTTTCGAGAATTGCTCATAGAGAACTTTGCTGTAACTTCTTTTTCTTTTTTTTTGAGAGGGAGTTTCGCTCTGTCACCCAGGCTGCAGTGCAGTGGTGTGATCTCGGCTCACTGCAAACTCGGCCTCATGGGTTCAAGCAATTCTCCTGCCTCAGCCTCCCGAGTAGCTGGGACTACAGGCGCCCACCACCACGCCTGGCTAATTTTTTTGTATTTTTAGTACAGACGGGGTTTCACCGCGTTAGCCAGGATGGTCTCAATCTCCTGACCTCATGATCTGCCCATCTCGGCCTCCCTAAGTGCTGGGATTACAGGCGTGAGCCATTGCGCCCGGCCTGTAACTTCTTTATTGGTCGGCCTTCAGGCTCTTCCCTCTCTAATCCTTCCTCTCTGCTGCACCAAAGTAGTTCTCTTTTAATTTTTTTACTTTTTCAATTTTTATTTATTTAGTTTTTGATACAGGGTCTTGCTGTGTCACCCAGGCTGGAGTGGAGTGGCACAATCACAGCTTACTGCAGCCTTGAACTTCCGGGCCCAAGCAACCCTCCCACCTCAGCCTCCTGAGTAGCTGGGACTACAGATGTGCACCACCACACCTGGGCTATTTTTACATTTTTTGTAGAGATGGGGGGGTCTCACTATGTTGCCCAGGCTGGTCTCTGACTCCTGGGCTCAAGTGGTCCTCCTGCCTCAGCCTCCCAAAATGGTGGGATTACAGACATAAGCCACTGCCCCCATCAGTCCCCTTTTTAAAAGAATACTTCTGATTGGGAGTTATGTGAAAACATCTTTCATAGTGACTGGCTGATAGAAGCTCATAAAAGTACCAAATCTGAAAATGTCACTCACATTTAAAAAGTTCAGTTACTCCCTAAGGCTTAGCACAGCAAATAAGACCTTTCATAATTTGACCCCAGTCTCCAAATATACCTTCCCCTCCATCCCCTCTACACTGTCCCTACATTCCTACACTGGCCAAAGTAGACTACTCACTGTTCCCTGCAATTACCACCTCCTTACATTTAAAAAATATTACCATATGCCCTGAGTATCCTGGAAATTCTACTTAGACAGAAACTGGACTATCCTCACTTAGAATCTATGTTCAAAAAACCATTATAAAACTGTCCCCAAACTAATAGTCTCCCTAAAACCACATCAATATTGTTCAGTAGAGCTATTAAACATTAGTATAATTCTACTTACATAATTTCCACTTATTTATCAAGCAGGCACTAATTTCTGGCTTCAGAAATAACTTAGCAAGTAAGGCATGTTAAGTATATTTTTGTCTAGGTAGTGGAGGATCTAATTTAAAGTAATAATGCTCTACATGTAAAAAAAAAATCAAATACAAATCTTATTTAATCCCCATAACCTACTGATGTAGGCAGAGCAGATAAAGAAATTTAGGATAGGCCAGGAGCGGTGGATCATGTCTGCAATCCCAGCACTTTGGGAGGCCAAGGCGGACGGATCATTTGAGGTCAGGAGGTCAAGACCAGCCTGACTAACATGGTGAAACCCCGTCTCTACTAAAAATACAAAATTTAGCCAGACATGGGGGTGGGCGCCTGTAATCCCAGCTACTCGGGAGGCTGAGGCAGGAGAATCGTTTGTACCCAGGAGGTGGAGGTTGCAGTGAGCCAAGATCACGCCAGTGCGCTCCAGGCTGGGTGACAGAACGAGACTCTGTCTCAACAAAAAAAAAAAAAAAAGAAAGAAATTTAGGATAAGAGGAGCGATTTAAAGTTGCACAGCTAATTAGTAGAGCATAGAACTGGTTCTCAAAACCAGACTTTTTGGTCACAAAGAACTTCTCCACAACATCATGTCCCATCACAGATTTACCTGGTACATTTCACCTTCCCAAATAAAAATAACTCTTTAGAGAAATTCCATTGTGATTTCTAAAACAGATGCTATCATCAAATTCTTCAGGTTGAAACTCTCTGGGCACATTTTGTCCTGCATAATTTTTTGTTTTGCTCACAAAATGTTTTTAATTTTTAAATTGAATTAATTGCATATTTGAAAACTGATTACACAATAATCCAGATTTTTGGCTTCTCCCTAAAAGTCAGAAGCACAACCATTAAAAGGGCTATTATGAAAACCAAAACAAAACAGAAAATAACAAGTGTTGGCAAAGATGTGGAGAAATTGGAACCCCTTTGCACTGTTGATGGGAATGTAAAATGGTGCAGCTGTTGTGGAAAGCAGTATGGTGGTTGCTCAAAAATTAAAAATAACAGAATTACCATGTCATTAGGCAATTCCACTTCTGGATATATACCCCCCAAAATTATAAGTAGGGTCTTGAAAAGATATTTGTACACTCATGTTCATAGCAGCATTATTCACAATAGCCAAAATGTGGAAGCAACCCATATGTCCATCAACCGATGACGAATAAACAAAATGTGGCATATCCACACAATGGAATATTATTCAGTCTTTAAAAAAAATTCTGACACAGGCTACAACATGAATAAACCTTGAGGACATTATGCTAAGTGAAAAAAGCCAGCTGCAAAAAGACAAATTTATACGGTTCTACTTACATGTGGTATTTAGAGTACTCAAATTTACAGAGACCGAAAAGGAGAATGGCGGTTGCCGGGGGTTGGGGGGACAGGGAAATCAGAGTTGTTTAATGGGTATAGAATTTCAGTTTTGAAAGATGAAAAAGTTCTGGCCGGGCACAGTGGCTCATACCTATTAAGCCAGCACTGTGGGAGGCCGAGGCGGTAGATCACTTGAGATCAGGAGTTTGAGCAGGAGTTCGAGACCAGCCTGGTCAACATGGTGAAAACCCATCTCTACTAAAAATACAAAAATTAGCTGGGCCTGGTGGCGTGCACCTGTAATCGCAGCTACTAGGAAGGCTGAGGAAGGAGAATCACTTGAACCTGGGAGGCGGAGGCTGTAGTGAGCCAAGATCGTGCCACTGCACTCTACCCTGGACAACAGAGCAAGAGTTTGTCTCAAAAAAAAAAAAAAAAAAAGAGTTCTGGAGATTGGTTAACACAATAATGTGTATTGCTAGTACTTTAGTTTGCACCCCCTTCTCTAGATTATGAAGTTATATGACGCTTACAAGATCCTACTCATTACCTCCTAATCTGTCCTATGAATTTAAAATAATAAAAATTAAAATTGCATATATAATCTTTTCTGCTTAACTAGTCTTTAGGCCAGGCACAGTGGCTCATGCTTGAAATCCCAGCACTTTAGGAGGCCGAGGAGGGCAGATCACTTGAGCTCAGGAGTTCGAAACCAGCCTGGCCAATATGGCAAAACCTCGTCTCCACTAAAAATACAAAAAACTAGCCAGGCATGGTGGCTTGTGCCTGTAGTGTAGTCCCAGTTACTTGGGAGGCTGAAGCACAAGAATCACTTGAACCTGAAAGGCAGAGGTTGCAGTGAGCCAAGATCATGCCACTGCACTCCAGCCTGGGTGATGGAGTGAGATTCCGTCTCAAAAACAAAACAAAACAAAACAAAACAAAAAAACCCAAAAAACTAGTCTTTATGCAAAAGCAATTCCAAAAAGATTTTATACAATTTTAATGCCAAGATATCCTTTTCTTAAAATACTATTTTAAAAATAGTTACTTTTGAAAACCTACAATAAAATGTTAGAAATGTAATGGTTGGATTATTCAAGAATTCTGAATTGTTCCACATACACTTCATACACTTAAGATCTCATTAACTTTTCTTTTAAAAAAATGATGTGGCCAGGCACGGTGGCTCATGCCTGTAATCCCAGCATTTTGGGAGGCTGAGGAGGGCAGATCACGAGGTCAGGAGATCGAGACCATCCTGGCTAACATGATGAAACCCCCATCTCTACTAAAAATACAAAAAATTAGCCAGGCCTGGTGGGACCCCACTGTAGTCCCAGCCACTCAGGAGGCTGAGGCAGGAGAATCACTTAAACCCGGGAGGCGGAGGTTGCAGTGAGCCAAGATCACACCACTGCACTCCAGCCTGGGTGACAGAGCGAGACTCCGTCTCAAAAAAAAAAAGACGTTTACATAATTGTTTCCATTATTAGACTGTGAGTTTCCTGAGGGCAAAAAATATCTTAGTCACCCTTATATTCCCCACACTGTACTAGGGTATATGGAACACAGAAGACGCGTAGGAGACATACTCTAGTTCCTACATTCTCACATTCTCATCCTGCAGGTTTTTGCAATTACTTTTTTAAAAAGAAATAAAGCTAATCTAACTGGGCCTACTACTCCTTCACACAGAATACTACCTGCAACATTCTTTTTAAATAAAGCATAACAATATTTCATAGTATTTTTTCTTATTCTTAGGAAATAAACACAAATCATTCTATCAACTCCTCTTCTACAGATTAAATTTGTACTCGAAGGAATTCTGCATCTTTCATTAATTTCTAAATGCCGCTCAAAACTTTCCCTGAAATAGGCCGGGTGTAGTTGTTCATGCCTGTAATCCCAGCACTTTGGGAGGCTGAGGCAGGTGGATCACTTGAGATCGGGAGTTCAAGACCAGCCTGGCTACCATGGTGAAACCCAGTCTGTACTAAAAATAGAAAAATTAGCAGGGCATGGTGGTGGGTGCCCATAATGCCAGCTACTCGGGAGGCTGAGGCAGGAGAATCACTTGAACCCAGGAGGCAGAGGTTGCAGTAAACAGGGAAAGCACCACTGCACCCCAGCCTGGGTGACAGTGAGACTCTGTCTCAAACAAACAAACAAACAAAAATTTTCCCTGAAATGTCTTGTTTGAGGCTCACTTCTGAAATAACTAAAATACAGTGTTGGGTCTCTGAAACTCCACTGCCGTATGATGAATTACTAATTTTGATCTCTAACACACTTAACCTGAAAAGTCGCTTCTTCTCCAAGATGGAGAGGTAAGAAATTAGGAGGTAGCCAACCTGATTTTATTATTATTTCTTAGAGATGGGGGTCTTGCTCTTGCTGCCCAGGATGGACATGAACTCCTGGGCCTAAGCAATCCTCCCACCTCAGCCTCCTGAGTAGCTGGGACCACAGGTGCCCACCACTGTGCCCTGCTCCAATCTGATTTTTTTTTTCCACTCTGTCACCCAGGCTGGAGTACAGTGGCACAATCATGGCTCACTGCAGCCTTGACCTCCTGGGCTTAAGTGATCCTCCTGCCTCAGTCTCCCAAGTAGCTGAGACTACAGGCATGCACCATCACACTCAGCTTTTTCTTTATTATTATTTTTTGAGATGGAGTCTTGCTCTGTCCCCCAAGCTGGAGTATAGTGGCTTGATCTCTGCTCACTGCAACCTCCACTTCCTGGGTTCAAGCAATTCTCCTGTCTCAGCCTCCTGAGTAGCTGGGATTACAGGCACGTGCCACCATGTCCAGCTAATTTTTTTTACTTTTAGTAGAGACAGGGTTTCACTATGTTGGTAAGGCTGATCTCAAACTCCCGACCTCAGGTGATTCGCCTGCCTAGGCCTCCGAAAGTGCTGGGATTACAGGTATGACCCACCACGCCCAGCTTCACTCAGCTAATTTTTAAATTTTCTTTAGAGACAGGGTCTCACTATATTGCCAGGGCTAGTCTCAAACTCCTGGGCTTAAGTGATCCTCTTGCCTTAGCCTCCCAAAGTGCTGGGATTACAGGCATGAACCACCCAACCTGATTTTAAATCCTGTTTCTACCATGCTTGAGTCAAGCTCTTCAACTTTCTCCATCTGTAAAATTAGGATAATACCACCTATGCTGGATTGTTATAAGGACTAAGTGATTTTTGCATGTAAGGGCTGGTCAACATGGTGGATTCCTTCCCTTCTCATTTATCTAGGACTTGTAGTCACTCAAGACATTTTAAATTTGCCTGGCATTAATTTGTTTCTACACTAATAATTTATTACCTTTATTGGCCTGAATTACTGGGTATTAACTCAAACAGCAAAAACAGCTTTCTGATATTTCTCAAAGATCATATCCAGCTTAATGCTAAAAAACAAACCAAGAAATTATGTTTCTATATATGGCCATGTTCTTATTTAAGAAACACAGTTACTTAAGAAACATTAACTATTTTTTACATGTATTTGTGTCAGACATTGGGGCAAATTTCGAATTTTACCTAATGTGTAAAATATATCTTTGGGGAAAATGAGCCTGTTAGGTTTCAGGATCAAAGGGGATTTAAGTTACCTTGATGCGCTGAGTCTTGTGTTTCCCTAAATTCATATATTGAACTCCTAACCCTCAATGTAGTAGTACTAAAAGGGTGGGTCCTTTGGGAGGTACTGTGATTTAGATTAGATCATGAGGATGAGACTTGCATGGTGGGAACAGTGCCTTTGTAAGAAGAAAAAGACCCAAGAGCTCGCTCTCTCTCCAAGCAAGCACCAAGGAAAGACTATGTGAGCACTTAAGAAGGTAGCTGCATACAAGCCAGGAAGAGGGCCCTCACTGGAACCCAACCATGCTGACACCCTGATCTTGGACTTCCAAGCCTCCAGAACTTTGAGAAATAAATTTTTATTGTTTAAGCCACCCAGTCTATGGTATTTTCTTACAGCAGCTCAAGACTTGGGTTTTTCAAGGCCACTAGTTATGAAAAGATTGCCATAACCTTTCACCTAAACCTCTGATTCTTTACAGCTAAGCTTTTCTTCAAAGTGTTTTCTTAATGAAGATTGTATTCACTCACAAATAGTTCTCCAAAACAGAGATTGATAAAAGGATGGAATGAGACTCATACACTCCTTTTCTGATTAAGATAACTCTGTATTTTACGCCACTTATATAGACTCAGTGTGTTAAGACGTATCTTGGGGAAAATATGGCTACTTTCTCAAAGTTGTAAGCTTTATTTCTATGTATAAAGTCCAGCTTTATTAGATGTTTCTGATTCCCAAAATAATAGTATTAGGATATTCCTTATTTTAGGCTTTAAATAATTTGTATAATAAAATAGTGTCAGTAGGTCCAAAGCTGAAATGCAAAGTTCAGATTTCTAATACAAAGGAGAGGAGTATTTTGTTTCTTTTGGTACAGCCATGGTTCCCAAACTGTGTAGCAGGGCACCTTAGCAAATTAACATGGGTGCCACACAATATTTTAAAATTTTTGAGAAAAACATAGCAACACCTGTTGGACATCACATAAACTACTACTTTGAGGTAGTTTACATTTTCAACATTAAATAGCATTATATTCCTTTCTATAACAACATATCTTTACAAAACTGGGTTTTCAGCAGTTTGATAAAAAGTACTGTGCAAGAAGCAGAGAGGAAAAGAAAATGATACTGATTCCAAGGTTTGAGACATGCAGTGTCCACAGTTACTAGTGGTGATGATGTACATTCTTATTAAGCTGTTGGATCTAACTGCTTAATAAACACAAGTATTAGATATTTCTTTTGGACCAGGTATGCTGTGAAAAAAGTACTGAGGCACTAAATAGTGTCATGAGCTGAGAAAGTTTGAGAATATCTGTGCTATAGGCAAGAAAAATACAAAACATCATTTAGTTTTTCACCTAGAAATTTTCTAAATAAATAGTCATACAAAAAAGGGAAAATATATACAAACGTACATACAAAGTTTGGATTTTTATTGAAATCTTGTTAGGTATCAAACAAATTCTGCTTTCTTCAGATAAAAATATTCTCTCAGATGTCTCCAGATAACTGCTAAGTCTAAATTGGTCCTTCAATGTCTTATTTTTATTGTCCTCGTGAAATGTTCATATACAGTTAAGATGTTCCCAAAAGGATTTTTATCGTGTAAAGGAGCGTACATGACGACCTCTACCACTGCCTCCACTAACAAACTTTCCTCTTGAGCCTCCACTGCCGCTATTTGCACTAGCCCAGGAAGGTCCAAGTCCCCCACGACCTCTAGAAGCACGGTCCCGAGGACTTGGGCGGTAACCTGTAAAAGAAAGAATACAGTTTTTAGTTCCAATGTCCTTTCTTTTCCAAGATTATAAATACTAATCTACGACACTGAGCTCAAACCAAGAATTACTCTATTCTCTTTTAAAGCTCACGTGCAAGCACGGTGAATGGGCCAAAGATTTTTGAATTATACATTTTAAACAGGTAAACTATATGGTATATGAGAATTATATCCTAAATAAAACTATTATTTTTTAAAAATGTGCATTTGAAACCAAAAGCTACTTCTGATAAGTAAAATTCTGGACTAGATAAATGTTTTAAAAAAAAAGGTTATGTGCTTACACACCTAAGACAATACTATAACCAAAAAAATATATGCTGTATAAAGGTATCTCTGTTATTAAAATACTTTGTGGTCAGAAAGATACCTTAAGCATTGGCTTTCATTACTGAAACATAAAAATAAGAGCACATCACCATGAAACTGTTCAGATTATACAAACAGTTCAGAAACTAAAAATTTGATTATTTTTACAGAAGATGTATATTGGGCATTCATTCAAGGATATAAACTTTAGAACTTTAAGTCTATACTCTAAAATATTCTCTTCCAGAATGAGAGTACAGTTGACCCTTGAACAACATGGGTTTCAACTGCCTAGGTCCACTTATATGAGGATTTTCTTCCACCTCTGCTGCTCCTAAGAAAGTAAGACCTCTCCTCCTCTTCCTCAGCCTATGGAATGTTATGACCTTTATGAAGATCCACTTCCACTTAATAGTAAATGTATTTTCTCTTCCTTATGATTTTCTTAATAACATTTTCTTTTCTCCAGCTTATTTAATTGTAACACATTATATAATATATATATAACATATAAAATATGTGTCAATCAACTGTTTATGTTATCTGTAAGGCTTCCAGTCAACAGTATACTAGCAGTAGTTAAGTTTTGGGGAAGTCAAAGTTATACTTAGATTTTTGACTGTGTGGAGCAAGGAGATGGGGAGATTAGCACCCCTAGCCCCCTCTGTATATGATATCAACAATTTTAAAGGAGGAATTTACTTCCCTTCTCTCAGCAATATCAAGTAGCAAGGATGTATACCTGTAGAACTAAGGGGTCGTAATGGTGGAAGAGGGCCTCTGTTAAAATTGCTCTGGCCTCCACGACTTTCATTGTAATTTCCTCGAGGAGTATTCTGAGCACTCCAACTGGAGCCTCTTGTTCCTTCCCGACGACTGTAGTTTCCTAAACACAAACAGCACAATCAAAATCACTTTTTTCACAACTTCAGTTGGATTCTTTTAAGTGACAGATTTTTCTTAATCTTCAAAAGAATGGAAAAGAAACTGAAATTCTGCAAACTGACTGTACTATATAGTGGCAACATCACAGTGGTTAAGAGCAGAGGCTCTAGAGCCAAACTGCCAGGGATCAAATACTGGTTCTACCACTTGTATTTATGTGCCCTGGTCAGCTGACTGACAATTTTCTCTTCTGCAAATTGGGAGTACTAAGAGAACTTGCCTCATGGGGTTGACATGAGGTTATAATATGTAAAGTGCTTATAACAGTTCCTGACACACCTAATCTAAGTGTTTGTTATTAATATAAACACAGATTCTCTTTCACTCTCACCCTCCTAACTCAGCAGGTATGAAAACATGTTTATCAATCCACTACTAAAGTATAATTTCTGTAAGTATCCCTAGTTTCTAAAATCTTGTAAGGCCAGGTGCAGTGGCTCACGCCTGTAATCCCTGCACTTTGGGAGGCCGAAGGTGGGTGGATCACCTGAGGTCAGGAGTTCGAGACCAGCCCGGCCAACATGGTGAGACCCCGTCTCTACTAATAATATAAAAATTAGCCGGGTGTGGTGGCGCATGCCTATAATCCCAGTTACTCGGGAGGTTGAAGCAGGAGAATCGCTTAAACCCAGGAGGCAGAGGCTGCAGTGAGCCGAGATTGCGCCATTGCACTCCAGCCTGGGCAAGAAGAGCAAAACTCTGTCTCCAAAAAAAAAAATCTTGTAACAATTTCAAACAGACTAAATATAACATTAGAAAACAAGCAGATTAGGCAGATCAATGGTGAACTGCACAGAACAATCTTAAGAAAACTGTTAAGTATAATTGTGAAAATAATGTAAGGGTATTACTCAGAAAATGTATAATTCTCAATGTAAAAAGGAAAATAAGGCTGAGCACGGTGGTTCATGCCTGTAATCCCAGCACTTTGGGAAGCCAAGGGGGGTGAATCACTTGAGGTCAGGAGTTTGAGACTAGCCTGGCAAACACGGCGAAAACCCATCTCTACTAAAAATACAAAAATTAGTTGGGCATTGTGGTGCATGCCTGTAGTCCCAAATACTTGGGAGGCTGAGGCAGGAAAATCACTTGAACCAGGGAGGCAGAGTTTGTAGTGAGCTGAGATCACACCACCGCACCCCAGCCTGGGCGACAGAGCAAGACTCTTGTCTCAAAAAAAAAAGGCCGGGGGGAATAATTAGCCAAGACTTCTAAACTCATTATTAAAAGTACAATGCATGAAAGGTTCATTGAAAAAAAGTTTCTTTCTTCTATCCAATAGAGTACTCTGCAAACAGTACCACTAGTCCAGAGGTGGCTCAACTGCAGCAACAGGAAAACTGTTTATCTGAATCTCTTCCATCTAAATCACTTTCATTCAATATTTTAACATTCCAATATTCTAACCCATTAGAAAATACATACTAATTAGTTACCTTTTGAAGCAGGTGGTGTGAAAAACCTATTCTGACTGTGGAAAGCACCCCGTCCTCCTCTATTGCCTGAAAACCCACCACGGGAAGAAATCTTCTGTGATACTTTGAGTGGCCGTTTTGGTGGAGGTATTCCATCTTGAGGAACCACTTCTTTACTTTCAGCAGCAACAAAGTCATCCACATGCATAGATGGTGGTCTACTTGTGTTCTGTTTTCTCTGACGAAAAATATCATGAGGTCGTATACCCTGTCCAAATCCTCCCCTGCCCCTTCCTCTTGGTGGTGGCACAACATGAGCTCTTTTGGCAGGTTCAATGTATTCAGATTTTCCACTATTAAAACAAAAACATGCCATAAAACATTTTTCTTTCAGGTTTCTAGCAAAAATAATCTTTATAATACCCAAAATTATATTTCAGTTTTTTTGTACTCCAATTCTGCTAACTTTGCAAGTATCTATCATACTTCTGGGATAATATAACAAACTAGCTAAGAAAAGTACTCACATTTCATTGTTATGAATAACAATGTTTTAAAATAATCCAGTTCACTTCTTATTCAAACCTTCCAAAATCTTGTAGAAAACAATATAACAAATGTACTGGGTATATCCTGGCCAAATTATTACGTTTAAATTTAAAAAATTCAAACAATGTTCATGATTCGAATGCTATGTTAATTTCCTTTCTAGTTTAATAGCATGTGTCTTTTTTTTTTTTTTTGAGAGACAGAGTCTTGCTCTGTCGCCCAGGCTGCAGCGCAGTGGCGTGATCTCGGCTCAATGCAATCTCCACCTCCCGGGTTCACACCATTCTCCTGCCTCAGCCTCCCGAGTAGCTGGGACTACAGGCACCCACCACCACGACCAGCTAATTTTTTTTTTTTTATTTTTAGTAGAGACAGGGTTTCAACATGTTAGCCAGAATGGTCTCGATCTCCTGACCTCGGCCTCCCAAAATGCTGGGATTACAGGCGTGAGCCACCGCGCTCGGCCGCATGTGTCTATCTTAAAATATACTAAAATACATAAGCTTATGTGATGACATTTGAGATCTTCAGTGGAATAAATTTTACCTTGACGTTATAAAGGTCTCATGCTTGTGCTTCCCAAGTTTGAATCCTTTAGTAGTCTTGGTTCTTCCTGGAGATGATGGTTCTGACAAAAATGAGCGCTCTAATTCTGAGTGCAAATCAAAGTCACTACAGCATTTTTCAGAGAGTTCAATTAAGTCAACCTTTACCTGCAGTCATAATAATGAAACAAAACACATATTAAATGTAATTATTAGCATAACATTTGACTACAGAAATTCTTATTACCTATAAATTATATTTGCCTCTCATAAGAAATAAATTATAGATCTACCTCTTTCATCTTTTCAAAAAGCAAATGGCATTGGTAGTTTAAAAACAAACACACACACACACCTTAGTAATGCTACTTTTTTTGTGTGTGGCATTCTTCAAAGCAGGGCTATTAATCTAGGAGAACTTTGATGCCTGAGCAGGAAACTCAGTATTTGTCTATATAAATTAACACTGTAATATCTCCTGAACTTTTCCAAAAAAAGAATCTGAAAATAACATACTCTGCCAGCCTTATATAGTCAACATTTCTATTACAAAAAGATTCTGTGCCACAGATTCCCAAAAGCTCTATGCATTTAATGAGGTTCCCATCTAAGTTTAATTTCAGGGAAATCAACATTCAGTTTACTTAGGTTTTATTCAAATTTATCAAATGTAAGATACCTAAAATTTCTCTAATCCAGAGGGTTACAATTATCATCACAAGACAGTTGTGATTCAACTTAAAGTTAAAAAATTAGTAACTTTTAACAAATATTTTATACCTGTGCTGCCCAACGTGGTAGCCACTAACAACATGTGCCTATCTAAATTAATCAAAATTAAATCAAAATAAAATTCAGTTCCCTAGTCATCCACATTTCAATTGTACAACAGGCACATGAGGCTACTGTTTTGGACAGGGCAGACTACAAAATATTTGCATTATTGCATAAAATTCTACTGGAGAGGACAGTTTTAAAGAACCACTGAACAGCTTGCACTAAAAAGAAATTAATTTTTAATGCACTTTTAATTGAATTGTATGTGGTTTTTTAAAAAAGGAAAAGCAGCCCTCAACACACTAAATACAAATGTGAAGCAAATCATTCTCTTAGTTTTATTGTATATGATGAACACCAGTATGTTTCTTTGATAAAGAAAAGGAACAATGTACTGTATAATAAGATGTGGCTAAAATAATTCGCCTTACCACATCTCTGAGAAGCATAGAACAGACTGCAATAAATTTTAAATAGTTAATTATACTCTTACCTATTCAGCATTATGTTTAAGAATGTCAATTCCCATTCATACTATACTATAACAAATACATTCTTCACAAGTTTCCAAACTGAGAGCCACACCATAGCACAACCATTCCTCTCCTTGAACCCAAATGCAAGAATAAACTGTTGTTTTATGGGATACTTTTCCCTGTTCTATACCCCGTCAAGTAAGAAAACAAAGTGCTTCATAGAACTTATGCAAAAGTGTGATTTTTCCCTTAAAAAAGTTACATTCTCTGGCCAAATGTGGTGGCTCACGCCTGTAATCCCATCGCTTTGGGAGGCCAAAGAGAGAGGATTGTTTGAGGCTAGGAGTGAGACCAGCCTGGGTAACAGAGTGAGACTTTATCTATATTAAAAAAAAATTTTTTTTTTGGCTGGGCATGGTGGCTCACGCCTGTAATCTCAGCACTCTGGGAGGCCAAGGCAGGCAGATCACAAGGTCAGGAGTTTGAGACCAGCCTGACCAACATGGTAAAACCCAGTCTCTACTAAAAATACAAAAAAATTAGCCAGGCGTGGTGGCACAGGCCTGTAATCCCAGCTACTCAGGAGGCTGAGGCAGAAGAATCACTTGAACCCGGGAAACGGAGGTTGCAGTGAGCTGAGATTGTGCCACTGCACTCCAGCCTGGGTGACAGAGTGAGACTCTGTCTCAAAAAAAAAAAAAAAAAAAAAAAAAAAAAAATTAGCAAAAAAGTCACAACCTCAAAATACAGATCACTAACTAGAAAGAAGCAAAAAAAGCAGGAGAAAAAACTTTCTGGATGCCATGAAGTGGGCAAGTGGCATAAAAATAATGTAGGACTTGCTTCCAAGTAGACTTTAACAGCCATAAAATATGGAAACTATTATAATGCTAACAATATATAAAGAAACAGAAAAAACAATAACGTTTTTCTAAATATTTAGTAATAATTTATACCAAATCCAGATCTGTATCTATCTCTTCAGCCTGAAATGGAGTGAACCACATAGATTTCAACTGATCATCCATGACATCAGCAAGCACATAGGCAGTCCTGGAACAAGAAAAGTATCTGGTGAAAAGCAGAATTCTAAAATCAAATTTCAATTTTTTTTTTTTGAGACACAGTCTTGCTGTTACCCAGCTGGAGCGCAGTGGCACGATCACAGTTCACTGCAGCCTTGATCTCCTGGGCTCAAGTGATCCTCCCACCTTAGCCTCCCTAGTAGCTGAGACCACAGGTGTGTACCACCACACCCAGCTAATTAAAAAAAATTTTTTTGTAGAGAGAGGGTCTCCCTATGTTGCCCAGGCTAGTCTCAAACTCCTGAGCTCAAGCTATCTTCCTGCCTCAGCCTTCCGAAGTGCTGGGATTATAGTCGTGAGCCAATATGCCCAGTCTTTTAGCTTATCTTCAAGTAAAATCTGTGGAAGGTACAATTAAAATTATTACTTTCTAAAGTATTATTAAAAGTAGTACCTAAAAAAGAAACTCCCAAAAGCAATTAAAAATTAAGTATCCTCAAAAACAAATAACTTGAAAACTAATTCTGCTGTAACAAGTTTTGACCTTTCAGTAAAATAAAACAATGCCCTGATTTTATCTGCTAGTTTGTTTCTGTACAGCCTGCAAGCTAGCATAGTTTGTATAAATTAAAAAAAAAAAAAAAAAACTAAAGAAGAATACACAACAGAGGCTGTATGGCCTGCAAAGCCTAGAATTCTTACTATCTGGCCCTTTATAGAAAAAAACGTTTGCTGGCACCCCCTAGACTACAGCCATTTTAAAACCAACAGCTATTCAATCATAAAACATTGTGTATTTTACCTATTGTTAAACAGATTCTGAAGAGATTCTGGAGCTGAAAGTACTGGTTCTACATCCTGGTCACTGAGAGGTAAAGGGTCACCTGATGACTCCAGCATCTGCTTAAGTCCAACTACACTGTCCAACAAAGAATCCAGATTGTCATCATCTTTTGAATGTTCCTAGATACAAATAAAGGCAGAATAAGAAGGTGCAGGTAAAACTTATGTCTGTAAACCTACTGACTCTTTCGTAGAAAAGGCTATATGTATTATTACTAAGAAATTTGGAACACTGTCCAGAAATTATTAACATTAAACACATTAAAATAAAACAAACACCAAAACACTTGTCATTTTATTTCTAAACAATAGCAGCAGAGGGTACCCTGCTTCCAAGGAACAGACAATTCAAAAAGTACCGTCTTCATGTACTCCTTAAAATTCATAACAGGATGGAGGACTTCACTTCAAATTATTAATTCAAAGAGTTATTTGAAATGGTACAAACACCCAGCTAAAGATTCACTATTTTAAAAAAGGTCACTACGAAATACTTGTACTAGTCAAACTGAGAGGAAAATAGGCCTTAAGAACGCTCTGTTTTTTTCTTTTTTACCAAAACAAGCTTCTCTAGTTCAAGGAACAAATTTTCTGGACTTTCTTCTTTGCTTTGTAGAAGCTGTTTTAACTCTGCAGCATTAATACTCATCGTCCGTGATGTATGAGCTCCCTCTACTTCCATGAGACCATTATCATCTCCACAGCATCCCTGTAAATGTCACACATAAGTTAAATTTGAGAACAGAGAAATTTACAAAGATGCATCCACACTTATTCATATTATCTAAGCCATATGCTGCAATCTTTCCTTCAATGTTTTCATTTTTACATCAGTACAAATGGCTAGTTTTAAGGATTTAGATGAAAGGTGAAGTATGTTTTCTTTGAGTAAGACTCACAAAATATTTAAATAAGCAAACATATATTTTACTGGCACCAAGACTTTTCAACAAAATACCGAATGGCAAAACACTGGCAGTTGTAGGACGTGACACACTGATTGATGCTCAAGAATTAATAAAATGCTTGCTATAACAAAGAACTGATGAAACCTGAAATTATCTTTCTGAAGATAACACAAACAACTAAAGAAAATAGTAACTATCATATTTAAGACTATATTCTGTCACATAGAAAAGTTAATATTTTCTGCTTTAAAAAGTATGCTACATAATAAAGTGAATTCTGGAGTGATAACATTTCAATACCAGAAAATCCTTCCAGCAAAATAAATCTTGCTTCATGATAAGAAAACCATCCATATTGTCACATACACTTATGGTAGAGGGCCGTATGCCTACCTAAACATTGTATAAAATCTTTAGCCTTGTTTTTTTGTTGCTGTTGAGACAGGGTCTCGCTATGTCACCTAGGCTGCAGTGCAGTGGCACAATCATAGCTCACTGCAGCCTTGACCTCCCCAGGATCAAGTGATCCTTGCATCTCATCCTCCCAAGTACCTGGGACTGACTGCAAGCACGTGCCACCATGCCCAGGTAATTTAAAATTTTTCATATAGATGGGGTCTCACTATGTTACCTAGGCTAATCTCAAATCCTGGGCTCAAGCAATCCTCCCACCTCAACCTCCCAAAATGCTGAGATTACAAGTGTGAGCCACCTTGCCTAACCTGTTTTTCTTTCTTTCTTTCTTTTTCTTTTTTTTTCTTTTTTTTGAGATGGAGTCGCACTTTGTTGCCCAGGCTGGAGTGCAATGGCGCAATCTCAGCTCACTGCAACCTCTGCCTCCGGGGTTCAAGCACTGGGATACAGGCATCCACCACCAAGCCCAGCTAATTTTTTGTATTTTTAGTAGAGACGAGGTTTCACCATGTTGGCCAGGCTGGTTTCGAACTCCTGACCTCGAGTGATCCACCCACCTTGGCCTCCCAAAGTGCTAGGATTACAGGAGTGAGCCACCATGCCCGGCCTATTTTTCTTATTTTAAGAGACGAGTTGGCCAGGCATGGTGGCTCATGCCTCTAATCCCAGCACTTTTGGGGGCTGAGGCAGGTGGATTGCTTGAGCCCAGGAGTTCAAGACCAGCCTGGGCAACATGGCAAAATCCCATCTCTACTAAAAATACAAAAATTAGCCGGGTGTGATGGTGCACATCTATAGTCCCAGCTACTCAGGAGGCTGAGGTGGAAGGATCACCTGAGCCTAAGGAAGTCAAGGCTGCAGTGAGCCATGATCACACCACTGCACTCCAGCCTGGGCACCAGAGTGAGACCTCGTCTCAGGAAAAAAACAGGGAGAGAAAGAGAGTCTCACTCTTTCATCCAAGCTGAAATACACTGGCACGATCATAGCTCACTGCAACCTTGAACTCATAGGTTCAAGTGATTTCCCCAACTCCGCCTCCTGAGCAGCTGGGACTAGAGGCACATGCCACCAAACTAAGTAAGGCAGGCATATTAATGGCTTCTGGAATTGTGCTCATAATATACCATGACTTTGGAAAATACTAATGAGAGAAATCTTAATTAAATTTTAACAATAAGATTTTAGAGTGGGGAAAATAATCTTTAATTCATATTTGTACGATAGACCAAAAATACTAAAGCATAATAAACTTTACAGTTATCCCAAAATCACAACATCCAAAACAATCAGTAAATTAAGTAACAAAAATAAGTAAATAACAAAGAGACTAACAAAACTTCATTATTCTGAGTTGCCCTAGCAAGGTAACTCAATGTCATAAATTTTTTTCTTTTTTGAGACAGCGTCTTGCTCTGTCACCTAGACTAGACTGCAGTGACACAATCATAGCTAAGTTCAGTCTCCAACTCCTGGACTCAAGCTATCCTCCAATCTTAGCCTCTCAAATAGATGGGACTACTGGTGGGCACACCACGTGTGGCTAATTTTTGTTGTTTCTAGAGACAGAGTTTTGCTGTGTTGTACAGGTTGATCTCAAACTCCTGGGCTCAAGCGATCCTACCACAGCCTCCCAAAGTGATGGGATTAGAGGCACGTGCCACCACACTCATCTAAGAATTATTTTAAAATGAAAGCACTTGGCCAGGTGCGGTAGCTCATGCCTGTAATCCCAGCACTTTGGGAGGCCGAGGTGGGCAGATCACCTAAGATCAGGAGTTCAAGACCAGCCTGGCCAACATGGTGAAATCCCATCTCTACTAAAAAGGTACAAAAAATTAGCTGGGCATGGCGGCAGGTGCCTGTAATCCCAGCTACTCAGGAGACTGAGGCAGGAGAATCACTTGAACCCAGTATGTGGAGGTTGCAGTGAGCCGAGATTGTGCTACTGCACTCCAGTCTGGATGACAGAGTGAGACTCTATCTAAAATAAAATAAAATAAAATAAAATGAACTAAAGTGATCTTTTTTATGTTGGATATTTAATATATAAAGTGATTTAACTTACGGCAAAGTATTTCTCTTTTTTTCAAGACAGGGTCTCACTATTTTGCCCAGGCTGGTCTCAAACTCCTGGCCCCAAGAGATCCTCCCACCTCAGCCCACCAGAGTGCTGAGATTACAGATGTGAGCCATCGTACTTGGCCAAAGATTTCAAATTTAAGAAACACCAAATACATACATACATATATACACAAACACAAACACACACATACTTACAATTGTGTCAGAGTTAAGAATTTGTCTCATAAATTCTAAAAATGAAGATGCAAGCTCTCCTGTGTCCTTACTAAATGTGCTGACCACTCGTTTCAGTAAACTATGCAGAGCACTACTGTTTTTCCTTAAAGAACTGTAAATAAAGAAAATAAAGAGAAGATATTATCTTAAAATATGAGCATATAAAACTGGTATGATAAATGAACTCACTTCAGACAGAATAAAACTTACTCCATCATTTTTAAAAATGCTAAGAAGTACTTTGGTGTGTCTTTGTACACAAATATAACAAAGAACCGTCAATAGTTACCAACTCCTTTTAAAGCTAAGCTTCAAGATCTTAAAAAAAAATTCCCCCAAATAATCATTTTATAAAATTTAACACAAGAGGCTGGGTGTGGTGGCTCACGCCTGTAATCCGGGCGCTTTGGGAGGCCGAAGGTGGTGGATCACTTGAGGTCAGGAGTTTAAGAGCAGCCTGGCCAACATAGGGTAACCCGGTCTCTACTAAAAAAAAATACAAAAATTAACGGGGGGTGGCAGCACACACCTGCAATCCCAGCTACTCGGGAGGAGGTGAGGCAGAAGAATCACTTAAACGATTGGGAGGCAGAGGTTGCAGCGAGCCGAAATCACGCCACTGCACTCCAGCTTGAAGGACAGAGTGAGGCTTCATCTCAAAAAAAAAAAAAAAAAAAAAACTTAACACAGAAAACTTGCCAGTTCCCTATTTATAAACCTTTTGGCCAGGCGCGGTGGCTCACACCTGTAACCCCAGCACTTTGGGAGGTCGAGGCGGGCAGATCACGAGGTCAGGAGATCAAGACCATCCTGGCTAACACAGTAAAATCCCGTCTCTACTAAAAATATAAAAAATTTGCCAGGCGTAGTGGTGCACGCCTGTAATCCCAGCTACTGGGGAGGCTGAGGCAGGAGAATCACTTGAACCCAGGAGACGGAGGTTGCAGTGAGCCGAGATTGTGCCACTGCACTAGGCCTGGGCAACAACAAAGAGAAATAGATTAAATTCAAAAATAAAAATGTTAATGGAAAAAGCATGGGTTCAAAATTGGACTACACCCATTACTAACCACTACACACAATCTTTAAGTGAGTCATACTTCCGTGGTCTATCAAAAGCTGGGGACCTATTAGAATGCCTAACATTTAAAAACTTGCAATACCAAGTTCTGGGGAGGATGAGGAGCAACTGGGGCTCTAATACACTGCTAGTGGGAATGAAAAATGGTATCTCTACTTTGGAAAACAGTTCGGTAGTTTCTTTTTTTTTTTTTTTTTTGAGACGGAGTCTCCGGTAGTTTCTTTTAAGGTTAAACACACACACCTATCATACAACCCAGTAACCCCACTCCTAAGTGTCTACCCAAGAGAAATGAAAACTGAGATTCACACAAAAACCTGTGTGCAAAGCTTTATTCATAACCACCAAAATTTGAAAACAACCCAGATTGCTAGAAAATTAGTCACCGATAAGAACTACATGACTCTAAGCATCTGTCAAAACACATAGAACTGTACACCATAAAACATAAATTTGACTAGATATAATTTTTTAAAAAATCAACAAGGGGTTGGGCGCAGTGGCTCATGACTGTAATCCCAGCACTTTGGGAGGCCGAGGCAGGTGGATCACGAAGTCAGGAGTTCGAGACCAGCCTGGCCAACATAGTGAAACCCTGTCTCCACTAAAAAAACAAAATATATACAAAAAATTAGCCAGGCATGGTGGCAGGCGCCTGTAATCCCAGCTACTCGGGAGGCTGAGGCAGGAGAATCACTTGAACCCAGGAGGCGCAGGTTGCAGTGAGCCGAGATCGCACCATTGCACTCCAGCCCAGGGGACAGTGCGAGATTCCATCTCAAAAAAAAAAAAAAAAAAAAAACAACCAATAAGGATATGAGGGAAAAAATAAGAATGCAGACTATGACCAATGAATCTAACTATATTACAAATGAACCATATAACCAAACTGAAGGAGACAGGGAAGAAATAAGCTGACATAAATAACTGAAAAACAGTTTTTTGACTGGATACACTAAGGCTAAAGACAAAAAGAACCATATACAACACTGTACTCCGATTGCTCAATTTGTTTCCCACAGGAGTATGGTTTAGTAATGAGTTTGAGACTGCTACTTCATTTGTAAACTAGGGCTAAACAAATAAGCAAATATAGATAATGAGAGCTGAATTTCTCACTGTTAGAGAATAAAATAATCAAGAAAGGGAAAAGGCTAGAATTCACTTCTGGTACTGGATCAAAGTCAAAGTATTAGTATGGGCCAGGTGTGGTGGCTCACACCTATAATCCCAGCATTTTGGAAGGCAGAGACAGGTGGATCACTTGAGCCCAGGAGTTCGAGACCAGCCTGGGCACCAGCTGAAACCCCGGCTCTACAAAAGATACAAAAATTAGCCAGGCATGGTGGCTTGTGCCTGTAGTAGTACTTGGAAGGTTGAGGCAGTGCACGAAATTTCCATGCACTATTCAGTAGAATGTATATTCTGTGGTTGTTGGATGGAATGTTCTGTATCTAACTGTTAAGTCCGTTTGTTCCAAGGTATAGTTCAAATCTATTGTTTCTTTGTTGAGTTTCTATCTTGATGACCTCTCTAATGCTTTCAGTGGAGTATTGAGGTCCCCCACTATTATCGTGTTGCTGTCTATCTTATTTCTTAGGTCTATGATTAATTGTTTTATAAATTTCAAAGCTCCAGTGTTAGGTGCATATATGTTTAGGATTGTAATATTTTCCTATTGGACAAGGCCTTTTATTATTATATAATATCCCTCTTTGTCTTTTTTAAGTTGCATGAAATGTCTTTTTCATGCAAATGAAGGAGGATCAGGAGAAGTGCTTGAGCCCGGGAGGCGAAGGCTGCAGTGAGCCGAGATCATGCCACTGCACTCCAGCCTAGGCAACAGAGTTAGACCCTATCTCAAAACAAACAAACAGACAAAAACACCCACCAAGTATTAGTATGAATTAATTTTCTCAAAAACATATATATAAATTAATAAATTTATTGTTTTAAAATAAATTTTATAATTAAAACTTTTAATATTTAAATAAATTAATTTTAAAATATGTATCTGTTTTATGTAGATAAAATGTAAAAAGAAAGTAAATGTATGTAAATGTGTGATGAATTAGGACACATACGTATATTTCCCAGCTCTATCCAATGAGACACACCAAAATCAGTGACATCCTAAGAGCAATAAACACACCCAGAGCCCAGATCCTGGTTTCTAAATATTCTCCAATAAAAGGAACCAGGGGCTCCTTGGAGAACAAGTCCATCTTGGCTGGAACAGGGAAAATACAAGCTGATCCTGGAACACCTTGTAGTACTAGCAATAGGAAGTACTTAAAAAATTTTTTTTTAAGTCAGAGCTATGTAACAAACCGGAACGTTCTGCACATGTATCCCAGAACTTAAAGTAAAATTTTACAAATATATAAATTAAAAAAGTCAAGAGCATATGAAAAGGGCACAGAAGCCAACCTGAAAGATCCCTAGTGGCCAGAGTTGGAATAAGATGAACAACAAAATAAGTAAGGATAGTATTGAATTATATACAATGAAAAAAATTAATGTCTATGAATTCACACTGATATAAATATCTGGATAAACCAATGCAGGAGAAGCAACAACTCTTCCTTATGGAAGGAAAATTAGTAAGTAAAAAGGAATGAAGGGAATAGAAAATCACCATTACACCACCACAGTAATAACTGCCATATCTTGCCAAGATCTACACTGACAGATACTAAAAATGGTGGATGAAAGTTTTTGGCATAAATAGGATATGTGGATATCATAATATCTCAAAGTATAGTCTCCAAAATATTTAGTAATTAAAAATGGGAAATTAATAAGTTTTCAGTGCAGAATCCTAGAAGATAGCACTTCAGCCAAGTGATCAAGGTCAGTATCATCAGTAATATATAGAAACATCATGTATTTCCTTATATGATGCACTGAAAAAGGCACATTGCCTCTGTAATATCCCTATCAACAAAGAATAATGTCAATCTAATTATGAGAAAATATCAGACAAACTCAAATTGAGGGACATTCTACAAAACAAGTGAGCAGTACTCTCCAAAAATGTCAAGGTCATGAAAGATAAGGAAAGGGGAGACAAAGGATGCAATGCAATGTAAGATCTTACATTGGATCCTGGAACAGGAAAAAACATAGTAATAGAAAATTCAAATAAAATCTGTATGTTAGTTAATAGTAGTATGACAACATTAATTTCTTAGTTTTGGTAAGTATTATACAGTTATGTAAGAGGATAATACAAGTGTAAGGTGGGTGAAGGGCACACCTGAACACTACACTATTATTTTTGCAATTCTTCTGAAAGTCTAAAATTATCTCCAAAAAAACTTTTTAAAAAAGTGTAACCTGCCACAGGACTATATAAGAAAAAGTATATGGTGACCTGTTAATTTAAAAAAACCAAAAAAACAAAAAAAAAACAGGTTGGGCACAGTGGCTCACATCTGTAATTCCAACACTTTGTGAGGCCAAGGCAGGAGGATCACCTGAGGTCAGGAGTTCAAGACCAGCCTGGCCAACATGGTGAAACCCGCTCTCTACTAAAAATTCAAAAAATTAACTGGGTGTGGTGGTGCATGCCTGTAGTCCCAGCTACTTGGGAGGCTGAGGCAGGGGAATCACATGAACCCGGGTGGCAGAGGTTGCTGTGAGCTGAGATTGTGCCACTGCACTCCAACCCGGGCGATAGAGCAAGACTCCATCTCAACAAAAAATAAAATTAAAAAAAAAAAAACCCAGGTCATGCTGTATCTCTGCTTAAAACCTGACAATGGCCCGTATCATAAGCCTAAAGGCCCTTGATGATCTTTCTCCCATTCTGTACCCCCATTACCTCCATAACCAGACATCCTATCATTTTTCTCCTTGCTCACTCTGAGGGCTCTCACTGTGGCCTCAGAGCTGTTTCTCAGACATATGAAGCATGCTTTTGCAATTGTTCTCCCCAGGATATTACCATGTTTTGTTCCTCACCTCTTTCAGGTCTTCATCTTTGTTCAAGGGTTTTTAATATCCTGGTGAGCCTTACAGATCATTATAGAGAGTTTGGATTTTAATTGAGGTACAATAGGAAACCATTAGAAGGATTTCAGCAGAAATCCGGTTTTAAGTTTTAAAAGATTACTTTGGCTTCTGAGAGAACGAATTTTAGAGAGCCAAATGGTGGAAGCAAGGAGACCAATTAGGAGGCTATTGCAATGGGCTATGCAAGAAATGATAGTGGCCTGGATAAAGGTAATAGCTACAGAGGTGGAGAAGAGGGATCAGATTCAGGATGTATTTTGGAGAAATAATCCACAGGACTTAATGAGATGCCATTAGATAGTCAAGTAGAAATGTCAAGTAGATTAATGGGTTACTTGGAGCTTAGCAGAGAGATAAGGGCTAAAAGGGAAAAAGGGAATAGGTTAAGAGGACTTAGGACAAGGTTACAGATAAGAAAAAAGGACCAGAAACATTAAGTCTAGGAAACCCAACAAAATCATAGATAATACGATAGCACAGGTGTACAAAAAATCTTTGTGGGAGTACCTAACCCAACTAGGAAAGCTTTTTGGCTTTTTTGGAAGTGCAGTGTATGAGGTGAGTTTCAAAGGACATGGAGTAAATATCTTGGCAATAGGAAAAAGGTTAAAGGCTTTGGTGAGAGACTGGATGGGGGCAGAGCATGAGGAATGGATGTGAAGCAGGTGCCATCAACTGAGAGCGAATACAGAAGATGCAGGTACATCAGGACAAGGAGATGCAGAAAGGAAGAGCCAGCACCAAACACAGTACCTGCAATGTAAGTTTTCAACCAATGCTGCAAGAATTAATGAGAAAGAGGCAAAAGTATGTTTCCTCCTCCTTACTATCTCATAATCCCATGTAGTTTAATAAATATAAGTACTAGCCAGGTATCTTCCCTCTTCCTTCTCCCAGCAAATAAAAACATCAGGGCATCGGCAGAAAAATTAGAGTAGAAATTATACTTGAGACAGTGAGCAGTCTGAGGTTTATATCATTTCTTTTTCTTTTTTTTTGAGACAAGGTCTCCCTCTGTTGCCCCGACTAGACTGCAGTGGCATGATCACTGCAGCGGCATGATCACTGCAGCCTTGACCTCCCAGGCTCAAGCAATCCTCCCACCTCAGCTTCCCAAGTAGTTGGGACTACAGGTGTGTGCCATCATGCCCAACTAATTTGTAAATTTTTTTTATAGAGATAAGTCTCCCTATGTTGCCCAGGCTAAACTTGAACTCTTGAACTACTGGGCTCAAGTGATCCTCCCACCTCAGTCTCTTGAAGTGCTGAAATTATAGGTATGAGCCACCATGCTCAGCTATTTATATAATTTCAGATTAATTTTGTCCCAGCCATTCCTCTAGAAAACAAAATATGGTCAGCTCTCCATACCCATGGATTCTGCATCCACGGATTCCACCAACCATGGAATGAAAATATTATAAATAAATAAATAACAATATGAATAAAAAAATACAAATTTTAAGATACAGCAAAAAATTATTTACATAACATTCACACTGTATTATTAGGTATTATAAGTAATCTAAGGTGATTTCAAGTATACAAGAGAAATACTGTACCGTTTTATATAATGGACTTGAGCATCTGTAGATTTTGGTATCCAATTCCCCATAGATACTGAGGAACTGTACACAGAATCTGCATTTTAGCTTTAAGGTCTATAAAATCCCTCTAGCATCCATCACTTCTGAGGATACAACAACGAAACAAAGACCTTAAGGCATGAATTACCATCCCTGGAACAGTGAGATTTCCTTCCAGATACTGTACCATGCCCACAGTAATTTGTGTATCTATTCATTTTATATCTTTAATCCAAAAGATTCTATTATTAGCATGACCTTTCATTGCTAATTAATCTTTTCCATACACACAAAATTTCTCCCACGAAAGAAATCATTTCTTCAACTTTCTACAATAGGTATGAATTAATGTGGGGTGAAGGAGCAGTGACAGAATGAAAAAATTAAATCTGAGAGTATATTAAATTAGACAAATCATTACCTTTTTAAATGAAATAATCCATAATCATGCTCTGCAAGAAACATCATTGTTCTGACACATGTCAGTAAACAGTTGTAACTGCTCTCAGAGTTAGCTAGCGTAGCCAACAGACAGTCACAGATTGAGGTCATCAATTCTTTATTTGGTAGAGAATTGGAGAGCTGCTCCAGTTCAGAAATAGAACCTTCAGAAGAGCTTGGTAAGATAAGTGCAATGTCCTGTGGGGAGCAGGGAAAAAAAAATCGATTTTTTAAATAATTATCACCATCACTTAGCACTTTTGAGAAATACATAGCAATTAATATTCAATAACTATCTCATTAAAATATTGTTGCTACTGTCCCATCCCAAACATATAAACACATTAAGAATAATGAAATTACTTTTCCCTTTTAAAAAAGTTAATACAAGGATACACACCTAAAGGAATAAATATTTAAATATTTTGATTTACTTTTACTTTAAAACAACATCTTTCAAATTTTTTTTCTTTCAGTATTGCAGTAAGTATAGTTTCTGTTTTCAATAGGTTAAAGGTAAAAAGTATTTTGTACTAAAATAATTAACTTACTGTATTATTTATTCATTTGTATCTTTTTTGGTTTATAAAGAAACTTTTCAGAGAAATAAAGTTTTTCTTTTTTTTTTTTTTTGAGACGGAGTTTCACTCTTGTTGCCCAGGCTGGAGTACAATGGCATGATCTCGGCTCACTGCAACCTTCGCCTCCCAGGTTCAAGCAATTCTCCTGCCTCAGCCTCCCGAGTAGCTGGGATTATAGGAATGCAGCACCACACCCGGCTAATTTTGTATTTTTAGTATAGACGGGGTTTCTCCATGTTGGTCAGGCTGGTCTTGAACTCCTGACCTCAGGTGATCCACCTGCCTCGGCCTCCCAAAGTGCTGGGATTACAGGCATGAGCCACTGTGCCCAGCCAGAAATAAAGTTTAATATACATTAATACTGCAATTTAAGGCTCGGCACAGTGGCTCACACCTGTAATCCCAGCACTTTCAGAGGCCAAGGCAAGTGGATTACCTGAGGCCAGGAGTTCAAGACGAGCCTGGCCAACATGGTGAAACACCCTCTCTACCAAAAATACAAAAATTAGCCAAGCATGGTGGCACACACATGTAATCCCAACTACTGGGAGGCTGAGGCAGAAGAATCACTTGAACCCAGGAGGCGGAGGTTGCACTGAGCCAAGACTGTGCCACTGCACTCCAGTCTGGGCAACAGAGCCAGACTCCATCTCAAAAACAAACAAACAAAAAAACAAAAAGCCCCCTGCAATTTAAAATATCAGAAAGTTGGATGGATAGAGGAGATGAACATTTAAACACAGTCTTTCAATCAAATATTTCCCTCTACTTTATATATATACATGTATATATGTATATATATGTATATATGTATGTGTATATATGTATGTACATATGTGTATATGTGTATATATGTATATACATATGTGTATATATGTATATATGTGTATATATATAAGTATATATATATACTTCTAAATTCAAGTTTTCCAATGCTAAGCAAGTTTAGCTAATGATAACTCTAAAAACTCCTGCTACTCTTTATAGAAGTAAACTGAATTTTTTTTTGAGACGAAGTCTCCCTCTATTGCCCAGGAGTGCAGTGGCGCAATCTCGGCTCATTGCAACCTAGGCCTACTATGAGATTCAAGCAATTCTCCTGCCTCTGCCTCCCAAGTAGCTGGGACTACAGATGCATGCCACCACGCCCAGCTAGTTTTTTTGTAGTAGAGATGGGGTTTCACCATATTGGCCAGGCTGGTCTCAAACTCCTGATCTCGTGATCCACCCATCTCAGCTTCCCAAAGTGCTAGGATTACAGGCGTGAGCTACCATGCCCGGCCAGAAGTAAACTAAATTTTACAAGAGCATTTTTCATTATGTTTTATCATCTTTAATTACTTCAATATACTGCAAACTCGTATTCAACTTGGCTTAAACTATACAACAAGGCTCGAATCAGAAGGAAAACACAGCAAAGTGAGGCCATCAATGAGATTCGTGTGACCAAGGCAGCTAGGATGCCACAGCGCTATTCAATGTAGTCATGCAACCCAAAGTGGATTATACAAGAAATACCAACCAAATGGACACTTTGAGGTACAAGGACTTAGAATACCCTTTCTACCAGGTCCCCTTCTTTGTGAAAACAAGTCATACAAAAAAAAAAAAAAGTTCTTTCTTGACCTGAGTCTTAAATGTAACCAAACTGAATATTTGTTAAGGTAGAAAAAGACAGTCTTCCAACATGGGACTCTATTCTGCCTGAAAAAAAAAAATCACATTTGATGACCACTTAGCAAGAGCATTCTGACAAGCTAAAATGCCATTAGGCATAGAAATCTCCAAAGATCTCAATCATAATGGGCTTTAAAAGCTAAAACAATTCTCATTAACCCATGAAACTATAAACTGGAAGTCAATAATACAGACAACAGGAAAAAATACTACTACTTTAGCCAACATCTATAAGCAAAGTAGTCTGAAACACACTAAAAGTGTAGTAGCCTTCAAAGATTGCCCCAACAAGAGAACATATTAATTCAACCAAGCTATGAAATTTAAGAATGACTTGGTGTAGCCAGGCATGGTGGCTCTCGTCTGTAATCCCAGCACTTTGGGAGGCCGAGGCAGGTGGATCACCTGAGGTCAGGAGTTCAAGACCAGCCTGACCAACACGGTGAAACCCTGTCTCTACTAAAAATACAAAAATTAGCCAGGTGTGGTGGTGTGTGCCTGTAATCCCAGCTACTCAGGAGGCTGAGGCAGGAGAATCACTTGAACCCAGTGGGGCAGAGGCTGCAGTGAGCTGAGATCACGCCATTGCACTCCAGCCTGGGCGACAGAATGAGACCCCATCTCAAAAAAAAAAAAAGAATGACTTGGTGTGTAACGTAATTGGAAGGAAAATGAATTAGACCCTAAAAAATACGGAAACACTGGCACATAAAGCAATTACCCAAGGTTATGATCTTATAAAGGAAAGAAAAAAGCTCTTCAGAGAACCCATGAACAACAGCAGGAATAATAAAACATAGATGACAGCTGTTCATTCACAGCCAAAATTTACATCAAGATGCTTAAATACACACACACACACACACACATACACATGCAGAGAGAGACTTTATAAAATAACTATAAATACCTGATCACAGAGAGACTGCAAAATGGATGTGACATATTCAACACACTGTTGGCGAATAACACTGTCTCCAGGAGACCGCACCAAAGCTAAAAGATCCTGGAATATCTCTGCATATCTTTCATCACCTTTAATAGTTCCATTAATTAGATGCAAAATAGCTAATTTACAAGCTTTGTGTGAAGCCAGAGCATCAAGAAGAGCAAGCAACCTGGTGGTTTGGCTAGTATACTGTTTTTCTTTATCTTCTGAAGTGCTGAAATAAAATCGATACATTTAGTAAACAAAGTTCTTGACCTTAAGGCATTGTTTAACTAGTATTTATTTCTCAATACACATCAACTTACACAAATTTTGCATAAAACATTTAATTCCTTGGGTATAATGACAAATTCTCTGGAATTTTACAATGACTGCAAAAATTTTATAAATTCAGGTTTCTAATAATATATTTTCTTAAATCAGAGTACTTCTTTAGGATTCACCATTTGAAAATCCCAAATCAAGACCTTCAAGATATCTTGCACATGAAATGATGAAATAAAGCTTTCTAATTTTAAAAGTCTACAAGTATTCATATATTCATATGTGTGCATATGTAGGTATATGTGTATATTTACATGTATATATGTTATCTGGGCATTCCAAACCCTAGTTTCCAAATTGTAAGGGAAAAAATATATGTGTCAAAAATAATTTGAGGAAAAAATTTTTAATGCAAAATGAAAATACCTTTGCAAGTCTTCTACAATCAAATCCAACACAGTTCTCATAATCAGAAGTGCAGTTGGTGAGGCAAGGTCACACAATTGAACACAAATACGCCGTAACATATGTTGAATGGGCTGGCAGGTTGTGCCAGAGAAAGAGCGAACTATTTCTTGGAGCAACTTTGCTTGAACATGAAGGTGCATGCTCCACAATTTTCGGGTGTTGAGTGCCACTGATATATCATGTGGCTCAATAACCTGTTAAAAAAGTATAATGTGTGTGTACGTAGATTTTTTAATATTTATTTATAGTCACAAAAACTGTTCAGGAAGAAATGTTATGAAAAGAACATTTTTACTGCATGCTTAAAACATTTAATTTTCTATTATACAGTTAAACATTTGCTTGAATTCAATGAGTCTAAAAAATCTTATTGTTCTCAGGTTAGCAGTTAGTTGAGCAGAGTCCATTGGTGAAGCAATCTAGTTATTGGCAAATTCTAACACATGGTAAGGTGTGGGGGAAAGGATTTAAAATAACAGAAAAATGTAAGTACAAACATACATAACAGCAAAATAAAACTCACTTTAACAAAAATTTATTTAAAATGTTACCCCCATATTTCCTCAATGACCAACTTGTTTCAGTTTTATCTCCCCCTCATCCGGTTATTTTATGTCTTTTTGGGAGGAAGGGAGATGAGGGTTTTTGTTTTTTAACAAAATCACTGGCTTTTTAAAAAGTGTTACTGCAGTCATTTATAAGATGCATGTTATATGGAAGTGATACCTGAGTTGTTTGCATGGGCAATGGAAGAGGCAGCAGCTCTGAAAGGAGTATGAGTCCAGAAAAAAATCCTTCAGGAACCTTCAAGATTGAAGAAAGAACTTCTTTTAACATTAAAGACCAAGTATTATTGGCCAGAGTCTCTTCTGAGATTGTGAGTTTTTCATTAACTCCTTGTGTAAAAGTCAGTAAAATATCAATGATATCATTCTGAATTTTCTGTTCATCACTATCCAAACGACCTGAGAGGGGGATAGAGCACAGGAGCATATGTAAAGTAACAAGCGCTGAAGGAACACGCATGTCCTTAAACTCAAAGGATCCACCTCTCAGGAGTTCCGTTAACATAGTTTTAAGAAGAGTGAGTGTGCAGCGAGCCATTGAAATAGTAGTAACTCTGTGAAGGGTAGTCCCCATGTTGACATGGAGCCTCCAAGGCTGAGTCAGAATACTGTTCAATTTTTGCAGAACTCGAATAAACGTGTCCATTCCTTCAGCAGAAAAAAGCTGAATAACGGCAAGATTCCATTTCAGATCTTTCTGTTGACCTTTATATAGGATAAGAAAAAGAAACAAAACTAATTACTTATATGTTAATAACTGATTAAGAATTATTAAAGTGAATATTTAATATTTATGATAATTATATTTATAATAAATGATTTTTATTATGACAAATATTTAATTACTTTAATTTAAAATGATATTTTTCATTATTAAATAAATGATGTTTAATAATTAACTAAATATTTAATAAATGATATTTATTCTAGGCTTAAGAATCGTAGTTTTTAAAATACAGTAGCCACATTACCTTCAACAGGAGGTGGTGGGCATGCAACATTACAGAGAACACGTAAGGCAGTGGTAAGGCCAACTCCTTCTGGGGTCATCAAGTTATCGATATTCTTTAAAAATGAAAATGAACAGAATATTTCGTTTCTTAGTACCCATGAGATCAACAGAAAATTCCAGACAAGGAATTACTTGAAAATATGAGCTTCAAGTTAAGAACATACAATATTTTATATTTATTAAGTAAATTTAAAACATGAACAAGGCCCTAGAGTTAAATGAATTTATCAAGATTATTTGATCTCTGGCATATGTTGTACTATATACAATATTATGTAAATAAAAAGAACTGTAATGCACAAATTCACTGAAAAGAATCAACTAGAACAAAGATAACATAAAGAAATGTATGAAACTCCCTGTATTAAGAGTTTACAATGGCTACTTTCTATATACTCTTTTCATACATCTTCTCTGCCAAAAATGAAGCAATGACTATATTTAAAAAGTCCTGTGGAGGCTGAGTGCAGTGGCTCACACCTATAATTCCAGCACTCTGAGAGGTTGAGGTGGAAGGATTGCTTGAGCCCAGGAGTTAGAGACCAACCTGGGCAACATAGTGAGACCCTGCCTCTACAAAATATTAAAAAATCAGCCAGGCATGACGGTGCGTGCCTATAGTCCCAGCTACTCAGGAGGCTGAGGTGGAAGGATCATTTTAGCCTGGGAGGTCAAGACTAGAGTAAACTGTGATTGTGCCATTGCACTCCAGCCTGGGTGACACAGTGAAACCCTGTCTCAAAAAAAATAAAAATAAAAAGCGCTTTGAGTACTAAACTTCATTCAAAAGTGAGGAAGCAGCAAGGAATGTTTCTGGCCTACATGGCATACATTTTTTTAAATGCAGATACCAACAGAGTCTAGTATTGTAGCCAGGTGGGGCACAGGTTAGAGGAAAAACAAATACAATTGCCTATGTCCTTAGCACCTGCCTATGCTATGTTTCTAGGTAACAAATAGTTATGTTTCAGTTTTCTTAGCTTTCACAGAACAGCATTATCAATTGTTTAAAAACTTGGGGCTGGGTGTGGTGGCTCATGCCTGTAATCACAGCACTTTGGGAGGCCATGGCGGGTGGATCACCTGAGGTTGGGAGTTTGAAAACAGCCTGGCCAACATTGTGGAACCTTGTCTCTACTAAAAATACAAAAATTAGCCAAGCGTGGTAGCACGTGCCTGTAATCCCAGCTACTTGGGAGGCTGAGGCAGGGAATTGCTTGAATCTGGAAGATGGAAGTTGCAGTGAGCTGAGATTGAGCCACTGCACTCCAGCCTGGGCGACAGAGCAAGACTCCATCTCAAAACAAAACAAAACAAAACAAAAAAACCTTGGAAGAAATAACATTCAAAAAACGTTACTATCTCTTAGCTCATAGTAGAGTCTAGACCAAAAAAAAAAAAAAAAAAAAGTTACTACCTCATTTTAGCTTTTCTTTTATTCTAATCCTTTTCCTTGTAATTCCACAAATTACATAAGGCAGCAGGGAGACACAGAGTGAAGTTTCAGTCTTGGATCAACTTTTTATAGACCATGTTGGGATGAGAACCACTTATAATATCATAATTAATGGGATAAAGATTTACATAAAAATCAACTCTTAACTACAGCATGTAATTCACATTTCTAGAACTAAATTTCTTACTGATTAAATAATTTTACTCAAACCATCGCCATTTATTGAACATCTTGTTAATACTCACTCAACCATGCACAAGTACCCAGAATACATGACCATCTAAATTTACAGGATATTAATTGTACTTCTCCTAAATAAAAGAAAATGTAATGAAAAGTTCTAGATGTCATTTGAGGCTCAGAGTAAGAACACGGAAGAATATGATGGCACCATAGGAAGTAAAAGTACTCTTAGGAGAGTTGGAGTACAAGAAGACAAAGGCAGAGAAATCAGTAAAGAAAAATCTGAAGCAGATAAACCCAAAAAACACTTTGCTGTGGGTCCCAACAGCAACAAATTAAACAATATACAAAAATTATTTTAATAATATACACTGCAATTCCAAAACCAAGATGGCTTATATACTCTCTCTCTCTCACACACACACACGCAAACACACGTGCATGCATGCGTGTGCGCACACACTCACGCACAGATTTCACCTGCGAAATGAGAGAGATAATTCAAGGTCCATTCTGCTCTTCTAACTTGAACTTTTTATGTGTATATGAGTGCTTCTAACCTTCTTCCTATGCTACACGATGGCTCGACTAAGGAACAGAGATGAAAAAACTTCCAAGACTAATAAACACTGCTGTAATTTTTTTCATTATGAATTATTTAAATTGAATATAAAATTTTAAAACTGCATTATGAGTCTTAGGAATTTTAACTGTTATGAATTATTTCAACTGCAGATTCAACCATACCAAATTAACAAAGAGAACTTGCCTCCACTGCAATTATCTGGAATGGGCCCTATCAATTTTCACCTAAATATTTTGAGTGAAATTCTTTTTCAGAAATTAAAGTTTAGCTAAACAGTTATATGTTACATGACTACAGCATTTAAAACACTTATAAATGTCATCAAGATGGTAGGTGATACTATTTCCATTTCAGAGGGAAAAAATAGGACAGAATCCAGTAGTGAAAAGTAGTACAGTACACAGGGTTATGTGCACGTGTGTTCACATATGCATATAATCGCACGTCCATCTATATGCATATACCAACCTGTACCTACAAAGTCTAATAAATCAATCAAGGACACTTAACAATGTCTACATTATCTACACAAGTGATTCAATGCAGTATCACCATGTACTACCACACAGTTTCAAAAAGTCAAAGCACTTTTAAGTTTTACACTTACCTGCTTAACATACTCAATTAAGTTTGGGATGCAGTTAATTTCAAATCTAAGGTTTTTCAGAGGTTCAAGCCACTTGCCAAGTTCTTAAAAAGAAAAATAATTTATAATATTTAAAAATAGAAGGCTTTATAACAAAGAAAGTAAATATTTTTTCCAAAGAAAATCATTATTAGGTCCATGTTGATTTCAATCATCTAAACTTCATGCAGGGATGGACATGCATCTAATTCTTTTTTTTTTTTTTGAGACGGAGTTTCGCTCTTGTTGCACAGGCTGGAGTACAAAGGGCGTAATCTCGGCTCACTGCAACCTCTGCCTTCTAGATGCAAGCAATTCTCCTGCCTCAGCCTCCCGAGTAGCTGGGATTACAGGCGCCTGCCACCACACCTGGCCGATTTTTGTATTTTTAGCAGAGACGGGGTTTCACCACGTTGGCCAGGCTGGTCTCGAACTTCTGACCTCGTGATCCGCCCGCCTCAGCCTCCCAAAGTGCTGGGATTACAACTTGTATCTAATTCTTTAAACAAGTTTTTCATTCTGTTGCCCAGGCTGAAGTGCAACAGTGTGATCACGGCTCACTGCAGTCTCAGCTTCCTCAACTCAATCAATCCTCCTGCTTCAACCTCCAAAGTAGCTAGGACTACAGGCGTGCATTACCACATCTGGCTAATTTTTGTATTTTTTGTAGAGATGGGGTTTCACCATGTTGCCCAGTCTGGTCTCAAACTCCTGGGTTCAAGTGATCCACCTACCTCAGCCTCCCAAAGTGCTGGAATTACAAGTGTGAGCCACCGCGCCCAGCTTAAACAATTTAGTTTTAAAATGAAAGAAATGCCTACTCTTAGTTATCTGGTTTATGCAAATTTAGATGTTTACATGCTTAAATAGTCTATATAATTAAAATGAATTTTTATAACAATTTACAACATTAAAAAATTACAAAATAGGGCTGGGCGTGGTGACTCACGCCTGTAATACCAGCACTTTGGGAGGCTGAGGCGGGTGGATCACGAGATCGACAGATGGAGACCATCCTGGCCAGCATGGTGAAACCCCATCCCTACTTTAGTCCCTACTAGAAATACAAAAACTAGCTGGGCATGGTAGCACGCACCTGTAGTCCCAGCTACTAGGGAGGCTGAGGCAGAAGAATCACTTGAACCCGGGAGGAGGAAGTTGCAGTGAGCCGAGATCACACCACTACACTCCAGCCTGGAGACGGTGCGAGACTCTGTCTCAAAAAAAATGTACATACCTACAAAATAGACTGCTTATAAATTAATGTAACATAGTGTTTATTCACCTATCTCTGCCACTGCCTCTCACACCCACCCAAAAAAAGTATAAACAAAATTTATTAATTTCTAAAGGAATGAAACCCAAGGGGAGATATTTTGCTGAGTGCCTTTTCCTCTAACATGAAATTTTAATTCTGTCAACTTCCAAATTTGCCTTTATAAAATTACTATCACCCCAAAAGAATGACAGCAAACTTTGTTTATAGAATAAACACAAATACAATCTGCCATTTACTGCAAACAAACTCAAAACTCTCCCAGAAGCTATACCATAACTCCTATATTCTATCACCAAAAATGTTTCTAGAAAAGCACTCCAATGTAAAAAGTGAAATACCAGTTCCAGATGCCATATAGGAAATAGAAAATAGTAGCCAGGTCTTTCCTTGGTTCTACACTCCTCCACCAGAATTACAGCTGTACAATTTTCCCCATGCATTTTAAAATTAAATCTTTCTTATATATAGAATATATAGCTCAAAGATATAAGAAATAATAATAAAACAAATACCAGAATACCCAACACCCAGAAAAAGTACTAAAGCACTAATAATACCTTTGAAGACACTGTGTGCCCTCCTTTTATAAACGCATTCTTCAGGAAAAAAATCTATTCCCAGAATGGGAAGTTGAGTTTACTACCCAACTTTTACTGGAGCTATCACAAGTAAAATTTAGGATTAAAAAGAAAAGAAGAGGCCACATGCTATTTTAAAGCATTTTTACAATATTTACTCAACGTTATCAAATTTTCTACTTGATAAGGTCAGAAAACGAGGAACCAAAATAAAATAATTTAAAACTTATGATTAGGTATATTAAACTTGTCAAGGCTGCCCACATAAGGTTTCCCATAAATGTCATTCGATACACATTTATATACTTTAAAAAATAATATTCATATTTACTATTATTTACTTTTGAGGATAGCACAAATGTGTTACTCCACAACTAGATTTCTAAGTTGTAGTTTGTGTTTTATGTAGAAATACATACACAGCAAAACACACAAAGGAAAACTATACCCAAAACTAAACTTTTGAGTCTTTTTTTTGAGATGGAGTCTTGCTCTGTTGCCCAGGCTGGAGCACAGTGGTGCAATCTTGGCTCAGTGCAACCTCCACCTCCCAGGTTCAAGCAATTCTCTTGCCTCAGCCTCCCGAGTAGCTGGAACCACAGGCGTGTGCCAGCACGCCCAGCTAATTTTTGTATTATTAGTAGAGATGGAGTTTCACCTTGTTGGTCACGCTGGTCTTGAACTCCTGACCTCAGGTGATCCACCCGCCTTGGCCTCCCAAAGTGCTGGGATTACAGGCATGAGCCACCGCACCCGGCCTTGAGTTTGTCTTTAAACTCTTCCATTTTGATTAGAAATTTCAACAAACCACCAATTTTCATGACTTTCCAGAAAAGGTACTTGTAAAAACTATTTTGTTTATATACTAAAACATTTTATCAACCTTTAGTTTTTATAAACTGTCTTCATAAAAAGTAATTTCAGGAAGTTAAAAACAGTATTACTAGGTATATTATCGAAACATGATGAAGGACTAATTACAGATATTCAAAGGTTTGTTCCTTCACATATTACAAATGCTTAAAATAACTTTAAGTACCATACCTTGCAATTTAGCATTATTTTCATCTGCTTTACAAAGCTTCAAGAGAGATGCTGCATGTTGTTCTAGCATTTGAACATCACTGGAAGACTGAACCACCACCAAAATAAGTATGCATGCGTAATTATAAGCTACTGACTTCTTAGATTTGGAATCACTGAAACAAAATAAGGTTTTTAAGTTTTGGATACAAAAACAATTTTTTAGGAACAATTTTTAAAAATTTTCTTCTACTTGGCTTTAAAGAGATCAAGGACATTTACAATAAAACATGACTAACTGTCTGAAGACAAGAAATCAGATTTTACAGTTCATATCCAATTCACCTGAAACCATTACTTTACTTAAAAGTATATAAAAAAGCATACATATCACCATGGAAAGTAAAATTCTATTAAGAAATAAGATCAGAAAAACAATGAAATATTAACAAGTATACTTCATTAGTAATGAAAGGTTAGGAAGTATACTTCATTAGTCTCCTTCAAAATATTTGTCCAATCTGGATAAATAGGAACGAGTATGATCACCTGCCTTCAACACTCAGTATTCCACTATAAACCTGTTAAGATACAGCTAGGCATGAAAGTCATTGCTGTTTGCTTTTCATAAGCACCCCACAAAAGATCTGTCACTCAAGGAGTTATACACCCAGTCCTCATAGTGAGGGCAGTTATCTGGATGCCATTTGCCTTGTGTGACATGAACCAGAAATAAGGCATGTCTTTCTTCTCATATAATAAAACCCTCTGCCTTACCAAGAAGGCTCTTCAAACCATTATCATTCTCAATTTACCCATCTAGTCAAAGCAATTCTGAATCCAGAGCATGGTTTAGAATGCAAGGGCAGGAGCCAGCAAGAAAGTGTAAGAGGAATAAAAGGAATATATACCTTAAGGTACGTATTCCTGTGCCTTAGAATTCCCCTCTGCATAAAACAGCAGGGGGTACTACAGTTGCAATCTTTAACACCATGGGTTAACTGAAGGAAGGTGCTAAAGAGTCCACTGTATTACTTTATAGCCACATCTTATATTTTAGAGATTTCTGTCACTCTAACCTTTAATTAACAAGTTTTGTGTTATATCAAAACTATAGTTTTTCCCTCTCAAAATAACACCTTCTTTTAAGAAACTAGACCATTAGTTAATCTGATTTTCTAACATCATAGAAAATTTAAGGAGTAAGTAGGAAATTACCCCAAGGCTTCTTTGGAATAGTACTCCATTAGAGTAATAAGACTTTGGAGATTTTTCTCCAGACTAAAAACATGGCCAACAGCTGATCTTCCCACAGGATTAAAAGTAATCAAATAAAGATTGTGCAGGGTTCCCAAGAGATCTGAATGGTCTGTTTCTTCACTGGCTGTACAACGCTGAAAATGGCTGAACAGTTCTGTAATACATTGCAATGTCTGTGTTGAGTCCTGTAGCCACAAGGCAAATGCATCATCAATAACACCATCAGATTGGAGACCTTCCTCCTCATCTTGATCATAAAAGTGACACAGAGCTCGGATCAATAAATTTGTTGCTTCATATTCCGACATAAAAAAAAGAAGACCCTTCTGTGACTGTGCAAGAAACTTCAAAACATCTTTTGTGGCTTGCAGCACACCAGGGTGAGCACTTGTTACTGGAATTGACAGAAGCAAGGTAACCAACTCCAAGAAGTGATGACTGTGAAGATATCTGTGGAAGAGTTAATTGATACATGTCAAGTCAGTGCAAAGCATTCTTCATTTACTCAATATTCAGACAAGACACTGATAAAAATTTTTAATGACCATAATCCTTATCCTCAGTAATATACTGCTTTAACTGAAAACATAATGTGAGTGGCAAGTCTTCTCTAGATGAGGCCAAATAAGAGTGAATGTTCTGTGAGGCTTTGTCCTAGTTAGCACTCAACAGATGTTAAATAAATAATTATTGACAAGCTTTTCTTTAAATTTTGGGCCTTCTTTCCAGGACACTTATCAAATGCTCCTTTTTCACCATGGTCCTACTTTATTCATGGCATATTGGTATATTTAAATTCATGTATCTAGGAAAAATATAGTATATACAGTCAGCACTCCGCATCTGCATTTGTGGATTAAGCCAACTGCAAATCGAAAATATTTTTTAAAAGTGCATCTGATGCCAGGTGCAGTTGGTCACACTTACAATCCCAAGCACTTTGGGAGGCCGAGGCAGGCAGATCACTTTAGGCCAGGAGCTCAAGACCAGCCTGGGCAACATGGCAAAAACCTGTCTCTACAAAAAATACAAAAATTAGCCAGGCGTGGTGGCGCATGTCTGTAGTCTCAGCTACTGAAGAGGCTGAGCCCAGGGAGGTCAATGCTGCGGTGAGCCATGATTGCTCCACTGCACTCCAACCTGAGTGAGACCCTGCATCAAAAAAAAAAAAAAAAAAAAAAGCCTGGGCTGGCTGTGGTGGCTCACACCTGTAATCCCAGCACTCTGGGAGGCTGAGGCTGGAGGATCACTTGAGCGCAGTAATTTCACACCAGCCTTGAGCAATATAGTGAGACCCTGTCTCTAAAAAAATTTTTTAATTAGCTGGCCATGGTGGCCCATGCCTGTAGTCCCAGCTACTTGGGAGGCTGAGGTGGGAGGATCGCTTAAGCCCAGGAGGTTGAGGCTGCAGAAAGCCAAGATCATGCCACCGCACTCCAGCCTGGGCTAGGTGAAAGAGCAAGACTCTGTCTCAAAAAAAAAAGACAGAAAAGAATGTATCTGTACTGACCATGTACAGACTTTTTTCTTACATCATTCCCTACACAATAATAGTATAACAACTATTTACAGAGCATTTATATTGTACTATGTATTATAAGTAATCTAGACATGACTTCAAGTATACAAGAGGATATGCATAGGTTATATGCAAATACTACATCATTTTATATTTTATATCAGAGACTGGAGCATCCTTGGATTTTGGAATCCAAGGGAGGTCTGAGAACCAATTTTGCAGACAGTGAGGGATGACTGTACTATAGAAAAATATAGTATACTCAGATTTACTACAGTAGACTGAATTAGTATCTCTAGGGAAAAAGCTTTCAAATTGTCAATTTTTAACATTTAAGCAGTTAGTATTACCACACATAGCACTCTTTTATGAGACGAAATCTAGCTATGTTGCCCAGGCTGGACTCAAACTCCTGGTCTTAAGCAATTCTCTGGACTCAAGTGATCCTTTTGCCTCATTCTCCCTAAACTCTTTTCCAAAATCTACTTTTTTATCTCTTTTTTTTTTTTAAATTTTTTAGTTCTGGAGTACATGTGCAGAATGTGCAGGCTTGTTACATAGGTAAACGTGTGCCATGGTGGTTTGCTGCACCTATCAACCCATCACCTAGGTATGAAGCCCACATGTATTAGCTATTTTTCCTGATGCTCTCCCCCAACCCTCTGTTCTCCTTCAACAGGCCCCAGTGTGTGTTGCTGCCCTCTCTGTGTCCATGTGTTCTCACCGTTCAGCTCCCACTTGTAAGTGAGAACATGCAGTATTTGGTTTTCTGTTCCTGCATTAGTTTGCTGAGGATAATGGCTTCCAGCTTCATCTATGTCCCTGCAAAGGACATGATCTCATTCCTCAACTTTTTAAAAATGAAACTTAACCAGATTTTAAAGAAAAAAGAACCAAAACATCGTATTTTTTCAAATACTCAAAAATGGGGTAAAAATCTGTCAAAACATCTCTTGACTACAAGATAGAACCAGCTTAATGAAAACTTCTTAATTTTTAATTATTAAGAATATCATAATTTTCTGAAAGTTAAAAAGAATAAAATTATTTATAATTCTGACTCATTCTCTTCCATTTTAGTCACTGCAAATGGTAACACAATAGCTTTCATAAACCCATCAAAATACTACTAAAAAGTAAATGACAGGCCAGAACTTAATTTTGTCAAAAGCTGAAACTGCTTCTTCAGTCCTATTACTATTTAAACCCAGGCTTCTACTTCACAATAATAAACACCCACCAGTAACTGCTTACTACAAAGGCAAACAGAACCTTCAAGAAGACAAAACTCCAGAATTACTATGCTCCAAGAGCATCCCCCTTATGGACCATTCAGAGAATGGTTAAAATAGCAAGCCTCAGACTGCACATCCTTAGAGGTCTGCTTGCAAGGTTGGCTACTGGCTAACTTCTGGGAACTTAGATTTCAAGAGGATTCCCGCACCCCTAACTGATAAGAATGGTTCCTTGTGCCTAAATTATTTGTGCAAACAATATGGTTATGCTGAACACCTGCTTTCCTTCTAGGAGTCTGGAATTCTGGTATAAGATAGGCAGTGAGTGCCTACATGACTACCCACAATAAAAAAATTTGCATGCCAATTAGCTTGATATAATTATTCCACAATGTATACATGTATCAAAACATGTCACTGTTGCTATTTAAAAATAAAAAATAAAAAAGCCTGGGTGCCGAGTTTCTAAAGAGCTTCCTCAACAGGCAACACTTCACACATGTCACAACCTGTTGCTGTGAGAATTAGGCAGGCACTATGTGACTCCACTGTGAGAGGACTCTGGAAGCTTGCAACTGGTTTTCCCAACTTCCTCCCAGGTACCTTTTTCCTTTGCTGAGTATTATATGCTGAGTTTTGTGAGTCCTCCTAGAGAATCTTGGTGCTCTTGGGGAACCTGACATAGGACAATAGAGCCTTGCCACCACTTCAAAAACAAACCCTCCAAAGTACAATTATTTTTCCTTTCAAAATTCACTCTCCTTCCTAATTTACCAGTTTCTGTCAATAAAACCACAGCTCCAATTGCTACCCTGGCTAGAAATCTCTAGCTTCTTCTCACTTCCCTTCGCCTACTAGGTCCTGTTGCCAAGTCCTAGTACTATTATATAATATAATGGCTATTTCACAATCTCTGTCACTATAAGCACAATATTTGCCTTTCCATTACCTGTTAAGGGCAAAGTACTTAAAACCCAGTACCTAGAAACCTCAGACTATCTTATCTTCCTAGTAACTCTAATTTCTTTTCCATTGCAATACATCTTGCAACACAAAATCTGAGAATATTACTCTGATCATATCAGATCTGCTACTCCAAAATATTCAATACCTTTCCATATTCTACAAATAAAATCCAAATTCCTTAGCACAACCATTCTGGGCCCTTTATTTCCTCTTGTCTGATACCCAAATATACCTCCTCCATATGGTGGGAAAAAAACACTCAGTAAGTATTTAATTACTAGCTTCTTCTCAGTGACTGAAAACATCACCTATTCTACTAAAAATAAAGTTGTTAGTAAGAAGTATTTAAATTTCTTTACAATCTCCAAGACTACAAATGTATTATATTTGCATACTTACAAGATTCCCTTTCTCCTGCCCAAAACCAAACTCCTACACTTGTACTCTTGTCCTCATCTCCCACCAAGCCTTGCCCCAGGAATTGTTATTGTTTACTCCTACATCATAAACATCTCCCTCTCCACTGACTTTTTATTATAAATGAGTCATTATTCCCAGCCTACAAATATGCTCAAGCCTCTCCCACTCCTAAAAAATAAAAACCTTCCTTTTTGACTCCAACATCTCCTTCTAGCTGCTGCCTTGTCTCTTACTTTTTCTCTTAGCCAAATTTCTTGTTTTGAGACACAGTCTCACTCTGCTGCCCAGACTGGAGTGCAGTGGCACAATCACAGCTCACTGCACCCTTAACCTCTCAGGCTCAAGCAATCCTCCCACCTCAGCCTCCTGAGCAGCTGGGACTACAGGCGCACACTACCATTCCCAGCTATTTTTTTTTTGATTTTTTATTTTCTGTAGCGGTCTCCCTATGTTGCCCAGGCTGGCCAAATTTCTTTTTTGAGACGGAGTTTCGCTCTTGTCGCCCAGGCAGGAGTGCAGTGGCACGATCTCGGCTCACTGCAACCACTGCCTCCTGGGTTCAAGCGATTCTCCTGCCTCAGCCTCCCGAGTTAGCTGGGATTACAGGCATGCACCACCACACCTGGCTAGTTTTTCTTTTTTTGAGATAGCATCTCACTCTGTTGCCCAGGCTGGAGTGCAGTGGCCCGATCTCGGCTCACCAGAACCTCCAACCTCCCGGGTTCAAAGGATTCTCCTGCCTCAGCCTCCCAAGTAGCTGGGTTTACGGGCACATTCCACCAAAGCCCGGCTAGTTTTTGTGTGTGTCTGTGTGTGTGTGTGTTTTTGTTACTTGTTTATTTATTTTTTTGAGACGGAGTTTCGCTCTTGTTGCTTAGGCTGGAGTGCAATGGTGAGATCTCAGCTCACTGCAACCTCTGCCTCCCGGGTTCAAGCAATTCTCCTGCCTCAGCCTCCCAAGTAGCTGAGATTACACCCATGCGCCACCATGCCCCACTAATTTTGTATTTTTAGTAGAGATGGGGTTTCTCCATGCTGGTCAGGCTGGTCTTGAACTCTCGACCTCAGGTGAACCACCTGCCTTGGCGTCCCAAAGTGCTGGGATTATAGGCGTGAGCCACCATGCCTGGCCGGTGTTTGTTTGTTTGTTTGTTTGGAGACAGAGTCTCACTCTGTAGCCCAGGCTGGAGTGCAGTGGCCAGATCTTGGCTCACCGCATGCTCTAACCTCCAGGTTCAAATGATTCTCCTGCCTCAGCCTCCCAAGTAGCTGGGATTACAGGCGCCCACCACCACACCCGACTAATTTTTGTATTTTTAGTAGAGACAGGGTTTCGTCATGTTGGTCAGGCTGGTCTCGAACTCCTGAACTCAGATGATCTGCCTACCTCAGCCTCCCAAAGTGCTGGGATTACAGGCGTGAGCCACCACACCCGGCTCTAGTTTTTTATTTTTAGTAGAGATGGGGTTTTGCCATGTTGGCCAGGCTGGTCTCAAACTCCTGACCTTAGGTGATCCACCCACATTTCTTAAAACAGTGGCCTACACCATTTCAAATCCTTACTGGCCAGTGGTTTTTCATCTACACTTCCTCTCCCACTGCTACATTAAACTACTTTTGCCAGAGCCCCATTTGCAATCTATGTTACAAAATACATGATTTCCTATCCTTATCTTCTGAACCTCTGCACAGTATCACAACAAACCATTCACTGGTTCCTAAAACTATTTGCTTCCTTAGTTTCTATTCTCTCCTGCTTCTCATTTTGTCTTTCTATTCCTTCTAAGTATCCTGCCTAAATGCATTCTCTGCCCATCTCTTACATATTACTGCTCCCCAACCTCCCATCACTGACCCATTGATTTCCCAGTACACAATCTGTGAGGGTTGCCAGTATCTGGCCTCAAGTGTTCACTTTGGGCCTCTCTACCTTTCTTTCTCAGGGTTCCCCCCAAAGGGATTAAAGGGTGCTCGGACCACAAGCAGGAACAGCTCAGAAGCATAAAAGAGTTAAAAGTTTCTTGTGGGCATCCTTGAACCAAAGGGGAGAGTTGGTAGACGAATGCCCAGCCTGAATGTTTTAGGAGGATAAGCAGGAGATACACTTTAACCAGTTCTTCGGAGGATCCCCAGTAGGATGAGCCCCAGCTGTCCACAGCAATAAGTATAATAACACTTCCTTTACTGGTTTTTCTCCTTATCTTACTCTCTTCAGGCATTTCTGCTTCCTAGGATAATCTTTCAAAGAACCTGCACCCAAGACTTTGACTCAAGTTATCCTTTTAGGAAACTCAAAACTAAGACAAGGTGTAACAGTTTCAGCTAAAAACAGGAACTTGGATAAGTGGAGGTTTTAGACTGGACACATATCCCATCCCCTGGGAATGCACTATGCTCCATCCAAATCAATGAAAATATTAATCACAAAAATAAGTAATAAAATAATTCAAATGCCATTTTTCCATTTTTATGTTAGGAAATTATTTACAGGCAAATGGTAAGAAAGAAAGTCTCAAAACAAAATAAAAAATCTACTAGGGATGCTGGTCCTAACAATGGCAAAACTGTATCAACAGATGAGAGAGGTAGATGGCAGAAACAAGTAGTAATGGAAACTTAAAGACATCTTTAACCAGCACTGTAAAATTAAGCTAGTAAAATATAATTTTAACTTACAATGTATTAAGAGTAGTAAGTACAGATGGGTTCACACAGAAGAGCTCTCCTTCCTACACCATTCCTTTGTTACCACCTTCCCAGAAGCAAGTCAGCAGTTTCTCATTTATTCTTGCTCATAGACATGCTTATACAAGCATCATTGTTAATTACTAAAATCTTTCACTGAAGTTCCCATTTTTGCTTTAAGAACTAACACAATATAAGCTCACCCACAGTAACATACTTCTCAGTTCCACTACTAAATAACCGTTTTGAAATATCAAGTATCCTTACACATAAATAAGTTACCTACAATCAGATAAAAAGCAAAATCAACCACATAAAATTGTCTCCAATGATTTGTGAAATTTATTTCCCAAAAGGCAAACATGTCTTACCTAAAGAGAACAGGGTATGGATCATCCCTCTCTGGAGGTCCAGTAATTCGTGCCATCGTTGGGAAAGACTTAACAGGTTGTTGGATCATTGTATGAGGGGCAGTTTCCATTAAATGAAAAACTTCTTCTAGGAGGTTAATAAGCCTTTCTATTTCCCCTTCACTTATATTTGAGGATTCCAAAAGATCCATATCCATAGAAGCTTCCACCTCATTTTCATATTCTGGGTTTGTTCTCTCAAGTCCAGCATCTGTGTCGTGATCAGGTTCACTGTGGTTAGGAAGAGATGAAGTCTTCTCTGCTAAATGGTCACCAAGTCTTTTAATCTCTGACAAGACTTCATAGAAATGGCATTTTTGGAGAATAGCTGAACCAGCAGTAACAACCCTCACAGTCTGATCTAAAAGTATGAGTTCCAGAAGCTTTTGATAACCACTTTTTTCATTCTGCCTACCTCTTAAAAAAGCTTCCATTCCTTCTGTCATACTAATGACACTGTCCAAAGCTTTAAAAGCATTTAACTTAAGAGAAGATGATACGTGATCAGCAAACAGAAGTTCAAATAATCCACTGATCACTCCTGCTTGTAGCAGTCCTGTAACTCCTTGAGCCCCACATTCTGCTAGTGAGGACACTAATTTGGTCCCAGCTTTGAGCTGTCGAACATTTAAGGCGATAGGTTGGCGAAGCGCTACTTGTAAATTTAAAGCTTGCATGGTCCAGTCTACCAACTGGCCAAGGGAGTCTTGTTTTGTGTTTTTCAATTGCAAATAGCTTAACCCTTTTATTATTAAACTTGGAATTTCTTCTAAAGCTGTTACCCATTTTGCACCTCTATCTTCTCTATACAAATCTAAGAGTTCTGTTAACTTCACTGAGGCTTCGATTGCCCCTGAATTTTCTTTATCTGGACCTTGATCCTTCATTCTACTGATTTCAATTTCAAAAGTAGTCTTGTATGGACAACTGAAGTATAAGAGTGGTACAAGCTCCCTGTCATATGGATCATATGTCATAGGAGGAACTGAAGCTAAGTCTTCAGCAGTGTATTCAACATCAAAGTTTGGATACTTAAATGTTTCACGTTCCAAGTCAGCAATTCCATCTTCATCACTGGAAATTTGTTCATAACCATCATCCCCTGAAAATTAGTATGAATAATATTTAAGTATTACATCATCTTTGTCTAATACATAAATTCTGATTGAACAAGAAATAGTTTTAATAAAACATTAAAAATGATTTCCTCAACAAAACCAACTTCTGCCCCAACATCTTACCCACAATTTTACAACATTTTATAATTTCTAATAGAATTATGGACAAACTTCTTTTTTTCCTGAAAGGGGTGAGACCTGAAAACTGGACAAACATTTTAAGCAAATTCCTCTGTATCTGTTCAGTTTTACAACTAACTGTAACAGATATCTTTTCCTCACAGAAATATAATTAGAAATGCCTCAAAGTAACAAAAATATCTATCTCAGGAGGAAAGAAATTATGCTTGTCCTCTTGAGAGATTATTTTTAAGACCAAAAAAAACTGGTTGTTTTAAGTTAAGTAAGAACTAATATCATCAGGTTAAACCAAATACTTTCAGCAAAACCATTGTAGATTCGTTTTATAACAATTTCACATTCCAGAATTTTTATTTCTCTGCATTTACCTATCACACAGTTTTGTAGGTCTCCATTATATTTTGATAGAAAATGTGTCCATTTAAAATATGGCTGTGCACAGTGGCTCATGCCTGTAATCCCAGCACTTTGGGAGGCCAAGCCGGGCAGATCACTTGAGGTCAGGAGTCCGAGACCAGCCTGGCCAACATGGTGAAACCCTGATCTCTACTAAAAATACAAAAATTACCTGAGCGTAGGGGTGCGTGCCTGTAAGCCCAGCTACTCAGATGGCTGAGGGACAAATCACTTGAACCCTGGAGGTGAAGGTTGCAGTGAAACAAGATCGCACCACTGCGCTCCAGTCTGGGTCATGGAATGAGACTTTGTCTCAAAAAAAAAAAAAAAAAAAGAAAGAAAAAAAGAAAACTGCCTGCCTAACATTTAACTACTTTTGCCAAATACAATAAATCTAGAAATAATTATTTGATAATCTGTGAATGGGGAAAGTTAAAAAAAAATCACATGATAATCTAGCTATTTGATATTTTTTAAAAGAGCCCCTATGATTCTGAAATGACATTCATTTTTACTATCTGTAGAAAAAAGCCAAGGCAGATTATCTGTTATTCTGCATAAATGCTTTAACATTAAATGCCATTTCTTGGGCAAATTAAGAGCCAATTAGCTTGAGTATCTCTCACTTTTTGCTTTCAAAGGAAAAATAAAGCCTAATTAAAGGACTGTATCATACTGCCACATGTACTTGTGTAATTGAGATTTTTCCCTTGAATTTTTAAAAATAATGTAGCATTTGCTAAAATATCTAGGTGGCAGACATCTTTAGGAATTCCACCTAGCTTTACCACTCCTTACTCTGAAAACAGCCACCAAATCCCTAACCAACATGTATTTGTTACATGACCCTGTTTTCCTGGCAAAAGCTGATGCTGTCAAAGGGAAACTCATACTGTAGCAAGTCAAACAGAAAACTGAGATACAGTCAGGCAGTTTAGGCTGGCTGGTTAAACAGGGGAGATTAAAGTAAACACACAAAGCAGAGGAGAGATGGAAATCTCATTTCTAGTCATGCCTTGAGGCCTAGCTACATTCTGACCCTGGGTTTCTTGGAACCCATTTATCTTTGCTAGAAATTCTTTTGCATTTTTCAAAGCTGTATCGAGTTAGTTTCTAGTACTTAAACCCCAAAGTCCTAGCTAACATAACCCACCTTCACCTTCTTCATCCTCTTCACCTTCTTCCTCTTCATCTTCCTCTTCCTCCTCAGGAATACTGTCTACTGTTCGTCGATCATCCTCATCCTCATCCTCTTCTTCCTCTACATCCACATCATCTTCATCTTCTTCTCCTTCTTCTTGTTGTTCCTCTTCTACTTCTCCTTCATCAGAATATTGCCCTTCCTGGGGAACAGAATTCCGATCAGGAGAAATGGGCTCAAAGTAATCTTCTCTATGAGGAGCATCCTCTTCCTTGTCACCAGACACTGAAAAATTGAGATTTAAGGCACAGACTATTTTAATGGTTTAAATGACAAAAGGCAGCAAGACTGGATATGGCAACTACTTAATATTTTGGTTGATATAGTTTATAAATACCCTTAAAAAAAAAGAATTACTCACTGTTTAAAAAATATTGAGTATACACTGTACAACTTCTACAGTGAGCAATAATAAAGTATACTGTTAAGCCATTCCCTTTCTTTTTAGCTTTTAAGTAACTATACACGTTTTTGTCTTTTCCAGTACATACTTATTTTTATTTTATTTTATTTATTATTTTTATTTATTTTCTTTTTTTGAGACAAGAGTCTCACTCTGTCGGCCAGGCTGGAGTGCAGTGGCATGATCTCGGCTCACTGCAACCTCCGCCTCCCAGGCTCAAGCAATTCTCCTCCCTCAGTCTCCTGAGTAGCTGGGATTACAGGCGTGTAACACCACACCCGGCTAATTTTTGTATTTTTAGTAGAGATGGGGTTTCACTATGTTGGCCAGGCTGGTCTCGAACTCCTGACCTCAGGTAATCCACCCACCTTGGCCTCCCAAAGTGCTGGGATTACAGGCGTGAGCCACCACGCCCGGCCTATTTTTATTTTATTTTATTTTTATTTTTAATAGAGACAGGGTCTCCCTATGTTGCCCAGGCTGGTCTCACACTCCTGGGCTCAAGAGGTCCTCCTGCCTCAGCCTTCCAAAGTGCTAGGATTACAGGCATGAGCCACCACACCCAGCCCAATACTAGTGATTTTTAACTGGTACTCTTTTGTACATATCACTACAGCAAACTAACACTTTATTTTGGCACAGCTTCAAATGAATTAACAAATTTTTTTTTAACAAGTTAACTGGCTGACAGAAAGAAAAATACAATTAGTGGCCAGGCACTGTGGGTCACACCTGTAAATCCCAAAACTGTGGGGGGCCAAGGCGGGAGGATCACTTGAGTTTAAGACCAGCCTGAGCAACATAGGAAACTTCTTCTCTATAAAAAATTAGCCAGGCGTGGTGGTATACACCTGTGGTCCTAGCCACTGGGGAGGATGAGGTGGGAGGATTTCTTGAACCCGGGAATTCAAGGCTGCACTGAGCTGAGATGGTGCCACTGCACTCTAGCCTGGGTCACAGAGCAAAAACCTGTCTCAAAAAAAAAAAAAAGAAAAAAGAAAGAAAGAAAAAAGAAAAAGAAAAACACAAGGAAATACTGCACAGCATGGGGGGAGACTGCATCAAGATTTGATTACTGGCACCTGATTTCTTTTCTTAATCAAAAAGCACTATTAGCCAGGCACGGTGGCTTATGCCTATAATCCTAACACTTTGTGAAGCTAAGGCAGATGGATCACTTTAGCTCAGGAGTTCCAGCCTGGGCAAAATAGTGAGACCCCATCTCTACAGATATTTTAAAAATTAGCAAGGCATGGTGATGCACACCTGTAGTCCCAGCTACTTAGGAGGCTGAGGTGAGAGGATCACTTAAGCCCAGGTGGTCAAGACTGCAGTGAGCCACTGTACTCCACCCTGGGCAACAGAGTGAGACCATCTCAAAACAAAAACAAAAATGTACTATTAACTAGGGGGGAAAACCTTAGCACTGGTTTTATTTATACCTGGCAGAGGCACAGGATCATCTTCATCATCATCAGGTGGAGGGGGTCCTGGAGGAGTTCTTGGTCCCCTTGGCTGTGGTCTTGGAGGGCTTCCATTAAACTGATCTTCTTTCTCCCCATCAGCTAGTGTTTTATGGGAGACAGAAAAAGAACTTTCAAATTACAGATGACCCCCGAACAACATGGCTTTGAACTGTGTGGGTCCACTTACATGTGATTTTTTTAAAGCAAAGAGAGATCTAAAATATGGTATTTGAGGGATGCAAAATCTGCATATATATAATGGGCTGACTGTCTGTATATGCAGGTTCCTCGGGGCCAACGTCAGGACTTGAGTATGCACAGATTTGTGTATACACAGGCAGTCCTAGAACAAATCAATCCCCAAGTAGAACAAAGATAATCATGTTAAAGTATAAGGAAATGAATGGAAAAAATACTTTTCATCACTGGGGAGATTTTCATCTTCAGAATTAACTAATAAACTTTTCCTTCCTGGTGTCTCAGAAATTTTGCTAATTAATCTATATTAATAACATCGGAATTTCTGACTTCCCACATACTGAAAAAATACTTGTCATCATTTCAGACTTTCATCTTCAGAATTAACTGATTATAAACTTTTCCTTCCTGGCATCTTAACAGAAATTTTGCTAATTAATCTATATTGGTAACATTAGAATTTCTGACTTCTCACATACCAAAACATAATGTATACACTCTTAGGCTTGGGCATAATCCCAGAGAATGAAGATTTTGTTTTCATGCCAAAAAAATAAGGGAATGTTCAGCTTTATTTGTGATAGCCAAAAAACAGAGACTACCCAAATGTCCTTCAACAGGTGAGCAGTTAAATTTTGGTACATCTATATTTTGTAACACCACTCAGCAATAAAAAACAACAAACTATTTATATATAATATGTTGAAGTTCAAGGAAATTATGCTGAATGAAAAAAGTCAATCTCACAAAGATACTGCATGATTCCATTGATGTAACGTGTAAAATAATATAACTATAGAAATGGTGAACAGATTAGTGGCTGCCAAAGGCTAGAGATGGGTGGGATGAATAGGGCTATAAAGGGGTAATAGGGAATCTTGGGGCAATGGTGTAGTTAAGTATTTTGGGGTTTTGTTTCTTTTTATGTTTTGTTTTGTTTGAGACGGAGTCTTGCTCTTTCGCCCAGGCTGGATTGCAGTGGCACAGTCTTGGCTTACTGCAGCCTCCACCACCAGGGTTCAAGTGATTCTCCTGCCTTAGCCTCCCAAGTAGCTGGGACTACAGGCATGCACCACCATGCCCAGCAAATTTTTGTATTTTTAGTAGACATGAGGTTTCACCATGTTGGCCAGGCTGGTCTCAAACTCCTGACCTCAAGTGATCTGCCCGCCTCGGCCTCCCAAAGTGCTGGGATTACAGGCGTGAGCCACGGCATCCAGCCCAGATAAGTATTTTGATCATGGTGTTGGTTATGCAAGGCTGTACACATGACATAAAAACGCACAGAGTTACACATACACAAACAAGTGCGTGTCTATCTAGTGAAATCTGAATAAGCTCCATAGATTACACCAACACCAATTTTCTGGTTTTGATATTGTACTATATTTATAAAAGATGTTATCACTGGGGGAGGCTAAAGAGTGCACAGGACTTCCCTGTACATTTCTTTGCAACCTCCTGTCAATCTATAATTATCTCAAAGTAAAAAGTTAAGGGGCCAGGTGTGGTGGCTCACACCTGTCAACCCAGTATTTGAAGGGCTGAGACAAGAGGATCACTTGAGGTTAGGAGTTTGAGACTAGTTTGGGCAACATAGTGAGACCCCATCTCTACAAAAAAATGAGTTGGGGTGGAGGGTGGCACACGTCTATAGTCCTAGCTACTCCACAGACTGAGGTGGAAGGACTGCTTGAGTCCAGGATTACGACGTTACAGTGAGCTATGATCAGGCCACTGCACTCCAGCCTGGGTGACGTAACAAAATCCTGTCTCTAAAAACAAAAAAATTAAATTAAAAAAATTTTTTAAATAAAAAGTTAAAAACACATGTATATATATGTGCTTGTCAATTTTAAAACAAATCAGTAAATTGAACAAATTTTTAGAGTAACCACTACATATGTCAGACACTATGATAAGACTGAAAACACAAATATATGTAAAACATACTTTCTATCCACAAGGAGCTCACGGTTTGGTTAAAAAAAAAAAAGCACAGAAAAATGAAGGACTGAAAGAAAAAGAAAACTGAAAGAGTAACTATGCTTAGCAGGTAAGATATAAGAAAAGTACAGTGTATGACCACCATCAGAAAAAAAAGAGCTCACACCACATTACTATATCAGGATTCAGAGAAACAAAGGTTATTTATAGTCACAAACATGCTAATTATAAAGCAAAATATTATTCCTTAGTGACTTTAATTACAATTTCAAAATGTATTCTTGAAACTCCTTTTATTTATTTATTTTGTGTGTGGGTTTCTGTTTTTGAGACAGGGTTTTGCTCTGTTGCCTAGGCTGGAGTGCAGTGGCATGATCATGACTCATTGCAGCCTCAACTTCCCAGGCTCAAGAGATCCTCCCACCTCAGCCTCCAGAGTAGCTGGACCACAGGCACATGCCATCGTGCCCAGCTAATTCTTTCTTTTTTTTTTTTTTTTTTTGGGAGGGGCAGGTTCTCCCTATGTTGCCCAGGCTGGTCTCACACTCCTGGGTTCAAGCAAGCCTCCCAAAGTGTAAGGATTACAGGCATAAGCCACCATGCCCAGCCTATTTATTTATTTTTACAGATGGGAGTCTCACTATGTTGCCCAGAATGGACTCGAACTCCTGGGCTCAATCGATCCTTTTGCCTCAGCCTCTTGAGTAGCTGGGAACACAGATGCATATCACTGCAGCTGGCTATGAATCTCATTGTGTCAACTTCTTTTTTTTTAAATAGACATAGGGTCTCGCCATGTTGGCCAGGCTGGTCTTGAATTCCTGACCCCAAGCAATCCTCCCACTTCGGCCTCCCAAAGTGCTAGGATTACAGCCATGAGCCACTGCTCTCAGCCTTGTGGTCAACTTCTTACAGTGATTAACACTGGAGTGAGGAGAAGAGATTCTGAGAAACATGAGTCCAGCTGCCTATCTTCTGAAAGAAAGCCACTGAAGTTCTTATTTTTCTTGTTTCCAGTTAATGAGCAAAAGGTTCTCAAAAGTGGAAGAAATCTACATTAGTTAAGATGTAGATACCTAATAAATTTTAAATGCACTCTTGAAAAAAAAATGTCATTTATATAAGTATTCCGGGAATATGTAACAAACTCCCTGCCTATTTTTCAATTCATTTACAAATAATTTTAATAGTAAACCATGAATAGTCACTAGATTGCATTATCATTAAGATATTTTAAATGGGAAAAAATTCCCTCAGATCAGTTTTAAAAGTTCTCTAGGAAAACAGAGGAAGAAAATAAAATGTCACCACTTCAACATAAAAAGAAACTCTTAGACAAGAATGGGAGACTAACAGATAGCTATCTTGTCAAGTCTTAAGCAAGGTTCAAAAGGTGAACGAGGTGTGCTTGCTCACTCTCTCCCACCCCAATCCCTCACTTTCCCTCCTTTCTCTCCCTCCCCTTCTCCCTCTTGCCTCCTCTTCTTTCTTTCTCTTCCTCCTATCTCCCCCTCTTCCTCCTTCTCTCCCCCTCTGCCCCTCTGCTTCTCCCTCTCATCTCCTCCCTCCCTCTCTCCCCCTCTCTTCCTCTCTCCCTCTCAAGAAATAAAACAAAAACAAAAGGTAAAAGAGTGCTCTTCGAATTATTTTTTTTTTTTAAACCACGGATATAAGTTTCACTTGCAAAAGCAAATTTAAAATTCTCACCATGTTTTGGATTCCTTTTCAAACTTGGTTGTGGCTGGGGAGGTGGTGGCGGTGGAGGTGGTGGTGGTGGAGAGTCTCTGTCATGACTTATCACTCTATCCACTGATCCATATATTGCCAGTGTCAGACAGTTATACCAGCCTCTTAGCACCAGACCATCAGTATTCACCTGATTTTCAGGGAGGGCAAAAAAAATCTTTCAAAGTCATGTTTTAAAATGCTAGAAGTTAGCTGATACCAAATTAGATTGTGGTTCAACTAAAGTCTTTAAAAGTATGCTGAAAATGCAAAGTCAACACAAAGTGAAATTTACCTAGGCACAGCTTTTAGTGTGGTTCTCCAGAGCTACCATAACTACACCTGCACCTGTCCTAAGATTACATCTCCCAGTCCTATGCTTTATGTCAACCTTGTTCAAAAAGTATAACCAGACTCCCATCCAAGAGAAAAGAAATGAGAATAAAATTAAGTAGGAGTTATTGCTAATTAATAAATTAAACCCCAATAGGTACAGGGGTCGTAGAAGGGACCAAAAGCACAAATGATGCTCAGTCTCAAGAATGATAAAGTCCATAAAACTACATAGCATTCTTCTCAGAAGCCAAATTCATACATGCAGGTATATTTTACGTACCCACATTGTACATTAAAAAGTAAGGGAATTAGCCGGGTGCAGTGGCTCACGCCTGTAATTTCAGCACTTTGGAAGGCTAAGGTGGGTGGATCACAAGGTCAGGAGTTGAAGACCAGCCTGGCCAAGATGGTGAAACCTCGTCTCTACTAAAATTACAAAAATTAGCCAGGGTGGTGGCGGCACCCATAATCCCAGATACTCAGGAGACTGAGGGAGAGAATTGCTTGAACCCAGGAGGCGGAGGCTGCAGTGAGCCAAGATTGCGCCACTGCACACTCTAGCCTGGGCGACAGAGCGAGACTTGGTCTCAAAAAAAAAAAAAAAGTAAAGGAACCCAGAGGCATTAAATAAATTGTTTTTGCAAAGAAACTTTCTCCTAAAAAGATTAAAGGCTTTTGCCAATGCCATTAACCCTCAATATTTCCCTATAAGAAAAAATAACTTCATGCTTTCTAGAGCTTATCTACATTAATAGCTACATCTTCACAATTATGAGAGCAGATATTGTCATTCCCTTTTAAGAAATAAGAAAACCAGAGCATGTGAAGAAGAGCCTGCATTAGAAACCAAAGGCCCTGACTTCTGAGTTCTCTTTCCACCCCACCATATTGGGTAAAGACAAAGTTCTAAGTGTTACCGGGGCCCCTTCTGGAGGCACGATAAGGAAAAAAGAAATTAATATTTCTTTGTTAGACTACACAGGGAAACTGGGGACCAGAAGAAGGGTTCAAAGACTGGCCAAGGATTGATAGACTGAACAGAAATCCCACTGGAAGGAAGATAAACAGATAACAATGATAATTTTTAGTCTAAACAGGATGCAAAGGATTTAATACCCATCCCCCCCAAAACCAAACAGCAAGCTGAGTAGTCCCATACCAGGTCATAATTATTTTTGCATTTCAAATCTGCCACTAAATGCTTCCAGCATGGCATCTGGCATATCAAGAAAAAAGGCATATTTTTGATAAGAAAGGAGAAATATGAAATATGTACTTTTAAAAGAAACTTTAAGGCACAGTAGTGTCTAATAACAATTTGCCTGCCTGTCGTCTTCTGAACTTGCCTATCTAAATGAAAGATGGTAAAGCACAAATGCTGGCCTCTTCTTGACTCGAAAGAGGAAGAAAGAGCTTTATAGGTAGAGAACGGCATTACAATGTCTTTACTGCATTATAAAATAGTGTCTAGGTGCTAGAAGAATCAGATAAGATATGACACTCTGAGCTGGGCGCGGTGGCTCACGCCTGTAATCCTAGCACTTTGGGAGGCCGAGGCGGTTGGATCACGAGGTCAGGAGATCAAGACCATCCTGGCTAATACGGTGAAACCCCGTCCCTACTAAAAATACAAAAAATTAGCCGGGCATGGTGGCAGACACCTCTAGTCCCAGCTACTCGGGAGGCTGAGGCAGGAGAATGGCGTGAACCTGGGAGGCAGAGCTTGCAGCGAGCCAAGATTGCGCCACTGCACTCCAGCCTGGGTGACAGAGCGAGACTCCGTCTCAAAAAACACAAAGAAAAAAAAAAAGATATGACACTCTGCAACACTGATTTATGTGGATCAAAAACTTTAAATGGAGTTGAGAGCAAATAGTAATGACAAGCTGAAAACTGACTTCCAGAATTACCTTTGAGTTAGGTCTAAAGATGATGGAAGTATTCTCATCATATTCCAGGCTGTCAAGAGAGTAGAAATAAATATGTAAGCTCAAACACTGAACATCACAGTTCATGAAGACGTCTCTCTAGATTCAAATATTTTAATATAATCAAATGCTAGATTTTTGTTTTGATTCAATAAACCACAAAGTTTGAGTTTAATGTATTGTCCCCAAAATGTGATTAAAAAAAATCAATCCCAGATTCTGGATTAATTGCTTTGGGGTGAGTATGGACATCAATAAATTTTTAAAAGCACACCAGGTAATTCTAATGTACAGCCAGAGTAGAGAACCACTGCATTACAGTCATACAAAAATGTAGACTACAACCAAAATTTAAGAAAAGCACCTGTTTTTATTAAGTAGGTACTGACATAAAAACACCCCCAAATACTAAAAATTACCTGCTTCAAATTATCTAAGGTTGCCCTTCATTTAAAAAAAAAGTTAAATTATTGACATAATTTAATAATAAATAAGAGAGGGGTCAATAACAGAATAAGTGATGTCTAAGAAACTGTTAATTCCTGACAGAAACAGACATTTTCTCATTTTTAAGCTGCCTTTAGTTTTTTTTATTTTATGAGTTCTAAGTAAACCCATTGAATGGTCATTTGTTTGCAGACATCACAACAACAGGTTTAATAATACCTAACCTGAAAAAAACTACCTAGCATGTACTAAATAATCAAAAAAGGGGGTATCTACTAACAAAAGTTTCATTTTACAAAATGTGGCTATGGAATTATAAATTGCACAGTAGTGTGATATGAAAGACACACATAAAATATTAGCTCTCAATGTGTCTATATAATTTAAGAATCAAAGATATTTTCCAAATTAGAAGGTTACTATCATGTGTGAAAGTATCATGTATATAAGAAACACATGCACGAGTCACAAGTTAACAAACAATGGCTATTTCACACATTTAAATTTTTATTTTATAAATTTAGCATCTCCTTAGGAGTTTGACATTTCTTTAATACCACCATGACACAATTAAACCCTGTGTTCTTGGGTCTACCAGCAGATACATCCTTTTCTTCTATCTAAAGAATCAATCAAAAGGTGTTGCTTACTAACTCATGAGTTTCTGGTGAAATTACCTAGCAGGTACATACCTTCCCAACCTATCGAAAACAGGGGCACTTGGTTTGCTTACATTGTTGAAGAATAAGTCTAATTGAAATGTATGGGGAGATGTCTCTCTGTAAATGAAACAAAGTTGAAACATCAGCCTTTGTAACAAACACTTCCTAAATTAAAACAAATAACATAGTAAGTACAAAGTTAAGAGCAATTCTAGAATTAGAATATGATGTTCCTAAGATTTAAATAACAAAAATATAGTTAACTATGATATTGTATGTAATTTTATTCACATCCAATCTCAAGTAGCCAACAGCTGATTTTAAGTATTACTGAATATCAAATTTTAATCAAGTACTTTTTGCATGCTATCACTATTCATTTTTTTTTGAGACGGTGTTACAGAGTTTCGCTCTTGTTACCCAAGCTGGAGTGCAATGGCAGGCATGATCTCGGCTCACTGCAACCTCTACTCTTGGGTTCAAGTGACTCTCCTGCCTCAGCTTCCTGAGCAGCTGGGATTACAGGCACGCACCACCATGCCCAGCTGATTTTTTTGTATTTTTAGTAGAAATGGGGTTTCGCTATGTTAGCCAGGCTGGTCTCAAACTCCTGACCTCAGGAGATTCACCCGTCTCAGCCTCCCAAAGTGCTGGGTGTGAACCACTGCGCCTGGCCTCCCCTTCTTTTTAGAGACAGAGTCTTGCTTTCTTGCCCAGGCTGGGGTGCAGTGGCGTGACTACAGCTCACTGTAGCCTCGAGCTCCCAGACTCAAACAATCCTCCTGCTACAGCCTCCCAAGTAGCTGGGACTACAGGTGTATGCCACTACACTGGGCTAATTTTTTTTTTTTTTTTTAAGTAGAGACAAGTTATCACTATGTTGCCCAGGCTGGTCTCGAGCTCCTGTGCTCAAGTGATCCTCCCATGTCAGCCTCCCAAAGTGCTGGGACTCAGGCATGCCTGTTTCCTTTCGTTACCAAAAGAATCAGGGATTAGCTAACTTCAAGTTGTGTAATTACAATTTCAACTTAATCCACATTAATACAAGACTATAATAGTAACTTTAGCATCACAGCCCTAAGTTGTGACTTAAAGCCAATTGATATTTGTACAGCAGCAATTTACAAAAATATTTTGGGGTTTCTAAAAATAGATTATTTGGTTAATATCAGAGCCTATTTAATTTGCATTAGACTAAAATCTTACTACACTTTATGTAAAAGATACTATACCATAGCACCCTTGGTTGAAATTCCTTAAATTCAACTAAAATCTTGACTTTGAAAACCACATACTTTATTCTTGTTCATTTATATAAAAATCCAAATGTTAATAACTATAATGTCTAGAGTACTATCAAAGAGATTCCTGTATGCACTTCTGGTAGAAGCACAAACAGGCATCATCATTCTGAAAAGCAATGTGGCAATAAAATTCAGGAGACTAAGAAAATGTTCACATCAAGCCACCGTTTGAACGTACCCCACAAAGTCCATGTCCTGGAAATTTAATCCCCAATGCAACAGTGTTGGGAGGCAAGCCTAATAAGACATGACTGGATCATGAGGACTCTGCCCTCATGAATGAATGAATGTTGTTATCTGGGGAGTGGATTAGTTACTGTGACAGTAGGCTTGTTAACAAAGCAAGTTCAGCTCCCTTTTGCTCTCTTGGGCTCTCTGGCTCTTGCTTTCCACCATGAGATGAAGCTGCAAGAACGTTCTTGCCAGATTGCTGTCACCTTGATACTGGACTTCCCAGTCTCCAGAACTTTGAGATATAAATTTCTTTATAAATTATCCAGTATGTGGTATTCTGTTAAAGTAACACAAAATGGACAAAGACACACCATTTGATGCACTTTTTTCTAGAAAGTGTTTTTACAGAAACCTTGATATGCGAACAGATTTTTTTCAAGAGGATATTCATCATACTATTACTTGTAATTTGAAAACTAAAAACCATCTAATAGTCCCCACATAGGAGACTAATCAAATATATTTATACTATAGTCATTCATTAGACTATGTAGCTATTAGAAATCATAAAATCAAGTAATATTTAATGATGTAAAAGTACTCCTGATATATTATAAATGAAATAAAGGAATACATAAAACACTAAAAAGTAACAGCAAAATAACAACATATATTTGCCTTACCCAAATTCAATCATATGCACCCAACAACTCTAGTCTCTTCCTCTTGCCCTTCTTTACTTTTTCTTCTTTTCTTTTTTTTTTTTTTTTTTTTGAGACGGAGTCTTGCTCTTGTCGCCCAGGCTGGAGTGCAGTGGTACGATCTCAGCTCACCACAACCTCCGCCTCTCAGGTTCAAGTGATCCTACCTCAGCAACCCAAGTAGCTGAGACTACAGGCACGCGCCACCAGGCCCAGCTGATTTTTGTATTTTTAGTAGAGGCGGGGTTTCACTATGTTGGCCAGGCTGGTCTCAAACTCCTGACCTCAGCTGATCCACCCGCCTCAGCCTCCCAAAGTGCTGGGATTACAGGCGTGAGCCACTGCACCTGACCCCTCCTGGCCCTTCTTTAAACTAGACCTTGGACTTCAGTATCTCAAGAAAAGGAAAAAGAGCTAAAATACAAACTCTTTCTTTACTTTTGAGACCCTAAAGGCTCAGGTCCTGGTCACTGAAAAACGATTTAAAGAATCAAAGGAAATCTGACTGCACTAGCCAGTTATCTTACAACTCGGTGACTCTAAAAAACCTAACCTCACATAAGGTATTATATTTACAAAAAGTAATAATAAAATACATATATAAGCACACATATATATGTATGAACACACACACACATACAAACACACACACATTAAAAATATATATCAAATGTTAAGATGCTCTTGGAATAGAGGAATTATAATTATTATTGTTATTACTTTTTTTTTTTTTGAAACAGTCTTGCTTTGTTGCCCAAGCTGGAGGGCAATGGCACAATCACAGCTCACTGCAACTCTTAACTCCTGGGTTCAAGCAATCCTCCCGCCTCAGCCTCCCAAGCAGCGAGGACTACAGGCATGAGCCACCACGCCCAACTAATTTTTAAATTTTTTGTAGAGATGAGGTCTCCAAACTCTTGGTCTCAAGTGATCCTCCTGCCTCGGCCTCCCAAAGTGCTGGGATTAGAGGCCTGAGCCACCACACCCTACCAGAATAAAGGGATTAAAGGGATTTTAATTTTATCTAAGCATTTCTAAATTTTATAATGAGAAAAAACACTATTATAAAGTATGCCCACAAATATCACTTGATCTCTAACACTGCTTTCAACTTTCAGATTCGGTCTTCCTGGCTCTTTTTTCTTTTTTTTAAGATGGAGTCTCGCTCTGTTGCCCAGGCTGGAGTGCAGTGGTGCGATCTCAGATCACTGCAACCTCCACCCCCCAGGTTCAGGCGATTCTCCTGCCTCAGCCTCCTGAGTAGCTGGGATTACAGGTGTGCACCACCACAGCTGGCTAATTTTTGTGTTTTTAATAGAGACATGGTTTCACCATGTTGGCTAGGCTGGTCTCAAACTCGTGACCTCAAATGATCTACCTGCCTCAGCTTCCCATAGTGCTAGGATTACAGGCATAAGCCACCGTGCCTGGCCCTCACTCTTACATTTGTTTTACTGCGTTAATACTTTATTTTACTGTTCTGTAGCATACTAATGATGTATAAATTTGTTTCTGATACTTTATGTTTAGAGTTATTACAACATGAAAAGCCACACATCTCCAGCTAAGAAAAAGGAAGAGGGTTAAGATAACGGAAAATGCAACAAATAATCCTACCAATGGCAGCTAATTGCCGAAATCCAGTTTGCTTGCTATGGTAGCCAGTCCCTAAGATGACCCCAATGACACTTGCTTCCTGGTATTCACACCCTATGTGGTAAGGTGTACACCCTATGTAGGCCCCTCCCACACTATAGCAGCAGAATATGTAACCTACAGAATATGGTAAAGATGATAATATGTCACCTTCTGATATTAAGTTATAAAACACACTGCCTGTGGCTTCTTTCTTGGGCATGCCCTCTCACTCTTAGATCACTCACTCTGGAAGAAGCCATGTCATGACACGAACAAGCCCATGGAGAGGATCTCCTGGCAAAGAAGTGAAGCCTCCTGCCAGCAGCCCCATGAATGAACTACCAAGCAAATTCTTCAGCCCCAGTGTATATCTTGACTACAACTTCATGAAAGAACCTGAGCCAGCTAAGCGACTCCCAGAATCCTGACCCTCAGAAACAATGTGAGATAATAAATGTGTAGTTTTAAGCTGCTATATTTGCTAAAATTTGTTATGGAACAATAAATGACAAACTTTTTTTGGCCAAAAGCAGTACAATTAGAGAAGACTGTTGGATATACTATCATTATCCAATCTTCCTCATTCTACACAAAGCTCCCTTTACAGGAAAATCAGGAAGAAACGTATAGGGAAACTTGAGTTAATTTTCTTAAACATGGAAAAAAAGATATGAAGTCAATTATAATGATCCTTCACTATAAACATTAAAGATCTTTCTTGTGTATCTTTTAATTTTTGAAAGATGCCTATGAAGACTTTATACCTATTTCTACAAATAATGAACTATTTTCCACAATTATGAAGAAATGAGCCCTTAACTTTGAATCTGTCCCATAACACCCACCACAAAGTAGCTAGTTTAACTCTTTTTCTTTTTTTTGAGACAGTTTCACTCTTGTTGCCCAGGCTAGAGTGCAATGACGCAATCTCAGCTCACCACAACCTCCGCCTCCCAGGTTCAAGCGATTCTCCTGCCTCAGCCTCCCGAGTAGCTGGGATTACAGGCATGCGCCACCATGCCTGGCTAATTCTGTATTTTTAGTAGAGACGGGGTTTCTCCCTGTTGGCCAGGCTGGTTTCGAACTCCTGACCTCAGGTGTTCCTCCTGCCTCGGCCTCTCAAAGTGCTGGGATTACCAGTCCCAAAGTGCTGGGTCAGACCAGTCTGACCAATATGGTGAAACCCCATCTCTACTAAAAATACAAAAAATTAGCCAGGTGTGGTGGTGGGGTAATCCCAGCTACTCAGGAGGGTGAGGCAGGAGACTCACTTGGACCCAGGAGGCAGAGGTTGCAGTGAGCCAAGATTGCGCCATTGCATTCCAGCCTGGACAACAGGAGCAAAACTCCATCTCAAAAAAAAAAAAAAAAAAAAAAAGGAGTAATAATAATAATAATAATAGTAAGATACACTTATAAATATTTCAACTAATTCCCACTTATTTTCAAGAGAAAAATCAGGTTAAAAATACTTCATCTACCTGGTTACACCACCCCAGGATATTTTAGAAAACGTAAACCTAACACCATCAGTTAAAAAAAAAATGAATAAAGAAAAATCTTATCTAGTACACAGGTCAAATAATTACTGTTTTCAGGTTTAAGATGATATATGCATTATACAGAAAATATAGAGCCAATTACAATGCAGCATAACCATAATTGAATAGCTTCAGGATTTTATCACTTGTAAAATATTCCCTTACATTTTTGCATTTAAGAATATGTTTCTAAGACAATCTTTAACCAAAAAATACTTTTAAAAAGAGAGTTGACTTACCCATATGCTCTATTGTCTGGCAGACTGCTATGGGCTCTTACTCCTGGGGGTATGACTCGGACTTCATTGATATAAACCACACATGGAAAACGAACCACATCTATATGAGAACTTTGCTGTAACAAAAAAAAAGCCGGAGGGGGAGGGGTTCGGAACATTATGTAAAACAGTTTCTCTATTCAAATTTTATTCATTCACAATGTCACATGTAAACTTAACATTCCATATCATTAAATATCATTAAATATATTATTTACAGTGTTGTATAAATAGCTGATAAGATGTACTTACTTAAGTTTCTCAATTTGCCTAACATTTTCTGCCATGCATTTACTTCCCTGCTGATGTTTTGCTTAGACTAATATAGACACAGAGTCCCTTATCTGAAATCTCTGGAGCCAAATGCCTTTCAGAATCCTGACTTTTTGATTTCTAGAAAGATAATATAATCCAAATATTGCATATTACTTTAGACCCCCAGTGGCTTCTGCAGCAGCACCCTGTAATCAAAACATTAATATTCTGCAGCCACACGTATCAACATTCACACTAAATAAAGATTATGGCCGGGCGCAGTGGCTCACACCTGTAATCCCAGCACTTTGGGAGGCCCAGGCAGGTGGATCACGAGGTCAGGAGATTGAGACCCCGGTGAAACCCCGTCTCTACTAAAAAATACAAAAAATTAGCCGGGTGCAGTGGCGGGCACCTGTAGTCCCAGCTACTTGGGAGGTTGAGGCAGGAGAATGGCGTGAACCCGGGAGGCAGAGCTTGCAGTGTGCTGAGATCGCGCCACTGCACTCCAGCCTGGGTGACAGAGCGAGCGACTCTGTCTCAAAAAAAAAAAAAAAAAAGAAAAAAAAAGATTATAACAAGCACCATATCAGTTCAGATTAGACTGCATGGCCAAATGAATTCAGGGTAGGGTTTTGTGTTTTTTGGTGTAAGTTTTTTGCCATTTTTGAGTTTCTGAATTATAGATAAGAAACTGCAAATCTGTACTTAGATCAGCTTACTTTGTTAAACTTACATACCAACTAATATCAAGGGATCAGGGAAAGCATTTAGGTACTGAATAGCCGAGATAAACCCCTCCTAAAATTAAAAAACAAAACAAAACCACAAACTAAGAGTTTATTATATAGAAAAAAAAATAGAAGCAGAGGTGCATGCCTGTAACCCTAACTACTCAGGGGGCTGAGGTAGGAGGATCACTTGAGCCCAGGAGTTTGAGGCTATAGTTAAGTTATGATATGATCGCCTCACTGCACTCCAGCCTGGGTGACAAAGTAAGACTCCATCCTGGGGAAAAAAGAAAAACAAACAAAAAAAGAAACAGCATAAATTATATCTAGTATATACTTACATCTATCATTTGACACAGGATTAGGCAAATATAATTCTTGTTTTCAATAATTAAAAAGAGAGTTTTCAAATTGTTTTTGGACAATTTTATGTCAACTTTTCCTATTACTTCAGTCAACTGTTATTACCAAGTGGTCAAAGTCCATCATGAGAAGAATGGCTCACATTATTTGCATCTAGAAAGACTGAGTCTCGCTATAAAGAATATCATGCTTACCAACAATGAATTTAAGGATTTACAAATAGCCTTTCAAAATCTATTTTGTTTGTATATAAAAGAGTTTCTGTATTTGCTGCTACCAGTTGTTAAATATTTATTTCTAAATATTTATTAAATGTCGACTATGTTCCAAAGTATGCTAGTTCTGAGGCTACAAAGACAAGACATAATCTCTGCCATTATGGAACAGACAATCTGTTGTGGTAGACAAGTAGATAAATTGCCATGATACAGACTCACAAAGGATGCTATGAAAATTCAGAGGGGTATTTAGGTCCCCAGCCCAGGTTGTAGGCAAACAAGGGAGAAGGCATGCACAAAAGGAATGCAAAAGAGAACATGGAACATTCACAAAAGTGCAGGCTGGGAGCCATGGCTCACACCTGTAATCCCAGCACTTTGGGAGGCTGAGGCAGGAGGATCACTTGAGGGCAGGGTTCAAGAAGATCAGCCTGGGCAATATAGGAAGATCCTGTGTCTACAAAAAATTAAAAAATCAGCTGGGCATGGTAGCACATGCCTGTAGTCCCAGCTACTCAGGAGACTGAGGTGAGAGGATCACTTATGCCCAGGAGGTCAAGGCTGCAGTGAGTCGTGATGGCACCACTGCACCCCATCCTAAGCAACAAAGCGAGACTCTGTCAAAAAAAAAAAAGGGAAAGAAAGAAATTGCAAACATAGTTCATCATAGCTAGAGGGCAAAATAGCAAAACAGGGGAGGAAAGCAGAGAAGAGTAGCTAAGAACAACCAACAGAATTACAAAAACAAGATTTTCATCCACAGCCAGAGGACAATTCCCAATCTGTATCTCCATCTAGGACCTCTCTCCTGAGCCCCAGGCTACTATATCCAACTGCCCACTCAGCCTCTCCATTTCAATGTCCCTTGTGCACCAAACTCAACAAATCCAAACTGAATTCTCCTACATTAGTGATGGCATCACCATCCACATATTGCCCAAGACATTATTATCCTGGACTTCTCATCCTCTCTCTTCTATATCATCTATCTATTCAAACACTAAGTCCTATTGATTAAAGCTCTCCTCCATTCCGGCTGTCACTCCTTTAGTTCCATATACTACATCACTCCAATATGAATTACAGCAATAGGATCCTAATTGATTTTGTGCTTCTTTTTTAATTTTTGTTTTTTAAATTTTTATTTCAATAGTTTTTGGGATACAAGTGGTTGTTTACATGGATAAGTTCTTTAACGGTGATTTCTGAGATTTTAGTGTACCTGTCTCCCAAGCAGTGTGCACTGTACCCAATATGTAGTCTTTTATCCCTCACCCCCGTCCCAACCTTCCCCCTCCGAGTCCCTAAAGTCCATTGTATCATTCTTACGCCTTTGCATCCTGTGCTTCTTTCTTGCCTCCCATCAACACATTCTCCTACTGAAGTATGGTCTTTCTAAACTATAAATGTACCACTCCCCTGATCTTACTGTTGCCAAGCCAAATTCCTAGGTCTTATAAACAAGACTGGCTTCTTTATTGCTCCAAACTTATATCCCTAGCTTACCATGCTTTTCTCATTTTTATGCCCTCACTCATGATGTTCTCTCTGCTTGAAATCTATCACATCCTTCTGCCCCAACTCCTTTTACAAGTAAACTTTCTCTTGAAAGCTGAGCCAGATCAAATCTAGATAGGTGCCTCTCCTCCTAGTGCCTAAAGTCCTTTATCTAGCTGAATTGTAATTGCCTCTTATCTCTCCCATTAGACTATGTGTTTAAAGAAGACAGACCTATGTCTTAGTTTACTGTATATTCATAGTGCCTAGCATATTCATTTAATAAATGAATTTTTAATAGGCACTTGATTAATGGTTATTGAATTGTGTTTTCAGAGAATTAAAAACAAAGCCTAGGAAAACAGGTTAACAATGGGAAATCATGGAAGGTTCATGATCAGGAAAGTAACAGGAATATGAAGAAGACTGGTCAGATTCCACAACTCTGAGCCACAATTATCTTTGGAAGGAGTCATTTACCTGCATGTTTAAAGGTCACAGCATAACTGTTTCCCTTCCTTATTCTTCTATCCCTGCAATTATCTTCTCTTTCTACCCTCTCCTTTAGCTATCACATCTACTGCTACCACTTCCTTTTTCACTTCTGCAGATGAGTTCCTAATTGGTTTCCTGAAGTAATTTTTAAATGACCTCTAAAATACAGGATTTTCCAGTATCGACCTAGTCTCCTAGGACTGTATTTTAACCCAGCACTTCCACACTGGAAAGTACTATTAAAAAAATAACTAAAAATGTGTAAAACAATTTAGCTTCAAGAATATTACACACCACTGTAAAGTCAGAAACCTAAATGTATGAGAATTTAGTATATAAATAATAGCATTAATATCGTAGCACTTTGGGAGGCCAAGACAGACAGATCACCTGAGGCCAAGAGTACGAGACCAGCCTGGCAACACGGCAAGACTCCATCTCTACCAAAAAAAAAAAAAAAACTTTAAAAACTAGACGGGCATGGTGGTGTGCACCTATAGTCCTAGCTACTCAGGAGGCTGAGGCAGGAGGATCGCCCAGGTCAAAGTTGTAGTAAGCCATAAGCACACCACTGCACTCCAACCTGGGCAACAGAGCAAGACCCTGTTTCAAAAAATATATATAGCATTACCACTTAAAGAATATTACACAGCCAATAAAAAAGGATATTATATAGAATATCTAAGGAGAGAAACAAGATGGTTAGGGGACAGTGATGAGACTTACTTTTTACCACATACTCTTTTGTACCTTTTGTATTTGTACCTCATACATGTATTACCTAGTCAAAAAAAAAAAGAAAATTTAAAAAAATAAGCTTACTTTTGAAATATTATATAGGTGTATTACTTCTTGATTCACAAAGATGTACAACACATTGTTAGGTGAAAAACGAAACCACAAAACAGTATTACAGTATTGTAATATTAACGTGGGCAACGGGTGTATACATTTAAGCATAATATTCACTAGAGGATTTGGAAAAATATTAATATAAAGACAGCTGTTAATTACAGTGTAAAATACAAAGTAAAAGCTGATTACAATAGGGAGAGATACAGAAAGGAAATTAATTCACTCATCAACAGGAATATACAAATACAATAGCTTTCCACTCATATACTTGTTTACCAAATAACCTTGCTTAAATCTGATTTTAACTTAAACAACTTTTTCTAATATTGTATATGTTAACATTAGAGATATAGTGTGCTTTTTTATATTTTTTTATTATTTATTTATTTATTTTGAGACAGAGTCTCGCTCTGTCGCCCAGGCTGGAGTGCAGTGGCACGATCTAGCCTCACTGCAAGTCCCACCTCCCAGGTTCACGCCATTCTCCTACCTCAGCCTCCTGAGTAGCTGGGACTACAGGCGCATACCATCACGCCTGGCTAATTTTTTTTGTATTTTTAGTAGAGACAGGGTTTCACCAGGTTAGCCAGGATGGTCTCAATCTCCTGACCTCGTGATCCCCCTGCCTCAGCCTCCCAAAGTGCTGGTATTACAGGCATGAGCCACCGCGTTTGCTATGTTGCCCAGGCTGTCCTCCCAACTCCTGGGCTCAAGTGATCCTCCCACTTCAGCCTCCCAGGCTGGGGCTACAGGCACACATGCCACCACACCTGGCTTATCTTGCATTCTTGATTTGTAATGTTAAGTGTTTTTTCATTCACGGGAACACTATTCCCTCACAATCAAATTGTCTTTTAATAAGTTTAACTGCTTATCTTCTGAACTCAGTGGATTGGCCTTATAAATGTGTATCAATTGTTTATGTGGAGAAGAGGAAATTATTGGTAAAACAAATACAATACCAAAAAAAGAGCTGTTAATGGCAGCTGGCAATAAAGATTCCCTGTGTGAAACTAATAAATGTCTCTTCTCTACCATATTACAAATTCCTTTGAAATCAAGGGCAATGGGCTTTGTTCTGACTTGTATTGCCCCTCCTAAAGCCATACCCTCACCTTCAAAAGTGTTTTTCATAAATAATTGTTAAACAGATTCTCAACTTCCTATGGGGCAAATTAATCTGGCTAATTATCCCGTTCCCATCAAACTCACTTCCACACTCTTACCATCATTAGTCCCACTAGTTCTCCTGTCTCTAAAACTAGAATTTTACCATTTTTAACTACCCTATCTCCTTCACATAATCAGTTGCCATCCTGTCAATTCTATACTCGAAATTTGTACATATCCAAAACTTGTATAAATCCTCTCCTACGTAGTTCCACTGGGACACAGCATAGCACTGCCTTAGAGCCAGAAAAATGTATGATGGTGGATCTTAATCTAGCTATGCTATTTTAGGAAAGTCACCTCATCTCTCAGGCTCAGTTTCCTTATCTATAAAATGTAGATGACTACCTTTGAAAACTCAGCGTGGGCCCTGCAGTGGCTCACGCCTGTAATCTTCGCACTTTGGGAGGCTGAGGTGGGAGAATCGCTTGAGCTCAGGAATTCAAGACCAGCCTGGGAAACATGGCAAAACACCGTCTCTACAAAAAAATATGAAAATCAGCCAGGCGTGTTGGTGCACAACTGTAGTCCCAGCTACTCGGGAGGCTGAGATGGAAGGATCGATTGAGCCCTGGTGGGAGAAATTGCAGTGAGCTGTGATCGCACCAGTGCACTCCAGCTTGGGTGACAGAGCAAGACCTAGTCTTAAAAAAAAAAAAAAAAACTGATGGAAGGACCAGAGATGATTTACTTAAGTTATCAAAGCCCACTGTGTCTGGCACAAATTAAGCATTCAATAAATGTTAAACAATGCTTACTGCCCATTGGCTAACTCAGGTTTTCATAACATCTCACTTTTTCTCTCTGATTTTGTCACCTCACCTCTATTTTCTCTGAACCATTTTTTTTTTTTTTCTTTTTGAGACGGAGTCTCGCTCTGTCACCCAGGCTGGAGTGCAGTGGCACAATCTCGGCTCACTGCAAGCTCTGCCTCCCGGGTTCACGCCATTCTCCGGCCTCAGCCTCCTGAGTAGCTGGGACTACAGGCACCTGCCACCACGCTCGGCTATTTGTTTGTATTTTTAGTAGAGACAGGGTTTCACCATGTTAGCCAGGATGGTCTCGATCTCCTGACCTCGTGATCCGCTTGCCTCGGCCTCCCAAAGTGCTGGGATTACAGGCATGAGCCACGGCGCCTGGCCTTCTCTGAACCATTTTAAGTATTATTGATCAAGTAATCTATCTAATGTATCTTACTAATTGTATGATTCGCCTGCTCAAAAACTACCCATTTCCTACAAAATAAAGTCCATAATTTTTATTTATTTATGTATTTATTTATTTTAAAAGACAGAGTCTTGCTCTGTCGCACAGGCTGGAGTGCAGTGGCGTGATCTTGGCTCACAGCAACCTCCTCCTCCCGGGTGCTAGCAATTCTCCTGCCTCAGCCTTCCGAGTAGCTGGGACTATAGACGCACACCGCCACGCCCAGCTAATTTTTTGTATTTTAGTAGAGACGGGGTTTCACTGTGTTACCCAGGCTGGTGTCGAACTCCTGACGTCAGGCAATCCACCCACCTCAGCCTCACCAAAGTGCCGGGATTACAGGCGTGAGCCACTGCGCCTGGCCTAAAGTCTGTAATTCTTTGTCGAGCATTCAAGGAGCTCCATGATCTGTCTTTGAATTGCCTTGGGTGCCACTTCACACTGCTACTTCAAGCATACCCTAACAGACGACTGACTACCCCAGTAGAATGCCCTCCTTTCCTAACTACAACTGTGAAATATTGCCCCTTTCACCAAAGACCAAGTTCATAAGCCAAACACCTTGATGAAGTCTTTCCTGATACACTCAAATGAAAAGTTATCTCTGCCTCTTCTGAAATCTTGTATCTTTTATTTATACCCACAAAGGGAGCTAGTTCTAATACGTCAGATACTGATGGGCATTTTGTAAACTAAGATGATAAACCCCAACGAATTCACACTGTGCTTCTTTATGTGATCATCACATTCTAACTCAAATCACAATTTTGTGAATCTAATCTCCAATACTGAGTTATAACTTCTTGAAAACAAACATTTCAATATTTCGTATCACCCACAAACCCCTACTTCCTCCTTCAAGACTTGATTTAAATGTGATCTCTGCTAAGCCTTCCCCAATCACCCCAGAAGAAAGCATTTACCATCTGCCCTATGCTCTCAAGGTATTCAATGTTTACCTAAGAATGAATAAAAGAATAGAAATACATGATAAACTAATGAAGGCCAATTTTCCTAAACTAGAATAGTACTAAACTAATTCATCACATGCCTCTTTCTCTTTTTCCTTTTTCTCTTTCTTCCTTTCGAGACAGGGTCTCACTCTGTTGCTCAGGCTGGAGCACAGTGGTGTGATCTTAGCTCACTGCAGCCTTGAACTCCCAGGATCAAATGATCCTTCCACTTCAGCCTCCCGAGTAGCTGGGGCAACAAGATCAAACCACCACAACTAGTTAATTTTCTTTTGTAGAGACAGGGGTTGCACTGTGTTGCCTAGGATGGTCTCAAACTCCTGGACTCAAGCAATCCTTCTGCTTCCGCCTCCCAAAACGTTGAGATTACAGGCATGAGCCACTGCGCCAGGCTCTTTCAGTTTTAACTGTTCTCTATTTCTATACACCATAAGTTTGTTCTGATCCAACTACTGCCTCCATTGAGGGTTTTCTAAATCTCGGCTAGAATGTTAGATATAGTCATTGAACAAACAGTGCTAACTGACCCACATTAAATGTCAGACCATAAATTAACTGTCAGTAAGAAATGCTAACTCAAAGTTCTCCAACTTTTGACTTTTACAAACCTATAAACCATTCGTTAAATTAGATCACAGCTGTCAACTTTTTATTTTGCCAAGTAAAGCATTATGATACAATCACTACCCACTATCATTACTATCTCATAAAAGAAAGAACATTTTAAACATTTTCCATTCAAATATTTATTGAGCACCTACATTTTGCTAATACTGTCCTAGGCACTGGAGATACAGCTGAGAAAAAGAGAAATTATATCTGTCCTCAAAAAGCTTGATACAAGAGCACACTTGATAAAAATAAAAGGAAAAAAATAATCTCCAAAGAAAGAACAGTTCTCTAAATTAAGCTTACATTAAGACAGAAAAATGTGAAGTTCGTTTTTTTTTTTAACAATTTCTCCGTAGACTTCATTCAAGTTCATTTTTGGTCTGCTTTCAGGAATCTTTAGTTAACCAGCTATGTTTAATCTACATATTGCAGGGCCAATTGTACATTAAGGGGCGCTCAAGTAGTTTTGTACAGAAATATTACTCCACAACATTCCACCTCCAACCTCAAAGGAGATGTCTGCTGATGAGTTTAACTATAATTCTCTCAACTCTCCCCTCTTCGCAAGTATTCTCCGTGAATGCATCTCATTCCTAATGTGTGAAATCTCTCCGAGAGACAAGTATTAAAGTTTCAGGCCAAATCGGAGAGCACCGTAATCCTAAACCAAGTAAGTGTCACAACTGGGGAACATAATTCCCGACAGAAAAGAGGCCAAAGAGAAAGGATTTAGAAACATCGTGATTCGGAAACCACGAAGCCAACGTAAACTGCTCAGACTCCGGCACTACTGTCAAACACTACTGGCAAACCAAGACCCCTCCCAAACGCCATCTGAGGTAAACCTGAGAACCCTGATCCTTCTCAAGGCCCAAACCTGACAGGAAAAATAAAAAATAAAGCCATGCAAGCAGAAAAGCCAACTCGACCAAAGACACGGAGGGCCCAAGTTAAAGCAAGGAAATGAAGGGGCTGCTGCAGCCCTCCCTCAGACGCGATGCTCACACAGCTCGGGGGAGGGTGTCTGTGTGTAAGCGAGAAATTAAAGAAGCAATCTGCAGAAGGAAAAGTGGAGAACGCCTAACGGTTTTTTTGTAAAGATCCCAAGTCAAGAAGCAGCGTCAGAATCAAGTCGCCAAGCCTTACCTCAGCGCTCGGGTGTTTAAAAGTATCTAAAAATAACAGCTCCATCGCCGAGTCCACCGCCATGTTTGCCGCGGGCGGGGAACAGGGGGGAGGACTTCCGGGGCAGCGCTCCAGCCTCCGCGACAGCGACTCAGGAGAGGGAGAAACAGAGGGACTTCCGGTGACCAGAGCACTAGCGCCGCAAACCTCGGCCTATCCCAACGCATCTTGTTGCCCGGAGTTGCCGGCCCCGCCTTTTCCAGCGCGGCGGAGGGCGCCCCCTAGAACGCAGAGGGGGGGCAGAGGGAAGTGAGATGGGGACTACGGGGTCTCCAGTGGTTCAAACCCTGTCGTTCCTCCGCGTTACAGAGCTACAGCGGTCTCCGGGTGGCGAAGTGCGGAGACGGGGTTTTGGAGACGGTGGATGGAGGAGGGGGAGGGAAAGCTGCCAACTTTGGATACCAACCCCGTACACCCACCGAAGGGGATGTCCCACTTTTTCCAGCGCTGGGAGCAAAAAGATAACAGTGAGCGAGGTTGAAAAGTAAGACATTGATTTAAATAGAAGAAAAACTGTTGTTTCAACCAACGAAGAGATTCTTTGTTTTCTTATCTGTAAAATGTGAAAAATCGTACCTAACCTACAGGGTGATTGTGAGGAGTAATTGAAATAAAATTCGAGGAATTGTGTAACGTGAAGTACCATGAACAATAAAACAGGAGGCAGAATGAAAAGTAAGCCTCTCTGTCGGGTGTTGATGAGCTTTGGAGCAACGAGATAAACTCAGCGGGTTTGGTAGTCTAAATGGCACAAACCCTTAGCAGAGCAACTAGGAAATAGCTTGTAAAATTACACGTGCCTACCACTCTTCTAGGAAAATTCTCGCCCACGTATCTACAAATACAAGAATATTCATAGCAAACTTTATAAGTTGCAAAAGAGCAGGAAACATAAGTGCCATTGACAGAAGTAATAAGTAAATAGTGGCGTATTTATATAATAGTATATAGCAGGTACGAAGAATGAACCAGTGCTATGTTTACTAGCATGAAAAACCCAAAAAACAGGGTTGGTGGGCGCTTTGGCTCACGCCTGTAATCCAGCACTTAGGGAGGATGAAGCGGGAGGATCGCTTGAGCCCAGGAGTTGGAGAACTGCCTGGGCAATATAGCGAGACCCCGTTATTCACAAAAAGAAAAAAAAAAGACACAAACCAAAACAAAACAAGTTTAACTCCTCTCATCGCAAGCCGGGTGCGGTGGCGTGTTCCTGTGGTCCCAACTTCTCGGGAAGCTGAGACAGGAGAATCTCTTAAGCCCAGGAGTTGGAGGCCAGTGGGGACACCCATCTCTTAGAAAAGGAAATAAAAAATATATAGTGTAAAATAACATCTATATATTTAAAAACGTGCAAAAGAATATAAAATTTTAGGAGTGTACATATGTCATGAAATTATAAAGTCATGTATTGGAGTAACTAAAATTTCAAGATAGTGGTAAACTGGAAGGAGATGTAATGGAGAAGAACAGAAAGGCTTCACATGCCTTGGTAATGTTTTGTTATTTAGGTTAATGTTAATTTCACAAGCATGCCTTATATTATTGTTTGTACCTTCTGGTATGTCTGAAATATTTAATAATAAATGAATTTCTAAAGTAAATCTCCTCTCCACATCCTTCCTCAGCCATCCAGTTTCCTCTATTAGCTAGCTATAGTTTATCTTTTATTATTTGTTCTTGCATTGATATTTATTGCTTTTAATATTTTTCTGTTTTCTGATTCTTGCCTCTTTTTTTTTTTAGAAACAGGGTCTTGCTTCGTTGCCCAGCCTGGTCTCAAACTCTTGGCTTCAAGCAATCCTCCTGCCTCAGCCTCCCAAAGTGCTGTGATTATAGGCGTGAGCCACCGTGCCCCCCCCCTTCTTCTGTGTTTAGGCTTATATGCTGTTCTCTAATTTCTACCACTGATGTTTATTTTTATTCATATTTCTTATTTATTACTATATGTATTTATATAAATTTTCCCCTAAGCTCTCCCTTAACCAATGTACTATATAGTGCTTTTATAGTTGTCATTTTTACAGTCTGATTTTCTTAGCATTGATATCCTTTTTTTTTTTACATTTTTATTTTTATTTCAACAGTTTTGAGGGAACAGGTGATGTTTGGTTGCATGGAAAAGTTCTTTAGTGGTGATCTCTGAGGTTTTGGTGCACCCATCACCTGAGCAGTGTATACTGTATCCAATGTGTATGTAGTCTTTTATCCCTCACTCCCTCGCCCACCCTTCCCCGCCGCCAGTCCCCAAAGTCCATTATATAATTCTTAGGAGTTTGCATCCTCATAGCTTAGCTCCTGCTTAATAGTGAGAACATGCCATGTTTTGTTTTCCATTCCTGAGTTGCTTCACTTAGAATGATGGTCTCCAGCTCCATCCAGGTTGCTGCAAATGCCATTATTTTGTTCCTTTTTGTGGTTGAGTTAGTAGTATTCCCATATATATTCCCATATATATATATATATATATATATATATATATATATATATATATATATGTAGTATTCCCATATGTATATATATGTATATACACCACATTTTCTTTATCCACTCGTTGGTCGATGGGCATTTAGGCTGGTTCTGTATTTTGGCAACTGTGAGCTGTGCTGCTATAAACGTGTGTGCAAGTGTCTTTTTCATATAATGACTTCTTTTCCTTTGAGTAGATACCCAGTAGTGGGATTATTGGATCAAATGGTAGTTCTACTATTAGTTCTTTAAGGAATCTACATACTGTTTTCCATAGTGGTTGTACTGGTTTACATTCCCACCAGCAGTGTAAAAGTGTTCCCCTTTCACCACATCCATGCCAACATCTGTTTTTTTTTATTTTTTAATTATGGCCATTCTTGCAGGAGTAAGGTGGTATCTCATTGTGGTTTTGATTGGCATTTCCCTGATAATTAATGATGTTGAGCATTTTTTCATTTCTTTATTGGCAATTTATATATATATATATATATATTTGTTGTTGTTGTTTTGTTTTGGTTTTTGAGACGGAGTCTTGCTCTGTTGCGCAGGCTGGAGTGCAATGACTCGATCTTGGCTGACTGCACCCTCTGCCTCCCTGGTTGAAGCAATTTTCCTGCCTCAGCCTCCTGAGTAGCTGGGACTGCAGGCGTGCACCACCACCCCCAGCTAATTTTTGTATTTTTAGTAGAGATGGGGTTTCACCATGTTAGCCAGGCTAGTCTTGAACTCCTGGCCTCAGACAATGCTCGCCTCGGCCTCCCAAAGTGCTGGGATTATAGGCGTGAGCCACTGTGTCCGGTGAATTTGTATATTTTCTTTTAAGAATTGTCTATTCATGTCCTTTGCCCACTTTTTGATGGGATAATTTATTTTTTTCTTGCTGATTTGTTTGAGTTATTTGTAGATTCTGGATATTAGCCCTTTGTTGGATACGTAGTTTGTGAAGATTTTTCTCCCACTCAATGGATTGTCTGTTTACTCTGCTGATTATTTCTTTTGCTGTGCAGAAGCTTTTTAATTTAATTAGGTCCCATCTATTTACCTTTGTTTTTGTTGTATTTGCTTTTGGATTATTGGTCATGAACTCTTTGCCTAAGCCAGTGTGTACAAGAATTTTTCCTATGTTATCGTCTAGAATTTTTAGTTTCAGGTCTCAGATTTAAGTCTTTGATCCATTGTGAGTTGATTTTTGTATCAGGCACAGATGGGGATCCAGTTTCCTTCTTCTACATGTGGCTTGCGAATCATCCCAGCACCATTTGTTGAATAGGGTGTCCTTTCCCCACTTTATGTTTTTGTATGCTTTGTCAAAGATCAGTTGGCTGTAAATATTTGGCTTTATTTCTGGGTTCTCTATTATGTTGCACTGATCTACATGCCTACTTTTATACCAGTACCATGCTGTTTTGGTAACTATAGCCTTGTGGTATAGTTTGAATTCAGAGGGTGTGTTGCCTCCAGATTTGTTCTTTTTGCTTAGTCTTGCTTTGGCTATCTGGGGTCTTTTTTTGTTTCATATGAATTTTAGGATTTTTTTTTCAAGTTCTTTGAAGAATGATGATGGTATTTGAATGCAAATTGCATTGAATTTATAGATTGCTTTTGTCAGTATTGTCATTTTCACAATATTGATTCTGAAGCAGCATCATTGTCTGGGGTAATACCCAAGGCTTGTTGTCTCACACCAAGGGAATCGAGGATGTGGACACACACATGAAGTGAGGTTTAATAGCACAAGAAAGAGAAAGGAGAACAGCTCCCTCTCTTGAAGGGGGGGAGGGAGAGAGAGGGAGAGAGACAGACAGACAGACAGACATGGGGGCAGCTCCCTAATGGGAATTCTAGCCCACGGGGGAGTGCACCAGATTTTATAGACAGGCTTGAGGAGGCAGTGTCTGATTTACATAGGGCCCACAGATTGGTTGGACCGGGTGTGATGTTTACATAGTGTGCGAGGAAGCTGGCTGCCCTACCCTAATCTTATTATGCAAATAGGCTTTCCACTTGGTCAGTACCATGTTGTCTGCTCCCTACTGCACACACGGTTGGAAAAGAAAAGGGAAGATGGAGCCACCATTTTGAACATGCCTAGTCCCAGGTGGCCTTTTCCTATTGGCACAACTGCTGGCATTCACCCATGCAAGCTTCCAGCTTGCTTGTACATGTGTGCAGCTCCATTTTACAGGCTGCTCTTTGTTAGAAACAAGATGATTTGGGGGCTGCTTTTCATTAAAAGGAAAACCTTACTGAGAACTTCCTCACCCTCACTATCTGCCTAAATAATTTCTCTTTAACTCCTATATCAAAATTCCGGCCCGGGCGCTGTGGCATATGCCTGTAATCCCAGCACTTTGGAAGGCTGAGGCGAGCAGATCACTTGAGGTCAGGAGTTCAAGACTAGCCTGGCCAACATGGCAAAACCCTAGCTCTACTAAAAATACAAAAATTAGCCAGGTGTAGTGGCATGTGCCTGTAGTCCCAGCTACTTGAGAGGCTGAGGCAGGAAAATTGCTTGAACCCAGGAAGCAGAGGTTGCAGTGAGCTGAGATTGTGCCATTGCACTCCAGCCTGGGTGACGGAGTAAGACGCCTCAAAAAATTAATTAATTAATTAAATAAATAAAATAAAATTCTTCCCATCCATGAGTGTGGGATGTGTTTCCATTTGTTTGTGTCATCTATTATTTCTTTCAGCAGTGTTTTGTAGTTTTCCTTGTAGAGATCTTTCACCTCCTTGGTTAGGTGTATTTCTAAGTATTTTATTTTATTTTTTTTGCAGATGCTGTAAAAGAGGTTGAGTTCTTGATTTGATTCTCAGCTTGGTCATTGTTGATGTAAAGCAGTGCTACTGATTTGTGTACATTGATTGTGTATCCTGTCAGATCTAGGAGCTTTTTGGATGAGTCTTTAGGGTTTTCTAGGTATACTGTCATATCATCAGCGAACAGCAACAGTTTGACTTTCTCTTTACTGATTTAAATGCCCTTTATTTCTTTCTCGTCTGATTGCTCTGGCTAGGACTTCCAGTACTATGTTGCATAGAAGCGGTGAAAGTGGGCATCCTTATCTTGTTCCACTTTGCTGTGGGAATGCTTTCAACTTTTCCCCATTCAGTGTAATGTTGGCTGTGGGTTTGTCATAGATGGCTTTTATTACCTTGAGGTATGTCCCATCTATAATGATTTTGCTGAGGGTTCTAATCATAAATGGAGGCTGGATTTTGTCAGGTGCTTTTTCTGCATCTATTGAGATAATAATGATTTTTGTTTTTAATACTGTTTGTATGATGTATCACATTTTATTGACTTGCATATGGTAAACTATCCCTGCATCCCTGATATGAAACCCAACTTGATTGTGGTGGATTATCTTTCTGATATGCTGTTGGATTTGGTTAGCTAGTATTTTGTTGAGGATTTTTGCATCTGTGTTCACCAGGGATATTGGTCTGTAGTTTTCTTTTTTTGTTATATCCTTTCCAGGTTTTGGTATAAGGGTGATACTAGCTTCATAGAATGATTCAGGGAGGATTCCCTCTTTCTCTATTTTTTGGAATAGTTTCAATAGGATTGGTACCAGCTCTTCTTTGAATGTCTGATAGAATTCAGCTGTGAATCCACATGGTCCTGGACTTTTTTTCCATTGGCAATTTTTAAATTACTGTTTTAATCTCACTACTTGTTACTGGTCTGTTCAGAATTTCTGTTTCTTTTTTATTTAATCCAGGAGGGCTGTATATGCAGGAATGTATCCACCTCTTCTAGATTTTCTAGTTTGTGTGTGTAAAGATGTTCATAGTAGCCTTGAATGATCTTTTGTATTTCTGTGGTATTAGTTGTAATACTTCCTGTTTCATTTCTAATTGAACTTATGTGGATCTTCTGTCTTCTTGGTTAATCTCACTAACTGTCTATCTCTTTTGAAAGAACCAGCTTTTTGTTTCATTTATCTTTTATATTTATTTGTTTCAATCTTATTTAATTTGGCTCTGATCTTTGTTATTTCTTTTCTTCTGCTGGGTTTGAGTTTGGTTTGTTCTTGTTTCTGTAGTTATTTGAGGTGTGACCTTAGATTTCTATTTGTACTCTTTCACACTTTTTGATGTAGGCATTCAATGCTATGAACTTTCTCCTCTTAGCACGACTTTTGCTGTGTCCCAGAGTTTTTGATAAGTTGCATCACTATTATCATTCAAATAATTTTTTAATTTCCATCTTGATTTCACTGTTGACCCACAGACCATTCAGGAGCAGATTATTTAATTTCCACGTATTTGTATAGTTTTAAGGGTTCCTTTTGGAGTTAATTTCCAATTTTATTTCACTGTGGTCTGTGAGGGTACTAATATAATTTCAATTTTCTTAAATTTATTGAAACTTGTCCTGTGGCCTATCATATGGTCTCTCTTGGACAATGTTCTATGTACCGATGAAAAGAATATATATTCTGAAGTTGTTGGATAGAATGTTCTGTAAATATCTGTTAAATCTTATTTGTTCTAGGGTATAGTTTAAGTCCATTGTTTCTTTGTTGACTTTCTGTCTTCATGACCTGTCTAGTGTTATCAGTGGAGTATTGAAGTCCCCCACTATTATTGTGTTGCTGTCTGTCTCATTTCTTAGGTCTAGTCGTAATTGTTTTATGAATTTGGGAGCTCCAATGTTAGGTGCATATATATTTAGGATTATGATATTTTCCTGTTGGACTAATCATTTTATCATTACATAATGTCCCTCTTTGTCTTCTTTTTAACTGTTGTTGCTTTAAAATCTTGTTTGTCTGATATGAGAATAGCTACTCCTGCTTGTTTTTGGTTTCCATTTGCATGGAATGTCTTTTTCCACCCCTTTACCTTAAGTTTATGTGATTCCTTATGTGTTGGATGAGTCTCTTGAAGATAGCAGATACTTGGTTGGTGAATTTTTATCCATTCTACCATTCTGTATCTTTTAAGTGGGGCATTTAGGCTATTTACATTCAACATTAGTACTGAGAGGTGAGGTACTGTTTATTCATCATGCTAGATGAATAGAATAGGGCCAATGGGGTTATGTTCCAGAGGGGATTATGGCTGTCTCTGTTGCCAGGGAAGTGGGAGAAAACCAGTAGTGATAGGCCTCACCCAGCTCCCACGCAGTTGACGGGGCCAGTCTCATTTCTACTGTGGCCCTGCTAACAGCACCAACTTTATCTCCAGGCAACCTTCAGGCAAGAGTCAGACCTAGCCCCAGGCTGTAAGTTTCCCCACTGAGAAAGCAAATATGGCTTTCAAGCCATGCCTCACCCCACCTGCCCACACTCTCCACCATAACTCCTGCTCTCCTATCTGCAGCAGTTTTCGTTTGCCCCTGGATTCTGCTCAAGAGAGTTCATGCCCAGTCAAAATTATTACAGAGTTCATTTAGAAGTTTCTTTCACCCTGTGACCCCTCCCGAATTCTACCAGCTACTTTCCCTGAGGGCCCCTATGAGATATAGTCGGGGTTGTCTTCCCTGGGCTTGAACTGGAGAATGGCAGTGCCTACTTGGCTCTTCCCACTGCTGCTTCTACTTTTATATTTCACGCTAAATCTGTTTCAGCTCTAGGTACGGTTAAATCCCTCTTCCATAATCTGGATTTTTGGATTCCCCAGTGGGGATGTGTGTCCAGATGCAGGTTTTCTACCTCTCACACTTTGGGAACTCACAGTTTTTCACCAGTCTTGAAGAATTGGCAGCGGCCTGCCACTTCTTTCAAAGGATCTGTGATTTCTTTTGGTCTTCCTGGTTCACTTCTGCAGTGGTTCCTGGAGCAAGTGTCCATGGTGTGAGTCTTCACACGCTGTTCTGTCCATCCAAGGGGGAGCTGCACATCAGCCCTGTCTCCTATCTGCCATCTTCCTTGGTCTTCCTGATATCCTTTGTGACCCAAAAGTAGTGTGAGTTAGCTATTTAAAATTAATAGACTAAGTTTAGAGCAGTTTTGTTACCAGAAAGTGGTCCCGATCTAGACCCCAAGAGAGGGTTCTTGGATCTCTTGCAAGAAATAATTCAGGATGAGTCCATAGATAGAAGTGAAAGCAAGTTTATTAAGAAAGTAGAGAAATAAAAGAATGACTACTCCATAGACAGATCAGCCGCAAGGGCTGCTGGTTGCCCATTTTAATGTTTATTTCTTGATTATACACTAAACAAGGGGTGGATTATTCTTGCCTCCCCTTTTTACACCATATAGGGCAACTTCCTGACGTTGCCATGACATTTATAAACTGTCATGGTGCTGGTGGGAGTATAGCAGTGAGGACAACCAGAAGTCACTCTTGTCACCATCTTGGTATTGGTGGGTTTTAGCCGGCTTCTTTACTGCAACCCGTTTTATCAGCAAGGTCTTTATGATCTGTATCTTGTGCTGACCTCCTATCTTATCCTGTGACTTAGAATCCCTAACCGTCTGGGAATGCAGCCCAGTGGGTCTCAGCCTCGTTTCACCCAGCCTATATACAAGATGGAATCTCTTTGGTTTAAACACTTCTGACAGTTTTACTGTATAAAAAATTGAGCAGATAGTACAGAGAGTTCCCATATACTCTCTCTTTCCCCATTTAAAGATTCCTCTATTATTGTCTTGCAGTAGCTTGGTACTTTTACTACAATTGATGAACCAGTAGTGATACATTATTATTAAATGAAGTCCATAGTTTACATTAGGATTTACTTTTAGTGTTGTATAGTTTCGACAAATATATAATGCCATTTATCTGCCCTTACGGTCTAATACAGAATAGTTTCACTGTCCTAAAAATTCCTTGTGCTCCACCTTTTTATCTCTCCCTCTGTCCTCACAACCACTGATCTTTTTTACTGTTTATATAGTTTGCCTTTTTCAGAATGTAATATAATTAGAATCATACAGTATGGACCCATTTCAGACCAGCTTTTTTCCCTAAGTAATATGCATCTGAGTTTCCTCCATGTATTTTCATGGCTTGATAGCTCATTTGTTTTTATTGCTGAATAAAACTGTCTAGATATAACATAGTTTATCCATCCAAGCAAGACCTTGTCTCTAAGAAAAAGAAACTGCTCTAAAAAGTAAAACCTATTAATTTTTAAAAAGGTAAGAACCATCAGGAATGGTGGCTCATGTCTGTAATCCCAGCACTTTGGAGGACCGAGGCAAGAGGATTGCTTGAGCCCAGGAGTGCAAGACCAGCCTTGGCAACATAGCAAGACCTTTTCTCTACAAATAATATAAATAATTAGCCTGATGTGGTGGTGTGCACCTTTGGTCCTGGCTACCTAGGAGGCTGAGGCTGGAGAATCACTTGAATCCAGAAGGCGGAGGTTGCAGTGAGCCAAGATCATGCCACTGCACTCCAGCCTGGCTGACAGAATGAGACCCCATCTCCAAAAAAAATACAAAAATAAAAATAAGGCCCAACTATATGCTATCTACAGGAAATGCACTTTAAATATAAAGACACAAATGAGTTAATGAGTTAAAAATAAAATATTGGAAAAATGTATACCATGCCAACACTAATCAAAAGAAAGCTGAGTGACTACATTAATATCAAAATAGATTTCAGAGCAAAGAATATTACCAAGGATAATTAACATTATGTCATAATGATACAGGGGTCAATTCATCAGGAATTTGTGACAAGCCTAAATCTTTATATATCTAATAGCAGAACTTCAAAAAACTTGAAGCAAAAACTGATAAAACTGAAGGGAGAATTAGACCAAAAAAAGAGTTAAGAATAACGTGCATAGCATGCTATTTTTTATGCAAAAATACTAATGTATGCTTGAATTTATAGGCTACCTATGAAAGCATTATGTAAGAAACTGATAATACTTGTTGCCTCCAGGAAGGGGAGTTTGATGGCTAGTGTACAGAGAGAGAAGGGAATCTATTCCCATGTATGTATATTACCTATTAAAAATAACCATCCTGGCCAACATGGTGAAATCTCGTCTCTACTAAAAGTACAAAAATTAGCTGGGTGTGGTGGCAGGTGCCTGTAATCCCAGCTACTCAGGAGGCTGAGGCAGGAGAATCGCTTGAACCTGGGAGACAAAGATTGCAGTGAGCCGAGATCACACCATTGCACTCCAGCCTGGGCGACACAGCAAGACTCTGTCTCAAAAAAAAAAAAAAAAAAAATAGAATGTTTGCCAGGCACAGTGGCTTATGCCTGTAATCCCAGCTCTTTGGGAGGCCAAGACAGGAGTATCACTTGTATCCAGGAGCTTGAGACCAGCCTGGGCAACATAGCAAGACCCCATCTCTACAAAAAATAAAAAATTAGTTGCCCACAGTGGCATGTGCCTGAAGCCCCAGCTACTCAGTAGGCTAAGATGGGAGGATCACATGAACCTAAATCGAGGCTGCAGTGAGTCATGATCATGCCACTGCACTCAGTCTGCGTAACAGAGTGAGATCCTATCTCAAAAAATAATAATAATAATAGGCCAGGTGTGGTGGCTCACACCTGTAATCTCAATGCTTTGGGATGCCAAGGCAGAAGGATTGCTTGAGCTGGACAACATGGTGAAACCCTCATCTCCACAAAAAATACAAAAATTAGCCAGGCTTGGTGGTGCATACTTGTGGTTCCAGCTACTCAGGAGGCTGAGGTGGGAGGATTGCTTGCACCCAGGAGGTCAAGGCTGCAGTGTGCCAAGAACATACCACTGCACTCCAGCCTGGGTTTCAGAGCAAGACCCTGTCTCCAAAAGCATAAATAAAAATAGAATTTTTTTTTTTTTGAGACAAAGTCTCGCTCTGTTGCCCAGGTTGGAGTGCAGTGACACGATCTCAGCTCACTGCAAGCTCTGCCTCCTGGGTTCACACCATTCTCTTGCCTCAGCCTCCCGAATAGCTGGGATTACAGGCACCCGCCACCATGCCCAGCTAATTTTTTGTGTTTTTAATGGAGACGAGGTTTCACCGTGTTAGCCAGGATGGTCTCAATCTCCTGACCTCGTGATCCACCCACCTCGGCCTCCCAAAGTCCTGGGATTACAGGCGTGAGCCGCCGTGCCTGGCAAAAAATAGAATTTTTACAGATAAATAAGAACCGAGGAGTAGAGAAAAGTTGTATAAATAACTCTTTCAAAAAACTTTTGTTGGCTTCCTTTCCAATTTGGGCCTGGCAGGATGGCTCCTGCAAAGAAGGGTGGCAAAAAGAAAAAGGGCAGTTCTGCCATCAATGAGGTGGTGACCCGAGAATACACCATCAGCATTCACAAACACATCCATGGAGTGGACTTCAAGAAGTGTGCCCCTCGGCCGAGCGTGGTGGCTTATGCCTGTAATCCCAACACTTTGGGAGGCCAAGGCAGGCGGATCACAAGGTCAGGATTTCAAGACCAGCCTGGCCAACATGGTGAAAACCCATCTCTACTAAAAATACAAAAATTAGCCGGGCGTGGTGCTGGGCGCCTGTCATCCCAGCTACTCGGGAGGCTGAAGCAGGAGAATCGCTTGAACCCCGGAGGTGGAGGTTGCAGTGAGCTGAGATAGTGCCACTGCACTCCAGCCTAGGTGACAGACCAAGACTCCATCTCAGAAAAAAAGAAGCATGCCCCTCAAGCACTCAAAGAGATCCAGAAATTTGCCGTGAAGGAGATGGGAACTCCAGATGTGCGCGTTGATACCAGGCTCAACAAAGCTGTCTGGGCCAAAGGAATAAGTATAAGTAATGTCCCATACCGTATCCATGTGCAGTTTCCAGGAACGTAATGAAGATGAAGATTCACCAAATGAGCTCTATACTTTGGTTACCTATGTACACATTACCACTTTCAAAAATCTACAGTCAGTATGGATGAGAACTAACTGCTGATCATCAAACACATCAAATAAAGTTATAAAATTGCAAAAAATACCACAAACTTTTGTTGCATAGAACAAAGAAATGTGATGGTTGTTGGAGGAGCCTGTCAGGTCAAGAAATAGTGTTTTTAAGATGAGGGATAACAGAATGTGTAGAATTATGGGAATAAAGTAATGAGGAGAGTAACCATGATGATGAAGAGACAGAGGGGACATCTGAGACAGCAAAGTATTTAATAGGTAGAGGTGGTACCTGGTGACCAAATAGTGACCTTTGCTAAAAGGAACACCTACTCTCTGGTAACCAGGGGAAGAAAGAGTCCATGGGTACAAATGCAGATGAGGATATACTATGTGGAAAATGAGGGAGTTCCTTTCTGATGGCTTCTGTCTCAACGAGGTCATTAGCTTGTCAAAAAATAGATGAGGTAAGGCCGGGCACGGTGGCTCACACCTGTAATCCCAGCACTTTGGGAGGCTGAGGCGGGCGGATCACGAGGTCAGAAGATTGAGACCATCCTGGCTAACACATGGTGAAACCCTGTCTCTACTAAAAATACAAAAAAATTAGCCGGGCTTGGTGGCCTTCCACCACATGATGATGCGGAAAGAAGGCCCTCACCAGATGTTAGTGCCTTGATCTTGGACTTCTGAGCTCTGAAACTGTGAGCCAATAAATTTCTGTTTGTTATAAATGAATCATTCTTAGATATTCTGTTATAGCAGCACAAACAAACTAAGACAACAACCTACAGAATGAAAGTATTTACAAATTATATATCTGATTAGGATCTACTCCGTAGAATATAGAAAGAACTCTTACAACTCAACAACAAAAAGACAAACCCCCCAATTTTAAAATGGGCAAAGGACTTGAACAGACATTTTCCAAAGAGGGTGTACAAATGACCAAGAAGCACATGAAAAGATGTTCAGTATCTTTAGTCATTAGGGAAAGGCAAATCAAAACCACAATGAGCCTGGGTGAGGTGGCTCATACCTGTAATTCCAGCACTTAGGGAGGCTGAGGCAGGTGGATCACTTGAGGTCAGGAGTTCGAGAACAGCCTGGCCAACATGGTGAAACCCTATCTCTACTAAAAATACAAAAATTAGCGGGGTTTGATGGTGCATGCCTGTATTCCCAGCTACTCAGGAGGCTGAGGCAGGAGAATCACTTCAACCTGAGAAATGGAGGTTGCAGTGAGCCGAGATCACACCTCTGTACTCCAGCCTTGGCAACAGAGCGAGCCTCTGTCTCAAAAAAAGAAAAACAAAACAAAACAAAAAAACCACAGTGAGATACCACTTCATATCCATTAGGATGGCTAGAATTTTTTTTATATAACAAGTGTTAGCAAGGACATGGAGAAATTGAAACTCTTGTACATTGCTGGTGGGAATGTAAAATGGTGCAGCCACTGTGGAAAGCAGTGTGATGGTTCCTCAAAAAGTTAAGCATAGAATTACCATATAACCCCAAGTCCCACTGCTAGGTATATACTAAAATATTTGAAAATGGGTATTTATTTATTTATTTATTAAATGAGGCAGGATCTTGCTCTGTTGCCCAGGCTGGGGTTCAGTGTTATGATCATAGTTCACTGCAGCCTTGAACTTCTGGGCTCAGGCCGTCCTCCCGCCTAAGCCTCTTGAGTAGCTGGGACTACAGGCACATGCCACTATGTCTTGCTAATTTTTTAAATTGTTTAGAGTGGGTGTTTGTGTGGCGGGGGTCTCACTATGTTGCTCAAGCTTGTCTCTAACTCCTAATCTCAAGCAGTCCTCCTGACATGGACTTCCAAAGTGCTGGGATTACAGGTTTGAGCCACTGTGCCGGCCTGAAAATAGGTATTTAAACAAATACTTATATGTGCATGTTCATAGCAGCACTATTTACAATGGCCAAAAATGTACAAACAACTCAAATATCCATCAGCAAATAAATGCATAAACCAAATATGGCATATACATACCTACTTCCCCCCAATGGCTCCTCCTATCCCTCAGTAGATTTGATGTTCTCTCATTTGTGACTTCAGAGTATATTCCACAGCTTAAGCTTTAGTACCCAACTTGTTTGTGGCCAGAAGAGGTCAGTGTCCCTCTTCTAACCTCTGAGCTGCTTCCCATGTAGTGATTGTATCTCGTTCATTAATACATCCCTAGTACATGGCACATACTAAACACTAAAAATACTTATTGAACAAATTAATTTATTTTGTCCTATTTCAGATCCCATATAGAATTATATATTGCACATCATTTATATGTCAAATGCTTATATTGTACTTTTCTGTTTTTGTTCTTTCATTTTTGCCTCTCTTGCTCATCAGATTATAAAGTATCCCAGGACAGTGCTCTGTAACCAGCCCATAGTAGCTACTGCTATTTTACCAGCTACTGTATCTTTCCTTCTTTGATTTCCAGCACCTGACAGTGAAAAGAGCAATTTGAAGAAAAACAAAATTTATCTTCAATGTGAAAAGCAATTTATAAAAATCCGAATACTTGCCAGGAGCAACTTGACAAAAAAGACAAAGGTGGTAGAAGAAATGTAACCAGCCCACAATTCCAATGTTGATAACAGATGAGCTCCCTTTCAAGGTGACTGACATTTACACAAGTACACAGAGCAAGAAGAAGGTCTGAGTGAACTGCCAAGCATTTTAACTTCTCCTGAGACCAAGTACATCAACAGTTCTCTTGGAAAAGAACAACTGATTTGGGAGTCTAGCAGACTGCCAGCTGCAAGACATTCATCCAGCATCAGGAACACAATGGGCCTTCATTTGCCTGCCTTTCTGAGGGCACCAATCAAAAGTAACAGCTGCCACCTTTTTCTATGAGACTTGATTATAATTTTCTATGGCCAAGGGTTTGCTGTGACACTTCCACATCATTCTTCAGTATGTAGTCCAGAGATTAGCTACAGATTCAAGAAACACAGACTGTAAACTATTATATACAGACATATCTCAAAATAAGCATACCCATTAGTGCCAGCTGCCCTGAAAGACTGAATGACCCCAGCTATTTTCCAAATGTTTTTTCAGAAAGCCATGAACACACCTTTCTGGGATCCTATCTATTTCAAAGACAGGCAAAGCTCTGTGGTTCAGTTCCACCACCCAGTACCAAGCCCACAGTATGCAGACCATACGCCTTACACATGGCCTTTTCTCTTTATGTAATTGCTGTACCATATTCAGCAGATCTAGACTGACTCAAAGCATGTTCCCTCAAGAAGCTCCACAGAAAAAAAGGTTTCTGTGATCAAAAATCATTTGGGAAATGCTGCAAACCCTATCTGCCTCTTAGAGCTTAACCATGCATGTCGGGGCATAATATAAACCTTTTCCAGTCTGGGCCACAGAGTGAGACCCCACCTCTAAAATAATAAATCAATAAACTCTTGAGAAGTACACAGAAAAGAAACTTCTGTAACTTTTTAGGTCTTAATTACAAGCAATTGTAGCTTAATCTAAACTTGCTCTTCACTTTATTTCTATGCTCTTGAAAACTAGTGACATAAGCCTTATGAATTTTTTGTTTGTTTGTTTCTTCTTTTTTTAAGAGAGAGACAGGGTCTCATTCTGTTGCTCAGGTTGGAGTGCAGAGGCACAATCATAGCTCACCGTAACCTTGAATTCCTAGTCTCAAGTAATCCTCCCATCTCAGCCTCCCTAATAACTAGGACTACAGGCACATACCACCACATCTGGCTAGTGTGTGTGTGTGTGTGTGTGTGTGTGTGTGTGTAAAGACAGGGGTCTCATTATGTTCCCCAGGCTGGTCTTGAACTCCTGGGCTTAAGCGATCCTCCCACCGCAGCCTCCCAAAACTTTGGGATTACAGGCATGAGCCACTACACCTGGCTGGATTATTCTTTCTTTAAAAAAATTTTTTTGGCCGGGCGCCGTGACTGTAATCCCGGCACTTTGAGGGGCCGAGGCGGGCGAATCACGAGGTCAGGAGATAGAGACCATCCTGGCTAACACGGTGAAACCCCGTCTCTACTAAAAAAAAATACAAAAAATTAGCCGGGCGAGGTGGCGGGCGCCTGTAGTCCCAGCTACTCGGGAGGCTGAGGCAGGAGAATGGCGTGAACCCGGGGGGCGGAGCCTGCAGTGAGCCGAGATCGCGCCCTGGGCGACAGCGAGACTCCGTCTCAAAAAAAAATAAATAAATAAAAACAAAAATTTTAAGCATAAATACAAAGGTTAGGTAGATTTAAAGATGGCCGGTAGCATGAAGTGAGCTGTCTAAAAAGTTGCTTTTACATAAGAACTTTATGTTACTTGATGAGCAAGTATTAATTGGGCTCTCTGTCTCTTCTTCTCTCTCCCTCTTTCTCTCTCTCTCTCTCTCTGGATCCACTTTCCCTCCTGCATCAGGGAGTCTACTCCTATGTAAATCTTCTGCAGGTTGTGCAGTGGACTTCACCTAGTCTCCCATCTCCAGCTAATTTGGCCAAGAATAGTCACCTGGCGCAAGGTGGGGAGGGAGCTCTCAATTGGCCAGCAACTTCTGACGTGTGACCTGACTGAACAATGAGAGGCTCGAGTGAAATTACCAGCTGGTAGTAGGACAGAGGATATAGATACATGGAATGGAGCTGAGCCAAATTAATGACAAAGGACTAGACAAGAATGACTGTTGATGATCACCTATGCTGAGATCACAAAGCTGCCCCGAGTCCAGAAGCAGGTTCACTGAGGGAGGCTCAACCATGTTACCAATCTTGTTTGAGATTAATGTTCCTTGTTGTAAACCTCAAGTCTGTTTCTTGCAATCAAACCATTCTAAATTGAAACAACTACTTAGAAAGTGTTTCTATGGGTTCAGTGGGACATTTCAACCAAATGAAATATGATAATGATCTTAAATGAACTAACAATAGTGTTGCAGAAATAAAATACAAATACCAGAAAGATAGCCAGGCACAGTGGCTCATGTCTGTAATCCCAGCACCTTGAGGGGCCCAGGCAGGAGGATCCCTTGAGGCCAGGAGTTTGAGACTAGCCATGGCAACATAGCAAGGCCCTGTCTCTATTAAAAAAATAATAATAATAATTTAAAAATTCGCCAGGCACAGTGGTGTGCACCTGTGGTCCCAACTACTCCGGAGGCTGAGGAGGGAGGATCACTTGAGCCCAAGAGTTCAAGGCTGCTATGAGCCATGATCACACCACTGCACTACAGCCTGGGCAACAGAGTGAGACCTTGTCTCTAAAAAAATACAAACAAAATACAGATTTAACCAACTCATGCCCAGCTTAAGTACAGAGTTTAAGAGTGTGCATTTAGAAACTTCATAAGTGTTTGGAATCCTTGAGTGTTTTATTTTGCTTTAATTTTGGTCTTCAGATTCAAAGGGTTATTGTTTGTTTGTTTGTTTGTTTTGAGACGGAATCTCGCTCTGTCACCCAGGCTGGAGTGCAGTGGCGCGATCTCGGCTCACTGCAAGCTCCGCCTCCCGGGTTGACGCCATTCTCCTGCCTCAGCCTCCGGAGTAGCTGGGACTACAGGAGCCCGCCACCACGCCCAGCTAATTTTTTGTATTTTTAGTAGAGACGGGGTTTCACCGTGTTAGCCAGGATGGTCTCTATCTCCTGACCTCGTGATCCGCCCGCCTCGGCCTCCCAAAGTGCTGGGATTACAGGCGTAGCCACAGCGCCCGGCCGATTGACGGCCATCCCGTCTCTACTAAAAATAAAAAAATTAGCCAGGCGTGGTGGCGGGCACCTGTAGTCCCAGCTACTCGGGAGGCTGAGGCAGGAGAATGGCATGAACCCGGGAGGCGGAGCTTGCAGTGAAGCGAGATTGCGCCACTGCAGTCCGGCCTGGCCGACAGAGCAAGACTCCGTCTCAAAAAAAAAAAAAAAAAAAAAAACTTTCCTAATGACCTCTTTGCTTCTAGTCTCGTATTTCAATTAGTTGTAAACACCATGGGAAGAGTAAACTTTCTGATAAATCTTTTCTTTACTTTTATTCTTCTTTCAAAATAGTCAATGCTCAGTTTCCTTTTCTAAACAAAATTTAATTAATTAATTAATTAATTTTGAGATGGAGTCTCTGTCTCCCAGGCTGGAGTGCAGTGGCACGATCTTGGCTCGCTGCAACCTCCGCCTCCCAGGTTCAAGCGATTTTTCTGCCTCAGCCTCCCAAGTAGGTGGGATTACACGTGTGTGCCACCATGCCTGGCTGAGTTTTGTATTTTTAGTAGAGATGGGGTTTCGCCATGTTGGCCAGGGTCGTCTCGAACTCCTGACCTCAGGTGATCCGCCCCTCTTGGCCTCCCAAAGTGTTGAGATTACAGGCATGAGCCACCACACCTGGCCCCTTTATTTCTTTTTAGTTTTTGTTTTTGAGACTAAGTCTCACTCTGTCACCCAGGCTGGAGTGCAGTGGCATGATCTTGGCTCACTTCAACCTCTGCTTCCCAGGTTCAAGCAATTCTCCCACCTCAACCTCCGGAGTAGCTGGGACTGCAGGTGTGTACCACCATGCCCAGCTAATTTTTGTATTATTTGGTAGTGACAGGGTTTCACCACGTTGGCCAGGCTGGTCTTGAACTCCTGGACCTCAAGTGATCTGCCCATTTCGGCCTCCCAAAGTAAGGGGATTACAGGCATGAGCCACCGCGCCCCGCCAGTGCTCAGTTTCAATTCTTTAGTTCATTCCCAGGTTACAAGACACATTTCACAGTGGAATTCAAGGCTTTCCTCCATCTGACCCCAACTGACCTCTTCCATTTTGTCTTTAGCGCCTTCATTTAAAGTCATCCACTCACTAAACATACTAGGCTTTCTGCCTTGGCTCAAATTGTTATACTCTTGAATGTGTTGAACTCTCTCTCGTCTTCTCTGACCATCTTAATTCTTATGTATTCTTGAGAAACTATCTAGTTCAAATTCTTTTCCAGGCTGGGCAAGATGGCTCATGCATATAATCCCAGCACTTTGGGAAGCTGAGGCGGGTGGATTGCTTGAGCTCAGTAGTCCGAGACCAGCCTAGGCAACATGGCAAGACCCCATCTCTACAAAAAAATACAAAAATTAGCCAGGTGTGTGGCTGTACCAGTAGTCCCAGATACTTAGAGGGCTGATGTGGGAGGATCACTTGAGCCTGGGAGATCAAGGCTGCAGTGAGCTGGGATCACACCACTGCCCTCCAGCCTGGGCAACAGAGTGAGAACCTGTCTCAAAAAACAACCAACCAAGCAACCACAAAAAAACACCGCCTGCACAAAAACAACAAATTCCATTTCCATAAGGAGTCATTGACCATCCCAATTCTCATTTATTCACTCATTCAACAAATACATAAAGAGCCTATCATATCCAGCTACTATTAGGCAAGGGAATACAACCATGAAAATGATGTAGTCTCTTCCTTCAAAGGGTCTGCAGTTTCTGGAGGAAAGGTTAATTATAATACAAAAATAAGTGACATGATAAAATACACAGTAATAGCATACAGGAACCCCTATCTCCTATTGGGTGTGGTGAACAGGAAAGTTTTTCCAAGTTCTGAAAGATGAATAGAGTTAGCTGGCAAAGAGGAGACAAGGGTATTTCAAACAGAGGACAAGAACATTATTAGAAGCACCACTGCACTCCAGCCTGAGCGACAGAGCGAGACTCTGTCTCACAAAAAAAAATGATAATAATAAAAAATAATTCATAGGAGGGGGCTAAAAGTCTGGATTTGGATTTTTGACAGTGGAAATGGAAAAGAAAGGAATGAGAATACACATTATAAGGAAGGAGGTTATGAAATTTTGGTTAATTAATGGTCTCTAATGATTAGCATGAGCATGTAGAACTCAATGTTTACTGATTATTTGACACTCTAAAATTCTGGTCCATACCCATAGCAGAAATAAAGGGTGAACAAGATGATGAGTTTAAAAATTCAGCTGTTTTAATAAAGTTCATTGTTAATTTTTTTTAAGAAATGAGGCTTTCAGCCAGGCGTGGTGGTTCACACCTGTAATGCCAGCACTTTGGGAGGCCAAGGTGGGCGGATTGCCTGAGGTCAGGAGTTGCAGACCAGCCTGGCCAACATGGCAAAACCCCGTCTCTACTAAAAATACAAAAAAAAAAAAAAATTAGCTGGGCCTGGTGGCACAGGCCTGTAGTCCCAGCTACTCAGGAGGCTGAGGCAGGAGAATCGCTTGAACCTGGGAGGCAGAGGTTGCAGTGAGCCGAGATTGCACCACAGCACTCCAGCCTGGGCAACGGAGCAAGACTCCATCTCAAAAAAAAAAAAAGGAAATGAGGCTTTCAAAAGTCATCTTGAAACTTTATAGCAAGACCTCATTTCTCCAAAAAAAAAAAAAAAAAAAAAAAAAAACATTACCCAAGTGCAGTGGTGCACACCTGTAGTCCCAGCTACTTAGGATGCTGAGCAGGGAGGATTACTTGAGCTGCAGTGAACTATGATCTCACCACTGCACTCCAGCCTGGGCAAGAGAGGGAGACTTCGTCTTAAAAAAGAAAAGAAAAGAAAAGAACATTTAGATGCCAGGCAAATGTTTTATTAGTACAAGGCCAGAAATGAAAATCTCAGGCAATTTCAAGGCCCAGTTGCAATCTACTGCCACCTACTGGGGAGTCAACTGGAGGCTGGAGGGGAAATGTATACTTTATTAATTATTAATTGCTAAACCTATTATACAAACTTATAGTTAGTTTCATAAGGTCATCTATTCTTTCAGATCTTTACTATAAACTGGAATTGTTGTATCACTACCAGATCATGGGCCCTATAGCTTTATTACTGACTGATCAAGCTTGATGCCTTATCCCATTTTAATTCTACTGCTTAGTGAGTGGTTTTAGGATTTCCTTAGGTTAAGAATTTCTTCACTTCTTAGGTTAAAACAGCAGCCAGGTGCAGTGGCTCATGCCTGTAATCCCAGTACTTTGGGAGGCTGAGGTGGGAGGATCATTTGAGCCCAGGAGTTGGAGACCAGCCTGGGCAACAGGCAACAAAGCAAGACCCCATCTTTACCAAAAGAAAAAAAAAATACACCTGGCACGGTGGCTCACACCTGTAATCCCAACACTTTGGGAGGCTGAGGCAAATGGATCTTGTCAGGTCAGGCATTCGAGACCAGCCTGGCCAACATGGTGAAACACCCTCTCTCCTAAAAATACAAATTTAGCCGGGTGTGGTGATGCAGGCCTATAATCCCAGCTACTCAGGAGGCTGAGGCAGGAGAATCACTTGAATCCGGGAGGCAGAGGTTGCAGTGAGTGAGATCACACCATTGCACTCCAGCCTGGGCGACAGAGTGAGACTCTGTCTCAAAAAAAAAAAAAAAAGAAAAAGGAAAAAAATAGTTATGATGGCATGCGCCTAAGGTGCAGCCTGGGTGACAGAGCAAGACCCTATCAAAAAAACAAACAAACAAAAAAAAAACCCACAGCAAAACTTTGCTAGTTGCTTTTACAAGGATGTTGTAAGAAACACTGGCAACACCAAATGTTGGTGAGGATGTTGGGCAACAGGAACTCTCATTAACTGCTGGTGGAAACACAAAATGGTACAACCATTTTGGAAGACAATTTAGCAGTTTCTTACAAAATTAAACATACTCTTACTACACAATCCAATATTCCATGCTTATTAGTATTTACCCAAAGGAATTGAAAATTCATATCCACATAAAACCTGCAGATGAATGTTTATAGCAGCTTTATTCATAATTGCCAAAACTTGGAAGCAACAGAGATTTTCTTTAGTAGGTGAATGGAAAAATAAACTGTTATATCTAGATAATAGAATATTACTCAAAACTAAAAAGAAAGAAGGTATTAAGCCATAAAAAGACATGGAAAAAACTTTGATTCATATTTCTAAGTAAAATAAGCCAATCTGTAAAGCCTGCATACAGTATGAGTTCAATTATATGACATCCTGAGACACTAATGGCCCTCCTAGACAGGAGGCTCACGAGAGTGGTAGGGCTAAAGCCTAAAACCATGCAATGTCTGGGGTTTCCTCTGCTTTTTCAACTCATCATCTTGTTCACCCTTTATTTCTGTCATTGATATGGACTAGAATTTTAGACTGTCAGATAACCAGTAAACATTGAGTTTCAGGCACTCATGGTAATCATTAGAGACCATTATTTAACCAAAATTTCATAACTTCTTTCCTTTTAAAGTCTCTTCTCATTCCTTTCTTTTCCATTTCCACTGCCAAAATTCAGACTTTTAACCCCCTCCTATGAATTATCTTAATAAATTTTCTAATGAACTCTTTGCTTCTAGTCTCCTCTTCTTTCTTTCACTCTTTTTTTTTTTTTTTTTTTGATACAGGGGCCTCATTGTGTCAGCCAGGCTGTAGTACAAATGGCTTTGAACACCTGGGCTCAAGCTATCCTCCCTCCTTAGCCTCCAGAATAGCCGGGACTATGGGCATGCACCACCATGCCTGGCTAATTTTTTAACTTTTAATTTTGTAAAGACAGGGCCTTGCTATGTTGTCATGGCTATTCTGGAACTCCTGGCCTCAAGGGATCCTCTTGCCTCAACCCCTCAATGTGCTGGGATTACAGGCATGAGCCACTGTGCCTGGCCATCTTTCTTATATTTGTATTTTATTTCTGCAACACTATTGTTGGTTCATTTAAGATCATTATCATATTTTATTTGATTGACATGTCCCACTGAGCTTATAGGAACACTTTGTAAGTAGTTGTTCAATTTAGAATGGTTTGATTACAAGAAACAGAGACCCACTTTGCATCAGTATATAATGCTGTTGATGTCAAACCCAGTTCTTAATAGACAAATCTATCCAATCTTAATCAGTTTGACCATAAAGTAAGATTCTCATAAACATTTTATAATTTTTTACAGTTTTTTTGTTTAAGACCAGATCAATGTTCCAATAAAACTCTGTTGTGCTTTTATCCAAATGTTTAATTTACAGATAAACTGAATAATACCTCTTTACTTTTAGCCAATATGCTTACACAGAATTTCTTTTACAAGATTAATCTTTCACAAACCTTCCACAACTTGCTTAAACCTTTAGCTTTATCCTATCTAACTAAAACAATCATTTAGCCTTATAAACTAGGCAAAAAAATCCACATTCCCATGCCTTCGTATACTCTTTTACCAAAATACATTCTACTTTCCCTACACACGTTGCATGTAAAACTGTTTTTCCAATACTCTCAAGTACATGTTACATTGTTAATGCTTAGCAACTTTTACTTTTGATGAAAAACCCAGTAGGTACTAGATGTGGAGCCTAGGAAACTAGACAGAAGTGCAGATAAGACTCTTTGCAGCATAGCTAGGGGGCATGGCTAATTCTGTATGTCCCCAGGCCTTACCTAGCTTTAAAGCAGGCAAGTTGCACAGTTAAGATTCATAGTAGCAGTTTATGAAGGATTTAGCAGGCCTAATGCCCTTTAAAACTACATTTTAAATAAATTCCCTTTTGCAAATCTCCTCATGACTTACATAGACCATCCATGACATGCCTGGACCCTTTGACATATCCCAAACATCTCCCCCATTTAAACAACTAGTCATTTTACTTTAGGACAAGAATGCATCATACAAGATCCTCTCTCACACAAAATCTCTTTTCTTTATAATGTTCCTTACCAAAAATACCTCTTTACCTTTTAACCTTTAAAGTAGACAAGAGTCATTTTCTGGCCAGGTGCAGTGGCTCACGCCTGTAATCCCAGCACTTTGGGAGGCCAAGGTGGGCAGATCACCTGAGGTCAGGAGTTCAAGACCCAGCCTGGCCAACATGGTGAAACCCCGTCTCTACTAAAAATACAAAAATTAGCCAGGCATGGTGGTGCATGCTTGTAATCCCAGCTACTTGGAAAGCTGAAGCAGGAGAATTGCTTGAACCCAGGAAGCGGAGGCTGCAGTGAGCCGAGATTGTGCCACTGCACCCCAGCCTAGGTGGCAGAGCGAGACTCTGTCTCAAAAAAAAAAAATAGTAATAAGGTTATGGTTTCACTACATGTTGTTGTGCAAGTTCTGTTGTGAAGGGGAGCAGATAAGGAGGTTATCTATATACCATAGAAGTTATCCCCCGCTCAAGAGATTGCTCAGTTAGATTTTTTTTTTCTAGAACTTGTCTGAATAAGTGTGGGCTATTTCTAAACCCTGAAGTAGAACTATCTAGGTTGAAATTATTGGTTAAAGATTTAGGTAGCCTTCCCAGGAGTAATAGGGCTATTAGAGGGAAACATGAATTTAGAGGTCGGGTAAATATTAAGCAAGCACCATCTTGACCCAAAGTGGTGTGAATCTTTTCTTTTGGAGGGAAAGGGCGCCATTTGCCCCCATTACCCAAAAGGATTTGGAGGAGAGTTGCTCAGAGGAGGTTAGCACAGAATAGGCAGCTTTTTTTTTTTTTTTCCTGAGACAGAGTTTCACTCTTGTTGCCCAGGCTGGAGTGCAATGGTGCAATCTCAGCTCATCAAACCTCTGCCTCCCGGGTTCAAGTGATTCTCCTGCCTCAGCCTCTGAGTAGCTGGGATTTCAGGCACGTGCCACCATGCCCAACTAATTTTTGTATTTTTAGTAGAGACGGGGTTTCACCATGTTAGCCAGGCTGGTCTTGAAATCCTGATCTCAGGTGATCCGCCCACCTCGGCCTCCCAAAGTGCTGGGATTGCAGGCGTGAGCCACCACACCTGGCCATAGGCAGCTCTTGAACCCAAAAGAGAAATTTATCATTTTACTTGCTGCCTCCAGAATTTCCCTTGGCTTTCTTTTGTTGATGGTGATGTCTGATGTGCAAGCCAGCCAAAATAGAGAGCCCCTTCAGCTCAAGGTCATCAGGGGTTGGGATTCTGCCCCAGGGACCATTTGGCCCTCAGAGCAGTCCTGTTTCCAGTGCCCGAGCTTGTAGCAGAGGGGGCAAGCCATGTGGGTTTTTTTCCCATTTACCCCATTGGGGCAGTTTGCCTTCTAGTGCCTGGCTTCCTGCACCAATGGCAGTGACCTGGGAGGGTTCTCTGAGGGCAACCTGGAGGGGGCTGGAGAGCTTGTAAAGTGGCCAATAGTTGAGCCTGCCTCTGGTCCCTCCTCTTTTTAGCCCTGTCCTCCTTGTCCTGATCATGGTTATAAAAACTGCGGAGGCAAACTTGAAGATTTCCTGCATAAGGGCATTGGGTTCTAAGGCTGACTTTTGTAATTTTCTCCCAGTCTATTTTTAGGCCAAACAGTATTCCAAAGGAAAATTAGTTTTTTTTATTTTAAGGTTTGGGGGAATCAAACTTTTCCTGGTTTTTGGGAATGCATCTGAGGGGCATGTCCTGTGATATGGAGATGTCACTACCCACCTGCAAAGAGAACAGAGGAGGAAAAAAGGAAAAAAGAAGATGTCCCCTCTTATTTTCCTGTTATCCTGAATAGAATGTCCCCCATTCATCCTTCAGGTTCTGGAATGAACCAGTCTTATTGTGTACTCTTAACCTTGGTCCCATCTCATCACAATTACCCACTTGAGAACAGAGGAGATACTGGAGTGAACAGTGGCCCCCCTGTCCATCCTTAGGGTTCTGGAATGAACCGGTCTTTCCGTGGACCCCTAACCTTGCCTTCATGTCTGTTCTAATGAAAATGTGTTAGCCTGGGACCAACTTTCACCTGTGTCCTATGGGTCTCTTGTTCCTGCAGCCTTGGGCCAACCTATATCCTTGTCTCCATGACCTTATAGTGACTCTCGCTTGGAGGATTTTTTTAACAAAATGATTATCTCTGTCCTCAGATTCCCATTTCCCATGCTCATTAAGTAGACAAGCAGCCTTTTTTTCAGCTAACTGCCAAAGAGGGTTGGACTTCTCTCCCTGCTCCCTTCTAATATGACCTTGGGAAGGGCATGGAAATGATTAGAGAAATGGAATCTACAGGAGGAAGTGGGAGGAAGCGAGAGGAATACTCATGGAAAGCCTTTGTAAAAGGGAAATAAATCCTGGGGCCTCAAAATCACTAAGCTAAAGTGAAAAGTCAAGCTGGGAACTGCTCAGGGCAAACCTGCCTCCCATTCTATTCGAAGTCACCCCTCTGCTCACTGAGATAAATGCATATCTGATTGACTCCTTGGGAAAGGCTAATCAGAAACTCAAAAGGGCTGGGCGCAATAGCTCACACCTGTAATCCCAGCACTTTGGGAGGCCAAGGGAGGTGGATCACTTAAAGTCAGGAGTTCAAGACCAGCCTGGCCAACATGGCGAAACCCCATCTCTACTAAAAATACAAAAATTAGACAGGCATGATGTCATGCACCTGTAATCCCAGCTACTCGGGAGGCTGAGGCAGGAAAATCACTTGAACCCTGGAGGCAGAGGTTGCAGTGAGCCAAGATAACGCCACTGCACTCCAGACTGGGTAACAGAGTGACACCCTGTCCAAAAAAAAGAAAGAAAGAGAGAGAGAAAGGAAAGAAAAAGAAAGAAAGAGAAGAGAAGAGAAGAGAAGAGAAGAGAAGAGAAGAGAAGAGAAGAGAAAAGAAAGAGAAACTCAGAAGAATGCAACCATTTGTCTCTTACCTACCTATGACCTGGAAGCCCCCTCCCTGCTTTGAGTTGTCCTGTCTTTTCCGGACAGAACCAGTGTTCATCTTACATGTGTTGATTGATATCTCATTTCTCCCTAAAATGTATAAAATCAAACTGTGCTCTGACCACCTTGGGCACATGTCAGGACCCCCTGAGGCTGTGTTACGTGCGTGCATTCTCGACCTTGGCAAAATAAACTTTCTAAGTTAACTGAGACCTGTCTCAGATGTTCAGCGTTCACAATAATAATCTAACCTGTTATAGTGCTGCGTATGATTCTTTGTTCTTTTCCTGACTTCTCACCCTACCTTTCTCCTAATTCTCCCCATTTTGACACCTTGGTCTTCTGTTATACATTCATATAAAACTCTAATTTCACACTAAACTGGTTTCATGAACTCTTCAAAACATATTGCAACAGATCAATCAACAAGTATTTATTGTGTGCATACCATGTGCCCAGCAAGGTATATAATCTTTTATAGGCAATGACAGCTACAGATTTGCTTATTTCCTGCACTGAGTGTTACTTAGTTGATAGACCATCTGGCTTCAGTTTTTTGTTTTGTTTTTTTTTTTCTTTTAGTTGCAATGATTGAAAACAATGCTTTAAAATCTATATTCCAGTCAGGCGCAGTGGCTCACACCTGTAATCCCAGCACTTTGGGAGGCCAAAGCAGGCAGATCACCTGAACTGAGGAGTTCGAGACCAGCCTGGCAAACATGGTGAAACCCTGTCTCTACTAAAAATACAAAAAGTTAGCTGGCCATGGAAGCACATGCCTGTAATCCCAGCTACTTGGGAGGCTGAGGCACAAGAATCCTTTGAACCTGGGAGGCGGAGGTTGCAGTAAGCCGAGATCGCGCCACTGCACTCCAGCCTGGGTGACAGAGCAAAACTCTGACTCAAAAAAAACCACAAATAAAAATAAATAAATAAAATAAAATCTATATTCTTATCCACATCTCTTGGTCCAGGAAAAAAGCAAAGTGTGGGAAACAGCAATAAATATTTGTGGAATGAATTATTATCATGTTAGACAGATTTTCTATTTTATTTAGCACTATATATACTTTTGCTATATTTTGTACAAATTACAGAATTGTTGTCTAGAAGTCCAGTATGCATTAAAATGGTCACTAGAAATGTGGTTCTAAAGCCAAAAGATGGAGATTTCATTAGAATGTAGAAGAGGAAACATAAATTTAACTCAATTAGTAAATATTATTTTAGCTCATTCCTTATACTAGGAATTATAGCCGGCACTAGATATACAAAGATAAATATCACTGGCTTCATCAAGTTCAATCCCTTCTCACTACATTTTTTTTTTTTTTTTTGAGACAGAGTCTCGCTCTGTAACTCAGGCTGGAGTGCAGTGGTGTAATCTCGGCTCACTGCAACCTCTGCCCCTCAGGTTTAAGTAATTCTCCTGCCTCAGCCTCCAGAGCAGCTAGGATTATAGGCACGCACCACCATGCCCGACTAATTTTTGTATTTTTAGTAGAGATGGGGTTTCACCATGTTGGCCAGGGTGGTCTCAAACTCCTGACCTCGTGATCCGCCCGCCTCGGCCCCCCAGAGTGTTGGGATTATAGGCATGAGCCACCGTGCCTGTTCCCTTCTCACCTTTTCATCAGATTATTTCATTAGCCTCTTGACTACACTGCCTCCCTCCAGTCTTGTCCCTCTTTAAGCCATCCGCCACCTCACCACAGTAGACTATCTAAAATCTAGTACTTTTTACTTTTTTTTTTTAGAGACAGGGTCTTGCTCTGTTGCTCAGGCTGGAATACAGTGGCACAATCATGGCTCACTGCAGTTCCAACCTCCTGGACTCAAGCCATCCTCCCACCTCAGCCTCTGAGAGTACCCAGGACTATGGGCACGTGCTACCACACCTGGTTTTTTGTTTTGTTTTGTTTTATTGTTTTGTTTTTTTGAGATGGAGTTTCACTCTTGTTGCCTGGGCTGGAGTACAGTGGCGCGATCTCACGTCACTGCAACCTCCGCCTCCCAGGTTCAAGCAATTCTCCTGTCTCAGCCTCCCGAGTAGCTGGGATTATAGGCCTGAGCCACCATGCCCGGCTAATTTTTGTATTTTTAGTAGAGATGGAGTTTTGCCATGTTGGCCAGGCTGGTCTCGAACTCCTGACCTCAGGTGATCCACCTGCCTCAGCCTCCCAAAGTGCTGGGATTACAGGCGGAAGCCACCACGCCTGGCCACACCTGGCTAATTTTTAAAATGCTTTTGTGGAGACGGAGTCTTACTATGATTCCCAGGCTGAACTGGAACTCCTGGGCCCAAGCAATCATCCTTCCTTGGCCTCTCAAAGTGCTGGGATTACAGGCATGAGCCACTAGACCTAGCATCTAAAATCCCTTTTTTTTTTTTTTTGAGATGGGGTATCACTCTGTCACCCAGGCTGGAGTGCAGTGGTGCAATCTCAGCTCACTGCAACCTCCATCTCCCGGCTTCAAGCCATTCTCCTGCCTCAACCTCCCAAGTAGCTGGGATTACAGGCGTGCACCACCACACCTGGCTAATCTTCGTATTTTTAGTAGAGATGGGGTTTCACCATGTTGGCCAGGCTAGTCTCGAACTCCAGACCTCAAGTGATTCGCCTGCCTCAGCGTCCCAAAGTGTTGGGATTACAGGCGCGAGCCACCACACCTGGCCACCTGGCTTCTAAAATCGAAATCCAACTTTGCTTAAAACCAACCACAGCAGAAAGTCCAGGTTCTTTAGCATCATAGATAAGACCATCAAGACATTCCTCCCTCTTTTTGTCTCCTATCACTCTCTGCCTTGACATTTATGTTCTAGTTCTATCCAATTTCTTAGGCTTTCTGCACACATACCGTATTAATATATATTATAGCAATATACAGACCATATTAATTTACACTTCTGAGCCTTTGCCCAGGGCCTGAGCCCCTGCCAGCCTTGCATTTCTTAGTGTCTTTGTCCAGCCCAATTTTATTCTTTCTTCAAAGCTCAGCTCACTTCTTCCCTGAAGCCTTTCCTGAATTTGCTGAGTAAGTAATGTAAGTTCTTCCATACGCCTGAGCTTGCCTCTAACATTGCACCTAGCATATTATATTAAAAGGACCTGTGTATGTGTCTTTCCTCTCACCGCTGGCTCTTTTGAGGACAGAGACCATGTCCTTTTCATCTTTGTATTCCCAGTATCCATCAGGGTCCCTGGCCCATAGTTTATCCTTAACTATTTTTTATTGAACCAGATGAAACTGAATTGATATTCTTTAAGACAATTACCCCTTCTTTGACTTTTATATTTGTCAAATTAAATTAAATTTTGCTAATACATTTTTAAACTAATACAACCTACCAAGTCTTGGAGAAGATGTGTCATTTTCATCTATTAATATATTTTTTTTAATGTTGGCCAGATGTATGTGGCTTATGCCTGTAATTCCAGCACTTTGGAAAGCTGAGAAGGAAGGATCACTTGAGCCCAGGAGTTTGAGACCAGCCTGGGCAACATGTCAAGACCCTGTCTCTACAAAAAATACAAAAATTATAGGGGCATGGTGGTTTGCACCTGCAGTCCCAGCTACTTGGGAGGCTGAGGATGGAGGATTGCTTGACCCCAGAAGGTCAAGACTACAGTGAGCTGAGATCGTGCCATTGCACTCCAGCCTAGGCAATAGGGTGAGGCTCTGTCTCAAAAACAAAAACAAAAGAATAAAAGTAGCAGGAACATGGTGAATTTGGGACAAATAACCCAAGGAGAAGGAAGGGGAGGATCTGGAGAGAGGAGGTGGGCCATCTAGCATTTTTGACATCATGAGTGGGTTTTTTTTTTTTTTTGAAATGGAGTCTCGCTGTGTCGCCCAGGCTAGAGTACAGTGGCGCAATCTCAGCTCACTGCAACCTCCACCTCCCGGGTTCAAGTGCTTCTCTCATCTCAGCCTCCCAAGTAGCCAGGATTACAGGCACCCACCACCATGCCTGACTAATTTTTATACTTTTAGTAGAGATGAGGTTTCAACAAGGTTTCACTAAGCTGGCCAGCCAGGCTGGTCTGGAACTCCTGGCCTCAACTGATCTGCCCACCTCAGCCTTTCAAAGTGGATTATTTTTAATAATCAAGAAATGAAATAGGTCAGGCACAGTAGCTCATGCCTGTGTAATCCCAGCACTTTGAGAGGCTGAGGTGGGAGGATCACTTGAGCCCAGGAGGTCAAGATTGCAGTGAGTCCTGAGATTGCACAACTGCACTCCAGCCTGGGTGACAGAGCAAGACCCCGTCTCAAAAAAAAAAAAAGAAAAAAAAAGAAGTGAAATAAATGACTACAATGACCAGAGAAGAAATAGAGACAACGAAAAGTTACCTTTACTGAACTTTATATATATGTATACTAGTATAAAAAATAAAAATAAATATTATAGTACAAAAAAGGAAAACAGCACAACTGTTGATATTCAAAAGATCTCATACCTACCTTCCAGTGTGAACTTTGATCCATCGGTTACACACTGATACTGTAACATTTTATGTAAATAATTGTCCAGTAACTAATAAACACATTTTAATAAAAGCAAACCACCTGCAAAAGGTACAATTTAGGCAACTACTAAATTGTACCACTGATGTAACTTTGGATTTTCTTAACTCCTTTTCTAGATTTAAAACTATTAAAAATTTTAAAAGAATACTACATTTAATTGTAATGATGTATTCAAATGTGGTAAAATACTTCATATATGAACTAACACTTATACTTACCAAATCAAAATATCACAACTTGCAGTTTATGTTCTATCTCACTGTTTTTTTGTGGGATTATTTGTGTGTGTGTGTGTTTTTTTTTTTTTTTTTTGGTTTTTTTGAGAGAGTCTTGCACTCTTGCCAGGCCGGAGTGCAGTGACACAATCTCGGCTCACTGCAACCTCCACCTCCTGGGTTCAAGCGATTCTCCTGCTTCAGCCTCCAGAGTAAACGAGACTACAGGTGTGCACCACCACGCCCAGCTAATTTTTGTATTTTTAGTAGAAATGGGGTTTCACCATGTTGGTCAGGCTGGTCTTGAACTCCTGACCTCAGGTGATCTGCCTGCCTCGGCCTCCCAGAGTGCTGAGATTACGGGTATGAGCCACCATGCCTGGCCTCCTATCTCACTGTGTTTTAAATTTTAAACACAAATTTAAAAGTCAGGTGGTCATACAGAATGTCAAGAATGAAGTAATTCAAATTCTATTTCTTCTATACAAGAAACATTATGCTATCATATCATATTACATATTACTATGCTATAATTGTTTATATCAAATCTGCTAAAACTCAAACTATATATAATAACACAAGGGTCAGAGACATGAACTATGCCCTAAGTGAGCTTGAATCATTCTGAATCTTCATGAACTTATTCCTAAAATGAATGTGTATAGCTGAGTTCATGTGTGACAGGAACCAAGTGTTTACACTGGAGCTTTGCCAGTTAACTTCCAATTAGAATACCATGTTTATTAAAGGATAACTAATAAAACTGTGTCAATTTGAAAATATTAAAACTCTCAACAATCCAGTCACAGTGTTGTCGTACACTTGCAGTCCCAGCTACTCGGGAGGCTGAGGCAGGAGAATTGCTTGAGCCCATCAGGTTGAATCCAGACTGGGCAATACAGTAAGCCCTCATCTCTGAAAAATAAAACATTTTTTAAAAAAAACACCTCTTAAGACCTGGTGCAGTGGCTCACACCTGTAATCCCAGAACTTTGGGAGGTCGAGGTGGACGAGCAAGGTGGGTGGATCACTTGAGCTCAGGAATTCAAGACTAGCCTGGGCAATATAGTGAGACCTTGTCTCTACAAAAAAAAAAAAAAAGGACAAACATCCAAACTATATCAATTGGCTAAAATTTCTGGCACATAGCGATAATGAAAATCATACCAAATTTGTTTTATTTAGCCAATTTTTGTGCAAACAAATAGAAATAATAACATTTTAACTTGTTTGTTCTGTTGTACATTTAAGCCTACTCACTACAAAACCTTTATCAAAGATTTAAGAGCAACAATTGGGAAATAGAGAGTACACATAACTAAAGGGTCTACAGAATCTCTGAAGCACACAGCACACACTTATCCAGCTCATCCTCTGCACCCATGGTGAGTTCCACCTCTGCCCCTGATGGAAACGGTGGCTACAATCAAGGGGGCTATTTGGTCCATGGCAAGGAGAGCAAGGACTTCTGGGAAGGGAGATGGCTGTGGACCTGGTGAGATGGACTCTACTGAGGAGAGGGGCATGAGAGTAACTCCTATACTTCCGTGCCATCTTTGCTTCACCCCCAATTTATGAACAGGTCTCTGTGTGTGGGTATGCACACACACCACATCTTGTCATTTTACTATGCTCCAAGTCTCTTTGGAATTCAGACTTTTGTTTTGTTTTTGTTTTGTTTTTGTTTTTGTTTCTGTTGCCCAGGCCAGAGTGCAGTGGTGCAAACTCGGCTCACTGAAACCTCCACCTCTCAGGTTCAAGCAATTCTCTTGCCTCAGCCTCCTGAGTAGCTGGGATTACAGGCATGTGCCACCACGCCTGGCTAATTTTTTGTATTTTTAGTAGAGACGGGGTTTTACCATGTTGGCCAGGCTGGTCTTGAACTCCTGACCTCAGGTGATCATCCTGGCTTGGCCTCTCAAAGTGCTGGGATCAAAGTGCTAGGAGTGAGACACGGCGACCGGCCTGTTTTTGTTTTGAGACAGGGTCTCATTCTGTTGCCCAGGCTGGAGTGCAGTGGTGTGATCTCAGCTCACTGCAACCTCCACTTCCTGGGCTTAAGCGATCCTCTCACCTCAGCCTCCCCAGTAGCTGGGACTACTAGGCACTTGCCGTCACACCAGCTAATTTTTTGTATTTTTTTGTAGAGACAAGGTCTTGCCATGTTGCCCAGGCTGGTCTTGAACTCTTGAACTCAAGTGATCATTCGCCTTAGCCTCCTAAAGTACCGGGATTACAGGCATGAGCCACCATGCCCAGCCAAGACATTTTAAGTATAAAGTGAGTATCAGAAGAATGAAACAGGAGGCATTAAAGAGAATAGCCATAAAAACAAGCAGAGAAGGAGAGCAGAACAGAAAGAAAAGGGAGCAAATTAGAAGATGAGAAGAAATGTTGGCAGAAACACAGAGTAAATAGTGTAAATTCCCTACGTTCACATCAACTGGCAAAAGGAGAGATGACTAAAGAGTCAACAGGGTCAAGAAAAATTCAAGTAGAAATTTTTTTAAGTTACATTAATTTTCATTGGGAGAAGTTGAATAAATGGGAACTGAGTACTGTTTTTGCAACTTTTTGTGAGGCAAAGTATTTCAAAATAAAAAGTATATGCATATTGTCTTAGCCCATTTGTGCTGCTATAAAGGAATAACTGAGGCTGGATAATTTATAAAGAAAAGAGGTTTTGGCCAGCGGTGGTGGCTTGCACCTGTAATCCCAGCACTTTGGGAGGCTGAGATGGGCAGATCACTTGAGCCCAGGAGTTCAAGCCCAGCCTGGGCAGCATAGCAAGACCTCGTCTCTAATTTTAAAAAAAATTAACCAGGCAGGGTGGCTCCCACCTGTAGTCCCAGCTACTCAGGAGGCTGAGGCTGAGGTGAGAAGATTGCTTGAGTCCAGGAGTTCAAGGCTGCAGTGAGCTGAGATCAAACCACTGCACTCCATCCAGCCTGGGTGACAGAGAAGACCCTGTCTCAGAAAAATAAGTAAATAAAAATAAAAATTTTAAGTTAATTGTAAAACAACCTGAGGCAGGTCCTTCAGGAGTTTTTCCAGAAGAAGGCATTGTTATCATAGGAGATGAGAGTTCCATGTGTGTTATTTCCCTTGGAGACCATCAAGTGGGATAAGATGTGGAGGAGAAAAACAGTGATTTTGATGATTCAGACCCTGTGTAGGTCTAGACTAATGCGTGTATTTGTGTCTTAGTTTTTAACAAAAAAATTTAAAAAGAAAAAAAAATTTAAATAGAACAAAGAATAAGGATATAAAGAATAAGGTAATAAGGATATAAAGAAAGAAAAAAGAATAATAAGGATATAAAGAATAGGGTAATAAGGATATAAAGAAAGAAAACATTTTTTAGACAGCTGTATAATGTGTTTATGTTGTACGCTAAGAGTTGTTAAAATCAAAAAGTTTTGTTGGCCAGGTGCAGTGGCTCATTCCTGTAATCCCAGCACTTTGTAAGGCCGAGGTGGGTGGACCATTTGACTCAGGAGTTTGACACCAGCCTGGCCAACATGGTGAAACCCTGTCTCTACTAAAAATAGAAAAATTAGCCAGGCAGGAGTGGCATGCGCCTGTAATCCCCGCTACTCAGGAGGCTGAGGCAGGAGAATCGCTTGAGCCTGGGAGACAGAGGTTGCGGTGAGCCGTGCACCACTGCACTCCAGTCTGGGTGACAGGGTGAGACCCTGTCTCAAAAAAAAAAAAAAATTAGCTGGGCATGGTGGCGGTCACCTGTAATCCCAGCTACTCGGGAAGCTGAGGCAGGAGAATTGCTTGAACCCGGGAGGCGGAGGTTGCGGTGAGCCGAGATCACGCCACTGCACTCCAGCCTAGGCAACAGAGGGAGACTCTGTCTTAAAACAAAAGAGTCAAAAAGTATTTTTTTAATTAAAAACTTTATAAAGTAAAAAAGTTACAGTAAGCTAAGGTTAATTTATTATTGAAGAAAAAATATTATTTAATAAATTTAGTGTAAACTAAGCATACAGTGTGTATAATGTCTACAGGAGTTGAATGTCCTAGGCCTTCACATTCACCCACCACTCACTCACTGACTCACGCAGAGCCACTTCCAGTCCTGCAAGCTCCATTCATGGCAAGTGCTCTACACAGGTGTACTGTATTTTATCTTTTATACTGTATTTGCACTGTACCTTTTCTATGTTTAGATATGTTTAGGGCCTGGTGTGGTGGCTCACACTTGTGATCCCAGCACTTTGGGAGGTTGAGGTGGGCGGATCACTTGAGCTCAGGAGTTCGAGACAAGCCTGGGCAACATGGTAAAACCCCATCTCTACAAAAAATACAAAAATTAACTGGGTGTGGTAGCATGCGCCCATAGTTCAGCTACTAGGAAGGCTGAGATGGGAGGATCGCTTGAGCCCAGGAGGCAGAGGTTGCAGTGAGCTGAGATCACACCACTATACTCCAGTCTGGGTGACAGAGCAAGACTGACTTAAAAATAAAAAAAGACATATTAGGTACACAAATACTTACCATTGTGTTACAGTTGCCTGCAGTATTCAGTACAGTAACATGCTGCACAGGTTTGTAGCCTAGGAGCCATAGGCTTTGTATAAAAAAGATGTTTGCACAACGACAAAATCACCTAACGACACATTTCTCAGAAAGTATCCCCATCGTTAAGCAAAGCATGACTGCATTTCTTTTCCTGCAGAGCTGCCGTTTCTGTTTTTCATAGTTCTGCATTTATTGATTCACATTGGCATCATTGATAAATGCCCCAACTATTAACTATGTTTTATTCACTGGAACCTATAATTTCTCTTTTATTCTTGTTCATTCTGCTTTCAAATTAAGGTGTTAACATTATTCCCACTTCTAGGAGAGATTTCTTGAACCAAAAACAAAAGTCTTAAAGCTCTGTACTCTAGTGGTATAAAGAACTCCTCAAGTGGGGAGGGATAGCATTGGGAGATATACCTAATGCTAGATGACGAGTTGGTGGGTGCAGCACACCAGCATGGCACATGTATACATATGTAACTAACCTGCACATTGTGTACATGTACCCTAAAACTTAAAGTATAATAATAATAAATTTAAAAAAAAAAAAGAGGCAGCCGCCGCCGCCCGACCGCCGGGAGGATGGAGTTCAGCGGGCAGCGGAGCTGTCTCAGTCTTTGCCGCCGCGCTGGCGAGCGCCGCCCGGGAGGCAGCGGCTGGAGGAGCGGACGGGCCCCGCGGGGCCCGAGGGCAAGGAGCAGCCGCCTGCCTTGGCCTCCCAAAGTGCCGAGATTGCAGCCTCTGCCCGGCTGCCACCCCGTCTGGGAAGTGAGGAGTGTCTCTGCCTGGCCGCCCATCGTCTGGGATGTGAGGAGCCCCTCTGCCTGGCTGCCCAGTCTGGAAAGTGAGGAGCGTCTCCGCCCGGCCGCCATCCCATCTAGGAAGTGAGGAGCGCCTCTTCCCAGCCGCGATCACATCTAGGAAGTGAGGAGCGTCTCTGCCCGGCCGCCCATCGTCTGAGATGTGGGGAGCGCCTCTGCCCCGCCGCCCCATCTGGGATGTGAGGAGCGCCTCTGCCCGGCCGAGACCCCGTCTGGGAGGTGAGGAGCGTCTCTGCCCGGCCGCCCCGTCTGAGAAGTGAGGAGACCCTCTGCCTGGCAACCACCCCGTCTGAGAAGTGAGGAGCCCCTCCGCCCGGCAGCTGCCCCGTCTGAGAAGTGAGGAGCCTCTCCGCCCGGCAGCCACCCCATCTGGGAAGTGAGGAGCGTCTCCGCCCGGCAGCCACCCCGTCCGGGAGGGAGGTGGGGGGGGGTCAGCCCCCCGCCCGGCCAGCCGCCCCATCCGGGAGGGAGGTGGGGGGTCAGCCCCCCCGCCCGGCCAGCCGTGCCATCCGGGAGGGAGGTGGGGGGGTCAGCCCCCCGCCTGGCCAGCCGTGCCGTCCGGGAGGAGGTGGGGGGGTCAGCCCCCCCGGCCAGCCGCCCCGTCCAGAGGTGAGGGGGCCTCTGCCGGCCGCCCCTACTGGAAGTGAGGAGCCCCTCAGCCCGGCCAGCCACCCCGTCCGGGAGGGAGATGGGGGGGTCAGCCCCCCCACCCGGCCAGCCGCCCCGTCCGGGAGGGAGGTGGGGGGGTCAGCCCTCCGCCCGGCCAGCCGCCCCGTCTGGGAGGTGAGGGGCGCCTCTGCCCAGCCGCCCCTACTGGGAAGTGAGGAGCCCCTCTGCCCGGCCAGCCGCCCCGTCCGGGAGGGAGGTGGGGGGGTCAGCCCCCCGCCCGGCCAGCCGCCCTGTCCGGGAGGGAGGTGGGGGGGGTCAGCCCTCCGCCCGGCCAGCCGCCCCGTCTGGGAGGTGAGGGGCGCCTCTGCCCGGCCGCCCCTACTGGGAAGTGAGGAGCCCCTCTGCCCGGCCAGCCGCCCCGTCCGGGAGGGAGGTGGGGGGGTCGGCCCCCCGCCCGGCCAGCCGCCCCGTCCAGGAGGTGAGGGGCGCCTCTGCCCGGCCGCCCCTACTGGGAAGTGAGGAGCCCCTCTGCCCGGCCAGCCGCCCCGTCCGGGAGGGAGGTGGGGGGGTCAGCCCCCCGCCCGCCAGCCGCCCGTCCGGGAGGGAGGTGGGGGGGGTCAGCCCCCCCACCCAGCCAGCCGCCCTGTCCGGGAGGTGAGGGGCGCCTCTGCCCGGCCGCCCCTACTGGGAAGTGAGGAGCCCCTCTGCCGGGCCAGCCGCCCCGTCCGGGAGGGAGGTGGGGGGGGGTCGGCCCCCCTGCCCGGCCAGCCGCCCCGTCCGGGAGGTGAGGGGCGCCTCTGCCCGGCCGCCCCTACTGGGAAGTGAGGAACCCCTCTGCCCGGCCACCGCCCCGTCTGGGAGGTGTGCCCAACAGCTCATTGAGAACGGGCCAGGATGACAATGGCGGCTTTGCGGAATAGAAAGGCGGGAAAGGTGGGGAAAAGATTGAGAAATCGGATGGTTGCCGTGTCTGTGTAGAAAGAAATAGACATGGGAGACTTTTCATTTTGTTCTGCACTAAGAAAAATTCCTCTGCCTTGGGATCCTGTTGATCTGTGACCTTACCCCCAACCCTGTGCTCTCTGAAACATGTGCTGTGTCCACTCAGGGTTAAATGGATTAAGGGCGGTGCAAGATGTGCTTTGTTAAACAGATGCTTGAAGGCAGCATGCTCGTTAAGAGTCATCACCAATCCCTAATCTCAAGTAATCAGGGACACAAACACTGCGGAAGGCCGCAGGGTCCTCTGCCTAGGAAAACCAGAGACCTTTGTTCACTTGTTTATCTGCTGACCTTCCCTCCACTATTGTCCCATGACCCTGCCAAATCCCCCTCTGTGAGAAACACCCAAGAATTATCAATAAAAAAATAAATTTAAAAAAAAAAAGAATTAAAAAAAAAAAAAAAAACTCCTCAAGAAGCTGCCTATGTAAAGGGCAGGGAGGGAGGACCGAATTGTAATTTGCAGATTACTCTACTGACTGTATGTGGCCACCAGGGGGAGGTTAAACTGTGAGGCTCTATTTTAGAGGTGGAGCCCCCTGCAACATTTTTCTTCAGGTGTAATCTTTGCCTTTGACCTGCTCCAAACCCAAATATGTATCCCAGTTAGGGGACCAAATTGGTCAGACAGCTCAGTGATGTTTTCCTTATATAATGTAATGCCTGGGGCCTTTTTCCACTTATTTGTTGCTTCACCAAAGTGCTTAAGAGGCCAGTGTGACAAAGCAAGTGTTCTAAGCAGAAGTGAGGTCCTGAGCATCCCAGTTCTAACCATTACTTTTGTGCCCAGGAGCTCCAGTAGATCACATAGCAAAAAAAACCAAAGTGAACTCAGCTTTTCACAAAGATACATGCTTCTGTTATGATTCAAATAGATCACTCTCAGCCGGGCACAGTGGCTCACGCCTGTAATCCCAGCACTTTGGGACGCCGAGGCAGGTGGATCACTTGAGGTCAGGAGTTTGAGACCAGCCTGGCCGACATGGCAAAACCCCATCTCTACTAAAAATACAAAAATTAGCCAGGCGTGGTGGCGTGCGCCCTGTAATCCCAGCTACTTGGGAGGCTGAGGCAGGAGAATCGCTTGAACCTGGGAGGCAGAGGTTGCAGTGAGCCAAGATCCCGCCACTGCACTCCAGCCTGGGCAACAGAGCGAGACTCCGTCTCAAAAAAAAAAAAAGCAACAAACAAACAAACAAACATAGATCACTCTCAAAGGTGGCTGAAAAAAGAATTTAGGGATCCTGAATACTGAAAAGATAACAGGATCTCTGCCATGACACAAGCTACACTACAACCACGAAGTAAGAAGTCCAACACAATCTGAGCACTACTTGTCCATTTCACAGGTGAGAAATTCAGAGGATAACCTTATAAACAAAAGATCCAGTCAATAGTGCAGTCATTTGTCACTGATAGGCAACAGGAATATTCCAGCATTTATAATTTATAAGAAAACAGAAGTGGGCCGGGTGCGGTGGTTCACACCTGTAATCCCAGCACTTTGGGAGGCTGAGGTGGGTGGATCACCTGAGGTCAGGAGTTCGAGACCAGCCTGGTCAAGATGGTGAAACCCCGTCTCTACCAAAAATACAAAAATTAGCTGGGCATTCATGCAGCCTGCAGAACCATGAGTCAAACAAACCTCTTCTCTTTATAAATTACCCAGCCTCAGGTATTCATTGATAGCAACACAAAATGGACTAATACACTAATCTGAGCAAAAAACTTCTCCTCCTCTAGAAAAAAATCTTTTGTTGCTTTAAGTTGTAAAGAATTGCCAATCACTTCTCAGCCTTTTAGCTACGATTTAAAAAAAAATCATGCCTAAAGAATCCCTCTGCAGTTAGTTTTGAGAGGTGTTTTTGTTTGTTTGTTTGTTTTGAGACAGGATCTTGCTCTGTTGCCCAGGCTGGAGTGCAGTGGCACCATCTCGGCTCACTGTAGCCTCTGCATCCTGGGTTCAAGCAATCCTCCCACCTCAGCCTCATGAGTAGCTGAGACTACAGGCACACACCAACACGCCCAGCTAATTTTTTTTTTTTCTTTTTTTTTGGAGAGACAAGGTCTCACTATATTGCCCAGGCTAGTCTTGAATTCCTGGGCTCAAGTGATCCGCCCACCTTGGTCGTCCACCTCGACCTCCCAAAGTTCTGGGATTACAGGTGTGAGCCACTGCGCCAGGTCTTAAGAGGTGTTTTTTTTTAAAAAAAGTGTTTTATTTTTCAGAGATGAGGGCTTGCTGTATTGCCCAGTCTAGATTCAACCTCCTGGGCTCAAGCAATTCTCCTGCCTCAGCCTCCCGAGTAGCTGGGACTACAAGTGTACGACGACACTGTGCCTGGATTGTTGAGAGTTTTAGTTATTTTCAAATTGACACAGTTTTATTAGTTATCCTTTAATAAACATGGTATTCTAATTGATGTAGGACTTCAGCCCTAGGGGCATTGCCAGAGCGTTTCAAAGAGGTTGCTACCGGTACTACAACAAGTACATCAACGTGAAGAAGGGGAGCATCTCTGGGTTTACCATGGTGCTGGCAGGCTAGATGCTCTTCAGCTACTGACTTTCCTACAAGGAGCTCAAGCACCAGCAGCTACTCAAGTATCACTGAAGAAGAAGGCACACTCCGCACTCCCCCACACGACCTTCTTGGCCCGAGCCCCTCCATAAGGGAGACAGTCTCGATAGTTGCTGAATCCTTTCATATTCTAATGGGAATTAACCTCCAAGGAAAAGATGACTGGTATGTGAAAAATAAATAAATAAACAAACAAACAGATAAATATGTAATACCATGTACCTGCTGTTGACCTGACTTTTCTATAACATTGCTCTCAACTTCATTCATTCATTCATTTAGGAAAGATTTACTCGGAAGATGTTCAGTTTTGTGAAAAAGACAGATATAAAACACTGTCCTAATTTTGTGAAAGAGACAGATATAAAACAACAAGGCTATTTTTGTGGGTAAACACATAGAAATATCATTGTGGAAACGTTCTCAGAATTAAAAATCCAGTATAAAATTCCAGATCCACTTTTTTTTTTTTTTTTTTTTTTTGAGTGGGAGTCTCACTCTGTTGCCCAGGCTGGAGTGCAGTGGCACAATCTAGGCTCACTGCAACCTTCGACTCCCGGGTTTGGTCAACCGGTTCTGCTGTCTCAGCCTCCCGAGTAGCTGGGATTACAGGCACGTGCCACCATGACCGGCTAATTTTTTTGTATTTTTAGTAGAGACGGGGTTTCACCATGTTGGCCAGACTGGTCTCAAACTCCTGAGCTCAAGTGATCCTCCCACTTCAGCCTTCCAAGGTGCTGGGATTACAGGCGTGAGCCACCGTGCCCGGCCAGATCCACATTTTTAACAGACATCAGTTGTAAGTACCACAATATATGTGTTATATTCAACGGTATTTAATATTTAAATCAAAATAATAATACATGATTATATGTATTTTATTTCTACATTTATAATTTTAAAAATCATACTTTTGTCAATGTATAACTCTTTTGCACTTCTCCTAAGTCTTGTGTTAGGTCAATCTGTTTCACAGTCATCACATTTGGGAAAAATCAGAAAAAAGAAGAAAGGGGAAAGCAAGTAATTTGGTATTTCTTAGTCTGTCATACTAAGTAGTTAAATGGTAACTCTGCCAGTCTAGGGCAAAATAGAACAGATTATTATTAATTTCTCAATGCTCCAAATACCTAGTTTGGGAATGTGCATATATATATATATGCTAAATATATTTTATATATATATATGCTAAATATATTTTATATATATATGCTAAATATATTATATATATGCTAAATGTATTTTATATATATATGCTAAATATATTTCATATATATGCTAAATATATTATATATATATACTAAATATATTTTTATATATAGTATTTGTTTTTTAAATAGAGATGTGGTCTTTTTATGTTGTCCAGGCTGGTCTTGAACTCCTGGGCTCAAACAGTCCTCCTACCTCAGCCTCCCAACGTGCTAGGATTACAGACATGAGCCACCACGCCTGGCTGGCAATGTGTATTTCAACAAATATTTCTCCTTATAATCCTGTGGTTCTCAATCCTGGCTGCACATCAGATCCTTAAACAAACTAAAATGTTTTTCAGCCCAGCCTTCTAACATTCAGATTCAGAAGGTGGAAGGGATTTGGGCTCAGACATCTAAATTTTTTTTTTTTTTTGAGACAGTCTCGCTCTGTTGCCCAGGCTGGAGTGCAATGGCACGATCTCGGTTCACTGCAACCTCTGCCTGCCAGGTTCAAGCGATTCTCCTGCCTCAGCCTCCCAAGTAGCTGGGATTACAGGCATGTGCCACCATGCCCAACTAATTTTTTTGTATTTTTAGTAGAGACAGGGTTTCACCATGTTGACCAGCCTGGTCTGGAACTCCTAACCTCAGGTAATCCACCCGCCTCAGCCTCCCAAAGTGCTGGGATTACAGGCGTGAGCCACCGTAACTGGCCAGACATCTGAATTTTTAAAAAGCCACAGAAATGGATTTGATTCATAGTCAGACCTGAGAAATAATGATGTAGTCTGTGGTGTAGACACACTGAACTTACAATCCCTGAAAAACTCTGATCTTCCCACCTCCATGTGTCCAAGCCTAGCCCACTTCTTTCACTAAGCATTTGTAGCCTCCTGAATGGACTCACTCTAGCCCTTTGTTCCTTCTAATATAGTTCCTGTCATTTGCCCTGCACTATTGGGATTATATATCCATATCACCTCTCTTAGTAGACTGAGAACTCTTTGGGAGCAGGGCTACAGCTTCTTTATTTTTAAACACTCTACAATATCCTGAAAGTATTAGATATTCTAAAAAATACTTGTCTTAAGTGCAATGTGGTATCTTATGTTGGATCCTGGAACAGAAAAAAGAGATTAGTAGAAAAACTAGTAAAACTCAAATAAAGTTTGCACTTTAGGAATGCACCAATATAAATTCCTTATTTTTGATAAATGTGTCATGGTTATGTAAGATGTTAACATTAGAAGAAGTTGGGTGAAGGATTTATAGAAACTCTCTGTACTATCTATTGCAACTTTTAGAATTATAAAATCCTAATTTTATCATTTTAAAAATTATAAAATCCTAATTTTATAATTCTAAAAGTATTACAAAATAAATTACTTAAAGCCAAAAAAAAAACCTCTTGATAAAATAAATTTAATTCAATAATCAAAAGTTTTATCCAAATCTTTCCCCACAAAAGTGGCCGGGCACAGTGGCTCATGCCTGTAATCCCAGCACTTTGGGAGCCCGAAGTGGGCAGATCACTTGAGCCCAGAAGTTTGAGACCACCCTGGCCAACAGGGTGAAACTCCATCTTTATTAAAAATACAAAAATTAGCCAGGCATGGTGGTGCGTACCTGTAGTCCCAGCTATTCGAGAAGCCAAGACAGGAGAATCCTTAGAAAGAATTGCTTGAACCTGGGAGGCGGGGGTGCAGTGAGCTGAGATCACGCTACTGCACTCCAGGTTGGGCGACAAGAGCAAGATTCCATCTTAAAATAAAATAAATATAGCCTGTGCGACAGAGCGAGACTCCATCTCAAAAAAAAAACAACGTAATAAATAAATCTTTCCTAACAAAAGATATTTTAACGATGAATGATAAATTGTTAAATTAAAGGCAGTCATATACATATATATATATATAGAGAGAGAGAGAGAGAGAGAGAGAATTAATTGAAAAGATACACAACAAAATGTTAGAGTGATTTCTCTTCAGGTGGTAGAATTATAGATTATAGGTGATGTTTATGTCCTGATTACCTTTATTTTCTAAATTTTCTATAGTAAACAGGTGTTTTTTGGTAATAAAATTTTTTTTTTAATTTAATGTTCTCCAATATGATAACTCTAGAAAGTGCCATGTCATGAACAGTTACAATACATAGCTGTGGGCTTTCTCCAAGGTCCTGGCTCTTATAAAGTAGAGCTTTCTAGGAACTACTCCACTTGACAGGAATTCCCATTTCAGACAGAAGTCAGGGAAGACAGATTCAGTCTCCTGTGCATCCTAGAATTAGGGCAGACACAGAGCTGTTCAGAAAGCCCAAAGTTGGCTCTCGTTAGACGATGCTCTGTTTTATTTTTTTAGAGACAGGGCCTCATTCTGTTGTTCAGGCTGGAGTGCAGTGGTCAATCATAGTTCAACTGTAACTTTGAACTCCTGGGCTCGAGCCACATTCCCACCTCAGCCTCTTGAGTAGCTAGAACTACAGGTGTGTGCCACCATGCCTGGCTAATTTTTTTTTTAAATTATTTGTAGGCTAGGTGCAGTGGCCTGTAATCTCAGCACTTTGAGAGGCTGAGGTGGGAGGATCACTTGAGGCCAGGAGATTGAGACCAACCTGAGTAACAAAGTGAGATCCTGTCTCTACAAAAAACTGTTTAAAAATTACCCAGGCGAGGCAGAGGTTGCAGTGAGCTGAGATCATGCCACTGCACTCCAGCCTGGGTGACAGAGCAAGACTCCATCTCAAAAAAAGAAAAAAATTACCCAGGCATGGTGGTTGTGTGCTTGTAGTCCCAGCTACTCAGGGGGCTGAGGTGGGAGGACTGCTTGACCCAGGAGACTGAGGCGACAATGAGCCACAATCACAGCACTGCACTCTAGCCTGAGTGACAGAGTGAGACCGTGTCTCTAAAAAAAAAAATTATTTGTAGAGATGGGGGTCTCGCTATGTTGCCCAGCCTGGTCTCAAACTCCTGGCCTTAGTGATCCTCCTGCCTTAGCCTCCCAAAGCAATGGGATTACAGACGTGAGCCACCACATCTGGCCAGAAGATTCTTTAGTGGAACCCAGTCTGGGCTGGCAACAAACCACTTACATAGAGTGTGTGTGTGTGTGTGCGCGTGCGCGCGGGCACGCACATTAAAATAACACAACATAAAACTTATCCTTGCAATCATTACCAAAAATTATTTTTCTTTTTACAACAACCTCTTGTCCAACAGAACTTTCAATCATTTTTAAATGTACAATTTAGTGACATTAAGTAAGTATATTCACAATGTTGTACAACCAGTACCACTCTCCACTTCCAAAATTTTTCATGATTCCAAACAGAAACTCTGTACCCATTAAACAACAACTTCCCATTTCTCCTGCCCCTGGTAATCACATTCTACTTTCTGTTTTTATGAATTTGACTACTCCAGGTACCTCACATAAGTGGAATCATACAATATTTGTTCTTTTGTGTCTGGCTTCTTTCATTTAGTATAATGTTTCCAAGGTTCATCCATGTTGTAGCATGTATCAGAATTTCATTTTTTATGGCTGAATAATATTCCATTGCATGCATATGCCACATTTTGTTTATCCATTCATCCGTAAATTGACATGGGTTGCTTTCACACTTTTGGCTATTATGAATAATGGTGCTATGAACATTGATATACAAGTATCTGTTCAAGTCCCAGTGTTTAATTTTTTGTAGTATATACCTAGGAGTGAAGTTGCTGGTCACAAGGAAATTCTATGCTTAACTTTCTGAGGAGCCACCAAACTGTTCTTCACAGTCGCTGCATCATTTTACATTCCTACCAGCAGTGCATGAGGGATCCATTTTTCTCTACATCCGTGTCAACACTTGTTATTTTTCTTTCTTAAAAAATAATAGTCATCCTGGCAGGGTGCAGTGGTTCATGCCTATAATCCCAACACTTTGGGAGGCCAGAGCGGGTAGATCACTTGAGGTTAGGAGTTTAAGACCAGTCTGGCCAACATGGTGAAACCCCATATACAAAAATTAGCCGGGCATGGTGGTGGGTGCCTGTAATCCCAGCTATGCAGGAGGCTGAGGCAGGAGAATCACTTGAACCCAGGAGGCAGAGGTTGCAGTGAGCTGAGATCGTGCCACTGCACTCCAGCTTGGGTGACAGAGCGAGACTCTGTCTCAAAAATAAATAAATTAAATAAATAAATAAATAAATAAAATAGTCATTCTTATGGTGTGAGAGTCACTCACATTTTATATGTCCTCTGTATCCTTAGCAAGCACACTACAAATACTTGTACTTGTTTGTTAAGATTTGCCACACTGGCCAGGTGCGGTGGCTTATGCCTGTAATCCCAGCAATTTGGGACGCCAAGGCTGGTGGATCACCTGAGGCCAGGAGTTTGAGACCAACCTGTTCAACATGGCGAAACCTCTTCTCTACTAAAAATACAAAAATTAGCCAGGCGTGGTGGTGCATGCGTATAATCCCAGATACTTGGGAGGCTGAGGCAGGGAGAATCACTTCAACCCATGAGGAGGAGGTTGCAGTGAGCCAAGATCATGCCATTGCACTCCAGCCTGGGTAACAGAGCGCGACTCCATCTCAAAAAAAAAAAAAAGAAAGAAAAGAAAGAAAAGAAAAGAAAAAAGAAAAAGATTTGCCACACTAATGAATATTTGACCCAGAGCAGTTGAAATGCAAATTTACTCTGTTTTCCTTTCCCAACCCAGGACACCTCCTAAACACTTTACATAGAAAAACAGGCATGGAACTAGAGGGCCATGCATGGGAAAGCATGACAGTGAGGGCAGAAAGAGTTCTGAGGGAGAGGCTGGGGAGGGCAAGCACAGAGTCCAAGGAAACCAAGCAGAGCCAAAGGACAGAAGAAAGCGATGAGGCCGGGCACGGTGGCTCGTGCCTGTAATACCAACACTTGTAGAAGACCAAAGCAAGGGGATTGCTTGTGCCCAGGAGTTCAAGACCAGCCTGGACAACATAGGGGGATCCTCCCATCTCTATAAAAAAAATTTTTAAAAATAGCCAGGCATGCTGGCATGTGCCTGTAGTCCCAGCTACTCAGGAGGCTGAGATGAGAGGATCGCTTAAGCCAGGGAGGTTGAGGCTGCAGTGTGCTGTGACAGAGTGAAATCCAGCTTGGATGACAGAGTGAGATTCTGTTGGAAAGGAAGGAAAGGAGAGGGGAGGGAAGGGGAGGGGAGGGGAGGGAGAAAGGAAGGAAATAAAAGGAGAGAAAAAAATTAAAGAGTTAAGGGGTGGGAACAAGAGACCAAAAATTCAATGGACATTTTACCCAAATGGAAATATTACCAACTGTCACTCATCTGAACAAAGCCTGCCAGAAAAGCCAGTTTGGCCGCTCGGAAGAAGGAGAGGGTAAAAGTCAAAGCTTCTGACTTGAGCCTTGAAAACATATCTGGACATGACTCTTACATTTTGATCTTTTTGGGTTACTTTGCTAATCCCCACCTTGATTTAAGTGATTTCTGAAATTAACTTCAGCATTACGTAATCACAAAACTATTCAGGCCTCTACGATGAAACGCCTTTCACTAGCTTTTGAAAATAGATGTCTGGGTGTGTGCAAGCAGGCAATTACCAAACTGGCATGTCTTGTATGCCATTCCACCCCACAAAGCATTTTGTGGATCAAAAACAGTCTTTAACTGTTAAAAGAAAAAAATTATTTCCATTTTTTAATTTTTGCTAGAATTGTTAGATTTTATAAGAAGACTTACACTTTAACTTTTTTTTTTTTTTTTGAGACAGGGTCTCACTCTGTCATCCAGGCTGAAGTGCAGTGGTGTGACGTGCGGTCACTGCAACCTCTGCCTCCGGGGCTCAGGCAATCCTCCTACCTCAGACTCCTGAACAGCTGGGACCATAGGTGCATGCTACCATGCCCAACTAATTTTTATTTTTTATTTTTTTTTGTAGAGACAGTGTTTCACCATGTTGCCCAGGCTGGTCTCAAACTCCTGACCTCAAGCGATCTGCCCTCCTCGGCCTCCCAAAGTGTGGGATTACAGCCGTGAACCACCTCGCCTGGCCTTAACTCTTTTTTTTTTTTTTTTTTTTGAGATGGAGTCTTGCTCTGTCGCCCAAGCTGGAGTGCAGTGGCATGATCTCGGCTTACTGCAACCTCCGCCTCCTGGGTTCAAGTGATTCAAGTGCTAGGATTACAGGCGGGAGCCACCATGCCCGGCCCTGGCCTTAACTCTTAATAATTAACTTCTAAGCTTCAAGTTTAAAAATTTAAAAATTGTACATTTTTTTTTTTTTTTTTTTTTTTGCTTATTGTTGCTAAAATTAACTCCTATTCCTAAAGATGCATTTCTTCAGTTTCACATCTAGGCTTGGTGGTCTGAAAGATTAAAAAAAAAAAAACCTGAAAATCGAAAACAACCCTTGTGAAAAATATTAATATTCTTCCTAAGAAAAATATTTTAAATTCTCTTGAAAATTTTTTTATAAAAATGAACATATTTTTAATAGAACTCTGATCCATTATGCCACTCTCCCAAACTAATTTCATTTCTGATTTCTGGGCATGACTAACTGATGTCTTTGGAGACCTTCAGGGAAACCCTTGTGTGCTCAGAGACGTAATACAGGTGACTAAGACAAATGTTCATCTGAGTCAGTGCTTAGGTGATATTGTTTATGCAACATTTAAAATGACACACATGGCTGGGTGCGGCAGCTCACACCTGTAATCCCAGCATTTTGGGAGGCCGAGGTGGGCAGATCACCTGAGGTTAGGAGTTCGAGACCAGCCTGGTCAACATGGTGAAACCCCGTCTCTACTAAAAATACAAAAATTAGCTGGGCATGGCAGCACGAGCCTGAAATCCCAGCTACTCGGAGGCTGAGGCAGGAGAATCGTTTGACCCCAGCATACAGAGGTTGCAGGAGCCAAATTGCATCATTGCATTCCAGCCTGAGCAACAAAAGTGAAACTCTGTCTCAAAAAAAATTAAAAAATAAAATAAAATAAAATGACATATATGGCATACCAGCAATTTCAGGCTGAAATTTTAAGGCTCCAGGTAGTCATTATCTCAGCTGTTGCTGTAGGACATTTCAAGAATCTATTTACAACCCATCTTCTCTCTCTTAATCTCTGCTAAGGCTCCTTTTTTATACCTGTCAATTAATTTATATATACCAGAGAGTCAACCAAATACTTATTGAGACTCTTTTGTAAACACCACATGACAGGGATCATGAAGGGTGGAGATGATTCTTGGTGATTCTTGGTCTTTAGAGAAGTTACTTTTTTTTTTTTAAACAGAGTCTTGCTCTGTTTCACAGGCTGGGGTGCAGTGCATGAGCTGGGCTTACTGCAACCTCTGCCTCCCGGGCTCAAGTGATCCTCCCATGTCAGTGTTCTGAGTAGCTAGGACCACAGGCATGTGCCACCACGCCTGGCTAATTTAATTTTTTTTCTAGAGACAAGGTCTGTCTATGTTGCCGAGGCTGATTTCAAACTCATGGGCTCAAGATATCCTCCTGCGTCAGCCTCCTAAAGTGCTGGGATTACAGGTGTGAAATCTTATTTAAAAAAAAAAAGTCACTTCATCAGGCTCAATGGCTCATGCCACTGTTGGGATTACAATCCCAACACTTTGGGAGCCCAAGGCACAAGGATCACTTGAGCCCAGGAGTTTGAGACCAGCCTGGGCAACATAATGAGACTTTGTGTCTCCAAAAAAAAAATTAATTACTTGAGTGTGGTGGTACGTTACTGCGTCCCAGCTACTCGGGAAGCTGAGGTGGGAGGATTACTTGAGTCCAGGAGATGGAGGCTGCAGTGAGCCATGATCAGGCCACTGTACTCCAGCCTGGGTGACAACACTAGACCCTGTCTAAAAAAATTCACAACATACCCTCCTTCTTAAAAAAGCTATGTTTATTATATATATAGCCTTCTATCATAATTAGTTATTTAAATGCCTGTCTCACTCAAAAGAAATATATAAATACTGGAGGACAGGAATAAAAACTGTCCAGGAAGCAGGTTTTATTCTTCCATGATCTCTCACAGTGCAGTGCATATTTGTTGAAATATATAAACAGAAGGACCACAAGAAGTATCATACATTTCTATAGTTTATTCATTTTCAAAACTCGGCACAAGATTTCCAATAGAAACTCTTTTAAATTAGTGGTTCAATTTTCAAGCTAGTGGTCCAAACTGATAAAAATGGAGGTTTAGTCACCAAACCTACAATACTGGAAGTTGAATTTTTAATGCTATATTGGTATCTCTTCTAGAAAGTGAGGTCTAGGAGAGCAGGAAGCATGTGTATCTTGGTTTATCAGTAAGGATACTTTTGCTACAAGCAACAGGAATCAGCTCTGGGGAGCCTGATGTGTAGAGTTTGGTCAATAAAGCAGTATGACAGAGGAGCACAGAGTATACTGTAGGACAAGATGGGGAAGGGAGATAGAAGATTTCAAAGAGATTGTTTCATTTAAGGTGAATCTTAGAGAACAAGCACATTTCCAGGCAGACAAGAAGAGAAAGGATCATTCAAATGGAAGTTAGAGCCCGTGCAAACAAAGGCTGGGAAATGTGAGATGTCTTAGTCCACTTGGGCTGTTAAAACAAAATACACTAGACCAGGTAATTTACAAACAACAGAATTGATTGCTCACAATTCTGGACGTTGGGAAGTCCAAGATCAAGACACTGGTAGATTTGGTATCTGGTGAAAGCCCGTTCCTCATAGACAGCATCTTCTTGCTGTGTCCTCACGTGGCAGAAGGGGCAAACAAGCTCTCTTGGGCCTCTTTTATAAGGGCACTCAACTCATTTATGAGGGTGAAGCCCTCATGACCTAATTACCTCCCAATGGCCCCATCCCTAATACTATTATATTAGGGATTAAGTTTCAACATATGAATTTTGGGGAGAACAAACATTCAGCCTATACGAAGAGGTTATTTGAGGCATCCAGTGAATGGCTGTAGTTCAGTACAGTAGGAAATAAAAATTTTTAGTATTCATTCATTGATTCACATGTTAAATATTTATTGTTTGCTATGTAACTAGTATAGTAGATGCTCTCAAAAAATTAATTGACTACTTAAAAATAATTGTTTTTGAGACAGTCTCACTCTGTCACCTAGGCTGGAGTGCAGTAGCATGATCTCAGCTCACTGAAACCTCCACCTCCTGGGTTCAAGCAATTCTCCTGTCTCAGCCTCCCGAGTAGCTAGGACTACAGGCATGAGCCACCATGAGTTGAGGTGGGCAGATCGCCTGAGGCCAGGAGTTCGAGACCAGCCTGGCCAACATGGTGAAACCCCATATCTACTAAAAATACAAAAATTAGCTGGGCGTGGTGGCCCACACCTGTAGTCCCAGTTACCTGGCAGGCTGAGGCACAAGAATCACTTGAACCCAGGAGGTGGAGGTTGCAGTGAGCCAAGATCGCACCACAGTACTCCAGCCTGGGTGACAGAGCAAGACTCAACCTAAGAAAAAAAAAAAACAGAAGAAGAACAAGAAGACATCACAGAAACAAAAAAAAGTTGTTTAGAAGAGAGATAACACAGGCATTAACTGAAAAAAAAAATGTAGTTAGAGGGACTGATTCCAGAAATATTCAAAAGGTAATTGACAGACTTGAAATCTCTTGGCTGTGGGAACTGAGGGAGAGGTAGCACAGTCTAAGATAAGAGCTAAATCACTGGATAATTGGCACTATCTAAGATGAGGGAAGGAGCAGTTTTGGGAAAAGATAATGTGGCACCTCCAGGAGGATATGTCTGCAGTCAGATCTAGAGCTCAGGAGATAAGGATGTAGGAGTCAGCCTGAGCCGGTAATTAAAGGAATGGAAGCAGATGAAATTGCCTGGGAGAGTACGTAGAATGAGAAAGAAAGGAAAGAGCCTAAAATAGAAGTTTGATGTTTAGCCAAGTCTCCAATGAACCACACCTCCCACTATTTGTGCCATTCCCTTTCCCTCCCACATTGAGTCTGGGCTAGCAATGTTTTTTTGGTTTTTGTTTTTTTGTTTTTTCCTTCCTTCCTTCCTTCCTTCCTTCCTTCCTTCCTTCCTTCCCTCCCTCCCTCCCTCCCTCCCTTCCTTCCTCCCTCCCTCCCTTCTTTCCTTCCTTCCTTCCTCCCTCCCTCTCTCTCTCTCTCTTTCTTTCTTTCTTTTTCCTTCTTTTTTTGACAAGGTCTTGCTCTCTAGAGTGCAGTGGCATGATCACAGCTCACTGCAGCCTCAACCTCCAGGGCCCAAGCAATCCTTCCACCTCAAACACTAGAGTAGCTGGGACCACAGGACCACAGGTGTGTATTACCATGCCTGGTTAATATTTTTTAAATTTTTTGTAAAGAAGAAGTCTCCCAGCCAGATGCAGTGTCTCACACCTGTAATCCCAACACTTCGGGAGGCCAAGACGGGCGGATCACTTGAGGTAAGAAGTTCGAGACCAGGCTGGGCAACATGGTGCAACCCTGTCTCTACTAAAAATACAAAAATTAGCCAGGTGTGGTGGCATGCCCCTGTAGTCCCAGCTACTCGGGAAGCTGAGGCAGAGAACTGCTTGAACCCAGGAGGCAGAGCTTGCAGTGAGCCAAGATTGAGCCACTGCATTCCAGCCTGGGTGACAGAGCAAGACTCCATCTCAAAAAAAAAAAAAAAAAAAAAAAAGAAGGGATCTCCCTACATGGCCCAGGCTGGTCTCAAACTCCTCAACTAAAGTGATCCTTCCACCTTGGCCTCTCAAAGTGCCAGGATTACAGTCATAAGCCACCCTGCCAGGTTGGCTGGCAATGTTTTGTATTTTTATTGTGATAATCGTTACAAGACCACACACATTTAAAAACCTTAACAAATGGTACACCTAAAATGGTATATTTATATGTCAATTATACTTCAATAAACCTGAGTTTTATAACAAGGAGGAATAAAGCAAATGAAAAATTATATAATATTCTCATTCTATTATAGCCAATGACCTTGAGAACTAGAATGAAAGTATCAGTATGACTTAAGATGTACTTTATTAAAAAGAAAAAAGAGGCCGGGTGCGGTGGCTCATGCCTGTAATTCCAACACTTTGGGAGGCTGAGGTGGGCGGATAACTTGAGGTCAAGAATTCAAGACCAGCCTGGCCAACATAGTGAAACCCTGTCTCTACTAAAAATACAAAAATTAGCTGGGCGTGGTGGCATGTGCCTGTAGTCCCAGCTACTCAGGAGGCTGAGGCTGGAAAATTGCTTGGACCTGGGAGGTGGAAGTTGCAGTTAGTCAAGATCATGCCACTGCACTTCAAGCTGGGTGACAGAGCAAGACAAAGAAAGAAAGAAAGAAAGAAAGAAAGAAAGAAAGAAAGAAAGAAAGAAAGAAAGAAAGAAAGAGAGAGAGAAAGGAAAGAAAGAAAAGAAGAAAGAAAAAGAAGGAAAGAAAGAAAGAAAGAAGAGAAAGAGAGAGAGAAAGAAAGGAAGGAAGGAAGGAAGGGAGAAACAATGACCAATCCAATAGCAATAAACAACTCTAACATCCAAACGGTGGTCTTGGAACCCACAGAATGGGAGAAAATCTTCACAATCTATACATCTGACAAAGGACTAATATCCAAAATCTACAGTGAACTCAAACAAATTAGCAAGAAAAAAACAAACAATCCCATCAAAAATTGGGCTAAGGACATGAATAGAGAACTCTCAAAAGAAGATACACAAATGGCCAACAAACATGAAAAAATGCTCAACATCACTAATGATCAGGGAAATGCAGACCAAAACCACAATGCGATACCACCTCACTCATGCAGGAATTGCCATAATCAAAAATAAAAAAAATAATAGATGGTGATGTGGATGCGGTGAACAGGGAACTTCTACACTGCTGGTGGGAATGTAAACTAGTACAACCACTATGGAAAACAGTGTGGAGATTCCTTAAAGAACTAAAAGTAGAACTACCATTTGATCCAGCAATCCCACTACTGGGTATCTACCCAGTGGAAAAGAAGTCATTATAAGAAAAAGATACTTGCACACACATGTTTATAGCAGCACAATTAACAATTGCAAAAATGTAGAACCAACCCAAATGCCCATCAATTGAGTGGATAAAGAAACTGTTATATATATATATATATGATGGAATACTACTAAGCCATAAAAAGGAATGAATTAATGGCATTTGCAGCAATCTAGATGAGACTGGAGACTATTATTCTAAGTGAAGCAACTCAGGAATGGAAAACCAAACATCATGTATCATCATATGTTCTCACTCATAAGTAGGAGCTAAGCTATGAGGATGTGAAGTCATGAGAATGACACAGTGGACTTTTGGGACTCAGAGGGAAAGGGCGGGAAGGAGTTGAGGGATAAAAGACTACAAATTGGGTGCAGTGTATACTGCTCAGGCGATGGGTGCACCAAAATCTCACAAATCACCACTAAAGAACTTACTCATGTAACCAAACCTGTTCCCAAATAACCTATGGAAATAAAAAAATTTAAAAAAAACAAAACTGTGGTCTTAGAATACCATTTCCCGCTGAAAGAACACAAAACTTTTTTGGGGAAAAAAAAGCTGGGGATCAAGGCAGGAACTGTATAAGATGAATCATGTCATACCAGAGAAGGGGAAAAAAATCTACCAAAAACTGATAGACGCTGGGTGTGATAGCTCATGCCTATAATCCCAGCACTTTGGGAGGCTGAGGCAGGAGGATCACTTGAGGCCAGGAGTTTGAGACAAGCCTGGTCAACATAGCAGGACTGTCTCATTTAAAGAAACAAAACAAAAAATGGGTAGAATGATGTTAAAAGGATTTGGGATCAATGGCAGACTAGATAAAGAAAATGTGGTACATATACATCATGGACTGCTATGCAGCCTTAAAAAATAATGAGATCATGTGCTTTGCGCAATAGGATAGAGCTGGAGGCCATTATCATAAGCAAACTAACACAGACACAGAAAACCAAATACCACATGCTCTCACTCATAAGTGGTAGCTAAATAACAAGAACACGTGGGTATTAGGAGGGGAACAACAGACACTAGGACCTCCTTGAGGGTGGAGGGTGGGAGCAGGGAGAGGATCAGAAAAAATATCTATCAGGTACTATGCTTATTACCTGGGTGACTAAATTATCTGTACATCAAACACCTGTGACATGCAGTTTACCTATATAATAAACCTGCACGTGTACCCCTGAACCTAAAATAAAACTTAAAAAAAAAAAAGGATTTGATAGCTAATTTGAAGATGTTGCCATTGGCCATTGATGAAACAACTTGACTGTCAATAAAAATTAAAATATGGCCAGGCGCGGTGGCTCACACCTGAAATCTCAGCACTGTGGGAGGCTGAGGCAGGCAGATCACTTGACGTCAGGAGTTCAAGACCAGCCTGGCCAACATGGTGAAAGCCTACCTCTACTAAAAATCCAAAAATTGGTCAGATGTAGTGGGGGGCACCTGTAATCCCAAGTACCTGGGAGGCTGAGGCAGGAGAATCTCTTGAACACAGGAGGTGGAGGTTGCAATGAGCCAAGATTGAACCACTGCACTTCAGCCTGGGCTACAGAGTAAGACTCTGTCTCAAAAAAAAAAAAAAATGTTTAAGTTCATATGTTCCTAATGATATCAAGGAAAAATTCGATCTTCATGGCAGGATGCTTGGGAATCAACTCTATATTTTGAAAACTGGTAAGTGAAAGGAAAGACTCAATAATTTATCTTGCCTTTCCTATGAATATACCATGGAGTAGTCAAGTAAGTGATGAGGGGAAGTTTCTTCTTATGGAAGCATTCCAACAATAAATGAAGAAGGATTGATAGAATTGGAATATCATCATTTTGCAACTGTTATGAAATGCGCTACAATGGAAGCTAGCAACACAAAAAGAGAACCAGCCAGATATTATATGCTTCTCGAAGAAGAAGACAACACCTATGCGGGAGTCTTCTTTCAAAAAAATCAAACCTGAATCTGATAAAACCTCTGGATTCCATTATCAATTTGCAGGAAGTACAGCAGGCAGAGAATAATGATAAACAAACTATATTATAAGGTTGCAATTAAGCTGGGCACAGTGGCGCAGGTTTGTAATCCCAGCACTTCAGGAGGCCAAGGCAGGTGAATCCTTCGAGCCCAGGAGTTTAAGACCAGCCCCGGCAACATGGGCGAAACCCTGTCTCTACTAAAAATAAAGAAAAAAAGTAGCCAGGCGTGGTGGTGGATACCTGTAGTCCCAGCTACGGGGGAGGCTGAGGCAGGAGAATGGTGTGAACCCAGGAGGCGGTGCTTGTAGTGAGCAGAGATCATGCCACTGCACTCCAACCTGGGTGCCTCGGTGACAGAGCAAGACGCTGTCTCAAAAAAAAAAAAAAAGAAAGAAAGAAGGTAACAATGAACATAAAAGTCAGGACAGCAAATAGTTTTTGTGGTGAGGGGATTTCTGTTTGGGATAGGTATATGAAAATATGAATGGCTTCTGGAGTGACTGGCAAGATTCTGTCTTCTTTCATGTAGAAAGAAAGAAGAAAACTAACATACAACTTAATAAATTATATAAAGCAAAGTGTTTGCCTTATTTCTGTATTTGTGTTATGTTTTAAAAATTAAAAATCAGGGCCAGGCGCAGTGGCTCACGCCTGTAATCCCCACACTTTGGGAGCCCAAGGCGGGCAGATCATCTGAGATCGGGAGTTCAAGACTAGCCTGACCAACATGGAGAAAACCCATCTCTACTAAAAATACAAAATTAGCTGGGCGTGATGGCGCATGCCTGTAATCCCAGCTACTCAGGAGGCAGAGGCAAGAGAATCGCTTGAACCCAGGAGGCTCAGGTTGCAGTGAGCTGAGATCGCACCACTGCACTCCAGCCTGGGCAACAAGAGCGAAACTCCGCCTCAAAAAACCCAATGCCAAACCAAAACCAAACCCAAAACAAACAAACAAAACAGGTTTAATATGTCTCCCAAAATGTAAAATGATACAACCACTTCAGAAAACTGGCAATTCCTAATGAATTTAAATGTATACTCTATGATGCAGCAATTCTACTCATCAGGTAATTTCCCAAGACAAAATAAAATGTACAACTATGAAAAGAGTTGTACACAAATGTTTATAGTAGCTTTATTCAAAACTGCCTGAAAAAAATCTGGAAACAGTCTAAATGTCCATCCATATGAAAATTAATAAGCAAATTGTGGTATATCCATACCGTAGAATACTATTCATCAGTAAAAAGAACTATTACATGCAACCAGGTGGATAAATCTCAAAAACTTGCTAAACAAAATAAGCCAGACACAAAAAAACACATGTTATATGATTCCATTTATATGAAGTTCAACATCAGGCAAATCTAATCTATAGTAATAGTACTCAGGATAGTGGTTAACTCTGGATGGCAAAAAATTTATACTTCCCACGAAGTTTGGGGGCTTGGAAAATTACATTATAAATCCCTTAGTTTGAGTCATTTTTATTAATAGAAAACTAGTTTCTCTTCACCCTCACTAAGGAAATGTCGAACAAACACTGACAGTATAGCTGTTAACTAGAAGGGGTATCAAATTTTCAATCTGGGGCCAGGCACCGGGGCTCACACATGTAATCCCAAAACTTTGGGAGGTCTAGGTGGGTGGATCACCTGAGGTCAGGAGTGTGAGACCAGCCTGGCCAACATGGTGGAACCCTGTCTCTACTAGAACTATAAAAATTATCTGGGCGTGGTGGCAGGCCCCTGTAATCTCAGCTACTCCGGAGGCTGAGGCAGGAGAATTGCTTGAACCCTGGAGGTGGAGGTTGCAGTGAGCTAGGATCATGCATGCCACTGCACTCCAGCCTGGGCAACAGAGTGAGGCTCTGTCTCATAAAAAACAAAAAACAAAAAAATTTCTGCCAGGTGCGGTGGCTCACGCCTGTAATCCCAGCATTTTGGGAGGCCAAGGCAGGAGGATCACGAGGTCAGGAAATCGAGACCATCCTGGCTAACACGGTGAAACCCCGTTTCTACTAAAAATACAAAAAATTAGCCCGGCGAGGTGGCGGGGGCCTGTAGTCCCAGCTACTCGGGAGGCTGAGGCAGGAGAATGGCGTGAACCCGGGAGGCAGAGCTTGCAGTGAGCCGAGATCGCGCCACTGCACTCCAGCCTGGGCGACAACGAGACTCCGTCTCAAAAACAAAAACAAAAACAAAAAAACATTCTGTCTGTCCCTGGGAGTATCTGTCGTGAACACAGGCTATGGAGAAAAGAAAGGAACATACCGTTGAGGGGGTGAGGTGGTGGAGAGTGTCGCTTGAATGCAGAAATACCTTGCCTTCACCATGCCACAGTTCTCTTTCTAGCCAGTTCTCCTGAACGCCCTTGAGTTAAGAGACTGTCCACCATTTAAGTTCCTCCTGAAAGGGTAGCCAAGGAAGGAGGGAGCTGCTAGGCAAGTGCCGTCTTTCCAGTCAGAGATGTGTCTTACTGTATTATTTAACTTAATTATTATTTTTTATTGTTATTATTAATATTATTTTGGGATGGAGTCTTGCTCTGTCGCCCAGGCTGGAGTGCAGTGGCGTGACTTGGCTCACTGAAACCTCCGCCCCTTGGGTTCAAGCCATTCTCCTGCCTCAGCCTCTGGAGTAGCTGAGATTACAGGCATACACCACCATGCCTGGCTAACTTTGTATTTTTAGTAGAGACGGGGTTTCACCATATTAGCCAGGCTGGTCTCAAACTCCTGATCTCGTGATCCACCCGCCTCAGCCACCCAAAGTGCTGGGATTACAGGCGTGAGCCACTGCGCACAGCAATTATTATTATTATTAGAGACAGAGCCTCACTCCAGTTGTCTATTATGGAGTGCAGTGGTATGGTCTCAGCTCACTGTGGCCTCGACTTTCCCAGTTCAAGCGATCCTTTGACCTCAGCCTCCCAAGTAGCTAGGACTACAGGCATGCACCACCACACCCGGCGAATTTTTTAAACTTTTTGTCGAGACCGGGTTTCACCATGTTGCCCAGGCTGGGCTCGAACTCCTGGGCTTAAGCAATCCTCCGGCCTCCGCCTGCCGGCGTGAGCCCCCACGACCGGCCATGTTTATTGTTATTATTTTTAGAGACAGGGTCTCCCTCTGTCGTCCAGGCTGGAGTGCAGTGGCGTAGTCACGGCTCACTGCAGCCTCGACCTGCCAGGCTCAAGCAATCCTCCCGCCTCAGCCTCCGGAATAGCTGAGATGATGGCTCCTATAGCGGCTGGCTCAGACACGTGCGTTTCCAGTTTCAGCTACTAGAGGGCAGAATTGTGGCAGCAGCAACTGTGAAATGTTTCCAGAAATGGAGACGCTGGAGGTTGAATTAGGCATCTCGCCAACTAAAAAGCAAGAAAAAATACGGGCCAGAAAAGGTACGGGAAGCAAGGGCTGGGCACAGCTGGTAGGCGGAATAAGGGTGTGGACAGACCTGGAGCTGAGGTGGCAGCAGGCTACTGAAGACTGCTGAGCTGCCGCATGAAAGAAACTCAGCCCCCACTCCCACTTCCCCCACACCCTCCCCACCCCCGACCCTGATTTTGCCTCTGACAAGGATATCCAAGGTGTGGCTACTGCAAAATAGGATCTGTAAGCCTGGACGTTTACACATCTCTTAGAGCCGGGTGAATCCACCCAGTGAAGAACAGTCTACGGAGGGATCCTCCCAGGAAAGTTGGAGGGAGACCAGAAGCAAGTACAGACAGAAAATGGGGGTGGCCTGTAGAAATGGAGGTATGATTTTTCAGGGGAGTGGTGGAGAAATTCTCCTCAGTCAGTAAATTAATGTCCAAAATCTTACCAGGCTGCGCTTTCCTTACCTTAAAGCTTTGATCCCAGTTAAAATGAAATGCGCAAGAAAAATGGAATACTGGCCGGGCACGGTGGCTCACGCCTGTAATCCCAGCACTCTGGGAGGCCGAATGGATCACCTAAGGTCAGGAATTCGAGACCAGCCTGACCAACATGGAGAAACCCCGTCTCTACTAAAAATACAAAATTAGCCGGGCATGGTGGCGCATGCCTGTAATCCCAGCTACTCAGGAGGCTGAGGCAGGAGAATCGCTTGAACTCGGGAGGCAGAGATTGCAGTGAGCCGAGATCACACCGTTGCACTCCAGCCTGGGCAACAAGAGCGAATCTCTGTCTCAAAAAAAAAAGAAAAGAAAAGAAAAATGGAATACTTGGAGTCACGTATGCTGTGGTGTGAATGACTGATTTATTAAATACATGTTAATAGAGCATGTGCTTTGTGGAGATGGGGTTTGATGCTAGTGGGGCTAGACCAACAATAAATAAGCAAACAAATACATAAGTAAAAAATCTCAGGCCAGGCGCGGTGGCTCACGCCTGTAATCCCAGCACTTTGGGAGGCAGAGGCGGGCGGATCACGAGGTCAGGAGATCGAGACCATCCTGGCCAACACAGTGAAACCCCGTCTCTACTAAAAATACAAAAAATTAGCCGGGCGTGGTGGCAGGCGCCTGTAGTCCCAGCTACTCGGGAGGCTGAGGCAGGAGAATGGCCTGAACCTGGGAGGCGGAGCTTGCAGTGAGCCGAGATTGTGCCGCTGCACTCCAGCCTGGGTGACAGAGCAAGACTCCGTCTCAAAAAAAAAAAAAAAAAAAATCTCAGATAGTGAAAGGGCAATGAAGAAAATAAATCAGGTGACAAGAAAGAAGAGAGTCTTTCTTGTTGGTTGGAGGACTCTTCAGATTAGAAGCTCAGGAAAAGTCTCTCTCAGGAAGGGTGATGTTTGAGCCAAGGCTCGACAACCTTGAAATGCCACGGAGTCTGCAAAGCAATGATCTGTGGGAAGAGGAGCCAGCATTGTGGGGGCTCAGAGATATATTGTTTAGACTTTGTAGGCTTCAAAATAAGGGGCTGGGCTGGGCACAATGGCTCATGCCTGTAATCTCAGTACTTTGGGAGGCTGAGGCTACAGGAGTGCTCGAGCCCAGGAGTTCAAGACCAGCCTGGGCAACATAGCAAGACCTTGTCTCTATGAAAAGAATTTTTTTTAAATTTAAAATAAAAAATAAAAAACAAAAACAAAATAAGGGGCTGTATCTTATTCTATTTGCTATGCAAAGTCGTTAGAGGGATTTAAACAAGAGAGTGGTTTGACCTCATTTATATTTTTTTTCTTTTTTAAGAGACAGTGTGTTGCTCTGCCTACTCAGCCTGAAATGCACTGGCACAATCATGGTTCACTGCAGCCTCCATCTCTCTGGCTCAAGCAATCCTCCTGTCTCAGCCTCCTGAGTGGCTGGGACTACAGATAGGCACCACTACACCCTGTTGCCCAGGCTGGTCTTGAACCCCTGGCTTCAAGCAGTCTCCCTCTTTGGCCTTCCAAAGTGCTGGGATTACAGGTGTGAGCCACCACACCCAGACTACATTTTAAATAGTGCTCAGTGGAGCATCAGCTCTAAGGAGGCAAGAATGGAAGCAGAGAAACCGATTAGGGAACAGTTGCAATAGTTTTAATGAAAGATGATGGTGGCATGGACTCGAGAAGTAGCAGAAAGATGGTGAGAAGTGGAAGGAAGATAAGAGCTACATTTTTCTCTTGAACAACTGCCTGGATGGTGGCGCTGTTCAATTAAATGAGGAAGACTGTAGAACCAGGCTGGTGGTGTCGATGGGGGAAACAAGAGTTCTATTTTTGGGCTGGGCCTAGTGCGTCATGCCTGTAATTCCAGCACTTTGGGAGGCCAAGGAGGGAGGATCGCTTGAGGCCAAGAGTTCAATACCAGCCTGGGCAACATAGCAAAATCCTGTCTCTTAAAAAAAAAAGAAGTTCTATATTTGTTGTCGTGTTTTTTTGTTGTTGTCTTTTGTGTGTGTGTGTGTGTGTCTTTTTTCTGGAGACAGAGTCTCACTCTGTCACCCTGGCTTGAGTGCAGTGGTGGGATTAGGGTTGACTGCAGCCTCGACCTCCCGGGTTCAAGCAATCCTCCCACCTCAGCCTCCCAAGTAACTGTGACTATAGGCGCATGCCAACATGCCTGCTGATTTTGTTGGTTTTAGTAGAGACGGTGTTTCACAATGTTGCCAGGGCTGGTCTCGAACTCCTGGGCTCAAGCAATCCATTTGCCTCAGCCTCCCAACTTGCTAGGATTATAGCACTTTGCCAGAAGCCACCATACCTGGCCAAGGGTTCTATTTTGAACTTGATGAATTTGAAATGCTGAGTAGATATCCAAGGGAGATGTCAAGCAGGCAGCTCCGGAAGAGGTAGAACTGTAAATGCTGTTAGCATATGGATAGTATTTAAAGCCAGCTACCTAAACAGGAGCACCTAGGAACAGAGTACAGACAAAGCAGAAGAGAGCCCAGCCAGGGCTCCAGGATCCAGGACCCTGAAGAGTGAGGCAGGGGAGGTGGGGCCAGTAAAGGAGCTGAGAAAAAAGAATTTGAGAGATAGGAGAGTCTAACATTTCAGAAATAAGGGTTGAGGGTATTTCAGGTCAAGAGGTTATGGTCAACAAAGTCAAATGCTGCTGCGCTGTTAAGAGGAGAGAGAGAAGTGATCATGACGTTGACAAGGGTGGTTCCAGGGGAGGAAGGAAGTTGAAAACCCAGTGGAACTAGGTTTTGATAGAAAGGAAAACTTCCATAAGGACAGATTTTACAGGAAAGAGAAATACCCAGATATGTCAGGAAAAGTCCATGAGAGGGCACTGAAGAAAAATCTCAAATAGAAGTTTCCAACCTGGCCGACATCAGAATGACCCAATGAACTTTAAAAAACAAAAACAAAAAACAGTTTCCTGGTCCTATGCCAAATCTATTAAATTAGTACGAGAGGAAATTGGAATCTATATTGGAATTCTCAGATAATTCTGGTTTACCTGAATTCGAGTAGAAGATGAACCCATGAGGCAGAGGTTGCAGTGAGCCGAGATCATGCCACTGCATTCCAGCCTGGGCAATAGAGTGAGACTCAGTCTCAGAAGAAAAAAAGATGAACTGGGCAGAAACATTCCCACCAGTACCTTCTCCTTGTTTGAGAAAAGAAAAAAGGTTAATAAGTAGAATTTTCTGATTTTAAGTTTATCTCCCCTAAATTTTTTCTTCAATCTTTAGAAGTTATCACTTGTCTTCTAGTGAGCTCTAGTAGGACGTAAAATGAATATTTACAGAAAAACTCAAAAAGAGATAACCACACTTAGACATCCTGCTCTTTTTCACGGATATGTGTGTTTGTGAATGTGATTTTAGGCTGCGCACACAGAATTAGAGGGATTTTTTTTTCTGCCTTATAAATTGGTTTTGTATGTAATAATGGAGTTGTTTTGATCAATTTGGATGCTGTTGTGCAAATCGCACAGAGTATCCTGCAATCAGAATGGGTTTGAGAATAATTGAAAAGAGCCCTGAAAGCTTCATGCTTTCTCTCTCTCTCTCTCTCTGCGGCAAGTAAGCAGTTTCCTCAAGGGAGGCCTGAAAGTCAAATCCCTATTCCCCTTCGGTTTAGCTGGCTGGAAGAAAATCCCAAAATGGGAATAATTTGATATGTCTGGAAGAAGCAGGGAAAACAAAATTTAAAACAGGAGCTTCCTTTATGGGAGGACCCATAATAAGGCCATTATCATAACATTCTACATGTGTTGTGCACAGTTCACAACGCATCATTATGCTTATCATCTCATTTGATCTTTATATCAATCCTGGGGAAAACTATACTATTGTCAATTTCCCATCATTAAAACAACAACAACAGCCAGGTGCAATGGCTCATGCCTGTAATCCCAGCACTTTGGGAGGCTGAGGCAGGTGGATCACTTGAGGTCAAGAGTTCCAGATCAGCCTGGCCAACATGGTAGAATTCTGTCTCTATTAAAAATACAAAAATTAGCCGGGCACAGTGGCTCACGCCTGTAATCCCAGCACTTTGGGAGGCTGAGGCGGGCAGATCACCTGAGGTTGGGAGTTCGAGACCACCCTGACTGACCAACATGGAGAAACCCCGTCTCTACTAAAAATACAAAATTAGCCGGTTGTGGTGGCACGCACCTGTAATCCTAGCTGCTTGGGAAGCTGAGGCAGGAGAATCGCTTGAACCCAGGAGGCAGAGGTTGCAGTGAGCGGGAGATTGCGCCATTGCACTCCAGTCTGGGCAACAAGAGCAAATCTCCGTCTCAAAAATAATGATAATAATACAAAAATTAGCCAGGCATGGTGGTGCATGCCTGTAGTCTCAGCTACTCCGGAGGCTGAGGCAGGAAAATCACTTAAACTCAGGAGGTGGAGGTTTCAGTGAGCCAAGATTGCACCACTGCACTCCAGCCTGGGATACAGCCTCCGTCTCAAAACAAAACAAAACAAAAAAACAACAAACAGATGAATAAATGGAGGCTTAGGTGGGTTAAGGTAATTTCAAAGGCCCTACAAGTAGAAAAGCACAAACTCCAAAGGTAGTTGTTTACAATCACAGAATAAAAAAGTGAATGAGGGCCAGGCACCATGGCTCACGCCTGCAATCCCTACACTTTGGGAGGCTGAGGTGGGAAGATCACTTGAGCTCAGGAGCCCAGAGACCAGCCTGGGCAACATGGCAAAAACCCATCTCTACTAAAAATACAAAAATTAGCAGGGTATGGTGACACACACCCATAGTCCCAGCTACTCATGGGGGGCTGAGGTGGGAGAATTGCTCTGGCCCAGGAGGTTGTGGCTACAGTGATCTGTGATCACACCACTGCACTCCAGCCTGGTCAACAGAGCTAGACCCTGTCTCAAAAAAAAAGCAAATGAACTCAGCAATGAAATGGAACAAGCTATCCATACATGCAGCAATTGGGATGACTCTCCAGGAAATTATGCTGAGTAGAAAAAGCCAATGCCAAAAGGTTCCATACGCTATGATTATTATATGTATATACAATTTTTGAAGTGACAAAATTTTAGAATTTGAACGTGGTTGCCAGGTGTTAGGTATGGCGGGAGGAAGTGGGGCAGGAGGGAGATTCATATGGTTATAATAGGGCAGCATAAATAATCTTTATAGTGATGTAACTGTTCGGTATCTGGACTTGATGGATACATGGACCTTCACTTGTGATAAAAGTGCATAGATCTGAATAAACACATACATGCAAATGAGTACAAATAAAACTGGAGAAGCCTGAATAACGGATTATATCAATATTAATAGCTGCTATGATACCGTACGACAGTTTTGCAAAATGTTACCACTGGGGAAACCTGAATAAAAAGTACACTGGATTTCTTTCTTTTTTTCTTTTTTTTTTTTGAGACAGATTCTCGCTCTATTGCCCAGGCTGGAGTGCAGTGGCTTGATCTTGGCTCACTGCAAGCTCGGCCTCCCGGGTTCACGCCATTCTCCTGCCTCAGCCTCCTGAGTAGCTGGGACTACAGGCGCCCGCCACCACGCCCAGCTAATTTTTTGTATTTTTAGTAGAGACGGGGTTTCACTGTGTTAGCCAGGATGGTCTCGATCTCCTGACCTTGTGATCTGCCCACCTTGGCCTCCCAAAGTGCTGGGATTACAGGCGTGAGCCACCGCACCCAGCCCAAAGTACACTGGATTTCTTTGTATAACTTCTTACAACTGCATATGAATCTGTAATTATCTCAGTAAAAAATTATATTAAAAAAATGAATAAGTCAGGTTGTATCTCTGGCTCCTGGTTCTTGCCTGTGCATTATAAACTTTCCAAAGGTGATATGGTTTGGCTGTGTCCCCACACAAATCTAAACTTGAATTGTATCTCCCAGAATTCCCACATGTTGTGAGAGGCACCCAGGGGGAGGTAACTGAATCCTGGCAGCCAGTCTTTCCTGTGCTATTCTCGTGATAGTGAATACGTCTCATGAGATCTGATGGGTTTATCAAGGGTTTCTGCTTTTGCTTCTTTCTCATTTTCTCTTGCCGCCGCCATGTAAGAAGTGCCTTTCACTGCCCGCCAAGATTCTGAGACCTCTCCAGCCATGTGGAACTGTAAGCCCAATTAAACCTCTTTTTCTTCCCAGTCTTGGGTATGTCTTTATCAGCAGTGTGTGTGAAAACAAACTAATACAAGAGGGTAATGAAAAAAGATCCGGCCTTGCTCTTACAGTCCCCAGGTTGACTCACTGTGCTTTGAGTGAGTTAGAAATGGAGTATATCTATATTTGACCCTGGAAGGTTTAATGAAATCAGCCAAGCAACGCATTCCCCAAAATGAAATCTCAAGAGTGTCTCCTACCTTGAGAGGCAGTAGAACCTAAATTCTACACTGAACATTGCAACATTTTTATATTTCTGAGCCAAAAATTCCAACACAGACCACCATGAGTTTTCCCTGACTCTTTTGGACTAGCTATTGATGGGGGACAGTATTAAAGAGAGGCAGGCTGGGCTCGGTGGCTCACACCTGTAATCCCAGCATTTTGGGAGGCTGAGGTGGGTGGATCACTTGAGGTCAGGAGCTCGAGACCAGCCTGGCCAACATGGTGAAACCCCATCTCTACTAAAAATACAAAATTTAGCTGGGCATGGTGGTGCATGCCTGTAATCCCAGCTACTCTGAAGGTTGAGGCAGGAGAATTGCTTGAACCAGGGAGGTTGCAGTGAGCTGAGATCATGCCACTGCACTCCAGCCTGGGTGACAGAGCAAGACTGCATCTCAAAAACAAAAAGGTGGGGAAGGAAAGGAGTGAAGAGTACTAGTGCCTTAGGTCTGTGGGGTGGGGCAATTGGGATTAATGGTGGGTATGGTGATGTTCTCCACATGATTATGGCTGCAACAGAACCAGATGGTAAGGGTGGCCTTTGACCAACAAGGCTGATACACAACGCTTATGCATTCCACACCTCAGATTTTATTGCCCTTTTCCTTCTCTCTTCTTGTCACATACTTTTGGTTGCTTCTCTCCCCCACCTTCTTTTCTGTCCCTTTCTCTTGATTTTTCTTCTTTTTAAAAAATTTTTTATTTTTATTTTTGAGACTGAGTCTTACTCTGTTGCCCAGGCTGAGTGCAGTGGCAAATCATGGCTTACTGCAACCTCCACCTCCCAGGCTCAAGGGATCCTTCCACCTAGGCCTCCTGAGTAGCTGGGACTACAGGCACATACCACCACGCCCAGCTAATTTTTGTATTTTGAATAGAGCTGACGTTTCGCCATGTTGCCCAGACTGGTCTCTTACTCCTGAGCTCAAGAAATCCAACTGCCTCAGCCTCCCAAAGTGCTGGGATTACAGGCGTGAGCCACAACACCCAGCCCCTTTTCTTATTTTTCTATATGTTCCTACTATGATCACATTTTAATTAATACACAATCTTTTTATTTTATTCTATTTTATTTATTTATTTATTTATTTAGAGATGGAGTCTCATTCTGTCATCCAGGCTGGAGTGCAGTGCCTCAATCTCAGCTCACAGCAAACTCCACCTCCTGGGTTCAAGTGATTCTCCTGCCTCAGCCTCCTGAGTAGCTAGGATTGCAGGTGCGCACCACCACACAACCCTTGGCTAATTTTTGTATTTGTTTGTTTGTTTGTTTTTGTTTTTTGTTTTTTGTTTTTTTGAGATGGAGTCTCGCTCTATCACCCAGGCTGGAGTGTAGTGGCGTGACCTCAGCTCACTGCAACCTCCACTTCCTGGGTTCAAGTGATTCTCCTGCCTCAGCCTCCTGAGTAGCTGGGACTACAGGCACACGCCACCATGCCTGGCTAATTTTTGTATTTTTAGTAGAGACAGGGTTTCACCGTGTTGGCCAGGCTGGTCTTGAACTCCTGAGCTCAGGTGATCCACCCACCTTGGCCTTCCAAAGTGCTGGGATTACAGGTAAGAGCCACCACGCCCAGCCTATTTTTGTAATTTTTAGTAGAAACAGAGTCTCAATATGTTGGCCAGGCTGGTCTCAAACTCCTGACCTCAAATGATCTGCCTGCCTTGGCCTCCCAAAGTGTTGGGATTATAGGCATGAGCCACTGCAACCAGACGGTTTTATTTTATTTTATTTTTTAAGAAATGAGGTCTTGGCTGGGCACAGTGGCTCATGCCTGTAATCTCAGCACTTTGGGAGGCCGAGACGGGCCAATCACCTGAGGTCGGGAGTTTGAGACCAGCCTGACCAACATGGAGAAACCCCATCTCTACTAAAAATACAAAATTAGCTAGGCGTGCTGGTGCGTGCCTGTAATCCCAGCTACTCGGGAGGCTGAGGCAGGAGAATCGCTTGAATCTGGGAGGCAGAGGTTACAGTGAGCCGAGATTATGCCATTGCACTCCAGCCTGGGAAACAGGAGCCAAACTCCATCTCAAAAGAAAAAAAAAGAAAAAAGAAATGAGTCCTTACTATGTTGTCCAGGCTTGTCTAGAAAACCTGAGTTCAAGCAATCCAGCCACCCTAGCCTCCCAAAGTGCTGGGATCACAGGCGTGAACTACCACATTCAGGCCAATAAAGCAATTATTTATTTATTTATTTTTGAGACAGAGTCTCGCTCTGTTGCTCAGGGTGGAGTGCAGTGGCGTGATCTCGGCTCACTGCAACCTGTGCCTCCTGGGTTCAAGCTATTCTCCTGCCTCGGTCTCCTGAATAGCTGGAATTACAGGTGCCCACCACCACGCCCAGCTAATTTTTGTATTTTTAGCAGAGACGAGGTTTCACCATTTTGGTCAGGCTGGTCTCGAACCCCTGACCTGAAGTGATCTGCCTGCCTTGGCCTCCCAAAGTGCTTGGATTACAGGTGTGAGCCACTGTGCCTGGCCAATACACAATTTTTAAATATTAACAAAAATAGGCTGGGCATGGGGGCTTATGCCTGTAATTCCATCACTTTGGGAGGCTGAGGTGGGAGGATCACTGGGGCCCAGGAATTCTAGACCAGCCTGAACAACATAGCAAGACTGAGTCTCTAATAAAATTAAAAATATATATATCAAGAAAGTCACTGAGGCCCAAAGAGACCCATAAGTTGAAGACTAAAATAGATCTTGCTTTAAGGTTCCATGGACACCATACAAGACTGCAACTCTAGTCCAGGGCTGTCTCCACTGTGAAACAGCTTCCTGATGCAAGAGGGCTTTGCAGAAGGTAAGAAAACCTGTCTTATAGTCTGGACTCCATCAGCAACTTGCCAGTTAACCTAGAGCTATTTGCTTCCTCATGTACAAAACGAAAGACATGGGTACAAAATTCCCTCTCTAGGCTGGCACGGTGGCTCACACCTGTAATTCTAGCACTTTGGGAGGCTGAGGCGGGCAGATCGCTTGAGGCCAGGAGTTCGAGACCAGCCTGGCCAACATGGTGAAACCCTGTCTCTACTAAAAATACAAAAATTACCCAGGCAGGCGTGGTGGTGCCTGCCTGTAATCCCAGCTATTTGGGAGGCTGAGGCACAAGAATCACTTGAACCTGGGAGGTAGAGTTTGTAGTGAGCCGAGATTGCACAACTGTACTCCAGTCTGGGCAACAGAGTGAGACCCCCTTCTCAAAAAAAAAAAATCCCTTTAAGTTTTATATGAGTCTAGAGAAACAAGCCTTTCTAACCAGGAGTGGTAGGATGCTGAAAAAGAGGCTGGTTAATCTAGGTGGAGAATGAGAAGTTAGAGGGTCACTTCATTTGGACCCTTTCCTGGAGGCTGGGAGTTTATTTTTGAGACAGGGTCTCCAAAAACAAACAAACAAACAAACAAAAACCATCCAGTAGACAGAGTGGTCATATGACCCAGGAGGTTATTACCACAACATCTGCCATCAACCCAAGACTGTGCAGGCCAACCCTGTAATTACACTTAGGCCTTAAGTGTAGGCAAGACCTGTAGGTGATGGACCACAAGAGGGGGTGGTTAGTGAGGTGAGGAAGACAGATCTGACCTAATCAGAAGAGGAAGAGGAGGGATTTGGCAGAAGGACTGTCAAACTAGAAAAGGGAGGTGATTCATTTCACGCATCTAAGCAAAGGCTTGGGTGGGGCTGATTCAAACAGCGGCAGGGAGGGAAGGAAGTATTGGCTCTTACTAGCGACTGAATTAGGAATAGAAAATGGAAATAGAGTCAACTACTAGGAAATACTGATGAACAGAGAAGTTAATACTCCCAAGTTTCATTCTCACAGCAATCACCACCACAACAACCCTTAGGCCCTAACAGGCTGTGCTAAAGTGGGATTGGAATTTATTGTTGGCTAGGGATATACAAACATTTATTGTGTGCTTAGTACATGCCAGACACTTCCATGGGTGTTATCTCATTTACTTTTCACAGCAATTCCACAAAGTAAGTATTGTTATCTTTGTTTTATATCTGAGGAAACTGAGGCTCATGAAGGGTAAGTCACAAAGAAAGGCCTTGGGCAGAGGCAGCAGTAAAGGCAGGTTTGTCTGAGTTTTGAGCCTGAGCTCTTCTACCAGGAGAGCTGAATGCTTCTTTTTCCGTAAACCTCCTCTGAAGCCTCTGGGCTCACATTGCCACTGACCATTCTTGCTCATACCCTAATGATAACTCTAAGGCTCTGTATTATCTGACAGTGAGTGAGCTGTGGCCCAGAATTTGAGTCAGAAAATCTTGATTTGAATCCTGGCTTTCCTAACTCAGTGCCTACAGGCAAGATGCAAAACGTTGCTAAACCTCAATATTAATTTGTGTAGAATGGGAAGAATAACACCAAAGTCCTATATGGAAATGCAAAAAAGGAAGTTCAGTGTTTGGCACATTTTAAGAGCTTTATAAATAATAGCTATTAAGGCTGGGCGCGATGGCTCACACCTTTAATCCCAGGACTTTGGGAGGCCGAGGCGGGTGGATCACAAGGTCAGGAGATCGAGACCATCCTGGCTAACATGGTGAAACCCCATCTCTACTAAAAATACAAAAATTAGCCAGGCGTGGTGGCGTGCGCCTGTAGCCCCAGCTGTGGGGAGGCTGAGGCAGGAGAATGGCATGAACCCGGGAGGCAGAGCTTGCAGTGAGCCAAGATCGTGCCACTGCACTCCAGCCTGGGCGACAGAGCGAGACTCTGTCTCAAAAATAAATAAATAAATAAATAAATAAATAAATAAATGCTATTAAATTACTTTAGCTTGAGCCTAAGCAGTGGTTCTCTATCTTGGGTGCACATTGGAATCACCTGGGGTGCTCTGAAAAACACTGGGGCCTGGGCTCCACCCCAGATTTTGGTTTAATAGGTATGCCTGCAGGCTGGGCATGGGGAAATTTCAAAAACTCTCCAGGTGATTCTAATTTAGTTCTGTATACTTCTGAAGTCTTGAGAGTCATGCTTCAGAATCATCCAGAATGCTGGTTAAAACTCAATTCACTGCCGGGCGTGGTGGTTCATTCCTGTAATCCCGCACCCGGCTAATTTTTGTATTTTCAGTAGAGACGGGTTTTGTCATGCTGGCCAGGCTGGTCTCGAACTCCTGGCCTCAAGTGATTCCCCCCACCTTGGCCTCCCAAAGTGTTGGGATTACAGGCATGAACCACTGCGCCCAGCAGAGGTAATTTTGTTTTCAGATTTGACGAAGAATTAATAGATAAGCTTAATAAGTCACCTAAGGTCACCTATCTAGTGGGTGATAGAATCAGGATTGAAGCCCAGCCTCTGAACTAGAGGATCTTAGCACTGGGAAGACAGGTCTGTACTGATGACCAGGGACTTGGAAGTCATCAGCAAATGAAGCCAGACAGTGGACAAGAGAAAGACGGTGCAGTGAGATGGGCATTCAGAGGAGGAGACACAGCAATGGCCACTACTAAAAAGGCCCAGCTTGAGAGGCAGAAAAAGAACCAGGACAGACTGTTTCCTTAAAAACCGGCCGGGCGTGTTGGCTCGCACCTGTAATGCCAGCACTTTTGGAAGGCCAAGGCGGGCAGATCACTTTGAGCTCAGGAGTTCAAATATTTTTTACCAGCCTGGACAACATGGCGAAACCCCATCTCTACAAAAAACACAAAAATTAGCTGGGCATTGGTGGCAAGCGCCTGTAATCCCAGCTACTGGGGAGGCTGAGGCAAGAAAATTGCTTGAACCCAGGAGGTGGAAGTTGCAGTGAACTGAGATTGTGCCACTGCATTCCAGCCTGGGCGACAGAGCGAGACTGTCTCAAAAAAAAAAATTCATATTTAAACCTTCTTTAGTAAAAAATATCTAAATTACAGTTGCTGGGTCAAATGGAAGCCACAAAAACAAAATCTTGACATTTCTAAATGTTGCTCCAGAAGACTTCTACCTCTTTTCTTTTTATATATATTTTTATTAAAAGATAATATATTCTTAGTTGTTAAAAATAAATAGAGATGGGGGGGTCTCACTATGTTGACAAGGCTGGTCTCGAACTCCTGGCTTCTAGCGATCCTCCCATCTTGGCCTCCCAAAATGCTGGGATTACAGGCCTGAGTCACCATGCCCTTCTTCCCCTTTCCACTTCCAGAAATAGTGGATAAAATGGTGGGTTGTTGCTGTTGTTCTATTACTCATTTGATAAGTACCTATTTCTCTCTCTGTTGTATGTATCGTCATGGTTTCTCTCCAGCTGCCTTGAGTGTAGTATCCTTACACTATTATAAGCAGTTATCCTCTTCCATTTCTTTAATATATTTTATAAGCTTATAGCTTAAAATAACATTTTGTCATTAAAATATGTTTGAGTTATGTTGGCTTTTCTCTGTCCATGATTTTGTTAATTTGAATTTTCCTTTTATTTTACTAAGCTAGTGATTTATCATTTTTTTCCCAAGCCAGCTGTTAATTTCATTGGTTATATAAGATAAAAACCAAAAATAGAATTGATAAGCAAACCAATGCAGTTCTTTAAAAATTAACAAAACTGGCCATGTACAGTGGCTCACGCCTGTAATCCCAGCACTTTGGGAGGCCAAGGCGGGCAGAGCCCAGGATTTCCAGACCAGCCTGGGCAACATAGTGAGACCGCATGTCTCTTAAAAACAAAAAATTAACAAAACTGATTTTTCAAGTCCCTAATTTTACATACAATGTGGCAAAATTTTAAGATACGGCAAAACTGGATTGTAAAATAAGGAGATACTTTGTTTCTTTTTACAGTATTTAGAAAGATACTTAATTCATTATGCTTTAACAAAATTTATTACTACAAGCATCTAAGTGCAAAGAAATTTTCCTCTAGATAGTGATTTAACAGCATTTGATTTATATCTTATATTTTAATTTTTGTTGTTCACAAAACTGATGATGTGACCCAGATTCGCTTTATGATTTAGGTTTTAAGAGACTATATGTATATATACATATATATGTGCCACACATACACACACATACATATGCTTATTTTTAAAGACATTGCATTGAAACACATTAAAATTTTTGTTTTGTTATAGTCTAAGAATGCCATATATAGAAATAATAACTTGAAGTATTAACTGTGTATATCTTTGTCCTACAATACAGGATGAAATTATGTGAATGTTACAACTGCACTTAGAATGTGTTCCTACATTCTATGAATAAGATCTTTTCACTTATAAATGCTACCATAAGTTTTCCACTTCCGTAATCTCTTAAATTTTTTCAGTGTTATAGAAATGACATTAACGTTTCCTTTCTTTTTCTTTTTTTTTTTTTTCTTTTAGATGGAGTTTCCCTCTTTCGCCTAGGCTGGAGTGTAGTGGCGCAATCTTGGCTCACTGCAACCTCCAACCCCTGGGTTCAAGTGATTCTCCTGCCTCAGCCTTATGAGTAGCCGGGATTATAGGCAACCGCCACAACAGCTGGCTAATTTTTTTGTATTTTTAGTAGAGACAGGGTTTCGCCATGTTGGCCTGGCTGATCTCAAACTCCTGACCTCAGGTGATCCACCCACCTCGGCCTCCCAAAGTGCTGGGATTACAGGCATGAGCCACTGCGCCCGGCCATTGTTTCAAATATACTGTATACTACTGTGGCTCATTTTCATCTTTCACTTGGCCAGATTTACAAATGAGTTTGGTGGCTCTGTGATTGGCTCATCCAGGTAGAGGGAACATGTGTGCAAAGGCAAAGAGATACCACACCACACACCAGGGGGTACCTGTGAGTGGTCTGGCATGGTAGGAGGATAGACAGAGAAGGATAGGTGACGGCTGAGAGACCGGAGAAAACAGAGGCCAAAGTTTGGAGGTAAGATCAGAGAACATTGCATTAGGAGAAAAAGAGGCCATACAGGATCACAATTAAGAGGATGCACTTAGGAGACCAAATTGGCTCTTCCCACTTCTTGGCTGTGGGACCTGGAACAAGTCATTTAACCTCCCTGAGCCTCAGATTCTTGATCTGTAAAATGAAAAAAAAAAAAATAAGGTTGTTATGAAGATTAAATGAGATATACTACCTGTAAAGCAGTTAGCATAATGTCCACTGCATCATAAGTATTAAATAAAAATGTTATTTATTTTCATTAAGGAAACTGGAAAGCTTAGAGATTGAAAGATTTACGATTTCAGATGTAGAATTATAAAGTAATGTTTACTACACGTAAGTGCTTCCTCACCTTATTTTTTAGAAAAACTTCTACATCGTTAGAGCACTTGCCCATTATGAGATGTATTCGTTGTTTTTTGTTTGTTTTGTTTTGTTTGAGACAGGGTCTCACTCTGTTGCCCAGGCTGGGGTGCAGTGACATGATCATGGCTCACTGCAGCCTCAACCTCATGGGCTCAAGTGATCCTCCCACTTCAGCCTCCGAAGTATCTGGGAGTACAGGCATGCGCCACCAGGCCTGGCTAATTTTTTATTTTTTGTCAAGACAGGGTCTCACCATGTTGCCCAAGCTGGTCTCAAATACCAGGGCTCAAGTAATCCACCCACCTTGGCCTCCCAAAGTGCTAGGATTACAGGCTTGAGCCACCATGCCCACATTGGTTTTATTTTGTTGTGTGTGTGGTGGGTTTTTTTGGGGGGGGTGTTTTGTTTTGTTTTGTTTTTGAGATGGGTTCTTGCTCTCTCAGCCAGGCTAGGGTGCACTGGCACCAATATGGCTCACTACAGTCTCGACCTCTCCCGACCTCTCCTGGGCTCAAGCCATCCTCCCACGTTAGCCCCCGCAGGCGTTCTCTACCACACCTGGCTAATTTCTTATTTTTTGTAGAGACGGTTTCTCCCTATGTTGCCCAGGTTGATCTCAAACTCCTGTGCTTAAGCAGCACACATTGTATTTTAATTATTTGTTTTCCTAATGCAGCCTGGGAGCTCTGAAACCTGAGGTGAGCTTCATTCTTGTTTATATTCTGAGTGCGTGGGACATTCTGTAGGTCATTGATTCAACACCTGTTGAACTGAATTTGGAAATCATTCACACAGAGGCTCACAGCTGAGGTAAATGAGAAGGATCTCCAGGAGAGAGTTCTGGGTGGCCCCCACCAGTCAGGAACTACATCTTTTGCTAAAAATTTGATTTCTGTTCTCACTAACTGTGCACTTACAAGTCTCATAGAAACATATTTTCACAATGTCCCTATCTGCTGGGTTCATTACTTTGCTTCTTGATGGTTGCTTGTTTATTAAATTGATAATAAACACAGTGATGGTTTATTAAAAATTTAAAAAGAGCAAACCCAACAGTCTTTTGCTGCCTTATTGTTTACACACAGACAGAGGCAGCTGCCTCCTAAGAAGCTGGATCTTCTGGTCTCCATAAGGGGTAACGGGAAAAGCAACCAATTAGAAGTCGCAGCTGGGTTCCCAAGCAGGCTTCGCTGTTTACTAGCTGTGTGAACTCGAAGGAATCATTTAACCTATCCGAATCTCATTGGCCTCATCTGCAAAATGAAGACAATACCTGCCCTCTCTTCTTTTTTTAAAATAGATTTTAGTATCAAATGGAATATTGCATGTGAAATCCTTGAATAGTTCTATTCAAATATAAGGTAGTGTTCTCACAAGAAGTCCACTAGAGAGGGTTTTGAGGCTCTTTCTAAACCAATGCTACTAATAGCCAAATAGAAATGCCTCAACTCAACAATGACTACTATGACATATATTGACAGCAAAGTTGACTTATTTGCTGCCATATCCCATGCCTCACATAATCTCTGGCAAAAAGCAGGTGTTCAATGAATGTTTGTTCAATTCATGAAAGAAGGAAGGACTCTGGGAAGGTAGGCTCAAACAGCAGGTTTCTGGCTTCGAACTGTGTGAAATTAGGGCCAAGTAGCCAGGTGAATGGCACATGAGGATCACCATGGGCTTCTAGAGCAGAAGGCCCGGGGGGCAGCGCTGGCCAGAGCCCATCAGAGATGAAACTTTTACTTCTTGTTTTGTTCCAATTGGCACAATCTCACTTGTAGCTTTTTTTTTTTTGAGATGGAGTCTCGCTCTGTTGCCCAGGTTGGAGTGCAGTGGCACAGTCTTGGCTCCCTGCAACCTCCGCCTCCCGGGTTCAAGTGATTCTCCTGCCTCAGCCTCCCAAGCAGCTGAGACTACAGGCGCACGCCACCACCTCGTCTAATTTTCATATTTTTAGTAGAGATGAGGTTTCTCCATGTTGGCCAAGCTGCTCTCAAACTCCTGACCTCAAGTGATCCGCCTGCCTCGGCCTCCCAAAGTGCTGGGATTATAGGTGTTAGCCACCACACCCAGCCTCACTTGTAGCTTTTGATTACACTAAGGAGACAAGAAAAAGTGCAGGGGAAAGAGACTGAATCGTCATTTTCTCTGAAAATATTTTTAGTCAGCCAAGCACTATGAATTAACAATATTTAACAACAATTAAATATGGAGCAAATTTAGTAGGTAGTACAGCCCTTAACACCCTTATCTGTACTGCTTCCTTCCCTGCTTCTCCTAGCCAATCAAGAACTGCTGGCTGCTCAAGCCTACTGCCCTTCCTTCTCTGTGCTCAGCCACTGCCTTTGCAGAGAATAATCTTCCCTTCCAACTGCCTGTTAATGTCTTAAACTTCTTTCAAAGATTAGATCAATGAATTAATTACTGGATCATCAAGTATTTATTGTGTTCGTTGAGTATCTAACCATGTGTAAGGATGAAGAAAGCTCATAGTCTAATTCTATTTTTTTGTTTTGTTTTAGTTTGATTTTTTTCTTCTGTCATTTTTATTCTTTTTTTGTCTCTTAATTTCTTTCTTGTTAGTATTTGCTGCCTACCATGTAGTCTAATTCTAGTAAGAGGAAGAAATACATATGAAGACATAATTTTAATGCTATATGATAAGTTCTTTTTTATAACAGCTTTATTGACATATTATTCACACACCATAAAATTCATCCTTTTACACCTCAGTGGTTTTTAGTGTATCAGAGTTGTAAACTCAACATCACTGTCATTTTAGAACATTTCATCACCCCAAAAGAAACCCTGTATTCATTAGAAGAAATTCCCCATTCTTCCTTTGCTTCCAGCCCCTGGCAACCATTAATCTACTTTCAGTCACTACGAATTTGCCTATTTTGGACATTTCATATAAATTGAATTATATGACATGTGGCCTTTGTGACTCGTTTCTTTCACTAAGCATAAAGTTTTCAAGATTAATCCAGATTGTAGCATGTATCAGTACTTCTTTATCCTTTTATAGATAAATGACTAATTTTTTTTTTCTAGAGAAGATGTGCTACATTTTGTTTAGCCTTTCATCAGTTGATGGACAATTGGATTGCTTCTACTTTCTGGCTAATTTTTTTTTTTTGAGACAGGGTCTCACTCTGTCACCCAGGCTGGAGTGCAGTGCCGCCATCTTGGCTCACTGCAACCTCCACCTCCTGTGCTCAAGCGATCCTCTCCTTTCTGGCTATTATGAATAATACTGCTGTGAACATTTGTGTATAAGGTTTTCCATGGACATATGGCTTCACATTTCTTGGGTATATACTAGGACTGGAATTGCTGAGCCATATTGTAATTCTTTGTTTAACCTTTTGAGGAACTGTCAGGCTATTCCCAAAGTGACTGTACCATTTTACAATCCCCCCAACAATGAATCAGGGTTCCAATTTCTCCATATATTGTCAACACTTGGGTCTGCCTTTTTATTTTTAGCCAGTTTAGTGTAGATAAAAATGGTATTTCCTAGTGGACATTTTTTCATGTACTTATCCATTTGTGTATGTGTGTATATATATATATGTTTGTTTGAGACAGGGTCTCACACTGTTGCCCTGGCTGGAGTGCAGTGGGGCCATCTCAGCCTACTGCAGCCTCGACCTCCTGAAGCCATCCTCCCACCTCAGCCGCCTGAGTAGCTGGGACCACAGCTGAGCACCACCACACTCACTAATTTTTGTAGAGATGGGTTTCGCCATGTTGCCCAGGCTGGTCCAAACTCCTGGACTCAAGTAAGCTACCCACCTCGGCCTCCCAAAGTGCTGGGATTATAGGTGTGAGCCACTGTGACTGGTGTACATTTCTTAAAGAAATGTCCATTCAAATATTTTGCCCATTTTTTGACTGGGTGATTTGTCTTTTGTTTTTCTTTTCCCCCAAGAGCTACAGCAAGTAGAACTTTCATTTTTTAGTTATAAATTTTTTTTGGCCCAGGCGTGGTGGCTCATGCCTGTAATCTCAGCACTTTGGGAGGCCAAGGTGGGTGGATAACCTGAGGTCGGGAGTTCGAGACCAGCCTGACCAACATGGAGAAACACCATCTCTACTAAAAATACAAAATTAACCAGGCATGGTGGCACATATCTGTAATTCCACCTACTCGGGAGGCTGAGGCAGGAGAATCGCTTGAACCCAGGAGGTGGAGGTTGCGGTGAGCTGAGATCGTGCCATTGCATTCCAGCCTGGCAACAAGAGGGAAACTCCATCTCAAAAAAAAAAAAAAAAAGAAAAAGAAAAAATCTGTATATTCTGGATACTAGACCCTTATCGGATATATGATTTACAAATATTTTCTCCCATTCTGTGGGGTGTCTTTTCATTTTCCTGATCATGTCCTTTGATGTACTAAAGCTTTTAATTTTGATGAATTTCAATTCATCCTTTTTTTCTTTTGTTGCTTGTTCTTCTGGAGTCATATTTAAGAAGCCATTGCCTAATACAAAATCATGAAGATGTACTCCATTTTTCCCATTTTATAGATTTAACTCTTACATTTTGGTCCATCATTTTATTTATTTTTTATTTTTATTTTATCAATAGTCTGGTGTGTAATGGACATTTATTTTAAATTCGTTTTTCTGTGTGGTGTGAGGAAGAGATTCAACTTCTTTTTTTTTTTTTTTTTTTTTTTTGAGATGGAGTCTCGCTCTGTCGCCCAGACTGGAGTGCAGTGGCACAATCTCGGCTCACTGCAAGCTCCACCTCCTGGGTTCACGCCATTCTCCTGCCTCAGCCTCCTGAGTAGCTGGGACTACAGGCGTGCACCACACCCAGCTAATTTTTGTATTTTTAGTAGAGACGGGGTTTCACCATGTTGGCCAGGCTGGTCTTGAACTGACCTCAGGTGATCCGCCCGCCTTGGCCTCCCAAAGTGCTGAGATTACAGGCATGAGCCACCACACCTGGCCATTTCACACACTTCAAACAGACATAAAACAGGGCGACAACTATTTCCTGGTTTTTAGGTTACATTTTGCCAGAATAATAAAATTGGCCCTTTATCAGCCAAATGGATAGGTGAGTAGGCAGGCTACAGGGATGCATAGGGCCTTAGGAAAGAAGAGAAACAAAACTTCCTTTCCTTCTTTAAACATTCACCCTTGTCAACCCCACCTTGACTTAAAAGATAAGGCGTGCTGCTGTGCTTTCCTCTCTTTGGGCTTTGGAAGAGACAGGGACTTACTCCTGGGCAAGGGGCTCAGGGACAGGGGTAATTGATACCTTGATGGCAAAAGGCCAGCAGTAAGGAGGGAGGAATTCTCTTGGTGGCATCTCTTTTTACCTGGATGCCCAGTTAAATGGGATCAGTTTTGTGATCCCCAAGGATCAGGGGGATCTTATAAGCCATGCTGTGCAGATTAATGGCGCATTTCCCTATCTGTATTTTTCTGTGTATTTTCCTATGACATAGCAGTCAGTAAAGTCTTGCTCAAATGCCTCAATGGTGTCTTTTGTCTACGCTAAGGCCAGAGAATCATCAGCCTTTGTGGTTGTCTGGAAAGAACCCCCCTCACTTGGAGATTCCTCTTCAGTAGTAACCTTCCTGGTTCTCAGGTTTGTTTTCCTTAGGAAGCTTTTGTACGCAAAAATCTCTCTCCTTAAAACCTATGAAGTGTACATCATCAAAGTCCCCATTTTTACAGGTAAAACTGAGTTCTTGTGAGGTTAAGGAACATGCCCAAGGCCACAAGGTAGCAAATGGCAGAGCCAACTATTAAACCCATACTTTTCCTCATGATCTGTAATAATCGCTATAATAAAGGTTCAGGCCAGTAATTTCTTTAAATGTGTAATGCACAGAGTAATGGATAATTATAATTTATATATTTATCTTGATCATCACTTCTCCTTGCCTCTCCACTTCAGAGGCTAGACATGTCCAGGGAGTATAAAATGTGGTGTCTTTTACAAATGCATCTAGTATGAATAACTAAGAGTATCAGTGGCTTTTGGTAGCCTCAGAACACAGGTTTCTACTTTGATTTGCTTTTTTAAAAATTGAAATATAATTCTCACATACCATAATATTCACCCTTTTAAAGTATATAATTCAGTGGTTTTTAGTACATAAAAAGATTTGTGCAAGCATTGCCGCTATATAATTTGAGAATATTTTCATACTTTGATTCACTGTAGAAGATTTTGTTTTGTTTTTTGAGATGAAGTCTTGCTCTGTTGCCCAGGCTGGAGTGCAGTGGCCCCATCTCAACTCGCTGCAACCTCTGCCTCCCAGGTTCAAGTGATTCTCATGCCTCAGCCTCCTGAGTAGCTGGAATTACAGGTGTCTGCAACCATGCCCGTCTAATTTTTGTGTTTTAGTAAAGACGGGGTTTCACCATGTTGGCCAGGCTGGTCTCCAACTCCTGAACTCAAGTGATCTGCCCACCTCAGTGTCCCAAAGTGCTAGGATTACAGGCGTGAGCCACCACGCCCAGCTTAGATTTTCTTATAAGTACAAGAGAATAACTAAGTATGTGCAATTAAAACACTAACAAAGATCTAGAGGGCTGAGCGCGGTGGCTCACGCCTGTAATCCCAGCACTTTGGGAGGCCAAGGCAGGCGGATCACCTGAGGTTGGGAGTTCGAGACCAGCCTGACCAACACAGAGAAACTCCGTCTCTACTAAAAATACAAAATTAGCGGGCCATGGTGGCGCATGCCTGTAATCCCAGCTACTGGGGGGCTGAGGCAGGAGAATCGCTTGAATCCGGGAGGCGGAGGTTGTGGTGAGCCGTGATTGTGCCATTGCACTCCAGCCTGGGCAACAAGAATGAAACTCTGTCTCAAAAAAAAAAAAAAAAAGAAAGAAAGATCTAGAGATCTCAAATGAACCTTGAGTCAGTAAATGTAGTGCTGTTACGTAGTCTTAAAAGGGGAACTGCACTGCAAGTAATAAGATTATGACATATATCGTGATGGAGCTTTGCGTGGTCATATGGCCATCAGGATAAACACATGAGTAACAGAAGGCTCTGTTTTGAAAGCATGAGTCTTATAATTCCATTACAGCTTGGTCCAATACTTAAGAAAGAAAAGTGCTAAACTATTAAATAAATTCCATTAAGAACTGCTGAAGAAAATTACAACTACTGGTTTCCTATTTTGTGTGTGTTGACATGATGGGAAAAAAAAAACACTGCAGTTCAATATGATAATCACATAGTAAGACAAGAAAACCAGAAAAGCTAATGTAATCTTACAAATTAGGTGATGTATGTAAAATCATTTTGGGAGTTCCAGAGGATTTACAGACATGAGCTAGTGTTACCAGGTAAACAAATTCAAAAGATATCATAGCTATATAATAGGAGCTATTGACCACACACTTAACTTATAATTTTATGGAAATAAAGATTTATAGTAAAAATAGTTGCACTTATACGGCATTTCTCATTCTTTTTAAAAAGTTATACATGTACAAGGAAAAAAATTCAAATACCACAATAGTATAAACTATAAACTATGCAAAGTATTCTTTTTTTTTTTTTTTTTTTTTTTTTTTTTGAGACGGAGTCTTGCTCCGTTGCCCAGGCTGGAGTGCAGTGGTGCGGTCTTGGCTCACTGCAAGCTCCGCCTCCCAGGTTCATGCCATTCTCCTACCTCAGCCGCGGGAGTAGCTGGGACTACAGGTGCCCACCACCACACCCGGCTAATTTTTTGTATTTTTAGTAGAGATGGGGTTTCACTGTGTTAGCCAGGATGGTCTCAATCTGACCTCGTGATCCGCCTGCCTCAGAGTCCCCAAGTGCTGGGATTACAGGCGTGAGCCACCGCGCACGGCCTAACTGCAAAGTATTCTTGACACATAGGCCCTCAGTTCTTATCCTCAAAGGCAACCTGAGTTTCCAGTTTTTAATATACCCATATGTTTTATGAATTTTATGTCAATATATCTGTTCACTTTTTTTTTCTTTTTTTGAGATGGAGTCTCCGCCTGTCGCCAGGCTGGAGTGCAGTGGCGCCATCTTGGCTCACTGCAACCTCTGCCTCCCGGATTCAAGCAATTTTCCTGCCTCAGCCACCCGAGTAGCTGGGACTACAGGTGTGCGCCACCATGCCCGGCTATTTTTTGTGTTTTTAGTAGAGACGGGGTTTCACCACGTTGGCCAGGATGGTTTCGATCTCTTGACCTCGTGATCCAACCACCTTGGCCTCCCAAAGTGTTGGGATTACAGGCGTGAGCCACCACACCCGGCCTACCTTTTTTTTTTTGGAGATGGAGTCTCCCTTTGTTGCCCAGGCTGGAGTGCAGTGGCACAATCTTGGCTCACTGCAACCTCTGCTTCCTGGGTTCAAGTGATTCTCCTGCCTCAGCCTCCCCGAGTAGCTGGGACTACAGGAGTGCACCACCATGCCCAGCTGATTTTTTTTGTATTTTTAGTAGAGACGAGGTTTCACCATGTTGGCCAGGCTGGTCTCAAACTCTTGACCTCAGGTGATCTGCCCGCCTTGGCCTCCCAAAGTGCTGGGATTACAGGTGTGAGCCACCATGCCCGGCCTTACATTTTTACTTATATCTCTGGAATAAAAATAATTGAATCTCAAAAAAATAAAAAAAGATTATGACATATAGGTACCACTGTGTCAACAGTGAAGCCCCAGCAGACACATTTGTATTCTGTCCAGTTCAAGAGCTGCTCTCTAAAAGTGATGAGAAAAAGGGTCAAAGGAGGGTAATGAAGATAATTAAAGAGCAGGAAAGTAAGATTCACAATGAAAACTTTAAAGAGTTTGCAGTTATTTAGTCTAGGAAAGGTGAGTTAAGAACGACCTTAAAGTATATGAACGGATTACTATACAGAAAATGGTGACCTTTTCTTTCACCCTCTTTCATTCACTAAGGAAAAAACAAAGAAAATGGGTTTATTTTACAGTACAAGTAGTTAGATTAGCAGAAAAAAAAGTCATGACACAGAGCCTTGTCAACCACCAGCAAGGCGGTGGCAGCAAAATGTCCTCTGAGGCTTAAAAAAATTATTTTTAATTTGAAATAATTTTAGACTTACAGAAAAGTTAATAATTCCCTTATACAGATTCCCCAATGTTAACATTTTATTGCGTTTGCTTTATCATTCCCTTTACATATATTTTGTCTGAACCTTTTGAGCATAAGTTACAGACATGATTCCTCTTTACCCCTAAATACTTCAGTAGATACTTCCACCAACAAAGACACTCTCTTGCCCAACCACAGTAATATTACAACAAATGGGAAATTAACATGGATATAAAACTATTATCTAATCTACAGATCTTTTTATTTTTTTATTTTTTACTTTTTCTGGTTCAGGATCATGTCTCTTAAAGTCCTTTAATCTGCAAAAGTTCTTCTTCAGTCTTTGTCTTTGATGGCTTTCATGTATGTAAGAGTACAGGCCAGTTATTTTATAGGCTGTTCCTCAACTTGGGTCTCTGGCGCTTAAAAACAAAACAACAGAATCTCAACGTTTTGAGAATTTTAGGTGTGGTCCTGAGCCAATACTTAAATAAGCCTCTCTCCTCAAGGTTCTTTCCAGCCACCTTACACAGATTATCCTTAGTGAATTAGATTTATAGATGGTGGTGATAGACAGTAAAACATTTTTGTATTCAGAACTGTCTTGAATTACATATATTCCAACCCCTCCACCACATTTTACCATTTTAATTTAACAAAAGTAAGTTTGTTGAAGAATGAGCACATACTCTTTAAACATTTAAGTCTTAAATTACCTGTAGACTCCCATTTTGACAATCTCACCCCTGCAGTGATGACCTATGCCCTAGGCTCAGAAGACAAAGATCTGCAAAAATGGGTGTTACTCATTACAATCATTCAACAAATATTTGTTGAGTGCCTAGTATATGTCAGGCTCTGTTCCAAGCCCTGGGAATACATTTGAGAACAACAACAACAACAACAACAAAATCCTCATCCTTGAAAATCTAGTTGGAAAGATTAACCTTTTTTTTTGAGATGGAGTCTCACTCTGTTGCCCACGCTGGAGTGCAATGGCCAGATCTCGGCTCACTGCAACCCCCCGCCTCCCAGGTTCAAGCGATTCTCCTGCCTCAGCCTCCCGAGCAGCTGGGATTACAGGTGCGCGCCACCCCGCCCGGCTAATTTTTGTGTTTTTAGTAGAGACGGGGTTTCACCATGTTGGTCAGGCTGGTCTCGAACTCCTGACCTCGTGATCCGCCTCGGCCTCCCAAAGTGCTGGGATTACAGGCGTGAGCCACCGCGCCCGGCCCAGAAAGATTAACTTTTAAATTAAAAAAAAAAAAAAAATCAGAAACCGGGATTAGACTTCCCTTAAGTCATTCATGCCGGAGGTTGCAAATTCTTTTTGTGAAAAATCACACCTTAGCGATGACCTTGAGCAGTAGGATGTAAACAACTCCCACAAGCTTAGCGTTCCAATAACGGAACACAAGGCATAAACTAAACAGGAAGAAGGCAAGTCTGTGTGAATATGTTCAACTCCAAGACTCAAGATTCTAATGTGGATACTACTGCGGAATTCCTGTTAAACGCGCTGATTTAATAAAGTCTTCGGTTTATCCAAACGGGCTACACAAATGATTAATCCAAACTCCAAAGACCTAGAAAGAACAGGCGGGGCCGGGTTTCCTCAAGTGTTCCAACCACTTTTTCAGCAAGAGTCACCTGCTTGGCGACGAGCCTCCGGACCGCCCCGCGCTATCTGTTCCACCCGGCGGGGGCCACGCACGGGGTTCCGCGTCCCTGTGAGGCGGCACCTCCTGGGCCCAGCAGAGCTGAGCACCTGGGAACCGCGCACCGAGAGCCCCACGGGGAGGTGGTTAGGGGGAACCGGCTCCTCCAGGCGGCCTCGCCCACTGCAATGCAATCTGGGTGGTTTTTCCAGGTCCCTCCCTGCCTCGTTCCGCGCCCAGTCCCTGCCCCCGCGACGCCCGAGGGCCTGGACGGGTAGCTCGGAGTTACCGGGGCTGGGGAGGAGCGAGGCTACTGCAGTAAGCCAGCCGGAACCCATTTATGACTCCGCACTCTGAAGTTCAGGACAGGGAAGCACCCACCTCTGGAACTCAAGCAGTGGACGAGGGAGGTCCCGAGCGCCGTCGCAGCGCTGCGAGTGTGGGACCCTGGCCTTCGCCCGCTCTCAGGGGACGAGAGCTGCCACCTGTATCACGGGAGGCCCCGCCTCCGCCTGCACCTTCTCCTACCAGGAAACGAGACGGCGCGGGCCTCGGGCTCCTCTCCCCCCTCCCGGGAGCTGAACCCCCACTGGGAAAGCCAGGTCTCCAGCTTCCCTTGACACGCGTCTTGAAAGGTTACCGGATTTGTACCCGGAGTGGGTTCTGCAGGGATAGGTGCATGGTTGCCCGTTTCACATCATGAATATGAACGGGGCTGGACACCTAGAGCCGAATTATTAATACTTCAGACAGAATTCTGTTCCCAAGAACAAATCGCTTTGAGATATAAAACCCGAGAAAACTTCACCTCTGGCGCTTTTCTCTCTAAAATGTCAACAAGACCCAACAACATACTGCCACCGATCTGGTGGCTGGGGGGTGATGGTTGGGGTACGAGCCTCTGGGCAGACCAAGCTGAGGTGGAGCAGGGAGGTTGTTTGGGAGCTTGGTCAAGTCAACACACTCCAATACAATGCCAAAAGCATGAGCAGAGGGAATGGGGTCAGGGCGCAGAACCTGGGAAAAAGCCTGCGTGGCCCGATTTAAGAAAATTTTTATTAGGCATGCGGATAGATGCTTTTCATTTGGGGCCCAAGGCAAATAAAAGGAAATGGGCCCCAGCTCTGGAGGATGTTCCAGCTTCGAACTAGCAGCCAGGACCAAACCAGACATAGCATTCAGAGTTGACAGAAAAAGAAGCGGGCTCCATTGTGCCTGAGTTTCCTTGCGGGGTCCCCCAGCTGCTTTGCGCGCGATAACTGCGTCCTGGGGAGTGACTAGGTGGTTGGGCGTCCAGCCCCTGGCGTCCGGCTCTGCCGCGCGCGGGGTTCCTCTCCGGAAGGTGGGCAGCGCGGCGGGTTTGGGACGAGCGTGCACCCGGGCTCCGGCCCGGAGAAGGGGGGGCTCGCAGGATTTCTCCTGCTGTTTGCACTGAAAGTTGTGTTGGCTCAGGAGCTGCTTTTCCGGGGATCTGCAGTTGCCCCCGCCACCTCCTGGCTGCGGTTGGCAGGTCCCTCCCTCAGCAGTTCGTCCTCCGCCTGCGCCGCGCCCTGGGCAGCTCCGCGCCCCGGGCCTCACCTCTGGCCTCCTTTCGCCTCCCTGCACCTGGCCTTTTCGCTTGACCGTTCAGAACCTTCGGCTTCGTTCCCTGCAGCCGGTATTCTCCGAGCCCCCCTGCACCTCTCAGTTACCTCCAGTGGGAACCCCTCCCCCCAGCGACTCCGAGCCCTTTACCTCTCTGAGCCCTTTCCCCGTCTGGCCTCGTCTACCCTCTGGGTGTCAACCGCCTCTTCCCTGCCCCTCACGTCTCCCCCTCCTCCTCCCCTGCCCTCGCCTCTCCATTCATCCAGCCATTGTCTCCCGCCCCTTCCTCCCCCTCCCGAAGCGGCCTCCTCCCCCACCGCTGCCACGTCGTGGTTTGAAGGAGCCAATGGGCCGGCGCCGCCAGGTGTCTCTTACCTGCACCACGTGGGGGAGGGGGAAGGGGCGGGCAGGTAAAGCCACATCCCAAAACAGAAAAGCTTTCAGCCATTGCGTGCCTCCCGGGGGGGGCAGCCTTGCTCCAGGCTTTTTGCATAGACGCCCGGGCAACTGAATACAAAAAGGGCAGGCCTCCTGCGCCCTCCTTCCCACCCCCCTTCCTGCCCTGGGCGTGGAGCACCGACCAGGTGTGGGCTTGGGTGGTTGGTTACCGCCTTTTGCACTAGCAGTAGCAAGGAAGGGGGGTGGGCGCTCTTTCTTTTTCTCTTAGAAGAGGGTTTAGCACAGGTTTTTTCGTTCTCACTTCCACACCACCTTACCGCCTCCCGACCCCCCCTCTCCCCCTCCCCACCTATCGTCATGACGGCCTCTCCGGATTACTTGGTGGTGCTTTTTGGGATCACTGCTGGGGCCACCGGGGCCAAGCTAGGCTCGGATGAGAAGGAGTTGATCCTGCTGTTCTGGAAAGTCGTGGATCTGGCCAACAAGAAGGTATTTCTCCACATTTTCGTCTAAATGCAAGGAATGGGGCAAGAAGTTTGTGGTAGAGGTTTGGGCGGGGAGGGGGGTGGAGGTAAGTAAATAAGTGCTCTTGTTTGCCCACTTGTGAGTCTGGACCCGAGGCCTAGGGAAGCTAGAGTAAAACCAAACTTATTGGCCAACTGCCTTGGAGCCATTTCAGTCCTCCGCAACTTAGCTCAGGTGGAGAGGCCGGCGCTACCGAGCCGGGTTCTTTGCCCGTCGGGGGACGCTCCGCCGAGACGAGGTGGGGTCTCGGAGGCCCCGGGGTCCACTTCCAGGGCTTTTCCGACCTATCGGGTGGGGGGTGGGGCGGGGGGCAGGAACGCACCGGAACCGATGGCGAGTCGAGAGCTTTGATTCTGCGTCCGGACCCCAAGAGAGGCGCGGGCCGCCCCAGCAGGGGAGCGAGGGAGGAGGGTGCAGAAAGAGGCTCCGAAATTGGGGGAAACTGACCCGTGCTTCTCTACCTTCGGAGGTGGGACAGTTGCACGAAGTGCTAGTTAGACCGGATCAGTTGGAACTGACGGAGGACTGCAAAGAAGAAACTAAAATAGACGTCGAAAGCCTGTCCTCGGCGTCGCAGCTGGACCAAGCCCTCCGACAGGTGACAACCCCGGGTCACGCCACCCACCCCAGCCTGGGCCCAACCCCACCGCACCCTACGCCCTCTCAGGGCGGCCCACGCGTGTTCCCGGAGCAGGGTGGCGAGACGCCTGCCCGGCCGCGTGGGTGGGAGCCCAGCCTGAGGGCCGGGGCGCACCGTTTGGGCGGGGGTCGCTGCTTCTCTTCATCTCCCAGCCCCCAGGGTTTGGGACCGACATTCACTAGTTTTCGAGTTGCTTCCTGAGTAGTTACTGGAGCCGGAGAGTCAGCTCCATTTTGCCAATTGATTGACGTGCGGAGTTTGAATCCTAGCGCCCCCATCTCCAGGTCCAGACCCCAGACGCGCCGCTCCCCTGCGGGGTTTGGGCCCACAGCCTTCGGGCAGGGGGCGCTGTGGCGTAGACGTGCAGGTGGGCCCGGCGGGTGTGCAAGAAGTAGCACTGTGGGTTGGAACCTGAAGGTGCCTGCCTGGTTTCAGGCTTCTGAACTCCCAACGAAAGGCTCGGTCCGTCATTATTTCTTTAGTGGCCTTGGTCCCACTGCCAGGGAGGTTTTTCAGGTCCGAACGTGCAAGGCTGCCCGTTGTGTCACTGCGGAACTGATGGAATCCCCTTATTAGGACTGAGGTGACCTAAAAACCGGCTGTTCCGGGGTGCTGACGGGTGCCGGATCGGGTAGGGCGGGGCGCTAAACACCTGTGCACAGATGAATGCTCTGCGTTCTCACGACCTCTGCCCTAGCACACGAGCTTCGAGTTATAGGAGAAAGCTATCCTTCCTGGGGTGTATTCATCCAAGACTTTCCAGATCTGTATACCCAATACCCGTATTTGTTTATTAGAAGCTGGCATCTTTCTTAAGCCTGGCACATCCAAACATATAAAAAGTAACACTAGGGAATGATGTAATCTGCAGGCAACCTGCTGATGAAATGAGACATCTGACTTAAGTCTTGAATGAATTTTTTTTGTAAAAACAGAAGGGAGAATGCATTGACAAGTTTCTCCTGGGCGCGAACTGCGGATTGATTGGAAAGCTTCCCTACCTCGAGGAAGCTAGACGGTTCGTGGGAAAGGAGTCTGTCCAAGGTTGCCCCAGCACCGGTGTCACCCATCAGGGCCCTTATTGCGGTTTTCTCTGGCTATCACCAAGGGGAGCTACTTTGCAGAGTTTGTAAATCGTGCATCAGTTGCATCCCTATGTGTATCTTGTTCTTGCAGTTTAACCAGTCAGTGAGCAATGAACTGAATATTGGAGTAGGGACTTCCTTCTGTCTCTGTACTGATGGGCAGCTTCATGTCAGGCAAATCCTGCATCCTGAGGCTTCCAAGAAGGTAAGAGTGCTGGCTTCTGGGAAAAAAATGGTTGGAGCTTTGGGGTGACTGGAGGTTTTTAAAAATTTTTGGTTTATTCAAGTTTCTCTGTTCTTAAAAAGATGCATATAGGGAGTTATTTAATGAGTACAGAATTTCAGTTTGGGAAGATGAAAAAGCTCTGGAAATGGATGGTGTTTATGGTTGCAAAATATGTTAATGTACTTAATGTTTTACTGAACCATACTCTTAAAAATTATTAAAATGGTAAATTTGGTGTTATGTATATACAAAGATACTCTTTGGTGACTTAAAATAGTCTCTTTGTTTACGTCCAATTTTCAAGATGCATGACACTTCCCTTTTCCGAAGCTAATACAGAGTGTGAATTTTTGACATTTAAAATAACTACAAAGAGAGGAAAGAACTATTCTTTAGTATGTCATAATATCCTCATTTGTGTTGGAAATGCTATATCCTAGAAAGGAAGGAAAAAAGAATTAAACATTTAAAGTTGTATTTCTAATCATTTCATTAAAAAGGCTACTTAAATAAGATAACCTTATATCTAGTGAAACCACAATCGTAGCACTCTTCACTTTGTCTGATTTTAAGTCAATGTTCAAAACATTCTTGCATCAAAACAAAAGGGTCAGCCTCATCTTTTACCTTTGCTCATTTTTCTGACAGAGAGAGGATTACAGAGTGAGAGAAATACAGTCTTACTATAGGTAAAATGTGATTTCTCTCCCTGGGATAAATACTGAGGGGCTGTGGGAAAAGGAACAGCAGAGACAACCCACCCAGTGTAGCCAATCATTGTTAATACACTGTCTCTTAACAACTTAAATTAGTTTGAGCTGTAACTTTTTATTGTGGTAGGCAGGCACCGAGCTTGAAAAGATGGAAGTAGAATATATTTAGGTACCTGTATAAGGCAAGGCTTGCAATGAAAGATGTAGACTGACAAATGACGACCCAGGCAAGTAAGTGCAGATTTTATTTCGTTTAATATATTATGACAATTCAAAAAGTTTGAAGGAGTAACTCAAGTTGTTATGTCTTCAGAAAATCATTCCTTTTATACGAGTCTTAGTAATTATTTGACAAAAGGGGAAGAATTTTTTTAAAAAATTAAATGCTAGACTAGTCGCTACATCCTTACCAGAAATAGTAATATGTAAGGATTACTTTTTTACTCCCAAACTCACATGACGGAAGGACAAGACTTAATCTTTTCCCTGTTGGGCCAGAGGAAAATAGCTGTTTTCATTATTTAGGTGGAGTGCTTTGGGTGTAGGAAAACATCTGGAGAAAAATTAAGACTTTTTCCTCAGCCACAGCTATTAGAATTTTGATTAAATACAGAAACTAAAACAATTAATGTTATAGTGAAAGTAATTCTGTATATTCGTTAAAGAAAAGGGAAAATGGCAAAACATGAAATAATCCTGCCACTCAATATATTAAAATGTTTTTCTCTAACATGAATGTATTTGGATATATTCTTCTAGATTTCTGTAGACAAGCATTATTTACAAAGAGCATTCATACGGCGTAAGCCTTTTAGCCTACATTATTTAATAGAACATCAACATTGTTATAACCACTAAATAAAATACTCAGTATTTTAAATGGACACAACAATTTAAACTGATTATTGTTGAACATGTGAGTTATTGTCCTTACAAATAGCTTTTAAATGAGCATTTTTGTAGGTAATAGGGAGGTTTCATGGTTCTTTTGGTTGTTAACTTTTTTAAAAGCTGTGACCATGATGCAGCAATACTGATTTCAAAATACAGCATGAACAGGTCACATCTAGTAAAATCCAATAGAAGGAACTTGGAGAGGAGATATTTTGCATGAACATTTAACATTTAAAAGTCTTAATTTCCTTGATGTTCTAATGTAAAAATGGGTAAAAATTCCCAGCAAATTAACACAATTTCAAAATTTTAAGAAAAATCTGAATTGAGTTTTTAAAAGGATTATCTTTAAAAGTTATCCAATGCTGGGTTATTTTGTTAAGAAAAAAAAAAACAAAGGAAACAATAGTGTAATATTTGTCCAGACAGTTGAGCTTTGCTTCGTAGCCACGGTAGTGGTCCTAATAGCTAAGAACAGCAGGTAACCATTTCTCCTTTGCCTTTGGGATTTGTGAGTTTGTTTTTGTTTGTGTTTGAAGTCTAATTTGAGTTCACAGGTACAGCTACAATATTGTTCAAGAAGACTAATGTGGGACTATTATTTGGCACAGAAATAAGCCTTTTCAGTTAATCAGGAATTTACTATTCTAATCTCACTTATTACTGAAAATATGCATTATTAGAACCCAATAGTTAGAACTACCCAGTTTTACAATCTAATCCCACACCTGTGTGAAAACTGAAAGGGCTGCTAGTGCTGCCTGAAAATACAGATGTTCTAAAATGGTTATGGCTGGAAAAAATTAGTATTAACAGCCAGAAAATATGAAGTATAACAGCACAAATGTATCACAGCTTCAGAATTGTTTTGAATGGAATGCATACTGGAGCACAAACATTGTAATCCACTGCCTTAAAACAAGAGGAATTTTTTTCATGAGACTTGTACATAGGATCTAATATAGAAACAGGACCAACTTTTAAAAATAAATCTACTTTTACATTAAATTTTAAATTTTTCCATTGTAAAATATGCTTATATTCAATTTTTAGGTTCCTAATTGTGAGAGAAACATTGAACCAAATTCACCTAGTTAACATTATCTACCTTGTCCTTCCTCAGAATGTACTATTACCTGAATGCTTCTATTCCTTTTTTGATCTTCGAAAAGAATTCAAGAAATGTTGCCCTGGTTCACCTGATATTGACAAACTGGACGTTGCCACAATGACAGAGTGTATCCTTTAAATCATTACTCAAGAATCATTTGAAAAGATAGTTCCAGAAAAGGTAATTCAAGAAACTTTCAAACATTTTAAATTTTGTCAGCATATGGATAAAATTGGCCTATCCAAAATTTGTTTACTCTGCTGAGAAACTAAAATACAATTATAGACATCTTTGAAAGTGGTTATAATTAATCAGATGGTTGGACGGATTTGGAGATGGATTTTTTGGTGGGGTGATCACATGTAGAATAGGATTCAGTTTCAGCTGTGTAATGTGTGTGTGTGCTGCAGAAAGAACATGAAGACTTTAGTGCAGATTCTAAGGCCACTTTTTCTTGGTTACTGTGATTTTAGGGTTTATTTTGGCTTCTTTGGAATGAAGTCAATAATTTTTTTAATTGGTGGATATATCCCCTTTACAAACTGCTGTTCACTGGTCCCGCTTTTAGCCTCCCCTGAGTTTTTCAAATACAAGATTATGCTGATTATAATAAGCCATCTTTGGAGATGATAAAATGGGGTCTGGATTGTCCCCCACATTCTTTAGTTACCAAAATAATATATTTGATGCATGATATATTGTAAAAGTAATTTTATAATTACAAATCTATAATCATGAATGACCCGTCATCTTACATTCATTAAGTCTTTCAAATGCTAACTAATAAGCAGGCGTGTGCTAATATATCAGATGTAAAGTTGAGTAATTGTTACCTTGAGTGGCTTCCCAAAAGCCACTGTGAGAGTCATCATGAAGTTAAAACTAAGTTAACTTCAGTAGCTTGTGGGTTGTAGATGCTTATTCCCAAACTTTCTCATTCATTTTCAGGAATTAAAACCTGGTTTTTGTGTTACTTCACGATTTTTTTTCCTGATTGAAGTTTGCTCGCATATATTTCATAACTACTTGTAAACAGGTCAAATCCGTTTTCATTTGCCTTCTTCTTGGAGTCAGTTAGCTGGAATTTTGGCTTAGCATGACCAGTAGTGTTGGGAAGAGGGTGGAATAAGCTCATTGTGACAGAATTCTTACAAGAATTTTGTTAAAAAGGTTAGTACACCAGAAAAATTCTCACTGGTTTTTCTGTTGGGTTGAATGTTGTATTAGACAGCTCAAGCTTCCATAACAAATACCATAGACCACGGAGCTTAAACAAAAGAAATTTACTTTCTCACAGTTCTGGAGGCTGGGATGTCCAAGATCAGGGTGTCAGCATGGTCAGGTTCTGGTGATGGCTCTTCCTGGCTTGCAGGTAGCCAGCCACCTTTTCTGGGGGGATAGCAGGAGGAGTTATCTTCTTACAAGGTCACTGCCCTATCTAATTAGACCCCTCCACCCTTTGACCATCATTTAAACTTAACTTCTAAAGACCCTCTCTCCAGATAGTTACATTGGGGGTTGGGCTTCAACATAGGACTTTGGGGGAGGTGGAGGACACAATTCAGTTCTTAAGTATATATTAAACTTTTTAATGTGGATAGTTGGTCTTCCACAAAATAGAGAACCAGAGTACCTACTGAAAAATTAGAAGGCAGTGGAGGAAAAATCTAATAAGCTATCTTAATTTAGAAAAAGACAACTTCTGGCTGGACATGGTGGCTTATGTCTGTAATACCAGCACTTTGGGAGGCTGAGGAGGGAGGATGGGTTGAGACCAGGAGTGCTGACACCAGCCTGGGCATTATTGCGAGAACCCATCTCTACAAAAAGTAAAATGAAATAAAAATATTTTAACAAACGAAAAAGATAACTTCAGTAGGAAAGGAAGTATATTAAGGATTGTTGTGCCAGGGCAATATAGAGAAACCCCATGTCAACAAAAAATAAAAAAATTAGCTGGACGTGGTTGCATGAGACTGTAGTCCTAGCTACTTAGGAGGCTGAGGTGCAAGGATTGCTTGAGCCCAGGAAGTCGAGGCTGCAGTGAGCTATGATTGTGCCACTACACTCCAGCCTGGGTAACAGAGCAAGACCCTGTCTCAAAAAAAGTGGATTTTATTCTTAAATGTTTTAATATTTAATATCGTACTTGTACATGTCTTTCTCATTTAACAAGTTAGAAATGCTAATAAGCTTTCTTAGCAACGGTTTTTATGTTATATTGCTGCTGTGGTGAGTTATTTTATGACTACTATTCAGAGGAATACTTATTTCCCTGTCTAGGCTACCAGACCAATTTCTGAGGCTAAAAGCAATTATGTCCAATCTGAATATCAACTTGTGCTCATCTATGCAAAGTATTTCTACAATGTCTGAATTGAATTGTTCCGTTCTTTCAGAGCATTAAACATTTTCCTTGCCAATATGGAAGTGACGCTGAATTGGGAGATCTGTAGTCATTAAACATTCTTGATGGTTTTGCCAAGTGGACAGAAGGTCATTTGCTCTTGAGGAATTACCTGTTTCACCTGGTAAACCAGTGGGGGAGGGAAAGGGGCTTCTGTAAACACCTGGAGAAGAGCAGATAAGAGAATGTGCAGGTTGAAGTGTTTAATTTTTTTTGTCGTGAAATACTTGTATCCTTGATTGGTTGTTTTAAACGAGGATACAGAAATATCAATTTGGACCCTCAGTGATGTCACAATATTCTAAGTGTTTTGGAAACATGCTTTATTAACTTTACATCCAAGTAAATTTAAAATTTTTAACAAAAATCCATTTTTGGCTGGGCACGGTGGCTCATGCCTGTAATCCCAGCACTTTGGGAGGCCGAGGCAGGTGGATCACTTGAGTTCAAGAGTTCAAGATCAGCCTTGCCAACATGGCGAAACCCCGTCTCTGCTAAAAATAGAAAAATTAGCCGGGCATGATGACGCACATCTGTAATCCCAGCTACTCAGTAGGCTGAGGCAGAAGAATCACTTGAACCCAAGAGGCAGTGAGCCGAGATCATACCATTATACTCCAGCCCAGGTGACAGAGTGAGATTTAAAAAAAAATTATTTTTCAAATTTTGGAGATGGGTCCTCATATTTTGCCCTGGCTTCTCTCAAACTCCTGGCCTCAAGCCATCCTCCTGTCTTGGCCTCCCAAAATGCAGGGATTATAGGTGTTTGCCACCATATCCTGGCCTCATTTATTTTTTAATTAGTAGGCTTTATTTTTTTGAGATGTAGTCGTGCTATGTTACCCAGCCTGGTCTCAGACTCCTGAACTCAAGCAATTCTGCCTCAGCCTCTTGAGAAGTTTGGATTACAGGTGCATCTGCTATACCTGTAATCTCAACTTTTTATTATTATTATTATTTCTTTCTTTGAGACAGAGCCTCCCTCTGTTACCCAGGCTGGAGTGAAATGGCGTGATCTCGGCTCACTGCAACCTTCGCCTCCTGGGTTCAAGCGATTCTCCTGCCTCAGCCGCCCAGGTAGCTGGTATTACAGGCGCCCGCCACTATGCCTGGCTAATTTTTGTATTATTAGTAGAGATGGGGTTTCACCATGTTGGCCAGGCTGGTCTCCAACTCTTGAGCTCAAGTTATCCACCCATCTCGGCCTCCCAAAGTGCTGGGATTACAGGCGTGAGCCACTGCACCCGACCCCAACTTTATTTTTTAGACCAGTTTTAGGTTTAGAGCAAAATTGGGCAGAAAGTATAGTGTTCCTATATAACCCTTGTTACACACATACATACACACTCTCACTCACTCCCCCACTGTCTACATGCTGCACCATTGAGCAGAAAGTATATTGTTCCTATAGAACCCTTGTTATTCTCTCCCTCTTCCTCTCCCTGCTCCTTCCCTTCCTCTCCTTCTCTCCCCGTGCCCCCTCACTGTGAAAGTGCTGTACCAGAGTGGTACATTTGTTACACCTGATGAGCCTACATTGACATGTCAATATTACCCAAAGTTCATAGTTTACATTGGGGTTTACTTTTGGTCTTGTACATTCTATGGATTTTGACAAACGTATAATGACATCTATCTACCATTGTGGTATCAAAATACATTGTAGCAATAGCATAGTATAGAATTTTTTTGTTTGTTTTGTTTTTTTTTACCTGCTACCTTAAAGTCTTTTATCCCTAATAGAATAGTTTTATTGCCTTAAGAATCCTCTGTACTTTGGCCAATCATTCCTCCCTCTCCCTTAACCCCTGACAACCACCAATCTTTACTGTCTCTGTAGTCTTGGCTTTTCCAGGAGGTCATATAGTTGGAATCATGTAGTATGTAATCTTTTCAGATTGTCTTTTTAGCCGGTAATATGCATTTAAGATTACTCCATGTCTTTTTGTGGCTTTATAGTTCCTTTTTAGCACTGAATTCCATTGTTTGGATGTATGGTTTGTTTATCCATACACGGTTTGTTTATCCAAACATGGTTTGTTTATTCGCCTACTGAAGGACATCTTGGTTGCTCTCAAGTTCTTGCAAATATGAATAGTGCTGTTATAAACATCACGTGCAGGTTTTCATATGGACATAGGTTTTTTAAATCATTTTTATTTTTTTTTGAGACGGAGTCTTGCTGTATTGCCCAGGCTGGAGTGCAGGGGCGCGATCTTGGCTAACTGCAAGCACCGCCTCCAGGTTCACACCATTCTCCTGCCTCAGCCTCCCGAGTAGCTGGGACTACAGGCGCCCGCCCATGGCTAATTTTTTGTATTTTTAGTAGAGACGGAGTTTCACCATGTTAGCCAGGATGGTCTCGATCTCCTGACCTCGTGATCCGCCCGCCTTGGCCTCTTAAAGTGCTGAGATTATAGGCGTGAGCCACCACTCCTAGCCTAGGTTTTTTATTTATTTTGGTAAGTACCAAGGAGTGTGACTGCTGGATCATATGGGAAGAGTGTCATTTTTTATATCTCACTGCAATTTTTGTGTTTAAGGCAGACTTTTTTCCAGGGGGAATGGTGAGGGAAAGCAATGAGGCCTTGCATTTAAAAAAACAGTATGTGGAACTTGAATAATATGCAGTATTTCAAGGCATTTATGGAAGATGAAAGAAAATTATAGTGTGGTCTTTTTTTTTTTTTTTTTTTTTTGGGCAAAGTCTCACTTTTGCTCAGGCTGGAGTGCATTGGTGCTGTAATGCTATCGTGGCTCACTGTGGCCTCAAACTCCTGCACCCTAGGCAAGTAGTTGGGACTGCAGGCCTGCACCACTGTGCCAGGCCAATGTTGTGTATTTCTAATGGAAGAGGACACTAAAACCCAAGTTGTAGAGTCACAAAGTCTGAGCTGAGTATACCCTGCTACACAGCAGCTTTGCTTTCCTGGGAGTTACTTGTGTCTACCGAGCCAAACTTTAATCTTGAGTATTCCAAAATGAAAGCTTTGTAAGTGAAGTGCTATGTAAATGAAAAAGTAGGACCATTTTGATGACAAAAGGGTTTAGGAATTTTTTTTTCTTTTTTTTGAGATGGAGTCTTACTCTGTTGCCCAGGCTGGAGTGCAATGATGCAATCTTGGCTCACTGCAACTTCCACCTCCCAGAATCAAGCGATTTTCCTGCCTCAGCCTCCCAGGTAGCTGGGACTATAGGAGCCCTCCACCTCGCCTGGCTGATTTTTGTATTTTTAGTAGTATTTAACCATATTAAACAGGCTGGTCTTGAACTCCTGACCTCAGGTTATCCACCCACCTCAGCCTCCCAAAGTTCTGGTTTTATAGGCGTGAGCCGCCACACTTGACCAGGAATTGAGTGTAGTTCTGGTTCTTATTTTTGGCACTTCTTTCCCTCTTTTGTCTTTGTATTTGTTCTAAAACGCCTTTTTTTTTTTTTTTTTTTTTTTGACAGAGTTTCTGTCTTGCCCATGCTGGAGTGCAGTGCGCAATCTTGGTTCACTGCAACCTTCACCTTCTGGGTTCAAGCAATTCTCCTGTCTCAGCCTCCCAAGTAGGTGAGATTACAGGCATGTGCCACCATGCCCAGCTAATTTTTGTATTTTTAGTAGGTACGGGGTTTCACCATGTTGGCGAGGCTGGTCTGGAACTCCTGACCTCAGGTGATCTGCCCTCCTCGGCTTCTCAAAGTGCTGGGATTACAGGCGTGAGCCACTGCGCCTGGCCCTCAACACATTTCTGATGTTGGTGTTAGGCCTTTGAGTTATTCCAGTTGCATTGTTGTCTGCTTTTGAATTATGTGATGCTAGCTGAGAAGACCTCATCTAGCAGGTAAACTGGATTGCATGTTGTAAGCTTTTTACTTAATCAAGTGAGGATGGTGAGGGTGTGAGATGATAGGGACGGGGGCTTCTGTGGTTTTTTTTTTTGAAATTATCTTAGATCCCTTACGGAAATTAATACTAGTTATCTCCTGCTGAAAGGACATTTGTGTAAATGGCTTCTTTTATTCATTTTCTTTTAAACCCATTTTTTTCCCCACTAATGTTGGATGGAATTACTTCCTGATTTCTTAACCTGCTTTTTGTTAGCTGTTTGTCAGGAACTTACTTATTCTCACTAATCAAGACTTCTAATATTGTGTTTACTTCCCTTTGCCAAGCATTTATTAAGATCTTATTTTTCTGAAAGTGTGGTAAGGAGGACAGGTGAAAAAAACTATCAATTGACTTCTTACTACATATGCCATGAACGGCTCAGTGGGGAGCTTTCATCCCCATTTTATCACTAGGGAAACTGAGGCTTAGAGGCTTTGTCTTTAAGTTATATGCTCTAGCATCCAACAATATACAAGGTGAAATATTTTAGAATGTATACAATCATTTGAGGCACGTTGGCTACCTCAAATAGGTTATCTCCCTTTTAAGTTAATATCCTGTGTTTCCTCGGCACATATCAAACCATTAAAGCAGTAAAGTTAATTTTGTAAAATATGTATTCCATGATAGGGTATTGCATTTGTATGTGCTGTTTGACGTGATTATGATTGCCATTTCACTAGGGCAAATTTCCATTATCAGGAAAAAAAAATCACTAAACTGCTCATGCCTACCCATTCAAAGGTTATTAGGGTGTGTATATTTCATCACTTCTTGGGGGGTGTAAAGGATTTGGGTGTGTGTGCACATATGTGTGCTCTATTATCAGTGTGTGACATTAGCCTGTTTTTCCTGTAGGTTACAATTGGGGATAATAGGATAGTAGTTAAGAACATGAACACTGGGGGCAACTTATTTGAATCTTCAGCCTCAGATTCCCCATCTTAAAATGGGTAAGACTATTGTATAAGGATTAATGAGATAATGTGTGCTGCCACTTAGCTGGTGGTTGGCCTGCCCCACACTCTGCAATGTTGACTGATCCTGTGGACCCCACCAGGTTGTCGGGTGTCTCAGAACAGGAAAAACGGCTGGCAAGGGACTTTGAAAAGGACTTCCTTATTGTTTTAAAACCTTATGTAAACCATTTTACACATATAAATTTTTTTAACCTTATGTGAGACTAGAGGTAGACCTTTCAAAGCATCAGCTACATGTTAGTACAGGTAAACTTGAAGGTTAGGAGTTTATTCTAACAGTGAAATGAGCTGGGGCTTTATAATTGTACAAACCTTCCCTGCCCTGCTGTAAAGGTGAAGGCAAACACCGAATCCTCATTGGTACTTTTCTGTGTATGAAAGGGATATATATATATATAAAATCAAGTATACAGTTAAGCTGGACCAGTAGTTGACCTTGTTAGCTGGAGGTGGAAGGAATTATCTCTGGCATCACATTGGCATAACATGAGCCAAATCGGCATGGACACTGGCCTGTCATCTGCAGTGAGTGAAGTGACTAGAAATACTGCATATTCCTTGCCAGCCCTCAGACTGATGTTAATTACGTGTGGTTTGTTTTAATTATAAAATATTTTGGCCTGGTACAGTGGCTCACGCCTGTAATCCCAGCACTTTGGGAGGCGGAGGCAGGTGGATAATGTGAGGTCAGGAGTTTGAGAACAGCCTGGCCAACATGGCGGAACCCCGTCTCTACTAAAAATACAAAATTATCTGGGTGTGGTGGTGGGTACCTGTAATCTCAGCTACTCAGGAGGCTGAGGCATGAGAATCGCTTGAACCTGGGTGGCGGAGGTTGCGGTGAGTCAAGATCGCACCATTTTACCCTAGCCTGGGCGACAGAGTGAGACTCCATCTCAAAAAAATAAAATATTTTACTTTTAAAATGGGAGTTTGGAAATTCCAAGTTAATCCTTTTGTTTTAGAAAGCTTCGGAAGACTTGTTACCAAGGAGTCTCCTTTTCCTAATTTGTTTATCCCATATAAATGTCTTTTTCCAAAGTAAAGTTTTTCATCTCCTTTGTTGAATGAGACCCTATCTCCATCTTCTTTCTTCTAGGGTATAATTGACTTACTAGGTTTGTTGGAAATCCTTCTGTGTGACTCTTCAGTACAATAATATCTCCAAGAAGTAATATTTGTTAGGTAGGGATCTTATTTTTTACCCTCTAAGAGTAAGAGGCTGGGTGCAGTGGCTCATGCCTGTAATCTCACCACTTTGGGAAGCTAAGGCAAGAGGATCACTGGAGCCCAGAAGTTCAGGACCAGCCTAAGCAACACAGGGAGACCCTGTCTCTACAAAAATAAATCTAAAAATTAGCTAGGTGCTTAAAAATAAGCACACTCCTGTGGTCCATGCTACTTGGGAGGCTGAGGTGGGAGGATCACTTGAGCCCAGGATGTCAAAGCTATAGTGAGCTGTAATCACGCCACTGCATTCAAGCCTGAAGATCCTGCCTCAAAAAAAAAAAAAGAAAAAAAAAGTAAGCTGAGAAGTAAGGTTTAAAACTAAGGTTGTATTCAACCTGAGAAAGCTGGTTGGGAGAAGACAAAACTAGGGTTTTAAGTATGTGTGTATCTGTGTCTGTGAGGTTTTTTGGGTTTTTTGTGTGTGTGTGTGTGTGTGTGTTTTGTTTTGTTTTGTTTAGTTTTTTTTGATACGGCGTCTCACCCAGGCTGGGGTGCAGTGGTGCGATCTCAGCTCATTGTGACCTCTGCCTCCTGGGTTCAAAGGATTCTCATACCTCAGCCTCCCAAGTAACTGCTGGAATTACAGATGTGCATCACCACACCTGGTTAATTTTTGTATTTTACTTTTAGTTTCACCATGTTGGCCAGGCTGGTCTCAAACTCCTGGTGTCAAGTGATCCACCCGCCTCGGCCTCCCTAAATGCTGGGATTACAGGGGTGAGCCACCACACTTGGCATCTTTTTTTTTTTTTTAATTTTATTTTTATATTTTTCACTCCTCTCAGCTCATACCTAGGTTTTAGATGTTTTTCCCCCGCATTTTATTGCTGGTGTTAAATAGTTTTGGTTGTCTTGACTTCTCATTGTATTTTCTTATGGTGACATTTTTTGTTTCCTTCAAAGCTCACTTTAAAATATATCAGGTTATATGTAGAACTTACATTTAAAATTATGCAACCAAACTGGGCACGGTGGCTCAGGCCTGTAATCCCAGCATTTTGGGAGGCTCAGGTGGGCAGATCACTTGAGCTCAGGAGTTTGAGACCAGCCTGACCATCTGGTGAAACCCTGTCTCTACAAAAAATACAAAAATTAGCCAGGCATAGTGGCATTCGTCTGTAATACCAGCTACTTGGGAGGTCGAGGTTGGACAATCATTTGAACCCGGGAAGCGGAGGTTGCAGTAAGCCGAGATCACGCCACTTCACTCCAGCTTGGGCAACAGTGAGACCCTGTCTCGAAAAAATAAATTAGGCAGACAGCTAGGTTTGGTGGCACACTCTTGTAATGCCAGCTACTCCAGAGGCTGAAGCTGGAGGGTCGCTTGAATCCCAGGAGTTCTGGGCTGCAGTGCGGTATGCCCATCCAGTATCCACAGTAGGTTCATCATCAATATGGCGACCTCCGGGAGTGGAGTGGAGGGTTGCCTAAGGTGGGGTGAACTGTCCCAGAAACAGAGCAGGTTAAAACTCATGCTCTTGTGCTGATCAGCAGCGGGATCGCACCTATGAATAGCCACCACACTCCAGCCTAGGCTACATAGCAGGACCCTAGTCTCAAAAAAAAAAAAAAAAAAAAAATTTTTTTGAGACGGAGTCATCGTCTGTCGCCCAGGCTGGAGTACAGTGGCGCGATCCCGGCTCACTGCAAGCTCCGCTTCCCGGGTTCAAGCCATTCTCCTGCCTCAGCCTCCCGAGTAGCTGGGACTACAGGCGCGTGCCACCACGCCCGGCTAATTTTTTGTATTTTTTTAGTAGAGACGGGGGTTTCACCATGTTAGCCAGGATGGTCTCGATCTCCTGACCTTGTGATCCGCCCACCTTGGCCTCTCAAAGTGCTGAGATTACAGGCGTGAGCCACCACGCCCGGCCCATAAAGGTAACTCTTTTAAGAGTAACATCTCTATCACATGATTTTAGAAAATTCAGTTTTTAGTTAGAAGACTAATAAACTTTTCTCTTTTTTTCTTGCTGTATTTTATCAGCTACTCCTTTGTTCATTAGCATAGGTATTATAAGTCTGGCAGCATGAAATTGTGTTACTATACAATAAATGAAAGTAAACAAAAGGAATGGATTTAATGTCTTGTGACATTTTTCTTATGGCAAGGAAAAATGGCTTTCAGATGACACTTCAAATTGGAGTAATTATAAAATAGTTTAAACTTGTCTGAGTTAATGTATTACCTTATTAAAAACTTAGTTTAAAAAGATATTTACAAGTAAAAATTGGATGTTCTGAAACCAGATGTGACCATTTTTAGGTAATTGGGAAGGATAACTTTTTAAAGTAGATAAGCTAATATTGATAAACCATAAAATTTCTCTCTGAATTATATCCTCAGCTAATGTAAGTGTGGATTAAATCCTCAAGCCTGTTTCACCAGTGGTGGTCATAAGGAAAGTGTCCCTCCTGTTAATATATAGACCAAGTCTCTCTAGACTCCTCTAACATGCATATAAAGTTTTACTTGCTCAGTTGCAGCCTGAAATGATGAGTTTTGTTCCCACTGCCTCTGCCTGTACCCTTCCTCATTTCCTTGAGGCATTTCTCATTTGTGAAGCTGGCTAAGCCTGTTTGTACTGTTGTGACTGCCTTGAGGGCAGAATGAGTAAGTTGCATGAGGAGCTATAAATTAGGAGGCACAGACTCATCTTTCCTTTCCTCAAGATCAGACGTGCAGCAAGTAATCCAATATATACTTATAAATTGATAAGGGAAAGAATTGCTACTAAAACTTTTTTTCTCATTCCTCTCTGTTACTCGTTTTCAGTGATGCTAAGGATCATAGATTGAAGAAACTGGCCTATTGAGGCTGTGTGCGTGTGTGTGTGTGTGTGTGTGTGTGTGTGTGTAAGGAGATGGCTTGGGCATTCAGGAGGTTGGGTGACTTTTACAAGTTGTTACACAGCTCAGCACCACTCATCCTGGTGTGACGCTGATCCTGGTGTGCGATGGCTCAAAGGGAGACATGTTGGGACGTGTTATGTGGCACCAAGGTAGTAGCCAAATGTCAAGAACATTTTCTGAGTTAAAAAGTAGAATTCATTAAAATGATTCTTCAGCTACAAGTCTATTTCTAACCAGGCAGGAATGCTTTACATTTTTACTTTTGATCTCTGTCTTCTTCAGTTGGCTTTTATCTATGAATTTATAAAACTTCTCTCACACTATTGCTCAATAGTCAAATCATAGCTTTCGTGTAATCCCACCTCCATTACCCATCAGCCAGGTGACTGGGTGAACTACTGAACATCACTCAATCCCAGTGGTTTGTTTGCGATGGAGTCTTGCTCTGTTACCCGGGCTGGAGTGCAGCGGCCATGATCTCGGTTCACTGCAACCTCTGCCTCCAGGGTTCAAGCGATTTTTGTGCCTCAGCCTCCTGAGTAGCTGGGATTATAGGCGTCCGCCACCACATCCGGCTAATTTTTGTATTTTTAGTCGAGACAGGAGTTCACCATGTTGGCTAGGCTGATCTCGAACTCCTGACCTCCAAGTGATCCACCCACCTCGGCCTCCCAAAGTGCTGGGATTACAGGCGTGAGCCACCATGCCTAGCCTCACTAAATCTTAGTTCTACAACTGTTTGGTTTTGCTGTAATTTATCTGTCAGGGTTATTATGAGAATTGGAAGAAATAGGGAGTGGTTGGCACAAAATGGTGTCCAGTAAATGCCACCATTTAAGTCAGCAGATCCTTGGAAGCTATAGAGATGTTGATAGGTGGAAAGAGATCAGAGGAAGATGGGGGCCTACACCCAGGAAATGTTACAACAGTCGAGAAAATAGCATAACATTTTAGGAATAGTATCTAATGAACTCTTAAATTGACGATTGTGGCCTAGAACAGTTTTGGTGGGTCATTTGTGGCCTAATTTGGTTAGGGGATTAAGATAAGAGTGCTTTCCTTATAGGGTGGTACCTGAGCACTGTTGAGAAGGCTAGGTAATCCTGCCATTAATAGATGAGAGGAAAGCTTAATTTGAATGGAATATACTTTTATACTCCTTTCAAGTCTAAATTTTCCCCATATTCTTTTTTGAGATTGATTGACAAACATTCCTGTGGCATCCTTTGTATCTGGCCATCTTTTTGCAATCTCCATTCTTCTGTAATAGGTCACAGGTCAATAACCGTTTGCTATAAGGGGCTAGAAAGTCAATGTTAGGTTTTGCGGAGCACATTAGGGTCTGCTCACCCAGGTGCACCTTGTTTTAGTGTGCTTCACTTTATTGTGATTCACAGTTGTTGTATTTTGTCTTTTTTTAAATTTTCATCTTTTATTTTTGAGACAGCATCTTGCTCTGTCACCCAGGCTGGAGTGCAGTGGTGTACTTTTCGACCTCCCAGGCTCAAGCAATCCTCCCACCTCAGCCTCCTGAGTAGATGCAATGACAGGCCAATTTGTTATTTTGTAGAGATGGGGACTCGCTATCTCAGGCTGGTCTTGAATTCCTGGGTTCAAATGATCCTCCCACCTCGGCCTCCCAAAGTGCCGGGATTACAGGCGTGAGCCACCGTGTCTGGCCAGTTTTGTTTTGTTTAAAAAAAAAGAAAATGGAAGGTTTGTAGCAACTCTGCATTCAGCAAGTCTATTGACACCATTTTTCCAACAACATTTGCTCACTTGTCTCTCTGTCACCTTTCAAACTTTTTCATTATTCTGTTGTGGCGATCTGTAATCAGTGATCTTTGTTACTGGTGTAATTGTTTTGGGGCACCATAAAGCAGGGCCATATTAGGTGGCAAACTTAATTGGTCAGTGTTGTGTGTGTTCGGCTGCTCCAACTGGTGGTTACCCCATCTCTCTCCCTCTCCTTGGGACTCCCTATTCCCTGAAACACAATATTGAAATTAAGCCAATTAACCCTACAACAGCATCTAACCTTTCAAATGAAAGTAAGAGTTTCATATCTCTCACTTTAAATCAAAAGCTAGACATGATTAAGCTTAGTCAGGAAGGCATGTCAAAAGCTAAGGGAGGCCAAAAGCCAGGCCTTATGCACCAAATGATTTGTCAAGTTGCGTAAAGGAAAATTTCTTGAATATTCCAGTGAATATATGAATGATAAGAAAGCAAAACATTATAGGGTGTTACCTGAGCAAAGATGAGAAGGCTGGGTACCACTTGTCATTTATAGAAGAGAGGAAAGTGTAATTTGAATGGAATATACTTATTGCTATGATATGGAGAGAGTGTGAGTGGTTTGGATAGATCAAACTAGCTACCACATTTCCTTAAGCCAAAGCGCAATCTGGAGCAAGGCCTTAAGTCTCTTCAATTCTATGAAGGCTGAGAGAAGTGAGGAAGCTGCAGAAGAAAAGCTAGCAGAGATTGGTTTATGAGATTCAAGGAAATAAGTCAGCTCTACGACATAATTCAAAGTGAAGCAGAAAGTGCTTATGGAGAAGTTGCAGTGAGTTACCCAGAAGATTTAGCTAACTGATGAAGGCAGCTACACTAAGCAGATTTTCAATGTACTAGAAACAGCCTTCTCTTAGAAGATGATGCCATCCTGGACTAACATAGCTAGAGAGGATAAATCAATGCTTTGCTTCAAAAGCTGATTCTCTTGTTATAGGCTAATGTAGCTGGTGACTTTTAAGTTAAAGCTAATGGTCATTAACCGTCCTAAAAATCCTAGCGTTCTGAAGAATTATGCTAAATTGGCCGGGGTGGTGACTCATGGCTGTAATCCCAGCCCTTGGGCAGGCCAAGGTAGGTAGATCATTTGAGGCCAGGAGTTCAAGACCAGCCTGGCCAACATGGTGAAACCCCATCTCTACTAAAAAATACAAAAATGAGGTCGGGTGCAGTGGCTCACGCCTATAATCCCAGCACTTTAGGATACTGAGGCAGGTGGATCAGCTGAGGTCAGGAGTTCGAGACCAGCCTGGCCAACATGGTGAAACCCCATCTCTATAAAAATACAAAAATTAGCTGGGTATGGTGGCGCGTGCCTGTAATTCCACCTGCTCGGGAGGCTGAGGTAGAGGTTGCAGTGAGCTGAGGTTGTGCCACTGCATTCCAGCCTGGGCAACAGAGCGAGACTATCTCAAAAAAAAAAAAAAAAAAAAAAAAAAAAAAAAAACCAAAACAAACAAACAAACAAAAAACCAAAGAAAACCAAGAATTACAGTAAGTCAACTCTGCCTGTGCCCTCAAACAGCATCACAGGCTACCGAATCTTTGATGAAAGGAAGAGGCAATTGATGTGGCAAACTTCATTGTTGTCTTATTTTCAGAAATTGCCACAGCCATCCCAACGTTTAGCAACCATCACCCTGATCTATGAGTAGCCATCAACATCTAGGTAAGATCCTCCACCAACAAAAAGATTGACTCACTGAGGGCTCAGATGATTAACATGTTTTAGCAACAAAGTTGTTCTGTTGTTTTTTATTTTTGGAGACAGAGTCTACCTCTCGCCCAGGCTGGAGTGCAGTGGGGTGTTCTCAGCTCACTACAACCTCCACCTCCCGGGTTCAAGCGATTCTCTTGCCTCAGCCTCCTGAGTAGCTGAGATTACAGGCATGCACCACCACGCCTGGTTAATTTTGGTATTTTTAGTAGAGATGGGGTTTCACCATATTGGCCAGGCTTGGTCTCGAACTCCTGGTCTCAAGAGATCCTCCCGCCTCGGCATCCCAAAGTGCTGGGATTACAGGTGTGAGTCACTGTGCCCATCTGCAACAAAGCATTTTTGAATTAAGGCATGTACATTTTTTAAAAGACATAATGCTATTGAATACTTAGAACAGTCAAAACATAACTTTTATATGTAGTGGGAAACACAAAAAATTGTGTGACTTGCTTTATTGTGATATTCACTTTAATGCAGTGGTGTAGAACCAAGCCTACCATATTTTCAAGGTATGCCTCTATTTGATGGAAATACATCCTTATTTTAGAGAGATTCGCAAAACTTCATGTGAATTCCTGGTTTCACCCTCAAACCAAGTTTGAGCTATGTGTTTCAAAGAGTATACTTTTGGTAAAGAAGCACATTGGCCTGTGTTGGCTCTGAGTGCTTGAATTGTTTCCAAAATTTGCTGTCTAGAACTAGCATCTGCTGTCATCAAAGGTGGACTATCCTACAGGGCTCCAAAAGTGTTCTATAATAGAATTTCTAAGCAAAAGTGGCATTGTGGAAGTAATGTCACATCAATAATCTGTGGTGTCCATTTCAAACATTAGGCCAAAAAAAAAGTCATTTAATACCTTGTAGTGTTGATAATGTCACCATATCATGAAGTCGGCATGGTCATTGCCTTGTGTGTGCTGTAAAGATTCAGAGGATGAAATATTCTAATTAACTTTGTTGCATACTTTGATTCAAAATGAAATGAAAATGCTCAGTATTCATTTGCTACAACTGGGTAAATAAAAATTGTATTCCTGGTAATATCTCAGCACTGGATTGATTTGCCTCTTTTACCCAAAAGGGCAGTTGGAGCCTAAGTTGAATGACTGACTGATGGGAGGCAGCCATTCTGAGATTTCTAAAGGAAGCTCAGCTAGATCCATCTTCTTCCTCTTGGCTTGGTATAGGTTTAATTTTGATTTAGAAGTAACCTGATTTTACCTTTCCAAAGTGTTTCCTTAATTTAATCTCACAGATTTAAATTTTGAGAAGAGTAGTTCAGTCTCTCGATATGGAGCCTCTCAAGTTGAAGATATGGGGAATATAATTTTAGCAATGATTTCAGAGCCTTATAGTAAGTATTGCTTTTATAGTAGTGCAGTCCCAGAATTCATACTATTTTTCTCTTACCTATACTCAAATTTCCTCCTACAACTTTGTCTCCCTAATCACTAAAATGATGACTTTTATGTTCTCATTTTTAGATCACAGGTTTTCAGATCCAGAGAGAGTGAATTACAAGTTTGAAAGTGGAACTTGGTAAGTGCTTGAGTACTATTTATTTGAGCTTTTTAACTTGTTTTTTTTTTTTGTCTGTTTGTTTGTTTTTGAGACAGAGTCTTGCTCTGTCGCCCAGGCTGGAGTGCAGTGGCACGATCTCAGCTCACTGCAAGCTCCGCCTCCCGGGTTCATGCCATTCTCCTGCCTCAGCCTCCCGAGTAGCTGGGACTACAGGCTCCCGCTACCATACCTGGCTAATTTTTTTGTAGTTTTAGTAGAGATGGGGTTTCACCATATTAGCCAGGATGGTCTCAATCTCCTGACCTCGTGATCTGCCCGCCTCGCCTCCCAAAGTGCTGGGATTACAGGCGTGAGCCACCTCGCCCGGCCTTTAACTTGTTTTTGTTCATATTGTGCCTCTTAATTCTTGTTATATTTGAGAAACTTTACTAATCCTTTTAGCTATCCTTTCTTGCTGTTCGGTCATCTGTAAAAGAAGGTTGTATTACTTAGAGCTTGATATTGGGAATAAAATGTAATGACTTACTGGCATCTTTAGTCACCCTGACCTTAAGTATATTATATGCTCATATCTGTGATTGTTATTTTGGTCTCCCCAAACTATCCGATCTTTCATTTAGAAAATTTCCAAAGGAGAAATTGTAGGCTTTAATAGAGTTCACAATTTTTACTGAGATAAAATTTTACGTACATTCTATAAGTACATTTATTTATTTATTTATTTTAGTTTTGAGACACTTGCTCTGTTGCCCAGCTGGAATATCGCGGTGTGATCTCTGCTCACTGCAACCTCCGCCTCCCGGGTTCAAGCGATTCTTGTGCCTCAGCCTTCCCAGTAGCTGGGATTACAGATGTGTACCATCATGCCTGGCTAAGTTTTGTATTTTTAGTAGAGATGGGGTTTTGCCGTGTTGACCAGGCTGGTCTCAAACTCCTGGCCTCATGTGATCTACCCACCTTGACATCCCAAAGTGCTGGGATTACAGGTGTGAGCCATTGTGCCTGGCTATATAGGTTTCTACTTTAAAGCCAAGGAAATAGCTGGGGAGAAGTATGAAGTGGTGTCTGTTAGTGATCGCAGGTAGACCTGTTTGTAAATCACTCTAATGAATTGAGTGTGTGCTTGGTCTCTGAAGTGAATAGAAACTTCTGACAGCTTTGCCCATAGAGAGAGACTTTGAGGCCGATTAGTTGTGGAGAAAGTGACTTATTAAGAAAATGTCCTAGGAGAACTGAAAATGTGAACGTGGGAGGGATAAGACATCAAAAGGTGTCAAAATATATAATAAGTGATTTGCAAATGAGTCATTAAGGTGTAGGGACTCACAGGCATTTCTATGGACATTCTCTGGGATGGCTCCCTGGTTTGATCTGGGGGATATTTTAATGGCAGACTTCCTACCATGCACACACATTCCTCATGTGGGTTAATTGTCAGCTTTATTCTGATCCTAAATTCGGCTGCTAAACTGGATTTAAACCCCACATGTATACTGTCTAGATTTGAGAATGAATTCAAACCTATCTTTTGGGGTTCTAGGAACTTTCAGGACATGAGGGTGCCAAGCAAACATTTCCTCAGCTTTTTTTTTTTTTTTTTTTTTGAGAGGGAGTCTTGCTCTATTGCCCAGGCTGGAGTGCAGTGGCACAATCTCAGCTCACTGCAGCCTCCACCTCCCAGGTTCAAGTGATTTTCCTGCCTTGGCCTCCCAAGTAACTGGGATTATAAGCGTACACCACCATGCCCGGCTAATTTCTGTAATTTTAGTAGAGACGGGGTTTTACCATGTTGGCCAGGCTGGTCGCAAACTCCTGACCTCGGGTGATCCACCTACCTCAGCCTCCCAAAGTGCTGGGATTACAGACATAAGCCACCACGCCTGGCCTTCCTCAGCTTTGATAGATAGATGGTTTGCTGAGTGAGCTAGCTGTGTTGGGCCTGCACAGGCAGCCATGTTTCTATAATGAACCACCTAAACAGTACTTTGAGTTGTACCCACATAATTTTTGAGGTTATAAGGAAAATCAAGTAGTATTGCTAGTCTGTCTGAACACCAAATAATACATCCTGTGTAACTAGGCAGTTGTCTTGCAGGGGGTAATAGGTGTCTGACTTGCTAGCATTTATCATGCAACCTGAAGTTTTGCTTCATCCACAGCAGCAAGATGGAACTTATTGATGATAACACCGTAGTCAGGGCACGAGGTTTACCATGGCAGTCTTCAGATCAAGATATTGCAAGATTCTTCAAAGGACTCAATATTGCCAAGTTGGTTTTCTTAAATATCTATTTTACTTAACAATCCCAAAGGGATAATGGATTTTCTATCTTTTTTTTCCTCACTGTATTTTTTTTTCTACCTGCTGTCTGTTTTATTATTCTCAAAGGGGAGGTGCAGCACTTTGTCTGAATGCTCAGGGTCGAAGGAACGGAGAAGCTCTGGTTAGGTTTGTAAGTGAGGAGCACCGAGACCTAGCACTACAGAGGCACAAACATCACATGGGGACCCGGTATATTGAGGTATGTCCTCAAAACCTGAACCCCTGGACATCGTGAATGAGAATTAACATAGGACGGAAGGCTCAGAAACACTAACTTCTCTGTCTTTTCTCAGGTTTACAAAGCAACAGGTGAAGATTTCCTTAAAATTGCTGGTGGTAAGTGCCTTTTACATAATGTGGCTTTAGTTAATAAGAATCTAAAAATTTTGCATACTTAAATTTAGCAAGAGTAGGTGAATAGGGTCATGAATGGTTTTTATTTTCTAATGGAACATGGGAATAGATTTTCTTCCCCAGAGGTAGAAGCTTCCGATAATAACAGTGAGCTTAATGTATAACACTTGTCCTAAGGCTTGAGCCAACTTACTATAGTTAAATAGCCATTAAAAATAGTACTATACAAAGGTGAAAAGGTGATATGAAGTTGTATGCATATGGAAAGGCTAGGTTTTTTTGTTTTGTTTTTTTGGAGACAGAGTTTCGCTCTGTCACCCAAACTGGAGTGCGGTGGCACAATCTCAGCTCGTTGCGACCTCTGCCTCCCAGGCTCAAGCAATTCTTGTGCCTCCGCCTCCGTAGTGGCTGGGTTTACAGGTGTGTGCCACCATGCCTGGCTAACTTTTTGTATTTTTAATAGAGATGGGGTTTCACCATGTTGGCCAAGCTGGTCTGGAACCCCTGGCTTCAAATTGATCCTCCTGCCTCAGCCTCCCAAAGTGCTGGGATTACAGGCCTGAGCCCCTGTGCCCGGCCAGGAAATGATATTCTTGAAAAGAGTCAGAAAACTGCTTTCAAACGGCCACGCTGCAATACCTGGGATTGTTGCACATGTGCTTCTAATTTTTCTCTAAACTTAACACATGAGTCACCAGAAACATGGTAGTTTTGGGTCTCGTAGTATTTTTGGATGTGTATTTACAGTAATATGGTTAAAAACAGGGTGGAACAGATGTGGTTTTTATCCAGTTATTTAGTGATTAATAACTTTAAAGGAAGTAACATGCATAAAACGTTGACTGCTTTTTGTCTGATTTTTTTCTATATATATATCTACTTTGTAAGTTTCTGTTGCTCATTCATATTGTTTTATAATTTCCTTTTAATGTATATTAACATCATCCTACATTACTCAATTTTCTTAAATGTTAATTGCTACATAGTATTATATGTACCATAATATTTTGAAACATCTCTGTTGGAGCTGGGCACATGGCTTGTGCCTGTAATTCCAGCTACTTGGGAGGCTGAGACAGGGAGGATTGCTTGAGCCTTGGTGTATTTTGAGAATGGCCTGAGCAACATAGTGAGATTCTGTCTGTAATAAATAAAATATCCCTGTTGAGCATTTAGAACTCATTTCCAACTTTTGACTTTAATATGTTGTCAATATTTTAAAATCTCTGTATGCGCCACTCATTGGGATAAATCTCTAAAAGCAGGATAGCTGAATCAAAGAATTTTGGACCTTTTCAACAGCCATTTGACACCTATTGCCAAATTATATGAAGATGACTTTCACTGTGTAAAAGAACATTTGTATTCCTACATTACAGAGCCTGGGTGAAAATTTTGCAGCTATAGAACTTACCGGAACAGCATCCTATTAACACAATCTGCTGGTATATTTTTGCTCCAGTTCATCTTTAGATAAACTCTAAGGCTTCAAAATTCAGGACTTCAAATTTAGGAGCATTTCCAGAGTTCCCAAGCAATGTTTGATATTGTTAGGGGTCAAATATATTTGGGGTTGCTGTGGTTTTACCTAAATCCTGACATTTCATGATAGATGCATTGCAACTTGGAGATGGCAAAGTCAATTGTTTATATCATTTCTGGGATTTCATTGTATATGGGCACTGCGATAAGAATTTGCTATTAGGGGCTGGGCTTGGTGGCTCATGCCTTTAATGCCAGCACTTTGGAAGGCCAAGGCAGGCGGATCACTTGTGGTCAAGAGTTCGAGGCCAGCCTGGCCAATATGGTGAAACCCCATCTCTACTAATAATACACAAATTAGCCAGGAGAGGGGTGTGTGTGTGTGTGTGTGTGTGTGTAATCCCAGCTACTCTGGGAGGCCGAGGCAGGAGAATCAACTTGAATCTCTGCGGCGGTGTTTGCAGTGAGCCGAGACCGTGCCACTGCACTCCAGCCTAGGAGACAGAGTGAAACTGTGTCTCAAAAAAAAAACAAAAAAGAAGCAAAAAGAAGAACGTGCTATTAGGGAAAATGTTACTAGTGTATGAGTTTCAAAGATATGCATTTAAGTATTTGCTATATGACAACACTGTACAAAATGTTTTATGTTGGGCAGAATGTTGATCAATATTGAAAGTAGGTACCCCATATATTCATTATACTATTCTTTTTACTAAGAATGTTTGAACCTTTCTTAATTAAAAAAAAAAAAGGTAATTGAGTTACTTGCAGATGGTTTTCTTGGGAGCAAAAGAGTAATCAGGAAAAGATTTTTTTAACCCAAAGTGCTTTATATCTATTACCCTACTTAATTTTCATAATTTATGACATAGGCAATCTTACAGACAAGAAAAGTAAGGCACGGAGTTGAACTTGACTAAGATTATGCCCTAGTAAGCAGTAAAGCCAAGATTGGACCCAGGCATTCTGGCTCCAGGACCTGTGCCTTTAACTACCACAATGACTTACTAGTGATTGGCCCGTGATTTAATTGTCTTGCCAGCTTCCTAAATTAAGAAGGATGTTTTATGAAAAAGGGGAGGAGTTTCAAATTTAGAAAATTCTGATTTCTAGGATGTTATTTTGCGTTCAGTAGGAGTATGGGTCTTCATTATGAACTCAAGACATTGGCAGGACTTTTATCACTTTAAAATCGGTAAAGTTGATGTCTTAACTATTTCTCTCCCTGCTTCCTAATATTTGTTTTCCCTAGGTACTTCCAATGAGGTAGCCCAGTTTCTCTCCAAGGAAAATCAAGTCATTGTCCGCATGCGGGGGCTCCCTTTCACGGCCACAGCTGAAGAAGTGGTGGCCTTCTTTGGACAGCATTGCCCTATTACTGGGGGAAAGGAAGGCATCCTCTTTGTCACCTACCCAGATGGTAGGCCAACAGGGGACGCTTTTGTCCTCTTTGCCTGTGAGGAATATGCACAGAATGCGTTGAGGAAGCATAAAGACTTGTTGGGTAAAAGATACATTGAACTCTTCAGGAGCACAGCAGCTGAAGTTCAGCAGGTTGGTTTTAAAAACAAGTATGTTGTACCTTTGCATTAATTTCTGTTCTTTATCTCTGAAAATAGTCCTACATTGCTCATTATGTTAAAATAAAACTGGCAAAATACTAAAAGTGTAACTGCATGAAAATAGTCTTGATTCTATAACCAAGAGATAGCCGCTGTTATCCTGTACACACACACAACACATACTACGTATTTTTACAGAAATGGGATACTGCTATAGCTGGATTTTTGTATTCTGTTTTAAAACTATGAAAGCTTACCTATGTCTGAAAAGTTTCATCTTTAAATATCTCATGGAAGTGCATACTTTATCTAGAAATTCCTCTAGTGTACACTTAGATTGATTTTTTTCTACCAGAAGAAATTTCTATGTAAAATGCTTAAAAACCTGTCATCAATTTGATTTCTGTAGCATTGGATATAGAGTGTGAGCTTTTAAGGTTTTTAATGTGTTGCCAAATGTTATTTCCCAAAAGGCTTCATCGGTTTCATACCCTGCTGGTGAGCTCTGTCCTGTTTTACTAGCTTTCAGCATGTGTGTGTGTGTGTGTGTTTGAGATGGGGTCTTGCTCTGTCACCCAGGCTGGAGTGCAGTGGCGCAATCTCTGCTCACTGCAACCTCCGCCTACCCCAGTTGAAGCAATTGTCCTGCCTCAGCCTCTGAGTAGCTGGCATTACAGCTGCCTGCCACCACACCCAGCTAAGTTTTGAATTTTTAATGGAGATGGGGTTTCGCGGCAGGCTGTTCTCGAACTCCTGACCTCAGATGATCTCCCACCTCGGGCTCCCAAAGTGCTGGAATTACAGGCATGAGCCACCACGCCTGGCAACTTTCAGCATTTTTGAGGCACAAAATGAGGCAATCACTTCCTCAAAATGTACTAAGATCTAGGCATTAAACCATTTATAGAATCTCAAGCTTTTCGACTGTTCTTGACTTGCCAGCTACCAATTGAACATGTCTTCAGGGGTCAGTTTGCCTTTGTAGCATAAATGGTATAGACTGCTTTTCCAACTTGCTCTATTTGTGTCCCATAGTAGAATAGTGATTCATATGATTCCACAGGTCTGCTTTGTAAGTATTTAGGATACTTACTTAATTATTTCTGTGAGTTCATCAGAGTTTTGTGTAGCTTCTGCATCCCATTATATGTTGTGATTTTAAATAATTATGCAAAGTTAAGAACCTTTTTACCTACTAGAATGCCAAAATTATTTTTGTACTTAAAATAAGTATAATTGAAATTCTAAATTATTTTTGTGTTCCATTGTACTGGTGCTCTTGAACCCTAAACTAGCTACATTCTTACAATTTAAAATTTAAATCTGGCCAGGCGCAGTGGCTCACGCCTGTAATCCTAGCACTTTGGGAGTCCAAGGCGAGCGGATTGCCTGAGCTCAGGAGTTCAAAACCAGCTTGGGCAACAAGGTGAAACTCCATCTCTGCTGAAAATACAAAAAAAAATTAGGCAGTCATGGCAGTGTGCGCCTTTAGTCCCAGCTACTCGGGAGGCTGAGGCAGGAGAATCGCTTGAACCCGGGAGGTGGAGATTGCAGTGAACCGAGATCACGCTGCACTCTAGCCTGGGCGACCAAGCAAGACTTTGTCTCCCGCTACCAAAAAAAAAAAAAAAAAAAAAATTTATACCTTTTTGAAAATGTCATAAGTGCTGAATCTCTAAAATGTGCTTGAGTTTTCAAACATGACAAACATTCTTCCCAAACCAGGAGAAAAAACTCGATGTGGTTGCAGATCTTTATTTGGAAAGAGAGTTTGTCTTATGAAATCATGGCCTAGAATAAGCTACTGCAGAGCCTGGGCTACTCTGTTGGTTTGGAAATAGAGTAGGCTGCCTCTCTATGATTCTACTATGAGTTGCTTTTGGGTGTGCATTTTCTCTACTTCTCCATCCTTCTTGATTTATTTAATAAGTTTTGAACTAGTCATAGGTTCTTCCACTGTCTTTTCTTCATTACTAGTCATTTTATTCAGTAAATATTTGAGCACCTCTTAATTGTCAGGTATTATGAGATGCTTCACCATTTCCTGTCCTGAGTTTATCTATTACTACACTAATTTTCTATTCTTGTTCTTCTAATGTTTTTGCTGTGTCTGGATTGTTTATATAACTTCTTATTAAAGTCTTCTTGTCTCTTTTTCATGCCGTTTCTCTGGTGGTGTGGTTTGATTTTTGTCCCCTCTTACTCAGATAGCAACTGAGCAGGGTGTGAGTGGGGAAATTAGTGCATGTTTTGGGGAAGGGTTCATTGATTCTTCTATATTGTCAATTTATGGGATGTTAAAGGCTAGAGTGATTAAGTTGTTCAGAAAACCTGGAGATGCCACAGATGGCATTTGCCTAAGGACTTCTAGTATTATGAACTAGTTGGCATGCTCTGAGACAAAAGTGGACAAGAGCCTTGTAATATGAGTGTTGCCTAAGGGCAGTCTTTTGTCTAAAATTCGCCTAACCTATCATCATCCATTTCCAAGATAGCTGAATTCCATGAATCTAGAAGATATTCAAGATCTTTTGTCTTACCACTGTCTCAAATTCACAGGGAAACTAAACTACTATTCATCTTTACGGTCAACAAATGATTCTTTTCAGGTCTTTATACCCACCCATTCTGTCTTGTGCTATTATTCAGCATTATATTTTAATATAATCCAAAGTGATTGTTTGGCCTGTGATTCTTTTACTGGGTCATTCTCTATTTCTTTGGTTTGGAGGTGGAGTATGAAGGTAATGAGGGGAATACTGTGTACTTAGTGAAATGATATATTTCTACTTTTGCTACAAAAGTCCACATTTAGTGATATGTTCAGAATTGTATAAAAGTGGCAGCTTTAGGGATAATATCCCTCACAGATAGTGATACATTGTTACAGGTAGACACTAACTGTTTAAGTGTTTTGTGTTGTGTGTGGTGTACACCTCACAGTGTATTTGACAAAAATGAGTATCATGCTTTCCCTGCTGGAATGCATGAATCCCTTTCTCCATTACTTCTCAAACTTGCATGTACTTCTGAATCACTTGAAGATTCAGTTCAGATGAAGATTCATATTTATTAGGTCTGGGGTGAGCTGGATTCTGCATTTCTAACGAGCTTCCCAGTGATGCCATTGCTGATCTGCAGAAAGCAGGGGAGTAGCACAGCTCTAAATTACTTCTGTTTTGCTTTGAGTACAGGTGCTGAATCGATTCTCCTCGGCCCCTCTCATTCCACTTCCAACCCCTCCCATTATTCCAGTACTACCTCAGCAATTTGTGCCCCCTACAAATGTTAGAGACTGTATACGCCTTCGAGGTCTTCCCTATGCAGCCACAATTGAGGACATCCTGGATTTCCTGGGGGAGTTCGCCACAGATATTCGTACTCATGGGGTTCACATGGTTTTGAATCACCAGGTAAGAAAGATACTTAGTGGAAAACTTATTTGCTTTTTCTCACTACATATGAGAAATATCTAATATTAGATATTAGATAATCTATTAGAAATATCTAATATTAGATATTAGTCTTTGATAAATAAAATTAGTCTGAGATAAATTTAGATGAAATTAGTCTTTGATAAATAAAATTAGTCTCACATCTAATTAAAAAGTACGTAATCCTCAGTTACACACTAAGTCTTTAAGGAAAGACTTAACTGTAAATACAAGAGGTCTTTAGAATGAACTGAAAATAATGCTGTCGTTAGTATAATAATTCAAATTCAGCTTTGATTTCTTCATCACAAATATCCATCACATTATCAATAGCGTCAAGTAGGCATGACATATATTATCAGTCTTGACACAATTTTTCTTATTTTGGCTGTTCAACTCTGCAACTCTGCTGTAGTGTTACAGCAATCATGGATGATGCTTATTTTAACAAATAATCATATCTGTTCCAGAATATTTTGTATCCATAGACTATTTAGAAATGGCTTATTTCATATTTAATATATACATGTTAGACATCAAATTACATTCAATAGGAACCAAACTCAGTGAGGACTTGAATCCATACCACCTAGAAAGAACAGTATGTGTGGATCATAACAGGCTCTCAAATGTATTAATGAATGAGTTGCTGAGAAGCCTGTATAAAAATCTAACTGAATTCTTCCATATGCAAATGTAAAGTATTTCCTAGCTTATTGTCACCTAATTTTTGGTTAAAGAAAATTATATTTGCTGGAAAATTTAACAGTATTTTGTGCTGTCATAAGCAAGATACAATTCTACAAACCCATAAGCCAGGTGGTTGTAGTTGAAACTTTGGAACTTTTTTTTTTTTTTGAGACAGAGTCTCACTCTGTCGTCCAGGCTGGATTGCAGTGGAGCAATCTCAGCTCACTGTAATCTCTGCCTCCTGAGTTCAAGCAATTCTCCTGCCTCAGCTTCCCGAGTAGCTGGGATTACAGGTGCCCACCACCATTCCCGGCTAATTTTGGTATTTTTAGTAGAGACAGGATTTCACCATGTTGGCCAGGCTGGTCTCAAACTCCTGACCTCGGGCGATCTACCCGCCTTGGCCTCCCAAAGTGCTGGGATTACAGGCGTAAGCCGCCGCACCTGGCCTGGGACTCTTAATTAAATGCAAAGCTGTATTAATTTTTGAAAATGTTTTCTGAGGATTAAGGGTTGAATGTAGGCTTATATTGAAAATACTGAATTTTTTTCCCCTAAATTGCTAATTTCTCACCTTTTCACTTGGAGATTTGGTCACTTTCATAACTGTAATCTTGTCTCACTGGAAAGCCTGTACCATTGGATACAAGGAATCAGAAACCATCCTGAGCCCTTGCCTTCTATACCAGTTTTCTGCATCAGCACATGCTCATTCTAAGTCTTCAGTCAATATTGATATTAAATTATGCAACTTGTTATCTGACCCTCTCAGCATGCTTCACTGGTAGCAGTTCTTTTGAATAAAATTGCCCACATTTAAGCATCACCAGGGAATTATTTGGTTTCTTATTGAGTCACCACTTCTAATAACCCAGAGGCCATTACTCTTTGATTAACAACAGTATTTGTCTCTCTTTGCCTCATGTGACCTATTGTGATTACACTTGGGAAAAGGTTCTTAGATGATGCACAAACTCTTAGGTGCCTTGAGGATGTTAGGTTTCCATCTTGGACTGGGTTTGTTGCTAGTTTCCCTGGTGTGGTAACTCTAATGGTAACTTGCATGGTAATAATTTCACAGTCCTTAAGAGACTTATTGAGAAAACCATAAAATAAGAAAGTAGTCCTGTAAGCTGATCATGTCTTTTTCTCCCCCATAAAACATTCGTGCTCAATAAAACTAAGGCGTTCTACCTCTGTGGAACACAAATCTACAGGCTTGGTTTGAAATAGGGGGTTTTAGCAAGCTATTACTAATAGAAAATGTCTGTTAGTAATACCTGTTTGACCAAGGTAGAGCTGTAAGGAGTGAGAGAAGGGCTCCCAAGCAAGGCTGATGATACATACAGCTCTCACAAATCATCACTGGGCCTTGCACCTCCCAAATTCCTTGCCCCCAAGCCACATTCCAACCTAGGTCTCAGGGATGAGGGAAGATTGAAAGGGATATGGCAGGTCAGTGATGGACTGGAACTGAGAGCCAAAAAAGAATACCGGTTCAGTTTCCTGTAGGAGGGTACCTAAAGCTCCAGTGCTGGTTCTGTTACTAGCTTTTCTCAATTGAATGAGATTTAATCGAATTTTTCAGAAGAGAAAAAAACTAGTATACGATCCTATATTTTGAAGCAGCAGTCACAAGGAGACCCTTTCAAACCCTTGTAAATCTGATACTAATTAACAGAAGTGAAAAAGGCTCATTTTCAGCTATGAGCTCTCAAAACTGTTTCTTAAAGGTTTTGTTGGCCATTCTGGTGATCAGGTGATGAAATGCAAGTCAGGTTCCAGCAGATCACACCATCACCCGGATTTTGTGGCTAAAATATCTGTATTATGGGTGATTGTCACTTTGCATGTTTTGTAAGCAACCATTTCCTTGTTGAAGGAGACAGTCTCCTTTTGTTTTTATTCTTCCCCCACACACTCAGGGCCGCCCATCAGGAGATGCCTTTATCCAGATGAAGTCTGCGGACAGAGCATTTATGGCTGCACAGAAGTGTCATAAAAAAAACATGAAGGACAGATATGTTGAAGTCTTTCAGTGTTCAGCTGAGGAGATGAACTTTGTGTTAATGGGGGGCACTTTAAATCGAAATGGCTTATCCCCACCGCCATGTAAGTTACCATGTAAGTTTTTCTTGGGTCTTGGCGCTATTCTACGCTATATGCTGGTAGGTGCTTAAGCTGCTTTCGTAACTTTCTGTGCCCCTGGTTCTTTCTGAGGCAGGTGAGGTGGTTATATAAGGCTCTCCCATCTGTAATCAGTAGTACCTGGTAATCATTTAAGACCTTGGTTGTGGACACCCATAATTAGAGATGCTACAAATACCTCCTTTCAAATTATATTCCTGCTTTTCCAGTGATAAGCACTTGATTTCTGAAGCTTAGTGTGCTCCAGATAAGCACTGACTCTGGGAGGCAACCTGGCTATATAGATAATTTTAGTACGCATTTAAAGGCAAAATAAAAGTATGGCTGGATTCTTTTTATTTTATTTTTTAAAACGTATTAACCTTTAAGAAGGGCAGTTTGATGCACATGTTGCATTTAACTTTTTGAGCATCAAGTATTTTTTTAACATTTTTGAGCATTTCTGTTGCTCTCCAGGATATCTGGAATGAGCAAGTGAGCAAAAACAAAAAACAAAAACAAAAAAAACCACATAGATTAATTAGCCAAAGTTTCCATTGGATCACAGGATCAGTGCTTAATTTTAAGCCATGCTCTCGCTCATTGGCACCTGGGTGCAAGCCATCTGGAATCCTATTTGAGGGGAATAAGCCCTGTAGTCTACGAAGTTCTAGTTAGTGAATAAGGAACATATGGGGATCTGATGTTAAAATTTGAGTCTTTTTTACACAATTTTTCCTTTAAATAAGATGTACCTTCTTAGGCCTGTTGGGTATGTTTAAAGAATATAGTATTTGCAGTACAGTTCAAAGATAACTAAGTAAACTGGATTATGTGCTTGATTCCAATAAAGCGGGGGATTTGGGCACCTCACTTTCTAATAAGATGGACCTATACTAATGATCTTGTTTGGTAAAGTATTATTTGTAGAACATTCAGTGGGGCTTAATCCTTTTTATCTTTTAGCATTTTGAATTTCTAAATGCTAATATTCCATTTACCTGCTGCTTGCTGTTGGTGAATATCTTAGAGTTGATCATTAATAAGTATGAAGTTTTGGAAATTTATAATTGGGTTAAGAGATCTTACAGTAATCTCAGTTGTATGTCTTCAGTATATAAACCACTGGTAATGTCAGTAGCTTTTACGATATCCTTTAGTGATAATCTGTCAAACATTGTAAGATAAAGCATCATGTGTGACCCAAATTCTGCTTTTGGAATATCCTTTCACTTGTCCCTCCTCCTGGTCATTACAGATTTTTCCTCTGAAGACTTTCATTTTTACCCATTTTTCCTCACAAGCCTCCAAATAAAAAAGATTTAAAATCCATGTGTCAGCCAGGTACAGTGATTCACACCTGTAATCTCAGCACTTTGGGAGGCCAAGGTGGGAGGATCACTTGAGGCCAGGGGCTCAAGACCAGCTTGAGCAACATAACGAGTTTATGTTTCATTTAACTTTTATGCAACTTCTTAAAGTTTGTTAACTTACTTTCTTAAGAAGGAATGTTTTATGGTTAACTTCATTTTTGTAGTCAGTGCATATACACTACTTTAGATATATAAGATTAGCTATCCTAGGCTGGGCATGGTGGCTTACACCTGTAATCCCAGCACTTTAGGAGGCTGAGGCAGGTGGATCACATAAGGTCAGGAGTGGCCAACATGGTGAAACCCCCTCTCTACTAAAAATACAAAAAATTGCCGGGAGTGGTGGCGCACATCTGTGATACCAGCTACTGAGGCAGGAGAATTGCTTGATCACGGGAGGCGGAGGTTGCAGTGAGCTGAGATTGCGCCACTATACTTCAGCCTGGGCGACAGTGAGACTCAGTCTCAAAAAAAAAAAAAAAAGCTATCCTTTTGTTTGAGGAATGCCCAAAACATTGCAGCCCAATCTATTTGGTTATCGAAAATTTCTACCTTTGTTTTGAAGCTGAACAGACTTACACCTACTATGTGTGTGTGTTTATGCATGTGTGGTTTTTTTTTGTTTTGTTTTGTTTTGAGACGGAGTCTTGCTTTTCTGCCAGGCTGGCATGCAGTGGCTCAGTCTTGGCTCGCTGCAACCTCTGACTCCCAGGTTGAAGTGATTCTCCTGCCTCAACCTCCTGAGTAGCTGGGACTACAGGAGTGTGCCACCATGCCCAGCTAATTTTTTGTATTTTAGTAGAGATGGGGTCTCACCATGTTGGCCAGGATGGTCTGGATCTCCTGCCCTTGTGATCTGCCCGCTTCGGCCTCCCAAAGTGCTGAGATTACAGGCGTGAGCCACCACACCCAGCCATGTGTGTTTGTCTTATTGGTGTGAGGCACTGTCCTGTAATGAACCGCTTGATAGTTTTGAAATCAGAATATGAACCGGGCGCGGTGGCTTACGCCTGTAATCCCAGCACTTTGGGAGGCCAAGGCGGGCAGATCACCCGAAGTCAGGAGTTCGAGACCAGCCTGACCAACATGGCGAAACCCTGTTTCTACTAAAAAAAAATTCAAGAAATCAGAATATGAGCACAGGCTGTATAACTTTCTGTGAGACTTAGGTGCCTCAATTTGTATTGTTGGTCTTTTGCACAGTTTTTGATGAGTATGAAAGAGGCACTCAAGTTAAATATGAGATCAATATGTTAGTCTTTTTTCTATACGCCCATATTTAGCTTGCTGTCTTATTCATCTCCATGGAAATGTAGAAACTCATAAGAACAAAAGACAATTTGAAGTCAGCTTGGAGATTTTTATGGGAAAAAGTTATTTCTTGGGCCTCTGCTGATTGCAAAATGTGGTGGTTCTAGGTATGAAGCTTAAAGTCAGGGACCCCATATTCATTCAGCATCTCAACTTAACTCTTCTATTGGGTATAAATGGCCCGGATAGTTGTGTTCATTCCACAAGTGAAAGCTAGTGACCAGCCACTGGTCTTCTGTTTCTAAACCTAGAAGATGTTTGATAACCAGAAGACAATGCAGTTGGGGCCCATTTTTTAATTTAATCTGAGCCAGCTTTTTATTAGTTGATTCCCAGGAAGACTTAGGCATCAATTCCTTTGGGACTATTTCCCAGGTTGGATTTTTTTCTTTTTAAAGGTCTGAAGATATAAATTAGCTTCAAAGCCCATCATGTGGCTAGCCTTTAGGTGAGAATAATGCAGAATTGATCTGCTTGTTTCTTTTAGGTCAGTTCCTTCTGGCACAGTCTATGCTTTGACCTAATATGTGGTAGTGGCCAAGAGAGGTTTATCATAACACTTCTCATTTGATGCTGTACTGACGGGTAGGTAGCAAGAGGGAGTAGAAGCATAACTTAAAATTTAAAATATTTAGTAGCCTCTAGTATGAAACTTAAACATCAGTTCCTTGTTTCTTTCCTCTGAGAGTTGGTTTGTAGTAACTGGCACTCAGGAACATGAGGGAAAAAAATTACATATTGTGAAATGGTTGAGAAGACATGAAAATCCACTTGATTTTGGTGTTTCCGAATTTCAGGCAAAGAACTGTTTTTTAGGTTGACAGGGTGGAATTCAGATACTTCTATGCATTAACTGTATAATCAAAAGGAAATTGCTTGGGATAGGATAAAGAACTGTGGTCTCTTTCTTTAAAATGTGTAGATGGAACAGTGACTATGTTTTTAGTGCTAGCACGTGCATGTCAGCTGTTACAAATATGTCTCAAAGAATCTCTCTTTGCATATCTAGGCCTGTCTCCTCCCTCCTACACATTTCCAGCTCCTGCTGCAGTTATTCCTACAGAAGCTGCCATTTACCAGCCCTCTGTGATTTTGAATCCACGAGCACTGCAGCCCTCCACAGCGTACTACCCAGCAGGCACTCAGCTCTTCATGAATTACACAGCGTACTATCCCAGGTAAGGCTCTGACAGAGGTGGAAATGAGGGGCAGAAACAAAGGACTCCTTTGATAGCCAGTGCAAGAGCTCACAAAAGAATATTGTCTGCCATGTTGAAGGTTAGCGTGGCAGGCCACAGCCTCTGGTCATATCTCTGACCAAGAAGGTTGTTTCAAGACAAAGCAAAAGCAGTATAGTTTTTAACCATATACTGACAGCATGATCTTTTAGGTCACCTATGTCTACAGCTTTCCTTTTTTACCTCTCCTGTCATAGGACCCCAAGTGAGTAGTGATGTGATCACTGCAATAGGATGGCAATATCAGATGAATGAATCATAAAACAGGAAAATTCATAACAGGAACAATGCTATTTTGAAGTAGTATGAGTTCATGTTATGGCACAGTGAATAAAAACTGTTGCTTTAAATATTCCAGGGCTTATATTCTTTTCCTCCTAAATCTTTAAACAAATCTATAAACCAATCCAGAATTAGATTATTTAGTGTTTTCTTAGAGTCTATATATTTTAAGTCTGTCTTTTTAGTTGTGTTCAATTTCTCGGACATAGCATACTAGCATATAATGGAGAGAATGTTGTCAGTCTGGGAGTTGGGAGACTGAATGTTAGTTTCTTTCCAAGCTATTTAGAAGAAATATTTGGAGTACATGCACGAGCATGTAAATGAGGCTTATAATAAGTGTCTTGGACCTAACCTGTCTGATCCTACAGCTATGTTGCATTGTATTTTTCTTCCCTGTCCAATACAGAATTTTCCACTAAGGAGTAAGAGTTAGGGGTCTCATAATAACAGGCAAGTTTGTAGCCACTTTTAATTATGTTTTTTATTTTGTTAGAAGTTTTTAAAACATTAATGCTATTGAAAATATTTTTTATTCCACTGGAGAAGAAAAATAAGAAAAAGGCTATGACAGTTGTCAGCTAGCTGTCTTCTGAAGGTTTGAAAAGGCTAAGAAGCATGAGTAACTGTTCATGATGGAATACTGTGCCAGACACGTAGCCCAGCCCCAATCTGCCACCCTCTCTGGACCCTGTGATAATTGCTTATGTCATCAGAATGTCAGGAATGGAATCCTTGGTGTCTCTGAATGTCTGCCAGTGTTCTTGTTCCTACAGTGTAATTGTAGAATATCCACTTCCATCACTACTTGCCACCTGAGTAGTGGTACAGGAAGGAGTTTCTTGGAAATGAGACCATGAATCTTGAAGCCCCAAAGGCAGAAGGAACTGACATTTATGGCTTAATAGCTCCTGTAATGTTGGATGTGGGCCTGTAGGTCAATTTTTTTTTTTCTACCAGTAGTTTTAAAATTTGTATTGTGCTCATTATTAAGTCTGAGTATAGGAGTGTAGTGAGTAAAAGTAAAGACTCCCATTTTATACACCTCTGAGTCTAGAAGTAACCGTTACTATCAGTTTGGTAATACACGTGTATGCTTCTAAATAATGTGACATCTTAATGTGTACTGTCTAATCGTTCCTTCTTTCTTTTTTTTAAAACTTGAAAATGTGTCAGTGACTTCTGTGTATATTTACCTCATTCTTGTAAATTCCTCAAAATGTCCAAAGAGTAAAAATATAATTTAAGTTTATTTGTAGATATCTGTACTTTTAATTTTTCTCTATTAAAGCTCATGTTGATCTTTAAATACTTGATTTTCTCTCTCTTTCTCAAACTTTTTTTCCCTGACTAAAGATGGGATTTTGCCGTTTTGCCTAGGCTGGTCTCAAACTCCTGGGCTCAAGTAATCCACTGCCTCAGCGTCCCAAAGTGCTGGGGTTACAGGGAACATGCTTGTATTTCTGTAAGACAGTTTTACAGAAGTGGAATTTTAAAAAGGAAGGTCAGGTGCGTTATATATAAGCTAATACTTCCAAATTAACCCCTAGAGTGTGTTATTTTATTTTACATTTCCCCACTTTTAGTGAAATTACCTACATAACAACATGAAAGCATTCAAGCATGGGAATTATATGCTCTTATTTATGCTGCAAATCTGGTATGATTTAAAAAGCATATGCCAAAGATGTTTTATAATTTTGATAGAAAAACATTAATTTCTTTTTTTTTGAGTCGGAGTTTCGCTCTTGTTGCCTGGGCTGGAGTGCAATGGCGTGATCTTGTCTCACCACACCCTCCGCCTCCCGGGATCAAGCTATTCTCCTGCTTCAGCCTCCTGAGTAGCTGGCATTACAGGCATGTGCCACCATGCCCGGCTAATTTTATGTTTTTAGTAGAGAAGGGGTTTCTCCATGTTGGTGAGGCTGGTCTCAAACTCCCGACCTCAGGTGATCTGCCCGTCTCAGCCTCCCAAAGTGCTGGGATCACAGGTGTGAGCCACCACGCTCGGTGAAAAACATTAATTTCTAACCTGGCATAACTACTGGGCATTTGAGGCTATTAAAAAACTTTGTTATGTAAATGCTCAAGTAGGTTTTGGCCTCCACTCTGATAAGTGGGAAATCTGAAACAGCATATTCTAGGGATATTATTAATCAGAAGCTCTTGTGTTTTTCTTTATTTTTAAATTTCTTCCATTAAAAAAAAGCCATAAGTGGTGGGTTATGCCTGTAATCCCAGCGCTTTGGGAGGCAAAGGTGGGAGGATCACTGGAAGCCAGTAGTTAGACACCAGCCTGAGTCTCAAAGTGAGACTCTATCTCTACTAAAAATAAAAAACTGTGGCTCACGCCTGTAATCCCAGCACTTTGGGAGGCCAAGGTGGACGGATCACGAGGTCAGGAGATAGAGACCATCCTGGCTAACATGGTGAAACCCCGTCTCTACTAAAAAATACAAAAAATTAGCCGGGCGTGGTGATGGGTGCCTATAGTCCCAGCTACTTGGGAGGCTGAGGCAGGAGAATGGCGTGAACCCGGGAGAAGGAGCTTGCAGTGAGCCAAGATCATGTCACTGCACTCCAGCCTGGGTGACAGAGCAAGACTCCATCTCAAAAAAAAAAAAAAAAAAAAAAAAAAAACTGGCTTGGCATGGTGGCTCACTCCTGTAATCCCAGCACTTTATGAGGCTGAGATGGGCAAATCACTTGAGGTTAGGAGTTTGAGACCAGCCTGGCCAACATGGTGAAACTCCATCTACTAAAAAATACAAAAAGTAGCTGGGTGTGGTGGTCAGTATCTGTAATCCCAGCTACTAGGGAGGCTAAGGCAAGAGAGTTGCTTGAACCCAGGAGACGGAGGCTGTAGTGAGCCAAGATTGTGCCACTGCACTCCAGCCTGGGCGTCACAGCGAGACTCCGTCTCAAAAAATAAATAATAAAAATGGCTGGGTGTGGTGGCTCACCCCTGTAATCCCAGCACTTCGGGAGGCCGAGGCAGGCAGATCACGAGGTCAGGGGTTCAAGACCAGCCTGGCCAATATGGTGAAACCCCACCTCTACTAATACCAAAATTGCCAGGGCATGGTGGTGGGCACCTATAGTTCCAGCTACTCCGGAGGCCAAGGCAGAAGAATCGCTTGAACCTGGGAGGCGGTGGTTGCAGTGAGCCAAGATCATGCCACTGCACTCCAGTCTGGGTGACAGAGCGAGACTCAGTCTCAAAAAATAAAAATAAATGATGCTGTCACAACAGCATCTGGAAGAGCAGGTGAAATGAAAGCATGTATGCCTCATGTGGTTTTGTTTTCTCTTTTTGGGCTTTTCACCCCCTTCTCTACCTCAGAAGAGGGTTTCAGTTTTCCAGTGACTCATACCTTAGCTAGGGCAGAAAAGTATTTAGAAGGGCTTTCTATTTGGGTCCTCTCTGATTATCAGTGCAAAATCAGTTACCTCACATCTTTTCTCTTTCATTACATCAAGCCCTACTTTTTCTTCTGACCTCTCATTTTTCTCAGAAAAGAATATTCTCCTTTGCATCAAAGCTGTTGCATAGGTGGGAGACATGCTGATTCTTCAAAGACTGAATGACATACATACCTTCTATGCATCTCTTGCTTTTCGTACGACATTATAAATTACAAGTAACATCAACTTTTTTGTCTTTGTTTTTTGAGATGTAGTCTGGCTCTATCACCCAGGGCAGAGTGCAGTGGCGCTACCATGGCTCACTGCAGCCTTGATCTCCCAGGCTCAAGCGATCCTCACGCCTCAGTCTCCCAAGTAGCTGAGACTATAGGCATGCACCACCTCACTTGGCTAATTTTTTGACTTTTTGTGGAGACGGGGTCTCACTTTGTTGCCCACGCTGGTCTCAAAGTACTGAGCTCAAGCAATCTTCCCACGTCAGCCTCCCAATGTGCTGGGATTACAGGTGTGAGCCACCATGCCCAGCCAAGTAACAACATTTTGCGCCAACAAAGGAAGCACAGGAAGTTTTACTTTTTTTAATGAGTGATGTAGTCACAAGTAGACTGCGCATGCTTGTATAAAAGCTTTATGGTGAGGAATAACCATTGTCTTTCTTGGGGTAACCATTTGTTTTAAAACCAGCTTTTGTTATAACCTAATGAATGAATATATATATGTGTGTATATACATATATATATTCATTATTCAATATATTCATTATTTTATATATATATATATATATATATATATATTTTTTTTTTTTTTTTTTTTTTTTTTTTTGAGACGGAGTTTCATTCTTGTTGCCCAGGCTGGAATGCAGTGGCACAATCTCAGCTCACTGCAGCCTCCGCCTCCTGGGTTCAAGCAATTCTCCTGCCTCAGGCTCCCAAGTAGCTGAATTTACAGGCATGTGCCACCATGCCCAGCTAATTTTGTATTTTTAGTAGAGACGGTGTTTCTCCATGTTGGTCAGGCTAGTCTCCAACTCCAGACCTCAAGTGATCCGCCCGCCTCGGCCTCCCAAAGTGCTGGGATTACAGGCGTAAGCCACCGCGCCCGGCCTATGAATATGTATATTTAGTAATATGTATGTGTTACTAAACACATTGATCTTTGGTTTGTTGTGTTACTGTGTTCTATCCTGGAATTCTTTGTAGTTGAACCAGAAGAATACCAAGCCTCTGAGAGAGGCTTACATTTCCTATTTTGAACTTGCTCTTCTTATTCCAGTTTACTTTTTTACTTGAAATTTGTATTGAGATTCACATGCAGTTGTAACAAATAATACATGGAGATCCCTTGTACACTTCGCCTAGTTTATCCCAATGGTAACATATGGGAATCAGTTTACTTTCTAATTTGCTTGTTGTTGCAAGTGTTCTCATAGGACCAAGAAAAAAGAATTCTTGATTTAAAAGTTTTCTTACAAGTTAAATATTTAGTATCACAAATGCAGACAAGAATTTAGCATCCAATGAAATGATGCTAGAAATAATAGTAATAGTGATGCAATATGAAGCAATATTATAATATGAGAGAAGTGTCAGGTAATTTTTGTGGGTGGTCATGATTATGATTATCAGGTTTTTTAGTTTGGATTAGGTTTCTAAATGATGTAAGGGAGAACAACTGCCGTGGGCAACTCACTCTCTCCTACTAGTCAGTGAGAGTTCAGAATGGCTTTCAGGGAGGAAATGACCCTTTGCTAATGTAAAAACTTCAATGGCGCGATCTCAGCTCACCACAACCTCCGCCTCCCAGGTTCAAGCGATTCTCCTGCCGCAGCCTCCCGAGTAGCTGGGATTACAGGCATGCACCACCATGCCCAGCTAATTTTGTATTTTTGGTAGAGATGGAGTTTGTCCATGTTGGTCAAGCTGATCTCGAACTCCCAAAATCAGGTGCTGTACTAGCCTCGGCCTCCCTAAGTGCTGGGATTACAGGTGTGAGCCACTGCGCACGCCTTGGGGTAAATTTAAGTTTAGTTACCAAACTTTTTTGACAGCACATAAATTTGCCAGGTATTTGGGTGAGATAGATTGTTGGGAGATTTATTTATTTGTGCCAAAGTGTTTTCCTATTTATTTGTTTGGTTCCTTAGACTTTCTCTGAGTGGTAGAAGTGCAGGCCTGGAGAAGCCTGTATGGACTTTTAGGAGCACTAACAGAAATCCAGCGTCCAGAGGTAGTCATCAGTCCATAGACTGCTGTAGTTATTAAATCCATGAAGAATCTCGAAAAGTTAACCTTGTTAATTTCAGATGAAAATTAAAGTCAGTTTAAAGGTTCCCTACATGAAAACTGACTTTAGGTTTTACACTGGCAAGGATTGAAACAGTATGTCTCCAGTTACTCCCAAATATGTGGTATTTGTAACACTAGGGATGTTAATGTTGGTAAAATGGTTCTGTGTGGTCATTTTACAAAGCAGTGATAATTAGATTTTTCTGCAGGGTTTCTCAAAAATGTGAAACAATATGTAGTCACTCATTCAGAGGGGAGACTGTAATTCTCTAATCTTCCACTTAATCAATTTCTCTAACCATACATATGATACTTTGGCCTCTCTTTTTTAGTGAAATTATAGCAAGTCTGCAGGGCATGGTGGCTCATGCCTGTAATCCCAGAAATTTAAGAGGCCAAGGTAGGAGGATCGCTGGAGCCCAGGAGTTCGAGACCATCCTGGGCATGCAAAAAATTTAAGTTGGGATGGTGGCACCCATTTGTAGTCCCAGCTACCTGGGAGGCTGAGGCTAGAGGATTGCTTGAGCCTGGAGATTGAAGCTGCAATGAGCTGTGATCGTGCTCATTGTGGTGTGGGAGACAGCACAAGCCTGTCTTTAAAAAAAAAAAAAGCCATATATATCTATATATGGCAAATCCTCAAATTGTGAATGTTATCAATACTCTCATACTTCTGACTACCTTTATTTTAGAAATCACCTGATAATATTAATTAGTATTACCAATGTTTGTATTTTGTGATTATTAAATGGAGGAAGAGTATTATAAGTCTTATTATCAATATAGCATATATTATGAGTATGTTGATGTGGTGGGCATCTTGGCATCCAGTATGTTCATATCTTGTTTTACATATAATTTTATATGATTTATTAGGCTACACTGTATATTATAAAAATAGACAATATATGTCAGGGTCTGGAAAATATAGCATAGGGAGAAATTTGTGGATAGTCCAATAACAGAATCTTGGCCAATTAAATTGATATTGGCATACCAGTGGGCTGTGCGGGAGCTTGAGGCTGCAGTGAGCTGTGATTGTGCCACTGCACTCTAGTCTGGTTGACAGTGAGACCCTGTCTCAGAAAACAAAACAATAGGGTTGGGCATGGTGGCTTTGTAATCCCAGCACTTTGGGAGGCTGAGGAGAGCAAATCACCTGAGGTTAGGAGTTCAAGACCATCCTGGCCAACGTGGCAAAACTCCATTCTGAAAAAATAAAAAAATTAGCCAGGCATGGTGGCAGATGCCTATAATCCCAGCTATTTGGGAGGCTGAGACATGAGAATGGCATGAATATGAAAGATGGAGGTTACAGATTGTGCCACTGCTCTCCAGCCGGGGTGACAGGGAGACAGTCTCAAAAAAAAAAACCAACAAAAACAAAACAATGGGCTGGGAGCAGGTAGTCAAAGCAAAGGAAGATTGAATGGTAAAATTCATAATTTTAAAGGAAAGGATATCATAACTTATCAGGGAAATGGAATTTTTATTTACATTGTGCTTGGAAAAACTTAATACCTATATATGTTGTTTTGTTTGAGACACAGTCTCCCTCTGTCACCCAGGCTGGAGTGCAGTGGTGCAATCTCGGCTCACTGCAACCTCTGCCCCCTGGGTTCAAGCGATTCTCTTGCCTCCGTCTCCTGAGGCACCCACTACCCTGGCTAATTTTTGTATTTTTAGTAGAAACAGAGTTTTGCCATGTTGGCCAGAGTGGTCTCGAATTCCTGACCTCCAGTGATCCACCCGCCTCGGCCTCCCAAAGTGCTGGGATTACAGGCATGAGCCACCAGGGCTGGCCTACGTTACCTATATATGTACAGAGGATATTAAGTGCTGCAGTGGAGGAAGTCTTCAGCAACTTTATAATATATTAACTCATGTATTTCATTCAGTAATTTCCTAACATGATCTTGGTGCAGCTTACTGAAGGAGCCTTGGCTGTGATCCTAAGTAATCAATGTCTTTGCAACTGTGATGCTCTAGCAGTTTTCTGGATACAAGCCTTTGGAACAGCCCCTCTAGTATTAATTTCTTTCCCTTCATTTCCTCTCACATCCCTTCAGCTCTTTGTTCAGGTTACCCTAAGGTTGCTTATCCAGCTCAAGGACAGTCTCCTTGTTAGTTTATTTGATGTGGTACAGTCTCCAAAACTGTAGGACCTTTGAATACACTGTTACATTGACTTGGTCATTTGTCCCTAACCCTTCGGTTCCTCTATGGTCCTATCAATTTTTGAACTTTTATATCTTTTGAGTACAAGTTACATTATTGACACAATGTATATATGATATGTTAATAAATACTGGCACTTGAGAATCTGAAATGTAAAGGTATAATGGAGGTAAAAATCTAAAACAGTGACATTATTGAACATAACTTCAGATGAGTTACTAATTGGCATAGCTCTTTTTTAAGAACTTTTTATTCTTATTTGGCGTGCAATTAGAAAATTTCATGCTTAATCCTTATATTTCTCTAAACTACTGCCATAAAGCCTGTACACATGATTTTTATTACAGCTTTGAGATAATTTGATAAAATTTACCTATTTTAGGTGTTCGGTCATTTTTAGTATATTTACAGAGTTCCAAAATTTACAATTGTAGAATAATTTTACAATCTAATCTTTAGGTAATCATGTAACAGTCTAATTTTAGAATATTATGTCACTCCAAAAAGAAACCTTATGCCCATTAGTTAGAAACTCCCATTTGCCTGTCCTCTATCTCTTCACTGACCCCTCTCCCCACCCCTAAACAACTATCAATCCATTTTCTATTTCTATAGATTTTCCTATTCCAGATAATATTTCAGTTTCATTCATATTGTGACATATATCATCCCTTTTATGGTGAAATAATCCATTGTAGAGCCATACCACATTTGGTTTATCCATTCATCAGTTGATGGCTATTTAGAGTTTTTACACTTTTTGGCTATTAAGAATAATGCTACTTGAAACATATGCATTCATGTTTCTGTGTGGACATAGGTTCTCAGTTTTCTAGGGTATATATCTAGAAGTGGAATTGCTGGATAATACAGTAACTATTTAGCTTTCAAGAAACTGCCAACCAAGCTGTTTTCCAAAGTGGCTTCACCATTTGACATTCCCACTAACAATATATAAAGGTTCTAATTTCTGTAATTGCTTTCCAATTCTTACTGTCTTTAATTTTACCCATTTTCTTGGGTGTGGGTTTGCTATCTCATTATGATTTTGATTTGCATTTCCTTAATGAGCATTGGTTTTGAGAATCTTTTTATGTGATTCTTAGCTATTTGCACATCTTAGGAGAAATGTCTACTCAAATCCTTTGCACATTTTTAAATTGGATTATTTTCACTTGTAAATTTTTTTCATATATTCTAAATATGAGATCTTATAAGACATCATTTACAAATATTTTCTCCAATTCTGTAGGTTGTCTTTTCATTTTCTTGGTAGTGTCCTTTAAAGTATAAAAGTTTTTAATTTTGATTGTTAGTTTATTCTTTTTTCCCTTACACTTTTGGTGTGATGTCTAACCCAGGGTCACAAAGATTTACTACTATGTTTTGTAAGTGTTTTGTAGTTTTAGCTCTTAGATTTAGGTATAATTCGATCTGAGTTCATTTTTTGTATGGTGTGAGGTAGGGGTCTAAAATCATCCCTTTAGAGAAAAACAAAGTCATCCTTTTACGTGTTGATAGTCCATTGTTCCAGCACCACTTATTGAAAACACCTCTTTCCCATCAAATTGCATTCTAATAACTCTTATCAAAAATCTATGACCAGCTGTTTTTGTGCCATCAAAATGGTGCACATTGAATGTCCTGACCATTGCTCTTAAGAGCATCAACAATGTCAAAACAAGAGGCAAACATCAGGTTCTTAGAAGGCTGTGCCCAGTGTTATTGTCCAGTTTCTGACTGATGATGAAGCATGGTTACAATGGCGAATTTGAAGTCATTTGAGATCACAGAGCTGGGGAAATTGTTGTGAACCTCACAGGCAAGTTAAACAAGTGTGATCATCCTCAGATTTCACGTGCAACTCAAAGATCTAGAAAAGTGGCAGAATTATCTGCTTCCACGTCATCAGTTTGGTTTCATTATACTGACAACTTCGGCTGGCATCACAGACCATGAAGAAGCAAGATGAAAACACACATGAGGGAAAACCCTGGGATTCATGTTCTTGGGGATATAATACATGCAAATAAAATGCCTCAACAGACAAAAACAAAACCAATTGATAATAAGTGTAAAGGTTTATTTCTGTTCTCTCAGTTACATTCCGTGGGTCTATATGCCTCTCCTTATGCTAGTACTGTACTGTAATGATTGCTGTAGCTTTGTAGTATGTTTTGAATTTGTGAAGAAAAAGTCATCCTACTTTTTCTTTGTTGAGTATTCTGGATCCTTTTTATTTCCATATACATTTTAGGTTCAGTTTTGTCAATTTCTGTACAAAAGACAGCTGGAATTTTGATAGCTATTGCATTGCACCTGTAGATCAATTTGGTGGTATGGCCATTTTAGCAATATTAATTCTTACCCAGGCATGGTGGCTCACGCCTGTAATCCCAACACTTTGAGAGGCCGAGGTGGGCAGATCACTTGAAGCCAGTAGTTTGAGACCAGCCTGGCCAACATGGTGAAATCCTGTCTCTACTAAAAATACAAAAATTAGCCAGATGTGTTGGCACATGCTTGTAATCCCAGGTACTTGGGAGGCTGAGGCACGAGAATTGCTTGAATCTGGGAGGCAGATGTTGTAGTGAGCTGAGATTGAACCACTGCACTCCAGCCTGGGTGATAGCGAGACTCAGTCTCCAAAAAAAAAAAAAAAAAAAAAAAAATCATATTTATGAACATGGGCTGCCTTTCCATTTATTTAGATGATCTTTTTTCTTTTAACAATGTTTTGTAGTTTTCAGTGTGCAACTCTTGCACTTTTAAATGTTTCTCTAAGTCTATTATTTTTGATGCTATAGTGAATGGAATTGTTTTATTTTTGGTTGTTGTAGTGTATAGAAATGCAGTTGATTTATTTTGTGTATTGATCTTATGTAACCTTGCTGAACTGGCTTATTAGATCTAGTAGTTTTTTAGTAAATTCTTTTTTATTTTTCTACATATAAGTTCATATTTGTCTTTATCTTGCCATTTTTATAATGTAAATTATTTTTGCTGATTCTTATTTCAGTAATCCACAAAAGACCTTAAGATTTAGAATTTAGGATTTTTTTGTTTTGAGACAGAGCCTCACTTTGTTGCCCAGGCTGGAGTGCAGCCGATCTTGGCCCACTGCAACCTCTGCCTCCTGGGTTCAAGTGATTCTCGTGCCTCAGCCTCCCAAGCAGCTGGAATCACAGGCATGTGCTATGATGCCTGGCTTTTTTTTTTTTTTTTTTTTTTTTTGATGGAGTCTTGCTCTGTCGCCCAGGCTGGAGTGCAGTGGCGCCATCTCAGCTCACTGCAAGCTCCATCTCCCAGGTTCATGCCATTCTCCTGCCTCAGCTTCCTGAGTAGCTGGGACTACAGGCGCCCACCACCATGCTCGGCTAATTTTTTTGTATTTTTTAGTAGAGATGGGGTTTCACCGTGTTAGCCAGGATGGTCTCGATCTCTTGACCTCATGATCCACCTACCTTGGCCTCCCAAAATGCTGGGATTACAGGCGTGAGCCACCGTGCCCGGCCTAATTTTTTTTGTTTTTTTGTTTGTTTGTTTTTTGTTTTTTAGAGACAGGATTTCACTGTGTTGGCCAGGCTGGTGTCAAATTCCTGGCCTAAAGTGATCACCCACTTTCATCTCCCAAAGTGCTAGGATTACAGGCATGAGCTACAATGCCTGGCTAATTTTTTTTTTTTTTTTTTTTTTTTTTTTGGATTTTTAGTGGAGATGGGATTTCACCATGTTGGCTAGGCTGGTCTCGAACTCCTGGCCTCAAGTGATCTCCCCACTTTGGCCTCCCAAAGTGCTGGGATCACAGGTATGAGCCACTGCACCCGGCCTAGAATTTAGGTTGATGAAAAATTCTTACTTTCATGTCCTGTCAGGTAGATATATGACTTTTTAAATTTTTCTTACGATTCCTTGTATACAGCAGGTAATCATAGCTGTGAAAAATAAGGATAAGAATCCAAATTGTGTTGTATTTAAGCTTCATCAGAATAGATGGTACCTTAGATGCGGAATATAATTGTCATTTATAAGCTTAAATTTCTAGTTGTGCAACATTTACTTTGGCTAGTTTTATCTGGATTATATTTTGAGAGTACTAGAGACCTCAGGCTTAATTTATAGAAGATCTTTAGGCAAGTGGAATAGAATATGGCAGGATAAAGCTGTGAAAGTAAGTTGTATGCTGTGAAAATGACCTTTTATATCTAGTCTGGAAAAGTCTAAGTAATCAAATATGTGCAGAAGTCCCGATGGTCTTTGAGTATTAGACTTGCTATCTTTCTGAGCAAACATCATCTTTGAGTGAATGCTAGTTGTACAGGAGGAAAGTAATGAACCAGAAGTCAAGAGTTTGGGTGATTCTTATAGTTTGGCAAGAGGTAACTTATGTGACCTGTTGAGAAATTATCTAACTCTTAGTTTCTGTTTCCACCTCTGCAAAAATGAAGAGGTATGACTGAATAGTGGCGAATGTCCTACTCAGACCAAAAGTTTAGCATTTCTTCTTTCTCTAGTCTCACAGTTGCCCATAAATTGACTTGAAATCTCACATTGTGATCACATAGTAGCCTTTAAAATATATTTATATCAATGTCTGGGTTTGGCTCTCTTGAGTTTCTAATTTTTAATTTGTTGGGGTAGTATCTCATAATAGAGAGTTGTTTAAAAAACAAACAAACAAAAAAACACAAAAACTCCCCTGCTGATTCTTACTTGCAAATTAGTTAAAGACCACTGCTTTAGCAACATAGAAGGTTGAGGGCAGCTTAATGTAAAGTAATAGTTCAGGCTCCCATTATTTTTAAAATGATGAAATATGATGGTGACGGAAATAGCAAGAATGAAGTAATGTTACAGCATTTTTATGGTTTATGAAGTAATTTGATATGTTAAGTCACTGAAGCTGAAGAGCAGTTCTGTGAAACTAGGAAAGTGCTGATCACCCCCCAGTAAGCAAATGAAGGAATTAAGTGATTTAAGCTTGCTGTGCTAATTATAGACAGAGTCTGGGACTGGAGGCACATCTGACTCCATTCCTATTAAGCTATCTGTTAGGATTATGTATGATAGATAATCTCAAAGACTTTTAGTCCCTTCTATTATGTGTTTAATTACCCTTGAAATGGGACAATTACCAACTCAGAAAGATGAATAAAGGTTAATAATCCAAAGTTGCAAGTCTATATTACTCTTTAGGCTGATGACTTTTAAAAAATTCCCTATATATTTTCAATTATGAGTTTTAATTATATTAAACTATATATTATGTAAAATGAATTGTGTAATAAAAATTTTTAATAATGGCCACCAATTGAGGTAGAAAACAGAGTGGGTGGGAACAGGGTGAAACTAATTGCATAATATGGTAATGACTCAAGTTGTCACATAAAGTTGGGTGTTTACTTGGCTGGTGTTCCTTGGAGGTTATGGTTGCAGATATACCGGAAGACCCACTCATCAATTTTCTCCCTTGTGTTAATGGTGATTGATTTAATTTTTATGTATCTCTTCCAACGTCCGCCACCCCCATTTTTTAAAAGGCAGGAAAATATAACCCATGGGCACTCTAGTACTTTGATTTGCTGTAGTACTGCTGTGCTATTCCTCATGCTCCTATATATAGGTAGAACAGTCTATTCTTTGGTGCAATCACTTTGGATACTTCTGGTCTCTGTGGCTGTGGTTCCCTTTAGTTCTTTGTATACGTGCCTCTTCATGCCTTAGTGTTCTTGGTAGCTAGCCGGTGAATCATCAGAGAGCTGGGCCTCGGAAGTGGTGCTTTGCGGTGGAGTTGACATGAGGCTTACTTCTGTCCTTCTCTTAAGAATCTCAGGGATGTGAGGAAGCCCTGTATGTAATTCTGCACTAATCTCACTGCCTTTCAACTTTTGGCTTTCGTGGAAATGTGAGACAGAACTGCTGTGGTGTTTTCACCTGTCTTAGGAAAGACAGCTCTGAGAAGTATAAGAAAGGTTGCCTTGAGAAATTCTGTTTCCTTAAGTAACTAATGTTTTTATAGTAAGTATTCAACATTGTCTATTCCTATTGGTTCACTGTGCTTTCTCTCCCTTTAGCCCCCCAGGTTCGCCTAATAGTCTTGGCTACTTCCCTACAGCTGCTAATCTTAGCGGTGTCCCTCCACAGCCTGGCACGGTGGTCAGAATGCAGGGCCTGGCCTACAATACTGGAGTTAAGGAAATTCTTAACTTCTTCCAAGGTTACCAGGTCAGTAGCTTGAAGGAGAATAATCCTCAGTGCCCTTATTACTTAAGTTGATTTGCCTAAAGAATGCAGCCAGGAAAGAAACAGATTCTATGAAACTCGTGTGTGTATATATGCTAATGGATTTGCTTATGGAAACAAATAGATCTGGAGTCACTGTGGGGACCAACTTCAGACTCATCCCCTTGTCAGAAATTAAGGCTTTTTCCATGCTGTCTTAAGTCTTCCAACTTAATCTGTTGGTTATTTTTTGAAAAGTGAGCTACTTTGGGAAAGCTCTTTAGGACATGCAGCAGTATGAGTGTTTACATCTAGAATAGGATTGGCTAAGGGGTTTTATTCAAAGTGAAGTGTCAAATCCTTGACTAAACCAATAAGTACTTAAACATGGGTTTTAAAGGTGAGTATTTAAACATGGCCAGAGGCCTCTGGATAACCTGGAAAAAAAAAATTGCCTAACTCCTAGGACACTCATGAGTCTTTAGGTGGTAACACCTTAGAATGAGCTCTCAGGTGTTGGGCGAGCCTTTCATGTTTATTCTCGTGACTAATGTTTGCTCTTGGCAGTTTTTTTCTACCCCAGTCTGTGTCCATCAGCTGTTTTCTCACATATGCTAAAGAATGAGATGATTTTTAGTAAGAGTTCTTTAACAGTGAACATTGCCATTCCATCTAAGCAGATAGCTTTCTTTCCTCAAGTCACATAATTACCTAAGTCTTAAATTCCTTCTTTCCTGCCATTTCTAAAAAATAAGTAACTTATAGTCTTTTTATTGTACTAATAGCAAAAATTGTCCTCTTTCCTCCTGGATCTGAACGTTGCTTGAGTCTTTGGAGTGGAGAAGCTGTTTTCGGAATAATAGTCACATTCTAAAATAGCCCTTGAGCATTTTCAGTACAGCATTACAAGGGTTGTGTCTGTAGAGGCTATTTGGTGATTAGAATGGGTTTACGAGCTTGGCATCTGTGAGTCATGGAGGACTGTGATCTCAGCTAAAATTATCTCAGGGGCGATGCTACCAGCCCAAACCTACCAAGTGGCTGTCATTTTCTCAGGGGCTTTTAAACATATGAAGGACACTTTCTGACAAAATCTATGGCTGATAGTGAAAAGCTGAAGGAAGGTGGAGGTCAGTAGATACTCACTCCTCCCTAAGCAATTTTGCTGCCTTTGGAAGACTTTGAAAGGGGTTAAAAAGTTACTTTTTAAACTTCCTATCTGATTCATTAGATTATAAAAGGAAGATTTTACTAAAAGCTTATTGAAAAGGTTGCTTATTATGGAGAAAACATTTTGACTTGTGTATTTTATTTTTTCCATTGTTTTCCAAGTGAAGAAAGTTCAAAGAAAGTTTCAGGTTTTAGTACTCAGCTGAATTAATTTCTTTTTCATTTGTTTGACTAACAAACTTTTACATTCACACTGAATAGAATTAGGTTGCCTTACATATAAATTAGTAATGAGATTAAGCAAAATTGCTCTTTATTATTAAGAGTGTTGGCCAGGCATGGTGGCTCACGCCTGTAATCCCAGCACTTTGGGAGACTGAGGTGGGTGGATCACTTGAAGTCAGGAGTTCAAGACCAGCCTGACCAACATGAAACCCCGTCTGTACTAAAAATACAAAAACTAGCCAGGCGTGGTGGCATTCGCCTGTAGTCGCAGCTACTCAGGAGGCTGAGGCAGGAGAATCGCTTCAACCCAGGAGGCTGAGGTTACAGTGAGCCAAGATCACTGCACTGCACTCCAGCCTGGGTGACAGAACGAGACTCTGTTTCAGAAAAAAAGTGTCATGCCTGGCATTGTGGGTATTTATTTTACCACAACCATGCAATCGGGATTATTTCTATGTTTATGACTAAAAGATTCACATTCTTCAAAATTTAGATAACATAACTTCAGTCTGTAGCAGTTTTTCTTTGTAGTAACTTCTTAGAACCATTCAAGGTTGGAATAGAGTTGTCTAGTATAACCAGAAACATAACGATTGTGCAATATTATTTCATCTCAAGGCATTTGGCCTTCATTTCTGAAGTGCTTGGAATTTATGAACTGGAGCAGTGAGTTAGGATTACATAGGAACTTCGGTTATCTAATTCAACGTATCAAATTATTCTGATATCTTCTTCAGTAATTTGAGCTTTGAGGCAGTCATAATGCATGCACTCAAAAATCTTTATACCTAACCCAAGTTTGTATCATTCTTACATAAAACGTGTATTTTCTACCGTCTTGAAGAGTACATGCCTTCTTGTTTCGTGTTCTCAGTTGAATTCACTATGGGGTTCCATCTTCTTTAGATTTGGCAACCAAGATGATAAAATCAGTGGATGACATTTTTTGAAAACTGTTCACTTAAGTGTAATCTGTGTTTACCTAGAGTGCATGTATTGGCTGTTGCTGGCTTAATGGGAGGTTTTAATTTTACTTCTAGTTATTTTATATATAATTATATAATAACTACATAACTAAGCAAATATCCAGGCAATAATTGGTTGAGTAAATAAAATTTCTTTTTCTTTCTTTTTTTTTTTTTTTTTTTTTTTTGAGACGGAGTCTCACTCTGTCGCCCAGGCTGGAGTGCAGTGGCGCAATCTCGGCTCACTGCAACCTCCACCTCCTGGGTTCAAGCAATTCTCCTGCCTCAGCCTCTCAAGTAGCTGGGATTACACGTGTGCCACCAAGCCTGGCTAATATTTTGTATTTTTTTGGTAGAGATGGGGTTTTACCATGCTGGCCAGGCTGGCCAGGCTGGTCTCGAACTCCTGACCTCGTGACCCGCCTGCGTTGGCATCCCAAAGTGCTAGGATTACAGGCATGAGCCACCGCAGCTAGCCTATTTTTCTTTTCTATCTGTTCTGAAGCTGAAGAAATTTGATGGTCTCTGATCAAATATAATTTTTTTATGTATTTTCCTCCAACCTTTAACAAAATTTCTTACATAAAACTACTCTAGGCCAGGCACAGTGGTTCACACCTGTAATCCCAGCAGTTTGGGAGGCTGAGGCAGGTGGATCACCTGAGGCCAGGAGTTCAAGACCAGCCTGGCCAACATGGTGAAACCCTGTCTGTACTAAAAATACAAAAAGTAGCCACGCATGGTGGTGCATGCCTGTAGTCCCAGCTACTCAGGAGGCTGAGGCAGGAGAAGTGCTTGAACCCAGGAGGTGGAAGTTGCAGTGAGCTGCGAATGCGACATTGCACTCCAGCCTGGGTGACAGAACAAGACTCTGTCTCAAAACAAACAAACAAAAAACTACTCTTTGTGTCTTCCATACTTCATCTGGGGTGGAGGTAAAGCCACAAAGACCAAGGATTTACAAACTACCATGAAAATACTTGGTAATGAGGATGTCATTCTGGTCCATAAACGTGTGTATATTTTAGATGATGTGTTTTCATACTGAATGGACTCTCAGGTATCCTTACATAAGTCCTTTAACATTTTCATTTGCTCTTTGTACTACCCTTTACCATCAATGCCTTTTACATTTTCAATAGATGCTAGTTTTTGTTTCTCTTCAAGTACTGATTATTGTTTCTTTGGACCTCTCACTACTTGCTGCCCTGCTGAGAGAATTAGACTGATATTACAAATACATCTAACACTATCTAAAATTCACTGCATTGTTTGGAGATACTGGGTATTGGGCTTATTGTACAATCCCTTGCAAATAACTAGTGCTCAAATATTTGATATGTAATCATACTTGCAGTAGCATGAAAACAGTACTAGGCAAGATCTGAAGAAATTGGCCTCCTAAGTTCTTGTGGTATGGTGTTTTGTATGTGTGTGTAATCCATGTTTTCAATCTAATGTCCATCCTAGAAGGGACTTTTATGGTATTTAAACATGTTAAGAAATAAAGATTTGGGTTAGTAGATATGTATATGGCTTGTACCTGTGTTTGTTTCCTCCTATCTAAATGTCCTATACTTTTGTTGGTAGATCTATTTAGCTGAAATATTATCCATAGTGACAGTTTGTCCGTCTTTTGATCTTGTTTGTTTTAACTTGCATTTTAGTATGCAACCGAGGATGGACTTATACACACAAATGACCAGGCCAGGACTCTACCCAAAGAATGGGTTTGTATTTAAGGGCCCCAGCAGTTAGAACATCCTCAGAAAAGAAGGTAAGGCTTTATGATGTGCAAGTTAAATTATAAAGGGCCAAACAGAGATCAAGATTCTGAAGGCATTTAGAAATCAACTGAGAGAATCCTTCTTTTCTTTAGTGTAATGTAAAATATCAGATATCCTGGAAGGAATGGAGACTAGAATTAAGTTTGTCATCTAGGTACATAGAATCTAAGCAACATTAATGGATGAGAGTTGTTTGTTACTGTGGGGCAAGGGAAAACTTTTCCCTTTGGACATTAATTTACTATCTCTCATGTGGAGTACAAGTTGGGTATTCTTTTTTTTAATTGAGGTAAAAATTACATAACATAAAATTAACCATTTTAAACTCATTTACAACTCAGTGGTTTTTAGTATATTCACAAAATCGTGCAACTACTACCTCAGTTTAGTTCTAAAACATTTTTGTCACTCCCTGTTTTCTCTCCCAATAGCTCCTGGCAACTAATCTGCTTTCTGTCTCTATGGATTTGGCTATTCTGGATATTTCATGTAAATGGAATCATACATGTGACCTTTTCTGTGTTTGTCTTTTTAGGTTCACCCTTGTAGCACGTGTTAATGCTTCATTTGTTTTTATGACTGAATAACATTTCATTGCATGGACATACGACATTTTATTTATCCACTGATGGACATTTTAATTGTTTGCACTTTCTGGCTATTGTGAATGGTGCTGATGTGAGCACTCATGTATAATTATTTGAATATCTGTTTTTAATTATCTTTGGTGTGTACCCAGGAGTATAATCACTGAGTCATGTAGTGATTCTTTTGGATTGGGTATACTTTTTCCTGTTTCTTCTTTTATGTTTTATTTTTATTTTTTTTGAGACAGAGTCTTACACTGTTGCCCGGGCTGGAGTGCAATGGCATAATCTCAGCTCACTGCAACCTCTGCTCCTGGGTTCAGGTGATTCTCCTGCCTCAGCCTCCCGAGTAGCTGGGATTACAGGCACCTGCCACCATGCCTGGCTTTTTTTTTGTATTTTTTAGTAGAGACAGGGTTTCACTATGTTGGCCAGGCTGGTCTTGAACTCCTGACCCTGTGATCTGCCCACCTCAGCCTTCCAAAGTGCTGGGATTATAGGCGTGAGCCACCGTGCCCAGCCTGTTTCCTCTTTTAAAAAGATTGTTGTAAAATATACACAACAAAACTTAACAATTTTAAAGTGTCCAGTAGCATTAAGTGTACATTCACATTATTGTGCAGCCAGGTACCGCCGTCCAGCTCCAGAACTTTCTCATTTTCTCAAACTAACATTCTGTATACATGAAACAAGAATTCTCCATTCCTCCTTCTCCCCAGCCTATGGTAACTACCATTCTACTTTGTCTCTGTGAATGTGACTATTCTAGGTAGTCCTTCCTAAGCAGACTGATTTGTCCTTCGGTAACTGGCTTATTTATTTCACTTAGCATTATGTGTTTAAGTAGATTTGGGCATACGTTTAAATGTGCTTTAATCCAAAATGATTGGAAAGTTTTTGTTGCGTGTCTTTTTCCTTTTCTAGAACTAAATGTAGACAAAAGGAACCCTGATAATTTTCTTTGAAAATAGTCTTCCAGATTAATGTTTTCTCCTCAGTCCCCATTAATCCACAATCTTTTCTTAAAGGATACTGGCATTCTTTGAGGCTTCTTGGGAGATGTAGTTGTAGGGATGTATTTGGGAATTGATACTGGTTTTTCATCATTTTTGAGTTGAGTTTTCTGAAGCTGGCATGCTGGCATGTCATTTTCCAATTCTATTAACATTTTCATGGCTGAGGACCCTGTGGGTTTTAATAATGTGGATTCTAAACTGGAAATGAGGTTGCCAATACTTTGTCATCATTGAGAAATAAGAATTTGCATCTTAGCCCTTTGCTCTGAAGTGTGGAAACCCCAGTTCTAAGTTGGAAGTGAAGATTTTTTTCAGATCTGTCATTTTCGGTGAGGTTTCAGTATATCTTGGTCCTACCAAGGAGTGTCACGTACGAATGCTTTGCGGTGGTAATGGGTGTTCTCTAGTCTTTGTCTCAGTGGTGAGAACACATTGTTCTAGCCTGTTGATATCCATTTTGGTCCATATTTTCTTTTCACATGTTCATTGTTGAACACCATGTTGTTTATGAATTTGATTAACACATAGTCTATATTTTTAAATAAGTATACTGAATAAGAAATGACTGGAAATGGAAGCTTTTGACATTACACCAGAAATGTCCTAAACTGACTACGAACCATTACTCACCACCTCTAGTTTTCTACCCTGTGTTTATATATTTGGAGTCATGACAGAATAACAGATCGGGCGCTGTGTTCAAATCCAGATGTCTGCATCTTTTCATCATAATAAAGTCAGGTTAATGTGCCTCTCTATTGCAAATTTTTAAAAATACAGATCTGGCTAAGAGCAGTGGCTCATGCCTGTAATCACAGCACCTGGGGAGACTCAGGTGGGCAGATCACTTAAGCCCTAGAAATTTGAGACCAGCCTGGGCAACATGGCAAAACCCTGTCACTACGAAAAAAAATACAGAAAATTACCTAGGTGTGGTGGCATTTACCTCCGGCTACTCCGGAGGCTGAGGTAGGAGGGTCAATTGAGTCCAGGAGGTCAAGGTTGCAGTGAGCCATGATTGTACCACTGCAGTCCAGCCTGGGTGACAAAGAGCAAGACCCTGTCTCAAAACAAAAAAAGCATAGATTACTGTGTGAAATACTTGGCATAATTTATCTTATTTAATTATCTTACCAACTCTAGGAGATAGGATTATAAAAGTATTGGGTGCTCATTGCAAAGAATTTGGAACAGAGAGACAGGTATAAAGAAGTCACTAATAATCTCACCACCCAGAAACAAGCATAATAAATACTTCCTTTCATCCTCTCATACCCTCATGCAATTTTGAACCTTGTTTCTTTCCCCTTAACCTTGCATTGTTTTATATATATTTTTTTACCGCCTCCTTATCAATATCAAATTCATTATCATAACCGAGTGGCTCATGTTCTTATAAGTACTTATATCCACAGTTTCATTTGAGACCCACCATAACCCTGCAAAGAGGCATCATGGGCCCATTTGACAGATGAGGAAATGAAACCCAGAGAGGTTAGGCAACTTACACAAGTCATACAGCTAATGATCAAGCTAACAAAAAGATCCAGGCCTTCTGCCTTCACTCTGAGGACGCTTTTCTGTTAACCAAACTGTAGCATGGCAAAGTGCTTCCAGTGGACTGCATGGTGGCTACCGAGATACGTCCACATCCTGATCCCTGGAACCTGTGACTATTACCTTCTATGGAAAAAGCTGTAATGAGGTTCTTGAGAGGAAAATAGATCATGAATTATCTGGGTGGTCCCTAGATACAATCACTCGTGTAAGAAAGAGGCAGAGGGAAATCAGACAGAGACACATACAGAAGAGGAGGCAGCAATGTGACGAGGGAGGCAGAGATGAGAGAGCTGTTGACACAGCCCAGGAGTGTTCCCAGCTACCAGCAGCTGGAAGAGGCAAGGACCTGACTGCTCCCTGGAGCCTCCAGAGGATGCACAGCCGCACTGACACAGTTTCTCATTCCTGGCCTCCAGAATTGTTAGAGAATGAATACCTCTTATTTTATGCCACCCAATTTATGGTAACAGCAGTGACAGGAAACTAACAGTATTTTTAAAAATATGTTAAGAGGGCCGGGTGTAGTGGCTCACGCCTGTAATCCCAGCACTTTGGGAGGCTGAGGCGGGCGGATCACGAGGTCAGGAGATCGAGACCGTCCTGGCTAACACGGTGAAACCCCGTCTCTACTAAAAATACAAAAAATCAGCTGGGTGTGGTGGTGGGCGCCTGTAGCCCCAGCTACTCGGGAGGCTGGGGCAGGAGAATGGCATGAACCCGGAAGGCAGAGCTTGTAGTGAGCCGAGATCGCGCCACTGCACTCCAGCCTGGGCAACAGAGCAAGACTCCGACTCAAAAAAAAATGTGTGTGTGTGTGTATGTGTGTGTGTGTGTGTGTGTGTGTGTGTGTTAAGAGGGCCGGGTGCGGTTGCTCATGCCGGTAATCCCAGCATTTTGGTAGGCTGAAGCAGGTGGATCATCTGAGGTCAGGAGTTCGAGACCAGTCTGGCCAACGTGGCGAAACCCTGTCTTTACTAAAAATAGAAAAAAATTAGCTGGGTGTGGTGGTGTGTGCCTATAATCCCAGCTACTCAGAAGGCTGAGGCAGGGGAATTGCTTGAACCTGGGAGGTGGAGGTTGCAGTGAGCTGAGATCACGCCACTGCACTCCAGCCTGGGCGACAGAGCAAGACTCCATCTCAAAAAAAAAAAAAAAGAATTGAGCGATTGATCTCATGGCTGGCTATAGGATCAGGTAAAGAAAGCTAACACCCACAGCGAGGTCTGGTAAAGAAGTCACACTATTCTGTCTTCTCTTGCCTTGTCCCATCAACCCAGCCAACACACGTTGACTATCCCACTGAATCAGTGGAGATATGCTTCATTTAACCATTCAAGATGCCCACAAGCCTTTCTGGGAAGGAGATTGGGTGTCGGGCTGGAAGAAATGCTTCCTCAGATCGCCAGAAAGGGTGTTTTTCTCCAGTTACTGTTACATTCCAAGTTGCTTTCTTCTTTTTCTTTTTCTTTTTTTTTTCTTTTTTTTGTCCCCATAGAGACAAGGTCTCACTATGTTGCCCCAGTCTGGTCTTGAACTTCTGGGTTCAAGCTGTCTCTCTGCCACAGCCTTCCAAAGGGCTGGGATACCGGCATGAGCCACTGTGCCTGGCCAAGTTCCAAGTTTCGTATCTGTTAGGTCTCAAAGGCAATGTCAGCCCCCAAATTTAAATCTATTAATGATATTTTGGCTTGTACATGGTAGCTTATGCCTGTGCATGGAAGATTGCTTGAGCCTGGAAGTTCAAGAATAGCCTGGGCAATGTGGTGAGACCTCGTCTCTACAAAAAATTAAAAGATAGCCAGGTGTCGTCATGCATGCCTGTAGTCCAAGTTACTCGGGAGGCTGAGGTGGAAGGATGGCTTCAGCCCAGGAGGTCGAGGTTGCGGTGAGCTGTCATCGTGCCACTGCCCTCCAGCCTGGACGACAGAGCGAGAGTTAATGAATGAAAACAAGTTTTACAAACTAAAGTTTTATATTAATACATAACTTTTGCTGTCATGATTATAATAATCATAGGGACATAGGGTTTTTTTGTGTTTTTCTGAGATGGAATCTCACTCTGTCACCCAGGCTGGAGTGTAGTACTTAGATCAGTGTTATCTTTCCCTTTTTTGTTATTGGACTGTCAGCCTTAAGCAACAGGGCTTTGCTTTTTTGATAGGTGTGTTTTCTAGGCCTTCCATAGGATCTGTTCTAAAGAGTTCAGATTACATAAACTTTCTAAATAATGAGAAATTCCTACTGAGAAATTTTATGCAAAAATAACACAGTATTTACCTCTGTCTGGACGGTTACCAGTTAATTACATGAAAAAATATAAAAACTGTATTTGATCATTTTGTAACTTTATGTTGCAAGTTCTTGTGTAAGATGATTAAAAAGAACAAACTTTTTATAAGATCTTATTTTTTCCATTTAGATAATCTGAGTCCAGAATAACAGTAAAAACACATAGGAAGTACTTATAGTTTCCTGAGTAGCTGGGACTACAGGCGCACACCACCATGCCTAGCTAATTTTTTGTATTTTTAGTAGAGATGGGGTTTCACCATGTTAGCCAGGATGGTCTCAATCTCCTGACCTCGTGATCCGCCTGCCTCGGCCTCCCAAAGTGCTGGGATTATAGGTGTGAGCCGCCACGCCCAGCCTTCAAGTGAGCCTTTTACCTTAGCCTCCCTGGTAGCTGAGATTATAGGTGTTCTCCACCATGCCTGGCTGTAGAATTGCAGGGTTTTTAAGGGATTATAGGTTCATTCTGTAGCATATAGCACCAGTGGTGAAATCCAGATATCTTTAAAGACTTCTTTGTATGTAATACTTTAATGACAGTGTATTACAAAATAAAAACATGTTTTAACACAGATCTTATTTGAAAGGGAAATCAGATTTGTAAATGTCTGCAGTTGTAATTCTCAACTTTGTTTGCTATAGCTAAACGGGAAGAGGAAACATTATCTCCTTCTGAGATTGATTGTTTTTTTTTTTTTTTTGCTAGCAGTTAGGAGTCTGCAGTTTCTTTTTGTTGTTGTTGTTGTTGTTGAGACAGAGTCTTGCTCTATCCCCAGGCTGAAGTACAGTGGCGCAATCTCGGCTCACTGCAACCTCCACCTCCCGGGTTCAAGCGATTCTCCTGCCTCAGCCTCCCGAGTAGCTGGGACTACAAGCACACACCGCTACTCCCAGCTTATTTATTATTTTTAGTAGAGACAGGGTTTCACCATGTTGGCCAGGATGGTCTCCATCTCGACCTCATGATCTGCCCGCCTCACCTTCCCAAAGTGCTGGGATTACAGGCATAAACCATCGCTCCTGGCCTCAGTTTCATTGTTACACAGTCAAACTCCACTGGCATTAAAAAACGGTTCGAGAAGGCTAAACGTTTAACTTTAACTTTTCCTGGCATTTCCACATTTTATCAGAATATGAAGGCTTAATTTTCAGCATCTACAAAGATGCTATTTCCTAGTATAAATGTGATAGGAATGAAGAAGTTGGTACTCACTGACTCTAATAACTGACAGTCCCAGGGTTGACTGATGTAGCTGGATCCAAGGGTTTGCTCATCCAAACTCACTCTCTGAGATACCCCTAGCAACACTTGGCCTTCACTGGCCTGGCTTACGTTCATCCTAAAACCACAATGACCTGGGATATGCAGGGCTCTAACTGGCCATGTCTGGGCCCCTTGTTTGGCTCAGTGGTAAAACTGCCTCTTAGGGGCTTGAGATTAGGTGATGGGGCAGTTGTTTTCAATTCAGGTGCTACTGCCAAAAGAGGGGTAAAATAGATACTGATCAATAGTGTTGGGTCATTGATTTTCTTATCTGAATTTAGTGTCAAAGGAGAAGCCTTTCAGCATGTGGTATTTTAAACTGAGTGCCAAATTGTGGTCACTTTGGAAACCACATTTAAAAGATGCATCCTAACCAATATTTCCATGTTTTTTAAATACCTGATATTAGATTTGTACCATTTGTAGAATCTATGTTATTAAGGCAGATTTAATCTTGAAATAAATTAATCTTCATGTGCTTCTGAGACTTTTTTTTTTTTTTTTGCTAGCAGTTAGGAGTCTTCAGTTTCATTGTTAAGCAGTAAAACTCCATTAGACATTTCATACTGGCCATATGAAATAAGACTGAAGTCTAAAACATTCCTGTTTTTCATTTACATGTCAAAGTATGCATAATGGCCATGTGTGGTGGCTCACACATGTAATCTCAGCACTTTACAGTACTTTAGAATGCCAGGCAAGAGGAACACTTGAGGCTGAGTTTGAGACTAGCCTGGACGACATAGGGAGACCCCATCTCTAAAATATATATATATCTCTTTTATTTAGCCTAGGGCCAGGTGTTGTGACTCACACTTGTAATCTCAGCACTTTGAGAGGTCAAGGCAGGAGGATTGCTCGAGGCCTGGAGTTTGAGACCAGACTGGTCAGGATGGTGAGAATCTGTCTTTACAAACAATTTGAAAATTAGCTGGATATAGTGGTGTGCCTGTAGTCCCAGCTGTTCAGGAGGCCGAGGTGGAGGATACCTTGAGCCCAGGAATTTGGGGCAGCAACGAGCTCTGATCTCACCACTGTACTCCAGCCTGGGTGACAATGCAAGGCACCATCTCTTTTTGAAAAAAAAAAAAAAAAAAAAAAAAAAACTGCAGTGAGCTATGATTGGATCATATCACTCCATACTCCATCCTGGGTGATGGAGCTAGACCCTGTTTCAAAACAATATATAATGCCTACTAAAAGTTCTTATTTTAAGGTTGTATGGTATATAAGTAAAATAACATAGTGGAACCAATCTGTATTAGTTTAAATCCTGCATCTGCCCATTACTAACTTAATCATTCTGTGCTTCAGTTTTTCCTTCTCTAAAATGGGGATAACAAGGTAATCTAAAAGGTTGTATGTGGGGATGAAATAAATTTATCCATGATCCATATAAAGGTGCTAATCATCAACTAGTCACAGGCATATAGAGCCCATATGTTTGCTGTTATGTCATGCCTTATTGCTTTTTTTTTTTTTTTTTTTTTTTTTTTTTGAGACAGAGTCTCCCTCTGTTGCCCAGGCTGGAGTGCAATGGCATGACCTTGGCTCACTGTAACCTCCACCTCCCAGGTTAAAGCAATTCTCCTGCCTCAGCCTCCCACATAGCTGGGAATATAGGCACACACCACTACGCCCAGCTAATTTTTGTATTTTTAGTAGAGATGGGGTTTCACCATGTTGGCCAGGCTGATCTCAGACTCCTGACTTCATGTGATCTGCCTGCCTCAGCCTCCCAAAGTGCTGGGATTACAGGCATGAGCCACCATGCCCGGCTCCTTATTGCTTCTTATTAAGTGTCTTAGAAATTATTTGGAATTTCTTATACTAGAATTTAACTTTAAAATTTTGTCTAAATTGTTTTGTTTATTTTGGTAATGATATTGAACCTCTAAGGAATGAATGAAATAGTCTCTCCAGAAAGGAGCTGAGCTGAGCAGGGAGTCGGAAACCATACATGTTAAACTAAACACATGATACTACAAAGGGTAGGAGTGGTGCAGAACGCCAACTACTGTGTAAACCATGGAAACTTCCTTGGCTAGTGCTGTACTCCCAAAGCCCTTGCCATGTAAATGCCAACTATGTCTGTGTGAAATAATAACTTGGACCATCTTAAGGCTTTTTTTCCACAAAGTCCTTGTGGAATTTGAAATCATTTTTGTGGCTGCTGAGAATGACATTTAGAGACTATAACATTTCCTTTTATTCACTTTTTTTTTTTTTTTTTTCAGTGTTTGAAAGATGTATGGTGATCTTGAAACCTCCAGACACAAGAAAACTTCTAGCAAATTCAGGGGAAGTTTGTCTACACTCAGGCTGCAGTATTTTCAGCAAACTTGATTGGACAAACGGGCCTGTGCCTTATCTTTTGGTGGAGTGAAAAAATTTGAGCTAGTGAAGCCAAATCGTAACTTACAGCAAGCAGCATGCAGCATACCTGGCTCTTTGCTGATTGCAAATAGGCATTTAAAATGTGAATTTGGAATCAGATGTCTCCATTACTTCCAGTTAAAGTGGCATCATAGGTGTTTCCTAAGTTTTAAGTCTTGGATAAAAACTCCACCAGTGTCTACCATCTCCACCATGAACTCTGTTAAGGAAGCTTCATTTTTGTATATTCCCGCTCTTTTCTCTTCATTTCCCTGTCTTCTGCATAATCATGCCTTCTTGCTAAGTAATTCAAGCATAAGATCTTGGAATAATAAAATCACAATCTTAGGAGAAAGAATAAAATTGTTATTTTCCCAGTCTCTTGGCCATGATGATATCTTATGATTAAAAACAAATTAAATTTTAAAACACCTGAAGATAAATTAGAAGAAATTGTGCACCCTCCACAAAACATACAAAGTTTAAAAGTTTGGATCTTTTTCTCAGCAGGTATCAGTTGTAAATAATGAATTAGGGGCCAAAATGCAAAACGAAAAATGAAGCAGCTACATGTAGTTAGTAATTTCTAGTTTGAACTGTAATTGAATATTGTGGCTTCATATGTATTATTTTATATTGTACTTTTTTCATTATTGATGGTTTGGACTTTAATAAGAGAAATTCCATAGTTTTTAATATCCCAGAAGTGAGACAATTTGAACAGTGTATTCTAGAAAACAATACACTAACTGAACAGAAGTGAATGCTTATATATATTATGATAGCCTTAAACCTTTTTCCTCTAATGCCTTAACTGTCAAATAATTATAACCTTTTAAAGCATAGGACTATAGTCAGCATGCTAGACTGAGAGGTAAACACTGATGCAATTAGAACAGGTACTGATGCTGTCAGTGTTTAACACTATGTTTAGCTGTGTTTATGCTATAAAAGTGCAATATTAGACACTAGCTAGTACTGCTGCCTCATGTAACTCCAAAGAAAACAGGATTTCATTAAGTGCATTGAATGTGGATATTTCTCTAAGTTACTCATATTGTCCTTTGCTTGAATGCAATGCCGTGCAGATTTATGAGGCTGCTATTTTTATTTTCTGTGCATTACTTTAACACCTTAAAGGGAGAAGCAAACATTTCCTTCTTCAGCTGACTGGCAATGGCCCTTTAACTGCAATAGGAAGAAAAAAAAAAAGGTTTGTGTGAAAATTGGTGATAACTGGCACTTAAGATCGAAAAGAAATTTCTGTATACTTGATGCCTTAAGATGCCCAAAGCTGCCCAAAGCTCTGAAAGACTTTAAGATAGGCAGTAATGCTTACTACAATACTACTGAGTTTTTGTAGAGTTAACATTTGATAATAAAACTTGCCTGTTTAATCTCAATGTTTGCGATTTTTTTTTTGTTTTGTTATTAGAAGAATTGTACTGATGGAAGTACATAGATAAGCCATCTCTTCCTAAGATGGTGGTAGGGTTTTTCTCTAAACTTATGTATAAAAGCTACCAGTGATAAATCTACTCAAGATGGCCTGGCATGGTGGCTCACACCTGTAATCCTAGCACTTTGGGAGGCTGAGGCAGGTGGATCACGAGGTCAGGAGTTCAAGACCAGCCTGGCCAAAGATGATGACACCCCATCTCTACTAAAACTACAAAAATTAGCCAGGTGCGGTGGTAGGTGCCTGTAGTCCGAGCTACTTGGGAGGCTGAGGCAGGAGAATCGCTTGAACCCGGGAGGCAGAGGTTGCAGTGAGCCGAGATCATGCCACTGCACTCTGGCCTGGGTGATACAGCAAGACTCCATCTCAAAAAAAAAAATTTCTAACGTTTTATAGCAACATATATTATCAGTATCACTTGACATGCAAACTCTGTTGTTAGTATGTTTCAGTTCTGAAATTAGATTCTAACCCCAAGGGCAGGGATTATGCTGTACCTTTATTTCCCTCAATGTCTAGCACTTTTTTTCTTTTCATGACATTTACATCAAATGTCTATATTTCTGTTCACCCAGTATGTTCTTCATAAGCATTCATTGAGTGTAGCTTAGTTAACCCAGGAAAGTCTTTCAGCCCTAGTCCTTGCCAACATCACCTTATAAGAATGAAGCCATTTTATATTAATACTTTTGGTCTTTGCCATCACGTATAGTAAAGTTCTCTAGATAAGCTGGAGTCCTCACCCAAGTTTTCCTTGCTCTAATATCTCTGGTAGGCATTTCATGTTTTTCAGGCTGTTACCTACCTTAAGTAGAATCAAAGTTGCCTGAGCAAAGCTAGTGTTATTCATCTTGGTACAGCACCTGGTACAGCTGCTCTCTTCATGCAGAAAAGAAAATTGGCAGAAGGAAGTGGAGTAAGGGTGATGAGGAAGGATGGGAGAATGAGGGAAAAGAGGACTGGGATATGTGGAAGAACCTTAAAGTTCCACCTCTTATGTGTATACTCTTCCTCTCCCTGCATTCTCCAGCTGTCGAGGAAAACAAAAGTAGACAGAATGAACATCCATGTACTTTTTTTTTTTTTTTTTTTTTTTTTGAGATGGAGTCTTGCTCTGTCGCCCAGGCTGGAGTGCAGTGGCGTGGTCTCGGCTCGCTGCATGCTCGCCTCCCAGGTTCATGCCATTCTCCTGCCTCAGCCTCCGAGTAGCTGGGACTACAGGCAGCCGCCACCACGCCGGGCTAATTTTTTGTATTTTTAGTAGAGATGGGGTTTCACCATGTTAGCCAGGATGGTCTTGATCTCCTGACCTTGTGATCCGCCCACCTCAGCCTCCCAAAGTACTGGGATTACAGGCGTGAGCCACCGCGCCCAGTCGACGTCCCACTTTTTTACATCTGTTACTATAATGCCATGAATTCATAGGTTCCAGGAGCCCAGGCTTTTTTCCATTGGTTCTCACACAGTGTGCTGCTCTGGGTGGAGTGGGCTAGTGCTTCAGTTGAACCCCGGTACCTTTCTCTTTGGCTTCCTTTTCTGATCATTTTCCTTCATGCATTTCGGGAGGCTATCTCAGCTCTTAGAGTGGTTAATATGCTCAATACACACACTGATTCTATTGGCAAGAATCTTATCCTTGTTTATAACAATGCCAACAGCATGTTGGGTAACATTACAGACTCATCCAGTTTTGCCATGGTAGCTATTATGTGGCATTCCTTTTGTTTTGTTTGTTTTAGAAAAGGTTGCTCTGTTGCCCATGCAAAAGTGCAGTGGCGCAATCATGGCTCACTGTAGCCTCAATTTCCCAGGCTGAGACGATTCTCCCACCTCAGCATCCCAAGTAGCTGGGAGACTACAGGCACGTGCCACCATCCCAGCTTTATTTATTTATTTATTTATTTATTTATTTATTTATTTAGAGAAGGAGTTTCACTCGTTGCCCAGGCTGGAGTGCAATGGCACAATCTCGGCTCACCGCAACCTCCGCCTCCTGGGTTCAAGCGATTCTCCTGCCTCAGCCTCCCAAGTACCTGGAATTACAGGCATGAGCCACCATGCCTGGCTAATTTTTTTTTTTGTAGTTTTAGTGGAGACGGGGTTTCTCCATGTTGGTCAGGCTGGTCTCAAACTCCCGACCTCAGGTGATCCACCCGCCTCAGCCTCCCAAAGTGCTGGGATTACAGGCGTGAGCCACCGCACCCAGCCGTTTTTTTTGTTGTTGTTGTTGTTGGTTTTTTTTCTGTTTTTTTTTTTTTAAGAGATCGGGTTTTGCCATGTTTCTCAGGCTGGTCTTGAACTTCTGAGTTCCAGCGATCTTCCCACCTCAGCCTCTGAAAGTGCTGGGATTACAGACATGAGCCACCTTGCCCAGCCCCAGACTCTTAACCAGATCTCAAATGAACTGAGAACTCACTTATCACCAAGGGGATGGTACTAAATCATTCAGGAGGCATCTGCTCCCATGATCCAATCACCCCCCACCAGGCCCTACCTCCAACATTGGGAATCACATTTCAACGTGACATCTGGAAGGGACAAACATCCACACAGGCAGTGGCTCATGCCTGTAATCCCAACACTTTGGGAGGCTGAGGCAGGTGGATCACCTGAGGTCAGCAGTTTGAGACCAGCCTGACCAACATGGTGAAACCCTGTCTCTACCAAAAATATAAAAATTAGCCAGGCGTGGCGGCACACACCTGTAATCCCAGCTACTCGGGAGGCTGAGGCAGGAGAATCTCTTGAACCCGGGAGGCAGAGGTTGCAGTGAGCTGAGATTATGCCACTGCACTCCAGCCTGGGCAACGAGAGTGAGACTCCATCTCAAAAACAACAACAACAAAAAAAAAATGAAGGGATCTGGAAGAGAAGTAGACTTGAAGACTGGTCAATGTAGTTAGTACTCTCCTAGGTGCTCCTTCATCTACTCTGGCTCTTTTCCTAACATTGCATAAATACAGCTCATTTGTTTACAGCATCAGAGTAGGGCTTCTAGTGCTCCTTTGGTCTGCCTTTTTACTTTATATCCAGCTTGCCATTAATTTGGCAGTTGCTTTATATTGTTGCTATTCTAAAAGTGAATGCTGATACATGGATAATAAATCTGCTTGTTTTACACTTGAATTTGAGCTAGTGTCTTATAACTGAAACCCTTTTGAAACTTAGCAGAGTCAATACTACAAACATTTTTAAAGATCAATGTAAAATACTCAACTTGTTCTGGTTCTCAGCCTCCTTTGTGATTCATTCTTTCCTACATGATTGGTGTTAATCATGGTTCTATCCTCAGTCATCTTCATCTATTCATTCTCTCTGGGCAAATTCATTCATTTATTACCACACTCCTCTGTGGATCTATAGACTCCTCTACCCAGCACTGTAATGGACATTTCCATCTGGATGTGTCCCATGCATTTCAAACCCAACATGCTTAAAATGGAACTTATCTTGCCACATCCAAAATCCTGCTGCTTTCTGGGTTCTTTTTACTTCACTAACCAGCACCATATACTGCCAGGTCTTAAGGAGATCATTCTTTTTTTTTTTTTTTTTTTTTTTGAGACGGAGTCTCCATCTGTAGCCCAGGCTGTAGTACGGTGCCGCGACCTCGGCTCACTGCACCCTCTGCCTACCAGGTTCAAGTGATTCTCCTGCCTCAGCCTCCGGAGTAGCTGGGATTACAGGTGCATGCCACCACGTCTAGCTAATTTTTGTATTTTTAGTAGAGACGGGGTTTCACCATGTTGGCCAGACTAGTCTCAAACTCCTGACCATAGGTGATTCATCCACCTCAGCCTCCCAAAGTGCTGGGATTACAGGCATGAACCACTGCACCTGGCCCAGGAGGTCATTCTTTATTATTATTATTATTATTATTATTATTATTATTATTATTATTATTAGAGACAGAGTCTCGCTCTGTCACCCAGGCTGAAGTGCAGTGGTGCTACCTCAGCTCACTGCAACCTCTGCCTCCCGGGTTCAAGCGATTCTCCTGCCTCAGCCTCCTGAGTAGCTGGGATTACAGGCGCCTGCCACCACACTCGGCTGGTTATTGTATTTTTAGTAGAGACGGGGTTTCATCATGTTGGCCAGGCTGGTCTCGAACTCCTTACCTCAGGTGATCCACCCCTCTCTGCCTCCCAAAGTGCTAGGATTACAAGCGTGAGCCACGGCACCCAGCCCAGGAGGTCATTCTTAACCTCCTCTCCTTCATCATCCTAGACAATAATATCTCACCCATGTTTTGCCTTAATATTGAACTCCATGCATCAAATTTTGTTCCTGTCTATTGGAAGTATGTTTTAAATAATTTTTAAAATTAAAAACACAGATCTGATCATGTGCTCTTGGAACCTTTTAATAGCTTCCCATTTGCTGTGGGAAAAAGCCATTCATGTACATCCTGCATGACATTGCATAAGCTGATTCCAGCCTTCCTCTGTTGCTTTCTTGCAAGGCACTTTTTCCCCTCATGCTCTATATTCTGTGATACATTTTCCAATTGTTTGTGTGGGAGTGATACACCTTTGTCTGTTTCCTCTACCTGAAACATTTTTTTCTGCTATCTCTCTCTTAACTGTTGCCCACTTAGAAATCTTATCTTCCTGGGCAGACGCGGTGGCTCATCCCTGTAATCCCAGCACTTTGGGAGGCCGAGGCAGGAGGATCACTTGATGTCAGGAGTTCAAGACCATCTTGGCCAAATAGTGAAACCCTGTCTCTACTAAAAATAGAAAAATTAGCCGTGCGTGGTGGTGAGCACCTGTAATCCCAGCTACCCTGGAGGCTGAGGCAGGAGAATTTCTTGAACCTGGGAGCCGGAGGTTGCAGTGAACCAAGATCGTGACACTGCACTCCAGCCTGGGCAACAGAGCAAGACTCCGTCTCAAAATAAACAAACAAACAAACAAAAAGAAATCTTCCTAAGGAAGACGTTTCCTGATGAAATAGGCTCACAGTAAGGTCTCCCTGTAACCAGCTTCCCATATCGTTAATGGCAGTGTGTTTCTTGTTCCTCACTAGTGACTAGTCAGTGCTTAAGATATATACAATATTTGCTGAATTAATAAATTTATATTTATTCCTTCATGTGGAAACTAATGTGATTTTATATGTATATATTTATATATATATATATATATTTTTTTTTTTTTTTTCTTTAGACAGAGTCTCACTCTGTTGCCCAGGCTGGAGTGCAGTGGCCCAATCTCGGCTCACTGCAACCTCTGCCTCCCAGGTTCAAGCCATTTATCCTGCCTTAGCCTCCTGGGTAGCTGGGACTACAGGCATGTGCCACCAAGCCCAGCTAATTTTTGTATTTTTAGTAGAGACAGGGTTTCAGTATGTTGGCCAGGCTGGTCTCGAACTCCTGACCTCCTGATCCTTTTGCCCCAGCCTCCCAAAGTGCTGGGATTACAGGCGTGAGCCACCACACCCGGCTGATTCTATATGTTTTTTTTTTTTTTTTTTTTACCACGCCTGGCCGATTCTATATGTTTTTTTTAAAGAATTTTTATAAATGTAAATGTTGCTAAATAGCACATACTATGTTTCTGTCTTTTTTTTTTTTTTTTTTTTGAGAGGGAGTTTCATTCTTATTGCCCAGGCTGGAGTGCAATGGCACGATCTCAGCTCACTGCAACCTCTGCCTCCCGGCTTCAAGCAATTCTGCCTCAGCCTCCAGAGTAGCTGGGATTACAGGCGCCCACCACCACGCCTGGCTAATTTTTTGTACTCTTAGTGGAGAGGGGGTTTTACCATTTTGGCCAGGCTGGTCCCGAACTCCTGACCTCAGGTGATCCACCTGCCTCAGCCTCCCAAAGTGATGGGATTACAGGCATGAGCCACCGCACCCGGCCAATATTATGTTTCTTTAGCACCATTTTGTCAATTTTTAAAATGTTAGTGGTAATCTAATTATTAATGGTATGCTTTTACATGGGAATATAAATTCAAAGAGTCACTTTTTCACTTAAGTGCACAAAGAAGACAGTTTGGTATGAAATGTACCTCTACATTATGATTTTGGCTGCGTCTGCCATCTACTGGACACATCATGCTGTTGGCTTTTCAGGTTTCTATTCTCAGCCAAGGTGCCATCCAGGATTCTAACAGGATTTAAAATTTGTTCTGTTTTTAAATCATATTATAATTGATGGGAAATTGATGTTTTTTAACTGTATTTATTTTAGACTGGTCAAGTGAAGCAGTGTGAATGGAGAAGAAACAAATCTGTAACTGGTTGTGATCAATTAGTTGTGAACACCACGGCACTTGAGCCAGCCTTTACTGTATTTAAAAAAAGAAAAAGAAATGTCATAGTAGTTTCCATGTTACACATACTTTTTTTTAACTTTTAAGTTCAGGGGTACAAGTGCAGGTTTGTAACACAGGTAAACTTGTGTCATGGGGGTTTGTTGTACAGATTATTTCATCACCCAGGTATTTATCTTAGTACCCATTAGTTATTTTTCCTGATCCTCTCCCTCCTCCCACCCTCCGCCCTCTGAAAGGCCCCAGTGTGTGTTGTTCCCCTCTATACACATACATTTTTATAGTGATGTCACAAATTTGGTAGAAAACTTTTTTTTCCAAAAATCATTGTGCTCCTTTGCTTTTAAGATACCTACAATTTGGAATGTGATGCATCCTCGATGCATCAGTCTGGACATGCCTAGTAAATGATCTGCAGTGGCTGTCTGGCTGAAGAGTACTTCAGGGACAGCTCCAGGACTGCACTGGATCTGGCCTGAGCATCCAGGTCTGGCCTAAGCTCTTTGTAGGGTGGAAAAACAGCAGAAACAACTTCATCTGTCAGGGCTTTAGGAATAGCAGATTTTTTTCTGAATTAACTGAATTGAGGTACTCAGAGTCCACCTGCTATCCAATTGCATCCCTTTTTCAAAATAAGAAAGTATTTAATCCACCATTTACACATACCAAGAAGGCCTAAGTGCAATTAATAGCAGGTAGGTGTCTTCTAATGTGGCAGTCTCAATCTCTATAAATAGGGTTGTTCGAGTTAGCAAAAACAAAATACCAAACCAAAACAAAACCCAGGATATTCAATTACATAGAAATTTCAGATAAATAACAAATCATTTTTGGTATAAGCATGTCCCAAATATTGCATGGGACATGCTCATACTAAAGTGTCCTGAATTTTTTATCTGGAAACCCTAATATAATTCACAAATATTTAAAGGGCTTACTATCTGAAAGAAGAGAGGCAAGAGTCTTGGTACAAAGTCAGCAACCTATGTTTTCTTTGCCTGGGACAAACTTGATAACAGGCCACTTAGTTCCAATGATGTTTTGCTTTATGAGTATTGCTTCATATGACCAAGTTGATCAAAAATCTCTACCTAGAGTAGTTTTTAACTATAAGAAAATTTGTTTTTCAAAAAAATGTCCTGACCAGGTGCAGTGGCTCATGCCTCTAATTCCAGCACTTTGGGAGGCCAAGGAGGGTGGATTGCTTGAGCCCAAGAGTTCAAGACCAGCCTGGGCAACATGGTGAAACCATGTCTCTACAAAAAAATATATATATGTAATGTATATGCGTATATTTTATATATGTATATATGTATATTTTATATATACACACACAGAATATGTCTATATTCAGAAAAATACACACACACACACACACACACACACACGCAGAAAAATTAGCTGGGCGTGGTGGCGTGTGTCTGTAGTCCCAGCTACTTGGGAGGCTGAGGTGGGAGGATCACCTGAGCCTGGGAGGTCAAGGCTACAGTGAGCCATGATTGCACATGTGCACTCCAGCCTTGACAACAAAATGAGACCCTATTTCAAAAAAAAAGAAATAAAGAAAATGTCCTAAAACATCTAATATATCCAATTCAAGAATATTTAAATAGAATGCTTTTTTTTTTTTTTTTTTGAGATGGAGTCTCGCTCTGTTACCCAGGCTGGAGTGCAGTGGCATATTTTGGCTCACTGTAACCTCCGCCTCCCAGGTTCAAGAGATTCTCCTGCCTCAGTTTCCTGAGCAGCGGGGACTATAGGCACTCACACCACGCCCAGGTAATTCTTGTGTTTTTTTGTAGAGACAGGGTTACACCATGTTGGCCAGGCTGGTCTTGAACTCCTGACCTCAGGTGATCCGCCCACCTCGGCCTCCCAAATTTCTGGGATTACAGGTGTGAGCCACCTTGCTTGGCCTTTTTTTTTTTTTTTTTTTTTTTTTGAGACAGAGTCTTGCTCTGTCACCCAGGCTGGAGTGCAGTGGTACGATCTTGGCTCACTGAAGCCTCTGCCTCCCGGGTTCAAGCGATTCTCCTGCCTCAGCATCCCGAGTAGCTGGGACTACAAGCGTCTGCCATGACGCCCAGCTAATTTTTTTATTTTTAGTAGGGACGGGGTTTTGCCATGTTGGCTAGGCTGGTCTTGAACTCCTGACCTCAGGTGATCCGCCCGCCTCCGCCTCCCAAAATGCTGGTATTACAGGCATGAGCCACCGGGATTACAGGCAGGAGCCACTTGGGAGCCCAAGGTGGGCGGATCACCTGAGGTCAGGAGTTCGAGACAAGCCTGACCAACGTGGTAAACCCCATCTCTACTAAAAATAGAAAAAACTTAGCTGGGAGTGGTGACAGGCACCTGTAGTCCCAGCTACTCAGGAGGCTGGGACAGGTGAACCCCATCTCTACTAAAAATAGAAAAAACTTAGCTGGGCGTGGTGACAGGCACCTGTAGTCCCAGCTACTCGGAAGGCTGGGACAGGAGAATTGCTTGAACCCGGGAGGCAGAGGTTGCAGTGAGCCGAGATCGAACCACTGCACTCCAACCTAGATGACAGAGTGAGACTCCGTCTCAAAAAAAAAAAAAAGATTTTAATCAACAGATAATTAATATTTTATTACATAATAAAGATGAAACACAATTCCATATCTTTCATAGAAGCTGAACCGACACAAGGATTTCTAACTAATTATGTTCTTTTACTACTAATGAGGTGAAGCATATGCCAGAATAATGTTTCTTGTTTTTTGTTTTTTTGCTGCTGTTGTTTTTTTGACAGGGTCTCATTCTCAGCCAGGCTTGAGTGCAGTGGCTTGATCACAGCTCACTGCAGCCTCAACCTCTTTGGCTCAGGTGATCCTCCCACCTCAGCCTCCCAGGTAGCTGGAACTACAGGTGCACGCCACCATGCCCAGCTATTTTTTGTATTTTTTAGTAGTGGCGGGGCTTCACCATGTTGCCAAGGCTGGTCTTGAACTCCTGGGCTCGAGCGATCTGCCGGCCTTGGCCTCCCAAAAAGCTGGGATTACAGGCATGAGCCACCTCGATCAGCCTCAGAAGAATGTTTTAAAAATAGACTGCATGTATTTTTTTGGTTTCAAGTAGAGAAGTTTTAAGGCCTTCTGTTTTATATTGTTCTTACATCTTGGCAGCACTTTTTCCTGGGAACATGGAAAGCACATGATTAATTTCAAGATGGAAATATCAGAAATCATGTTCGACTCATCATTTATCACATCCAATTTGTCATCAGGCCCTGTAGATTTCATTTCCAGCATCTTTTGAATTCATTCTCTTTGAACATTTTTATTTTCATTGCCTCATACCAGGCCTTTATTTTCTTACTCAGTTTACTATAAAAGCCTCCTAAACTACATTTGCTAAAGACTTAACTTTTTAAAACAAAGAACATTTCACATTATGTCCTTAAAATATCCATTGCATAGAGAAGAGGTCCTCAAACTTCTAGAGAAGGCGGAAAATCACACGGCTCTTTGAATAGCTCATAAGTAAAAGACAATTTGGGAAAATTTGGGTTCTTTAGGACTGGTCAGGGTGACGCAAAATGTAATGAAATGCTCCTTCACATCTTGCATAAGAAACTAGCAGCCCATGGTTTTGCAGTGATAAAACAATCAGAGTATCGTCTGAAATCATCTTACAACCATATGTCCACTAGCCATCTGGAAACAGCTGGCCTTAGGAATTAGGAAATGGCCTACTGAAAACTCAGCTGTAATGCCTGCTGCAAGGCAACATCTTGAGTAGTTCAGGTTCTAATTCTTCTTGAATGAAATATAGATTTTTAATAAAAACAGCCTATTTTTCTCACAGTAAGATTACACTGGTTTGAGAATAAGATGCTCCACTCTCATTATCCTTATGTGTTTTTTGTTTGTTTGTTTTGTGTGATGGAGTTTCGCTCTTGTTGCCCAGGCTGGAATGCAATGGCATGATCTCGGCTCACCGCAACCTCCACCTCCCAGGTTCAAGCAATTCTCCTGCCTCAGCCTCCCGAGTAGCTGGGATTACAGGCATGCGCCACCACGCCCGGCTAATTTTGTATTTTTAGCAGAGATGGGGTTTCTCCATGTTGGTCAGGCTGGTCTCGAACTCCTGACCTCAGGTGATCCACCTGCCTCAGCCTCCCAAAGTGTTGGGATTACAGGCATGAGCCACCGTGCCCGGCCCTAATGTGGGTTTTTAGGGTTCAAGAGAAGAATGTTTCTACTAGGGCATAATTATCTCTATCTTATCTTATATTTCCATTTGTTATTTTAAGAAGCTATTTTTTTTCTATCATTTTTCTTTCCCCTGTTATTGTAGAGGTCAGGCAAACTTAAAATTTAGTCCATTAGTCAACTTGAGGTGACCGTGAAGAAACTGTAGGATATTAAGACTCTAGACTTAGAAAACAGCAGACCTCAATAGCTACTATATGTTTTCCAAGAGGTGCAGCTCTTTCAGTCAGCTGATCTGATAAGCAGCATACTCAGGTACTGTTGCTCATGTCCAGGGACCCTACCATATCCTGTGGTTTTCAGGGTCCTTATATTCTGTGCTCTCTTGGCTCTGGCACCAGGCCTTTTCTGGTCCACTGTTTCTAACTCCTGGTAAAGTGTTGTTTTAAGGCAAAAAACATCTTTACGGGGAACCAGACATAAAAAGAGTTCCTGGAGGCCCTGCGTGGTAGCTCATGCCTGTAATCCCAGCACTTTGTGGGGCTGAGGCCGGTGGATCACTTGAGGTCAGGATTTCAAGACCAGCCTGGGCAACATGGTGAAACCACACCCCTCCACTTCTCTACTAAAAGTACAAAAAATTATCCGGGCGTGGTGGTGGGCACCTGTAAACCCAGCACTTCGGGGGGCCAAGGTGGGCGGATCACTTGAGGCCAGGAGTTGGAGACTAGCCTGGCCAACCAACATGGTGAAATCCCATCTCTACTAAAAATATGAAAATTAAGTGGTGGCTTGCGCCTGTAGTCCCAGCTACTGGGAAGGCCGAGGCACGAAAATCGCTTTAACCTGGGAGGCGGAGGTTGCAGTGAACCTAGATCGAGTCATTGCATTCCAGCCTGGGCGACAGAGCGAGACTCTGTCTCAAAAAAAAAAAAAAAAAGTTCCTGGAACCGTTTCTGCACATCACTGAAAAATGATAGCCTCTCCCCAAATATCCTAACTTAAAGGTGCTATTAGGAGAATCTTGCTGCCTGCTAATAATGGGGTGTCCATAATTACCCCATGACTTCAGTGAATTCTCGTGCCTGTTTCTCCCGATCTAAAATGGGTATATTTCATTTACTAAATTTACTTCTGAGTACTGTTGGGGAAAAGATCCCGGTGTTTGTTGAAGAATGCTAGATATAATGAAAGTTAAACACAGTTTAACAAATTAAAATTATTCCCTATTGCTCTGTAATATCTAATTGCACACTGCTCTACCCCAGACCATTGTATTATCTCCCCGCCCCCCCCCCCAGAATATCATGAAATGCAACATATTTGCTAAACCAGTTTTGGTGATTTAAAACAAGTTCCAAGCACAAGCTTCTTTCTTGTAATGGTCAAGTGGCCTACGAAACCAAAGCGCCAACTGAGAACGTTTTGCTGCTGCACTCTGAAATCCCAGCGAGAACGCAGGCAGCGATGGCAGTTCTGGAGCACCGGGTTCCACTTCTGCCTCTGACCGGCTTTGTGACTTCCACCACATTAGATCTGAGTTTCCTCCATGTAAAATGGGGCGGGAATGGAGGCTGGACCTGGGAGGTGTCGCTGATGATCGTCTCTGACTCGCTAAGTCGCGGAGTCACAAAAGTGGCGGAAAGCATGCCCTCACTTTTTGGGAAGAGTAGGACGAGGGGCGGGGCTGCAGCGAGACCCACCAGTCTCGCTTTCCAGGGCAGGCGGCGGCCAGGAGCTACAGCTGTGGGCTGCACTCCCGGCGTGGAGTCTCCTTCCTGCCCGCGCAGGCCCCGGCGCCCCAGCGAAACGCTCCGGCCGCTCCCCTCTCCCAACACTCTGGTTCCCGGGCCGCCTGCGGGGACGCGGTTGGCGGCGACACCGGAGGGGGGTGGGTCAGGAAGTGGGGGCGCGGCGGCCAGGAGCGGGCCCCCGGAGGCCGAGGGGTTCGGCGACGCGGAGGGAGGGAGAGTCTGGGCCGCGCGGGAGCCGCAGGGCGCCCTAGCCTTCGCAGAAACGATGGCGGAGGAAGAAGGTGATTGCCGCGGGGTCCAGCGCGCCAACGGCTGCCAGTGGTCTCGGGAAGGAGGGGCGGGGGCGCTGGAGGTCTGGGTTGGAGCTGCTGGTGGCCGCGGTCGCGGTGGCGGCCGCGCGGGCAGGGCGGGAAGGAGCGCGGCGCCCAGGAGAGGACTGCGGAGAAATTCAGGAGAGCGGAGCAAATGGCCCGAAGTTTTGTCGGCCGAATTGGGAAGCAAAGGTGGAGCTGAAAGTTGGGAATCCGTAGCAAGAGAGAAAGCTGTGCCGGGAGTGGTTGGGAAAGAGGGAGGGTCCTGATCAGATTCTTGGTGAAGTGGGAGGCGCAGTTTGGTTTCGAAGATCAGGTTTAGGTACTCAGTGCATATTTGGAATGCGATTTTTAAAGGGCTGTGGATATTGACAAACCCAGAGGCACAGGGGGCGAGGGAACATTCACCACGGGGATAAAGAGGCAGGGATTTGGGATAAACGTGGCAAGATTAATTGGGAATGGGCGAACACGCAGAAACTGAAGAAAGCCAAGTTCACTTAGGTTCAGGGGAAAATGGTAAAGAGCAGAGCCATCTAATTATTATAGTTTTGGGAGATGATGAGGCCAGGAGGCCTTTGAGGGTCAAAGTGGGTGAGCTGGAGAAAGGTTTCCATGCCGCCTTCAGGATCAATGCTAAGATAAGTAATTCATTCAGCAGTATTTTATTTATAGAAAATGATAAGTATGAGACAAAAATGGGAAGTTAGATGAAACTTATCGGTTAGTGATAAACAATACAAGGAATACTCATGGCATAGTAACTTCATGATAACCCCTACTAGTTTCAGGAAGTGAGAAGCAATTAGATTTTTGCATTCTGGTGGAAAACACAACTTTTTACCTTATGAGTGGAGCTGTGGATGTGATAGTAAATCGATCTAATTTAGACTCAAGCCCCCCTGCCTTTTTTTTTTTTGAAACGGAGTTTCGTTCTTGTTGCCCAGTCTAGAGTGCAAAGGCGCGATCTCGGTTCACCGCAACCTCCGCTTCCTGGATTCAAGCGATTCTCCTGCCTCAGCCTCCCTAGTAGCTGGGATTACAGGCATGCGCCATCACGCCCGGTTAATGTTATATTTTGAGTAGAGACGGGGTTTCTCCATGTTGGTCAGGCTGGTCTTGAACTTCTGACCTCAGGTGATCCGCCCACCTCGGCCTCCCAGAGTGCTGGGATTACAGGCGTGAGCCACGGGTCCAGCCGACTCAAGCCTTTCTGAATCAAGAGTGCAAGGAAGGAGTTTAAAGGATTCAGCGGAAAGCAATTTTTAAAAATTAAGCATAAGAAGTGTTTACTGATGTGTGACTTGCTGACCTGTCCCTATGCAGGCTTGGTTCATATTTGTTTCCATTGAGTTTTCAGAGTGTTAAAGCTGGTCTGAATTTAAGACATTCTAACTAAAAACAGCTTCAAAAACAAAGCTATTTGTCGTTGGTGAGAAAGAATGTAATTCCATTTGTTTACTTGGTTCTGTCTGTGGTTACAGTATATCATCATTTGAAATATTTCTTGATGTATTTTTCTTTTCTAATTGCAAATTTATGGGGGTAGGTTGATATACTAGCTTGTAGGTTCCTATGAGTACATTCATGCTTAACTTAAAGCATTAAAAAAGTTAAGACTGCATTAAAAAATCAGTACTACAATACTGAAAGTCTTTAATACATCATGCAAAATGAAAAATTATTTTAGACTATGGTTGTACTTAAATAGATCTGTGGAGCCAATATTAAAAGATTGTACCGTTTTGTAAATTTTACTTACGTGATGTAAAATGATAAATGGGCGGGGCATGATGGCTCATGCCTGTAGTCCCAGCACTTTGGGAGGCCAAGGCGAGTGGATCACTTGAAGTCAGAAGTTCGAGACCAGCCTGGCTAACACAGTGAAACCCCATCTCTACTAAAAATACAAAAATCAGCCGGGTGGAGTGGCAAGTGTCTGTAGTCCCAGCTACTCAGGAGGCTGAGATAGGAGAATCACTTGAACCCGGGAGGCGGAGGTTGCAGTGAGCCAAGATTGCACCATTGCACTCCAGCCTGGGTGACAGAGTGAGACTCCATCTAAAAAAAAATAAAATTAAGGCCGGGCAAGGTGGCTCACGCCTGTAATCCTAACACTTTGGGAGGCCAAGGTGGGCGGATCACGAGGTCAGGAGTTCGAGACCAGCCTGGCCAATATGGTGAAACCCTGTCTCTACTAAAAAATACAAAAGTTAGCCGGGCATGGTGGCGCATGCCTATAGTCCCAGCTACCCGGGAGGCTGAGGCAAGAGAATCGATGGAACCCAGGAGGCCGAGGTTGCAGTGAGACGAGATCGCCCCACTGCACTCCAGCCTGGGTGACAGAGTGAGACTCCCTCTCAAAAATAAAATAAATAAAATGATAAATGATTTTTGGTTGTAGAATTACATATAATTCAAAAGCAGTTAAATACATCTTACATGGGACAATTAATGGGTTGTAATTTATTAAAATATTGCTTTATTCAACACATTTCTAATTCCATAAATATGTGTATTCATACCCTATTAGATGCAAGGATATAATAGTCAACAATGAATGAGTAAATTTTCATTTATTATAATGCTAGTAATAATAATACATATAGCAAACCTGTCTGTCTATGTGCCAGGCATTCTGAGTGTTTTATGTTTATTTGTCACTCTATACTTTTTTTCCCCCAGAATCCGTATTATCTTTTGTTCGCTGTGTTAAAATTAGACTAAATAGTCTGTGTATTTTACTTGTATCCAGGTGTTCTCCGCGTCCCATCTTGCTTACCATTCACATTCACTTGGATCCTCTTCATTGTCCAAGTAAATACTCTGGGAATCTGGTCTTTAAAAAAATGTCTTCCTTGATGCAGTAGAGGGCCAGGGTGTTTATATTTATGCTTTCTGAACGCAATGTTAGAGCAAAGAAAGAAGTGACAACCTTGAGTAGAGCAGTATTAACATTTCACTTGGAAACTGCTATGTCTAGCCTGGATAGACATTTGAAAGTCTGTTTGTAGCCCTACTGTTTCATATGAAGATGACTGGACTGAAGTCTGAAATAGCAGGTTACTTTTGTGGATGTGTAATCATCTTCATTTAGTTTGACTTTTTCTTTACAATGCTAAAAATATCAGATAGTGAAAAGGAGTGGCCGGGCGTGGTGGCTCACGCCTGTAATCCCAGCACTTTGGGAGGCCGAGGCGGGCAAATCACGAGGTCAGGAGTTTGAGGCCAGCCTGGCCAACATGATGAAACCCCTGTCTCTACTAAAAATACAAAAAATTAGCTGGGCGTAGTGGCGGATGCCTGTAATCCCAGCTACTCGGGAGGCTGAGGTAGGAGAATTGCTTGAACCCGGGAGGCGGAGGTTGTAGTGAGCCGGGATGGCACCACTGCACTGCAGCCTGGGCAAAAAGAGTGAAACTCCGTCTCAAAAAAAAAAAAAAGATAGTGAAAAGGAAACCTGAATTACATCGCAGAGCTTTCCTGTCAGAACTGATAATCTCATTTGTCCATTGCTTTGGCCTTTGCTTTTTTTCCACCTAGAGATGTGTGACTTTGTTTTTCCATTATGAAATTATATGAAAAGTTAGCTTTAGGGATAAGGTTGAAGAGATGAGCTAAAATGAATACTGTATTTATCGAGTCGTACTTTTGGCTCTTACAGTTTAATGCCACTAAAATTGATATGTCTTAAAATCAGTGCACACATTCAGTATGACAGTGTGGTTTTTTTTCCCCTTGAAAAACCTATTAAGTAGTATCTTCAAACGTATGGCATCTTAGAATCAGGAAAATATAATATTATAGATCTTTTATAGATTACATATTTGTATGGTCCTTGATCATTGCTAATATAAGTTCTTGAGAGATGATTGTTGAGATTTGTATACTTCATAAATTACTTGAAAATCTATGCAAAATGTTTGTGTAAGTTGTACTTTTATAAACAAAAATCATTTATGGACACAAAGAGAACATGTTTAATTAAAGTCCTGTAAAGCGATTTATTTGATAAAGAACATTTTTAAAAAGGAAAATGATAATTTTTTGTAAGAACACATTTTATGTGACTATTCCCCTCCCAATTTATCACTAAGTGTGTATTTTTAGACTCTAATGGAAAAGACCCACCTACCTAGCCCATTGGTCACATATAGTATATTTGTTGACTATCTCAATAGATTTGTTAATTTGACTTCTGAAATTATCCAATTAAATGTTTTAAAGTCCAATGCTATTACGTGATTAATCATGCAGGTGTACCTGCAAAGGAAAGTTCTTGTAGTTATATCTTCCCCTTGTATTCTTTTAAAATAAAATTAAAAACAATAATTTGCTTTTGAAGACTTATATTTGATTTTGCATAAATATGCGTTCTTGTTGACTGCTTCTAACTTTTACTTTAACCTAGAGCAGGGGAATATTAAAGAGGCATAATGAGGAAGGAATATAGTAATATTTACTAATTGACCTAGATTTATATACAGAAATACTCAAAGTCTGGGGTATGTTTTTCTAATAATGTCATTTTTTGTTTTTTTTGTTTTGTTTCGTTTTGTTTTTGAGACGGAGTCTCCCTCTGTCACCAGGCTAGAGTGCAGTAGCGCGATCTCGGGTCACTGCAGCTCCACCTACTGGGTTCAAGTGATTCTCCTGCCTCAGCCTCCTGAGTAGCTGGGATTACAGGAGTGCACCACCACACCCGGCTGATTTTTCTATTTTTAGTAGAGACAGGGTTTCACCATATTGTCCAGGCTGTTCTCGATCTCCTGACTTCAGGTGATCCACCCACCTTGGCCTCCCAAAGTGCTGGGATTACAGGTGTGAGCCACCATACCCGGCCTAATAATGTCATTTTAAAATATTTTCATTGATTTCACTACTTAACATGACTACAGAATAAATGGTAGTATAGAAATGGGTAAACATTAGATTCATCAGTCTGAATCCACTAAATGTACAGCTTTTTTTTTATCACTATGCCAGTGTTTAAAGATATTTTAGTGAACATACAAGTTTGCTATGAAGCTATTTTAAGATACATTTATTTTATTCATTTTCCACAGTAAAGCTAGAGAACATCCATCTGATCAGCAGCAACTGATTCATTTCTCCTTCTTTGACTTTTATGTTTATTTTCACATTTCATAGCCTGAAGTTATTACTAAGAGAAAGGAAGAAAACTGTCTTCCACTTCCATGAGAAAGATAAATTATTGTATCACTTTATAACTTGGCAGGAACACTCTGTACTTACAGTATCATAATCTATCCCACAAGATGATTAATTCTAGGGAGGAAAAGTATAAATTGTATATAGTACATTCCTGTTCATCTTGGAGTTTAGTTTACTAGTTTGGAGGTAACTTCTGCATCACATTTTCTGAAACTGGAGCTAGAAGAGGAAGATAGTCTAATCCTGGGAAATTATTTTGAGACCTTCTCATATATAGGTATCTTTGTAGGTTCAGCCTATTTTCTAATACCTAAATCTATAAGATTGTACAATGCTAATGATAACACAGCACTGAAATTCTGCAGAACTTTTAGGGTTATTTAAAAACAGAAGTGTAGTTTATGATGAATGTATTATGTTTTGATTTTTTTTTTGAGATAGAGTCTCGCTCTGTCGCCCAGGCTGGAGTGCAGTGGCACGATCTCGGCTCACTGCAAGCTCCGCCTTCTGGGTTCACGCCATTCTCCTGCCTCAGCCCCCCAAGTAGCTGGGACTACAGGCGCCTGCCACCATGCCAGGCTAATTTTTTGGTATTTTTTTTTTAGTAGAGACAGGGTTTCACCATGTTAGGATGGTCTCGATCTCCTGACCTCGTGATCCGCCCACCTCGGCCTCCCAAAGTGCTGGGATTACAGGCGTGAGCCACAGCGCCCGGCTATGTTTTGATTTTTAAAGAACAGTTAAACCATAAATTATGCATTTGATACTTTAAGGTAACTAGAATTATGAGGTGAATAACACCTTGACCCCCAGTTTGGAAAAGAGCTTACTTATTTTGGGATGTTTTGAAAATTCCATCATCTTGGGAGAAGAGCACATTGGTTTACTATTAGGATTGTCAAAACACAGATTGGGAAGTGGAACTTAAATTGTCTTTTTTTAGACAAAAGATAATTTTGCAGGGGTGCCAAAATAATTATGAAAAGGTTATCTTTGATACTAATAGGTCTTAGTGGTACTTTTGCTTTAGAATAATAAAGGTTAATTGGCTCAGGATACAGATTAAAACAATTTTATACACACATTGCAATAATGTCTTAAATATTTTAAGGACCACCTGTAGAGCTGCGCCAAAGAAAAAAGCCAAAGTCTTCAGAAAATAAGGAATCTGCCAAAGAAGAGAAAATCAGTGACATTCCAATTCCTGAAAGAGCTCCAAAACGTAAGTTAGATAGACTTGGAATTTGTGCTACTACAAAAATAGTTTACACTAGAAAGTATATTTTATGTCAATATTTTAAATATACATATTTTGAGATTAAGTATATGCTCAGCTTTCACTAGGTTTTGGACAACCCCCAAATCTCACTGGCTTATGACAAACATTTATTTCTAATTAATATTACATGTTGTGGCTGCAGTTTGGCTGTCGTAGTTTTATGTGTTGCGAAGGAATAGTCCGTATTTGGGAAAGATTTTTCTTGTGACGTAGGAAAAGAGGAGGCAGAATCATGCAATGTCTCTTAAAGTTTCTGCTGACCTGGCACACTATCACTTGTACGCACCTTTTATTGGCCAAAGCAAGTCATATAATCAATTCAGACGATGGGATGTGAAGTATACTTTGATTACAGGGAAGTGTTCCAGGTCACATGGTAGTGGGCAGGGATATATAAGATTTTTAAAGGGAAGGAGAAAATAGTTGTGAATAATAATATAGTTTACCACACCCTGTCCTTGTGATTTATTTCTCTCCCTCAGACAAAATACGCTTACTTTTTCCCACACCCGAAAACTCTCTCTTATCTAGTCACAGCCTTAATCTTGAACCCAAAGGCTTATCTACATCAGGGCCAGCTATGACTCATTCTAATCCAGAGATCTATGAACTAAAAAGACAGGTTATCTGTTTTATGTCGGGGGTTCCCCAGAACACCCCCATGTTTGGTTATTAGCTGGAAGGACTCACAAGTTTCAGAATGAAGTTGTATTTACAGCTATGATTGATTGATTGATTGATTGATTGATTTTTGAGACAGAGTCTCGCTCTGTCACCCAGGCTGGAGTGCAGTGGCACGATCTCAGCTCACTGCAACCTCCACCTTCTGGGTTCAAGCGATTGTCCTGCCTCAGCCTCCTCAGTAGCTGGAACTACAGGCACATGCCACCACGCCTGGCTAATTTTTGTATTTTTGGTAGAGACGGGGTTTCACCATGTTGGCCAGTCTGGTCTTGAACTCCTGACCTCAAGTGTTCCACCTGCCACAACCTCTCAAAGTGCTGAGATTATAGGCATAAGCCACCGTGCCCAGCCTACAGCTATGATTTATTATAGCAAATAATATAAAACAAAATCAGCAAAGGGAAAAGGCCTATTTTGGTGAAATCTGCAAGAAACCAGGCATAGGCTTCCAAATTTCCACTCCAACAGAGTCACACAGGATGGGCCTGATTCCTTCAGCATCAAATTGTGACATTTGTAAAGTTTTATCTACCAGGGAAGCTCATTAGTGACTCAGTGCTCAGGGTTTTTACTGGGGGCTGGTCATGTAGGTATCCTCTGCCTACCATGTCCCAAAATTCTTGACTCCCAGAAAGAAAGCATAAACTACATTGTTTGTACAAAGAGGATAGGCACTGTTATCAGTTAGAGAATGGTGGGAACTCTCCTGAAATTGAAGTTCCTAGATGCCAGCCAAGAGAGCCTACCTTGCAAGCAGGGCTTTCTTTTTTTCCTTTTTCTTTTTCTTTTTTTTTCTTGAGACAGAGTCTCACCCTGTCACCCAGGCAGGAGTGCCATGGTGCGGTCTCTGCTTACTGCAACCTCCATCTTCTGGGTTCAAGCAATTCTTGTGCCTCAGCCTCCCGAGTAGCTGGGATTATAGGCATGTGCCACCACACTTGGTTAATTTTTGTATTTTTAGTAGAAACGGGGTTTCACCATGTTGGCCAGGCTGGTCAACTCCTGACCTCAGGTGATCCGCCTGCAAGCAGGCCTTTCTCAGGAAAGCGGTCTCAGGCCTGCTGTGTTAACTCTTTTCTGCACATCCCCCCACTCTCAGTATACACTGTTGGACAGGGACAGGATATCCCCTTACTCTGGGATAAGGAATCTGTTGTGTTTATGCCCCAGTTGTGTTCCTGGGGAATTGTTTTCCAGTTCATTGTTTTCCATGGTCCTTGATTTTACACTCTAGAGATCTTTTCTCTTCCATTTTCCTCTATAACCATATCTAAAGATGGGTTTGGAGAATGTGTCATCCTTAAGGGCTAAACAGCTTTCTCAGATTGCTTGCTCTGCACTAAAAGTTGAGGCCTATATATAAATTTGCTCAAGATAAAAGCTGTGGGTAATCTACAAATCTAGGTGAGGGGCTGGCCGCAAGAAAACTATATTTGGGAGCTGGAAAAATGAAGATCTATATTATATCATGACAAAACATTTGATAATACTGTTTCCTGTGAACAGTTGACAATACTATTTTTTTCTATCATTTTAGGTAATGAGATTGCAAAACAGAATGTTACTAGAGTGCCTTTGTTATTAACATCTGCATTTGACTACAGGAAAGAGATCTGGGTTTAGAATAGAATTGGACTATTTGTAAGTGGGAATAAAGAAGAAAATAGAGAATCCCAAAATTCTGGGACTTGTAATGTTGAAGTGAGAACAGTTTATTAACCAGGCATGGTGGCTCGCGCCAGTAATCCCAGCACTTTGGGAAGCTGAGGCAGAGGATTGCTTGAGGTTAGGAGTTCAGGACCGTCCTGGACAACATAGTGAGACCCTGTCTTTATTTAAAGAAAAAAAAAAAAGAAAAAGCTGTTTGTCTTTTTCAACCAATGAAAGTTAAAATCAAGAAATGGGAGGCCAGGCACGGTGGCTTAAGCCTGTAATCCCAGCACTTTGGGAGGACGAGGCAGGTGGATCATGAGGTCAGGAGATCGAGACCATCCTGGCTAACATGGTGAAATCCCGTCTCTACTAAAAAAATACAAAAAATTAGCTGGGCATGGTGGCATGCAACTGTAGTCCCAGCTACTTGGGAGGCTGAGACAGGAGAATCGCTTGAACCTGGGAAGCGGAGGTCACAATGAGCCGAGATTGTGCCACTGCACTCCAGCCTGGGTGACAGAGTGAGACTCCGTCTTAAAACACACACACACACAAATTTAAACTTAGGCAATATAGTGAGACCTCATCTCTACAAAAAATCAGAAAAAAAAAAATCAGCCAAGTGTGGTGGTGTGCCCCTGTAGTCCCAGCTACTTGGGAGGCTGAGACACAAGAATTGCTTGAATTCAGGAGGTGGAGATTGCAGTGAGCCGAGAATGTGCCACTGCACTCCAGCCTGGGCAACAGAGGAGATTCCATCTCAAAAAAAAAAAAAAAAAAAAAAAATTTAAGCCTAGGCAATACAGTGAGACCTCATCTCCACAAAAAAATTAAAAAAAAAAAATTAGCTGAGAATGTGGTGGTTCATGCCTGTAGTCCCAGCTACTTGGGAGGCTGAGGTAGGAGGATTGCTTAAGCCTGAGAAGTGGTGTTTGCAGTGAGCCAGGATCACGCCACTGCACTCCAGCCTGGACGATGCAGCAAGACTCTGTCTCAAAAAACAAACAAACAAAAAAGTTAAAAAATTTGAAAAATACAACGTAAGAAAGAAAATTAAATAGTCTAGAAATATCGATTACAAAATAGTATTTCCTCCCCAACTACAAAAATATATTTTCAGGGTAGAAAATGTGGAAAGTAGAGAAAAAAAAACCAAAACTGCATCCATAATTTCAGTAGATATAAATACTCTTAAAATTTTGGCATAAGTGTGGCTTTTTTCTATGTACTTATAGTTTTTTTTTTCACTTTTTGTGAAATTGAATCCTGCATTTTTTTCTCAACATATCATTGGCTTTTTTATGTGCATTAAATATTACTTAACTGTGTTCTATATTCTGATAGTGACATTTCATAATCTGTTTTTAATTTTGTGTGCCTGATCACCATTTTACAAATGAAGGGACTGGGGCACATAGAAGTTATCTGATTAGGCTGGTTTGTGACTAACAACTTAAAGTCAGATCCTTTACTTTTTGATTTTCAAACTAAAATGGTTGTATTTTAAGAGTTTGAGACCAGGAACCAGAGCTCCTTATTTTCTCTAAAATACATGTACTTATTCCAAACACTGAAAGCTTGATGTCTACTCCATCTTTGACTCCTTACAAAAGTAAAATATTTAGTAATGCTGGGCGTGGTGGCTCGTGCCTGTAATCCCAGCACTTTGGGAGGCTGAGGTGGGGGGATCACCTGAGGTCGGGAGTTTGAGACCAGCCTGACCAACATGGATAAACTCCATCTGTACTCAAAATACAAAATTAGCCAGGCGTGGTGGCACATGCCTGTAATCCCAGCTACTCGGGAGGCTGAGGCAGGAGAATCGCTTGAACCCAGGAGGCAGAGGTTGCAGTGAGTCGAGATCACGCCATTGCACTCCAGCCTGGGCAACAAGAGCGAAACTCTGTCTCTTTTTTTTTTTTTTTTTGAGACGGAGTTTCGCTCTTGTTGCCCAGGCTGGAGTGCAGTGGTGTGATCTCAGCTCACCGCAACCTCCGCCCCCCAAGTTCAAGGGATTCTCCTGCCTCAGCCTCCCGAGTAGCTGGGATTACAGGCATGCACCACCACACCCTGCTAATTTTGTATTTTTAGTAGAGACGGGGTTTCTCCATGTTGGCCAGGCTGGTCTCAAACTCCCGACCTCAGGTGATCCACCAGCCTCGGCCTCCCAAAGTGCTGGGATTACAGGCGTGAGCCACCACTCCCGGCCAACTCTGTCTCAAAAAAAAAAAAAAAAAAAATTAGTATTAAGGTTAGGCATTTATATATAGAAATTGGTTGAATATACTTTTTATAATAGTTCCTGATAAGTAGGATTAATTTGTCATTGTCTAAGCCTTAATGAAAAAAACAAACCCAAGAAATCCATTTAGAAATTTCTAAGTGCTTTTGCCAAACTGCCACCCTAGATTACTTTTCTTACTAGTTTTTATAGTTCATATTGTCTCAACATTGCTTTAATGATTTCATATATTTTTTCAGGTATGCTTGTGTAGCATAATAGTAATAGCAAATATTTGCTGAGCTCTTAACTGTATGTCAGGAACCATGCCAGATGCTTTACACATGCTACTGGTAACAGAAATTTTATTTTATTTTGAGATGGAGTTTCGCTCTTGTGGCCCAGGCTGGAGTGCACTGGTGTGATCTCAGCTCACTGCAACCTCCACCTCCCGGGTTCAAGCAATTCTTCTGCCTCAACCTCCCAGTAGCTGGGATTACAGGCATGCGCCACCACACCCAGCCAGTTTTGTATTTTTAGTAGAGATGGGGTTTCACCATGTTGGCCATGGTTGGTCTCAAACTCCCGACCTCAGGTGATCCGCCCACCTCAGTCTCCCAAAAAGCTGGGATTACAGGTGTGACACTTGTATCATATTGGTGCTAATATCGGATTTATTGCAGAGTGTTTTTGTTTGTTTGTTTGTTTGTTTTGAGACGGAGTCTCGCTCTGTTGCCCAGGCTGGAGTGCAGTGGTGCGATCTCGGCTCGCTGCAAGCTCCGCCCCCTGCAAACTCTGCCTCCCGGGTTCACGCCATTCTCCCGCCTCAGCCTCCCGAGTAGCTGGGACTACAGGTGCCCGCCACCACACCTGGCTAATTTTGTTTTTGTATTTTTAGTAGAGACGGGGTTTTGCTGTGTTAGCCAGGATGGTCTCAATCTCCTGATCTCGTGATCCGCCTGCCTCGGCCTCCCAAAGTGCTGGGATTACAGGCGTGAGCCACCGTGCCCGGCCTGCAGAGTGTTTTTCAAACATTTAGAATATGATTATTTATTGATATTTAATTAGTTACTCTATACTAGTTTGCATAACAGCACAACTGCAACATGCTATGCAAACTATTATGTATTAAATAATGTTATAAAAATAACTAAAATTTTAGTTTAGCTAAAAAAAAATCAACAAGTTGATTTTTACTGTCAGTCATTCGGTAACAGAACGCTGGGTTTTAGGCCTTTAGTCCCTTATTTTTTTTATTATGCTTATTATACTCAATGGCTGTAGCAAGACTGAATCATCTTTTGTATACAAAATCCAAATGTGTCTTATGTTATTTCATTAAGAAGCAGTTACAGGCTGGAGGCAGTGGCTCATGTCTGTAATTCAGCACTTTAGGAAGCCAAAGTGGAAGGATCTGTTGAGACCAGGATTTCAAGACCAGCCTGGGCAACATAGCAAGAATCCTGTCTCTACAAAAATAAAATAAAATTTAAAAAAGAAATAGTTTGTGTCCATATATAACAGTTGTATGTGATCTTTTAAAACATGATAATCAAAACTTATTGAGTTGTACATTTTACATGGCTTTAGGTTTATAGTTAGTTATTCTTCAATGAATAAAAAATCCTGAAAGGAAAAAAAAAATTTCTGAATGAACCTGTACTTTTTTTGATATTGGGTCATACATTCCTTTGGATTACTTTTTAATATTCATAGACTAATTTTTGTACCATCTTACCCTTTTCTTTTTCTTTCTTTTTTTTTTTTTTTTTGAGACAAGATCTGGCTGTGTCACCTAGGCTGGAATGCAGTGTTGCCATCTCGGTTCACTACAACCTCTGCCTCCTGGGCTAAAGCGATTATCCTGCTTCAGCCTCCCAAGTAGCTGGGATTACAGGCACCCGCCACCACCACATGGGCTAATATTTTGTATTTTTTGTAGAGACATGGTTTCACCATGTTACCCAGTCTGGTTTCAAACTCATGAGCTCAAGCAATCTGCCTGCCTCTGGAAGTTTTGGGGTTACAGACCTGAGCCACCACACTTAGCTTCATCTTAACCTTTTTTTTTTTTTTTTTTTTTTTTTGAGACAGAGTCTCGCTCTGTCGCCCAGGCTGGAGCGCAGTGGCATGATCTCTGCTCACTGCAAGCTCTGCCTCTGGGTTCACACCATTCTCCTGCCTCAGCCTCCCAAGTAGCTGGGACTACAGGCACCTGCCACCATGCCCGGCTAATTTTTTGTATTTTTTAATAGAGACGGGGTTTCACCGTGTTAGCCAGGATGGTCTCGATCTCCTGACCTTGTGATCCTCCCGCCTTGGCCTGCCAAAGTTCTGGGATTACAGGTGTGAGCCACCGTGCCAGGCCCATCTTAACCATTTTTAAGTGTAGCGTTCTATTGTGTTAAGTATATTTATGTTGTGACACAGATCTTAGAACTTCTTCCTCTTGCAGAATATAGACTTTAAATTTTATCTTATTTTTGTATTTTATTATTTTTTTGAGACAGAGTCTTGCTCTGTTGCCCAGGCTGGAGTGCAGTGGCACGCTCTCTGCTCACTGCAACCTCCGCCTCCCAGGTTCAAGTGATTCTCCTGCCTCAGCCTCCCGAGTAGCTGGGATTACAGGCACCCGCCACCACACCCAGCTAATTTTTGTATTTTTAGTACAGACAGGGTTTCACCAGGTTGGCCAGGCTGGTCTCGAACTCCTGACTTCAGGTGATCCACCCACCTCGGCCTCCCAAAGTGGCGGGATTACAGACGTGAGCTACCGCGCCCGGCCTATACTTTAATTTTTAAAACAATTTTAGATTTGCAGAAGAATTGAGCAGATAGAGTTCCTGTATTACACTCTCCCACATATGGAGTTTCCCTTATTATTAACATTTTACATTAGTATGGTACATTTGTTACAATTAATGAAGCAATATTGATACATTATTATTAATTTAAGATCATATGTTATTCAGATATTCAGATTTCCTTAGTTTTTACCTAATGTCTTTTTTTTTTTTTTTTGAGACGGAATCTTGCTCTGTCCCCCAGGCTGGAGTGCAGTGGCATGATCTCGGCTTACTGCAACCTCCACCTCCCTGATTCAATGATTCTTGTGCCTCAGCCTCCCGAGTAGCTGGGATTACAAGTGTGCGCCACCACACCCAGCTAATTTTTGTATTTTAGTTTCACCATGTTGGCCAGGCTGGTCTCAAACTCCTGACCTCAAGTGATCTGCCTGCCTTGGCCTCCCAAAGTGCCACCATGCCCAGCCCCTAATGTCTTTTTTCTGTCCCAGTATCCCATCCACAATACCACATGACATTTGGTTATTATGTCTGTTAAGCTCCTCTTGGCTTTGATACTTTCTCAAGCTCTTGTTTTTGATGACCTTGACAGTTTGAGAGATATATTTATAGGATGCCCCTCTGTTGGAATTTATCTGATGCTTTTCTCACAATTAGACTCGAGTTGTGGGTTTTGGGGACAAAGACCATAGAGGTAGAATGCCATTTTTAATTACATCATATCAAGGGTACATATTACCTTTTCATTACTTTTAATATACTTTTTCAGATGTATTATTTCAACGCTTTGCAAAGATTTTCATTGGCTGTCTTGCAGCGGTTACTAGTGGTATGATGTATGCTCTCTACTTATCAGCATACCATGAACGGAAATTCTGGTTTTCCAACAGGCAGGTAAGAAGAAAGAATTTTGAGCATATGAAAGTTATTTTCCCAGGGAACCAGAATGTATGTATGATAAGTATGACAAGTGCTGTCTTATTTATGGCTATTAGGAACAAAATGCTCCAGAAGCTGTTTTGAGAATATAGTTACAGTATCAACCTTAAAATACTAATAGTGTATTTCATAGAATAAAACTATGAGGGTGCTCCCCTTTCTGCAATTAACTTATCAGGGACTTTTGATGACAGTGAAATGTTATGGAGTTTAGTCAGCCTTTTCATAGTTTTGATAGATAGTTCACATTTCAGAAACAATCTGTGGAAGTTTTAGTATTAAAATATTTTAATTTTTAGATCACATGATTAGAATGTTTTTGAGGGTGTTGAAAGGGATTAACAGGCATCACATAGTATTAAGATTTTGTCTCATATTACTGTGTTTAGTGTTTGGTTTTCAATCATGTATATTTCCACAGATTCTTCAGTCACTATAGTTGTATTCATAATTTCATAGTTTGACTTTTGAATAAGTTTGTTTGCAAAGTCCTCTTGGCTTTGTAGAGTTTTTTAATTTTTGAGCCCAAACTGGGTTTTTTGTTTTTCTTATTTTTTAGTCAAGCTGACTGAGTATTTTAAAGCAATTGGTTTAATTAACACCATCAAGACATTTAACTGAGTAATTACTGACTATATCTGTCTTGATTTAGCTATTACTGTAGCATATATTATTTCCCTGAAAATGTTATGCAGATTAACTGCAGTTCTCAACAATGGATATATGATAGAATCATCTAGGGAGCTTTCAAAGATAACCTCCCTCTCAGATTCTTAGGTAGGGGCAGTGGGACAGGCTGCGATCAGTATGTTGATAAATATTTTCAGGTGATTATGTTGTATAGGCAGAACTGAGAATAACCAAAGCTTTGAAAATTAGAAGGCCTTCATTAAGAACTTTGTTTTACAAAGCTTTGCGTATGGGTCAGGAGCATTGGCAGAATCTGGGAGCTTTTTCAGAATCATAGACTCTCAGACCCCACTTTAAAATCCGAATCTACAGTTTAATAAGGTCTCCAGGTGTTTCATATACCCAGTAGATTTGAGAAGCACTGATTGAGAGTTTACATCTTTGAAATCTTAGAAACAAGTATTTGCATTCATAAAAAAAATTTTAAAGTAATTTATTTAGGTCAGTAAGCTCTTAGTTCATTCAGGCTGCTATAACAAAGTACCATAAGCTTATAAACAACAGAATGGCTTGTAAACAACAGAAATTTATTTCTCACAGTTCTGGAGGCTGAAAAGTCCTAGATCAAGGCATGGGCAGATTTGGTGTCTGGTGAGGGCTTGCTTCCTGGTTTATAGCAGGGATCATCTTGCTGCATCCTCACATGGTGGAAGCAGCAAGGGATCGCTGTGGGGCCTCTTTTATAAGGACATTAATCCCATTCTTGAGGGAACTGCCCTCATGACCTAATCACCTCCCAGACATCCCACTTCCAAATATCTTCTCATTGGGTATTAGGTTTCACCATATGTATTTTAGGAGGACACATGTATTCAGATCACAGCAAACTCAAGATGGGGAAAAATAGATCTGAAAAGACTTCCTCTTGGAGAGTCACAATATATAAGATATACTGAAACTCTGAAAAGTCTTACAATAAAGCTGTTTGATTTTGTTTAATCTAGTCTTTCTCAAAACTTATTTAACTACAGAATTCTTTTTTGGTAACATCCGTTAACATTTTAGGAAGTTCTGTTGATCAAACTTTGTGAAAAGTGCTCTAATATTTTTATTTTTGTATTAATTGATACATATTATGCATAAAAATAATTCATTTGATTTTAAAAGATTATAGATTCATAAAATTTTGATTCAGTCTAAAAAGCACAAAGCCTCCTAAGGTGATTTTTACTATTATATTCTTAGTTCTATTAGCCTGATTGTAGGAATTTTAAGATTTGCTGTACCTCTGGAAGTTCATGTGAAGAGCACTGATTAAGTATCTGCTGCTCTTGCAAAGTACTAATTAAAGACTTGCTGTTCTGCATACATAGAGATGTGGAACAGTAATAGAAAATATGACTTTCTCCTTAAACTTGTCTTTTTATTATGGACTTCTAACACTTCAAATATCATTTGTTATTGCCTCTCTCACTATTCTTGCTATTCTTAGGGCATGTCTTGTGGTTTTCCTTCTAGATTTTCCGGATATATGTTATATATAACAAGTGATGACTTGTGATTTACAATTCATTTTAAACCTTAATGTTTCATTAAAATTATTGCCAGATTACTAAAAAGTTAAGTTCCTCATTAATGGGGCCACTAGTAATTAAAGAAAATTCAAACATGTCTTTGAATAAAAAGGATAAATATTATTAATATGTTAATTTGGAAGGTGAGGAGGGAGACAGAAGATTGAGGCTGAAATTTATTTTATTGTTATTATTTTTTGAGACAGAATCTCACTCCATGTCCCAAGGCTGCAGTGCAGTGGTGTGATCTCGCCTCACTGCAACCTGTGCCGCCTGGGTTCAAGCGATTCTCCCACCTCCCGAGTAGCTGGGATTACAGACACACACCACCAGGCCTAATTTTTCTATTTTTAGTAGAGACAGGGTTTCACCATGTTGGCCAGGCTGGTCTCAAACTCCTGACCTTAAGTGATCCACCCACTTCGGCCTCCGAAAGTGCTGGGATTACAGGCGTGAGCCAACACGCTGGGCCAGAGGCTGAAATTTAAAACCAAGTAAGGGCCAGGCGGTGACTCAACGCCTGTAATCCCAACACTTTAGGAGGCCGAGGTGGGCGGATCACGAGGTCAGGAGATTGAGACCATCCTGGCTAACACGGTGAAACCCCGTCTCTACTAAAAACACAAAAAATTAGCCGGGCGTGGTGGCGGGTGCCTGTAGTCCCAGCTACTTGGGAGGCTGAGGCAGGTGAATGGCGTGAACCCAAGAGGCGGAGGTTGCAGTGAGCAGAGATGGCGCCACTGCACTCTAGCCTGGGCAACAGAGCAAGACTCTGTTTCAAACAAAACAAAACAAAACAAAACAAAAAACTTCAAATAATCCAGCCTGGGCAACATTGTGAGACCCCCTTCTTTACAAAAAAATAAAACAAAACAAAACAAAAATGCTGGCCATGTGCCTGTAGTCCTAGCTACTGGGTAGCTGAGGTGGGAGGATCATTTGAGGTTTCAGTGAGCCATGATTGTGCCTCTGCACACCAGCCTGGGTAACAGAGAGAGACTCTGTCTCTTAAAAACAAAAAACTTAAATTTAAGTCTGGGCGTGGTGGCTTACGCCTGTAATCCCAGCACTTTGGGAGGCTGAGGTGGGTGGATCATGAGGTCAGGAGATCGAAACCATCCTGACTAACACGGTGAAACCCCATCTCTACTAAAAATACAAAAAAATAGCCGGGCGTGGTGGCAGGCGCCTGTAGTCCCAGCTACTCGGGAGGCTGAGGCAGGAGAAATGGCATGAACCTACGAGGCGGAGGTTGCAGTGAGCCGAGATCGCGCCACTGCACTCCAGCCTGGGCGACAGAGCGAGACTCTGTCTCAAAAAAAAAAAAAAAATTAAATTTTAAATAATAATTTCATTTTCTTTTAGGAGCTTGAACGGGAAATCACGTTTCAGGGTGACAGTGCCATTTATTACTCCTATTATAAAGATATGTTAAAGGCACCTTCATTTGAAAGAGGTATGATAATCACAGTTATATTTTTAATAACAGTATTTTCCTTTTTCTTTTCTTTTCTTTTTTTTTTTTTTCCGAGACGGAGTCTTGCTCTGTCACCCAGGCTGGAGTGCAGTGGTGCGATCTTGGCTCACTGTAACCTCTGCCTCCCGGTTCAGGCAATTCTCCTGCCTCAGCCTCCCTAGTAGCTGGGATTAAAGGCATGCACCACCATGCCCGGCTAATTTTTGTATACTTAGTAGAGACGGGGTTTCACCATGTTGGCCAGGCTGGTCTCGAACTCTTGACCTCATGATCTGCCCGCCTCAGCCTCCCAAAGTGCTGGGATTACAGGTGTGAACCACTGCGCCCGGCTGTAATATCAATATTTTTCTTAAATAAAACTTTGTTCTTCTATTTTAGAACCTTTCCTCCTCCTTTTATTTTTACTTTACATGTAGTAATTGTGCATATTTATGGGGAGTGATATTTTGATATTATACACAATGTATAATGATCAAATCAGGGTAGTTAGTATATCCATCACATTGGACATATATCACTTCCTTGTGTTATGAATATCCCAAATCAACTCTCAGCTTTTTGAAAATATACACTAAATTGTTGTTAACCATATTCATTCTATAGTACTACAGAATACTAGAAGTTATTTTTCCTATCTAGCTGTAATTTTGTATCCATTAACCAGTCTCTCCCTATCCTCCCCTCCCCTCTACTCTTCCCAGCCTCTGATAACTTCTATTCTGCTATATTGGGACCTTTCAATGTGGGGATTTGTCTCAGGATATAGATATTTCTCTTTATTGTGCTAAATTTTTAAAAAATGGAAAATGCAGCATGGAGTATTCTATTTGGGATCTTTCTTGATAACAATATTAAATATTTAAGGACTAATGACATGTTTAATTACTGTGAAGCAGAATAAATAATCTGGAGAAAAATCTTTCTGTCTTTAGGTGTTTACGAACTGACACACAATAACAAAACTGTATCTCTGAAGACTATAAATGCAGTGCAGCAAATGTCTCTGTATCCGGAACTTATTGCTAGCATTTTATATCAAGCCACTGGTAGCAATGTATGTATTTTTCGTTGGACCCTAATATTTATTTTCTCATGTATTCATGAATCCTCAAATTATTTAATGCCATCCTATTGTCTTGTTCTCTTTCTGTTTTTTCCACATAGGAGATTATTGAGCCAGTGTATTTCTATATTGGCATTGTTTTTGGATTGCAAGGAATATATGTTACTGCTTTATTTGTTACAAGTTGGCTTATGAGTGGAACATGGCTAGCAGGAATGCTTACTGTTGCGTGGTTCGTTATTAACAGGTAAGAAAGCTGTTTTAATTGATTTTTAAAAACTTTTTGTGGCTGTAGTAGTCAGAGTTCTGAAAATGCCTCCCCTCCCCAACAGTCCTCACTCTAATCCTCAGAACCTATGAATATGATGAGATGCCATTCCCATGATTATGATACTTTGTATAGCACATTAGACAGATTGGAAAGATTACCCTGTGGGCCTGGTCTAATCACGTGAGCCCTTAAAACCAAAGTGCTTTCTCTAGCCTGTGTAGAAAGAGAGATCAGAGGATTTTCTGCACCACTGCAGGCATGAAGCAAGGAGGAAATGAATTCTGCTAGTAGCCAATGATATTGTAAGAGGACTACAAGCCCCTGATGAAAACTGTAGCTCTGGCCGATGCCTTGATTTTAGCTTAGGGATACTGAGCAGAGCATCCAGCCATACTCTGCTGGCCTTTGTGAGATAATAAATTTGTGTTGTTTTATGCCACTATATGCAAAAATTGAGACATAATATGCCAGCATATTCTTTTGGATCTTTTTCTTTTTTTATTCATCCTAATCCTTAGAATCTGAATTTTGGGTCTTCTAGGTGAATGTGTGTGTGTATGCATCTGTGTATTTGTATATGTATTTTTTACCAAAATCAGGTCTATTTACAATACTGTTTTGGTTTTGTTTTGGTTTTGTTTTTGTTTTTCATTTTTTTGAGACGGAGTCTTGCCCTGTCACCTAGGCTGGAGTGCAGTGGTGCGATCTCGGCTCACTGCAAGCTCCACCTCCCAGGTTCACACCATTCTCCTGCCTCAGCCTCGGGAGTAGCTGGGACTACAGGCGCCCGCCACCAAACCCGGCTAATTTTTTTGTATTTTTAGTAGAGACAGAGTTTCACTATCTTGGTCAGGATGGTCTCAATCTCCTGACCTCGTGATCCACCCACCTTGGCCTCCCAAAGTGTTGGGATTACAGGTGTGAGCCACTGCGCCCGGCTGCAATACTGTTTTTTTTATGCTGCTTTCTCTATTCAACTGTCACTGCCTTTCCATTTCTATAACTTTTTATCTTATCTAATACCCAGACCTTATTACAGTTTCCCTGGTTGACCCTAAAATACTCTATATAGCTGATTTATCCAAATCAGGATTTAATCCAGGACTCCATAGTGCATCTGGTTGTTATGTTCCTTAATACTCTGTAAATCTAACATAGTCCCCCTTTTTATGTTGAAGAGACTAAGTCTTGTTGCATCCTGTGGTGTCATTTAGCTTTTACCTTTATCTCCTGTGTTTCTGTAATCTGAAAGTTATGTGTAAAGGCTTGATGGGTTCAAAATAAACAGTTCTGGTTGAAATATATGGTAGATTATATATTTTTCATGTTCCATGACAGTAGAAATTATAGTTAATTGATCAACCCCTAGTGAAGCTGAGATTGACTACTGGTTTGGGGGAATGGCAGTCAGATCTCTCCATTGAATAGTTATGTTTTTCTCTAATAACTGGAGAATAATCTGTGTGGCGTTTTTTAGCACCAAATGAATGTCCTTTTTACCATTAAGCATTTACCTAACAGTTGTAACACCAGTTTGTAACCTTTGCCTTAAAGTAGTAATTTTATTAGGTTTTATAAAATTATATTTTTCTATTTTCATTAGCTACATTCTTCATTCTTCAAAAGTAGAATTTTTCCTCATTAACCAGGGCTTTTTGGTTACCTTCAAGTCACTATTAGAAAGTGAAGACAAATGCTTAATTTCAATTTACCAATTTCTAAATAAGAGATTAATTTAATAGCTTTCTCAGTGACAAAAACCTTTGATTCTGGTGTTCTCTTTTCTAAGCATCTTTCTGTACTTATGGATTTTTATTGATTCAGTGATTCATTTTAATTGATTTCATTGATTCAGAACATTTTGATCAATGTTCTTCTGTTGCTCAAATTGTCACACCCTTGGTTAATAGGAGTACCTTTCAGGCCGGCTCCTGAGTTCTTTTGACACAACTTTGTTAATCTTTGAAAGCTTTCTTGTTTTCTGGCTCAACAAGGTGAGTAGGTTTGCACTTTTGCTGCAGAAGATTTGTAAATAGCCATTTCTCATTGGCGCTTTGGTTCCTTTTAGTATAGAATGGAATTAGAAAATCCAGTCTGGCAACTAGGAGGACAAGATGATTTTTTGTTATGTCAGAAAGTGCCTGTTACAGGACATTTTGAGTTGCTGTGTACTTTTCTAAAATTCTATTAGGATTTATTTTTAGAAAGACAGAAAGTTATAATAATACTCATAGACTAGGTTTAGAAAATCTTATATTTTATGGCCGGGTGCGGTGGCTCACGCCTGTAATCCCAGCACTTTGGGAGGCTGAGGCAGGTGGATCACGAAGTCAGGAGATAGAGACCATCCTGGCTAACACGGTGAAACGCCATCTCTACTAAAAATACAAAAAATTAGCCAAGTGTGGTGGCGGGCGCCTGTAGTCCCAGCTACTCGGGAGGCTGAGGCAGGAGAATGGCGTGAACCCAGGAGGCAGAGCTTGCAGCGAGCTGAGATCTCGCCACTGCACTCCAGCCTGGGCGACAGAGCGAGACTCCGTCTCAAAAAAAAAGAAAGTCTTATATTTTACTTATTTTTTTTTTTTACTTTCTTTTTGAGACAGAGTCTTACTCTGTTGCTTAGGCTGGAGTGCAATGGCACGATCTTGGCTCACTGTAACCTCTGGCTCATGGATGCAAGTGATTCTCCCACCTCAGCCTCCCCAGTAGCTGGGACCACAGGCACATGCCACCATGCCTGGCTAATTTTTTTTTTTTTTTTTGAGATGGAGTCTTTCTCTGTTGCCCAGGCTGGAGTGCAGTGGCGCGATCTTGGCTCACTGCAACCTCTGCCTCCCAGGTTCAAGCAATTTTCTTGCCTCAGCCTCCCGAGTAGCTGGGATTACAGGCACATGCCACAATGCCCAGCTAATTTTTTTGTATTTTTAGTAGAGATGGGGTTTCACCATATTGGCCAGGCTGGTCTTGAATTGACCTCAAGTGATCCACCCACCTCAGCCTCCCAAAGTGCTGGGATTATAGGTGTGAGCCACCGCGCCCGGCCAATGCCTGGCTGATTTTTATATTTTTTGGTAGAGTTGTGGTTTCACCATGTTGCCTAGGGTGGTCTCAAACTCCTGACCTCAGGTGACCCGCCTGCCTTGGCTTCCCAAAGTGCTGAGCTTACAGGCATGAGCCACCATGCCCCACCAAAAGTCTTTTATTTTATTTTATTTATTTATTTATTTTTTGAGATGTAGTCTTGCTCTTGTCGCCCAGGCTAGAGTGTAATGGCACAATCTCGGCTCACTGCAACCTCTGCCTCCCGCATTCAAGTGAGTCTCCTGCCTCAGCCTCCTGAGTAGCTGGGATTACAGGTGCCCACCACCACACCCAGCTAATTTTTGTATTTTTAATAGAGGTGGGGGTTTTGCCATGTTGGCCCAGGCTGTTCTTGAACTCCTGACCTCAAGTGATCCACCCGCCTCGGCCTCCCAAAGTGCTGGGATTACAGGCGTGAGCCACTGTGTCTAGCCAATTCTTGTATTTTAAAGTGAAGTGGGGTCAGGTGTAGTGGCTCACACCTATAATTCTAGCACTTTGGGAGGCCCAGGTAGGAGGATCACTTGAGACCTGGAGTTTGAGACCGGTCTGGGCAACATAGTGAGACCTCATCATCTCTACTTAAAAAAAAAAAAAAAATAGCCAGGCTTGGTGGTGTGTGCCTGCAATCCCAGCTACTCAGGAAGCTGAGGCAGGAGGATCACTTAAGCCTGAGGCTGCAGTGAGCTATTGACTGTGCCATACACTCCAGCCTGGGTGACAGAGAGAGACCCTGTCTCAAAAATAAATGAATGAATGAAGTTGTATTTAATACAAATGATTATTGTATTATTTAAAATATAGACTTTCTAAAAGGATTGCTTTCTTGGCTGCGTGCAGTGGCTCACGCCTGTAATCCCAACACTTAGGGAGGCTGAGGCGGGTGGATCACTTGAGGTCAGGAGATCAAGACTAGCCTTGCCAACATGGTGAAACCCCATCTCCTCTAAAAATACAAAAATTAGCCAGATGTGGTGGCAGGTGCTTATAGTCCCAGCTACTCAGGAGGCTGAGGCAGGAGAATTGCTTGAACTTGAGAGGCGGAGGCTGCATTGAACTGAGATCATGCCACTGCACTCCAGCCAGGGTGACAGAGTGAGAGTCTGTTTCAAAATAAATAAAAATAAAAGGATTGCTTTTTTGATTGTGTGATGTATTAGTTATTGCTGCATAACAAATCACCCGAAATTTAACAGCTTAAAACAACAAACATCTCACATATTTCGGTGGGTCAGGAATCCCAAGAGGTTTAGATTGGTGGTTCTAGCTCAGGGTCTCTCATGAGGTTTCAGTTATGATGTTGGCTTGTACTGTGTCGTCTGAAGGCCTGGCTGGGCTGAAGCATCTGCTTCCAAGCTCACTCATGTGGCCATTTCCCAGAGGCCCAGTACCTTACTGGCTTTTGGCCAGGGAGGCCTTAATTTCTTACATATGGGCCTCTCCATAGGGCAGCATGCAACTTGGCAGCTGGTCTCCCTTACAGTGAATGATCCAAGAGAGTATGAGAGAGTGTGCCACAATGGAAGCCAGGTATCTGTTATAACCTCATCTTAGAAATGATATAACATCACTCTGCCATATTTTGTCAGTTGCACAGACCCCTGGTACAGTGTGGGAGGTGACAACACAGGATATTAATACCAGGAGGCAGGAATCATTGGGACCGTCTTGGAGGCTGGCTACCACATTCAATTAACTTTGCTATTAATTTCATGTAATCCCTATATCTGTCTTCATATTTGAAGAGGAAAAGATACTTTCTCATGTAAACATAATGGTTTTAAAGAATAAGACTCTCTTATGCTACTTAAACAAAAGAATAAGACTCTCTTTAGAGATCTTAGTGAGAATTGTAAGAAATAAAATAAACAGAAGTCTGACTGCCTTATTTGATGTCACTGATGTATGTTGTATTGCTGGAGTAGAAGTTAAATAGAAAAATTGACCTGGTATATTCTACTCAAATGTATCTTTTGACAATTGAAATGTTCTTAATAGCTAAGTTTTAAAAAATGCGTTTGTTTGCTTTTTGTTTATATTTTATTGGTATGTATCTTGTACTGCAAAATACATTTTAATGCCATGAAAGAATATGCTGTCTCTTTATTCATCAGCTTTATAGCTTTTATTTATATATGACTTCTTAGAAAAGTATAAAAAGATATTAAAGTCATTCCATTATATTATGATTATTCGTGTTCTTAATGGTATTTTATGTTACTTGTTCCTTAACACTGGAAGGGGAAAGCAGGGTTATAAAATCGTTCCTGTTTGTTCAAACTAAAAGGTGTAGGTATACTAGAAAATTCAAAGAGATTTCAGGAAACGGCATTGTACAGATAGGGGGAAAAAATCAGAGGTGAGTGACTCCCTTTGAAGACTTGCCACCAAAATGGACTGACAGAGTCCAGGTTCCACGTAGAAGCAATGTGGAAATTGTCTTGTTCCCCATGATCTTCTCATCTACAAATACATACCTAGGTTTCACTTTCAGGGGAAACATCTTTATATTTGAGGAGTGCTGAAAATATGTTTGATTAAAAGTCTGTATTAAATTTAATCTTTGGCAAAAAAGCAACTGTACATTGTAACATTGTACAGTTGTACAATGGTAACAATTAAGGAATAAGATGCAAGGAAATGTACATGTCCCAGAGATACAATTGGCAGACAATAATGGAACACATGATACTGATTCTGTGGTGATGATGTTGGTATACTCAGGCTGCTGGTGGAGATATAAGTTTTTTCAATTTTAGGGAGCAGTTTCTCCCAGGAATTCCGTTTTATTCCAAGGAAGTAATTCAAAAAGAAGGAAAGAGTTTGTTACTTGGATTTATGTATTGTAGCATTGTTTGTAATAAATTTTTTTTTTTGAGACGGAGTTTCACTCATGTTTCACAGGCTAGAGTGCAATAATGCGATCTTGACTTACCGCAACCTCTGCCTCCCAGGTTCAAGTGATTCTCCTGCCTCAGCCTCCCGAGTAGCTGGGACTACAGGCATGAGCCACCACACCCACCTAATTTTGTGTTTTTAGTAGAGACAGGGTTCCTCCATGTTGGTCAGGCTGGTCTCAAACTACCGACCTCAGGTGATCTGCCCACCTCAGCCTCCCAACATGCTGGGATTACAGGCGTGAGCCACCATGCCTGGCCATTTTTTTTTTTTTTTTTTTTTTTTTCAGATGGAGTCTGTCTCTGTTGCCCAGGCTAAAGTGCAGGGGTGCGATCTTGGCTCACTACAATGTCCACCTCCTGGGTTTAAGTGATTCTCCTGCTTCAGCCTCCTGAGTAGCTGGGATTACAGGCACCCACCACCATGCCCAGCTAATTTTTGTATTTTAGTAGAGACAGGGTTTCACCATATTGGCCAGGCTGGTCTTGAACTCCTGAACTTAGGCGATTCACCTGCCTTGGCCTCCCAAAGTGCTGGGATTACAGGCGTGAGCCACCATGCCCAGCTTGTTTGTAATGATTTAAAAAACAATACGTTTATAATTTATAATAGTAATATAGTCACTTGTAATAATATAAAAAATCAGAAGAGAATGGTTAGGTAAGTTGTAATACATTAGTACAAGGGAATGTGCAGTCATTGTATTGACATTGTACAGGTGGTTTTCAGCTTTCACATATTACATATTGACATGACAAACTTAGACATATGTCATCTAACTCCTTGTTTCTCAAACTTCAGTTATAGATATTTAAAACTTAAGTTATTCTCATGGATTCATGTGTTGACTTAAATAATTTGAATTATAATGCTACTTAAATATAAAACATAAAACTAGGTAAAGCTCCTTATACTTAAATGTGCTATAAAATTGAAACTAATTTACCAATAAAATAATAAACCAGTAAAATATTACTTGAAAATACTAATTTATGTAAAAGTGATATTTTACCGAAACCAAATTGTAAACCCTCAGTGTAAATGTGATACCAGTGTAGCAACAGGTTCATTCGTTTCTTTTCTTGCTTTCTTTCTTTCTTTTTCTTTCTTTCTTGGAGACAAGGTTAGCAGGTCCTTGCAACTGTAATACACCTGTACAACTGGGTGCTGTGAATGACTCAGTTCTCATCATTTTGGCTCTGTTAGTCTACTACAAACAATTTTTTTTTTTACCATAGTGATCAGAACATTGGTTTTTTTTTGTTGCTGTTGTTTCGGGTTTTTTGAGACAGAGTCTCACTCCCATCACCCAGGCTCAAGTGCAGTGGTGTGATCATAGCTCACTGCATCATCAACCTCCCTAGACTCAGGTGATCTTCCCATCTTAGCTTCTCTAGTAGCTGGATAACAGGTGTACACCACCACGCCCTGCTTTTTTTAGTAAAGGTGGGGTCTCGCCATGCTGCCCAGGCTGGTCTCGAACTCCTGGGCTCAAGCGATCTGCCTACCTAAGCCTCCCAAAGTGTTGGGATTACAGACATGAGCCACTGTGCCTGGGTGATTGTTTTGTTTTTATTTGGCAATGTAGCATTTATTATTAAGACTATGTCATTTTTTCTGATTAGCCCAAACCAATTAAAGTGGTACCGCATTGCCAACTAGATGTTAACACCACACGAAAGTGAGCACTGAAGTCTTTGGCAATAGTGAGTTCCATGGGGGTCATCCATGTGATGTATAGTGTTTATACTATGATGGTTCTTTTTTTTTTTTTTTTTTTTTTGAGACAGAGTCTCGCTCTGTTGCCCAGGCTGGAGTGCAGTGGCACGATCTCGGCTCACTGCAAGATCCGCCTCCCGGGTTCACGCCATTCTTCTGCCTCAGCTTCCCGAGTAGCTAGGACTATAGGTGCCTGCCACTATGCCTGGCTAATTTTTTTTGTATTTTTAGTAGAGATGGGGTTTCACCATGTTAGCCAGGATGGTCTCGATCTCCTGACCTCATGATCCACCCGCCTCGGCCTTCCAAAGTGCTGGGATAACAGGCGTGAGCCACCGCGCTGGGCCTATACTATGATGTTTCTAAACATTAAAATGAAGACACGAAATTAAACTCAAAGAGAAGTTGCAGAACCCTGTGAATGTATCAGCAGGTCTGTGGACTCCAAAATTGATCTAATTACTGTTTTGAACTGTTAGTTTGTGCTACAATCTGTCAGACTCTGCTACTGCAGGAAAAAAGTGGGTCTCATTTGATTTTGTCACCTCCCACTGTTAGCCTTCTGGTTCTTACTCCCACCACACATTGTCAGGGGAAGAGAGTGAGTAGCATAGGTGTCGAGGGAGGTGGTAAAGGGGAGGCTTGTCCAGGATGTCACTTGTGGGTGCAGGGAATGGCTGGCAGAGATCCTACTCAGTTTGTGCAGCAGACACTGGAGAAGGATTCTTCCCATCTGTATTCCAGACACCTACCTTGTGTTTCTGGTGCAGAGTTTTAAAGATTTGACTGCACTAATATGTGAGTTGGGTAGGGGTGGTAGGTAAACCTTTGGGAACGGAACTACTGAGTTCAGCTTCCTGGTCCTGGGCTGATGGAGTGGTTGCTGGGGTCCTTCTGCCCCACCTCTTACCTTATGATATGTGAATTTCTTGTTTGTCTTTTAGAAAGTTACCTTTCAAAAAAATTTTTTGGGATAATATTATATGAAAATAGGTCATCTTTAGAACAGGGATTCCCAACTCCCAGGCCACAGACCAGTACCCATCAGAGGCCTGTTAGGAACCTGGCCTCACAGCAGGAGGTGAGTGGCAGCAGCAGCAGCAGTGACAATGATGATGATGATGACGATGATGATGATGATGACAACTGCAGATTTATCTGTATTTACTGCCACTCCCCATTGCTTGCATTACTGCCTGAGCTCCGCCTCCTGTCAGATCAGCAGAGGCATTATATTCTCATAGGAGCACGAACCCTATTGTGAACTGCGCATTTGAGGGATCTAGGTTGTGTGCTCCTTATGAGAATCTAACTAATGCCTGATGATCTGAGGTGGAACAATTTCATCCCCAAACCATCTCCCCAACTCCCCTGTATTAGTCTGTTTTCACACTGCTGATAAAGAAATACCTAAGACTGGGAAATTTACAAAAGAAAAAGGTTTAATGGACTCAGTTCCTTGTGGCTGGAGAGGCCTCACAATCATGGCAGAAGGTGAAAGGCACGTCTCACATGGTAGCAGACAAGAGAAGAGAGCTTATGCAGAGAAACTCCTCTTTATAAAACTATCAGATCTTGTGAGACTTATTCACTATCACGAGAATAGCACGGGAAAGACTTGCCCCCATGATTCAATTACCTCCCACTGGCTCCCTCCCACAACACTTGGGAATTGTGGGAGCTACATTCAAGATTAGATTTGGGTGGGAACACAGCCAAACCATATCACCCCACATCCACGGATTGTCTTCCAGAAAACCAGTCCCTGGTGCCAAAAAGGTTGGGGGCTGCTGCTTTAGAAGATGTTGGGCACGGGAGTTCAATGTTGCAAAGAAATCAACATTGAGACAAAGGTCCCTCAGCAAGGCTAGTTTACTTTCTGCAGAAAGGGTGTACTCGGCAGCAGTCCAGCCACGAGAGCACACTGAACAAAGGAGTGGAGGACATTTATAACCTTTACATCCTGATGCAACCCCCTAGAGCTGTGTCCTGTTCCCATTGACTGGGATGGGACCTCACACTCTAAACTTAACTCGATTGGCGAATAATTTAAAACTTTCCTAAATAGGGAGAAGGGAAAGAGGACAAAGAAAAGAGGAAGTTAGTGATAAGAGGTCAGAGGGGTTTCCAAATAAGGAATGGCATGCATCCTAATTTGGGACTCATTTAGCCTTATCTCAACCTACCAGAACAAGTTGGAGCAGCCTTGGAATATACACATACAAACATTTAACCAGGGAATGATAAACCCTTTATGGATTAAGAAACTTTGAAGAAGAACTTCTCTATTCCCTACAGAAGACATCATGTTCATTAAATGGTATTGGGACAACCAAATCTGGAAAATAAATCCTTATTGCACGTACATTAAGATAAATTTCAGATGGATTAATGAGCTTAAACAATGAAATCAATAATTACTATATAAAAATATTGGTTCATGTTTTTTGTTTGTTTGTTTTTGACCAAGTCTTGCTCTGTAACCCAGGCTGTAGTGCAGTGGTGCAATCTCAGTTCACTGCAACCTCTCCCTAGTGGGTTCAAGTGATTCTCATGCCTCAGCCTCTTGAGTAGCTGGGACTACAGCCGTGCACCACCACAGCCAGCTAATTTTTGTATTTTTAGTAGAGATGGGGTTTCATCATGTTGGCCAGGCTGGTCTTGGACTCCTGGCCTCAAGTGATCCACCTGCCTTGGCCTCCCAAAGTCACTGTGCCTCGCGTGGTTCATGTTTTAAAAAATTATTTGTCATAGACAAAGTTGGAAACAAAGTGTATAACAATAGGAAATTGGTTAGATTATAGTAGATCTACACGATGGTGTGTCATGGTCATTAACTGTTCTTGAAGTATGTTTATTGACGTGTATCTTGGAAAGATGTTCATAATATATTGTTAAGTAAAAAATAGTTTGTTAGAGAATTAGAAAAGAGCTAAGATTTGCTATAATACTGAATGTTTACTAGGTTCTAGGCACTGCTAACTTCCTTGCAGCTTTTGTTTCATTTGACTCTCACATGTGATCCTGTTTTTGCATATATATGTGTATCTGTGTGTGTGTGTGTGTATATATATGCAAACCTATCTTCTATGAATGTATATGTGAATAACTATTTTAATGCTTTTTTAACAGCTTTATTGAGGTATAATTGACATAGAATGAACTGGACATATTTAGAGTGTCCAATTTGATCAATTTAGGCATTTGAATATACCCACAAAATCATCAACACAATCAATATAATAAACATATCCATCACTACCCAAAATTTCCTTTTTTTTTTTTTTTGAGACAGGATCTCACTCTGTCACCCAGGCTGGAGTGCAGTGGCGCAATCTCGGCTCACTGCAACCTCCACCTCCCAGGTTCAAGCAATTCTCCTGCCTCAGCCTCCTGAGTAGCTGGGGTTATAGACGTGCCACCATGCCTGGCTAATTTTTATGTTTTTAGTAGAGACTGGGTTTCACCATGTTGGCCAGGCTGGTCTCAAACTCCTGACCTCAAGTGATCTGCCTGCCTCAGCCTCCCAAAGTGCCGGGATTACAGGCGTGAGCCACTAAGCCCAGTCTCCAAAATTTCCTTTCTAATACCTCCCTCTTTTCTTTCTTTTCTTTTTTTTTTTTTGAGACAGAGTCTCACTCTGTTGCCCAGGCTGGAGTGCAGTGGCGTGATCTCGGCTCACTGCAAGCTCCGCCTCCTGGGTTCACGCCATTCTCCTGCCTCAGCCTCCCGAGTAGCTGGGACTACAGGCGCCCGCCACCGCGCCTGGCTATTTTTTTGTATTTTTGGTAGAGACGGGGTTACACTATGTTGGCCAGGATGGTCTCGATCTCTTGACCTCATGATCCACCCGCCTCAGCCTCCCAAAGTGCTGGCATTATAGGCGTGAGCCACCACGCCCGGGACCTCCCTCTTTTCTTACCCAACCACCACTACTATGCTGTTGTTCCCAGGAAACCTGTGTCTGGTTTCTTATTTATTTATTTATTTATTTTTTGAGACTGAGTCTCACTCTGTCGCCCAAGCTGGAGTGCAGTGGCATGATCTCGGCTCACTGCAGCCTCTGCCTCCCGGGTTCAAGCACTTCCTGCCTCAGCCTCCCAAGTAGCTGCGATTACAGGTGCGCACCACCACGGCCAGCTGATTTTTGTATTTTTAGTAGAGATGGGGTTTCACCATGTTGCCCAGGCTGATCTCGAACTCCTGGGCTCAAACGATTCAGACGCCTCAGCCTCCCAAAGAGCTGGGATTACAGGTGTGAGCAAGCATGCCCAGCATAATTTGCTTTCAGTCTCTATAGATTAGTTTGTGTTTTCTAGAATTATATATTAATGGAGTCATACAGCATATACTTTTTGGTGGTGGGGCTCCGGCTTTTTTTACTCAGCATAATTTTGGTATTCATGTATGTTGTTTATATTAATAGTTCATTCTTTTTTATCACTAAGTTCTATTACATAGTATGGATATATCATAGTGCATTTATTCAGATACTGATGGACATTTGGGTAGTTTCCAGTTTTGTGGGGACATATGCTTTCATTTCTTTTGGGTAGAATGGCTAGGTCATATGGCTGGTGTATATTTAACTTTTAAGATACTGCCAAACTGTTTTCTAAAGTGATCGTACCATTCTATTTTTCTATCAAAATTGTGTGAGAGTTCCATGTCGTCTATATTCTTGTATTTCCCTGATGATTAATGATATTGGGTACCTTTTCATGTGTTTATTGGTCATTCAAGTATTTTGTGAAATGTCTAAGTATTTTGCCCATTTTAAAAGCTTAGATTGCTGGGGGCAGGGTCTCACGCCTGTAATCCCAGCACTTTGGGAGGCTTAGGCAGGCGGATCATGAGGTTAAGAGATCGAGGAGATCATCCTGGCCAACATGGTGAAACCCCCTCTCTACTAAAAATACAAAAATTATCCGGACATGGTGGCACGCGCCTGTAGTCCCAGCTACTCAGGAGGCTGAGGCAGGAGAATGGTGTGAACCCAGGAGGGGGAAGTTGCAGTGAGCCGAGATTGTGTCACTGCACTCCAGCCTGGGTGACAGAGTGAGACTCCATCTCAAAAAAAAAAAAAAAAAAAAAATAGAAACCTTGTAGCCCACAGCCTCGCTAAATTCATTTATTAGTTTTAGTATTTTTTTACGATTTTTTTTTTTGTGTGATGGAGTCTCGCTCTGTCACCCAGGCTGGAGTGCAGCGACGTGATCTTGGCTCACTGCAAGCTCCGCCACCCCGGTTCACGCCATTCTCCTGCCTCAGCCTCCGGAGTAGCTGGGACTACAGGCGGTCGCCACCATGCCCGGCTAATTTTTTTGTATTTTTAATAGAGACAGGGTTTCACCATGTTAGCCAGGATGGTCTCGATTTCCTGACCTCGTGATCCGCCCACCTCGGCCTCCCAAAGTGCTGGGATTACAGGCGTGAGCCACAGTGCCCGGCTTTTGAAGATTCTTGAGGGTTTTCTATGTACACAGTATCTTCTGCAAAAAAAAAAAAAAACCTGACAGTTTTACTTTCCTTTGCAACTTGATTCCTTGTGTTTCTTTTCCTTATCGTACTGTACTGGCTAAGCTATGGCAGAAAATTTAACAATGTTGGCCTCTGAATGGATGAGATTATAGGTGTTTTAAGATTTTTCTTCTTTTTGTTTGTATACATTTTCTAATATTTCTTTAACAAACATATACTGCTTTTATAATAAAATATTTTTCAAAAAAGAATAAGTATGAAGAAGGGAAAACATGCAAAATACATTTAAGTTTAAAAAGCAGAATGTAAATTAATTGAAGAGTTTTGATTCTGTAAAATATTTATATAAGGGATAAATACTTGAATGGATTATAGGGCAACGGAGATCCTTGATTTTTTATAATAGTGATTAGTATTGTTACACATATTGACAAGAACAAAAATATTTAAGTGTAATTATTTTTTACCCTGTTTTTATCTCTTTCTTCCTAGGAAATTCTTTTGTTTTTGCTTAGCTACTGAACTGTTGTGCTAAACAGAAAATGGTCAAAATATAATTTTGAAGACTCACAGAGAGGGCTGCAGATGACTTGACATAAGAAAGTGCGGTGGCTCAAGCCTGTAATCCCAACACTTTGGGAGGTCGAGGCAGGTGGATCACGAGGTCAGGAGTTGAAGACCAGCCTGGCCAACATAGTGAAACCTCATCTCTACTAAAAATACAAAAAATTAGCCAGGCGTGGTGGCAGGCACCTGTAGTCCCAGGTACTCAGGAGGCTGAGGCAGGAGAATCGCTTGAACCTTGGGAGGTGGAGATTGTAGTGAGCTGAGATTGCACCACTGCACTCCAGCCTGGGCGACAGAGCAAGACTCCGTTTCAAAAAAAGAAAAGAAAGTACATTGTGCTACCGGGCGTGGTAGCTCACACCTGTTATCCCAGCACTTTGGGAAGCCAAGGCAGGCAGATTGTTTGAACCCAGGAGTTTGAGACCAGCCTGGGCAACGTGGCAAAACACTGGCTCTACTAAAAATACAAAAAATTAGATGAGCATGGTGGCATGTGCCTGTAATCCCAGCTACTTGGGGATACTGAGGTGGGAGGATCATCTGAGCCTGGGAGGTCGAGGCTGCAGTGAGCCGTGATCGTGTCACTGTACTCCAGCAATTGGGGAGGGAATAGGAAAAAAGTTATTAGTGCTTAGAGGTCTGAGACTAGGAAAAGAGATGAGTAAAAATGATTTTTAAGATTTATTATGTATGCTGCTGTTATATAAGGAGAAAACTGCTTTCTCAGAAATGTTTTGTTCCTTTGTTTTCATGGCATTTTGAAGTATGTGTTTGTTTCTTTTGGCTGTGATAACGTGCCGAGCCTGGTTGGATTTATTGCTGTTGCAACTTTATCTTCTTGGTCTGTGAGGATGTAACATTTGTAATTTTGATTATTTGCAAACAATTCAGTAGTTCCTGATTGGTGTAATTGGAAATATAATTACCAACTCTGATACCAGTATTCAGGAGTGTATTACTTGGCCTTTGAGGGAACCAAGTTAACATGCAAGTATGTTCATCATTATTACTTAGGAAAGTTAGGCAGCAATTTTCATAAATTTTCAAAAAAACAATAGCACCTTTATTTTTGTGTAGAAAATAGCTATTGAGTGCAAGAGAGCCAAATTCTATGATTGCTGGATAGGTAGTCCCCTTGTGGTATGTGGATATGCACACAACACAACAAGCTCTCAATGAAAATTGATTGAGGAGAAATTTAGGAGGAAGCTACAAAGACATTCCTATATTTCTTTTTCATTTTTTTGAAATAGAGTCTTGCTGTGTCACCCAGCCTGGAGTGCAGTGGTGCGATCTCTGCTCTCTGCAACCTCCGCCTCCCAGGTTCAAGTGATTCTCCTGCCTCAGCCTAACAAGTAGCTGGTACTACAGGCACGCGCCACCACGGCAGGCTAATTTTTGTGTTATTAGTAAAGACGGGTTTCACCATGTTGGCCAGGCTGGTCTGGAACTCCTGAGCTTAAGTGATCCACCTGCCTCAGCCTCCCAAATTGCTAGGATTACAGGCATGATCCACCGTGCCCGGCCTGACATTCCTATATTTCTGATTCTGGGAATTTTCAAAAGTCTCTAAGTATATCACATATAAGACTGTGATATTAATTCTGGGGAACCTGCTGACTGAAAAGATTATTGAATTAGATATCAAAAGATAAGCATTTTAATCCCAATTATGCCACCTACTAGCTGGATGGCTTTGATTAAGTTACCTTACATTTCTGAACTTCATACTCCTTTTGTAAAGGGGAATAAGAACTTTGGATCTACCATGCTGCTAATTATGCGGTGCAGATTGTACACTCTAGTGAAGGATAGCCATCTGGTTAAGGGAAGGGAGGGTGGGGCTGAAATCTGGGGTACTCTGTGCAACAAGCTGTGTACCTTAGCATGGGGTCTGTCCAGAGAAGGCATGCCTTCTTCAATCTCTCACAGAGGCCCATCTGTTTCACCAAGTAGTGCACAGTAGCTCTGCAGCTTCTTGGGGGCAGCGGGGGCTGGGGGTGAGACCCTATTAATTTGCTCAAAGATGCTGTATAGACAATGGTGGATCTGGGCTGGGTGCGGTGGCTCATGCCTGTAATCCCAGCACTTTGGGAGGTCGAGGCGGGTGGATCACCTGAGGTCAGGAGTTTGAGACAACACGGTGAAACCCTGTCTCTACTAAAAATATAAAAATTAGCCGGGTGTGGTGACGCGCGCCTGTAATCCCAGCTACGCAGGAGGCTGAGGCAGGAGAATCACTTGAATCCTGGAGGCAGAGGTTGCAGTGACCTGAGATCGTGCCACTGCACTCCAGCCTAGACGACAGAGCGAGACTCCATCTCAAAAAAAAAAAGGACAATGGTGGATCTGGCTATGCCTACCTCACAGGATTGTTATGGAGAACAATGAGATTTGTGTTAAAGTACTTTGAAAAGTATAGTGTAACACAAATATAATGTCTTATTTTTACTGTTCATCTGTGGTTTATTTTAGGGTAGATACAACAAGAATTGAATACTCCATTCCTTTAAGAGAAAACTGGGCACTACCATATTTTGCATGCCAAATTGCTGCACTTACAGGCTATTTAAAAAGCAACTTAAATACTTATGGAGAGGTAAGATACAAATCTGTTTTATCTGTTGCAGCTAATTCTGATGTATTGCAAATGTGGCACATAATAGCAAATAAATTTTAGTCCTAGTAAGAATTAAATCATATTTAATGAAGCCTGGTTACTACATAATAAAAGATATAGTTAGGTAGTTTTCTTACAACACTGTTACTCTGTAATCTGATTAACAGTAAATTAGGAGAAAGGAGATGTTTTATCATTTTAATATAGTTAACTTGACAAATATATGAAACATATCTTATTTTGAAAATCTGTTCCACTGTTATTTTATCACTTCTCGGACTTCTGGAACATTGATGGCCTTCAATCACCATGATTTAAAGATATATTAAACAAGATGTAAAGAGTGACCACAAATGACAGGAGTGTTAACTTGAATGGCAGCACTGCGTATTCTGTTTCTTCTCATGTTTTCTGTGACTGAGGTATAGGTAGGTTGGTAAAAATTTCAGGAGACTGTCCCTGGTAGTTTAGATTCTTACATTGTTATTGTTATTGTTGTTGCCACAGCCCTTTTGGCAGTTGGAAGAAGCCTGTGGAGTCTGTCTCAGGATAATGATTTTAGGCCAGACATGGTGGCTCATGCCTGTAATCCCAGCACTGTGGGAGGCTGAGAGGGGCGGACCCACCTGAGGTCAGGAGTTTGAGACCAGCCTGGCCAACATGGTGAAACCTCATCTCTAATAAAAATTCAAAAATTAGCCAGGTGTGGTGGCACACGCCTGTAATCCCAGCTACTTGGGAGGCTGAGGTGGGAGGATCCCTTGAACCTGGGAGGCGGAGGTTGTAGTGAGCTGAGATCACGCCACTGCCTTCTAGCCTGGGCGACAGAGAGACCCTGTCTCCAAAAAGAAAAAGAATAATGATTTAAAATACATAAAATGATTATAGAGGCAACCAGTTATATTGAAATTGACTGAATTGTAACAGTCCTTTGATAGTCTTCTTATCTGGGGTTAAGAATTACTGGCTAGAAAAAGAGAGCAGAGATTATTAAACCTGGTTGTCCAGGAAACAGGATGCACTTATGGGTCCTTTATAAAAATCTCTGAAAAAATGTGCTATTCTTTTCTCCTTTCAGTGGTGACAAATGTCCTGAGCATAGCAAACTTTATTATTTCATTTTTATAACTAGCATTTCCTTTTTTGCATGTAAAATAACATGAACACATTTCAGCTTTGTGATCTTCCTTTATGTTGTATTTGTATAAAGATCTTTCTGCACAAGAGTATATTTTCTTTTTTTTTTAGACAGAGTCTTGCTATCTGTTGCCCAGGCTGGAGTGTGATGGCGTGATCTCTGCTCACTGCAACCTCTGCGTCCCGGGCTCAAGCGATTCTCCTGCCTCAGCCTCCTGTGTAGCTGAGATTACAGGCACCCAGCACCACACCCAGCTAATTTTTGTATTTTTAGTAGAGACGGGGTATCACTATGTTGGCCAGTCTGGCCTCGAACTCCTGAACTCAAATGATCCACCCGCCTCAGCCTCCCAAAGGGCTGGGACTACAGCCGTGAGCCACTGCGCCTGGCCAAGAGTATATTTTCTTTAATAGTCAGGTAGTCTATGATTGAATATTTTCCTGTTTGATTGTACAGCTGTCAGGGAAGAATAGTTTTTCAATTGTTAAGTAAAAGAGTTTCATATAGGCCGGGTGTGGTGGCTCACACCTATAATATTACCCAGCACTTTGGGAGGCTGAGGCAGGCAAATCACCTGAGGTCAGGAGTTCGAGACCAGCCTGGCCAACATGGTGAACCCTCTCTCTATTAAAAATAACAAAAAATTAGCTGGGTGTGGTGGTGCACAGCTGTACTCCCAGCTACTTGGGAGGCTGAGGTGGGAGAATCGCTTGAACCCGGAGGTGGGGGTTGCAGTGAGCTGAGATCACACCACTGCACTCCAGCCTGAGCAACAGAGTAAGACTCCATCTCCAAAAAAAAATAGAGTTTGGTATAGCAAAATGAACTGCCTAAGTTTCTTTATATTTATCTCTTTGTTTCTTTGAGACGTGGACTCGCTCTGTCACCCAGACTGGAGTGCGGTGGCGTGATCTAGGCTTACTACATTTTTGACCCCTCACCCAGCTTCCCCCAGTAATATCTTGCATGACCATAATACCTTGTCAAAGTCAATAAATTGACATTGATATAATACTGTTAATTCAGGCACTGACTTTCTTCAGATTTCACCAGGTTTTACATATACTGCTTTTGTGGAAAGTGGGTGTATAGTCATATTAGTTGTTATCACACGTATAAATTTGAGTAACTGTCATCATAATCAAGACATAGAACTCTTCCGTCACCACTAAGAAAATCCTGTGTACCTTAATAATCACATCCTTCCTGTAACCCAAACCTCTGGCAACCACTGATCTATTCTCTATCACTATAATTTTGTCACCTTGAAAGGTTATATAAATGGAATCAAATCATGTAGTATGTAACCTTTTAAGATTAGCTTTTTTCACTCAGCCTAATAATGCCCTTGACATCCATGTGAGTTACTGTATGTGAATACTTTGCTCCTTGTCATCGCTGAGTAGTATTTTAGCAATTTTTTTTTTTTTTTGAGACGGAGTCTCTTGCTCTGTTGCCCAGGCTGGAGTACAGTGGGACAATCTCAGCTCACTGCAACCTCCGCCTCCCAAGTTCAAGCGATTACCATGTATCGGCCTCCCTAGCAGCCAGGACTGCAGATGCACGTCACCACACCCAGCTAATTTTTGTATTTTTAGTAGAGACGGAGTTTCACCATGTTGGCCAAGCTGGTCTTGAACTCCTGAGCTCAAGTGATTCGCCTGCCTTGGCCTCCCAAAGTGTGTCCGGAGTTGGTTCTTTCCAGTGGGTTCATGGTCTCGCTGACTTCAAGAATGAAGCCGCGGACCCTTGTGGTGACTGTTAACAGCTCTTAAAGATGGCATGGACCCAAAGAGTGAGCGGTAGCAAGGTTTATTGTGACGAGCGAAAGAACAAAGCTTCCACAGCATGGAAGGGGACCCAAGTGGTTTGCCACTGCTGGCTGGGGTGGCTAGCTTTTATTCCCTTATGTGTCCTCTCCCATGTTCCATTTTTGTCCTATCAGAGCGCCCTTTTTTCAATCCCCCCTGTGATTGGCTACTTTTAGGATCCTGCTGATTGGTGCATTTTACAGAGCGCTGATTGGTGCATATTACAGAGCACTGATTGGTGCATTTTACAATCCTCTTGTAAGACAGAAAAGTTCTCCAAGTCCCCACTCAACCCAGGAAGTTCAGCTGGCTTCACCTCTCAAAAGCGCTGAGATTACTGGTGTGAGCCACTGTGCCTGGTCTACATGTTCTTTTTTTTTTTTTTTTTTTTTTTGAGACGGAGTTTTGCTCTTGTTGCCCAGGCTAGAGTGCAATGGCATGATCTCAGCTCACTGCAACCTCTGCCTCCCAGGTTCAAGCGATTCTCCTGCCTCAGCCTCCCAAGTAGCTGGGATTACTGGCCTGTGCCACCAAGCCCAGCTAATTTTGTATTTTTAGTAGAGACAGGGTTTCTCCATGGTCAGGCTGGTCTCGAACTCCCGACCTCAGGTGATCCGCCCGCTTCAGCCTCCCAAAGTACTGGGATTACAGGTGTGAGCCACTGTGCCCGGCCCATGTACTTTTTTAAAATCACATATTTTGTATTTTGCTTCCCATTCTTGAGGCTAAGTTTCGTGGTCCCAGTTGCCTCAGGATATCCAACTTCAGTTCAATCTTTTGTGCAATTATCTGGAGTCATTCAGAAACATTTGTGGTTGATTATTGAAGCCTGTTTGATGTATCACATAAATCCTATGTGTAAAAAGTTCACACTACAGGCACAGTGAAAGTGAAGCCCTGTGAGACACAGCAAGCAAGGTCAGGGTAGGCAAGACTGCACAGAACCTTGAAAATGCTCAGGGAAAGGAATAACTTTGCTAACTCTCCAGGTTGTGTTTGATACGTAGTTCTATCTTTAAGACATTTTTACTGTATGCTCTTAGAGTAGTTTGAGAGTCAACCCTTGGAATTAACAATTTGTTTTAGTATGTTGTAGGTTTCCCCCAGAATCTCAGAAGCAATCTCCAAATGCCCAGTACATTAATTAGGCTGGGTCTAGATTTGAGCCTTCATTGCTTTCTGGAACTGATTTCTCTGGGGATGATGGTGTCTGGTTATTACAGTTCTGTTTGTTCCACGTTAGAAGGCTTCCAGAACCCTTGCCCTGTGCACAGCTATGGTGACAGGAAGAGCAGAAGCTTATGTCAGAGCCCTTCTGTGCTTTGCAGTTGGTGTTATTTGCCCAACAGGTGGAAGTTTGCCATTTCTTACATTCGGTTCTCTGGTCTTAATCTTATTCAGGATGCTGGAAAATTATTTTATCTGCTGATGGCTGAGATATTTCTGACTCTGGAATTTATCCTTGAGTATAGTCAGCTGAGTATGAAAGACTTAGTTTCAGAGAGCACAGTTCTTATCTTAGGTTTCTTGACTGACCTTTATTGTCCTTCTCCTTCACTGTTCTTATCTGAGCAAGGTCATTTGACACTACAGCCAGTGAAGGGATCCAGAATTTAAAAGTAGGTCCATAGAAGAAGGAGAGGCTGTTGTTGCATACGTTATGGGATTTGTCACAGACTTGGTAACTTGCCAAGGGATCACATGGGAGATGACATTTTGAAGGACAGAATTGACTTAGCCAGGCAGATTTTCGGCAAGGGCAAGGACATCCCTTGTGTTTAGTATTTAGCAGAGGAAAACAGCTGAAAGTTTAATATGGCTGACAGTACAGGCATTGGGGAAAGATAATACTTCTGTTGACAGGAAATGAAAAAAGCAAAGACATGGGCTGTGGAATAGGCTGAGATGTAAGCAGACTATTTAAATGAAGTTCTTAGGAAAATAAGTTCTGAACCCTGATGAATACCAGCATTTAAGTTATTTGGACAGAGAGAAGTTAACATAAATTGTTAACCAAGTATAAAGTCATTAACTTGCTAAATGAAAGGGTAATAGAGCCTGAAAGTTTCATAGAGATCGCAACTCCAGAAAGCAGCTACCACCACCAGGACTGAGGGAACAAAGGGAAAAATAGGAAATTATTAAAACTTGAAGCACCATGGAAGTGAAATGTTATTTTCACAGCAAAAGGAGTTGCCTCCCCAATAACAAAAGCTCACCAGCCAGGTCTAGTAAATGCCACCCTTTCTTGTATTTATTGCTTTACTTCTTTTGGGATGAAAGAAAATTATATTGAATTTTCTTTTTCTTCCCCTTTGTCTTCCTGAAATTCTCAATGTGATGTTGAACATTGAAGGACAAGTAGTTGATTTCTCTCAAGTGCCTTATTTGAGCTCTTGTCGTTTTTGTAAGGATTTAATAATAATTATGTGATTTAAAAACAAAGTTTCAATAATTATATAGCTTAAAGTTGAACGAGTAACAGAGCTACAACTTTGAGGTAACAGTCTCATAGGCTTTTATTGTAATAAAGTTATTGATATTTAGTTTCTTTCATTTGTTTTCCCTAGAGGTTTTGCTACTTGTTGATGAGTGCTTCAACTTACACATTTATGATGATGTGGGAGTATAGCCACTATCTCCTGTTTCTTCAAGCAATATCTCTATTCCTGCTAGATACCTTTTCAGTGGAGCAAAGTGACAAGGTATTATGGCATTTTGAAATGGTGATTTTTAAGAGAATAAATGTATTTATAGCATTGTATCTTAAAACCTCTCTTTTCTTCATCCATACACTCATATGGGAACCCCGATGCATACAATATTTAAGTTATTTGGACAGAGAGAAGTTAATATAAATTGTTAACCAAGTATAAAGTCATTAACTTGCTAAACGAAAGGGTGATATGAGCCTGAAAGTTTCATAGAGATCGCAACTGCAGAAAGCAGTTAACTGCTAGGGAAAAAGATGAAATTATTAAAATGTAGAAATGTAGAACAGGGACCTCACAGAGCTGATACTCAGACTTTTGAGCTCAGAAATATCAGCTTTGCTCAAAAGTAGGGCCCTTCAGAAATGAGACCCAGGCGTCTGAGGATGTGGCTATGGCTGGCTGCTCTTGGGTTTCTTGAGCTGGAAGATGTGATGAAGCTGGTTCTTGAAGTGTTGGAAAAACTGCAGCTGCATCCGGTGCTTCCATAGGAAGTAATTGCTCTGTTGGGGTGAAGAAGCATCCTTGAGGTGAGATCACAGGACCCTCAAGCCATCAGGAAGCAAGAGGAAGGAGCCAGGCTTGCACTTTCCCTCTACCATTTCCTACTGGCAGAGCTTCATAGGGAACCAACAGGAAAAGCAGAAATGTAGATTGCAGAGTCCCAGGCCCAGCATTGCCAGGCAAAGGATAGAAAAGGGAGTTTGGAGCTAAGAGAGTTATTTGGTAACTGGCACGCATCTGTAGAACCAGAGCCCAAATCAAAAATAGAACGTAAGCCAGGTGTGGTGGCACATGCCTGTAGTCCCAGCTACTCAGGAGGCCAAGGCAGGAGGATTGTTTGAGCCCAGGAATTCAAGTCCAGCCTGGGCAACATAGTGAGACCCTATCCCTACAAAAAATTTTTAAAAATTAACTGGGTGGGGTGGGGGCTGAGGCGGGAGGATCACTTGACCAGCCTGAGCAACATGGTAAGATCCCACCTCTAAAAAATTAAAAAAGGGAATAGATCATTACCAGCACCCAGAAGACTCCATCTTGCTCTCTCTCCCAGTCATTACTTCAACCCCCAACAGGGTAGCTACTGTTCTGACTTGTAACAGTGAGGTCTCTCTTTTTTTTTTTTGAGATGGAGTCTCACTCTGTTGCCCAGGCTGGAGTGCGGTGGCTCAATCTCAGCTCACTGCAACCTCTGCCTCCCGGCTTCAAGCGATTCTCCTGCCTTAGCCTCCCGAGTAGCTGGGATTACAGGCGCCTGCCACCATGCCCAGCTAGTTTTTGTGTTGTTAGTAGAGACAGAGTTTCACCATGTTAGCCAGGCTGATCTCGAACTCCTGACCTTGTGATCTGCCCGCCTCAGCCTCCCAAAGCTTTGGAATTACAGGTGTGAGCCACCGCACCTGGCCAAGGTATCTTTTTTTTTTTTTTTTTTTTTTAAATGGCTCTGGCTATTGACTGATTTTTTTTCTGTCTTTTTGTTTGTTTTTTATTTTATTTTTATTTATTTTTACTTTTTTGGAGACAGGGTCTCACTCCGTCACCCAGGCTGGAGTGCAGTGGCTCAATCACAGCTCACTGCAACCTCCGCCTCCCAGGCTCAAGCAATCCTCCCACCTCAGCCTCCTGAGTAGCTGAGACTACAAGTGCGTGCCACCATGCCCGTCTGATTTTTCTTTTCTTTTTTTTTTTTCTTTTTTTGAGACAGAGTCTTGCTCTGTCACCCAGGCTGGAGTGCAGTGGTGCGATCTCAGCTCACTGTAGCCTCCGCCTCCCAGGTTCAAGTGATTATCTTGCCTCAGCCTCCTGAGTAGCTGGGATTACAGGCATGCCCCACCACACCGGGCTCATTTTTTTTTTTTATTTTTAGTAGAGAATGAGTTTCATCATGTTGGCCAGGTTGGTCTTGAACTCCTGGCCTCAAGTGATCCGCTCTCTTTGGCCTCCCACAGTGCAGGGGGATTACAGGCGTGAGCCACTGCGCCCAGCCCCAGGTGATTTTTCTGTTTTTCACAGAGATGGGGTTTTGCCATGTTGCCCAGGCCAGGCTGGTCTAAAACTCCTGGGCTCAAGCCATCCTCCCGCCTCTGCCTCCCAGCGTGCTGGGATTATAGATGTGAGCCACCGAGTCTGGCCTGTTTTTTAGCATATAACTATTTTCTGGGAGATCTTCTAATAAAACATTGCATTTAACTTTGTTATGCTCACTAGTTGGACCAAAAACAATACTTTACTCTGATGGTGCATTTCATGGCAGTATATTTTCACTGGGTAGGTTTTGGGGGCTACTGCTAAAAATTATGATTTTTGATTTATGTAATTTGAGGTTGCATAGATGAATTTTAATAACAGGGCAAACTAAGTGAAATTAAGAAGGTTCTTCCAGTCTGATTTAGACACTGATGCTTTTAAAGCTCTTTATTTTGTTTCCAGAGAGTTTTAAGAAAACAGTGATAAGGGCCGGGTGTGTGGCTCACGCCTGTAATCCCAGCACTTTGGGAGGCTGAGGCGGGCAGATCACAAGGTGAGGAGATCGAGACCATCCTGACTAACACGGTGAAATCCCGTCTCTACTAAAAATACAAAAAAATTAGCCGGGCGTGGTGGTGACACCTGTAGTCCCAGCTACTCGGGAGGCTGAGGCAGGAGAATGGCGTGAACCCGGGAGGCAGAGCTTGCAGTCAGCCGAGATCGCGCCACTGCACTCTAGCCTGGGCGACAGAGCGAGACTCCGTCTCAAAAAAAAAAAAAAAAAGAAAACAGTGATAAGTTAATTACACACTATTTTATACATATATATTATATATATATGTATGTATGTATGTATGCGTGTGTGTGTGTGTCTGTGTGTGTATATATATATATATATATATATATATATTTTTTTTTTTTTTTTTTTTTTTTTGTCCTGAGACAGAGTCTTGTGCTGTTGCCCAGGCTGGAGTGCAGTGGTGCGATTTTGGCTCACCGCAACCTCCACCTACTGAGTTAAGCGATTCTCATGCCTCAGCCTCCCGAGTGGCTGGGATTACAGGTTCCTGCCACCATGCCCAGCTAATTTTTTTTGTTTTTAATAGAGATGGGTTTCACCATGTTGGCCAGGCTTGTCTCGAACCCCTGACCTCAATGATCCACCCACTTTGGCCACTGAAAGTGCTGGGATTTCAGATGTGAGCCACCATGCCCGGCCAACATTAAAAATATTGATTAAACATTTGCATAATACTTTCCTAAATTATAGTAGAGCATTAACTGTATAATTATAGTTAAATCTATATAAAACAAATGAAAATATGTATGATAAAATATAACTTATTCTCACTTATTTTATTTTTGTCACAACAGGTTTATGAAGTTTATAAAATCTACATATTTTCCCTCTTTCTGGGATATTTACTACAGTTTGAGAATCCAGCTTTGTTGGTATCTCCTTTATTAAGTTTAGTAGCAGCCTTAATGCTTGCTAAGTGCCTTCAGGTAACTAGAATTATCTTTTTATTGTTCTTATTTTGATTTTTTTTTTTTGAAGTGGAGTCTCACTCTGTTGCCCAGGCTGGAGTACATCTCAGCTCACTGCAACCTCTGCCTCCCGGGTTCAAGTGATTCTCCTGCCTCAGCCTCCCAAGTAGCTGGGATTACAAGCATGCGCCACCACACCCAGCTAATTTTTGTATTTTTAGTAGAGACTGGGTTTCACCATTTTGGCCAGGCTGGTGTCAAACTCCCGACCTCAAGTGATCCCCTATCTTTGGTCTCCCAAAGTGCTGGGATTACAGGCTTGAGCCACTGTGCTCGGCCATTCTTATGATTACTTTTTAAATTGTTAATTTTTTAACACCTCACTTCTTTGTTCATATGATTTTTCCTCCACAGCTGAATGTGAAGAAAGGAAGTTTTGTAGCTAAAATAATAAAAGTGATTAATTTTTACTTGGTGTGTACTCTGACAATAACATTGAATATTATAATGAAGGTAAGTAACTCTCTGGGATTCATATAGTAAAACAAAATGAATAATGAAATATATTGGACTACATTTTAATGAGAATAATGAGATAGCACGTAATAGAGTTTGAACAGTATAATTTTGAGTTAAACAACAATCATAACTAGCATACTGGGTAAGAAAGTAGGATTCTGATTCTTTTCTGTATGTAGTTGAAAAAGGGAATGCATATTTTTCATTAAGTTAAAAATGTCATCATTACCCAGTTAACATTAAGCAATATATGGAATAAAGTGAGACAAATGAAAAGTGTTTAGAAGAGTGGGTGAGTTACTTGAGCCTGGTGGGATAAGGTTGAAATGTTGTTGATCACCTGAGGTCAGGAGTTTGAGGCCAGCTTGGCCAACATAGTGAAACCTCGTCTCTACTAAAAATACAAAAAATTAGCTGGGCGTGGTGGCTTGCGCCTGTAATCCCAGCTACTTGGGAGGCTGAGGCAGGAGAATTGCTTGAACCCGGGAGGCAGAGGTTGCAGTGAGCCAAGATCGTGCCATTGCACTCCAGCCTGGGCAACAAGAGTGAAACTCTGTCTCAAAAAAAAAGAAAAAAGAAATGTTCTTACTACGCCATTGTAGTTTATGCTTCAGCATAAGGTCATGGGATTGATTTATGTCAGTAAATCTCCTTGCTTCATAGTCATACCGTATATTATTTATTCATATTTTTGTTTTGTAGTCTTGTTGTGTTTTCTGTCTCTAGTATTGGGGAAAGCATATGTTTGTAAGCATAGCTAATATTTCTTTGTTTAACTGGTGTTTTTCTCTTCTAGATGTTTGTCCCACACAAAGAAAATGGGCACATGCTGAAATTCCTTGAAGTAAAATTTGGACTAAATATGACCAAGTAAGTTTTAGATTATGTAAGTTTACCTAAATCGATACCACTTAGAAAATAAAGATAAAAAATACTCGATGGCCGGGCATAGTGGCTCACATCTGTAATCCCAGCACTTTAGGAGGCCGAGGTGGGTGGATTGTGACCACTTGAGTCCAGGAGTTTGAGACCAGTCTGGGCAACATGGCAAAACCCCATCTCTAAAAAAAAGACAACCAAACAAACAAACAAAAAACAAAAAAAATTAGCTGGGTGTGGTGGTGCATGCCTGTGGTTCCAGCTATTCAGGAAGCTGAGGTGGGAGGACCACCTGAGCCTGGGAGGTGGAGGTCATAGTGAGCCAAGATCACGCCAGTGCACCCCAGCCTGGGCAACGGTGAGACCCTGTCTAAAAAAAAAAAAAAAAAAATACCACTTAGAATGTATTTGCCATATTGTTAAATTTTAACATTTTGTTCTAAACCCAGTGATTTGAAGTAGACATTCTCAGTCCATCACTGAGCATTCCTGAACATCACTCCATCTCTAACATCTTTTCCCACGGCTAGGGATTGAGGATTGGAGTTTAGAGATGGATGAGAAATGAGAATGCAGATAAACATATATACAACCAGGAGTCTTTTTTTTTTTTTTTTGAGATGGAGTCTTACTCTGTTGCCCAGGCTGGAGTGCAGTGGCACGATCTCGGCTCACTGCAAGCTCCGCCTCCTGGGTTCATGCTATTCTCCTGCCTCAGCCCCCCGAGTAGCTGGGACTACAGGCACCCGCTACCATGCCCGGCTAATTTTTTGTATTTTTAGTAGAGACGGGGTTTCACTGTGTTAGTCAGGATGGCCTCGATCTCCTGACTCGTGATCTGCCCGCCTCGGCCTCCCAAAGTGCTGGGATTACAGGCGTGAGCCACCTTGCCTGGCTCAACGAGGAGTCTTGTTGATCATACTTAGAGTTGAAAAATGTTTATCCTGATTCATACTGCTCAAAAGGTTTACATTTCAGATTTTATGATTTATCTTAATAAGTAGGTATCTCTTTTTAAAATGGGTCCTAGTTGAATTACATTTGTCAATATACAGTAGGTCTATCCAATAATAATATGTGAACCACTTATGTAATTGTAATTTTCTAGTAGCTGTATTTTAAAAAATACAAAGAAACAAGTGAAATTAATTTTAATATATTTTCTCTAATATATAAAAATAATTTGTAAACAATGTAAAAATTATTAAGGAGATATTTTGTTTTTCAAATCATTATTTCGCTCTTTTTTTCTTTGAAATCCTGGGTGTATTTTGTACTTAAAGTATGTCTCAATTTGAATTGGCCACATTTCAGCTGTTTAAAAACTGCATGTCTCTAGTAGCTACCATATTCAACAATGCATTTGTAGAGGTTAGCCGGCCGAATTGTTTGTTGTCTTCTAGATAAAGATAGAAACCAAAATTCCCTAAAAGCTATATTGGGCTTTAGAGATGGTCACGTTACTTGGTAATAAAAAGCAGCAGTTTTACATTTATTAGAGCAGTTTTGGTGAGAGCACATGCTTTGTTTACTAATATGATACTATTATCTTCATTTATAAAGGATAGTACCTTGCTAATATAAGTAAACGGGTTTAGGAAATGTGTTTTTTCTTAGTTTTTGCTGATATTAAAAAAAATACTTCTGTGTTCAGTTTAAAACGTCTATGAATTTAATATCATACTTTTTGTCTTCTATAGGAATTTTACAATGAATTGGCTCCTCTGTCAAGAATCCCTGCAGGCACCATCTCAAGATTTTTTTCTGCGATTGACACAGTCTTCTTTATTACCTTTCTACATTCTAGTGTTAATTATTTGTTTTCTTTCTATGTTGCAAGTTATTTTTAGGAGGATTAAGTAAGTACCTATGAGAATCAATCATATTACTAACATAAATTATGGAAATATATAAAATACTTATTTTTAATATTCTTCCAAGATTTCTGTATTTGTTTTAGAGCTTCTATTTCCATTCTCTTTTCATTGACATGGAAAATATCATTATAAGATGTGTTGGCCAGGTGCGGTGGCTCATGCCTATAATCCCAGCACTTTGGGAGGCCGAAGCGGGCAGATCGCAAGGTTGGGAGTTTGAGACCAGCCGGTCCAATATGGTGAAACCCCATCTCTACTAAAAGTACATAAATTAGCTGGGCGTGATGGGTGCCCATCTAATAATAGCTGGGTGCGCCTGTAATCCCAGCTACTCGGGAAGCTGAGGCAGGAGAATCGCTTGAACCCGGGAGGCAGAGGTTGTGAGCCGAGATTGCACCACTGCACTCCAGCCTGGGCGACAGAGTGAGACTCCCTCTCTAAAAAAAAAAAAAAGTTGTATTGACCAGAAAAATTTAAACTTAGTTTTTTTGTTTTTTTTTTTTTTTTGAGACGGAGTCTTGCTCTTGTTCCCCAGGCTGGAGTGCAGTGGCACGATCTCGGCTCACCACAACCTCCACCTCCTGGGTTCAAGCGATTCTCCTACCTCAGCCTCCCGAGTAGCTGGGATGACAGGCATGCGCTGCCACACCCAGCTAATTTTGTATTTTTAGTAGAGATGGGGTTTCTCCATGTTGGTCAGGTTGGTCTCAAACTCCCGACCTCAAGGTGATCCACCCGTCTTGGCCTCCCAAAGTGCTGGGATTACAGGTGTGAGCCACCATGCTCAGCCCTAAACTTAGTTTTATATATCTAAATAGGTAATGTCCAGATTTAATATAGTTAGAGACTTAATATATAACTGATATTTAAATAATCAGTTAAACTTTTACAGACTGATTCACTAATTTATACAAATTTTTACTTAACGTAAGAATAATTTCTTCTATTTAACTTAAATGAAGTTAGCAGTATAAGTAATTTTAAATTATAAAGTTTGAGGCCAGGTGCAGTGGCTTATGCCTGTAATTCCAACAATTTGAGAGGCTGACGCAGGAGGATTGCTTGAGGCCAGGAGCTGAACACCAGCCTGGGCAACATAGTGAGACCCCCGTCTCTTAAAGAAAAAGAAAAAAAAAAGCTATAAAGTTTGACTAACCTTTGATGTTTTTATCATGTTTGAAACGTGGTTGTATATAATTTCTTCATTTTAAGAATTTAGTTATTCAAATTATCATTTAACTATATTAATTTAGCAATTGCTAATTGATTCATAATTGATCTTGGAAGAAGAACCTACAAATCTTTATTATTCTTTTCTTTTTTTTTTTTTTTTTGAGACAGAGTCTTACTCTGTCACTCAGGCTGGAGTGCAGTGGCGTGATCTTGGCTCACTGCAACCTCTACCTCCCAGGTTCAAGCGATTCTCTTGCCTCAACCTCCGGAGTAGCTAAGATTACAGGCATGTGCCACCATGCCCGGCTAATTTTTATATTTTAATAGAGATGGGGTTTCATCATGTTGGCCAGGCTGGTCTCGAACTCTTGACCTCAAGTGATCTGCCCACCTTGGCCTCCCAAAGTTCTGGGATTACAGGCGTAAGTCACTGCCCCTAACCCTTTTTTATTTTGCTGAAAATTCATGTTTAGTCTTCATAGAGTTTGTTGTCTTCAGGTTCTAAAAGCCATTCGCAGAAACTTAGAGACATATGTTAGGTATTTAACTAGCAGAATATACTTTCAAATTTTAAAAGATCACCTATATTTTTTGTTATGACGAAATATAAAATTTTAGGTATGTCCTTCAAAGATGATAAACAATGTATCTTTGGTTTTTTACAAATACATTTTCAAAGTATTAAAAAATACATTTTCTTTTTGTAGTGGTAAGTCCCTGAAGGAAACTGTTACTCTTGAAGATGGACGAATTGGAGAAAGACCAGAAATAATTTATCATGTAATTCACACTATTTTATTGGGTTCTCTTGCAATGGTTATAGAAGGGTAAGTGTACTTTATTTGATCCCTTTGTTTTAACAAAGATTGTTGGCTGAGTGCGGTGACTCACACCTGTAATCCCAGCACTTTGGGAGGCCAAGGCGGGTGGCTCACCTGAGTTCAGGAGTTTGAGACAGTGTGACTCTGTCAACACTCAACATGGTGAGACTCCGTCTCTACTAAAAATACAAAAATTAGCTGGGTGTGGTAGCTACTGGGGAGGCTGAGGTGGCAGGATCTCTCGAACCTGGGAGGTAGAAGTTGCAATGAGCCGAGATTGCGCCACTGCACTCTAGCCTGAGTGACAGAACAAGACCCCGTCAAAAAAAAAAGTCAGAAAACCCACAAAGATTGTCTTTTTTTTTTTTTTTTAGAATCTCGCTCTGTCACCCAGGCTGGAGTGCAGTGGTGCAATCTCAGCTCACTTCAACCTCCGCCTCCCAGGTTCAAGCAATTCTCCTGTCTCAGCCTCCTAAGTAGCCGGGATTACAGGCGTGCGCCACTGCACCTGGCTAATTTTTTTGTATTTTTAGTAGAGACAGGGTTTCACCACATTGGTCAGGCTGGTCTTGAACTCCTCACCTCGTTATCTGCCCACCTTGGCCTCCCAAAGTGTTGGGATTACAGGCGTGAGCCACCGCACCCAGCAAAGATTGTCTTTTTTAATGGTAATAAGTAGATACATCCAAGAATGCATTCATAAAACTTCATAAAAACTCAAAACCTATAAACTTTCTTAATTTATCTGGAGTTTACAAAGGTGTTTATATTATAATGAACTGACATTTACTTATTCATTCATTTGTTAAAAAACTATTGAACATATTCCAAGTTCTAGGCATTGTGCTAGGTGCTAAAGGTACCTCAATAAGCAATAGTGGAACAGACAGTCTCTAACCTTATTTAACTTATGGCCTAATGGAGGTGACAGATGTCAATCATACAAAAATAAAATTACAACTTTGGTAAGTGAAGGAGATGTACATGGTGCTATAAGAACATATAAAACAGAATTTGACTTAAAGAGATCAGAAAAGTTCTCTAAGGAAAAAGTGCCTGAGACCTGAAGGGTGAGTAGGAGTGGACTAGGTGAACCAAAGAGGCAAGAGTACTGCAGGTAGAGGGAATGGCATATGCCCAGGCCTGGGCAGGAAGGATCATGGCACATTGTTGGCGGGAGGAAAAGGAGTTCAGTCTGGCTGAAACACAGGGAGCATGTGGCAGGCTTTGTTGAGGACTTTGGAGTTTTCCCTTTTATCCTTTCCTTACCTTATTTCTTTTATTGTCTTTCAATGGCAAATGACATTTACAAAATATATATATAGGGCCCCATTTAATGTTCAATAAGGTAGAATTTTTATATTTCACTTGCTTGATCATTTTAGTGTTCTGTATACCTTAAATTTGTTAAGGCAAAATAGGTATTCACATGTTAATATTTAGATAAGTTATGTAATAATTTTTTAGGGAGTTTGAATCCTTGAAACATATCTTGCACTATTTATTTTTAAGTCTTTAGTTTTTAAACTTCCCTTGTTCCTGCTTCTATAGAAAATCATGCCATCTTGTTAATAAACTTTATTAAAATGTATTCATTCTGCACAAGTTTTTAGTTTTTTCATACTCTTTTAGCAATAGTGGGAGATATAGCTATATACATGATAGGATCCCCCTTCCTCAGAAGCACACAGTCTAGGAATGTGTGCTTGGTCAGAATGCAATGGTCAGAAATTCCTAAGACCATCCTTACTTCTGTCACCAACTGCAAGTTTGAGAGTCCCCCAAACTACCCTCAGGCTTGATAACTAACAAGGACTCACAGAACTTAGGAAAGTCATACTCAAGTTACAGTTGGTTACAGTGAAAAGACACAGATTAAAATCAGCAGAGGAAAGAGACCCATAGGACAAGGTCCAGGAGACACCAAAGCACAGAACTACCATTTGTTCCCTCCCAGTGGAATCGTGCAGACAGCACCTGTTTTCCTCTCAGAAACGATGTGTGACAGTACACACGGAGTACTGTCAATCAGGGAAGCTCACCCATGCTTTGTGTTTAGGGTTTGTATTGGGGCTCAGTCATATATATGTGGTTGACCACCTGTGTGGCTGACCTTAGCCTTCAGCCCTTCACAGGTTGAACTGACACCACATGCTCCAAGGCTCCCACCATAAATCACACTGTTAGCATAGACTCTTATGCATGACCCAAAGGACCCAGGCAAATGAAGATGCTCTTATCAGGCAAGAGGTTACCTCCTAGGAGTTGAGGGCAAAGGCCAAATCTCTTTTTAGGCAAGGTTAATCCTTTACTGCACAATAAGTAAGATGCATGGGAATAAATTTCATAAAAGGCAATATATGAGGCCAGGCATGGTGGCTCATGCCTGTAATCCTAGGATTTTGGGGGCCTGAGGCGAGCGGATCACTTGAGGTCAGGAGTTTGAAACCAGCCTGGCCAACATGGTGAAACCCCGTCTTTATTAAAAATACAAAAAAATTAGCTGGGTGTGGTGGCAGGCACCTGTAATCCCAGCTACTTGGGAGGCTAAGGCAGGAGAATCGCTTGAACCCGGGAGGCGGAGATTGCAGTGAGCCAAGATCGTGCCACTGCACTCCAACCTGGGCAACAGGGTGAGACTCCGTATCAAAAAAAAAAAAAAAAAAGGCAATATATGAAATCCTTTGCATATTAAAGTTAATTATTCTTAAGTTGTAATTCATATAGGAGCATCTTATCTTTCTTTAATAGAGGAAAGAAGAAAATGTTACCATCTTTAGAAGTTTGGAGCTTTAAATTCTTCAATTAGGTTACTTGTGTACAAACTAAATGTTTAATAGAATTGAAGATTATTATATTTAAGTTTTTGGTTTTTGTTTTTGTTTTTTGAAACAGAGTCTTTGTCGCCCAGGCTGGAGTGTAGTGGCGTGATCTTGGCTCACTGCAACCTCTGCCTCCCAGTTCAAGCGATTCTCCTGCCTCAGCCTCCCAAGTAGCTGGGATTACAGGCATGCGCCACCACGCCCGGCTGATTTTGTATTTTGAGTAGAGATGGGGTTTCTTCATGTTGGTCAGGCTGGTCTTGAACTCTTGACCTCAGGTGATCCGCCTGACTCAGCCTCCCAAAGTGCTAGGATTACAGGCATGAGCCACTGTGCCTGGCCTTGTTTTTGTGTTTTTGAGAGACAGGCTGGGTGTGGCGGCTTACGCCTATAATCCCAGCAATTTGGGAGACGGAGGCAGATGATCACTTGAGCCCAAGAGTTTGAAACCAACTTGGGCAACATGGCAAGACCCCATCTCTACAAAAAAAAAAAAAAAAAGCCAGGCATGGTGGCATGCGTCTGTGGTCCCAGCCACTATGGAGGCTGAGGTGGATGGATTGCTTCAGCCTGGGAGTTTTAGGCCACAGTGAGCCATGATCACACCACTGCACTCCAATCTGTGTGACAGAGTGAGGCTGTGTCTTTAGTTAAAAAAAAAAAAAAAAAAAAAAAAGACAGGGTCTCGTTCTGTCGCCCAGACTGGAGTGCGGTGGTGCCATCACAGCTCACTGTGCTCTCGAACTCCCAGGCTCAAGCAGTGCTCCCACGATATCCTTCCAACTAGTTGGGACCACAGACTGGTGTCACCATGCCTGGCTAATATTTTTTAAAGTTTTTGTAGAGATGAAGTCTCACCATGTTGCCCAGGCTGGTCTTAAACTCCTGGGCTCAAGCCATCCTCCCACCTCAACCTCCCAAAGTGTTGGGATTATAGGCATGAGCCCCTGTGCCCAGCTACATTTAAGTTTTTTTAAAATTATGATAAAGAAGTACATAACATAAAATCTACCATCTTAATGTTTTTTAAGTATACAATTCAGCAGTGTTTAGTATATTCACACATTGTTGTACAACAGATCTGCAGAACATTTTCATCTTGTAAATCTAAAACTGTGTATCAATGAACAACTCTCGTTTTTTTCCCTACCCTCAACCTCTAATAATCACCATTTGACTTTCCACTTCTTTCTTTTTTTTTTTTTTTTGAGATGGAGTTTCACCTTGTTGCCCAGGCTAGAGTGCAATGCTGTGATCTTGGCTCACCGCAACCTCCACCTCCTGGATTCAAGCGATTCTCCTGCCTCAGCCTCCTGAGTAACTGGGATTACAGACATGCACCACCATGCCCAGCTAATTTTGTATTTTTAGTAAAGATGGGGTTTCTCCATGTTGGTCAGGCTGGACTCAAACTCCCAACCTCAGGTGATCTGCCCGCCTCGGCCCCCCAAAGTGCTGGGATTACAGCCATGAGCCACCGCGCCCAGCCTTTATTTTCCATTTCTATGAATTTGTTTACTTTAGATACCTCATGTAAGTGGAATCCTGTAGTGTTTATCTTTTTGTGACTGGCTTATTTCACTTAATGTCACGTCATCAAATTTCATCTATGTTGTAAGATGACAGGATTTTCTTCTTTTTCAAGGCTAAAAAATATTTCACTGTGGATACAAGGGGTCTTCAAAAAGTTCATGAAAAATGCATATTGTGAAAAAACTATGCATGTATTCCAATTTTTTTGTGTGTGCCAAAACCATTGTGCCCCTAGATCAGCTGCAAACAAGAGCAGAGCTTTCCTTTTTTTTTTTTGAGACAGGGTCCTGTTCTCTTGCCGAGGCTGGAGGCGCCATCTCGACTCACTGTAACCTCCACCTCCCAGGTTCAAGCTATTCTCCTGCCTCAGCCTCCAGAGTAGCTGGGATTACAGGCATGTGCCACCACGCCTGGCTAAATTTTGTATTTTTATTAGAGATGGGGTTTCACCTTGTTGGCCAGGCTGGTCTTAAACTCCTGACCTCAGTTGTTCCACCCGCCTCAGCCTCCCAAAGTGCTGGGATTACAGGTGTGAGCCACTGCACCCAGCCTCTTAATTTTTAAAAACTAAAAAAAGAAATTCTTTTGTAGAGACAGGGTCTAATTGTGTTGCCCAGGCTAGTCGTGAACATCTGGCTTCAAATGATCCTACTGTCTTGGCCTCCCAAAGTGTTGGGATGACAGGCATGTGCCACTGTACCCAGGGATATTTCTTCATTTTCTCCATTCCATGGCTTTGCTGTTTTATAAAACCACAGAGGTTAACATTTATACTCTAGGCCCAGATTCTTCCAGTCTCTTCCGAGTTTGACACCAGGGAATATATCATAGAAGGGTCTGGTTGTTCTCCTTAGTATTTATTACAAAAGTTATCCCTTGAAATGTTATTTTTTTTCTTGATAATCTATACTAAGCACTGATATCTATTAATTTTTCTAAACTTTTCCTCTTCCATTTTTAGCAGTTAGCATCTCCTACGGAGATGGGCTCCTTTTGTTTTCTTTAAAATCTACAACATAATGTATTTTCTTCTAATGATACAAGTTAATTTTTTCTGTACACCTGGATTTTTAATCTTTTTAATTTAAGAGTTCAATTTTTAAATCTTTTTTTTTTTTTTTTTTTTTTTTGAGATGGAGTCTCCCTGTGTTGCCCAAGCTGGAGTGCAATGGCACAATCTTGGCTCACTGCAAGCTCTGCCTCCCGGGTTCATGCCATTCTCCTGCCTCAGCCTCCCGAGTAGCTGGGACTACAGGCGCCCACCACCATGCCCAGCTAATTTTTTGCATTTTTAATAGAGACGGGGTTTCACCGTGTTGCCCAGGCTGGTCTGAAACTCCTGACCTCAGGTGATCCACTGCCTCGGCCTCTTAATTTGCTGGGATTACAGGCGAGAGCCACCGCACATGGCCAGATTTTTGTATTTTTAGTAGAGACGAGGTTTCACCATGTTGGCCAGGATGGTCTCAAACTGCTGACCTCAAGTGATCTGCCCATCTCAGCCTCCCAAAGTCCTGAGATTACAGGTGTGAGCCACTGCACCCAGCCCCAGGTGTTATTTTTGCTTGGGCCATATATCTACATTAAAAAAAAAAAAGCAAAAATTAGGTTAACATTGCACATGAAGTTTTGCATTTTGCTTTTTATAATAATTTATTTAATCAATACCTATTGAAGAACAGAAGTTTTTTTTGTTGTTGTTGTTGTTTTTCCAATTTTCTTGCTAGTAAAACAAAATGCTATAGTTAAAACTCTTGTGTGTGGCCAGGTGCGGTGGCTCATGCCTGTAATCTCAGCACTTTGGGAGGCCAAGGCGGGTGGATCACTTGAGGTCAGGAATTTGAGACCAGCCTGGCCAACACGGTGAAACCTGGTCTCTACTAAAAATGCAGAAATTAGCTGGGCGTGGTGGCATGTGCCTGTAATTCCAGCTACTTGGGAGGCTGAGGCAGGAGAATCACTTGAACCCAGAAGGCGGGGGTTGCAGTGAGCCAAGATCACAACCACTGTACTCTAGCCTGGGCGACAGTGAGACTCCGCTTCAAAAAAAAAAAAAAAACCCTTGTATGTCTATCTTTATACTCTTATGCTAATATATTTTTAGGCTACATTACTAGAAATGGCATTGTCTATCTTAGAGTTTTTTTGTTTTGTTTTGTTTTTTTAAGACAGAGTCTCGCTTTTCACCCAGGCTGGAGTACAGTGGTGCGATCTCAGCTCACTGCAACCTCTGCCTCCCAGGCTTAGGTGATCCTCCTGCCTCAGCCTCCCAAGTAGCTGGGACCACAGGCATGTGTCACCATGCCTGGCTAATTTTTGTAGTTTTGGTAGAGACAGGGTTTCACTGTGTTGCCCAGGCTGGTCCCAAACTCCTGGCCTCAAGTGATCCACCCACCTCAGCCTCCCAAAGTGCTGGGATTACAGGCATAAGCCACCACTCCCAGTCCACCAAATTGCCTTCTGAAAGAGCTGTCATAGCTTATATTCTCTCCAAGAATACAATTTTCCTGCATCCTCATCAGTATTAATGCTTTTATTTTATCCTAATTTGCTAGCCCACATGTCTGCTTGATTTTTAAAAAACTGGATAACAATCTGTTGCTGAAAATTAGAGTCTAAGCTTTTTCACTGTCCCTTAGCATTTTGGTATTTTCGTGAGTAGTAGGAAAGAGCTCAGAGAACAAAAATTAGATAATAATGATGTTCACAGGATGTCTCATGTATGACTCCATTTGTGTTTTCTAGCTTGAAGTACATCTGGATTCCTTATGTGTGCATGTTAGCAGCATTTGGTGTATGTTCTCCCGAACTTTGGATGACACTTTTCAAGTGGCTTCGATTAAGAACTGTACACCCAATATTGTTGGTGAGTCATTATTTTGCATTGTTTCTCTTCTAATTATATAAAATCAAATGCTAATAAATGGAAACTACATTGAATACAATTGAAATAGCATGAGTAAATTACATGATGACTTACAGGTAGAAAAACAGATCCTGCGCAAAACATTTTTAAAAATAATTTCTGGGCTGGACGCGGTGGCTCACGCTTGTAATCCAAGCACTTTGGGAGGCTGAAGTGGGTGGATCACTTGAGGCCAGGAGTTCGAGACCAGTCTGGCCAACATGGTAAAACCCTGTCTCTACTTAAAATACAAAAAAAAATTAGCTGGGCATGGTGGCGCATGCCTGTAGTCCCTGCTACTCAAGAGGCTGAGAATTGAGAATTGGTTGAACCCAGGAGGCAGAGGTTGCAGTGAGCCAAAATCTCACCACTGCACTACAGCCTGGGCAACAGAGCAAGACTTTGTCTCAAAAAAAAAAAATTCTGATTATCAAAGTAATGCATTTTAATGCATACAACTTAAAAAATAAAAGATAAAAATGTACGTGAATCAGTAATGTGAGAGGTCATCAAGAATCAATTTTTATGATATCTTTCTTGGTTTGATTTAGAACTATGGTATATTTTCTATGTGAATGGAACATTACATTCTGCCTGCTATGTGCTTGGGATACAAAGATAATTATAGCACACTTAATTTCATCAAGTGGATTATAATCTCTGGGTGTAAAAACAGATAATAAGAATTCGGCCCTCTGTCCCCTGCTCCCTCCGCTTCCACTTTCTTCAACCTGCCAGCTCTTCCTTCTTTCCCTGTCCTGCCTCCTAAAAAACAAAAATAAATTTTCATAGGGTGCTGTTAGAACATAGGGAAGGGCTACTCAATTCTGTTTTTCTTTTTCTTTCTTTTTTTTTTCTTTTAGGGACTCAAATAAGGCTTTCCAATCTGAGATTGGAAATATATTTAGTTATTAGGCAAATGAAGGGGAAAGAAAGGGTATTCATGGTAGAAGGAATAGACACAGAAGTAGGCAAAGAACATGATGTAATCAAAGGGACTGGGAAAAAAGCACAATATATTTAGTTTTCTTGGCACATAAAGTGTGAGGTAGGTAGGGGTGGTCAAGAAATGAGACTGGAGAAGTGGAGGAAGGTGAGGCCATGGGGTCCCTGGGTGTCATGCTGCGGAGCTGGCTCTCATGCTGTCAGCAGTGGGAAGAAATTGGGATGTGTCTGCCTCATGCAAAGTGAGAGAGTCAGACTTACATTTTCTATTTGCTCACTCTTACATTTCTGTGAAGGATAGTCCTACAGGCAACAGACTTCAGTCACAGAGGAGGCCAGAGTGGCTAGAAGTAATTGAAGCTTCAATTTATTGAATGTTCACTATGTCAGGTACTGTTTGAAGCATTTCACATGCTATTTAATCCTAGATTTTCTCTGTTTTATAGATTAAAAAAAAAAAACCAAGGCTTTAATTGTTTAAATAACTTACTTGAGATTACCAAGTTTGTAAGTATGGAAATCATGATTCACACCCAGGATTTTCTTTTCTCTTTTTTTTTTTTTCTTTTTGAGACAGAGTCTTACGGTGTCTCCCAGGCTGGAGTGCAGTGGCACAGTCATAGTTCACTTTAGCCTTAAACTCCTGGGCTTAAGCAATCCTCCTGCCTCATCCTCCTGAGTAGCTGGGACTTCAGGCACACGCCACCATGCCCAGCTAATTAAAACTTTTTTTTTTTTTGTAGAGACAGGGTCTCACTATGTTGCCCAGGCTGGTCTCAAACTCCTGGACTCAAGCAATCCTCCCACCTTGGCCCCCAAGTTCTGGAATTATAGGTGTGAGCTACCGCACCCAGCCATGCCCAGGTTTTTCTGACTCAAAAGCCCATTTGATTAATAGTATGCCAGATTGGAATGAAAAAAGTAGTTAGAAGATCAGTAAGCCTCACTGCTTATTAAGTATGGGGAAATGAGGAAGAGGGAGATAACTTAGATGTTTCCTGGGTTTCTGGTTGGTATGACTGGATCACAGGGTCACTAAAAGACATGGGACAGAAGGCAGAGCAGGTTTTATTATAGCAGGATGATGATACATTATCTTTAATAATACTTATGTTGTATTTTGCCAGTCTTATTTCAAGGAGAGTTTATATGTTCTTATTTTAACAGACTAGTATACTGATGTATATTAGCTATTTTTCTTGTGTTAATTCATTGTTTTTTTTGTTGTTAGCTTTTCATGTAGTAGTGTACTATCCTTTGTAAGATCTGTATAACATAAATTTCTGGCAAATTTTTCAAGTATCCACTTGCCATTTGAAATATTATTATGAGCATTACCTTTTTAATGTTCTGCCTTAAATTTTTATAGTAAATGTTTATGTCTCACTTTACTTCCAGCTTAATATCTTTGAAAGTCATTAGTTTTCACCCATCTCATTCTGTGAACTAGGTTCTATGTTGACTTCATTTTTTTTGAAATTTGTATAACTATAGAGATATATGATTGGTCATAGAATCAGTGTCTATTACCTCTAACGTGTGTTCTGAAATGTATTTATTTGTAATCCTTTTTGCTTTAATATTTTAGGCTCTTATTCTGAGCATGGCCGTGCCTACTATAATAGGTCTCAGCTTATGGAAAGAGGTAAAAAAATTAGATTTTTATATTAATAAAATGTACTTTATCTACAAAGGTAGTGATAAATTTATATGTGTGGGTAGGAAACATGTTGAGACACTATCCTAACAAAATAAAATGTAACATTCTTAGTAATGCTTAATTTTTTTTGTTATTAGGAACATTGCAGAAGAGCTAAAACATTTCTAGAATGCCACCTGATGCCATTTTCTGCAGTCTAATGCTAGTGTTAATTCAGTTTATAATTGGCAAAGGAAATTGCTGAGTAAATAGGAATTAATATTAAAACACGTTTTGGTAACTCCAAAACTTTATCATCTATGAAATGATATAAATTCTGCAAATTATTGGACCTGAAAATTTATTTATTTATTTAGTATGTATGTGCCTGAAAGATGATCAATTTATTATTGTTTGGTAATGATAAAATTATTTATTGAGTCAAAGCAGTGAATTAACCATAAAATAGATGATTTGGATTGAGAAAAATAAGCAGGCCATTGAAGGAAAGCAAAGAGATCCATCATGACATTTTTTCCATGCGAACGGTGTTGTAATATCATTTGCCTTAAGTTAGTCTGTTAGTCTTTTGAAATACTGTGGAACAGTTTTAAACTTTCTAATTACTGACATACATCTTTTGGGGATTTTTTTTTTTTTTTTTTGCATTTTAGTTTTTTCCCAGATTAATGACAGAATTAATGGAACTACAGGAATTCTATGACCCAGATACAGTGGAACTTATGACCTGGATAAAGTAAGGATTGAAGTGCCCAAGACTATTATTAAGCTATTAATTAATCACTGCATGCTATCTAATGAATTCACAGGAAATAATAAATTAATACTTCTCCAAATTTTTTCATAAAACTCAGGCGTTTTAGGGATATTTAGATTTTGGTTGGACTTAGTGATACTAATTTTCCGCTCATCTCCATGGGCTTGAAAATATAGCATTGGTCGGTATAAGATTTGAAACTGCCATTGTCAAACACTTAGAAATATGGGATAAAAAAGAAGAGATATCCTTTTATTTAGATACTCAAGAGGATGCTTATTTTGCCCTGTGTTGGAGGTGAATTGTCAGTGGATTATTAGTTTTGATAACCAGGGGTTTTAGATTTTAATGCCCACACAGGACAGGAGATGTGGTCTTAGGCCTATGGAAGCAGGGAATTGGAATTGAGAACCCCCCAACACACACATGTGTAACTCAGGGACCCTCAAAAGGCTACACTGGCAGTGAAAGGATAGAAGAGCAAAATACCTAGTCAGTGAAAGGATGGAGTAGCAAGATACCAAGGGGTAGAGAAAGAAGATGAGAAAGCAGATCTCTCTTGCATTCATCTCTTGGTCAAAAAAATTCTCCCCTCTCAATTTATAGCAATGGATCTGAATTCATGTGGTTTTATAGTTCGAAATTATACTTGGCTAATGTAATTTGAAATTATGCTTGTCTAATCTAAGAAATCCCAAATTAAGAAATTAACATTAAAAGTGGTTTGGGGTTGGTCTGGAATGGGTGACAAATCCTCAACCCATGTTATACAGGATTCCATAAGTAAAGTTTCATAAAGGTAAGCTCTGAAATTATAAAACACATAAACAGCTCAATGCAGTGTGCGATAAACAGCAGAATTAGACCTCTAGCTATTTCTGATAATAAAATTTATGTCATTTAGGGTTTGCTACATAACAGAATGCCACAAAACTTAGTGGCTTACAAACAATAAACATTTGTTATTCCACACCATCTTGAGAATTAGCAGGGTTAGGGTGCTGGGGAGGATTGTTTTGGTCTGGGCCAGCTCCACTGGGACTGGATAGTCTAGGGTTGGCTATGTGTCAGCTGAGGGGATCAAATTTACTTGGCCCTCTGTCTCTCATCATCTAGCAGGTTAACTTGGGCTTGTTTACAAGGTAGTTGTAGAATTCCCAAGAGCAGCAAAAGAGGGCAATTCTCAATGTCAAGCATGTTTTAAGTCACTGCTTACACGGTGCTTACTATTGTCCTATTGGCCAAAGCAAGTCACATGATTAATACTAGCATTCCCTCCAAGACCATGACCATAGGGAGAGGAATTACTGTGGCCATTTTTGTAACCAGTCTATTCCATGGATGGAAACTATGAAATAACTACATTGAAATTTATTAAAGACATAAAAGAAGATAAGAAAACATGAAAAAGTGATGAAATACTATCAAAAAAGACCAGAAAAATATGGGAAAAAAGACAAAAAGTGTTTCTAGAAATTTAAAATTGGTTTATAGAATAGGTATATAGAAACAAGAATAGATTTTATTATAATGTCTTGTTACTATAACATATCTTCTATTTTATACAAATAGTTTTCTTTAGATCACCCTTAACTATTACCCATTAATACTTTTTGTAAATTCTGTTTTCTATTGTTGAACACTGCCTTGTGTTATCATTAACAAAAGAGGAAGTTACATCTCTGTATGATTTACCACAGTATTTTCAAAGACAGCAAAGGCCCAAACAATTACCTATTGAATATTTATGTTACTGGGTACAATTACTGTGTTTTGTATCTGTTTCCTCACTATTGAGGACAGTGGCCATATATGCCATCTCTTTATTTCAATAGCCGGGCACTATCCCTGGCGCATAGAGGTGGGTGCTTAATGTTAAATTTAGACAGTGAATAAATAAGTGAATGTATTACAACAGCCCTTTGGGACCTGCTTGTAGGTTTTCCACTTTGCAAGTAGCATCTGTCTGGGACTTGGGATAATGATTCAGAGTGGAGGAGTCCTATATGTTCTGCCTGGAGACAGACACATGGGTAAAGACAGTGAAGGAGCAGGAGGAGAGGTGGATTTGGAAGAAGCTGGGTTGTAGGTGGTTAATTTGCAAAAGATGGAGTTGAGAATTCACAGTATCATCACTGAACTAGCCACCTTATCTAAAATAATATATTCTTGTTACTATCCCCTTACTCTGCATTATTTTTAATCATATTATTACCACCCAATATATGTGTTTACTTCTTATTGTCTTCCCCCTGCTCCCTCTTTTTAGAAAAGTTTCTATATCTTCAGCACAAGTGTCTGCTGCATAGTTAGGTGCCCAATTTTTTTGAATGAATCCATGAATGAAATGAAATGAAAACTGGCATTGAAACTGAAATGTGTAAACATTGTAAGTTGTCTGGTATTTCAGAGTTGATATAGATCAGTGATCTAAATAGTATACTTGCCTTTTCAGTGTGCAAATCTTTATGGTTCTTTGCAGAAGGCAAGCTCCAGTTGCAGCTGTGTTTGCAGGGAGTCCACAGTTAATGGGTGCGATTAAATTATGCACTGGATGGATGGTGACAAGTTTGCCTCTTTACAATGATGATGATCTTCTCAAGAGAAATGAAAATGTAAGACATTTTAAATTCTACATTTGGATCTCTTTTCCAGCACTTTGTATTTTAGCATAGTCTGCAGTATACATATGCTTCTAGGTAGCTAGGAAAGTCCAAACAATTTTAGAAGAGTTAATTAACTTCCATTTTAAAAAACCTTTTTAATTAATAATACAGTTAACCAAGAGGAGACCCAAAATTAAAATACTAAGTTCTTTGTTTTATGAATAATACTGATATGTTTCTAGGAAAAATACTTAATTTTCCACAAAGTATCAAGGGACCTAATGTGTAATATTTTACCCAGGCTGGAATACAGTTGTGCAATCTCAGCTCACTGCAACCTCCGCTTCCTGGGTTCAAGCGATTCTCCTGCCTCCAAGCGATTCTCCTGCCTCAGCCTCCTGAGTAGCTAGGATTATAGGCACTCACCACCACAGCCGGCTAACATTTTTTTAATTCACCCAGGCTGGAGTACAGTGGCGCAATCTCGGCTCACTGCAACCTCTGCTTCCTGGGTTCAGGCGATTCTCCTGCCTCTGCCTCCTGAGTAGCTGGAATTACAGGCACCTGCCACCACAGCCAGCTAACGTTCTTTTTAAAATATTGTTCTCAATCAAATTTTTATTTTATTTTTTATTGTATTTATTTATTTTTTTGAGACAGAGTCTTGCTCTGTCACCCAGGCTGGAGTGCAATGGTGCGATCTTGGCTCACTGCAACCTCCACCTCCCGGGTTCAAGTGATTCTTCTGCCTCAGTCTCCCGAGTAGCTGGGATTACAGGCACCAGCCACCATGACCAGTTAATTTTTGTATTTTTTAATAGAGACAGGGTTTCACCATGTTGATCAGGCTGGTGGCAAACTCCTGACCTCAGGTGATCCACCTGCCTTGGCTTCCCAAAGTGCTGGGAATACAGGCGTGAGCCACCGTGCCCAGCCCTCAATCAAATTTTTAAAAGAAGGCTGTCAATTAATGTCTTGGTACTACATTTTGTCTTTCTCAGCTAAAGTTCTATTATTGCTTATAAAACACTAATTTATTTTTTAATAAATGGGCAGTTATTGACTCAGTATAACATTAGAATGGTATCTAATTAATTATAGTTTAGATAATGTCTTATTTTGAATGTTTGGTATGAATTTAAATGGTAACTTCATATCTGAAAGCAATGATCAACTGAACATGAGTTCCCAATATTCTGTTTTTCAATTTTAGATAATTTCATAGAGTTTTTAAGCATATTCTAAGTTAAGGAAGAAATACAGTAATATAGAGATTAAGAATGCAGACTCAGAAATTTGAGTACCTGAACCCAAATGCTAGCTCTGCTGTGTATTAGCTTCGTGACCTTAAGCGAGTTACTAAATCTCGAGATTAAGTGAGAATAATAGTTCTCACCTCCTACTTGTGAGAATTAAATGAGATAATGTACAATGCCTGAAACACAGTAAAATTTTAAAGTTTGCTATTATGTTATTATTCTGTACTATTAAGTGGTTGTTGCATGCATACACATATACATAGACACACACAAGGTACAAAGAGGAGTAAAAAAGCAGGAACAATCGAACAATTCCGCCTACAAAAGTCTAAGAAGTTGTCATAAAAGGCAGTCCCTTGATCTGGGCTTTGAAGAATGATTGGAAACTTGTTTGGAAAAGAAATATATATGATTCCAGGCTGAAAAAGTAACATGAGCCAAGGAATTTGTATAGTCTTGAAACTAGGAAAGAAAATGAGGCAGAATTCTGACAGACCTGGAATGTCATGCTGAAAAATTTAGACTTATCCTTGAGGCAGTTAAGAGACATGACTTTTAGTAAACCTGGCAGTCGAATGATTAGATCTGCTTTGGAGAGTTAATTATGGTCATGGCAGAAAGAACAGATTGAAGCAGGCAGGGGAGAGATCAGAGATGGGGAGATCTACCTGAGAATGATTTCCTTGAGAGACAGCAGCCATCTCTGATGAGTATTTGCTGCACCTCCAAAAGATAGAGTTGCTTAGGCAGAATATAGACAGCATATTCCTGAATTTTATTTTTTGTGGATTTAAAACAACAAACTCTGTGACTTTGTTTTCTTTGATTGGTCTTTTTCTAATATGGAATTTCAGAATTACTTGTAATTAGGTCAGAGTTCTATTTAGGTTCTAATTTAAACATTTTAGAGTTTTAAGTTTTATGTAACTTGTCTATGAGAATAGTAACCATGGTTTTTGAAACCTTTGTCTTTCTCTATGGTATGTAGCACATAGCAGGTATTGAGTAAATTTGTTGTTAAGCTAAAATCCAAACTGAACTCCATAAATGAGACCATATCATTTATTTATTTTTTAATTTTAATTTTTGTTGTTGTTGTTGTTGACGAGTCTCGCTCAGGCTGGAGTGCAGTGGCACAATCTCAGCTCACTGCAGCCTCCGCCTCCCAGGTTCAAACAGTTCTCCTGCCTCAACCTTCTGAGTAGCGGGGACTACAGGTGCACACCACCACGCCTGGCTAATTTTTTATGTTAGTAGAGACAGGGTTTCATCATGTTGCCCAGGCTGGTCTTGAACTCCTGAGCTCAGGCAATCCGCCTACCCCTGCCTCCCAAAGTGCTAGGATTACAGGAGTGAGCTACCATGCCCGGCCATTTATTTATTTATTTATTTATTTATTTTTAATTAATTTATTTTTTTGAGATAGAGTCTCACTCTGGTACGGTATGGATTTAAATGGTAACTTCATATCTGAAAGCAATGATGAACTGAACCTAAGTTCCCAATATTCTGTTTTTCAATTTTAGAGAATTTCGTAAAGGCTGGAGTGCAGTGGCATGATCTCGGCTCACTGCAACCTCCATCTCCCAGGTTTAAGCAATTCTCCTGCCTCAGACTCCCGAGTAGCTGGGACTACTGGTGCATGCCACCGCACCCAGCTAATTTTTGTATTTTTAGTAGAGATGGGGTTTTGCCATGTTAGCCAGGCTGGCCTCAAACTCCTGATCTCAAGTGATCCGCCTCCCTGGGTCTCCCAAAGTGCTGGGATTACAGGCGTGAGACACTGCGCCTGGCCAACCATATCATTTAAATTACACAGAGTCTCTAATTCATAATATGTGGCTAATCCTTATATAATCCCCTGGGCCAGTGATTCTTAACCTGGGAGAATTGTTCCCCGAGGGGACATTTGGCAGTGTCTGGAGACATTTTTGGTTGTCTCAATGTCATAACTGGAAGAGGGGTTCTACGAGCATCTTGTGGGTAGAGACCAGGAATGCTGATCTACATTGCAGAGAACATCCTCCCTTGTGTCCCAACAAAGAATGATCTGGCCTAAAATGTGAATAGTGCCAAGGTTGAGAAACTGTGCTGTAGGCTATCAGTAATGTTGTTACAATCGCATAGAAGTGGTTTTTTTTTAATGCCCCAATAGTATGTTTCAGTTTCTTAACACTTAAAAATAAATAAAATTGTAAATAACTATGAATAGGTATAGGCTAGATAGGATAGAACCATTCCCACTGAAACGTATTTAGTGTAGTGAAATGAGGGAGACACTTCCTCTTGATGTATTGGCATTCTGTGTGCCACAGAATGTTGAAGGTGGGTATTCCTAGCATGTCAGTGGACGTGGGAACTGAAGGTACTAGATAGGCAGCTATGGTGACAGGTAGGAGGCAGCTACTGGATATTCTGCAAATAGATTGGAATCTTATTCATTCTAGATTTCAAATCTCAGTATTTTCAGGACAAATAGTATATGATACTATGGGCCTAATATTTGTGGTTTTACTACTTTTTGAAGGATATCAAGAGTTGATCCAATATTAACATTTCAGAAAGACTGAAAAGCTTTATTATCTAATAAGATCCAGAGCTTATTATCTAATAAGTTCAGAAAAATTATAGTAAAAAGCACCACATAATCCAAACATGAGTTTTGATATATAGATGAATATTTACATTTATTTATAAAAATAAATATATTTTTCATATATAATCGTACTTAGAACACAGTAGATGCTTGATGTATAGTTTCAATTTACTGAAGTTTTAAATGTCCTTTAAATTTTATTTTAATTATATTCTTTCAGTTTTATTTTAATTATATTCTTTCAGATCTACCAAATCTATTCAAAGCGATCTGCTGAGGATATTTATAAAATACTGACATCTTACAAAGCTAATTACCTAATTGTAGAGGATGCTATCTGCAATGAGGTGGGACCCATGAGAGGCTGTAGGGTTAAAGATTTATTAGACATTGCAAATGGCCACGTAAGTAACCATTTGGAAAGTTATATATATGTATATATATATATTTTTTTTTTAGAAAAATGACTTTAAACTTATAATCTTTAAACTTTATTTTTAGAACTTAACTAAGAATATAATTGAGTTATGTAATAATGGGGAAAGCTTCTTAAAAGTAGTTTGGAGTATTTTTTCAACATACAAAAGAAAATCTGGGCATTTTTGCAAAAATAATAAAAAATAATAATGGTATTACCAATACTGGAATTCCTTATTCATTGCCTGTACTTATTCAGGTTTCAACATTCATAAACAAAAGATGGCATAATTTGATTTGAATGATGATTTTATTTTATTATAATAATCTAAAGAGCAACTGGTTACCTTGTTATATTCTTATGTTGAGAAATTTCTTGTAATTTGATTCATATCTAGAAAAATTGCATGCTAAATTAACACAGTGCCTGTACATTGAGTCCCTATTATCCACAAAAACGAATGTATTAAAAGCCATGTTAGTTGTTAGGACTTGGCTGTATCTTAATTTCTATATTGATTTCGGCTGTTTTACCAAGCTGTGTTTTCCACAAGAAGACCACCTAAGACTGACGCACGCGCGCGCGCATGTGTCTTCCCCCCCAGCCCCCATGGCCTTCCAATGAAGGCAGTGTGTATATCTGAGACTTAATGCTAGCTGGAATGGATTCTTGACTCCTGAGAAAGCTGGGAGTGAGGGATCATAAGAAAAGTTTAGTAAGTCATTGTAAGTGGTAGTAGATATACTATTCAGGTTGCAGCCAAGATTTTTTCTGTCTTTTCCTAAATAATCATAGCTCTTTGTCTTATCCAAGATCAGTTTGGAGGTAAGAAATTACTTTTTGTGATTTCTACTTATCTTTTCCTCATGACCCCTTAATCTTGTAATATAAACTTACTCTGTTTTATGGTACATGTATTTTGAATTTCTCTGTTGGTACTTAGTGGCTGTGATCTTTGGTTTACTGGTGACACAAATGGAATTTTATGAAGCCTCGGGTACAGTTTCAGTAATTGGTGCTGTCTTGCTATCTGCTCTCTGAAGCCTTTCTATTCTGCTCTGATACCCACTTTTCTGCTGTTTTGAAGATCAGCTTACTTCTCCTTTCATGTCATGCCTGGCATGGACTTAAGCTAATCCATCCTTTTAAAGTTGGCTATCTGACATCTTTCATAGCCATTAAAATATTACTTAATTTTTTTTATAAAAACTTCTTCAAGCTAACTAAGCTATCTTAGTGAACATCATTCGGTGAAATTGTAAAGGTCTGCACTAAGTCACGAAAGTTTCCTTGCTTACTAAATAATTCTACACGAGAAGAGTGAATATATTTAGGAATATAATATGTTCATTTCTCAGCCTTGGTAGGGTGCATGATAAGGTCTTCGGAGCGATGATAATGGATTATGGAAACACTGCCTTCTAAATTTTAGGATTAAATCTTTTAAAAATTGGAAACCTTTGTGCTGGTTTCTCAGTGTCAATGAGAAGTTCAGGAGTATAGTGGGCATGGTGACTCACTTATGAAGAAGGCTTCTATTTGCTAACAGTGAGATGTTTTATAGACAATGTTTAGCAATAATGTGTTTTTTCATATAAATATACTCATTTGTATATTGATTGCATTTCTGCTATAAGCTTAATAAGCTTTTTAATATTATGTTTTATATCTTTTAATAGATGGTTTGTGAAGAAGGTGACAAGCTAACCTACTCAAAATATGGGCGATTTTGTCATGAGGTCAAAATTAACTATTCTCCATATGTGAATTATTTCACTAGAGTATACTGGAACAGATCCTACTTTGTATATAAAATCAACACTGTGATATCCTTCCAGTCTTGAAAAATAACAGAGCCTTCATTTCAAAGACTACCTGAAGTAAAATGCAGTTTTCTTCTACCTACTCGGTGTCTTTTGCAGATCAGAGTATGGACATTTGAAATATTGCTGCTTCTTTCCCCCTTCTGCTGTTAACTGGATCCAGAGTTCTGTGGGAAATAGAAGATCAAGCATTACTGTCCTTTGATTAAATGTGATATCTACCACTCTGCAATATTCCAGACAGGTGTCTTCCTTACCGTTACATGGTCTTTAACACTTTTACTGATTGCAATATTTTCCCCATAAAATCTTCATTCTATTATAATATTGATCTTGAATTTGAATATGTGCAAGGTCAGATACATTTCTCAAACATAACATTTAATAAATAATGTGATATAATTATTTAATAGAAAGAATAATTCCGACCTTCAAGCAAGTTTCTGAAGGTATTTTATGATGTATAACAACTGAAGTTTTACAATAAAAACTAATTTAAATGTTAGCTGAAGATATGTGGCATTTAAATTAAAATGGAAATTATATAAAGGAAAGTGATTTTTAAGGATATACATAAAGATATATTTAGAATTTTCATGATACTGTTCTCCTCATCTACTGCTTATGTTAAGTGAGAACTTTCTTAGTAATACATAATGCATGATGTTACTGCATTTTCTAAATGACTAGTAAGTGATTAGTTTTTTCACTTATGCCTATTAATTTGATACCAATTTAATCATGATAAAACAATAACCGTTAACATATATTTTGTTAAATGGACATTTAAAAGAATGTTGTTCAGGTTTTTTTTTTAAATACTGATATGGGGCATACAATCTATTCACATGTTTTCTACTGAAGTACTAAGTAAAAAAATTAAATCATTATCAGAATAAAAATATGTGTTCTAAAATTAGCAACAATTTCTGGGGATACATGCAGATGTTGTTAAACGTACCTCTGCATACAGATATATTATAAAACACAAGCAATGTTATTTATGAAACTGTGATGCAGTCTTCAACATCAAGAAAAAATGACAACTATAATAAAATTTACAACACAGTTTCACAGTCTAAATGCTATGTTCCTTTAAGTATTTTCATATTTTTAATCATTTATTAAGAGAAAATTGTGAAAAGTTAATTTGGCCTTATAGAGAGATTCAGGATAGATGTAGCCTATAGATGTGTCATTTTAATAAGTTGGGATACATGTTTAGTTTTTCCTTATATTCCTGTTCAGTGAACAGATTTTCATAATTCTCACTTGTTAAAGTGCTGCAAAAATTGCATTTTCAGTACTCTAAATTACTACATTAGAAGAGAGCATTTCTCCATTGTCTTTATTTTCTGTTATATATGTGTTGTAAAAGTACACTACATTAGAAGGGAGCTTTTCCGTTGTCTTTATTTTCTGTTATACATGTGTTGTTAAAGTACATGCATTCTTAGACTAACTCTCAGATGCTTTGCTCTTTTGGAGCTGAAGAATTGTTTGATGGTGATGTCATATATCTGATAGATTAGTTTCAGTGGTTCTCATTTCACTTTTATACGTAATTTCTTAACTATATTAAGATAGTTGCAGGCAGTGTACCTCAGGTTGACTCTGTACATCTGAATAGTGAGTCACTAGTATTTTGCTTCAAGCCTTCTGAAAATATAACCATAGTTACCTAAGCACACAGTGAATAGTCACATGGTAGTACTTGTGATTAGAGCATGTAAAACAATGTAATTGAAAAGTCAGCTTCCATATTTTGTAGGGGAAATAGAACACCCTACTTTTTATCTAGTGTGAAATATTTAATCGAATTTTTGTTGATTTATATTATGTTACCTGTGCTGAATTAGGTTTGGTACTTGTGTTTTGTTTGACATATTAGTAAGTTGCTTTTGCTTCTTTCTGTCAACTTATTTTTTAAATAAAATTGATCTGGAAAAATTGTTAATGGGATGTTTTAAATAATGAATTTTTCATCCAGCATCAGTTGAAAAGGAAAAGAAAGCTTCATTATGGAAATGACAATATTGAATATGACAGATAAGTTTATTTGCTTCTGTTTTAACTGCAGTTAATAGTACTAGACAACTTTAAGTGGAAAGCATTTAGTTTATTTCTTCACTTATTTGTAGAGTGAACAAATGATTCACAATTCTACAAGTAATTCCACTTAGGTAACTTACAGTTGTTAGGTTTGACAATAAAGATCTACTATGAGAGGAGAAGAATTTATGGGTTTTGGGTGGAAGGAATTTCTCAAAGAAATAAAAAATGTTCTTTGCCCTTGATACTGCAAACCCACTGATACAAGTGCCTTGAATTTATTATTATTATTATTTTTTATTTTTTTGAGATGGAGTTTCACTCTTGTCTCCCAGGCTGGAGTGCAATGGCGCGATCTTGGCTCACTGCAACCTCCGCTCGCTGCAACCTCCGCCTCCCAGGTTCAAGTGATTCTCCTGCCTCAGCCTCCGGAGTAGCTGGGATTACAGGCACCTGCCACCAAGCACGGCTAATTTTTGTATTTTTAGTAGAAACGGGGTTTCGCCATGTTGGCCAGGCTGGTCTCGAACTCCTGACCTCAGATGATCCACTCACCCCAGCCTCCCAAAGTGCTGGGATTACAGACGTGAGCCACTGCGCCCGGCGCAAGTCTTTGTTAAAAGTAGAGATGGAGGCCAGGCGCAGTGGCTCACTCCTGTAATCCCAGCACTTTGGGAGGCTGAGGCAGGCAGATCACGAGGTCAGGAGATCGAGACCATCTTGGCTAACACGGTGAAACCCCGTCTCTACTGAAAATACAAAAAATTAGCCGGGCAGGGTGGCGGGCGCCTGTAGTCCCAGCTACTCCGAGGCTGAAGCAGGAGAATGGCGTCAAGCGGCGAGGCGGAGCTTGCGGTGAGCCGAGATCATGCCGCTGCACTCCAGCCTGGGCAACAGAGCAAGACTCCATCTCAAAAAGAAAAAAAAAGTAGAGATGGGATCTCTAGCCTCCTAAGTTAATTTAGCCTCCCAAATGCCAGACAAAGAATCTAACATAAAATTTACCTTGAATAAGATATATGATATTGATTCTGAGCTGCTTTGTATTTTTTCTGACTTTGGCATCTGTATCTTGGTGCTTTCTGTTAGACTGGTAGAGTTTAAGAACCTAAGGAGTATGCATTGTACTTCAGTGCTAACTTTTTTCTTCATTTACTTTCTGTGTATATAGGCAGCATATTTTTTTTGTAGAACATTAACCCAGATTGCTAATAGCTTCATGTTACGGCATTCTTCCACACAGTCCAGATTGATTTAAGGAAAAGCAGAAATGGAAGTCAAAGTGTGTTATAAATTGAGACTGAAAAACATGCTTTAAAAAATAGATTTAATTTCTTACACTGTGAATAGCCATTGTATTGTTTTGTTTCTGATAAATCAGTTGTTTTGGGCCCCTATTTTTGAACTGTTAAAAAATTTTGATGCTTTTCGTGGATAAAAGTAGTGCCTCTCTTTATACAACTGATGGGGTTTTAAAAAGTGTAAATTGCCTTTTTTGTTAAACTTATTTTAAATGCTTTAGTATTTAAAGGGTGTATGTTATTAATTAATCTGCATATTTGTAACGCAAATAACTACTTCCTGATTTACATCTCAATATATTCTTCTTTCATTTGCCCAATTTAAAAAATACGTAGTCTCTATTGTTGCTGTTTACTAATAGTTTTAGATCCCAATGTGTATTAGAATTATAGCTACAAAAAGTTGCAAGTAAAATTTAGCAATTTCCTATTCAAACAGGATCTCATTAGTATGTTTTTTAATGTGTAGAATTAACACTTTAAAATAAACAGGTGTGAAAATTATAAAGGAATATATATGACAATTATTTTCTGTACATTAATGTCTAAACATTATACTTACTTTTTCATAATAAAGGAAATTTTGGAACCAAATTTGCTGAGTTTAGCATAAAGGCGTCTTTGAATTATTTCTGAGTTTCCTAAAATGTGCAACATTTTAATCTTGGCATATCTAATCCTATGTGCTGTTCTGTAAGAGGTACACTGGACTTCTAACCACTATATGTATTTAGTAGAATAATGGTATCACAAAGGAACAAGAATTCCAAACTTATAGTTTGAAATGTCTCATAAACAACCCTTTCGTATTTTAAGTTAGTAGCTTTGTATAGCTATTTAACACAGATGAGTATAGTTAGCTTTATATATATTATCCTCTGAGTCTTATCTGTGACAATGTGTATTTAGATTAAATATGTTCCTCCTGTAACTAAAGTTGCATCTTTGCAAAGGATCAAAGTTCATTTCAGCAGACACAAATTCTTTGAAAGATTTGGGCTATAAACTAACACTTCAAATTTTGTAATAATCAATATACTTTTATCAAGAAGGAAATTATTTCATGCTTAATTACCCTCCTTATTTTGTTTCCATAATAAAACTATTTTCAGAATTTTAAGTTATTTTATTTATACATGAGCTTTTTTGGTGACAGCTTCGCTGAGATATAATTCATATACCGTACAATTCACCCGTTTAAAATGTATAATTCAGCCGGGTGCAGTGGCTCATGCCCGTAATCCCAACACTTTGGGAGGCTAAGGTGGGCAGATTGCTTGAACCCAAGAGTTTGAGACCAGCCTGGGCAACATGGAGAAACCCCATCTCTACAAAAAAATACAAAAATGTAGCCGGACGTGGTGGCGCACACCCGTAGTCCCAGCTACCTGGGAGGCTGAGGCAGGAGGATCACTTAGGTCAGGGAGGTGGAGGTTGCAGTGAACTGTGATCACACCACTGCACTCCAGCTTGGATGACAGAGGGAGACCCTGTCTCAATAAATAAATAAATAAAAATAAAATATACAATTCAGTGGTTTTTAGTACGTTCATAGAGCTATGCAGTTATCACCACAATCAATTTTAACACATTTTTATTACTCCCAAAAGAAACCTCATACCCTTCTGGCTGTCAACCCAATCATTCTGTCCTCCCTAGCCCTAGGCAACCACTACTAATCTATTTTCTATCTCTATGTTTGCCTGTTCTGGACATTTCATATAAATTGAATCATACAACATGCTTCTTTCACTTGGAATCTTTTTAAGGTTCATCCATGTTGTTCCATGTATCATTCATTCATTTTTAGTGCCAGGTAATATTCCACTGTATGTATTTACCACATTTTATCCATTCATTAGTTGATAGACATTTGTGTTGTTTCTACTTTTTAGTTATTATGAATAATGCTGATAGGATTATCTGTATACAGGTTTTTGTGTGGGCATATGTTCGTTTCTCTTAGGTATATATCTAGGAGTTAAATTGCCGGGTCATATGGTAACTGGTTAACTTCAACAACCAGACTGGTTTCCAAAGTGGCTGCACCATTTTACGATCCCCCCAACAAGGGATGAGGATTCTAATTTCTCCACATCCTTGCCAATACTTATTATTTTCTTGATTATACCCACCCCAGTGAATGCAGCTATTTATCACTATAGTTTTAATTCACATTTCCATCATAGCTAATTATGTTGAGCACCTTTTCATGTGCTTATTGGCTGTCTGTATATCTTATTTGGAGCAATGTCTATTCAAATTCTTTGCCTTTTTTTTTTTTTTTTTTTTTCTTGAGACAGTTTTGCTCTTGTTGCCCAGACTGCAGTGCAATGGCACAATCTTGGCTCACCGCAATCTCCACCTCCCAGGTTCAAGCGATTCTCCTGCCTCAGCCTCCTGAGTAGCTGGGATTACAGGTGCACACCACCACACCCAGCTATCCACCTGCCTCGGCCTCCCGAAGTCCTGGAATTAGAGGCGTGAGCCACTGCGCCCAGCCCTCTTTGCCCATTTTTAAGTTGGGTTGTGTTTTTATTATTGAGATGTTAAGTATTCTTTATGTATTCTAGATATAAGGTCAAATATATGATGTGGAAATATTTCCTTCCATTCAGTTGATTCTCTTAACTTTTTTGAGTGTCCTTGAAGCACAAATGCTTTTAGTTTTGTTTGCATTATTTAATTCATTCTTTTTTTTTTTTTTTTGAGACAGGGTCTTGCTCCGTCACCCAGGCTGGAGTGCAGTGGCACAGTCACAGCTCACTGCAGCCTCGAACTCTCAGGCTCTTCACTCACATTTAATATTTTTGATGTAGTTGGCTTTACACTTGCTATTTTACTATTTTTCTAAATGTTTCATTTGATTTTTTTTTAAGTGGTTACTCTAAGGATTTATCATATACATTTTTTTTTTTTTTTTTTTTGAGACAGGATATTGCTCTGTTGCCCGGGCTGGAGTGCAATGGTGTGATCATGGCTTACTTGCAGCTCTGAACTCCCAGGCTTAATCCATCCTCCTCCCTCAGCCTCCCGAGTAGCTGGGATTACAGGAAGGCACCACTGCACCCACCTCATTTTTGTATTTTTTGTAGAGACGGGGTTTCTCCATGCTGCCCAGTCTGGTCTCAAACTCTTGGGCTCCAGTGATCTCCCTGCCTTGGCCTCCCAAAGTGCTGGGATTACAAGTGTGAGCTACTGCACCCAGCTATCATACTAAGCAGATTTATACTAACTTAATTCCAGTGAGATACAGAAGCGTTAGTCCTAAAAAGCTCTATTCCCTCTTCCCTCTTTGATACTATTATTTTTATACATATTACATCTATATATGTTATAAACACTATAATAAATATACTTATTACTTTAGATAATTTTGTCTTTTAAAGAAACTGAGAGAACAAAAGAAAAGTATATGTAGTATTTGCTATATTAACCTTATTTGCCATTTTTGGTTCTTTTTATTTGTTGCCATGGATTCAAGATACAATCTGGTGTCATTGTCTTACTCCAGTACAGCTTTGCTTTCAACTTACCTCCTTTGTGCTGTTATGTCAAATATATATGTATCTATAATGTAAGTTCAACAATATAATTATATACGGATTATTTTATACAGTTATTTTAAAAATCAGTTTAGAGAAGAAATATGTATTTATCTTTTATAATTAAATAGTTACTTTTACCAATACTCCTTGTTTTTTTCAGCGAATTCTAATTATTGTCTGGGATCACTTGCTTTCAGCCTCAAGAACTTCCTTTAGTAATTTTTAAAAGATGAATCTGTTAGCAATGAACTTCCTCCGTGTTTGTTTATCTGGGAATGTCTTTATTTTGCTTTTTTAAAAAGATCAGTTTTAGGCTTACAGAAAAATTGGACAAAACATACAGAGAATTTCCATACACTCGGGCTCCCCTCCGCCCATACACACACAGTTTCCTCTAACTCAACACCTTGTATTTGAATGGCACATTGCTTACAATTGAGGCAAATTGACAAATTATTATTAACTAAAGACTATAGTTTACATAGGGTTCACTCTTTGTGGTGTACTGTTCTGTGGGTTTTGACAAATGTTTCTATGGGTCTCACATGTCCACTATCACAGCATCTGGAGTAAGCAGTTTTACTGCCCTAAAATTCCTGTGTGCTCTCCGTATTCATCTCTCCCTCCCTTCCCGAGTCCCTGGCAACCACTGACTTTTTACTGTCTCTGTAGTTTTGCCTTTTCAGAATGTCAGCTGTTTGGAATCATGCAGTATGCAGCCTTTTCAGATTGGCTTCTTTGACTAGCAACATGCGTTTCAGGCTCCCCCACGTCTTTTTATGGCTTCATAGCTCATTTCTTGTTATTGCTGAAAAACATTCCATTGTATGAGTATGTGGGCGTTTATTTATTCAGGGACATCATGGTTGCTTCCAAGTTTAGCCATTGTGAATAAAGCTGCCATAAATATGTGCAGGGTTTTTGTGGACATAAGTTTTCCACCCATTTGGGTAACTAACAAGAAGTGCAATTGCTTGATGGTGTGGTACTACTAACCTTTGGATTAATAAGAAACTGCCGAGCTCTCTTCCAAAATGGCTGTACCGTCTTGCATTCCCACCAGCAATGACTGAAAGTTCTGTTGCTTCATATCCCTGTCAGCATTTAGTGGTGTCAGTTTTGGATTTTAGTCATTCTAATGTGTGTAGTAACCTGGAAGTTCTGCTGGGCTCTGCCTCTGCCTCTCATTGTTACTTTAAGTGACAATTGCCTAATGACATATGATGTTGAGCATATTTTCGTATGCTTATTTGCTATCTGTATATCTTCCTTGGTGAGGTAGCTATTCATCTTTTGCCTATTCTGTCTTTTTCTTATTGTTGAATTTTTAAAGTTCTTTGTATATTTTGGATGCAAGTCCTTTATCAGATATGTGTTTCCTAAATATTCTTTCCCAATTCGTTGCTTGTTTTTTTTGTTTGTTTTGTTTTGTTTTTTGGTTTAAAGAGCCCGGGTCTCCCTTTCTTTGGGTCTCACTCAAAGGCACTGATATTCGCACACTTGTTTCTGATTTTATGGGGGCAGATGCAAATGAAGTTTGCAACAGGAAGTTTGGGGCACAGCTACAAATAAATACAAACGGAGCGAGGCATCCCTGTCCCACCCGACCTGGAAGTTCTGCTGGGCTCTGCCTCTGCCTGAGGGGTTGAGAACTCTCATCTCTTGGGTGGCCCATCATTGCAACCCTCTCCCAGCCTCTCATGGTTAAGTGGTCTTCTCCAAGACCAACTCTATTATATCTAGAACTGCAAGGCTGATGGGGTTTGGGGGAAGCAAGTATATGATTCCCTTAAATTAGTGTTCTTAAAGTTTTATGAACCTCAGCCATGACCTTTACCATGAGTAAGGAAAATGCATTACTTCCTCTCCCCTACATTTGTTGTTAATTGATGCCTTGTCCATCTCTCTCCTGACCAGCCTGTGAGCTGAGTTGGCCTTCAGGTGGTGCAGGGATCTCCCCACAGCCCTGTAGCCACAGATTTCAGACCTGTCACAAAAAGAGTGTCTTGAGGCTGGGTGCGGTGGCTCGCGCCTATAATCCCAGCACTTTGGGAAGCCAAGACAGGCGGATCACTTGAGGTCAGGAGTTCGAGACCAGCCTGGGCAACATGGCAAAACCCCATCTCTACTAAAAGTACAAAAGTTATCCAGGCATGGTGGCGCATGTTTGTAATCTCAGCTACGCGGGAGGCTGAGGCAGGAGAATCGCTTGAACCCGGAAGGCGGAGGTTGCAGTGAGAGGAGATCACGCCACTGCACTCCAGCCTGGGCAACAGAGTGAGACTTCATCTCAAGAAACAAACAAACAAATAAATAAAAGAAGAAGTGTCTTCCTACAAAACACAGCTCTCGAACAAAAACATTTCACCCGAGGCTCTCATTCTGTCTGGTAAAATGGCAAAACCTAAGTCTCCCCTCAAGGTAATGCTTCTCAAAGACGATGCAGGGAGGAGACTAAGGCACCAAGGTGGAGGGAGGGAGCCCAAGGCATGGGTCCTGGGAGCTCCTTTGGCAGCTTCTTTGGTGCTTAGAGTGGGTGCAGAGCGTAGGCTATGGCAACACTGGGCTGCGGGGCATCCAGCGGCTGCCTGCTGGCCATCTGAAGTGGGTCTGGGGTAGGTTTGGGCACTTAAGTTCTTCTGGAGCAAAGGTGCCAAGAAGTGGTAAATGTCCTGTCTTCCTAACACTTGGCCCTGCCTGTGGGTTTCACAGTTGGAAAGCATGGAACATGAAGAAAGATGTTTTGGGAGCTGAGAACTGATTCTTAAAAGGACTATTGCCGCTAGAGTGAAACAAAAAGTTCTGCTCTCCCATGAAGAATGACTCTGAAGACTGGAATAGAGAAATGTATGAATGCCAAGGCTGCACCCATGGTCAGGCACATGCATCAAAGACTGGAAGATCTTTTTCAGGACAACAGCAAAGTTTGAAAGGAAAGGGTGTTTTTCCTGTTCCTTATTGATTGTGCACCTGCTGTGTCCCTAGATGCCGGGACACTGGGGAGTGAAAGGCTGCAAGTGACTGGGCTTTCAGAGCTCATGATCTAAGGGAAGGTGACAGGGAAGAGGAATAGAAAACGAATGATACAAATAAAAATGTGAGTAAAAACCATCATTAACCCATTTAGGCTGGAGGTTGCAATTTTTTGAATTTTTGCAATCAGACCTTGGCAATGACCTTGAGCAGTAGGATATAAATAACTCTCACAAGCTTAGCATTTCAATAATGGAACACTAGGCAGAAATGGGTTAATGTAATGGAGTAAATGCAGGATTCTATGTAAGTGTAACAAGGGGACATGACTGGCCGGATGTGGTGGCTCACGCCTTAATCCCAGCACTTTGGTTGGCCAAGGCGGTAGATCACCTGAGGTCTGGGGTTCAAGACCAGCCTGCCTAACGTAGCGAAACCCCATCTCTATTAAAAATACAAAAGTTTGCCAGGCGTGGTGGTAGGCGCCTGTAATTCCAGCTACTCAGGAGGCTGAGGCAGAAGAATCACTTAAACCCGGGAGGCACAGGTTGCAGTGAGCCGAGATCATGCCACTGCACTCCAGCTTAGGTGACAGAGTGAGACTCCGTCTCAAAAAACAAAAACAAACAAAAAAAAAAAAAACAGGTGGTGGGGGGACATGACTTTGGATTTTGGGATAAGAAAAGGTCCCTGAGAAAGGAGCTTTGGTGCTGAGATCTGAAGGATGAGTAGGAGTTTCTGAGAAGGGAGCGTCCTCGATTTCTGGTGCATTTTTTGCTGCTCTGGCCTTTAAAATGCAGTAGTCATCTGCAGCCAAACAGCATGTTGACTTTTGGCTGATGCTGGTGTTTGTAAAGGATCATGACATATCTGGTGTGGGAAAGAGGGGCTGTAGTACCACTGCACTCTCCGTGACTGCTCTGCAGGAGGAGTTGAGCCCTGACACAATTGTGGGCTGAGAATTGGGATGTTTTAGTTTGGGATGGGTTTACTGAAAAGAAAGGTGTTTCTTCTCAGGAGGTTGAGGCTGCAGTGAGCTGTCATCATGCCACTGCGAGTTAAAATAAGCCCTTGATAGGCTGGGCGCAGTGGCTCACGCCTGTAATCCCAGCACTTTGGGAGGCCGAGGTGGGTGGATCACTTGAGGTCAGGAGTTCGAGACCAGCCTGACCAACATGGTGAAACCCCGTCTCTACTAAAAATAGAAAATTAGCTGGGCATGGTGGCAGGCACCTGTAGTCCCAGCTACTTGGGAGGCTGAGGCAGGAGAATCACTTGAACCTGGAAGGTGGAGGTTGCAGTGAGCTGAGATCGCACCATTGCGCTCCAGCCTGGGCAACAAGAGCGAAACTCCATCTCGAAAAATAAAAAATAAAAAAAATTAGCCCTTGATAGAGTTAAAATATAAATAAAAAGCAGAGGCCAGGCGTGGTGGCTCACACCTGTAATCCCAGCACTTTGGGAGGCCAAGGCGGGCAGATCATGAGGTCAGGAGTTCGAGACCAGCCTGGACAATATGGTGAAACCCCATCTCTACTCAAATTACAAAAAAAGTAGCCAGACGCGGTGGCAGGCGCCTGTAGTCCCAGCTACTCGGGAGGCTGAGGCAGAAGAATCGCTTGAACCCGGGAGGCGGAGGTTGCAGTAAGCCGAGATCGTGCCACTGCACTCCAGCCTGGCAACAGAGCAAGACTCCGTCAATAAATAAATAAATAAATAAATAAATAAATAAATAAATAAATAAATAAATAAAAAGCAGAAGTTTGGTTTCTTCCTCTTCTCTGTTACTGGAAGTGATGGATCAGTGCACTAAGCTGTCCCCTTAATGTTGGAATTAGACTACAGGGTCATGTGCTTATCAGGGGTAACCTGTATCACAGTTTTCAGATAAGGACTTGGAGGCTGAATTTTAATAGTTCTGTGAAGGGCAACAGGTAAATTAGCATAGGAATGGGAGTCACTACAGCTTCCAAAAAGTGATGGGAGAAAAGTACAGAGCTTTTTCTCCTCACCACATGAGAGAACCTATTCTAACAGCCATGTTTTCTTTTCTTTTCTTTTCTTTTGAGATGAAGTCTCCCTCTGTGGCCCAGGCTGGAGTGCAGTGGCATGATCTCGGCTCACTGCAAGCTCCGCCTCCCGGGTTCACGCCATTCTCCTGCGTCAGCCTCCCGAATAGCTGGGATTACAGGCGCCCGCCACCACGCCCAGGTAATTTTTTGTATTTTTGGTAGAGACAGGGTTTCACCGTGTTAGCCAGGATGGTCTCGATCTGCTGACCTCGTGATTCACCCGCTTCGGCCTCCCAAAGTGCTGGGACTACAGGCGTGAGCCACTGCGCCCAGCCTCTAAGAGCCATGTTTTCTCCTGCATATATTTCTACCTGACCAGAGCTACATGATGTATATGAACAGATTTATTAGTCAGGACCTTTGGCTGCAAGTGACAAAAAGTCAGTTCAAATTAGCTTGAGCAGAAAAGGAATTTATTCGCTTTTGTACTAGGGAATTTTCAATCGTTGATGAGTACAGGAAGGGATAAATCCAGAGGTTCACCCAGTGTTACCATGACTCCTTCTGCCTGCCTCCACCTCTCAGTTCGTTACCTTCACCTGGCTTCATGGTCAGCAGGCATTCTGCACACCACAGCAGTGTCTGCTAGCAGCTTCAAATTCCAGAAAAGGAGGGAACATCTTTCATGATGGCCCCCGCAAAAGTACAGTGCTTTGGTAGGCCCAGGTTATTTGCCTTCCCCTACACCACTTGTCTGAGAAAAGGAGACTGAGTCTATCAATGGGAAGTCACTGGGCAGTTCTTTCCAGGCTTCTGGATTTTGCAGATCCTTATATTTCTAAAATATATGTACTTGGGGGATTGACATTAAGTTGCCAACTTTTTGTTTATTTTTTTAAGAGGTAAGATCTTGTTCTATTGCCCAAGCTGCAGTGGTGCAATCAGCCTCGAACTCCTGGGCTTAAATAATCCTCCTGTCTCAACCTCCAGAGTAGCTGAGACTGCAGGCATGCACCACTTTTTTAGAGATGGCGGGGGGAGGGGGTGTCTCACTATGTTGCCCAGGTTGGTCTCGAACTCCTAGCCTCAAGTGATCTCCCATCTCAGCCTCCCAGATAGCTGGGATTACAGGCTTCAGCCACTGTTCCCAGCCTAACTTTTTCTTTTGGTACATGAGGACACTAGAAAGGTAACCATCATTTATTAAAAACACCATTTTCTAAGAAAAAGACACTTTAACTCCAAAAACAGAAAAATATATAAGTTCAGAATAAACAAATTGTATTTCATCTATATAGTGAAATACCACTCAACAATAAAAAAGAATAAACTATTATAAACATAACTACATGAATGAATCTCAAAATAATTGTGCTAAGTGAAAGAAGTCAAAATGTACATACAGTATAATTTTACTTATATAACTAGAAAATGTAAACTCACCTATTGTGATATACAGCAGGTCAATGGTTGCCTGCAGATGGGGTGTAGAGGTTGGGGAGGGACAGGATGGAGGAATTGTAAAAGATGCAAGGAAACCTTTAGAGATGATGGACACATTCACTATCTCGATTGTGGTGAAGGTTTCACAAGTGTATATGAATGTGAAATCTTACCCAATATAACTGTATATACTCTATAACATATACTATATAATACTATACTATATACCATATAACTATATACTATATAATACTATAAACTATAATACTATAATATACTATATACTATACCATTATATATATACTATATAATACATACACTTACATAAGTACATGCAGTTTATTGTATATCAGTTACACTTCAATAAATATGTAAAAATTAGGAAAATTATTATATATGTTGCTATAATGTCATAAATGGTTCCTTGGGGTATTGAAATATGTTCTATGTTGATCTGTGAATTAAACTTTTTAGGAGAAAAGGACTTAGGCACTTATGAAGAGAGAGATTATCTTTTAAAAGAAATACTTGCATTTGTTTTATATATAATATATACAGAGCAATGTGAACATACCTTATATAAAGTATGTATATATATATTACGTGTATATATATATATAAAGTACATTCACATGGCTGTGCAAGAAATAATTTTTTTTTGAGATGGGGTCTTGATCTGTCACCCAGGCCCAGGCTTGAATGCAGTGGCAAGATGATAGCTCATTGCAACCCCTAACTCCTAGACTCCAGCAATCCTCCCGCCTCAGCCTCCTGAGTAACTAGGATTACAGGCACACACCACCACACCCAACTAAAGGAAATACAAGTTTTAAAGTAGCAAAAGCCTTTATTTTATAACCATAAAAATTTGAATGTCAGATTTAAGCAAATAATAAAAGTATACAAATAATAAAAGTATACTTCCGTTTTCATTTATAGCCACTGTTAGTAATGAGGAAAGACAGCAGAAAAGAAAGCTCAGTCAAAAAATTAAATGCGGGCCGGGCGCGGTGGCTCACGCCTGTAATCCCAGCACTTTGGGAGGCCGAGGCGGGCGGATCACGAGGTCAGGAGATCGAGACCATCCTGGCTAACACGGTGAAACCCCGTCTCTACTAAAAATACAAAAAAAAAATTAGCCGGGCGCGGTGGCGGGCGCCTGTAGTCCCAGCTACTCGGGAGGCTGAGGCAGGAGAATGGCGTGAACCCGGGAGGCGGAGCTTGCAGTGAGCCGAGATCGCGCCACTGCACTCCAGCCTGGGCGACAGAGCGAGACTCCGTCTCAAAAAAAAAAAAAATAAAAAATAAAAAATAAAATAAAATGCGCCGGGCGCGATGACTCATGCCTGTAATCCTAGCACTTTGGGAGGCCGAGGTGGGCGGATCACTTCAGTTCAGGAGTTCAAGACCAGCCTGGCCAACATCATGAAACCCTGTCTCTACTAAAAATACAAAAATTAGCTATTGTGGTGGCAGGCGCCTGTAATCCCAGCTACTCAGGAGGCTGTAGCAGGAGAATCGCTTGAACCTAGGAGGTGGAGGTTGCAGTGAGCCAAGATTGCGCCACTGCACTCCAGTCTGGGTGACAGAGTAAGACTCCATCTCAAAAAAAATAAAATAAAATAAAAATAAAAGATTAGACCCAACACTGGTTCTCTACCTTGGCTGCACAATGGAATCCTGGGAAATTAAAGCAAAAATACTGATAAGCTGTGTCCCACCTGCTGAGATTCTGACTTAATTGGTTTTGGGTGTGGCTGAGCCAGCTGAGTTGTAAAAGCTCCCCAGGTGATTGTAATGTGCATTAAACATGAGCATGCGTTATGAACCACCTGGAGGGCTTGATACACCTCAGCTGGTTGGGCTTCAACCCCAGAATTTCTGATTCAGTAGGTCTGGGGTAGTATCTGAAAATGTGCATTTCTAGCAGGTTCTCAGATAATGCTGATACTGCTGGTTCAGGAACAATACTTTGAGCACCAGTGGATTGCGGTGAGGCCAGTTAACTATTCTTTCTACCCACTAGCTCCTATCTTCCAAATCAACCTGCCAAGTAATAGGTGTGAAGCAGGTTCACTGTGGGCCAGTGTCATTCCCAGAGGAAGACTAAACATCTCACCCACTGCACCTTGGGCTATACCAGTTTCTATGACTCCCAAGAGTCTGAGAAGACAGAACACTCGCACACAGGCCGCACGCAGCAGGTCTATTACTGACTGATAGGCAGCTGACTATCAACAGGTCTATTACTGACTGATAGGCAGCTGACTATCAACAGGTCTATTACTGACTGATAGGCAACAGAAGCTCAGGAAGGCTGTCCAGGGTGGGTGAAGTCTTGTCCGCACATGCCTCACTTTCACGACAGCTGGGGGACCCTGGAAAGCAGTCTGCCCTGGGTTTTATGCCCCAGGGGCATGTGATCACCGGACTAAAGTATTGTAGGACATTCTGCTCTAGAAGAAGAGGAGCAGAGTCTGGGCTGTTCCATCCAATTCCTCCTTAAGTTGTTGCATGTCAAGAACACTATTTTTTTGTTTTGTTTTCACTTTGGCTTGTTTTAATAAAAGCATTTTTATAAGCTGGGTGGGGGAAGAAGTGAACATTGTAAAAATTTCTCAAACATTTGCTATTTTACAAGGGCAAATAAATATGTTATTAATTTTAAAAGTGAACTTACAGAACAATTCCTAAATTTTCCTGCACCTCCCCCCCGCCAGTTAAAGCGAACAAAGAATATGCATAAACATTAGAGCTTTTAATTGCTACTGGTATGAATAGCACTGTTCTAAATTTCTTTTATGTCAAACCTTAGGTGAGCCCTGTTTTTGTCTTACTAACACACATTTGTAGCGTCTTCTCTCATTTGGATGTAGAGTTAGATGCCCTCTTGGCCACTCTTACCAACCTTATTAAAGTTCATCCATTAGAAACACTTGCAAGAAAACCAATAAAGTTCATCCATTGGAAACACGTGCAAGAAATACAATAAAGTACTCAGGAGACTGAGACAGGAGAATTGCTTGAACCTGGGAGGCAGAGGTTGCAGTGAGCCAAGATGGCGCCACTGCACTCCAGCCTGGGTGACAGAGCAAGACTCCGTCTCAAAAAAAAAAAGAAAGAAAAAAGAAAACTCTCAGCTGTACAAACCTACAATAAAGTGCAGTTACACACACAAACCCAGTGGCTCATTGGTACCGAGAGCCAATACCAGTAGTCTCCATAGGTGACCACCACTCCACAGATTTTTTTTTTTTAAAGGGACAAGATCCTGCTCTGTTGTCCAGGCCAGAATGCAGCGATGCCTCGTGGCTCACTGTAGTCTCAAACTCCTGGGCTCAAGCAACTTATCTGCCTCAGCCTCCCAAGTAGCTGGGACTACAGGTGCACACCACTATGCCCGGCTAATTTTTTTTTTTTCTAGAGACAGTGGTCTGACAATGTTGCCCAGGCTGGTCTCAAACTCTGGAGCTCAAGCGATCCTCTTGCCTCGGCCTCCCAAAATGCTGGGATTACAGGTGTTTGAGCCACTGAGCCCAGCCTAGTTATTATTGAGAAGTACAAGCAAGAAAGAAGAAATAACGGGGTCACCCAGAGAACTGTCCTGCAGCAGGTGATTCTCCTTTAATTTAGTTGTATAATATCTACCAAGGCAGAGTACATTGTTTGGGAAAGCTGTTTTGGCTGGGTGTGGTGGCTCATGCTTCTAATCGCAGCACTTTGGGAGGCCGAGGTGGGTGGATCACCTGAGGTCAGGAGTTCAAGAATAGCTTGGCCAACTTGGTGAAACCCCGTCTCTACTAAAAATACAAAAATTAGGTGGGCATGGTGGTGCGCACCTATAATCCCAGCTACTCTAGAGGCTGAGGCAGGAGAATCGCTTGAACCCAGGAGGCAGAGGTTGCAGTGAGCTGAGATCTCGCCATTGCACTCCAGCCTGTGCGACAAGAGTGAAACTCTGTCTCAAAAAAATAAAAAAAATAAAAGAAAAGCTGTGTCATGAAGAGGGATGTTTCCAAGTAGGAAGAAAAATTAGAAAATGTCATTGGAATTTTTTTTTCCTGTTTATATCTTATAACTTGAGTGAAAGTGATGGGTAATGCTGGGACAGGTGGCAGGGTGAGGCTGAGAAGGTATCTCTCTCCCTTTGAATTGGTCAGTCTGGAAGCCAACACCACCACCCAGGGATTTACTAAAGGTTTCTTCATACATTGCTTTCTTCAAAGAACACATAACACATTCTCTATTTTCAACATTCCATGATAATAAGAGTGGGGATTCTCCACTGCTCCTCCCAAGCATGTGTGTGACCAGCTGTGATTCCATGGTGCCCCGTTTCCGTGTTCTCTGAAACATTTCAGTGGTGCTTCACAGAAAATTCCTTTTATAAATAGAGAAGCTCTTTTTGCTAGAGGATGAAGTCATGGAGTCATGGTGTGTTTTATTAGTTGGCTCAAATTTTTTAAAAATCAATTCTTTTTTCCATTTTTTATTTTTAATTTACATGGGTATATAGTAGGTATATATATTTATGGGGCACATGAGATACTTTGATACAGACATGCAATGCATAATAATCACATCATGGTAAGTGGGGTGTCTGCCCCTCAAGCATTTATCCTTTGTATTGCGAACAATCCAATTATACTCTTTTACTGATTTTTAATACAATTAAATTATTGTTTACTATAGTAACCCTGTTGTGCTATCAAATACTAGGTCTTATTCATTTTTTCTATTTTTTTGTAGCCATTAACCATCCCCACCTCCCCCCACCCCTCACTACCCATCCCAGCTTCTGCTAACCATCCTTCCACTCTCTATCTCCATAAGTTAAATTGTTTTAATTTTTAGCTCCCACAAATAAGTGAGAACATGTGAACTTTGTCTTTCTGTGTCTGGTTTATTTTACTTGATGATCTCCAGTTCCATCCATGTTATTGCAAATGACAGGATCTCATTCTTTTTTAGAGGAGCAGGAATGTGTTTACAAACAATGGTTGATCTTTCATATTTTCTTGTTAGGCTCGAAGGCCACAGTGCTGACAGTTGAAGTCTATGGCCTAGTAACACCCTGGACTTTGGGGAGCCCTGGGTGATTGCTCCTCACCTAATGGCTAAGCTGCCTCTGTCTGCTAGTTTTTTCTATCCTTAAATAGTATGGATCAAAAGCAATCCATGATCAGTGTAGGAAATCAGGAAAAGAGAGAAACCTATAAAGAAAAAAGTGTGAAATTCAAGTGGACTGAGGATTGTGGGGGAGAAACCATTTGAGTGCACACACATTTATTTATACATGACTCTTACCTTCAGGTTAATTGAGATCTTGATTTAATTAGTCATGAATGCAAAATCTTACTGGCACTATGTGGCCAAACCAGAGAAGCTAAATTTCCTTCTGTATCACAGGCATCTGTGGGGCTTTCTCTGCCCTCCGTGGGAGAACCTATCCAACCATGAATGTGTGGCCACCAGTGGGAATGTTTACAAACCCTGGGCTTGCCTGGTTTGTGAACCAGACTTAGAGCCACAGCCTCCTCTAGGGAAAAAGGAGAGTCGTTGCATATGTCCCTGAAAAGCATTAGTTTCCAGCTTCCTGGAGTCCTGGAGAGCCACAAAATCACCTGAGACAACTGCTGTACTGTTGAGTTCCACTGTGCAGAGATGGCCCCTATATTGATTTGTTTGGTATATTTCTTTACAGACTGTATTGTGTTTGTGTGTGTGTGTTTCTAATTTTAACAAAATTAGGAAAATTTTCTGTACCCTTTTTTGGTCCTGCTTTTATGCTTTATATTTTATCATGAACATATATGTATCATATGTATGACATTTATATAAACTATATAATATTTATAAAATTTATATAATTATGTATATATTATTCTCCAAAAGCAAAAATTGTGTTATTATACAATGTCTCATTTTGTGGTGAAATACACTGCTTTAATTATTCCCCTGCTATAGAACATTGTGGTTATTTTTTTAATTTCTTACTATTTGTTTTGCTTTTATAAATAGCACTGTAATAGCATACTTATATCTAGGTCTAATATTATTCTTCTTTAAAAATCATCTTAGAGGCCAGGCATGGTGGCTCACGCCTGTAATCCCAGCACTTTGGGAGGCTGGGGCAGGTGGATCACGAGGTCAGGAGATTGAGACCATCCTGGCTAACACGGTAAAACCCCGTCTCTACTAAAAGTACAAAAATTAGCCAGGTGTGGTGGTGGGCGCCTGTAGTCCCAGCTACTTGGGAGGCTGAGGCTGGAGAATGGCGTGAACCCAGGAGGCGGAGCTTGCAGTGAGCTGAGATCGCACCACTGCACTCCAGCCTGGGTGACAGAGCGAGGCTGTCTCAAAAAACAAAAAAAGAAAAAAAAATCAACTCTTAGGCCAGGCACTGCAGCTCATGCCTTTAATCCCAGCACTTTGGGAGGCTGAGGCGGGAGGATCATTTGAGGTCAGGAGTTCGAGACCAGCCTGGCCAACATGGTGAAACCCCATCTCTACAGTACAGTGAACTTCAATTTTGTTAAATGTGGCTGAGAGGCCCAAGGAGATGGCTCATATGCCTGTAATCCCAGCTAAGACAGGAGGATCATTTGAGGGCGGGAGTTCAAGACCAGCCTGGGCAACAGGGCAAGATTTCCATCTCTATCAAAAAATATGAAGGAATGTGTAAATAAGTGTGGCTGAGAATTTCTTCCATATGAATTCTAGAGAATAGTGCTTCTCGGCCGGGTGTGGTGGCTCACGCTTGTAATCCCAGCACTTTGGGAGGCTAAGGCGGGAGGATCACCTGAGGTCGGGAGTTCAAGACCAGCCTGACCAACATGGAGAAACCCCGTCTCTACTCAAAATACAAAATTAGCCAAGCGTGGTGGCACATACCTGTAATCCCAGCTACTCGGGAGGCTGAGGCAGGAGAATCGCTTGAACCCAGGAGGCGGAGGTTGCGGTGAGCCGAGATAGAGATTGCGGCATTGCACTCCAGCCTGGGAAACAAGTGCAAAACTCTGTCTCAAAAAAAAAAAAAAAAAAAAAAAGAATAGTGCTTCTCGAAATATCTATGGTGGAGAAGCAGTTTTATTTTGTGTTCCATGTTGCAATCTGTTGCACACTGATATGTGGTCCTACCGTTTAGGACTAGTTCCCAGCTCTGCATGTTGAATTTGCCACCCAAGTCCCCCAACACCCAAACTCTTCTGTCCCTGCTCCCCCAGACAAGACCACTGATCATTAACTTGGCTATCAAGACAATGTCAAATTGCAGTAAAAATTTGTAAATTCATACTGTCAATTCCCGTGCTTATCTTGATACCGACCAGAAACAGTTTAGGAGCTGACACCAGTCTTCAAACCATACTTTGAATATCTCTGTTCTCTGCTTTGTGTGTATGTGGTCTAAGAACTGGATATTTGAAGAAATCACATTATTTGCCCGCACATGCTCATCTGCTCTAATTCTGAAATTGTCTGGATAAGACTTTGGAAACTTGGCTTATTCCATTATAACGAATGAAGTCAACTGCTTGCTAAGAGCTGTGTGCCTACCACAGACAATTATGATCTTTCAACAGCATGGGGAAATACAGGAGTAAATACAGCCTGTGGTATCCTGATAGTATTTTAATATGACAATCTTTTTCTACCTACTGAGAATGTCAGGAAAGTTCTGACTCTAAAAGCACACCTTAAAATTTTGTCCTGTTTATCTGTATGCAGAGAGATTTTTATGCTTTAAAGCCTTTAGTGTAAACATATAGTACTTGGAAGTAAAAACAAAAAGAGAGACTAACATGAAAGCTCCTGTGACTTCTCCTCTAGATGCCAGCTGGTCGAATGTACATGACAGACCACTAGCCAGTCTGAAGAACTGAGCCCTTCCCCACAGTGAGCCTGGCAATGCAGAAATGGAGACGGAGGAGTCTGTCTGGCCCAGTCCCCAATCAAGCCTGTCTATCTTTTTGTTAGGCCATTCTTGCATTGCTATAAAGGAATAATTGAGACTGGATAATTTATAAAGAAAAGAGATTTAATTGGTTCACTGTTCTGTAGGCTGTACAGGAAGCATGGTACTGCCATCTGCCTCTGGGGAGGCCTCAGGAAGCTTCCAATCCTGGCAAAAGGCAAAGGGGAGCAGGCATCTCACAGGGTGAGAGCAAGAGCAAGAGAGTTCAGGGGAGGTATCACACATTTTTTTTCTTCTTTTTGAGACAGAGTCTCCTTCTGTCACCCAGGCTGGAGTGCAGTGGCGCAATCTCAGCTCACTGCGACCTCTACCACAGCCTCCCGAGTAGCTGGGATTACAGGTATGTGCCACCATGGCTGGCTAATTTTGTATTTTTAATGGAGGTTTCATCACGTTGTTAAGGCTGGACTAGAACTCCTGACCTCAAGTGATTTGCCCACCTTGGCCTCCTAAAGTGCTGGGATTATAGGCATGAGCCACTGCGCCCGGCCAAGTACCACACACTTTTAAACAATCAGATCTCAAACTCACTCAGTATTACAAAGACAACACCAAGATGATGGTGCTAAACCATTCATGAGAAATCCACCCCCATGATCCAGTTACCTCCCACTAGGCCCCTTCTCCAACACTGGGGATTATAATTCAACATGAGATTTAGAAGGGACAACATCCAAACTATAGCAATCACTGTACAGAAGGTTATAAAGGAAGGTAGCAGGCGGTTGCCAGATGAAAGTGGAATGACCTCTGCTCTGGCTATGTCATGGCAATAAGGACACACCTGTTCCTTCCATTAGGTGAATAAGGCCTACATTCGGTTATCCATTCAGCTAGGTGCTGTATGGATAACACAAATACAGATGTATAGACATGGACACTGCTTGGAAGAGCTGTAGAGGTAAAGGAAAACTTCTGCTTCATCCTCTGAAGGTTCACTGAAAATCAGCTAACAGAAGGCAGGTAAATAGAAGAAAAGGCATATAAGTTTATTTGATCATAGCTTTTTGTGACATGAGAGCCTTCAGAATGAAGACTCAAAGATACCGGGGAACCTGTCCATTGTATGCTTAGTTTCAACAAAGTATGAACAGCCATGTACAGATGTAATTGGACAAAAAGAGTATGACTTAACCATAATAGACTGAGTGGGGACACCCTGCAAGGTCTGTCTAGATTCTTCTTGGCTTCTCAGTGCAGCATTCCTTCCTACTGGGGACAGGGCAGCACCCTCTCTGGAATGGGGGTCTCATGACCTATAACCAAACAACATAGCTGGGCACTTTGGGCGGCCGAGGCAGGTGGATCACCTGAGGTCAGGAGTTCGAGACCAGCCTGGCTAACATGGTGAAACCCCATCTCTACTAAAAATACAAAAATTAGATGTGCATGGTGGTGTGCGCCTGTAGTCCCAGCTACTAGGGAGGCTGAGGCAGGAGCATCATTTGAACCTGGGAGGCAGAGGTTGCAGTAAGCCAAGATTGCACCACTGCACTCCAGCCTGGATGACAGAGTGAGACCCCGTCTCAAAAAGCAACAAACAAACAAACAAAACCCCCAAAACCAAGGTAGCTCACATAATTTTTTAATGTCAGTTTTTACACAGAAAAATGGGTGGGAGGGTGAAGTTAGAGTAATATTATTAGGTTTGATGGCTAGCTCCAGGGAAAAGGGGTTCTGGTTTCTATGGCAAGCCTTAGGGGAGAATGATGGTCCAGAGACAGGAGGTCAGGAGAGGGTCAGAGAGAAACTTATGTCTCTGGGGCCTTCATTTTAGGGTATCGTTTTCTGAGCCCCAACAAGCTTTAAGTTTATTGCTGATTATAAAACCTAGACAATAGAGTGAGTCATAAATATCTTAAGAACAGGTTAATAATGCTTTAGGTTAGATAAAGCAAAGATTAAATAAAGGTTTGTAGATCTGGTTTATAGGGAAGCATTTGCATGCATGTAAAAGGCAGGTGCTTTGTGTTTAATAAAAGATTTATTTATTTAGCAAATATTTACTGGGTGCCTGCTGTGTACTAGAGGCTGTACCAGGTAAACGGTATAACCACCATTCTGCTCTCCCCCACCCCCACCTCCAAGATCTTGGAGTCTACCGGGGAAGTGAGACTGTTAAATAGGTAACTGCAAGGAGGTGATATGAATGCCATGACCGGGATGCACAGCTCTATGGCCACATACAACAGGGTGCCTACCTGTCCAAGGAGGTAGTGAAGACCGCAGAGAAAAGTCATGTTTGGTAGGACTCGCTTATTACCTCTTGACAGATCTGTTTTTGGAAGTCCCTAACAAGATGTAATTCAGTTAGGTGTTGCAGGATAGCTTGTACAAAGAATTAGTTACTTCCAATCACAATCCTCAAGTCATATTCCTTCTTCCATACTGGAAAGTATAAGGAAGAGGTGATACCAGCCAGCCGGTATTACCGGTAGATATGGACACTATCCCTAATGGCCACAAGATGGCAGTAGAATCCATCAGCCAGTTTCCCCCACCTCAAAAATATTTATTGAATAAAGTTTTAAATTGTATGTTTATGTCTGAATTGTATTGCATATTTTTTTAAAGAAATACCAAAGAAATTAACCGATTTCAAGTTTTTTGTTTGTTTCGAGAGAGAGTCTGTCTCTGTTGCCCAGGCTGGAGTGCAGCGGCGCGATCTCGGCTCACTGCAACCTCTGCCTCCTGGGTTCAGGCGATTCTCCTGCCTCAGCCTCCCGATTTGCTGGGATTACAGGCGTGCGCCACCTCCCCCAGCTAATTTTTTTATTTTTTAGTAGAAATGAGGTTTCACCATGTTGGCCAGGCTGGTCTCGAACTCCCGACCTTAGGTGATCCACCCGCCTCAGCCTCCCAAAGTGCTGGGATTATAGGCGTGAGCCACCGTGCCCGTCCTAGTTTATTTTTTTATTTATGTGATTTTCAGAAGTCCTTGGTGAAAATAATTTTCATCCTTAGACTGTATAATATCTCTGCTTTTTTATTTTTATTTTTTCACTGTAGCTCATCTAGTTTGCTGTACTTTGTAGAGACCCAGATTTCAGAGGCAACGAGTCTCTGAGCTACCAGAATAACAAGGAAGCAGGGAGGATGTAAAAGAAAACATTTTAAACTATCATGAAGGAGGAGAGCAGGACTAGATACTGTGGTTTATGATCAACATAAAACAGAAACTTCTACTTGATGGTAACTGGTAAACATATACAGCATATGAACCTTGCCAGGGGCCCTGCAAATACATAATTATCACTATAAAAGGGGTTTGCCAGAATTTCACTTATTCTTATGATGTTACTAAATCTGCTACCACCTCATTTGTGAATTTTTCCTTGATCTGAAGCTAAACACTCTAGAACATTTCAGGCCTTGTGACATTTTCCAGGCTGTTTGACTAATTGATAATTAACTACAAGCTTCCTTTCTCATCTTCTCCATGTGGAGATGTCAGCACGCAGTATCCAAGCAGATGGGGACAAGGTGAGGGGTGTGGTTGCACAGGTGGTGTGCCTGGGGTTAGAGTGTGCCCACACTGAGGGGTTACCGGAATGCAGGACTTTCAGTTTTAAAACTGACATAGTCCTGGCCAAGCGGGGATGAGTTGGTGCTATGGTTTTAATGTTTTTGCCTCCTCCAAAATTAATGTGTTGGAAACATAATTATTCTTATGCAACAGTATTGGGAGGTGAGGCCTTTTGGGAGGTGTTTAGGTCGTGAGGACTCTGCCCTCATAAAGTATGAATGCTGCCATAAAAAAGGGCTTGCAGGAGTGGTTCGTTCTCCCTTGTTCTTCTGCCTTTCTGCTGTGTGAGGACACAGCAGTCCTCTCTGTAGGATGCAGCAACAAGGTGACATCTCAGAACCAGAGGCTAAACCTTGATCTTGGACTTCCCAGCCTCTAGAAATGTGAGAAATAAATTTCTGTTCCTTAGAAATTACCCAGTCTCAGGTATTCCATTATAGCAGCACAAAATGGACTAAGAGAGTTGGTCACTCTACCCAGTATACAAGGAAGTAGGGAGCTGTTGTGGAGAGAGGGTGAGAGGAAGTATGGTAAAATATTAACAATGGACACATTTGGGTGAAGGGGATAGGAGAGTTCTTTATACTGTTCTTAAATTTTTTTCATGTATTTACAACTATTTTTAAAAACAAACAAAAAAACCGGCTGGACACAGTGGCCCTCGCCTGTAATCCCAGCACTTTGGGAGGCCGAAGAGGGCGGATGACCTGAGGTTAGGAGCTTGAGACTAGCCTGTCCAACATGGTGAAACCCCATCTCTACTCAAATACAAAAATTAGCTGGGCGTGGTGGTTAGTCCCAGCTACTTGGGAGGCTGAGGCAGGAGAATTGCTTGAACCTGGGAGGCAGAGGTTGCAGTGAGCCGAGATTGTGCCACTGCACTCCAGCCTGGGTGACAGAGCAAGACTCTGTCTTAAAAAAATAATAAATAAGTAAATAAACAAATAGCATACAAATTTGATGGAACTTTTATTATCATTTCACTGAATCTGTAGATAAATTTGAGAATACAGTAATCAGCCTCCCTCTCTAGGAGCAGAATTTTTCTCTCCATTTATTTAGATCCTTCATGTTTTTGAATAACATTTTTATTATTTTCTTCATATAGGTCTTCCACATGCGATCTTGCCCTCATGATCTAATCACTTCCCAAAGGAGGCCCCTCCCTTCTAACCTTGGGGGTTAGTTTGCTTTCCTTTTTCTTTTCTTTTCTTTTCTTTTTTTTTTTTTTTTTTTTGAGATGGAATCTCGCTCTTGTCGCCCAGGCAAAAGTGCAGTGGTGCGATTTCGGCTCACTGCAACGTCCGCCTCCTGGGTTCAAGCGATTCTCATTACTCAGCCTCCCAAGTAGCTGGGATTACAGGCGCCCATGCCCACGCCTGGCTGATAGTTGTATTTTTAGTAGACAGGGTTTCACCATGTTGGCCAGGCTGGTCTTGAACTCCTTACCTCAGGTGATCCGCCCGCCTCGGCCTCCCAAAGTGCTGGGATTACAGGCGTGAGCCACCATGCATGGTCTAGTTTTCAACACATGAATGTGGGGGGAACACAAACATTCAGACCATAGCAGTGGTTCAATTTAACGAAGGTCATATCAGGGACCAAACCCTGGTTCTAACATTTATTCTCTGGGAGACTTTGACGAAGCTACTGATCTACTTATTCTGCTCCTAGATAAGGAGTCTCATTACTGTATTATCAAGTTTATCTATAGATTTGGTGCAATTATAATAAAAGTTCCACCAAATTTGTGTGCTATTGATTTTTTGTTTTTTAAATAGTTGTAAATCCACAGAAAAAAAATTAAGAACAATAACTTCTCTGATCCTCAGCTTCTTCAGCTGTAAGGTGAGCTCATAATTCCTACTTTCTAGGATGTTGAAAGATCAAATGAGAAAACGAGGATATAAAGGCCCTAATTTGGGTCATGGTATGTAACAAATGCTCCATAATAGTTTGTTTCTATGAGCCCATAGAATTTTTCATGGGTTTTGAGGAAATATCAGGGACTTTAAAAGCATCTATATATGGCTGGGCACAGTGGCTTACACCTGTAATTCCAGCACTTTGGGAGGCCAACGTGGGAGGATCACTGGAGCCCAAGAGCTCCAGATCAGCCTGGGTGGGCAACATAGCAAGACCCTATCTCTGCAAAAAAATAAATAAATTAGCTGGGCATGGTGGTATTCATCTGTGGTCCCAGCTACTCAGGAGGCTGAGGCAGAAGGATCACTTGAACCCAGGATGTCAAGGAGGCAGTGAGCTAAATGCCACTGCACTCCAGCCTGGGCAACAGAGAGATACCATCACAAAACAAACAAACAAAAACCAGAACGGGGTGCGGTGGCTCACGTCTGTAATCCCAGCACTTTGGGAGGCTGAGGCGGGTAGATCACCTGAGGTCAGGAGTTCGAGACCAGCCCGGTCGACATAGTGTAACCTGTCTCTACTAAAAATACAAAAATTAGCCAGGCATGGTGGCGTGCCTGTAATCCCAGCTACTCTGGAGGCTGAGGTAGGAGAATCACTTGAACCTGGGAGGTGGAGGTTGCAGCGAGCCAAGAGCGCACCATTGCACTCCAGCCTGGGCAACAGAGCAAGACTCTGTCTCAAAAAAAAAAAATACAGATAAAGTTGAAGTACCTGTGACCCCCCTCCCCCACTCCTTCCCCCCATTCACCTCTCCTCTCCCCTTCTCTAACCCACCCCTGTTCTATCCTCCTTCCCTCTTCTCTTCAGAGCCAAACACAGTAGGATTTTGATGTGCATGCCTCAATAAAATAGTTTCTCAGATTTTTTAGTCTCAGGGCCCTGTTAGACCAAAAAATTATTAAGCACTTAAAAGAGTGTTTGTTTATATTTACCATATTAAAAATTAACACTGAGAAGTTTTAAAAATATTTAATTTATTTAAATTAAAATAAAATAATCATATAAAAATAAAAATAATCCTATTACATGCTGACAAATACAATTTTATATAAAATAACTATTTTCATTTTAAAAACTAGAAGAGTGGCATTGCTCACATAGATGAGTAGTTAAAAAAAGAAGTATTTTATATCTTTTCGGATAATTATGGACTTTCTTCACCAAAACCTGAGAAAGTGGTTGTTTCTTAAAGATTAGCTGCAATTTTAAATCTGAAATCATACCAATTAACTTTTCAAATTCCGTTCCATTACAATTCATCAGTCTGTCTTGAAATTTTTTGTTTTGTTTTGTTTTGAGATGGAGTCTTGCTCTGTCGCCCAGGCTGGAGTACAGTGATGCGATTTCTGCTCACTGCAACCTCTGCCTCCCGGGTTCAAGCTATTCTCCTGCTTCAGACTCCTGAGTAGCTAGGATTACAGGCACCTGCCACCATGCCAGCTAATTTTTGTATTTTTAATAGAGACAGGGTTTGATCACGTTGGCCAGGCTGGTCCAAACTCCTGACCTCGTCATCCTCCCACCTCGGCCTCCCAAAGTGCTGGGATTACAGGCATGAGCCACCGTGCCCAGCTGAAATTTTTTATTTATTTACTTTTAAGAGGCAGGGTCTCGCTCTGTCACCCAGACTGGAGTACAGTGGCATGATCATAGCTCGCTGCAGTCTCCAACTCCTGGTTTCAAGTGATCATCCTGCCCCTGCCTCCCAAAGTGTTGGGATTACAGGCATGAGCCACTGTGCTCGGCTTGTCTTGGAATTTAAATAAATCTTTTAGCCATATATTAGGAAAATATTGATTGATTTGTCAAGTTGTGATGATCATCTGAAAGTTGACACATTTAAATATACATTTGTTAATATCGCCATTGGTGTCATCAGAAAAGTCTTGTCAAGTATTGGGAAGCTGCCAAGTTTACAGTTTTCTAAAATTCTAATTTTACTTAAAAAGTTGAATGTTGGCCAGGAGCGGTGGCTCATGTCTGTAATCCCAGCACTTTGGGAGGCCAAGGTGGGAGGATCACTTGAGGTCAGGAGTTCAAGACCAGTCTGGCCAACATGGTGAAACCCCATCTCTACTAAAAATAGAAAAATTAGCCAGGTGTGGTGGTGGCAGTGCCTGTAATCCCAGCTATTCGGGAGGCTGAGGCAGGAGAATCGCTTGAACCTGAGAGGTGGAGGTTGCAGTGAGCGGTGATAGCACCATTGCACTCCAGCCTGGGCAGCAAGAGCAAAACTCCATCTCAAAAAAAAAAAAAAAAAATTGAATGTTATTATTCGCCACAAATGGTGTTAGTTGTTTTCCATAAAGTGACATGACAGGCTCACTTTGTTCAAGAAAATGTCTGCTAAATACCCAAGTCTGAATGACCACAGTCTGTTCTCATTCTTTCTTTCTTTTCTTTTTTTTTTTTTTTTTGAGACAGGGTCTCACTCTGTCACCCACCTGAGTGCAGTGGTGCAATCTCGGCTCACTGTAGCCTCATCCTCTTGGGCTCAAGCAATCCTCCCACCTCAGTTTCCCACATAGCCAGGACTACAGACGCACACCACCATCCCAGCCTTATTTTTTATTTTGATTTTTTTGTAGAGACAGAAGTCTCACTATGCTGCCCAGATACGTCTTGAATTCCTGGACTCTCCACCTCAGCCTCCCAAAGTGCTGGGATTACAGGCGTGAGCCACTGCACTCGGCCAGTTTCTGTTGTTTTAAACCACAAAGTTTGTGGTAATTTGTTACAGCAGCCACTTGAAACAGATACAATGAGTATGTCACATTTTATTTGTCTATTCACCAGGTTATAGACCTTGGTTTCTACTTTTAGGCTACTGTAGATACTGCTGTTCTAAACATTCAAGTCTTTGTGTGGGTACATTTTCTCCTTTCTCTTGGATACATACCTAGAAGGGGAATTGCTGAGTCATCTGGTAAGCCTATTTTTAACATTTTTTTTTTTTTGAGACAGAGTTTCATTCTTGTCGCCTAAGCTGGAGTGCAATGGCGCGATCTCGGCTCACCGCAACCTCTGCCTCCCGGGTTCAAGCGATTCTCCTGCCTCAGCCTCCTGAGTAGCTGGGATTACAGGCATGTGCCACCAAGCCCAGCTAATTTTGTATTTTTTAGTAGAGATGGGGTTTCTCCATGTTGGTCAGGCTGGTCTCGAACTCCTGACCTCAGGTGATCCGCCCGCCTCGGCCTCCCAAAGTGCTGGGATTACAGGCGTGACCCACCGTGCCCGGCCTATTTTTAACATTTTGAGAAACTGCCAAACTGGTTTCAAAAGTGGCTGTAGCATTTTACATTTGACATGTATGGAGGTTCTAATTTCATATCATCACCAATACTTATTTTTGTCTTTTTGATCATAGCCATTTTAGTGGGTGTGAAGTGGTATTTCACACAGTTTTGTTTTGCTTTATTTATTTATGTATTTATTTGAGACAAAGTCTCGCTCTGTCACCCAGCCCAGAGTGCAGTGGCATAATCATAGCTCACTGCAGCCTGCTTCCCAGGCTCAAGCCATCCTCCCACCTCAGTCTCCCAGGGTAGCTGGGACCACAGGCATGTATCGCCATGCCTGGCTAATTTTTGTGTTTTTTGTAGAGATGGGGTCTCACGTTGTTGCCCAGGCTAGTGATTTGCGTTTCTTTTCTTTTCTTTCCTTTTTTTTTTTTTTTTTGAGACAGTCTCACTCTGTCACCCAGGCTGGAGTGCAGTGGCATGATCTCAGCTCATTGCAACCTCCACCTCCTGGGTTCAAGTGATTCTCTGTCTCAGCCTCCCGAGTAGCTGGGATTACAGACGCATCACCACCATGCCCGGCTAATTTTTGTATTTTTAGTAAAGACAGGGTTTCACCATCTTGGCCAGGCTGGTCTTGAACTCCTGACCTTGTGATCCACCCACCTCGGCCTCCTAAAGTGATGAAATCACAGGCGTGAGCCACCGCACCTGGCCGATGATTTGTGTTTCTTTAACGACTAATGATATTGAGCATTTTCATGTGCATATTGCCCATTTGTAATATCTTCTTTGGAGAATGATCAATTCAAATCCTTTTTTTTTTTTTTTTTTTTTTGTTTTGAGATGGAGTCTCGCTCTGTCGGAGTCTCGCTCTGTTGCCTAGGCTGGAGTGCAGTGGCACAATCTCAGCTTACTGCAACCTCTGCCTCGTGGGTTCAAGCAATTCTCCTGCCTCAGCCTCTCAAGTAGCTGGGATTACAGGTGCCCGCCACCATGCCAGGCTAATTTTTGTATTTTTAGTAGAGATGAGGTTTCACCATGTTGGCCAGGCTGGTCTTGAACTCCTGACCTCAGGTGATCCACCCACCTCGGCCTCCCAAAGTGCTGGGATTACAGGCGTGAGCCACCGTGCCTGGCCAATTCAAATCCTTTACTCACTGTGTTGTTGCTGGGTTGTAAGAGTTCTTTACATATTCTAGATGTAAGTCCCTTATCAGACACATGATTTGCAAATATTTTCTTCTAGTCTTTGGGTTGTCATTCCACTTTCCTGATGGTATCTTTCCAAGTGTATTATTTTTTAAATCAAAATTTTAAATATTTCTTTTGCCTCTGTTGTTTCTGAGAGCCGAAGACATAGCAAGTTGAAGAAGCCTTGGCTTTTTGACATTCTGGGACACCTTTCAAGAACACTGAACCCACACCAGGATTGTCACACACTGACAGGGAAAGATGTGTCACTCCAGACCCAGGCAAGCAAACTTGGCCACAGCTGGGATATGTGTCTTGCATCAAAGCAGAAGCAACTGGTAGTTTTGAGGGTCTTCTGACAGACACCCTCCAAACATACTGCTCAGAAGTGAGGTAGGAGGTGAGATGCGACTCTGGAGTCAGGGTTTGGACACCGGACCAAATTCAGGGATGGGGCTGAAGCAGCTTTCCATGAGACATGCTCAACAGTGTGCCATGTCGGTTTACCATTGCCATGGCAACACCTGGGCATTGCCACCCCATTCTATGGTAATGACCCGATGACCCAGAAGTTACTACCTTTTTCCTAGAAATTTCTGCATAAACTTCCCCTTAATCTGCATGCAATTAAAAGTGGGTGTAAATATGCCTGCAGAACCTCCCTGAGCTGGTATTCTCAGCGCACTGCCTGTGGGTTAGCCCTGCTCTGCAGGGGCAGTCACAGAGCTGTAACACTGCCACTTCAGTAAAGCTGTTCTCTTCTACCACTGGTTCACACTTGAATTCTTTCCTGGACAAAGCAAAGAACTCTCTGGGGTGAAGTTCCAATTTGGGGTCACCTGCCCTGCATTAGAGGGACAAGAGTCCCTGGCTGGAAGCTTGAGTTCATTAGACTCCTCCAATGTTGATGAAGTCTTAAGTTATGACTCCCTCTAAGAGATGGTCTCTAAGTTTAATAAACTTCAAGATCTCTGTCAACCTTCAAGTATTCAATTACCCACTCTGAAAAGGGGAGTTCAGTGCTGTAACACTTTTATGGCAAGACATTTTTGAGTCTAAATAAAACACCTTGGGACTTGAAATATATAATGTTGTTATTGTATTAGATGGTAGTGGAATAATGAACTCTTCCTTAATTAAAACTTATTTTTACATATGTAATACAAATGTCAAAATGTCAAGTTAATCTGTACTGATTTCCTTTTTTTTCTTTCTTTTTTTTTTTCTCGTTGTGAGACAGGGTCTCACTCTGTTGCCCAGGCTGGAGTGTAGCGGCACAATCACAGCTCACTGCAACCTCAATCTCTTAGGCTTAGGTGATCCTCCCGCCTCAGCTTCCTGAGTAGCTGGGACCACAGGTGTGTGTCACCATACCCGGCTACTTAAAAAAAATTTTTTTTTGAGACAGAGTTTCGCTCTGTTGCCCAGGCTGGAGTGCAATGGAGCGATCTCGGTTCACTGCAACCTCCGCCTCGCGGGTTCAAGCGATTCTCCTGCCACAGCCTCCTGAGCAGCTGGGATTACAGGCGTCCGCCACCAAGCCCGGCTAATTTTTGTATTTTTAGTAGAGACGGGGTTTCATCATATTGGTCAGGCTGGCCTTGTATTCACGATCTATGAATGCATCTTTTTTCAGTTTTAATCGTTAATGAAAAATACAAGAACATCACAGAACGGAGGTAAATGTATAGGGTTAACAGCGCCTCTAGCGGGGATATCGAAAGGATCAACTAGGCTCTAAGTATCGGGAGCTAGCAGCAAGGGCTGCTCACCGTATGCTGCCATCCGTCCAGGAAGCGAGTGGGAAGCTGGTGTTCTCGGCAGGACGGCGGGAGCATCTGAGGAGAGGACCCAGGTGCGAGGAAATCTCAGAAATGGGAACGGGGAAATTGAAAGCACAGGAGATAAACTTTGCTTGGGTCACAACTAGAACCCTTCGCTTCGCCTTTACGAAAATATTGAGGCCCGTTGCAACCCTAGATGAGGTTGTCTCATTTTCTCGCTGGAGAACTGTCAGGGAACACGGAAAACCCACCCGCGACCCGGCTTCATGCGGCGCCGTCTCCTATGGCAACCGGGAGGAGGCGTGGTTCGAAGGTTAGTCACGCCCCTTTCCTTCCAACCCGAACAACGATTGGTCCGAAGGCGCGGCGGTGGCGCGGGGAGGCGGATCCAGGACCGCAGCTCCGGCTGGCCCGCGCCGCCATTTTGGATTGTGTGAGTTTCCGGGACGTTCGGAGGGTGGCCTCTCTCCCACCGGGTTCCGCATACCCCAGGCACCGGCCCGCATCCAAGTGTCAGGTTGGAGCCGGGAAGCGGCCCTGGTGGTAGCGGCGGCGGGGGCAGGATGAGCGCGGAGGCGGCGGACCGGGAGGCGGCCACCTCCAGCCGGCCCTGCACCCCGCCGCAGACCTGCTGGTTTGAGTTTCTGCTGGAGGAGTCACTGTTGGAGAAACATCTGCGCAAGCCCTGCCCGGGTGAGCGCGGCGCCTGCACCTGGGGAGCGGGACCCGGCCACCGGCGCTGTCCGCCCAGCTTCCCTCCGCTCCCCGCCTTCTCGGTCACCGAAGCTGCGGCCTGGGAGGCGCGCACAGGAGCCCAGCTCCGGCCGGGCTCCTCGCTTCCCTTAAACATGCCCGGGTGGAGGGTCAAAGAAAAGCTCGAAACAAAGGCTCTCCTACCCCCGGAGGGGAGGGCTTGGTGCTGTCATCCTAAACCCTTTGGTCCTTTTTACGATTTACCTTTTTACTGTTGGGGTTTTAGAGGCTGCGAGGCGGGTCTTGTGGTTGCTTGGGTCGGGGAGGCTGACCAGACGCCTCCTTCAACCCCAAGCTGAATAAATTCAGGGAGCTGGGGAGAAACCAGCTGTTGGGTGTTGATCGTGACGCTAGTTATTATCTTAGGTTTTATTTAAACATTTTTTTCTTCAGTGAGGGAATTTTATTGACTCTTATTCCAAAGTTGGGCTGTAAGTTAAAAGAAAATCTTTGAAAGTAGGAACTGCTGCACATTTGCAAGATGGCTTTGTATAGTGATGATAATGATTAATAGCCCAGTTAAATGGGTGTGATTGATGGGGGAGGAGGAAAACTCCAGGCATTCTCAAAAAAGGTATTGGCACAAAAAGGTAAGTTCCTCGGATAGCATTTCTCTAAATTCAAATCTAGATATGGCTTGTTCAGTCTCAGACTGGCCTTCACTGATAGAGACCACTGTGTAAGAAGTTAGTGTACTTAGGCAGTTTTGGCACCTGTATAATGCCCTTAATTCATTCCTTTTGAAAGATAATTTGTTGAGTGCTTTCCGGGTGCCATGCACTGTGCTTAATTGCTCACATCCGTTACCTCCTTTAATTTAATCTTCAAAATGATCCTCTATTTTGCATTGGAAGAAGCAGGTACGGAGAGGTCACTTGATGGAGGTCCCCCTAATTAAGTGTCAAAATAATAGTTCTAATATTTATATCTCATTCTTCTAATTGGCAGTGGTTATTTGCAGAACCAGAAATCTATGACTGTTATGTTCTTCCCCGTAAGGTGCTTTTTTTTGCTTTCTTCCACTCTAATCTGTTACCCTTCCTCCTTACCACTCTTCCGCATCTCCTTTAACCCCCAGGCACACTTCTTACATACGTATTCCTTAGTCATTTTAACAGCGCAGCTGTTTGGATTCCTTTTGTGGCAAAAAAAAAACCCAAACTCCCCCCCCCCCCACCCACCCCCCCAAAAAAACCAAACCAATAGTGAATCCTTTTGTATCTACATAATTAAAACTTAAATTTAAGAATTTATTTTCTTTTAAACCCTAGATCCTGCACCAGTTCAACTTATAGTTCAGTTTTTGGAACAGGCTTCCAAACCTTCAGTTAATGAACAAAACCAAGTTCAACCTCCGCCTGATAACAAGAGAAATCGTATTTTAAAACTACTTGCTCTTAAAGTTGCTGCACATTTGAAGTGGGACTTAGACATATTAGAGAAAAGGTATCCAAGATTTCAGTGAAATTTCATTTGAAGTGCTATTTAGATATCTTGGTTTATTTCTATATATGCTTTTATGATATCGGCTCTTAAAAATTACGTGCTGGGCGCCGTGGCTCACGCCTATAATAATCCCGGCACTTTGGGGGCCAAGGCTGGCAGATTACTTGAGGTCAGGAGTTTGAGACCAGCCTGGCCATCATGGTGAAACCTCGTCTCTAGCCGGGCATGGTGGCGGGCGCCTGTAATTTCAGCTACTTGGGAGGCTGAGGCACGAGAATCGCTTGAACCCGGGAGGCTGAGGTTGCAGTGAGCCGAGATGGCGCTACTGCACTCCAGCCTGGGCGATAGAGTAAGACTCGGAAAAAAAAAAAAAATAATAAAATAAATATTATATATTCTTGATAAAATATGCAAGTATAACATTACTTTTGATGTGGTAACTAGAGAAAATCCACACCTAAACTGTTGTAAATTTCTCAAGTGACTTTTACATATCTGAAGAAAATGAATAAAAATTAATGATAGATGTTGTGTAATATGAATGATTTGCTGTTGAATAATTGAGTTGATTTTACTGGTCATAAATCACTATCTCCTATTAAAACAGCTGATTAGAGTCAGTGCTTATTTGCTTAAATATAAATAATTTCAAGCCTTTTATTAGAAAATGATTTATTATCATCCCCTTCTCATCACAATTTAAAACATCCCTTATAGGAAGTTGGGAAAAATTTAAAAAATAGGAAATAATTGGGGAGGAGAGGGGTTTTTTTTGACATTTTCATGTAATTTTTTTTCTTTGTTCTCCATAGGCTTAAAGTTGTGATCATACCCTATATACTGTTTTTATTCCTGGTTTTTTCACCTAGCTGTATCATGAGCATTTCCCCTTTTTTATTTTTTGGAGAGAATTCCGTTGTATGGGTAATTTATTAACTGTTCCTTAATTGACAGTCATTTAGTTTATTTCTAGTTTTTCACTGATATAAATCACAGGGCCTTAAATATCTTTGCCCATAAAATAAGTTTATCTGTATTTTGAGTTGTATTCTTAGGATAGCTCCTTAAATTGCTGGATCGTGCAGTATAAACATTGTTAAGACACATGAATATTGCTGGATTGCATTCCAAAAGAGTTTATATTCTCACCAGTAGTATTCAAAAACCCTCTTTTTAACCACATTCTTCAGCATTAAATATTAGAATTTTTAAAGTGAATTTTTTTTTTTTTTGAGACGGAGTCTCGCTCTGTCACCCAGGCTGGAGTGCAGTGGCGCGATATTCGCTCACTGCAAGCTCCGCCTCCTGGGTTGACGCCATTCTCCTGCCTCAGCCTCCCGAGTAGCTGGGACTGCAGGCGCCCGCCACCATAAAGTGTATTTTTAATCTGAGCAGGGGAAGCTATACGTTATAGACTGAAGAGACATCAACAGATAGCAATGGGTACAAAGAAGTATGACATATATGAGGCAGCTGGAAAATTGAACACTGATAGGCTGTTTGACAGTAAGCAAGTCTAAGTTTTTTAGATGTGAAATTAATATTGTGATTATGTTAAGAGTTAATTTTTTGAAATATATTCTGAAATATTTATGGACGAAATGATTTGGGAAGTGGGGAAGAATAGAGATGAAGTAAGATTGGCCATCAGGTGATAATTGCTAGATGATGGTACATAGGGGTTCATTATATCCTGTCTACTTTTATGTTTTACGTTTTTTCATAATAAAAAGTTTTAAAAATCTTTTCGCATTTAAGCCGGGCACGGTGGCTCACGCCTGTAATCCCAGCACTGTGGGAGGCTGAGGCAGGCAGATCACAAGGTCAGGAGATGGAGACCATCCTGGCTAACATGGTGAAACCCCGTCTCTACTAAAAACACAAAAAATTAGCTGGGCATGGTGGCGGGCGCCTGTAATCCCAGCTACTCAGGAGGCTCAGGCAGGAGAATGGCATGAACCCGGGAGGCGGAGCTTGCAGTGAGCCAAGATTGTGCCACTGCACTCCAGCCTGGGCGACAGAGCGAGACTCTGTCTCAAAAAAAAGAAAAAAAAACTTTTTCACATTTGATAGCTAAACCCAGAGATGTGGTTCCTTAACAATGTAGGTATTTTCAGCGAGGATATGGAATTTTGTATGTATTTTGTGTTTCTTTCACAATTAATGTGCAAACATGTACGTTTTGCTTCTTCAAGTTTGTCTGTTCCAGTATTGAATATGCTACTAAATGAACTACTCTGCATCAGTAAAGTTCCTCCTGGGACAAAGCATGTAGACATGGATCTGGCCACTTTACCTCCGACCACTGCCATGGCTGTACTTCTCTATAATAGATGGTAAATGTTTTCATAAACTCAGAAGGCGTTGGGCAACCTCTGTTTTATTGCACTGTGGCTTTCAAGGATATTCTTTTAATGGACCCATTCTGCTGCAGGGATTTTTCAAATCTGGGGAACTGTGAGTCTAATGGTGGAGAAAATTTGTGACTGCATAGATGAAAAGCAATCTGATAAAAATGTGGATGACTTATGCAGGATTTACCATGTGTCAATTAATGCTTCATATAATTTATACAAACCTAAGGAGTACTTGAAAAAATAATTGAGATGACATTTATAATGTATGAAATTTTCTTTTTCCTGTCTTTTCTTCAGGGCAATTAGGACAATTGTTCAAAGTAGTTTTCCAGTCAAACAGGCAAAACCCGGACCCCCTCAGTTAAGTGTGTAAGTTGGTGGCTATGACCTTTACTTGGCACTTTTTTCATTGGAGTTTTAAAAATGTTTGCAAGTTTTTAATAACCTCTGTTATAGAAGAAGTAGAGCAGGAATAGGAGGGCAGAAGGCCTGTGTGAAGGTTTGTTTGAAGGAGTTAGAGGGGCTGGAGAGTCAGGTAATGTGCTAGATACAGAGTTCTAAGAAGGGAAGTGCTTTGGGAATTGTGCCATTTATCTGAAAGCAGTCAAGTTTTTTTTTTTGTTTTTTTTTTTTGAGATGGAGACTCACTCTGTCGCCCAGGCTGGAATGCAGTGGTGTGATCTCGGCTCACTGCAGCCTCCACCTCCTGGGTTCAAGTGATTCTCCCACCTCAGCCTCCCAAGTAGCTGGGATTGCAGGTGTGGGCCACCAAGCCTGGCTAATTTTTGCATTTTTTAGTAGAGACTGGGTTTCACCATGTAGGCCAGGCTGGTGTCGAACTCCTGACCTCAGGTGATCCACCCGCCTTGGTCTTCCAAAGTGCTGGGATTACAGGTGTGAGCCACGGCACCCAGCCTGATATTTTTTTCATTTAATTAAATTGTCTTGAAAAAGATTTGTATGTGGGGAAATTAATATATGTCAATATTAGAGTACAATACAAAAGTTGATCGTATCTGGAGGTTTTCTTTTTTTAAATTTTTTATTTTTAAGGCTTGTCAAGTGAAGCAGCAGGAGTGGAGGATGGAGTTTTAAACCTGATTCTTAATTTCCACATGGCAGCCTAGCCAAATTTGGAGCTAGAAAGCATAGTTTCTAACTTGATACAAATGAGCTTTTGTTGTAAGTTTTGCTCTTCAGTTGAGTAAATGAGGTTGGGTGCTGTGGCTCACACCTGTAATCCTAACACTTTGGGAGGTTGAGGTGGGAGGATTACTTGAACCCAGGAGGTTGAGGCTGCCACTGCACTCCAATCTGGGTGACAGGGTGTCTCAAAAACAAAAAACCCAAACAAAGTAAATGAGAAAATACTGGTACGTTAATAAGCATCATAATAGTTGAGGGTTTTGTTTTTTCAAACATGAAAATGAATAACATTAAAAACACTCTTAAATTGAACCTGACTTTCAAGAATGATGCTCTTAAGTTTTGAATTTTTTAGTCTTGAGAGTAACTTTTGATACTTTTGTTTTCAATTGTTTCTCTTTTAGTATGAATCAAATGCAACAGGAAAAAGAGCTAACAGAAAACATTTTGAAAGTGGTAAGTATTGGCATCAGTTACACAGTAACACTTCAGGAACAACTTTAGAGCAGCAGTTCCCAACCTTTTTGGCACCAGGGACTGGTTTTGTGGAAGGCAATTTCCAGGAAACTGGATGTGGTGTGGGGGGCGGGGGGCGAGGATGATTTCAGGATGATTCAAGCACGTTACATTTATTGTGTACTTTATTTCCATTATTATTACGTTGTAATATATATGGAAATAATTATCCAACTCACCATAATTTAGAATCAACGGGAACCCTGAGCTTGTTTTCCTGCAACTAGATGGTCCCATTTGGGGGTGATGAGAGACAGTGACAGATCATCAGGCATTAATTCTCACAAGGAGGACACAACATGGATCCCTCGCGTGTGTAGTTCACGATAGGGTTTGCGCTCCTGTGTGAATCTAATGCCCCCATTGATCTGACAGGAGGTGGAGCTCAGGCCATAATGCGAGCGATGGGGAGCAGCTGTAAATACAGATGAAGCTTCTTTTGCTCACCCGCTGCTCACTTCCTGCTGTGCAGCCTGGTTCCTGGTACCAGTCCATGGCCTGGGGGTTGGGGACCCCTGCCTTTATACCATTTATAGATGTGTCTTCTAATCTTGGGGACATGAGAGTTGTGAAGGTCTAAGTGCCGTGACATTAAGGTTTTTACTATTAGGATATAGGTAATATTCTAAATCACACATAGTCTTTCAGTTTTAATAGTAGAGTACTACTGATTGATTCTGTTTCGTGATACATTAGTAGATACGAGAAACTGATTTTACAGGTGACGTCTTTATATTTTGTATTTTCTAAAAACTCTATGACAAACATGTATAGTTTATATTTTAAAATTACTTTTATAATAAATTACAGCAGTTTATTTTTTATTTTTTTGAGACAGAGTCTTGCTCTGTTACCAGGCCGGAGTGCAGTGGCGGAGTCAGCTCACTGCAACTTCGCCTCCCTGCTTCAAGCAATTTTCCTGCCTCAGCCTCCTGAATAGCTGGGATTACAGGCACTTGCCACCATGCCCAGCTAATTTTTTGTATTTTTAGTAGAGACGGGTTTCACCGTGTTGGCCAGGCTGGTCTCGAACTCCTGACCTCAAGTGATCCACCCACCTTGGCCTTCCAAAGTGCTGGGATTACAGGTGTGAGCCACTGTACCTAGCCTAGCAGTTATTTTTTAATTGATCTACATAATGGAAAATTAGAAACCTGACAGTTTCTATAATTTAGAAATGATTTCTGTAATTAACACCTACAATGTTCCATATTACCATGTGAGGTGTAGGGGCTGGGTGAGGAGAGAAAAAGGTAAGAAACGATCTGTATCTCACTATAGCAAATATGCTGTAATATTTTGAATGTGGAAGCCAAAGCCTACATCATTTCATTGTTGTTATCTAGTTCCTAATAAAATGACTGGCACATTGAAGTATACAGATATTTCTTGAATAAATCAAGTGGAACAGTGCAAATTTTTTCTTTTTTAGACAGGGTCTGACTCTGTTGCCCAGGCTACAGTGCAGTGGCCTGATCTTGGCTCATTGCAGCCTCCACCTCCCAGCCTCAAGCGATCCTCCCACCTCAGTGTTGCCAGTAGCTGGGACTACAGACATGTGCCACCACACTAGACTAATTTTTGTATTTTTTGTAGAGATGGGATTTTGCCATGTTGTTCAGTCTGGTCTCGAACTTCTGGACTCAAGCGATCCACCCACTTCGGACCCCCAAAGTGCTGGTATTACATATATGAGTCACTGTGTCCAGCTAAATCTTTTTTGTTTTTTGAGATGGAGTCTTGCTCTGTTGCCCAGGCTGGAGTGCAATGGTGCGATCTCAGCTCACTGCAACCTCTGCCTCCCGGGTTCAAGCGATTCTTCTGCCTCAGTCTCCCAGGTAGCTGGGATTATAGGCGTGCTCCACCATGCCTGGCTAATTTTTGTATTTTTAGTAGAGATGGGGTTTCACCATGTTGGTCAGGCTGGTCTTGAACTCCTGACCTCGTGATCTGCCCATCTTGGGCTCCTAAAGTGCTGGGATTACAGGTGTGAGCCACCGTGCCTGGCCACCAGCTAAATCTTTAAAGCATTAACTTTTCTTTTTTAGACAGAATATTACTCTGTCACCCAGGCTGGAGTGCAGTGGCATGATCTCAGCTCACTGCAACCTCTGTCTCCTAGGTTCAAGCAATTCTTGTGCCTCAGCCTCCCTAGTAGCTGGGATTACAAGTGTATGCTACCATGGCCAGCTAATTTTTGTAGTTTTAGTAGAAACAGGATTTCTCCATGCTGGCCAGGCAGGTCTCGAACCCCTGGCCACAGATGATCCTCCTGCCTCGCTTGGCCTCCCAAAGTGTTGGGATTACGGGTGTGAGCCACTGCCCCTGGCCTAAAGTATCAACTTTTCTACAGAAAAAAGATACCAGTCTTTCCTGTTTTTTGTATTGTCTTTTTCTTTTTTTTTTTTTTTTTGAGATGGAGTTTCGCTCTGTCACCCAGGCCGGAGTGCAGTGGCACGATCTTGGCTCACTGCGACCTCCACCTCCCAGGTTCAAGCAATTCTCCTGCCTCAGCTTCCTGAGTAGCTGGGATTACAGGCGTCTGCCCCCATGCCCGGCTAATTTTTGTATTTTTAGTAGAGATGAGGTTTCACCCTATTGGTCAGGCTGGTCTCGAACTCCTGATCTCGTGATCTGCCCGCCTCGGCCTCCCAAAGTGCTGGGATTATAGGCGTGAGCCACCATGCCTGGCCCTCCTGTTTTTCATATTTTCTAACCTCACAATAGGAACTTATTTCCCTTCATTTAAGGTAACTTTATTTCAACAAATGTAATTGTACTCTTGCTGTGTTAAAAATTTTTTTAATAGCTTAGTGTACTGAGTTACTAAATAGACTGTAAATATTTTTGGTTATTATAATCAGTTGCTATTTTTGTATTTTTATTTGTTTATTGATTTCTGTAGCTCAAAGAACAAGCTGCTGATTCTATTTTGGTACTAGAAGCAGCCCTAAAATTAAACAAGGATCTTTATGTCCATACGATGAGAACTCTAGATTTATTGGCCATGGAACCAGGCATGGTAAATGGAGAAACTGAGAGTTCTACTGCTGGATTGAAAGTCAAAACCGAAGAAATGCAGTGCCAGGTATTCATTTGATACTTAATTTACGTAGGGCAATTTTTTGGAAAATCTTAATATGAGATCATCCTCCTATTTTTAATTAGAATTTATTTCTGCCTTTGTCTCTTAAGATGCTATTAAAACTGCATTGTATTTAATTTATACATTTATAAGATTTGACATTTTTCTAAAAGAAATGGAAGAGAAATTTTATGTCATCTGTTGTCTCTGAAATAGTTTCCGGATTGTATTTAGGAGACAGAGTTTAAGTACTGAGAATACAGTTATATGTAATTGATTTACAGTTCTTTCATATTATCAGAAATCTGATCAGACCAAAAGAAGATAAAAACTAATATTATGCTAGACTTTGAAAAATCTAGACCTCAAGAGAGAGTGTCTAGCTTTTCAGGGATCTTAAGTTTGCCCTCTTTCTATAACTCTGGGCCCCTTGTTCCTTTCACAGTTTTCAGTTGATGCTTATTGTCAGGTATTATTTGTTTTTGTTTTTGTTTTTTTTTTGAGACGGAGTCTTGCTCTGTCACCCAGGCTGGAGTGCAGTGGCATGATCTCAGCTCACTGCAAACTCCGCCTCCCGGGTTCATGCCATTCTCCTGCCTGAGCCTCCCGAGTAGCTGGGACTACAGGCGCCTGCCACCACACCCGGCTAATTTTTTGTGTTTTTAGTAGAGACGGGGTTTCACCGTGTTGGCCAGCGTGGTCTAGATCTCCTGACCTCGTGATCCGCCCGCCTCGGTCTCCCAAAGTGCTGGGATTACAGGCGTGAGCCACCGCGCCCGGCCGTTGTCAGATATTACTTTGTGTGTTTATGTCTTCTTTTTCCCTACTGGATTATAACTCTTTGACATCTCTCTCTCTCTCTTTTTTTTTTAATATGTTCTGCGTCTTACTTTCCAGAGTAGGACCTTGAGTAAAATAGAAATTTTAAAGTATTCAGTGATTGTCTAGAGAGGGCTACTAAGATTGTACCTTCTAAACTGTATTGTCTTTCCTTATTCGTATGAGTTGGCATGGCTTCTTTTATCACTAATTCCTTTTCTGGAAAGGGGTAAAAATAGTTATGACAGTTTTGGGAAGGTGCGTTTTCAGATTAGCTGTTTCCAGAGCTGAAGGTAATCATTTATTCAAGGCCTGATGAGCTGGAGTTTGCAGCAGGAGTAGGAGTTAATGAAGTATTGATACTTGGTAACCCTTTTTGTAAAAAAAAAAAATTTTAATTTTTTTTTTATAGAGACAGGGTCTCCCTATGTTGCCCAGGCTGGTCTCGGAACTCCTGGGCTCAAGGGATCCTCCCACCTTGGCCTCCCAAAGTGCTGGGATTACAGGATACTTGGTAACATTTTAAAATCACTGATGAAACTTGCATATAGGAGTGTTACTGGTATGTAGTATCTCATAATCTTTCAGAACCCGTTTAAAAGTTGTTGATGACACTTCTGATTTTTGCAACATGGTGGATGATACAACCTGAAAACAAAACTCCTGTAAAACATCTGTATGTGCTAGGCAAACTATCAAATGTTCTTTTACTTACATAGCTGAGTGACAATTCCTGTTTTTTGAAGGGCAAATTAGTGGTAACACTCATTTCCTGGCATGACAATGTTTTTCTTTTTTGAGACGGAGTTTCACTCTTGTTGCCCAGACTAGAGTGCAATGTCGTGATCTCAGCTCACCACAACCTCCGCCTCCCAGGTTCAAGCAATTCTCCTGCCTCAGCCTCCCAAGTAGCTGGGATTACAGGCATGCACCACCTCGCCTGGCTAATTTTTGTATTTTTAGTAGAGATGGGGTTTCTCCATGTTGATCAGGCTGGTCTCAAACTCCCGACTTCCAGTGATCTGCCCGCCTCGGCCTCCCAAAGTGCTGGGATTACCGGTGTGAGCCACCAGATCATATCTAAAGTAGGTTCTTTACATTACTAAAATTTACCTTAGACTTAAAAAGAAAAATTGTTATTTTTTTCCCCCAATAAAACCAGGCCTTAATGCCCTTCAGGGCAGCTTCATTATCAGGCTTTTTTGTTTTTACAGTAAATCTATTGAGCACCTCTTAACCTCTAAACTCATTGTAATGGCTAGTCAGTTGCTAGAGTAATACTTGAAAATATGTTTTTGGTATTTTGCAGTCTATCTTTGCCTAGAAAGGGGAATTATATATAACTGTAGTAAGTATGCATATATGTGCATGGGTGTGTGTGTGTGTGTGTGTGTGTGTGTGTGTGTGTATTTTTTGCTCTTTTAGTATCCCTTTACTCCAGATAGGAGGAACTCTCTAGAATGAAAATCAGCCAAGGGAGGCCAAGATGAGCGGATCACCTGAGGTCAGAAGTTCTAGACCAGCCTGGCTAACGTGGCAAAATCCTGTTTCTACGAAAAACACAAAAATTAGGCGTTGTGGCAGGTGCCTGTGATCCCAGCTACTCGGCAGGCTGAGGCAGGAGAATCGCTTGAACCCGAAAGAGGAGATTGCAGTGAGCCGAGATCACCCCATTGCATTCCAGCCTGGGCGACAGGAGTGAAACTCCATCTCAAAAAAAAAAAAAAAAAGTCAGCCAAACATGTAGTGTGGACTAAATAGTGCAAAGCAATGTTGTAGAGGCTAAGGAGAATTAACCTGGATTCTTTGAATTGGACAGAACCATATTTATAAAGCATATCAGTGAAGAGTGGTTTCATGATGAATACCAGGCATGATTATAGCTTAGGAGTTTGGAAGAGGAGTAAGTATCTGTTGCCAAAGGTTGGTTTTGTGGTATAAAAGGAGTAAGGGGTGTGGAATGAAGCATATTTCTAGTATCTCATGTGAATGGGGACTTGAGAAGACTGGTGTGATTAAAATAGAGCACAGTGGAGAGGTTTGGAAAGAGAGATTAGGCCACATTCTGAGATCCTTACAGATCAGGCCAAGGAGTTTGAACTTTCTTCTGTTTTGGGGAGTAATTGAAGTCTTCTTAAGTCAGTCAGATCAAGAAGACTTGATCTGTCAGCCATGTGTAGAATAAATTTGAGTCAGAATATTACGAGCTTAGGAATCTGAATTCAAACTTTGGCTCTGCTATTACTTGGTTATATGCTTTTCATGTCACTTTCTGGGCGTTTGTATTCTTATCCATAAAATGGCCAAGTTGAACTAAATAATCTGAGTCTTTTTTGAGTTTTGCATTTAGTAATTCCAGGTGTCAATATAAGCTTTTTGAAAAACATACAAATTATTTTCTTTTTTGCCTAGTGTCCACATCTTACATACAAATTCTGTCATAGAAACATACGACTGGAAAAGTTTTATGGTTAGCATACATTTCTCACTTTAACCAGTATGTTACGGTAGACGTGCACCATCTTCACTTTTGAGGGGCTCCCCAGCGTTTTTTCCCTCTCCTGTGTTAGAAAATTCCCGATCTTTTCAGACTTGTAGGAGGCAGAGCCTGCTTCTTTTTTTTTTTTGAGACAGAGTCTCGCCCTGTCGCCCAGGCTGGAATGCAGTGGTGCAATCTTGGCTCACTGCAACCTCTGCCTCCCGGGTTCAAGCGATTCTCCTGCCCCAGCCTCCCAAATAGCTGGGATTACAGGTGTGCGCCACTACGCCTAGCTAATTTTTGTATTTTTAGTAGAGATAGGGTTTCACTATGTTGGTCAGGCTGGTCTCGAACTCTTGACCTCGTGATCCACCCGCCTCGGCCTCCCAAAGTGCTGGGTTTACAGGCGTGAGCCACTGCGCCCAGCCAGGCTTCTTCTTATAGAATCAACTAAAAACTCCCAATACTAGCTTTCTCTAGCCTTATCTGGCTTGAGGGCAGGCATATCACGTAAGTTTTACAGATGGGTATGCTTCTTTTAGACTGAATCATGAGCTGGTCCTAGTAAGTCATAGCATTGAGAGTGATGGAGAATCCATTGTGGTGGTGGGTAGCGGCAACAGCGACAGTAAAATCTAGTTTCCGGGGACAGCACTTGCAGGAGTGTAGCTGCTGCTTTCAGGGTCTGGTCCGGGTGGCTATGGGTGACAGGAGCTGTGGAATCTACTGTTGAGATTCTTCACCAGACTAGTGTTGGCTCTCATCCTGACTGCATGCCTCCTTTGCCCTTTTTTCTAGTCAGATTCTTTAGCCTTTTTAATAATTCTGTAGGCGACCTAAAATCTACTCAGTAAATCAATATTCTGCTTAAGTTGACCAGAGTTGGTTTATGTTGCTTGTGACTAAGAACACTGGTGGTAGCACCTCTCCTTGGAATATGTGTTTTTTTATGTCTTTTTTTCTGTGTTTTCGTGAGATAAAGACAGTTTTGGTTCTGTCACCTCTTAAGTACCTGAGAAATTGTTAAGCAAATTGGTGTTCATTATTATTTCAGGTGTGCTATGATTTGGGCGCAGCATACTTCCAGCAAGGCTCCACAAATTCAGCTGTCTATGAAAATGCCAGGGAAAAATTTTTTAGAACCAAAGAACTAATTGCAGAGGTAAATCCAGTCATAATAGGAACTTAATGTTCAGTTCTTTAAAACATCTATACATTTTTTTGGCTTTGATTTTTCTGATGATAAAAACGTGTTCATTATTATAAATGTGTGATGTTCAAGAAAGTACTAAAACTGGTTTTTAAAAATCTGTAGTAATATAACCTGGAAATATAGCCCCTTTTATAAATCTAGTAAATTTTCTTCCAGCTTTTTTCTCTCTGTTTTTGTACAGTTAAGCTCATATTGTAAATACTCTGTATCTTGCTTAAATCTTTGACTAGGCATTATAAATGTATCATATTATGTGGAAGTACTCTGATTTACTTCATTTCCCTTATGTTTGGGCATTTAGGTTTATTATACAGCTGCAATATTTGTATCTGCAAGCCTAAATTTTTCTTCAGATTTCAGATATGTTTAAGTTCCTACAATTATTGCCATGTCAATGGTTATGTATTTTTCTAAGGCTATAATTTATCAAACCACATTACTTTCCAGGTACATTTCTCACAGAGCACTTCAGTTAGCAGTGAGTGTTTAACAAATTTTTATTTTTATTTTTTTGCTAACTTGATTGGTGAAATATAGTATCTTTTATAAACTTGGCTTTCATTAATTCCTAATATGGGTAAACATTTTTACTGTGTTTATCATTTGCATTTTTCTTTTTTATGATTCAGATGACTGAATTGTAAACCTAGTATATCTATAACTAGGTTTTTATATGGCTGGTGCCTGGAAAAATTCCCACTTCAATCTGCTGTCCTTAGTAGAGATATTGATTAAATGCCCTAGAGGTTTAAATGCTCTGACTATTCTAGATAGACCCATTAGAAATACTCATTTTACTTTGCTAGGAAATTAATCTGCTTTCTAATTTTATGGTATTTCAGGTATAGTAATTTAAAACAAATATTTTTTCAAACTTTTTTTTTTTAATCCTGTTTGGGTAGAAGCATTTCTATTCTTTCCAATTGAGTGATGATTATGCTCTTTGCTCGCTCCTTTAAATCTCTGCTGGTATGTGTCTTTTAAAACCTTTAAGCTTGTTTTTAATTTTAACACTGTTTGCTCTTTGTTAATGTCTTGTCATACATACTTGGTATGATAATGATGTCCACCTTTTGTATGTTGGCCTGAAAACTCTAAGCTTCAGCAAACTTTCTTTGTAAAGGGTCAGTTAGCAAATATCTTAGGCTTTCTGGGCCACATTCAGTCTCTATTGCATATTCTTACCATTTTTTTGGTCCCCTTTGCATAGTTTACGGCCCACAAAAATTGTTCTTAGCTCAAGGGACGAACAAAAACAGACCATAGGCTGGATCTGGCCTATGAGCAATAGTTTTTTGACCCCTGTTCTAAACCTTTAACCTTTTTGTTTTTTGATTCTTCCAGTTTTAAATTTTTCTTTTCTTTTTTTTTTTTTTTTTCCTGGGACGGAGTCTCGCTTTGTCACCCAGGCTGGAGTGCAGTGGCGCCTTCTCGGCTCACTGCAACCTCCACCTCTCCTCCCGGGCTCAAGCCATTCTCCTACCTCAGCCTCCCGAGTAGCTGGGACTACAGGTGCCCGCCACCATGCCTGGCTAATTTTTGTATTTTTAGTAGAGACAGGGTTTCATCATCTTGGCCAGGCTAGTCTCGAACTCCCGACCTTGTGATCCGCCAGTCTCGGCCTCCCAAAGTGCTGGGATTACAGGCGTGAACCGCTGTGCCCAGCCCGGCTTGAATTTTTCGTTAGCATTTCCTTGTACTGTTAAAACATGCTAAGGGGGTGCTAGACTATTGTTTATATTACATGAATGGATAATGGTGTATACCTCTTACTTTACAGATAGGTTCATTATCTCTTCATTGTACCATAGATGAGAAGCGGTTAGCTGGCTATTGTCAAGCATGTGATGTTCTTGTACCTTCTTCTGATAGTACATCTCAACAGTTGACTCCATATAGTCAAGTCCATATTTGTTTGAGATCTGGCAACTATCAGGTAAGGTGTATGAGGGGGATGCAGTGAAGTTTTGGAAGCCAGACAAAACTAAGTTCAAATCCTCGCACCATCCATTTACCAGTTACGCGTTTTGGGGCAAGTCATTTACACTGTCATACTGGCCTGTAACATAATGGTAATAATTATCCCATTTCCTAAGATTCTTATGAGAATCTAGTGAGAAGTTATAGTGCACAAATTCTAAGGCAAAGCATTATACAGATGTTACTTCATCATTGCTGTTATCTTAAAGGTATAGAGTTGGTCTATCTTAAATAAATTTTGTAAGAAATGCTTGTAAGCAGAACTTTTAACATTTAAAAATTGCAGGTAGACAGCTTTTAGTTGTGTGTGTGTGCATTTGTTTAGCAGCTGGGATTGTTGGCTGCTAAGATATTAATAGCTTTTAGTTTTACAAAACATTAAGTCTTGTGTCTTTTGGATGTGTGGCTTGTAGCCCAGCTTTAGTAGCCCTTCCAAATAGTAAGACTGAAGGAGAAAGGGAGCACAGTGAACACGGCAGTTGTTCTGGTGGGTTTGGATGGTCTGTTAGAAACAGAGCCCACCTGCTCTTGAGCCTACTCACCATCTTGATTTGGTTCATGAAAACGCCTTAATGAGTCTCTTGAGACTTTTATTGTGCGCGCCCCACCCTCCCCACCAACACGCACACACCTCTGGGTGTTTATCTTCAGTTTTGTTATGAAAATAACTGGAAATTAGAATTGTGCTTTTAAAGTCTTTATTGGAAAGCCTCCATTCTAGAGAATAAACAGTGCATTCATTCATGTTTAACTCAAAATAGGAATCATGAAATGATAAAGCCATAACTTAGTTTTGTGTCTCCAATTGGGTATTATTCCAGCTTTATAGTTCTCTTACCTAGGGGTTTTTTTGTTTTTCACAGAAAATAGGTGAAGAGAGGAAACAAGATGGCACTTCTTTCCCCTATCTTTGGCCCTTTTTAAAAGTATTGCTTTGTCCTAGGAAAGAAAATTAAACTTTCTTGAAGTTTAATTACCGACACAGGTGAATTTAATAAAGACTAGAGCTCTCTCAGTTATAGCTCCCTAGTAAAGGTTTATGAAGGGTGAGATCAATTATCATAAAATACAGATTCTTTAACAAGTTGGCTGGGCACCGTGGCTCACACCTGTAATCCCAGCACTTGGGAGGCCAAGGTGGGAGGATCGCTTGAGTCCAGGAGTTCAAGGTTGCAGTGAGCTATGATAGCACTGCTGCACTCCAGCTTGGGTGACAGAGCAAGACCCTGCCTCAAAAACAAAAAAACCCAAAAAACAAAAAAACCTCTCTGGAGTGGTAAGACCTGTGCCAACAAGACCTTAGGAATATCACCCAGAGACAAGTACATGTTACTGTGACTGTAATAAAGTTCCACAAAAATCAGAAAATAGTGTAATGGGTAGCTAAGACGGGGAAAATAGGAATTTTGTTGCATCTTTGAGATTCATTACTTATACATGCAGGACTCTCTTAGAAATTGTATTTCTTCGAATGGCATTGTGTTTTTATGAACTATGTGGGTTTTGTTTAGTGCTGATGAAGTAGGAGTTGAGCAGCTGTAACAGGTGTGTCTTCTCACACTTGAGAAGCTGCTGTGTTGCTCCTGTGGAGCCCTGCCTTGCTCATGTTTTGTTATGGAGGTGAAGCTAGTGGTTGCTCCATATTTTTGAAACCACTTATGTCAGTACTTTTCTGGTAGTGGCTGATTAGTTTAATTTTCAGATATCTCCTTTCCCCCTCCTCTCGTTAACACCCTTTCTTTCTTTCCTGCTCTTCCATTCTTGAGAAGTAGCTAAGAAAAAGTCTGTATGTAATAATCTGGGTATTTTTTGTAGTTCACAGATAATATATTTTAAATCATTTAAATTTATTATAATCACTTGTTAGCATGTTTTTTCAGCTGAATTTTTTAATTAGTTTTTTTTTTTTTTTTGAGACAGAGTCTCACTCTGTTGCCCAGGCTGGAGTGCAGTGGCACGATCTTGGTTCACTGCAACCTCTGCTGCCCGGGTCCAAGTGATTCTTCTGCCTCAGCCTCCCGAGTAGCTGGGATTACAGGCGCCTGCCAACGTGCCTGGCTAATTTTTGTAGTTTTTAGTAGAGACGGGATTTCACTGTCTTGGCCAGACTGGTCTTGAATTCCTGACCTCGTGATCCACCTACCTTGGCCTTCCAAAGTGCTGGGATTATAGGCATGAGCCACCGTGTCTGGCCATTTAATTAGTATTTTTTTAGTTTGTTTTATGAGCTTGTGTTTAGAGAGAATAATAATTTTTTTTTTTTTTTTTGAGATGGAGTATTGCTCTGTCACCCAGGCTGGAGTGCAGTGGCACCATCTCAGCTCAAAGCAACCTCCGCCTCCTGAGTTCAAGCAGTTCTCCTTCCTCAGCCTCTCCAGTAGCTGGGATTACATGCAAGTGCCATGATACCCGGCTAATTTTTGTATTTTTAGTAGAGACGGGATTTCACCATGTTGGCCAGGCTGGTTTTAAATTCCTTACCTCATGATCCACCTGCCTTGGCCTCCCAAAGTGCTCAGATTACAAGCGTGAGCCACCATGCCTGGCCTAAAATTTTTTTCTAATAACATAGCTGGATTGCCTCTCATTGACTGATTCCTTTCTTACCTCTCATTTTTGGTCTGTGATCTTCAGTTTTAAAAAAGGGGTAGCAGGGCTGTTTTTGCCCTTAATCAAATTTTAGAATTTTAGGAAGAAAAGGTTTTCATAGTAAGATATTTTTGTGATTGTTTTTCAACTTGTATTTTCCATTATAGAAAGACTTGTTTAAAGTAAAAAAACTTTACCATGATTTTTGAAATGGGTGCAACTTTATGTGTGTGTTCTAGGAGGTAATACAGATTTTCATTGAAGACAACTTAACCTTGAGTTTACCTGTCCAGTTCCGACAGTCAGTCCTAAGAGAACTCTTTAAGAAAGCTCAACAGGGGTAAGTAAGTTGAAAAATTACTTCTTGATTTTTGAATAAAACAGCAAGTGCATTCTGGTTTATCAAAACCACATTTTCAAATTTCCTATGGCTCTGTGACATTATTTTCATGTTGTTAATATAAGGGAAATTAACATAGGGTGGAGGAACACTCTGGTGTTCCTCCGTCTAGTCTGTTTTAAAAGTGCTTGCAGGGCCGGGCGAGGTGTCTCATGCCTATAATCCCAGCACTTTGAGAGGCCGAGGTGGGTGGATCACTTGAGGTCAGGAGTTTGAGACTAGTCTGGCCAACATGGTGAAACCCCGTCTCTACCAAAAAATAGAAAAATTAGCTGGGCATGGTGGTGCACACCTGTAGTCCCAGCCACTCAGGAGGCTGAGGCACGAGAATCGCTTGAACCCAGGAGGTGGAGGTTGCAGTGAGCCGAGATTGCACCACTGTACTCCAGCCTGGGTGACAAAGCAAGACTCCGTCTCAAAAGAAAAAAAAAAAAAAACTGCTTGGGAGAAAAATTATACATAGCAAAATTCCATTCTGTTGTCTAATATGTAACTACATTGTCCCTTGATAAATTCAAAACCTATTCTGCTTTCTTTCTCCCCATGATTTGGTATATATTTATTGGTATGCTTGAATATTCTAAAATCTTACCTCTTAAGAATAAATGGCTCATTCTTGTGAATATAGTTGTATAATATACACCTTTCTTTTGTAGTAAAAATAACATTAGTTGATCTACTTTTGTATTCTACAGAAATGAAGCTCTAGATGAAATCTGTTTTAAAGTTTGTGCCTGTAATACAGTCCGTGATATACTGGAAGGCAGAACAATTAGTGTTCAATTTAACCAGCTATTTCTTAGACCAAATAAAGAGAAAATAGACTTTCTTCTTGAGGTATGACATGTTTTTCTTTCCCCTTTTGATTTATAATTTGCTTTAAGCTTACCAGTGACCTCTTAATTGCCAAATCCAGTTCCTTTTTTCCTGTCTGCCTTGCGTTTCTGTGCCTGACAATTGGCACTTTTGACAGACTATGCCCTTCCGCCTGGTCTTCTGCTGTAGCTCTTTTTCTAGTTCGCTCCATGTTTCTTCAGCATCTTTATTGGATTCTCCTTAGTCCTTCATTGACTTCTCTATTGCTCTTCCTTTAGTATTTCTGTTCATAGAACTTTTGTCCTTGGCTCACTCATCATTTTTTATTTACTTCCAAAGCTTCACTCATCTGTTTCATCACCTGTTTACTAAGAACTCCCAAATCAAGCCTCTTGTCTGTCATGTGTGCTGTGGAATCTGTGTTTCTACTGGATCACTCTACTTCTTTCTTAACAGTCTTAATGTTAGAGACATTGAGAGAAGTACATAAAGCACAGATAATACCACTTACTTCCAAAAATACAACGTTGCCAGCACTCTAGAAGCCTTTGTTGTGGTCTTTACAACCTCCTCTACCTTCCCTTGAGGTAGCTACTGCCCTGGCTTTTGTGATCATAATTTTCTTGCTTTCTTTTATATTTGTATCACCTCTGTATGTATCCTTAAAGAACATTCTTTAATTTGCCTATTTTGAACTTCATATAAATGGAATCATACAATGTGTATTCATCATCTTCTTTCACTAAAGAGATTTATTTGTGAGATTTATTCAAGTTGTATATAAATAACAATTTTTTTCATTGCTTTAAGGTGTTAGAGCCTGGGTGCAGTGGCTCACACCTGTAATCTCAGCACTTTGGGAGGCCAAGGCGAGTGGATCACAAGGTCAGGAGTTCAAGACCAGCCTGGTAAACATAGTGAAACTCCGTCTCTACTAAAAATACAAAAAATTAGCCGAGCGTGCTGGCAAGTGCCTGTAATCCCAGCTACTTGGGAGGCTGAGGCAGGAGAATCGCTTGAAACTAGGAGGCAGAGGTTTCAATGAGTGGAGATTACGCCACTGCACTCCAGCCTGGGCAACAGTGAGAGACTCCATCTCAAAAAAAAAAAAGTTAGAATATTATATGGACCACGCCACAATTTCTTCAGTCTTATGATGGGGGACATTTGTGTGTTTTATAGTTTTTGGCTGTATACACATATGATGGAGGGACATTTGTGTTGTTTATAGTTTTTGCCGCTTGGAACATACTTGTACATATATCTAGGTGTGCATACGTACCAGTTTATGTTACATACCTAGGGAATAATATATCTGCAACATTAATTTTTAAAAACCAAGTGGCTTATAACCACCAGCATGCCTGAGTGTTCTCATCAGTCAACATCCTTGTTAACATTTGATATTGTCAGATCGCCTGTGAGGTGGTTGTATAACAGTACCTCATTGAGGTTTTCATTTCTACAACTCTTCATTTAATTTTTACTCATGGATTTTGTTTTTTGAGGTACCTTTTCCAAGTGTTATGCCTCTTTTTTTTTTTGAGATAGAGTTCTGCTTTTTTTTTTTTATTTTTTTATTTTTTGAGATGGGGCCCCCTCTGTTGCCTGGCCAGGCTTTAGTGCAGTGGCGTGATCTCGGCTCACTGCAACCTCCGCCTCCCAGGTTCAAGCGATTCTCCTGCCTCAGCCTCCTGAGTAGCTAGGACTACGGGCGTGCGCTACCACGCCTGGCTAATTTTTGTATTTTTAGTAGAGACAGGGTTTTGCCATGTTGGCCTGGCTGGGCTCAAACTCCTGACCTCAGGTTATCTGCCTGCCTTGGCCTTCCAAAGTGATAGGATTACAGGTGTGAGCCACCGTGCCTGGCCAGAGTTCTGCTCTTGTTGCCCAGGCTGGAGTGCAGTGGTACAATTTCAGCTCACTGCAACCTCCACCTCCCAGTTTCAAGTGATTCTCCGGCCTCAGCCTCCGGAGTAGCTGGGATTACAGGTGCCCACCACCACGCCCTGCTAATTTTTGTATTTTTAGTAGCGACGGGGTTTTGCCATTTTGGCCAGGCTGGTCTTGAACTCCTGACCTCAAGTGATCCACCCACTTTAGCCTCCCAAAGTCCTGGGATTACAGGCATGAGCCGTGCCCGGCCATGTTATGTCTCATTTTTCTATTATATTGTCTGTTCTTTGGAAGGAGCTTTCTTTTTTGTAGGAGATCTATATATATTCTCTTTTTTACCAATTTTAAATATTGCAGATATCTTCACTGAGTTTGACTTTTAGTTTTTCTTTTTTTTTTTTTTTTGTTTGAGACGGGTCTCACTCTATCACCCAGTTGGAGTGCAGTGCTGTGATCTCAGTTCACTGTAACCTCCACCTCCTGGGTTCAAGCCATCCTCCCACCTCAGCCTCCTGAGTAGCTGGGACTACAGGCATGTGCCACCACGCCTGGCTAATTTTTTTTATTTTTGGTAAAGATGGGGTTTTGTCACGTTGTCCAGGCTGGGCTCGAACTGTTGAGCTCAGGTGATCCACTCACCTTGGCTTCCCAAAGTGCTGTGATTACAGGCATGAGCCACCACGCCCAGCTTAGTTTTCTTTATATTGTTCCAAAGCTCCTAAATTTAATATCAAATTTACCGATTTTTTTCCGTTGTAGTGATTTCTGTGTGTTGTTTAAGAAAGCTTTTTCCTATTGTGTCATGAAGATATTCTTCTATTATTATCTTCTAAAAGCTTTATAGCATAGCCTTCCTTTCACGTTTAGGTCTTTGATCAACCTACAGTTGATTTTTGTGTGAAGCAGGAAGTGTGCCAGCACCATTTACTGAAAGGTTAATTTTTTTCCCACCAATCTCTAGGGCCACCTCTATTGTATGCCGGGTGTTTATACATGTATGGGCCTGTTTCTGAGCCATTTTATACCACTTTTCTATTTGTCTATCCATACCTTATTATGTCCATGTCCTGATACCATCGAGAGCAAGTTCTACCTTGTTTTCAAGGTTGTATTGGTTATTCTTGTCCCTCATTCTGTTGCCCAGGCTGGAGTGCAGTGGCACAATCTTGGCTCACTGCAACCTCCGCCTCCCGCGTTCAAGTGACTCTTCTGTGTCAGCCTCCTGAGTAGCTGGGACTACAGGCACGCGCCACCATGCCTGGCTTATTTTTGTATTTTTAGTAGAGACAGGGTTTCACGATATTGGCCAGGCTGGTCTCAAACTCCTGACCTCATGATCTGCCCGCCTCGGCCTCCCAAAGTGCTGGGATTACAGGTGTGAGCTACCACGCCCGGCAGTCCTTTGCATTTTTATGTGTCAACATTAGACTCAGATTGTCAAGTTCCACAAATCTGTTGGATTTTTGTTTGGAATTACATTAAATTTAGAAGCCAGTTTAGAAAGAAATTATGTCTCTTTTCTTTATTAGAAAAAATTTTATGGGCGGCCTCCTAAGCCAAAGTATGCTTAGGGAGACCCCTAAGAATTTACATGTTTACATTATTGGGTGTCCTAATCCATGAACGGGTATGATGGCTCTTGATTTCTTTAGGCAGTCTTTAGTGTCCTTTAGAACTTCCTAATTTTTCCATAGAAGTCTTAAATTTTTAAATAGTTCTTAAAATGTAGACTTGAAAATAGTTTATGCATTGATACAGAGGTATAATTTAACTTTCTAATAATTTTGTATCCAACAACTTTGCTTAGCTTTTAAAAATTCTATTCATATTTTTTTCCATTTTTCTATGTATGCAGTCATCTGTGAAGAATGCATTTTGTTTATTCCTTTTCTAACCTTTTATTTTTGATTTATTTTTACTTTTTCTTTGAGATGGAGTTTCTTTCTTGTTGCCCAGGCTGCAGTGCAATGGCGTGATCTCTGCTTGGCGCAACCTCTGCATCCCAGGTTCAAGTAATTCTCCTGCCTCAGCCTCCTGAGTAGCTGGGACTACAGGCATGTGCCACCACGCCTGGCTAATTTTGTATATTTCGTAGAGATGGGGTTTCTCCATGTTGGTCAGGCAGGTCTCGAACTCCTGACCTCAGGCGATCCACCCGCCTCAGCCTCCCAGATTACTGGGATTACAGGTGTGAGCCACCACACCCAGCCTCTTTTTACTTATTCTTAATGTGCTGGCTATTACCTCCAGTACAGTGTTCAGTAGAAGTGGGAATAGAGAACTGCCTCGTCTCACTCCCAGTCTCAGAAAGCAAGCTTGCACTATTTCACCATTTAGAATGATGTTTATTGTAGGTTTTTCTTGTTGCTATTCCTTATCTGATTAAGGAAGTTCCCTTCTCTCCTTAGTTCACTGAAGGTCCTGTTTTTAAAATAACGAATTATTTTTAGATTGTATTAAATGCTTTTTCTGTGTCTGTTGAAATGGTCACATAATTTCTCTCCTTACCTGTTCATGTGATAAAGTATAATTGATTTTCAAGTGTTAAACCACCATTGCATGTCTGGAATAGACCCAACTAGGTCATGATCGTTTTTTAATAGAAATTGCTGAACTTGGTTTGCCAATATATGAAGATTTTTTTTCTACATTCATGTATGAGATTGATGCACATATTTTTATTTTTTTATTTTTTGAGACGAAGTCTTACTGTGTCGGCCAAACTGGAGTGCAGTGGCGCAATCTTGACTCACTACAACTTCCCTCTCCAGCTTCAAGTGATTCTCCTGCCTCAGCCTCCACAGTAGCTGAGATTACAGGCACCCACCACCATGCCCAGCTAATTTTTTTGTAGTTTTATTAGAGACGGGGTTTTACCATGTTGGCTGGGCTGGTTTCAAACTCCTGACCTCAAGTGATCCTCCCACCTCTGCCTCCCAAAGTGCCTGGATTACAGGTGTGAGCCATGACACCTGGCCGATGCACACATTTTTTTCTTTCTTGTCCTTCCTTTGATTTTGGTGTCAAGGTCATGCTTGCCTTATAAATAAGTTGAGGCATCTGTCTTTTTTATTGTCTGGAAAAGTTTGTGTAAAAATGAAGTCATTGCTTCTTTCAGTGTTGGGTAGAATTTACCAGTAAAGTCTGGGCCTGGGTAATTTTTTTGTGGGAAGGTTTTTGATCAGTGATCATAGAACTATATTCTCGTTTTTCTAGAGTTAGTTTTAAGAAGTTATTTTCTAAGGATTTGTCCATTTCATCTTAAGTTTATTAGTATTAAAATTTATTATTTTAATATTAAAGCATCTACAGAGATGCCCACTAGTTTGAGTTTTTCTTTTTTTAAATTGAAGTGCATGAAATTCACATAACATGATCTGTTAGGTTTGCTTATTAGAAGTTACATGTTCCCTACATTGTTCCATGACACATGTACAAAGCTTCTCACTATGTGAATAAATAATCTGTTGTAAAAGGAGACTCAGATATTTATTACTCACCATAAGATATTTACATATGGCAGCAAAGAAACAAAGTTATTAGAATGTAAGTGTATAATACATACTCCAAGATGCTCAGATGTTATTTACTGATAGGTTAATTTGTTAATCAGAAAATGGTATTTGAACATAGCACTTTTAAAACACTGCTTTTTTTTTTTTTGAGATGGAGTCTCTCTCTGTTTCCCAGGCTAGAGTGCAGTGGCCTGATCTCCACTCACTCTAACCTCTGCCTCCTGGGTTGAAGTGATTCTCCTGCCTCAGCCTCCCCAAGTAGCTGGGACTACAGGCCCGTGTCACCATGCCCACGTAATTTTTTTTGTATTTTTAGTAGAGACGAGGTTTCACCATGTTGGCCAGGCTGATCTGGAACTCTTGACCTCAGGTGATCCACCTGTCTCAGCCTCCCAAAGTGCTGGGATTAGAGGCAGGAGCCACCGCACCAAGCCTGTTTTTTTAATAACAGTTTCATCAAGATATAATTCACATACCATACAGTTCACGCATTTAAAGTGTATAAGTCAGTGCGTTTTAGTGTATTCCTAGAGTTGTGCAGCTATCACTTCACTTCCTTTTTTCACTCCAAAAAGATAATCTCTTATTCATTACCTGTCACTCTTCATTTTCCCTCAATCTCGCACCACCTGAGGCAACTACTAATCTAATTTCTCTATAGATTTATCTGTTCTGGATATTTTATGTAAATGGAACTATGAAATAGATGATCTTTTGTAACTGGCTTCTTAGCACGTTTTCAATATTGTAGCATGTATCAGTACTTCACTTTTTATGGCTGAATAATACTTAATTGAATGGATATATACTGTATTTTGTGTGTTTATTCATCAGTTGGTAGACTGCAGGTTACTTATACTTTTTGGCTACTATGATTAATACTACTATGAACATTCTATTTTGTGTGTGTGTCAACGTAAAAAATATTTAGCAATTTCTTGAGATTATGGACTTTTACACTAGTTATATTTTATTTTGGCTTCTTATAAATAATATATTAGGAGGAATCCTAATCTAATGAATAAATTCAACATAATATGAAAATATTATTTGTAGATAACTAATATGACCATAACTAGTTTCTATTCTTTGTTTGCATTGTTTACTTTTTAAACCTTGGTTACCTTTTTAACTATTCATGAATAGCTCATGAATATAGAACCATTAGTTCTATATTCATGATAAATCACTTACTCTTTTCAATTATTTTCTTTTTGGTTTTAAAAATTTTTTATTTTTTTAACTCTTTTCTGACAGGAGCTACTGATTTCTATGGTTTATCACTTAATATAATTTGGCAACATAGTTGATAAATTCTGTGAGAACTGTATAGCATGGTAACTAGGTTATTCTTTGCTACATGTATACACCTGCACTTATTAAAATGGTCACATTCCATTCCCTCTTTGTGATGGATTGTTATTCCTTGGTCTGGTCTCTTCTGTTAAGTTACTTAACTAAATCTGTGATTGGTACATTGTTGAAAAAGGAAAATTCAGTTGTTTTTAAATCCAGCCTTTTCAAATTATAATTTACATTTTTATAAGTACCCATATTCAAATGAAAATTACTCAAATTCCTAGGTATGTTCAAGATCAGTAAATTTAGAAAAAGCTTCAGAGTCTTTGAAAGGAAACATGGCTGCTTTTCTAAAGTAAGTACCTTTCTTTTCTTTTTTCTTTTTTTTTTTAACTTTGAACTTAGTCCTGTGAACAAAATATCTGTATTATCTTTTGTTTTTGTCTTGGGTATCTTTTAACCAGGCAGTAACTGGTGTTTGAGAACCCATTAAGTTCAAATTTGTATAGCCACGTGAGACATTAGGATTATATAGTTACCTTTTTTTAATATTGTGGCATTGACATCACAATTTTAAATAAGGACCAAAGGGAAATTTTAAAATCTATTTTAAAATATCATTATACAGTTTATGTAATGGTGGCTTTTTAAATGGCTTATTAAAATTGGTTGATATGATTGTTTTTCTCAAACTAAATTATACACTTTTTTGTTTTACAATATTTCTTACTGATCTAGGAATGTGTGTCTGGGGTTGGAAGATCTGCAGTATGTTTTCATGATTTCTTCACATGAGCTTTTCATTACATTGTTGAAAGATGAAGAACGAAAGCTACTTGTTGATCAGATGAGGAAGAGATCCCCTAGAGTAAATCTGTGCATTAAACCTGTAACTTCATTTTATGATATCCCAGGTTAGCTCTCTAGTCGGCCAGCCAAAATGTTGGCATGTTTTGCCCCTCTATTCAAATTAACCTTGAAATATATTTGAGGATTCTCTCTTGTTTTAATTAACACTTGTGTTGGTAATTAATAGAAATTCACCTGTCTTCCGTATCAGATTTCTGTATAAGCAGTTATGCTCTGGAGCTCTGCCAAGCCAATGATTAGTACAGATTCAGTCCTAGATACATAAAAGATTTTAGCTGGGGAAGGCTGGGCGTGGTGGCTCACGCCTGTAATCCCAGCACTTTGGGAGGCCAAGACGGGCGGATCACGAGGTCAGCAGATAGAGACCATCCTGGCTAACACGGTGAAACCCCGCCTCTACTAAAAATACAAAAAATTAGCCAGGCATGGTGGTGGGCGCCTGTAGTCCCAGCTACTCTGGAGGCTGAGGTAGGAGAATGGCGTGAACCCAGGAGGCGGAGCTTGCAGTGAGCCAAGATTGCGCCACTGCACTCCAGCCTGGGTGACAGAGCGAGACTCCGACTCAAAAAAAAAAAAAAAAAAAAGATTTTCACCGGAGAAATAGACCAAGGTAACACTGCTGCCAGTATGTTCATGGAGGTAAAAACAGAAAGCAGGAGAGGAGTGGTGAGAAATGCTGGGACCAAAAAGAGGACAGATTTTCGTGCATGTCAGTCTATATCACTGTGCTAGTATCTGCTGACTGAACAGCTTGGCAGTATTGCTGTTTTTGCCTTGTTTGATTTTTTTTTCCATTTTTGCCCTTACAAATATAAGTAGAAAATACAATGCTGTTTTTAAATAAGAAACATAAACTTCAACATTTAATATAGATGAGAGAGAATTCGATTGGTTTAACAAAAGCAAACTTTTAGCTTCTTTGACCTTCACTAGATTTAAACTGGTTGAATGTCCAGTTGTAAAGGAAAAGGGTAAGGTTAACACAGAAATGCTGGAAATGCATTATTGAAGACCGTATCTGATATCTGAGCTGTAATTAGGGATTTTGGTAATCATTTTTGGTTCTCTGGGAAGAGCATGCCCCTTTCTCTCATAAAACACATGCTTAATGTTTATTACTCAAAATTAACATTTTATATATGCTTCTGTTAACACATTATATTCAAAAGTAGTGTATAAGTTGTGTATAAGTCTGTAAGTTAATTATTTTCATATATTCCACATAGTTCTTTGCATGAAATATTGATTTTTATCTTGTTTATATTTTCATTATCTTTATTTTTAAAATGCATTCATTTATTAAATGTAGATATAGTAAAATTTTGTTAGGTTTTCTGTGTGAGGATAAAGTTAATGTGTAATTTATACAATGTTGAATGCATCAGTTCTCAAGATGATAGCAGCTTTTAATTTATAGATATAATACAAAATACATAATTTTAAGTAAATTGTTATTCTCGTGTATATCTTTGAATTAAATCATTGAAATATAAATCTTTTTTTAGCTTCAGCAAGTGTCAACATTGGTCAGTTAGAGCATCAACTTATATTGTCAGTGGATCCTTGGAGGATTAGACAAATTTTAATTGAATTACATGGTATGACTTCAGAGCGCCAGTTCTGGACAGTGTCTAATAAGGTAAACCCTATGTCAAGAACAGATAAGAAAATTGCCCTTGTTTTCTGAGGTAATTTAATAGAAAAGCTGTTCCCTGACCTTTTTGATAATAAGGACCTCTTACTTAACAGTTTTAAGACCTTCATATGAACATAATTGCATTTTTAACATCCATTGACAGAGAAAATAGGAAATGTCAGAAACAAAAAGATACCATTAAATGAGTAACATCTAAAAATGAGTTTTTCCATTTGTTGACAAAATATACGCATTTTATTTCATTCATTTGTTTTTTGAGACAGAATCTCACTCTGTCGCTCAGGCTGGAGTGCAGTGGTGCAATCTTGGTTCACTGCAACCTCTGTCTCCCAGATTCAAGTGATTCTCCTGCCTCAGCCTCCCTGGTAGCTGGGATTACAGGTACCTGTCACCATGCCCGGCTAATTTATGTATTTTTAGTAGAGATGGGGTTTCACCATGTTGGCCAGGATGATCTCGAACTCCTGACCACCAGTGATCTACCCGCCTCTGCCTCCCCAAGTGTTGGGATTACAGGTGTGAGCCACCACGTCTGGCTGCATTTTAAATATAGTTGTAAATATATGTAAATGGTATATTATTTATGCATTCTGTAGCATAATGCTTCATTATGGAACATTTTTGGCTTTAAATGTTCCTTTAAAAACTCCCAGCTAATACATTTACCTGTTTCTGAGTTTATCTATTAGAAAGTTTTCCAGCATAGAAAGTGCAAATAAAAATAGCTTTTAAAACACCATTTCAGTGGAATGTAGCTTAGAGATACAAGGGAAGTAATCGACAGATACAGGAGAAATTAAAGCAATATGGTAATGCTCGTAACTAACTACATACTTACTCCTCCCCTGCTGAAGATGTAGTAAAAAGGCAGCCAGAAATGTATGGTTTGTTTTTTTTTTTTGAGACTGAGTTTCACTATTGTTGCCCAGGCTGGAGTGCAATGGTGCGATCTTGGCTCACTGCAACCTCCGCCTCCCGGGTTCAAGCAATTCTCCTTCCTCAGCCTCCCGAGTAGCTGGGATTACAGGCATGCCCCCACCATGCCTGATGAATTTTGTATTTTTAGTAGATACGGGTTTCTCCATGTTGTTCTCCATGTTGGTCAGGCTGGTCTCGAACTCCTGACCTCCTGACCTCAGGTGATCTGCCTGCCTCAGCCTCCCAAAGTGCTGGGATTATAGGCATGAGCCACTGTGCCCGACCTGTATTTTTAAAAATTGGGTTTAAACATACTAGTAGAGAGAAAATAAAAAATTGCTCTAAAAATTAGTTGGGCTTTTTTTTAGCATTGATGCTATTTATTAGTGTGAATTTTTAAGATGAAGGCCAGGTGCAGTGGCTCATTGCCTGTAATCCCAGCACTTTGGGGAGCTGAGATGGGTGGATCACTTGAGGCCAGGAGTTCAAGACCAACCTAGGCAACATAGCGAAACCCCGTCTCTACTAAAAATATAAAAATTAGCTGGGCATGGTGGCGCGCACCTGTATTTCCAGCTACTTGAGAGGCCGAGGCAGGAGAATCACTTGAACCTGGGAGGCAGAGATTGCAGTGAGCAGAGATCACGCCACTGCACTCCAGCCTGGGTGACGGAGCGAGACTCTATCTCAAAAATCAAGAACAAACCAAAAATTTTTAAGATGAACAAGTATAGCATGATAGTTATGATAGGGGATTCTGGGACTAACCGCGTGCTTAAGCTTGAATGCCAGCTTCATACTTAAATAGCCGTATAATCTTGAACAAGTTATTTAACTTCTTTGTGTTGCAGTTTTCTCATTTGCAAAATGACAGTAGTAGCATAATAGTACTTACCTTGATATTGTTGTGAGGATTACCTGAATTAATATATATAAAACTCCTAGTCTTTGTGTGCCTTTTTTTCCTAATAGTAATCCCAGTCCATTATTTATTACTTGTTGATTGTAGCGAATGTGTTCATTTTCGTTAGTGTTATATTATGGCTGTCATTTTCCTTTCTCTTTAAGAGACGACCCGTGAGTTATTTGTTTTAAATGCGATTGAAGATTGTTGAAAGATTCTTATCTAGATTTGGCTTCCTCTATGTGTGCATATATATATGTATTTTTTGTTTCTTTTAGTGGGAAGTACCTTCTGTCTATAGTGGTGTTATCCTGGGAATTAAAGACAATTTAACAAGAGATTTGGTTTATATTCTTATGGCCAAAGGTTTGCACTGCAGTACTGTTAAGGTGAGTAAAAGTGTGTATCAAACACTTGTTAAGAATATGCTTTATGGTCAGGTGCCGTGGCTCATACCTGTAATACCAGCACTTTGGGAGTCTGAGGTGGGCAGATCAACTGAGGTCAAGACCAGCCTGGCCAACATGGTGAAACCTTCTCTCTACTAAAAATACAAAAATTAGCCGGGTGACTATAATCTCAGCTACTCGGAGTCTGAGGCAGGAGAATCTCATGGGAGGTGGAGGTTGGAGTTGCATCATTGCACTCCGGCCTGGGTGACAGAGTGATAGTCCATCTCGGAAAAAAAAAAAAAAAAAGAAAAGAATATGCTTTACTAATTTTAGCAGGAAGTCAGGAACCAGAACTTACCTTTTCCTAATCTTTTCCTAATCTTTAAAGTCACAGTCATAGGCCTAAAAGGATATTTAAAAAGGCATTTTGGTTTGTTCTTTTTGCTTTACCGTTATAATTATACTAAAATGGTCTTGATCAAATGAATACTGCTCTGTGCCTTTTTAAAAGTTGAGAGAACATGCAAAGATATTATTTGTATTCTTTAGGATTCAGCTAGTAAAGATTGTGTACCAAGATTAAAAAACAAACTTTCTAAAAATATACTTTTGTAGTGTATTTTACATGAGTTTGCAGTCTGGGATGTTGAGACATAAGTGGAATGTTAAATCACATAAGATAGTGCAGTTGCGTGACTGATCATACACTGAGTTCTTTAGGAAGGTTAAAGGCAGCATTTGGAAGGCAGAAATGAACTAAAATTGAGGCTTAAATAAGTTAACTACATCCCCACACCAGCAGCACCTGTGACATTTGGGAACTTTTTGTTTGAGACAGGGTGTTGCTGTGTTGCCCAGACCGGGGTGCAGTGGCATGATCATGGCTCACTGCAGCCTCGACTTCCTGGGCTCAAGCAATTCTCCTACCTCAGCCCCCTAAGTAGCTGGAACCACAGGCATGTGCCACCATGCCCAGCTTATTTGAAAGAATTTTTTTTTTTTTTTTTTGCAGAGACAGCATCTCCTTATTTTGCCCAGGCTGATCTTAAACTCCTGGGCTCAAACAATCCTTCCACATCAGCCTCCCAAAGTGCTGGCATTACAGGCATGAGCCACTGCACGTGGCTGGAACTTGCTGGAAATAAAAATTTTGGGGCCCTGTCCTAGACCTAATGGATCAGAAATTCTGGGATGGGGCCCAACATCTTTTTAAATAAGCCCTCAAAGTAATTCTGTTGCATGCTAAAGTTGGAGAACTGCTGCTCTAGACCATCATTGTCCAGTGGGAACATAATGTAGGCCACATATGTAATCTGTAATTTCATAAAAAAGTTTAGTTGATTGAAATGATTTATTTAACTCAGTATGTCTAATTTCAATGTGTAATCGATATAAAAAGTTGGGATGTTTTGCATTCTTTTGAAAATGTATGTGCTAAGTCTTCAAAATCCAGTAAGTATTTTATACTTATAGAATCTCAACTTGGACTAGTCACATTTCACATGCTCAGTAGCCACATCTTATCTAGTGGCTGCCATATTAGACAATGCATCATGAGACAATTGTAAGCCATTGAAAAGTTTTAATAGGAGGAATGTAGTTAGCAGCTTTATCTCCTTCTACACCTAACATAACATTTACTGGGCACAGAGACTTCTGAAATTTCATATACATTTATTGTTTCATTTATTCACAAAAAGTTTGTGGAAGGTATTATCTCAGTTTTAAAGGTGTTAAATTGTCCAAGGGCACACAGCTAGTAAGTGTCACAAGTGTTACAAGGGATAGAGAGAAGAGAACATATTAGAGAAATATTTAGGAGGTAAAATCTGGAAGCAATTGGCAACTGACTTAATGTGGAAGGCAAGATAGGGAGAAAGAATTGAGCATGATGCTCAGACTTCCGGTTCGAGAGTCAGAGAACAAGTGGCAATACCAGCAAGTGAATGTGCAGAAACACATTTTTGCAGGGCAGATTATGAGTTTATTTTTACAATTTTAATTTGAAGCTACAGTTGGAAACAGCCTAAAGCTTGGAGAATGGTCTGGACTGGAGTTACAGATTTGGGAATTACCAAAGATCACCCAGAGAGAATATAAAGAGCGTGAGACCCTAGGGAATGCAATACTAGGTCCAAGAAATAGTGGTGTGATGGGTGTGAGGACCACACAAATGTAGAATAGCTAGGGGAAAAGAAAATGTCAAGAAAAGGGCAATACATAGCACTGAGTTGAAGCCCCTAATTCCTGTAAGATAACAGTGTTCAGTAGATTGGACAATTAAAAGATCTTTGGCTTGTGAGAGTTACTTCTTTGTAATGATGGGGGTAGAAGCCAGATTATGGGAGTGAATGAAATATGTGGAGCAATAGAATATAGTCTTTGGAAACATAAGAGATGCATAGGAAAGGACTTGGATCATAGCTGATTTATTTCATTTTATTTGTTAGCCAATTTTATCGTCTAGTACGGTGGTGTGCAAAGATTTTGGAATGTGTAACCCTTGAATGGTGTAAGGTCTAATTCTGAATATGTTGGATGGAGGAGGGTGCTTGTTATAGAATTTACACCTGTGTAATACAGAAGTCTTTGGTTATCTTATAACTTTTATAAAAGTTGCATAATAATATAAGTATTTTATATTGTTTATTGGATTTTTTAAAATTACAAAGTTATTAAATATTTTTTGGAATAAATCAACAATACAGAGATGAAAATACTATCTAGCCTTACTGCCTGAGAAAAGCAACGTTAACCATTTGAAATAATCCTTCTCCTCTTTGCTCTGTCAACATAAAGGCACACATTTTTTGGCGCCAAAGGAAAGGTGACCCAGGCTATTCTTTTTCTTTTCATAGGACTTTTCCCATGCTAAACAGCTCTTTGCTGCTTGTTTGGAGTTGGTAACAGAGTTCTCACCGAAGCTTCGTCAGGTCATGCTGAATGAGATGTTGCTTTTGGATATTCATACACACGAAGCTGGGACAGGGCAGGCAGGAGAGAGACCGCCATCCGACCTTATAAGTAGAGTACGAGGCTATCTGGAAATGAGGCTTCCTGGTAAGACTGGTTCACAAAGACAAATTTCAGAAACTCAGTACTCACATAATTGTGGGGGAAAATTTAAAAGCAGATTTATTTGAGTTTGTAATCTTTTTTTTTTTTTTTTTTTGAGATGGAGTGTAGCTCTGTCACCCAGGCTGGAGTGTAATGGCGCGATCTCGGCCCACTGCAGTCTCTGCCTCCCGGGTTAAAGTGACTCTCCTGCCTCAGCCTCCTCAGTTGCTGGGATTAAAGGAACCCACCATCATGCCTGGCTAATTTTTGTATTTTTGTAGAGATGGGGTTTCACTATGTTGGCCAGGCTGGTTTTGAACTCCTGACCTCAGGTGATCCACCCTCCTCGCCCTCCCAAAGTGCTGGGATTAGAGGCATGAGCCACCATGCCCAGCTGAGTTTTTATCATCTTTGAAAAAAGTTATTTCACTCCTAAAACAGAATTTGGGTTTGGTGTTCACTGGAGAACATTGGGAAAAATGAAGGAAACTGTTCATTTCTGGGATTTCTGTAACAAGGTACCACAAACTGGGTGACTTAAAACAACATAAATATATTATCTCCCAGTTCTGGAGGCCGGATGTCTGAAGTCAGGATGTCTGCAGGGCTGTGCTGCCCCCAAAGGCTCCAAGAAAGACTCTTTCCTTGCGTCTTCCTAGCTTCTGGTGACCCAGCAATCTTTGGCTTGGGCTGCATTGCTCCAGTCTCTGCTGCTGTCTTCACATGGCCTTCCCCCTGTGTATGTCTGTGTTCTCTTCTTACAAGGACACCAGTCATTGGATCTAAGTTCTGCCCTAATCCAGCTGACTTCATCATAGCTAATTACATCTGCAAAGACTATTTCCAAATAAGGTCACGTTCTCAGGTTCCAGATACACATGAATTTTGGGGGATACTTCTACACACTAGAGAAACTATATTGCAATGTTCAGGTGTTTGAAAGAATCAAAATGTCCTTGAGTGTACAGATTGAAGTTTTATTTCCTTGTTACAGCCATAAAATGCCTTCACACTGATTGCCAGTGGGCTAGAAATTCACTTGTGGCTACTTTAGGAACAGATCTTGAGTGTTTAATTCTAATTGTAAATGTCTTACTATGAAAAGGGGCTTACCATATAAATGATCATCTACGACACATAAATCTTTCTTAGTTAAAGCCGTTTCTTATTTTTCTGCTTTAGAAGTATTTAGAGCAATTAAATCATACTGTACACATTTAATAGTATAAACAGTGGAATTGCATTATAAAAGGAAGGTGATAGTAATGTGTCAGAACAGAAGCAAGTGCTACCGTCTTGAGTCCTATGGGTTAATTTAATTTCTAATTAAAGTCTAATTTCCAGCAGGGGCATGCAGTTATAGATCATAACTTTTTAGTACCCTATAGAGAGAATGCCTTTGAGCTTTAACACATCAGTGCTCTTAAATATTGTAATGTCTTCATGAGGATTGATCTAATAATATGCTGGCACTAAAGGATGCATGCTGCTGTATACATATTTACTTTTTAAAAGTGGGAGGTAGGTTTTCCATACATGGTTTTCTAAAATGAGAAAGAATGTTTAAACCCTAATGTTTGTTGAGTGCTAACTACGTGTCAGGCATTGTTCTAAGCTTCAGGTGCATAACTCATTTAGTCCTCATAGCAGCTCTGTGAAGTAGCTACTGTTTCCTTATCCCCATTTTGTAACTAAGAAACCGAGGTGCAGAGAGGTTGAGGAATTTGCCCACAGTCACACAGGAAGAGACAGAACTATGACTGTACTCCAGCCCAGCTTCAAAGCCTGTGCTCTTACTCTTTGAATGGGTGAAAGTTCCTTTAAATCATTAGTCTCTTTGTGCTACCTTTTTGGCTGAACAGTTTGTAGTTCACATCACTTTTTTGGGGATAGGGAGGGTAAAGGACTGATAGCTCTGCATATAATTTTTGTAAACTCCTAACTTATTAAATGTTCAGCAACTTGTCCTATAGCTTATGCTTATAAACAGTGTTTAAAATAAGAAGGAGGCTGGGCATGCTGGCTCACGCCTATAATCCCAGCACTTTGGGAGTCCGAGGCGGGCAGATCACTGGAGTCCAGGAGTTCGAGACCAGCCTGGACAACATAGTGAGACCCCATCTCTACAAAAATGCAAAAATTAGCCAGGTGTGGTAGCATTAGCCAGGTGTGGTGGGACCTGTGGTCCCAGCTACTTGGGGAGGTTGAGGTGGAAGGATCGCTTGAGCCTGGGAGCTCAAGGCTGCAGTGAACCATAATCACACCACTGCACTCTATCCTGGGCGACAGAGTGAGACCCTGTCTCTACAAAATTTTATTTTTGAGACAAGGTCTCACTCTGTTGCCCAGGCTGGTCTCAAACTCCTGGCCTCAAGTGATCCTCCTGCCTTGGCCTCCCAAAGTGTTGGGATTACAGGTGTGAGCCACCATACCCGTCCTGTTTTTTTATTCAGTTGAAATCTGAGCAAGTATTTGCTTTGTTCCTATTTTAATGTTGTGATGGTAATTCCAACTGTTTTCTTCTTTGCTTTTTAGATATTCCTCTTCGTCAAGTTATAGCTGAGGAATGTGTTGCCTTTATGTTAAACTGGAGAGAAAATGAATACCTTACACTCCAAGTTCCTGCATTTTTGCTTCAGAGTAATCCATATGTAAAGGTAGTTAATGTTTAAATAAAAGGATTGTTAGGATGGTATTATTATACTTGTTTCTTTAACTTTATACTACTTTGGGAACTTGTCTAATTTCTGTGATACAAATGATTGGACAAATGCTTGTTGATTTGTAGTTAAAGGATAGAGTTTTTGATAATTCATGCACTTGACCTTGTTCTAATATTTCTTTCTAATGCCCTGTAATTCATGAGCATGTAGTCACAGATTATTTAGTTAACAGATAACACATTGGTGTAATCCTAAGTAATGAGAGATTCGCTTTCTTTGCTTTGGTTGCTCTAATCACACTCTAGAACTGATGGAGTCCGTCAGGGATGCACTTCTCCTTGTTTCCATTTGAACACTTTATTCTTCTTTAGAATTTTATCCTTCTAAGTTTGCTATGTCTGAATCTCCAATAGGTTTGCTATTAGTAATTATTCCCCTAGTGAAAGAATTTATTCAGTAAATTGGCACTAAGTTATTTTGTTGTCTTAATTATATCCTTTGCAACCTAAAATGCTTCTGAGTACAGAAAATATCAAAACTAATAAGAAACTGGAGGTTTTTTCTAAGATTATATCTTTCATGTGTTAATATTATACACACTCTGAGTAAGTAGTGGGTTTTTCTCACTTTCTGGTTTTACAGTTAAAAAAAAAACAAAGTAGGCTGGGCGTGGTGGCTCACGCCTGTAATCCCAGCACTTTGGGAGGCCAAGACGTGCGGATCACAAGGTCAGGAGTTCAAGACCAGCCTGGCCAATATGGTGAAACCCTGTCTCTACTGAAAATACAAAAATTAGCCAGGTGTGGTGGCAGGTGCCTGTAGTCCTAGCTACTCAGGAGGCTGAGGCAGGAGAATCGCTTGAACCCGGGAGGCAGAGTTTGCGTGAGCTGAGATGGTGCCATTGCACTCCAGCCTGGGCAACAAGAGCGAAACTCTACCTCAAAAAAAAAAAAAAAAAAAAAAAAACCCAAAAAACAAAGTAAAACATGTAGTGATTTAACATTATACGTCCCTGTCTCCTTTTTGGGTATATTTGGTGCTTCAGATTTTCCCATTATTTTTAATTGTTCCTATTACCTTTTGTTATTCTTTGTTTGTCCCAACTTGTCTTTGGTAATACAAAGTCCTTTAAATCGGCTGGGTGCAGTGGCTCACGCCTGCAATCCCAGCACTTTGGGAGGCCGAGACGGGCAGATCACGAGGTCAGGAGATGGAGACCATCCTGGCTAACAAGGTGAAACCCCGTCCTTACTAAAAATACAAAAAAAATTAGCCGGGCGTAGTGGCGGGCTCCTGTAGTCCCAGCTACTCGGGAGGCTGAGGCAGGAGAATGGCATGAACCCGGGAGGCGGAGCTTGCAGTGAGCCGAGATGGCGCCACTGCACTCCAGCCTGGGCGACAGAGTGAGACTCTGTCTCAAAAAAAAAAAAAAAAAAATCCTTTAAATCTGTGTTTTTCTGGGAACTTTTGTAAAACTGTGCCACTTTGTAACATTTGTGTTTGGTTACTTGTTTCTTCCTTCACGTATGTCCTTTTAAAAACTGAGCTCATTTCATTTTAACCCTTTCAGGATTTATTGAGTTTATTGATTTCTTCAGTTTTTCCCCCCTTTTTGTAATTTTTTTTTTTTTTTTTTTTTTTGAGACGGAGTCTCGCTCTGTCGCCCAGGCTGGAGTGCAGTGGCGCGATCTCGGCTCACTGCCAGCTCCGCCTCCCGGGTTCACGCCATTCTCCTGCCTCAGCCTCCCGAGTAGCTGGGACTACAGGCGCCCACTGCCATGCCCGGCTAATTTTTTGTATTTTTAGTGGTGACGGGGTTTCACCGTGTTAGCCAGGATGGTCTCAATCTCCTGACCTCGTGATCTGCCCGCCTTGGCCTCCCAAAGTGCTGGGATTACAGGCGTGAGCCATCGAGCCCGGCCCTTTTTTTTGAGACGGAGTTTTGCTCTTGTTGCCCAGGCTGGCGTGCAATGGCACGATCTCGGCTCACCGCAACCTCTGCCTCCCAGATTCAAGCAATTCTCCTGCCTCAGCCCCCCGAGTAGCTGGGATTACAGGCACGCACCACCACGCCTGGCTAATTTTGTATTTTTAGTAGAGATGGGGTTTCTCCATGTTAGTCAGGCGGGTCTGAACTCCCGACCTCAGGTGATCCGCCCACCTCGGCCTCCCAAAGTGCTGGGATTACAGGCGTGAGCCACCGCGCCCGGCCCGGCCCTTTTTGTTATCTTTACACTTGCTCGTGAAAACTGCCATACTTGAATTACCCTTTTCTTTGAAATTTCAGACATTGAATCATATCTATCTCTTCTTTTTTTTGGAGACTGAGTCCCCCTCTGTCGCCCAGGCTGGAGTGCACTGGCACAATCTCGGCTCATTGCAACCTCTACCTCCCAGTTTCAACCCATTCTTGTGCCTCAGCCTCCCAAGTAGCTGGCATTACAGGCATGCACCACCACACCCGGGTAGTTTTTTTTTGTTTTGTATTTTTAATAGAGACGGGGTTTTGCCATGGCAGGTCTAGAACTCCTGACCTCAGGTGATCCCCCCGCCTGGGCCTCCCAAAGTGCTGGGATTACAGGCATAAGCCACCGTGCCCGACCTGAATCATTTCTATCTCTTTAGTGAACTTTCTGGCATGTGAGTTCTTAATATATTGGGCACTTGTCTCATTATGGACACCAGTAATTTCTTAGCCTTTAAGAAAATCAGATGAGGGAACCGTTGTGTTCCAAGGTTACTGTCATTTACACTTACAATCATAGCTTGTCACTGAGTGCAAAGACAGCATAGTAACTCTTCTCTTTACCTCTGGCAGTGAATTCTGTGGAGCTGTGCACCAGGAGAGATAGGCATGTGTTTGTGTAATGAATGCTTGAGGGTCTGCAATGTGTAAGGACACAGGAAATTGTTTTGTTGGTTGCCTAACTCTGGGAGAGGCTGTCTCACTGCTTCCTGCAGTTCCCCTGATCTGGTCCAAAAGGAGGAAGGATGTGTGGTGACTTTGCGAAAGAATTGTCACTTAGATGTCTCTTCATATGTCATCTGGTGGTTAGGGTTTTGTGTGCCACCTTCCATACATAATTGGCCTCTCACTGCCTTGTTAATGTCAAGGAAAAAGGAATTAGAGAAAGAAGTTTAGAATGAGGGATTGTGTTTTGAAAAAAATACAATCTGAATCAGTTTCCACACTTCCAAGCTGGTGTGGAATGCACCACACACACACACGCACACACGTGTAGGAAAAAGTCTGAAAGGATATTAACAGCCATTATCTCTAGATAATGGGAAATTTGGTGATTTTAATGTTTTCTATTCTGTTACATAGGAACATATTTTCCTACTCATATATTACGTAATCACAAATAGGAACAGAAAATTCTTAAGCATGTCACTAAAATATACCCTTTTGAAATAATATAAAACTGTCTAGTCTGCCCCTTGGATCAGAGTGGGTGGCAGTGTCACATAATGGAAAGGGCACAGGTTATAGGCACTTGGATGATAAGAACCTAGGTAGTAGTGGGGGGTTGGCAGCCACAGTGGTGCTAGTATAGGCTAAAACCTTAGGTTGTTCATGTGGCCTACCAGGCTTCTTAAGGTGTGCATGCTTCTCCTCCTCCAGGTGCAGTTCCCCTGCCCCTTGGCGTTCCAGCCCTGTGCTGGCAGCACCAGCATGCCCACGCCATGTTTCCATTCTGCACCTGTGCACACGCTGTTTGTCACATTAGCCAGGATGTCCTTTCCAGCTTTGCGTGTTTGTGTGATTTCTCTGATGCTTTCCCATATTCTTTTCTCTGTAAATGAGTAAATCACTTCCTCTTCCTGCTTCCTTTGTACTGTTGTACTGATCCTGCTACTGTTGTACTGTTGACTTATTTCTTTTGTTGTGTTTATGCTGAATAGTAAGTTATATATCCACTTGTCTTCTCTATAAGACAATGAACTGCTTCAGGGCAGTTAATTTTTATGTTGTGCTTTCCATGATGCCCACCACACATAGTAGGTGCTCAAGAATGTTTGTGGAATTCAATTGATTTGAGGCCTTAGACTTTGAAAATTTTTTAAATTAAATTTATGTAATAAATTCAGTGACCTTAAAGCATATGATCCCTGACAACAGAAGATGAATTTGAGCTAAGAGCTACAGTAGCCCTGGCATTACACTGCAGTGAATAGCTGCATGTATTGTGATTCCATTTGTCAGAGAAGAGTATTTTAGGTAAGCTTGCAGGATGAAATATCCTGCTAGGCCATTGGTCCATGTCTATTCACCTAGTATAGGCAGGGTTTTTATGTTATTCTCACGAGCTTCGGAAAGCCACAGTACTCTTGTTAATTTTCTTAGGCATGATCACAGAGTTGTGGTTATGGAGAAGAATGTCCTCGTCCTTAGAAGATGTATGTGGAAGTATTTAGGGATGAAATATTGTGTCTAACTTAGTTTAATATGGTTTAACAAAAAAATTTATGTAGATATATAAAGCAAACATGGCAGAATAGTCACAATGTGTCAGGTATTTATTGAACTTTTTTTTTTATTTTTCTGTTTGAAATTTTTCATAACAAAAAAATGTAGAGAAAAACCACCAATTTTTGTCCTTGTCACAATCTTGCCACCTCCTTAAAAAAGCCGCCTTAAGCAGTAGGGACCCCTAGGTCCATTTTAAGTAGAAACCAGGGGTTCCTGATGGATTTGAAATTATCCTTGCTACTGCACCCTCTACAAGAGCGATGGAGTATAAAAGTTAATATGAACAAGGGTAAAGGGGCCCAGTTCTGAATTTGGCCAGATGCTGTGGCTCAAGCCTGTAATCTCAGCACTTTGGGAGGCCGAGGCGGATAGATCACTTGAGGCCAGGAGTTCGAGACCAGCCTGGCCAACATGGTGAAACCCCGTCTCTACTAAAAATACAGAAATTAGCCGGGCATGGTGACACATGCCTGTAATTCCAGCTACTCAGGAGGCTGAGGCACAAAAATCGTTTGAGCCTGGGAGGCGGAGGTTGCAGTGAGCCAAGATTATACCACTGCATTCCAGCCTGGGTGCAGAGCAAGACCCTGCCTCCAAAAAGAAAAGAAAATAAAAGAAATTCTGAATTTATTGTAAGTCAATCTTTCCCTGTCTTTTGCTTTTAGCTTTCCCACTCTTTATTTCTGGGTCCTCCCTACATCCTAGGTCATTGAGGCTGCCTTTATTCATACCAGTCACTTTGTGTAACCTGTCCTGCCTTAATTCTACCTCCTCAGAAGAGCAGTAGCTCCATTCCCAGTTGCTACCAATTTTCTTAGAGAAAAATTGCTTTAAATCTATATCCCTTAATTCTGCCAACTTCAGTTTCCTTATTCCTTTCCTTATTTTTTTCGTTGAAACAATTTTTTTTTTTAGTGATTAAAAGTTGTATGTGTGTGTATTTGCACGTGGGAGAGAGAGAGATCTGAGCACTATTTTAACCTCACCCCCTGGGCTTTTACCACAGTTAACATCTTGGTGTATGCCTTCCATTACACTTTTTTTTCCCTATGTAACGTGGGATCATACTATGTGTATTTAGCAACTCGTTTTTTTTTCCACTTAATAAATCACCTATCTCTTTGCGTTGTCTCATTTTCGTTTTCATTAGACTATAACTGTTCAGAAACAAAGTTCGTATGCTCGAACCAGAGGATCTTTCTCAGATTCAGATCTGTCAGTACGCAATGAGCCCTAAATTCCTCAAAGGTTGTACAGAATGCACAGCATAAAATAACTGTGCTTAGTATGTTTGGGCAGTCATTCCATCTTTCCTCCAGTGTGCCTTGATAATAGAACTAATGTGCACGACATTACAGATTATCTTTTGTGTATTTTGTTTTTCATGTTATAGCTTGGACAGCTTTTAGCAGCTACATGCAAAGAACTTCCAGGCCCTAAAGAAAGTAGACGGACTGCCAAAGACCTTTGGGAAGTTGTTGTTCAAATCTGTAGTGTGTCCAGTCAGCACAAACGAGGAAATGATGGCAGAGTTAGTTTAATAAAACAGAGGGAATCTACGTTAGGTATCATGTATCGGTATGTATTGGTACGTTTCTATTAGTTGTGTTTGAGTTCTTAATATTTATCCTATTTATACTATTAACCTATTAAAGGTTGATTTCAAGAACATCAGCTTTTATTCTGTATATCATAAAGTTGGACAATCTTACGAGTTCTGTAGTACTCACCTGTGATGAACCTGTCTGCCTTGGCCACCTTTGGAAAGATCTTTTGTTTATATGTCATTTTAAGAAACTATTAATCATTTAATCAACTGGAATTCAAAATCAGTAGTATTTAAGGTTGGATAGTATTGAAGACTTCACATGTGATTAAAACAGGGAAGAAATGTTATTAGGTTAGTATAACAGTAGAATATTACATTCCTTTTCACACTTGCAGAATTGGAGCATTAAGAATAAACCTTCACCTATAATTTACTTTCTTGATTTTATTTTTTATTTCTAATATTAAATGTGTATTCAAAAATTTTTGTTTTGTAGGAGTGAACTGCTTTCTTTTATCAAAAAATTACGAGTAAGTTTTATTAAAAATTGCTCTAATTACTATTGCTGGTTTTTGTAGAATATGACTAAAAATTATTGGGTACTTCAAATACTGACTAAATTATTATTTGTTTTTTAATTTTTTTTTAAGGGACAGGGTCTTGATCTGTCACCCAAGCTGGAGTGCTGAGGTGTGATTGTAACTCACTGCGTCTTCTAATTCTTGAGGTTAAGCAGTCCTCCTGCCTCAGCTTTCTGAGGAACTGGGACTACAGGCACATGTAACCATGCCCAGCTAATTTTTTGTAGAGATGAGGTCTCCCCTTGTTGCCCAGGCTAGTTTCTAACTCCTGGTCTCAAATTATCATCCCTTCTTGGCCCCTCACAGTGCTGGGATTACAGGTGTTAGCCACCTTGCCTGGCCTCTGGTTAAATTATTAAAGTGACCTGTTAATGTGCTTTTCTTCAGTGATCATTATTGGTGGGTGGGATATTCTGACTGGAAAAGTTTGTATTGCATTTACTTTACCATGTTTTAGTGAACGGAGCAGGTATTTCTTTAAATTGTAAAGAAGTCTTCATAATAGGGGCTAGATGTGTGAAGCCTGGCTTTAATTTTTGCTTAGTAGGATCAATGTCATATTTACTTATTGGACGTAACCTAGGTTTCACTCTTTGAACATTATTTTAAGGGATAAAAAGTTACTTGAGAGTCATGTGAGGAGTTGAGCGTGGAGATAGCACCATAAGCCAAACATTTATGCTAATTTTATGTAAATTATGTGCTATGGTCCACGCCCCGCCCCCACATGCGATTAAAAAGTTGATTTTTAGTGTGCTAAAGCACATGCTAAAACAGATGCTACATTTTCAAAAGGCAAGGGTCTTTTAGAATGCTTGATGTCTGTGAGGTTGACAGGAGCAATATTAAATAAATATACATACACTGTTTAAGGATTCTGTGTTTTCTTTCTCATAGGAACCACTCGTTTTGACTATTATTTTATCACTCTTTGTGAAACTTCACAATGTTCGGGTAAGTATTTCATAATTTCATTTAGAAAAATTTAAAAGAAATTTCTTTGTAAATCACACCTTTTTTTTTCTTTTTAAAGGAGGACATTGTGAATGATATTACAGCTGAACACATTTCTATTTGGCCATCTTCCATTCCCAAGTAAGTAGTGGTATAGCTTTTATTTTATTAATTGAGTTATGTATTTGGAAACCATTCTGACTAGTATAGATACCCTTAGATAATTTTATTAAAGGGCCAGAAATCTAAGATTCTACAGTCTTTGTGTTTCTCTATTATGATAATGATAATTATCTTCCTGTAAATTGTGGATAAGGCATAACCCTTTTTTTTTTTTTTTTTTTTGAGGCAGAGTCTCACTCTGTTGCCCAGGCTGGAATGCAGTGGTACAATCTCTGCTCACTGCAATCTCTGCCTCTTGGGCTCAAGCAATTCTCATGCCTCAGCCTCCCAAATAGCTGGGATTACAGGCACCCACCACCACGCCTGGCTAATTTTTGTATTTTTAGTAGACACATGGTTTTGCCATGTTGGCCAGGCTGGTCTCAAACTCCTGACCTCAAGTGATCTGCCCACCTCAGCCTCCCAAAGTGCTGGGATTACAGGCAGGAGCTACCACACCTGGCCCAGCATAACTCTTAAGTAGGAGTTAAGATTTATCAGCCTTGGAACAGAAGATATAAGTGGTCCTGATTTTCAGTAGAATTGGAAAATTGGGGCCAATGAAAGAATGACTTTCTATCAGGTTTCCAGCATCTTATTTCTTTTACAAGTATCTATTTGAAAGTGATTTCTTTTTTCATAATTTTTTGTATGTCTCATCTAATGCTGCAGTTATCAAAAGGCTCCCAATCTCTTTTAGTTGCTGTAGGAACTAAACTAAACTTCTTTAATTACTTTGAGAAATATTCCCTTTTGCATGCACTACCTGAGAATCACAGTAAGATGATGGGGACTTTTTTTAGGGGAGGAAAAAGGGTTCATTTACTTGAAGAAATCATGTACATTTTTCTTTTCCCACACATAGCACTTCTCATGTAGGGGAATCAACTTGTTTCCTCACAGATGTTTTTCCTCCCTGCCCTCCCTCTCAGTCTTCTTAGTTTGTGCTTGTCCAAGCCTTATGTTATTACTCTTAGTGGCATCTTTGAAGAAGAAAAGATTTCGGTACATAGACAAGCTGATAATAGAATAATAGTAAAGAATTTGTTTCCGTCTCAATCTTAGAGATTGGAAAAGCTCTCTGTCTCATCCAGGGATTTGGAGGGTCAGAGCAGGTGAGTGCCCCTGCCCTCCACTTACTGAGGCTTGTTTCCCAAGGGAGCACCATGCTGCATGAAGCACATGTGCATGCTCCACAGCATTTGAACTGCAGAGTCCGTCATCCTGTGTTCCTGATTTTTATATAAAATCTGTTGTTAGATACCAATTCAAGAATCAGGTAGAGACAGTTTTTCTTTTCTTTTCTTTTCTCTTTTCTTTTCTTTTTTTTTAGACATCACGTTGCTTTGTCGCCCAGGCTGGAGTGCAGTGGTGAGGTCTCAGCTCACTGCAACCTACGCCTGCAAGGTTCAAGCGATTCTCATGCCTCAGCCTGCCAAGTATCTGGGATTACAGGTGCATGCCACCACCCCCAGCTATTTATTTGTATTTTTAGTAGAGACAGGGTTTCACCCTGTTTCCCAGGCTGGTCTTGAACCCCTAGCCTCTAGAGATCTGCCCACCTTGGCCTCCTAGAGCTCTGGAATTATAGGCGTGAGCCACCATGCCCACCCAGTTTTGGATTTTTTTTTTTTTTTTTTTGAGGCAGAGTTTTGCTTTTGTTGCCCAGGCTGGAGTGCAGTGGCGCAATCTCGGCTCTCCACAACCTCTGCCTCCCTGGTTCAAGCAATTCTCCTGCCTCAGGCTCCCGAGTACCTGGGATTACAAGCATGTGCCACCACACTGGGTAAATTTTGTATTTTTAGTAGAGACAGGTTTCTTCATGTTGGTCAGGCTGGTCCCAAACTCCTGACCTCAGGTGATCTGCACACCTCAGCCTCCCAAAGTGCTGGGATTAACAGGCGTGAGCCACCACGGCCAGCCCAGTTTTGCATTTTTTAATTGGTGGTTTCAGTGGTTGTGTTTTTGTTTTTTGGGGGTTTTTTTGAGACAAAGTCTCACTCTGTTACCCAAGCTGGAGTGCAATGGTACGATCTCGGCTTACTGCAACCTCCACCTTCCAGGTTTGAGCAATTACTACAGGCGTGTGCCACCACACCTGGCTAATTTTTATTTTTATTTATTTATTTACTTATTTTTATTTTTATTTTTTGAGACGGAGTCTTGCTCTGTTGCCCAGGCTGGAGTGCAGTGGCATGATCTCAGCTCACTGCAACCTCCGCCTCCCGGGTTCAAGCAATTCTCCTGCCTCAGCCTCCTGAGTAGCTGGTGTTACAGGCACGTGCCACCAAACACAGCTAATTTTTGTATTTTTAGTAGAGATGAGGTTTCACCATGTTGGTCAGGCTGGTCTCAAACTCCTGACCTTGTGATCTGCCTACCTCGGCCTCCCAAAGTGCTGGGATTACAGGCATGAGCCACTGCGCCCCACCTAATGGTTGTGTTTTTTAGCCTCTGTAGTATTACCTCTGTGGCCTAAGTTTAGACTGTAATGATTGGTTTCCAGCGTGTTTGTAAATGAGGCAAAAGAATTGTTTACCCTAGGGGCTCTGGGTCAGACTCACGGGGTTTGAGCCCCAGCCTTTTCACTTAGAGGTATATGACCTTCAATAAGTTGGTTTCTGTGCCATGTTCCCCATCTCTAAAATAGTACCTGCCTAAGAATTGTGAGGATGAAATAATATATTTTTATTTATTTATTTTTTTTTTTTGAGATGGAGTCTTGCTATGTCACCCAGGCTGGAGTGCAGTAGCGCGATCTTGGCTCACTGCAAGCTCTGCCTCCCGGGTTCACGCCATTCTCCTGCCTCAGCCTCCCAAGTAGCTGGGGCTACAGGCGCCCACCACCATGCCTGGCTAATTTTTTGTATTTTTAGTAGAGACGGGGTTTCACCATGTTAGCCAGGATGATGTTGATCTCCTGACCTCGTGATCCACCTGCCTCGGCCTCCCAAAGTACTGGTATTACAGGCGTGAGCCACCGCACCTGGCCTGAAATAATACATTTTCTAAGCTAGATATTTAGAATAAAGACTGGTACATAGTAGGCTTAACTATTATCTTCATGATGAAAGTACTTTAAATTGACCCAGAGAAAACAAAATATGACTAAATGTTTGACTAGAGAAAAGTATTTCTCCTGAGTGGGACTCTTTATTGATTCCAAGAATAGTGGGAATGGCACTGGATTGAAGATTACGTTTTTAAAACCAACTACTTGATATATAGAATTCTTACACTTGTAACATTTTGTAAATGTCTGTAAAATTGTAAGCCAATCTAACTTATATAACTATTTAAATTTAAATAAATAATGGACTATTTGCTAATAATCCCACAATTCATTTTCCACTGTACTGGGCTCTGGTGAGTTAGGGTAAACTGTAACCCCTCAGGGCAACAGAAGTACCTTGTCTAAATTCACCTTGTAAATGATAGAGCCATGCGTCTGAATCCACAGCCTGTATTCTCTACCCTTGTGCTTTACTGCTCTTAGGAGGTGGGAGCAGTTAGCAGTTTTTTGGGTGCCGGCCTCGCTTTTCTCTTCACAGTTCAATCTTCTGACTCTGTACCTGAAGGTGTCCACATTTAGCCAGGCTCACAGTACTCTTTTCTTGATTCTTGGGGGCTGCCAGATGCACTGATATGATATACTTGGACATCCAGCCCCTGACCCCATTAGGCCCCTGAAGCATCTCGAGGGGAGTCAGTAACTCTTGCAAGAAGGCTTAAGGTGGATGTAAGGCCACAAGGCAACATTGTCAGTGTCTGAGTCCTTGATTTTTATGTAACTTCTCATAGATAACAGAACTTAAAAATCATTTGGGGGCCAGGTGTGGTGGCTCAGGACTGTAATCCCCAGCACCGGGAGGCTGAGATGGGCAGATTGGCTGAGGCCAGGAGTTTGAGACCAGCCTGGCCAACATGGTGAAACCCCGTCTCTACTAAAAATACAAAAAAAAAAAAAAAATTAGCTGGGTGTGGTGGTGAGCGCCTGTAATCCCAGCTACTCAGGAGGCCGAGGCAGAGGAATCACTTGAACCCGGGAGGCGGAGGTTGCAGTGAGCTGAGATCGTGCCACCGCACTCCAACCTGGGCGACAGAGTGAGACTCCGTCTCAAAAAAAAAAAAATGATAATAATAATTTGGGGAAATTTTATGAGTCTCTTTTGTTGCCCATAAATTGTGCTAAGCAGAGGTAAGGGTTTTATCTCACTACTTCTGTATGCTTTAAACATTTGTAAAAGAGGCAAATACACTTTCTTGGTGCAGCCTTGTCTACCTTTGACATTCTGAAGAAAAGAGAACAAAAATCAGATTGTTTTCAACCCCTCATAAAAAGCCCATCACACTTTCTTAGACTTAGTTGTGTTGATAGTTCTTATAATACATTTACTCCTAGTATTTAGCATTATATTTATGTTCACCTAAATCTTGGCTGAGTTTTTGTTTTTAATAAATACATGCATGGAATTTAAAGTTGACTTTTAAAATAGAGATTAATGTTGTGTGTCTTTCCTTTTAGCCTCCAGTCTGTGGACTTTGAAGCTGTGGCAATCACAGTGAAAGAGCTAGTTCGATATACACTCAGTATAAATCCAAATAACCATTCTTGGTTAATTATCCAGGCAGATATTTACTTTGGTAAGTGAGATGTTTAGTTGCTTTGTGTTTTGTTTTTATAGCACTTTTTGAAGTGAAAGTAAATATATAACCTATTTTATTTCAATACTTAAGTTTTGTTGAGATTTACTTGTCTTTAGTAAAATTAAAGCAGTAAAAGTATTTGTACTTTTTTTTAGTGTAGAGCCTTTGGTTCAGATGCTTTTAACTTTACGTTGACTACCTTTATTCTCTTTTTCAAAAAAACAGTGAATTTTTTTTTGTGTGTGTGTGATGGAGTCTTGTTCTGTTGCCCAGGCTGGAGTGAAGTGGCACGATCTTGGCTCACTGCAAACTCCGCCTCCCGGGTTCAAGCGATTCTCCTGCCTCAGCCTCCCAAGTAGCTGGGATTATAGGCACCCACCACCATGCCTGGCTAATTTTTGTATTTTTAGTAGATACGGGTTTTCGCCATGTTGGCCAGGCTGATCTTGAACTCCTGACCTCAGGTGATCTGCCCGCCTCGGCCTCCCAAATTGTTAGGATTACAGGCGTGAGCCCCTGCGCCCAGCATGAATTTTTTAAATCTAATTAATCTTTAAGGAGAATGAGGTTTTCTTTTTAAAATGCTGTTTAGAGATTCTAAAATCTCTGCAGGTACAGTTGATCATTATTTTTATTCTTGAAGATAGATCCTAACTCTCCCCATTACTCCTCTGCTGGGTTATATGTGATAAGGTTTTCCCACTTGATACGAAACTTTCAATGCTTCTATTACTCTACAGATCAAATAAAATTTCTGACTAGAATCATTTCAGAATCTGTGTTTTAGGAGTTGGTTTTTAATTTTTAAGATTTTTTCCTATCATGCTTGTTTCCTAATGAGTTGAATTTTTTAAAGGGAAAGTTCAAGATATGAAGATAAAAGGGATAGTGTGCTGAACACCGTGGGTCTACCACCCAGCTACTAATTAACAGTAATTAGCTCATGGCCAGTCTTGTTTCACGTGTTCCCTTTCCCACATCATTCCTCTCTCCTCTGGATTATTTTGATGCAAATGCTGATTTTAATGCTCATTTCCACCCCAGCCCCCAAAAGAAGCTATCAGGTTCTCGATATCTATCAAGTTCAAGATATCAGCTTGATAGCTGTCAATTTCTTGATATACCGATTCTGAACTACTTCACAAAATTATAATTTGTTTCTCGTTTGGACATTTGGGAAATAAAATCTCCAGATACTAAATTCTGTACTAGGACATTTGGCAAGAAATACGAACTAACATTTTATTTCTAGTTCTGTGGTTTGAATCTGCTTTTGTTAACTTATGAAGTTACACCTGACTCTTTACAAAGGAATCCCTGTTTTTCAACTGTTACCTCTAATGCTTTATGTCTGTTTTTCTGTTTCAGCAACGAATCAGTATTCAGCAGCTCTTCACTATTACCTCCAGGCAGGAGCTGTGTGTTCTGACTTCTTTAACAAGGCTGTGCCCCCTGATGTTTATACAGACCAGGTGAATTGTTTTCGTGGGCTGGCTGGTTTCTTGCCTACCTGTATATGTTCTTCCTGGGTCCCCTTTTGGCTGAACTTACCCATTTCCTTGTAATGTGATCGTAAGTCCCAGGTTCATGGCTCTAGAACACATTGCTCTGTGTATTTTCATTGTCCTTATTTCTAGCACCTATTGCTGTCTTGATTCCCCCAAAACACCTCAAATTCAACTTGTCCAAACTGATTTGTGTCTGTCTTTACCATAAAGTAATAAACTCCTAATACACTCCTAATAAATTCACCTGTCCTTTCAAAAACAAAAACAAAAAACCTGCAAAATACCAAACATTTTTGTTTAACCATTTGAGTAGTTCAAGCCCAAACCCTGACTATCATTTTTGGCTTTTTTCTTTACTGACCCTCCTGCCACCATCCAGTTAGCTCTCACATCTTGTGGATTCTATCTCCTAAATCCCTATTTTTTTTTCCTAATTTCTTTGGTATATATTTAAGATATACAGAATAATGTTTTAATATACACAGTGAGATGATTACTACAGTCAAACAAAAAAACATATCCATTGCCTTCCTTAGTTACCCATTTTTTGTGATAAGAGCACCTAAAATCTACTCTCAGCAATTTTTTAGTATACATTATGGTATAATGAATTCTAGTCCTCATACTGTATATCAGTTTGCTAGACTTTTTCTATCTAATTGCAAATTTGTGCCATTTGACCTACTTCTTCCCATTTCCTCCCCATTCCTGCACCTGGTGTCAAATTTTGTCCGTTTTTTTTTTTGATATGCATTGCCATTTCCTCTGATGTAGGCTACCAGTACCATAACTTAAATGATATTTTAAAAATACTTATAATGGCTTTCAAAATAAGATTGAACATTTATTAGATTTTTGGTTTATTTTTTACAGCACTTTTAAGTTCACAGCAAAATTGAATAAAAGGTACAGAGTTCCCATATATCCCCCGTTCCTCCACACACAGCTTCCTCTTTTGACATCCCATACCAGAGTGACACATTTGTTAGAATCCATGTTAGCTGGTTTTTGAAAATAATGAGAATTTTGCTTTTGTAGGTAATAAAACGAATGATAAAATGTTGTTCTTTGCTGAATTGCCACACACAGGTTAGTTTATAATATTATGAAGTTGTTTTATTTTTACATATGTTAGAGTTTATAATAAATATAAAGCATTGAACTGGAAATTAGCTTTTATTTTCCATATCAAAATCACTTAGGGTATGTAAGAGTTTGGCATATTCTTTAAATTTTTTTAAATAGTTTATAGAATGTCAACTAAAATGAAAGTATGAATTAAAAACATTGACCTTTAAACCTCCTAAGTGGGAAAAAAGCATTTTTCAGGTTTTTAAAGATACTTTAGAAATGTGCATTAGTCATTAGGGAAATGCAAATCAAAACCATGAGATACCACTTCCTACCCACTGGGATGGCTGTAATCTAAACACATTTAAAAACAAATGTTGGTGAGGATGTGGGGAAATTGGCACCCTCATATGTTGCTGGTGGGAATATAAAATGGTGTAGCATCAAAATGGTGTAGACTCAGGAAAACAGTTTCCCAGTTCCTCAAAAAGGTAAACATAAGAATTACTATATGACCCAGCAGTTTCACTCCTAGGTGTATACCCAAGACAACTGAAAACATATGTCCACAGAAAAAATTGTGCACAAGTGTTCACAGCAGCATCATTCATAATAGCCAAAAAGTAGAAACAACCCTAATGCCCATCAAATGATGAATGACTGAACATAATGCAGCATATCTATGCAATGAAATATTATTCAGCCATAGAAAGGAATGAGTTACTGTTACGTGGTACAGCATGGCTGAACCTTGAAAGATTATGCTAAGTGAAAGAAGCTAGACACAAAAGGCTACATAGTCTATGATTCCATTCATATGAAATGTTCAGAGTAGGCAAATGTATGGAGACAAAGTAAATTAGTGGTTATCAGAGGCTTGAGGTGAGAGGGAATGGAGAGTGACTGCTAATGGACTTTTTTGGGGGAAGTAATGAAAATGTTTTTAAATTACATAGTGGTGATGGTTGTACAACTTGGTGAATATACTAAAAACCACCAGATTGGGTACTTTAAGAGGGTAACTTTTATGGTTTCTGAATTAAATTAATAAAAACTATTTTTTAAAGAGATGGACATTATGACCTGAGTGAAATGTTTTCTATGTTAAGCAGATTGGCAGCCTAAATTTTCCAAAATGAGCGTCTATACTTGCCAGCTATGAAAGGTTTAATTGCACACTCTGTATGTCCTTGAATGTCATGACACTTTTGCTTGGCAGTTTTCCATCCCCTTCAGTTTTCTGAACTGGCTTTTTGCCAGCTTCTCATTCAAACAAACCTCTAAAATTTGTGGTTGAGGTCACTGATGAAGAGAATATTGGTCAGACAGACACGTGTATAAAGGTTTTTGAAATTAAAATTGGATGGAATCCATAACTATGAGCGGATTCAATGTGATCTATAAGGCTTAATATAAGAGTAATTCAAGATTACCTTGTAAAACCAAGCTTTCATTACATGAAACCATTTTCAAATCTTTGTTAATGTAGGTGGCCATTTTATGTCAGTTCCTCAGAGAAATTGACTACAAAACAGCGTTTAAATCTCTGCAAGAACAAAACAGGTATGAATAATATTTTAAAAATAATGAGGTCAACATTTTTCTGCTTAAGAAGTAACTGAATTCTGTCTTTCAGTCATGATGCTATGGACTCCTACTACGACTACATATGGGATGTTACCATTTTGGAATACTTGACTTGTATCCTTTCATCCATGTGTGTGATGTTAGAATGATCCATTTTTATAAATTAAAGGAATATTTAATATTGTATATTTTCCAAATCAAAACTGAAAATGAGTTGAGATTCTCTCATTATATTTAATACTATCAGATTTATTTTCCTTAACTGATTCATTAGATCTTCATCATAAAAGAGGAGAAACAGATAAAAGACAAATTGCAGTAAGTTACCTTATGCCTTTCTTCAGTGGTACAGTTTCCAGAATATTAAACAATTGTTAAGATGTGAACCAACAAAAAATAGATTTTGTGTACCTAGTTACTGCCAGAATTTTATTATCAGTGTTTACTTTATAAAAGATCCTTTTTTGATAATTTTAACTGTTCCATGTCATTATATATTATTTTAAAATGTTAGATCATGTCATTTCTCAGTCCCAAACTTTCCAATGGCTTCTCATCTCATACAAAGTTAAAAGTCTTACGATGGCTTTATAAGGCTATATACAACTTGACCTCTAGCCTGTCCGTCTGACTTTTCCTCCTTGCTAATTTCTGCTACACCAGTACCCCTCCTGTTCTTTCAACAAGCCAAGAACATTCACCACCTAAGAAGGGGCTTTGAAATTTTCTCTTCCAAGAACATCCAACTTCCCTCAGATCTCTCGTCAATCATCCTTTCCTGATCATCTTATAAAGTAACAATTTCTGCTTCCCTTTTCCCTCCAGTACTCTTACTCTCATTTCTTTTTACATTTTTCTCCGGAACACTTATCAACATCTAACATACTGTATATTTTCCTAATATCTATTTCCCCAGGAGGGTAAGGACTTGTTTTGTCATAGTTGGTCCCTAGAATGGTGCCTGGCACATATTAGGTGCCCCAGAATCACTGATTAGATGAACTCTTTATCTAAATTTGATGTATGGGCCAAAACATTTTAAATTGTATGGCCATATTTACTTGTCTAACATTTACTGTGGCAGTATCACCACAGATCTTTTCTTTGCTCTTTCACTTATATTAATTTAAAAAAATGCTATTTATTAAGGGTCTTTTAAACTTTGTACTCGGACTAAAATATATGCCCATTGTTTAGAAGAAACAATAATAACAGCACTTAAAAACAAAAAGGAAAAAGAATGTGAAGGCCAGTTCCACTTGATTGGAGGCAATTCATTCTCCCTTTTCTAATTTACCTGGGGCTGGAAGGCAATATTGAAAAATTTTCCTAGCTCCTTTTTGCTATTTCCAAACCACTTCTACTTGTATCATTTTTTGAGACCCTTATGCTTCATACCTTACTTCCTTACTAGCTCCTGTAAGTATCTGGTTGTTCCTCTACATGTGTCAAAAGACGTGAGGAATTTACCTGTCACCCTGAGCTTTACAAGTCCTTGCCAGCCTCACATCTATGAGGTGTTATTTTTACTCTGTACCAGCCACTCACACCCAAAGCCATGTCTTACTGTCAGGCACAATTGTTCTGTTAGATCTTATACTGCAACCCACTCTCTGCCCATAACCTATCCTTCTCTTACTTCCTTGCTCCTGAGCCCCTCACGATCAGTGGGATATTGAGTTTTGTGACATTTTTTTCCCAGTCATTCCCTTCCATCTTCCCTTCTCTGCTCATCTCAAATACAACAAATACTATTCTGCACACTGAGAGGTACCGATTCAGTTGGTCTGAAGTGGGACCCTGGAATCCAGTTTTTAAGTTTCCCGGGTAGTCTGGTGATGAACCAGGTGTGGGAACCCCTGCTATGATAGAACTACTCTTGATCAATATTTTTAGCGTCTTCCCTTTATCCTTTACCTCACCTGGGAAAGCCCTAGCCCTGCATAAGTCCAGAAACTTACGTGTTTTATTTTCTTGGGCCACTGAGACTATTGGAAAAAGTCCTACGACTGGTGCCACTGCCAAACAAGTCTCCAACCCGTCAGCTTTTTTGTTTTACCTGCCACTAGTTCAGTGGTCCACATTCTCTTCGTGGACTCTAATTTTTAGACTTTCCTGTTTAAGCCCCTGTCCTCTCTCTACCTTTTCCATACTCAGTAACTTCTTTACCTCTTCTATGCTTGAGATATACCAGTGAAGACTGGCCAGGCTCTGTCCTCATGGATGTTAAGAGTCTTGGGAATGGTGACCTTGTGAGTGCTAGCTTAAAATTCCTATTTCATTCGCTGCTTCCTGCCTTTAAAATAATCTACAGCTGTACTCATTGTTAAGCCCGCTATGCAGCCCATAAGAGGTTATACTATTTGATGAAGGCAAATTTTTATGCTTTGAATTCTCTCCCCCTCAATAACCTTCTAATGAATTGATTTCCTATATAGTCAACCTCTCCCATAGTCTATAAAATATTTCATCCTAATACAAGTTTTTGTTGTCTGTGCCTCCACCTCCAGCCCCCTCAGCCCTCTCTGCCTAGCTTTTGAAGCTCTTCAAGCCAGCAATTTGACTTCTGCCATCACTGCTCTTACTTTTCTCTCAAGAGCCACCAAATGCCAGATCCAGTGGATACTTTTCAGTCCTTTTCCTGATTACATCTCCTTCCTTCTTGAAAGTCTTTATTCCTTTGGCTTCCCTGACATCATTTTTATTGGATTACTTTCTCTATTTCTTCCTTTTTGTTTTGGGTGTCTCCTTCTGCCTACTCCTTAAACTTGGTTTTCTCAAGAAGTTAGTCCTTGGGTTACTTTTCTGTAACCCTGCATTCTCCCTAGGTAATTTAATCCACTCTCGGTTTTGATTACTGTCCACATGGGGTGTATTACTGCTCTCAAATATCTGGCTCCTATTCCAACTTCTGTCTCACACTTCGGGTTTTTATAGCCAGTTATCTTTGGGATACCTGTTTGAAACAACTCTGGTTATACTCTACTACCAACTTTTGCCACATGCATTCCTTCATGTTGAAATGGCATCATCCAGCAATTTCTCCTATTCCCCAACTTCCCATACCTGACGATCATATCTGAATAGTCATTTCTCTCTTCAAGCTACATATCAGAAGTCTTATTGTTTAAAGAAATTCTAGGCCGGGTGCAGTGGCTCACGCCTGTAATCCCACCACTTTGGGAGGCTGAGGTGGCGGATCACCTGAGGTCAGGAGTTTGAGAGCAGCCTGGCCAACGTGGTGAAACCCCGTCTCTACTAAAAAATACAAAAATTAGACGGACGAGATGGCGGGCGTCTGTAATCCCAGCTACTTGGGAGGCTGAGGCAGGAGAATCACTTGAACCTGGGAGGCAAAGGCTGTAGTGAGCTGAGATCACGCCATTGCACTCCAACCTGGGCGACAAGAATGAAGCTCCATCTCAAAAAAAACAAAAAACAAACAAAAAAAAACCTTTTTTTTTTTTTTAAATCATCTATAGATTTTAAGGCCCTAAACAGTCCATAGCAAAAAACTAGTGTGTATATTTAGTTGGTTGAGGCACTTCTTTCTAATCATGAAAAGTTGAGCAACTATATGCTACCATAGTGCTGAGCCACCAGTTATTTTTGCACATTAACAAGTGGAGCCCTAGTTTAACTCTAAAAATCGCCATGTAGAGCTTACTTATACTTTCAAATAAATTTACATGAATTTACTTAATATATTAAAATGCCACTTAAGTAATTCCATAAACTATGGCTCAGCAGTCCATCTTTCCTTGAGAGTGGCCCTGGTTAATCTTTATGTTAATTTTTTTCCAAGACTCCTGGGTTTTACAGTTAAGAGGTTCAGTTAATCATTAAACTGTATCGTTGTTAGCACGTAGGTAGCTTTATATTACTTGTACCAACAAAACTTAATTTTTGACACACCTCTAATAACATCACTTTTCTGTTTTGGAAGATCAAAGCCATCGGCCAGACAGAGTTGAATGCAAGCAATCCAGAAGAAGTGTTACAGCTGGCAGCGCAGAGAAGGAAAAAAAAGTTTCTCCAAGCAATGGCAAAACTTTACTTTTAAGCAGTTAAATTTTTTTAACTTTTATTTTTTAAACAATGGGCTAAAAATAAACAGTATTAAAAGGTTAAGTTTATATAATACATATGTACACAATTAGTGGTGTTTTCTTTTCAGACAAAATACTGAAACAAATATTAGTTTAAAAACAAACTATACAGAAGACTTCATACCGTAACAATAAATGTATAGTTTCTTCAAAGGGAGAAGAGATTCACATATCTGATAACAAAATAAACTAGCAATCTAGTTTTCTAATCTACTTTATGAGGCTGGATTTTTTTTTTAGAAAAGCTAATTTAAAATATTTAGAAATAGCTAGCCTATGTACAGCAAGTTTTCATGTCTTTTTTTAATAAATAGATTTCTAGGAGTCAGTATATATTTAATACTCTTCTTCCTTAAGAAAATAGAAGTTTAGGTCAAGTGTTAAGCTTTATCACTTTGACACTGTCCTTATCTCACAATGGAGGAATTTAGAAAGGACCTTAACAGTTTCACAAACATAAATAAAGCCTTAGTCACACTAAATTAAAAAAAAAAATTCCTTAGGGATATCTTAGAGTAGTAAAGTGACTTCCTCATATAAATAGTTTGAAAGGGTACTTAAGTTTTTCACCCAAATTGTGATATACAAAAAGGTTATTACCAAGCAACCTACATGTCAAGAAAGCCCCAGTTAGGAAGGAGCCACAGCATTTATCTTGTTTATAATTTCTTTGGTACTCCCACTGTTTAGAGCACAGGTTGAACACCATGTTCATCTAAGCCTTATTAGTTAAAAAATGTGTTATGGCAAGGCAAATAAACTAGTTTAAAAAACATTAAATTTCACCATTTGTAGAAATTCAAGTTTTATAATAGCTTGCTATAGCAGCTATAGATAAATTAGTCACCTTATTACAAAACTAAACCTTTGTAAACAAGTTTAAATTTAATTTTCAAGAACCAAATTGCACTAGTCAAGAGTGTAGGAATTTTGAGAATCTAACAACTAGATTCAAAGTACTGTATCACTTAGTATACCCTTTAAGGTAGCACTTATCCAGTCCAAAACTCCAGTGACAAAATTCCTAGTTTATCAAGATAAACACAGTAACACTGGATTAAAGGAAAAACATTGCTATGGTATAGACTGTGGTTGGCTTCTATCCAGTAACCTTGGGAATGAAGACATCTTTGTAAACAAGTCCTGCTGTTTCTTTAACAGCTAACATAGGAAATAATTAAATGTATTCTTTAGTGCCAATTGTAAGTTTTAAAATCAGAATGGCAGTGTAACTTGTGAATTGGCTAGGGCAATCAATCACAGCACTACTTTCTGTAAAACTTTAGTAGTTCAGTGATACCAGTTCTACCCAATCTTGGTGAATTCCAACTTGTTTGCTTAGTTATCTTCTTTAGTGTTTTCCTGGTGGTTTTTCAGTGCTCTTCGGTGGTGTCATAATGCCTCCATTGCACACTGGTGACAACTGTCCCCCTTTTCTGAAGGTGTTTATGTAATTTACTTCCTCCTATACATGGGAAGAAATCATGCACTGATTTCATAAATCAAAGTCAAACCAGACTTCTGGGTACTTATTTGAGATTATTTAGGCCTAATTTTAATAGTCTTTTTATGTCTTTGCAAGTGTGAAGGGTCATATTCTGAAAGTTTCTGTAACGTTATATATTTTTTAAACTCTTTATCTAGACTGTTGGCATTGATCTTGAGACACTTCACAAATCTTGCTTTGATTTCAAAGTAATTTTATTAACTTTTCTACATTTTGAAATCAGTGTGCCCCTTAGAACTTTCTTTCCCCTGAAACTGCCTGAAGGAGTACTCTATTCCTACCATCAGTTTTGGTGACTTACTAGATTCAGATAGCAAAGCCAAAAAACTCACAAAAAAACATACCAGCATAGCCAAATAGTTTGTATGTGTCTGGATATTATGTCTGTCTTCCATAGGAATCTTCTTAAAAGTCTTCAGCTTCACTGGACTAGTACTTTTTACTACATTGACAAAAGGTACCATCCAATCTACACATTCTGAAATACTGTCCCACTCCAAACCTAGATAGATAGAAAAAAGTTAGAAAAGCATGAAGGTTGTACATCAGAAACTATCTTACATATGTCTGATGTACTTGTTGCTGTTTTTGAGATATTTTAAAAGAAACCAAATCATAACCAAGAAGTTTAGCATGTCAAAACAGATTATCACTCTCAAACTATTTACATGACTATGTTGAAGGGAAAAAGGACTTCAGAACTTCTTAACCAGTACCTTCTACATATGAAATTGAAATGGTCAAATCCCAAAGAACTCTTAAAGCAGAACTATAATGTTGATTCATTTCAACTGTATTTAAATTCCATTTGGTCTTTTTGTTGATACACATTCAGGATTGGAAAGTACTTCTAACAGAAAGATAATTACTGAACAGCTAATTTTTTTTTTGCCAAAGTTTTAAATGCATGTTTAGCAGAATGTTAAAGTTCAGAGACTGTAGTCCCATTAGAAGTTGTGAAAAGGTAAGAAGACAACAAATAGAGAGTCTTACCTGAGGCTTTCTTAACCACTTCAATGGAGGTAAAATGGCACAAGGCAGCAGCAGTCAGTATTCTGTACTGGAACTCTAATGAATCAATGGCTAGAATACACAGATCTAAAAGCTAACAGGAAAAACAAAAGTACAAGCAATTTAGGAGAAAGATGAGTACTAAATGTCTCTTGCTAAAACCTTAGGGATCTAGAGATAAATAAGCCACCACCCGGCCAGGCGCGGTGGCTCACGCCTGTAATCCCAGCACTTTGGGAGGCCGAGGCGGGTGGATCACAAGGTCACGAGATCGAGACCATCCTGGCTAACACGGTGAAACCCCGCCTCTACTAAAAAATACAAAAAATTAGCTGGGCTTGGTGGCACGCGCCTGTAGTCCCAGCTACTCGGGAGGCTGAGGCAGGAGAATGGCGTGAACCCGGGATGCAGAGCTTGCAGTGAGCAGAGATCGCGCCACTGCACTCCAGCCTGGGCGAAAGAGCGAGACTCCGTCTCAAAAAAAAAAAAAACAAGCCACCAACCTGAAGGAAGTAGACAAGGAAGGACTGTTGCAATACAGTGTGACATGTACTAGCAGGAAGGGCACCTAATCCAGATTGGAAAAGATAGTGATGGCCTCAAATTGCCATAAATGGGTCTTAAAAGATAAGGGAGCCAGGAAGAGTAGGAGGCAGAGAATGTTCTAGGTATAGGGACATTACTTGGAACTCAGTTCACAGTTCAGAACTCCTAAGGTGAAAAATAAATAAGGAGTACCTTCATTTCTTATCAAGAAAGATGAGGGGTGGTGGCTAGAAAGAGGCATGGTCTAGATTGGATCACAAAGGGTCTTTAAGAAGTCAGAATTTTATAGGCTGATTCTTGAAGCTACTGGAAGATTTTTAAATCAAAGTTCCATTTTAAGAAAGATACCTTAGAATGCAGTGAAGCAGACAGACTAGAAGAAAACATGTTTATTAAGCAGTGAGATTAGTTAAAAGGCTGTATAATCTAGGCAATAAGAGCTGAACTAGTAGCAGTGGAATGGTATAGTGTAAAAGGGGTAGATTTCACAGATTTGAGAAGATACTTGTGCAGTGGAATTAAACTTCAATTCTGTTTGTCCTCATTGGTCCAGAAGGTAGGAGAAATGGGAGAAGAGCTGGGAATTGGAAGTGAAATATTACTGTTATATACCTCTAGAAAGTCCACATTGTTTATCGGCTTATCAAAGATTTACCATCACTATCAGAAGGGTATAGCTGCCTAGGACAATTTGGGATGCTAGGAATTCTGGATGAAAAAATTAAGCTTTTAATAAAAAGTTTTATAAAATAAACCAATTTCAGTATACTTAGTGGTTATCCAATTTGAGTATTCATAATGTGCTAGATTTAAGCACCACTGCCCACAAATTTTAACCTAGGTGACTTAATAATTATCCCCAAATGTCTTCCATATGTTAGATTTTCACATCCCACATAGAATAAGAGGGTAGATTTTCTTCACTTTTGTTATATGGCAGATACAGCAGCCTTAAGATTACTTACGAGAAGTAAGCAAGAAAGAATGGGATCTCCTCTTTTTTTTTTTTTTTAATTTTTTGAGATGGAGTCTTGCTCTGTTGCTCAGGCTGGAGTGCAGTAGTGCGATCTCGGCTCACTGCAACCTCCACCTCCCAGGTTCCAGCGATTCTCCTGCCTCAGCCTCCCAAGTAACATGTTGGCTAGGCTGCCTCAGCCGCCCAAACTCCTGACCTCAAGTGATCTGCCTGCCTGCCTCAGCCGCCCAAAGTGCTGAGATTAGAGACCTGAGCCACAGTGCCCGGCCAGATCCTCCTCCTCCTCTACTTACTTACTTTGTTAAATATGCTAGCCTGGAAAAGTTTACTTTGAATTTATGTTCTAAAAAATTTTTTTAACAAAGTAATTTTAATTCTGATATTTAACTTGATAGGCACTCTGTGTATCCAAATGTAAAGACATCATACAGAATAATTCTATGCCATTATAAAGCTTAAACACAACTGGCGAAAAAAATGCTTTTCCCCATTTTATATCAAAAAGAGATACTTTAGTTTGGACTCCTAAAGAATGAAAGTACTCAGAAAAGTGTAAGGACTTTGTTTTTCTAGAAATATTAAGCAACATAAACACTGGGGACAGAACTTTATGCGTCAAAAGTTTTGTTCTAGAATTAAGGAGTGAAGTCAATATGTCATTTTGTGGTATAGCCTATTTAAGACTATATATACACTAAAACCTGTAATTAATAACATTACCATTGAATCAATAAAAATGTCAGTACCTGAGCTATTTGAATGAATGTTTCCTGAGAATACTGAGGTAGAAGAACTTTAGGAGCATCTTTAAGAGCATCAACTTGGAGAAAGAGATTTAGCCAGGAGATGATTGTTACAGGACAAAGTTCCCATTTTAAAGCCTATTAAACAAAATTTAAAAATGCCTGTTAATGAATGTAGACACATACACCACATTATACAGCAGAGCTTAGAGGTTAAGTACATTCCCCATCCAACCATAACCATTGTCAATATTTTGATGCATTAACCTCTTAGAACTGGATCCTAATACCTCAGTTTTGACTTTTTACATTGTAGTATTTGAGATTCAATTATAACTACTTATGTTACTTAGTAACATGGTTTCTTTTTTGCAACTAGGAAAACATAATTATTATTACCTTTAATATAATGAGTTCCATCCTTAAGATATCCTCTTCACTGCAAGCACCATCAGTGACGTAAGCAAACTCTTGGAGTTTAGGAGCATAGATTTCCTTTAAATTGTAATATTTTTATTGAGTACAATTGAGATAGAAATTAATTACAAATGTTCCTCAGTCTACAATGGGGTTACATCCCAATAAACCAAAATATCATTTAAGTAGAAAGTGCATTTTCATTTTCTTGGAGAAATAAGCAAAGACAAAAAGTACATTTTCTTTCTTTTTTTTTTTTTTTTTTTTTGAGGCAGAGTCTCAGGCTGGAGTGCAGTGGTGCAATCTTGGCTCACTGCAACTTCCACCTTCCAGGCTCAAGTGATTCTTGGGTCTCAGCCTCCCCAGTAGCTGGGGTTACAGGTGTGTGCCACTGTGCCCGGCTATTTTTTGCATTTTCAGGAGAGAGAGGGTTTCACCATGTAGGCCAGATTGGTCTCAAACTCCTGACTGCAAATGATTTGCCTGCCTTGGCCTCCCAAAGTGCTGGGATTAACCACTGCACCTGGCCAGAAAGTGCACTTTCAACTTAACAGTATTTTCAACCTAAGCAGACATAGCCCTGTTGTACGTCAAGGGGCATAATGAATGCAGGTTGTTTTCAACCATCATAAAGTCAAAACATCGTAGGTCAAACCGTGGTAAGTAGGGGACCATCTATATACAAATCACACACAGGCTTCAGATTTAAGGACAGCTTCACTAACTATAAATCTCAGTAAAATAATTCTAAAGTCAAAACAAAGGAAGATATTTTCATATCTAGGTATCTAGTAACTATATTGATTATCAAGACTTCTTTTCATAGAATTGACTTTGAATTTTCATTAATACAACTAGAATATGTCATTTCAGTTAAAGAACAGCCAAACTTGCTTTAAGATTGCCTGATATGGTTAGTCAGATCAAAAGGAGACACCCTGCCGGGTGCAGTGCAGCAGCTCACACCTATAAGCCCAGCACTTTGGGAGGTCGAGGTAGGAGGATCACCTGAGCCCAGGAGTTTAAGACCAGCGTGAGCAACAAAGAGAAACGCTGTCCCTACAAGAAAAAATAGCCAGGCATGGTGGTGGATCCCTGTAGTCTCAGCTATTCCAGAGGCTGAGGTGGGAGGATCACTGTAGCCTCGGAGGTCGAGGCTGTACTGAGCTGCAATAGTGCCACTGCATCCAGCCTGTGTGACAGCAAGACCCTGTCTCAAAAAACAAAAGCAAAGCACCCAACAAATAAGGTCTAGAAACTAAAAACATTTCCTTTACCCTAGTACAAAAATACAGTTAATCAAAAAATACTTCATGCAGTTTGGCTAACAGGTCTGTTTTAGCACTCCTGAGAAGAATTAGAATCATCAAAGGATTAGGTGTCTCCCACATAGGAGAACAGGCTAAAAGATCAGGATTTCAGTCTAGAAAGTTGTCTAAAACAGTATAATTTCAAGTAAGGATAGACTGAACACAAGTTTATGTGCCAAATTCAGCAGAATTTGGGGATGGCTCTTAAAGCTCAAAAGACATTTAAAAGAAAAAGGAAAACACTTAAAAAATTAATATATGATCACAATCCCTCTTCTCTCAAAATGATACCAGCTATAAAAGTCTTAGATGAAAGTATTGATGATATCCATCATGTATTAAGAAAAGTAAATTGAGCTTATGTGAAGGAAAATCTTAAGAAAGGAGGTGCCTTCTATCAGGGCTGCACCATCAGATACAAAAATATTAGGCTGGCCGGGTGCGGTGGCTCATGCCTGTAGTCCCAGCACGCTGGGAGGCCGAGGTGGGTGGATCGCCTGAGTCAGGAGTTCAAGACCAGCCTGGCCAACATGGTGAAACCCCATCTCTACTAAAAATACAAAAATCAGCTGGGCGTGGTGGCAAGCACCTGTAATCCCAGCTACTCGGGAGGCTTAGGCAGAAGAATCGCTTGAACCTGGGAGGCGGAGGTTGCAGAGAGCCAAGATCGCGCCATTGCACTCCAGCCTGGGCAAAAGAGTGAGACTTCGTCTCGAAAAAAGAAAAAAAAAAGGCTGGATAAACCATTATTCTAACCCAACACAGTATGCATTTCATTTCATTTTATTAGCTGTTTAGTTTTCAAAGGTCATTCTGTTGAATACAAATGCTATAATTATGTATATAAATAGAGCATCAATATGTTTCGTTTGGCAGAATGAGCCATGGGACATTTCACTTAGATACTAATCCCAGAATCTAAACTAGAGATTTGTAATAAGGCTCAGACATTACAGAGGGAACTATGATAATTTATCATTCATCCCTGTGGTAATGTTCAGAAAATGTACTGAGAAACAAAAACATTCACTTTTCTAAGGAGTTAATATAAAACATAGTATTCTTTGGGATTAATATGTTGATTTAAAAAAAAGTTTGGGATAAATATATCTAAGGATAAACTTTTAAGAACTTACCTCAAGTTTGGAAGCAATGAATAATGAGGTAATTCCAATGAGTTGAAGCATATTTTTATTTATATCCTTTTGTGTCAACATAAATCTATCAAAAAAGTCTTGTGCAAGATAAAATGTTTCCCTATGAAGTGTGTATACTTCACATACCTAGAGAAGAATCCAAACATTTAAATATTATCTTCTGAATTTCTCCAAATTAGAAAGTCATCTCTTAGCATATCAGACTTTAAAATATGTTTAAGCCAAACTGATAGCAAAGCTAAGATAGGAAAGGAAAAAAAGAAACTAAGATGTACTATTAGGATAAACAAATCTATTACTATGCACATTTACTAGTTTTATAGTTTTTCTTACCTCATTTATTTTTCATATTTTACTGCACTGTTAAAAATTATCAAAGGATACTGAATGGTTAACATTGGTGATAAACAAAATCTTATCCCTTGTTTCTGACTTTAATAGGAATTGCCCTGATGTTTCACTATTGTTATTAATAATAAATAGTATCTGTCATTTCTACACTTTTAGGGAAAGATTTTAATTCTCACAGTAACTCCGTAAGTAGGTACCATTATCCCCATTTTGGAGGTGAGGAAATAGAGATATATACCAGAGTTTTTTTTTTTTTTGACAGGGTCTCACTTTGTCACCCAGGCTGGAGTGCAGTGGCTCACTGCAACCTCTGCCTCCCAGGTTCAGGCGATTCTCCTACCTCAGCCTCCTGAGTAGCTGAGATTACAGGTGTGTGCCACCATGCCCAGCTAATTTTTTGTATTTTTAGTAGAGATGGGATTTTGCCATGTTGGCCAGGCTGGTCTCAAACTCCTGGCTTCAACTGATCTGCCTGCCTCAGTCTCCCAAAGTGCTGGCATTACAGGTATGAGCCATCACACCTGGCCACATGAGTTTCTAATAATGAGTTAAGAAAATCTCTTTTGCTGGCCGAGTGCGGTGGCTCACATCTGTAATCCCAGCACTTTGGGAGGCCAAGGCGGGCGGATCACTTGAGGTCAGGAGTTCAAGACCAGCTTGGCCAATAGGGTGAAACCGCATCTCTATTAAAAATACAAAATATAGCAGGTGTGGTGGCCTGCGCCTGTAATCCCAGCTATGTGGGTGGCTGAGACAAGAGAGTCGCTTGAACGCGAGATGCAGAGGTTGCAGTGAGCTGAGATCGTGCCATTCCATTCTGGCCTGGGTGACAACAGCGAGGCTCCGTCTCAAAAAAAAAAAAAAGAATGTCGAATTTCAAAAAATGTCTTTTGCATCTATTGAGATCTTAGCATTTTTCTTATTTACTGTTAAGGTAATAAATTAATAGATTTTCAAATGTTGAATCAAGTTTGCATTCCTAGACTGAAGAATACACTAAGATAGAGTTTAACACTGCTGGATTTGATATATTCTGTATGCTGTTGCATACATAATCATATTTAGGTAAAAACAGGAACAAATTGAATTGGATAACCACTGGATGAATATCAGTATAACAAAAAGGAAACAAATTAAAAATTAACATAATTGTGCTTAAGTTGATTCCATGATCACTAGACAGTCAGAAAAAGTCAAAACCCAATGCCTTCTTGTGCCCACAATTAAAATACAATCTTTCCTTCTAGTCAGAATAAGGAAAAAGATGACCTGATGCAAAAGGATAACATTTTAGTCTTAAAAACTGTTCTGATAGCTTCTGAGATCTATTCTGCCATGTGTTCCTCCTCCAAAAAGTCTATGGTCTTTTTCCCTTAGAATGCTTCATCTCTTGTCTTAAAGACAGACTACAGAGCAAATATCCAAGAGTTGGAGGAAAAATCAGTTTGTCATCAACATAAGTAATGATTTCCTTAATAATAATTTTAGAAACTTTTTTAGAGCTATTATCCAGAGGAAAGGGAATGGACCTAAACAAGAGAGAAAAATCTGGCACAAATCTATAGGGGCTTCAGGATCACTATTCCTTTAAATTAATGGTATATTTCGGAAAAGAATAGAAGAATATAATAAAGAGAAGGTATCTGGACAATAGAGGGCGTAGAGCTTCCAGATATCCATAGTCTCATTATGGTTTAGGATATAGAAATCAGGATTCCTCATCATCATGATTTTGTTAATACAGAAAAAGACTTCAGAGGGCCCTGAAGCCTAGTTCTAGTTCTTCACTTTGTATAGCATAATTCAAAACCTAATCAACTATACATTCCATTCACCTTGAGTATCTGTGGCACCCAGAAAGTGGTTGGTACACAGCAGTATCCACAGGTAACAGGAATTCTGAATTGGGTTTAGTTATATGTAGTAGCTTTGTCATGGTTTTACTCTTATAGAGTCACTTTCCACTTTGGGTGCAATCAACTACAGTAAGTACCTCAAAAAAGACAGCTTCCTGGGGATGAACAATAAACTCTTGAGAGTACATAGAAAGCACATTTACAGCTAAATATGTTTCCATCATACAGAGACAAAGGAAATTTGTATTGCTGTAACATACCTCTAAAAGCCAGTCTAGAAGTATGGACCTCATCTGTGGTTCCAAGTCAGAATGCAGAACTTCAAAATGTTTGTCATGAACATATCTGCTCTCCTTTTTTAACATGTTTAGCCAGACTTCTTTTGAACATCCCCAGCTATGGAAAGAGAGGAAAAAAACCATATATATATATATATATTTTTTTTTTTTTTTTTTTGAGACAGAGTCTCGCTCTGTGGCCCAGGCTAGAGTGCAGCGGCACAATCTTGGCTCACTGTAATCTCCACCTCCTGGGTTCAAGCGATTCTTGTGCCTCAGCCTCCCAAGTAGCTGGGAGTTACAGGTGCCTGCCACCAAGCCTGGCTAGTTTTTGTATTTTTAGTAGAGATGGGGTTTCACCATGTTGGCTGGGCTAGTCTCGAACTCCTGGCCTCAAGTGATCGACCTGCCTCAGCCTCTCAAAGTGCTGGGATTACAGGCGTGACCCACCATGCCCGGCTAAAAAACATAATTTAAATTGTGCAATCCATGTAATATACAAACTCTGTTTCACATAGATAAAATTCAACTTTCAGACATTGAAATGCAACTTTTAATTAGAACTTGGAAGAAGCTCTTAAAGTAAATAAGAAAAAAAACTTCTGCCTTAATTTTTGGAAACAATTTCCTTTGCATGAATAAATAGAAGCCTGAAGTAACACAGTGGGAACCTGGACTATGATCATCCAAACCTGCAGATTTCAAGGGAGTGCTTTCTAGTTCCACTTATTTATACTTTACAAAGGTTGCTGTTAAAAGATAACCACGTTGCTTTTCCCATAAGTGGTCTGAAGTAATCTGTGAAAATAGCTGGCTATTCACTTTACCTGGAAAACCCCACAAAATCATGCAAATCAAGAGGTTCAAATCTTTGTGTTCACTGTAAGAACACTCGTGAAACTGCCCAGGCTATCAAGGGTATGCATATATGAAAAACCACAAAGTGGCCGGCACAGTGGCTCACACCTGTAATCCCTGCACTTTGGGAGGCCAAGGTGGGTGGATCACTTAAGGTCAGGAGTTCGAGACCAGCCTGGCCAACATGGTGAAACCCCGTCTCCACTAAAAATACAAAAAATTAGCTGGGCGTGGTGGCATGCTTGTAATCCCAGCTACTCAGGAGGCTGAGGCAGGAGAATCACTTGCACCCAGGAGGTGGAGGTTGCAGTGAGCCGAGATCGTGCCACTGCACTCCAGCCTGGGCAACAACAGCAAACCTCTGTCTCCAAAAAAAAAAAAAAAAAAAAACACCATGAAGTATTTTTAAAATGTCACTTTACAGAAACAGCATGTGCCATTCTGACATTACAATGGTGGAGTTGGTAGGTGTACCCAGGCCAAGCAGTGGGACTGGACACAAGGTTGGTGGCCCAAAAAGAGTGCTGAATTTTTGCTGCACATGCTTAAAAATGCAGAGAGTAATGCTGAACTTAAGAGTTTAGATGTAGATTCTCTGGTCATTGAGCATCTCCAAGTGAACAAAGCACCTACGATGTGCCAACGGACCTACAGAGCTCATGGTCGGATTAACTCACACGTGATCTCTCCCTGCCACATCGAAATGATCTTTAGTGAAAAGGAACAAATTGTTCCTAAACCAGAAGAGGCGGTTGCCCAGAAGAAAAAGATATCCCAGAAGAAACTGAAGAAACAAAAACTTATGGCACAGGAGTAAATTCAGCACTAAAATAAATGCAATTAAAAGTGAAAAAAAATGTTTTCTCAAGAGCAATACAAAAAAGTTAAACACATAAGGCATGTGATCACAGTCAAGAGAAGTCTCAATCACCTCTAAATAGATCATCTACAGCAGGATCACCTATGGGGTGGGTAAGGTGGGACAGAATGCAGGGAAAGGGGGATTGGTGAGTTTAAGTGTCTGATTCCATTAAATTGCTTATTAAGGCCAATCATAAATTAATACAGTACATGTTTTGTATAAGCTGTACCTCTTAGTTACACTCATGGACTAGAAAAAAGAATTAAGTATAGACCTTATTAAGTTTGGTAAGAAATAAATAGGGTTGATACATCAATTGGAAAAGCTTCCTTTGAGTTGAAGCTGCAAGAAACACGAATAAAAATTTTAAAGGAAAAAGCTGTACATGTAAAAATGTTTCTATCTTAACAAAAAACTAATTCAGTCCTGTTAAGTCTTTATAGTACTCAGCAAGCAAATGAAAATAATTTTATAGAATCAGTGTTTTAAATACCCATATCATTTGCAACCAGCACTACTCTCAGATAAAATGACATATGATTAAATATTAGTAAACAATTTTTACACGTTTTTCTACTTTATGAAAGCAAAAGACAAAATAGTGCCATGTATTAAATCAGCACAACTTTATATCTTTGAAATAAAATTACTGAAATTTTTCTTACCTTAAATCAGGCAAAGGTGAAGGATTAATAAAAAGATTTTTAAATCTGTAATTTGTAAATCTGGAGAAATCACTTGTTCCTATTTCTTTGTGAGGTGTTTCAATGATAATGCAAGGACTGATCCCCCCAGATAATACAGGTGGCCAACAATTCTGTCATAAAAAAAAAGAAAAATATCAATTTGTGCAAGGAAAACCTTAGTTTTTGTAATGGATCTTTCATAAATGAAAGCTAATATGTCTAAAGAATCATAATTTTAGCTAACATAGATGGCAATATAGCTAATTTGACATTCACATTTTATAAACAAGCCATATAGCTCATATTGATTTTTATAAAGAGTAATAGGATGTTTTAGACAACAAAATGCAATTCTGGTAATAGAAGACACCAGGTGTCGAAGAAGGACAGTAATAACAAAATGCATCTGCAGTCTAAAATACTAATCACTTTCAAGATCACAGAATCGTTCTCTGTATCTAGCAATAGTAGCAGGGACCTTTTTTTTTTTTTTTCAAATAAGCTCTTTTTAAAAAAAGTGTGCTCTGATACTTTTGAATATTTGAAAGCAAAACCTTAAAAATGGAATCGATTACTTAAACGATTCTTTTCCCAATAATGCTGGTTTCAAACGCAATCACTATCTCCAAAGTGCTGCTTTCTGTAAAACACATAGGAAGAAGAGGTACCAAAGGGCTGCGTGCCAGGCTGTCAGTGATCTCACATCCTATTTATGCCCAAGAAGCAGCTATTAGGACCGTCTACTAGAGTCTGCGAGGGAACAAAGAGCAGTATATTGGACAGATTAGGCGGGCCCTGGTGCACCAGGCAGTTCCAAGAGGGAGGGATTTACAAAAAGGAACCAGCTGCTTGAAGGCACTTATTCTGCAGCTGTAGTAGGATTCGGGCACATAGAAACCACCCAAAGATAGGCGCCTTCCTGCTGACCTCTAGGGGCATTAAAAGTAAAAGTGTCAGAGGAATCTATCGCAAAGCAATAAACACATAATTCTATTCTTATTCATCTATCCTCCATTTTTCCCCCAAACCCACCCAGCCCAGTTCTGCATTACCCTAATTTCATACTGATGTTTCTTGGTGACCTCCTCTCTTCTTTTTTTGACATCCTGGAAAATAGAAAAGACCATTGGTAAACTAAAGTCCCAGCATGGAATTTCGTTCCTCCCTCTTTCTCCTTAAATCACCTGGGTAGTTTTCCTCTTCTTGGCCTGGATTATCTGGGCTTCTTGGGGGGATTCCGTCTGGCTGGGCTGGGGCTGCTGCTTAGCTTGTAAACGGCTACTGTAGTGAATTTTTAAAAAGGAAGTGTAATTAGTAAGTTAAAGGCAGCAACTAATTTGAAACATGTCTCTAAGACAGATAATGTTACCTTCGTCTTGACATTCTCTTCTTTCAGGTGTATAAAACCTCTGAAGGGGGGAGAGGAAAAGCCGCAGTCAAGTACATTGTCATTCACATTCTCCAAGTGCCAGTAAGACGCTGATTCGCAGGTGAAAGCTCAGTCCCTCCGAAGGGGGCCTGGGCCCTGTGACCCTGCCATCTTCTGTGCTATGTTAGCTAGCTCATGGTAATTCATTTTGGATACAAGCCTGCATTTCCTCAACTGAATGTACAGCTGGAACGCGAGTGTCCAAAAATTTACCAAGCACTCCTGACACCTTGAACGCGCAGGGAGGCACATCTTCCTCAAACGGGTTTTTCTGGGTCCTCCACCCTCTCCCCCGTACACCGGGAGTGGGGCTTGGGCAGCGCCCCCACGTCCCGCCTCCCTCCTGGACCAGCGGGGAGAGGGGGTTGTGGAGGCGAAATGCTGTGGAGAAGCCGGTTCCGCGCCAATTTGGAGAGCGGCGGTGGCGGGGAAGCAGGGGGCGGAGGAACCAAGACTGGTGTCACGGCCTCCAGTCTCCTTTCCCTCCTTCCCGGCCCTGCCGCCCTACCGCCGCTCGGAGGGGCGCCGGGACCCCAACTCCAGATGGGAAGCGGAGGGCGTGGGGGAGGGCAGGAAAAGGAGCTAAAGAAAGGGGAGACTGGGCTGGCTGGGAACTTTTCTCCCCATGGAGGGGACCCGGCCTCCCATCCTCTCTCCCACGGGATAGCTCCCCAAATGAGGGTGGGATAGAGAAGCCCCTAGAATGAGGGGCGGCTCTCCATGCCCAGCCGCTTCCCGGTCCCCTGCCAAGGTTCCTGACAGGGACGGAACGCGGGAACCCATGACCCCCAGTCGTCTAGTTCTCAGCCCTCCCGATTTTCCTCCCTGAGGCTCCCGCCTGTGGTAAGTGATCGGCCCAACTGGGCTTTCTTTCCTCCCACATCCCCCCTACGCGCAGCAACTCCTCACCGCCAGACCAGCTACCGCTCGGCTCAGCTGGCGCCGGCGCCAACCCAATATATAGGCCGGGCCGGTCCCGCCCCGCACGCATGCGCCTCAGACTGACACCTCCGGACAGCGCGCTCCCCTCTCCCGCCCGTCCGCCCGCGTGCCCGCGCGCCGCGCCCTGCTCTCAGTGCGCGCCCGCCACCCGGAGCGGCCGTGGGGTCCACTCTACCGGGCCTTCTGCCCGCGTCCACCGCGCTCCACGGCGCGGCCGGCGGCGGTAGGGAAACTCTCAGGGGCTCCTTCTCCGCGGCTGTTCTCCCCGCCGCCTGGCTCGCGCATCTCCCGCCAGTTTGCTTTTGCTTCCTCCCACTGCAACTCCTGGATTTCGGGGGTGTCAGCCTGCGGCTCAGCCCGGGCGCATAACAGGGGGACACGACTCGGGCGACCATAGGGTGGCTGGGAAGTGACCGTCCAGGGGCGCGCCCTAGCTGTCCCGCCAAGGCCTCAGGGAACCCAGGTCTTTCCTGAGCGACGCGGGGACCCGAGGGCCCGCCCCTCGGGGAGGAGCAAAGCGTTGGCTGAAGAGCTGGCCAATGGGAGGCACGGGCGGCAGCACAACGTGGAGTGGCTGCAGAATGTAAACACCACTCAGCCACGCGCCTGGCCAAGTGCGGCTCTGCTCTCCCCAGTCCCGGTCCGCGACCACCCGGAGCCCGCTCCGCCGGCCTTGCGCGGCGCGCCCAGGGAAGGCATTTCCAGCCCGCCCACCCAGGTATGTATCAACCCTGCTTTCCGGCTCCCTGCTCCCCCTACCGGGTTTCCCTCCCCATGGGTCGGTCGCTCCCCCAACCCGCCGCTCTGCCCCTGCAGTGGCCTCCAGCTGCCACCCCGCAGTCCCCGCGCAGGAAACGCTCGCGCCACGCCGCGCCCTCCCTTGCTTCCTCTCTTCTCCACCTCCAATTCCGGGATCCCAGAGGGTAAAACCCCTCTCCGGAGCGGGGCCCGGGAACGGCATTCCTCCTCCCCCTGAGCGCGGTGGTCCCCGGGGACCTGGCCGGGTGGGAAGAAAGATCGCCACCACGTGCAGGCCCCGGGCCCGCCTGCCGCGCCCCGCCCCGCCGCCGCCGCCAGCGCGCCCTGCGGAGCCCGCGCGAGCCGGCAGCGCGGGAGGGCGCCGTTCGCGCCCGAGCGCTGTTGGGAGGAGGGGGGCCCGACGCTCTTCCTTTATCCTTCCCCGGGTGTTTAAACTTAGGGGTCCCTTCGCTGCCTCTATGAATGCCCCCACAACTGGCGCACCCCAAAACTGCACATCGTCAAGTCAGACTTGCGGCGGGTATTCCGCAAACAGGTTTTGCGGCGGGAGCAGCGAGGCGGGGAACAGCTCCGGGAACAAAGATCCCCCGGGTGGAGGAGCAGTGCGAAGGCGTCTCGGAACCCGCGGTAGCTCGGGCGGGCCGCGTCTGCCCAGGCCCTGAGCGAGCCGGACGGCGAGCGGGCCGCGCCGGGGAGACGGAGCCTCGCGGGCGGGAGCCCTTCCCGAGATGCACCGGGAGGCGGCGCCCGGCGACCCCCGCTCCCGCCCGGCCTTTTGTGCTGCGCCGCTCGAGCGCGCTTGAGGCCCGGGAAATAGCCGCCGCCGGATGGGCGCTTTGGGGCGGGCGAAGTCCTTTTTCACACTTTTTCGATTCTTCGTCTCGTGACGCCGGCAAAATAATTCTCTCCCTAATTTACCTGTAGGAGCTTTGCCCAAGGTGACAGCATCAGGAGAAGCCCATGCCTTGTCAGTCCCAAGAAACTTTCTGCCATTTCTAACGCTTAGGATGGCTCTCGGCGGGGCAGAAGTTGCCTCCCTTTTGCAGTCACTCAAAACGCAGTTAGCGGTATAGCTAGCTTAAAGGTCTAACAGCATGATGTCAAGAAAAGGGGTCAGGGGTCTCCCAACAAGGGTCACCTGATCGTAAGCAGAACTGGTGGCCCTCGTGGTTGAATTTGATAAAATATACTGAAAACCAGTATGTCGAGTAACGTTTGTGGGAATCATCTTTGAATGATGAATGTATGCTCAGTACTGAGTTAACTAGTAAATTGATTTTAAAAGACACTGCTCTTATAAATGTTCTTTCCATACCCTTGACTATTATGTGAACAGAATGCAATCATAGTAAAGGAGAAATTAGAAAATTCCAAGACGTCTTTGTGTGGAAAGGAATAGAGTGAATTCTCCCATATTACAGATACCTGGTCAATAGACAAGTGGGTCTGTTAAAAAAAGAGAAAATAAAGGGTAGGGGGCGGGTATGTTTGTTTTTAGCTTGCTCTTTTCCTACTTATCCGTTTTAAAATTCACCTAAAGTATATTTCCCCTATTGTACATGTAAAGTTAAAACACCATGGTAAATAAACTGTTGGCCTCTACCATGCTTCTCTGGGGTAACTATTTTGATTGCTCCGACATTCATTTTCAGGAGGAAAAAACCCCAGAAGATGCTTGGAGGCACAGGCTTAAAAAAAAAAATTCAGGCTTAGCCCACCCATTTCTTTATTCTGTGCCTTTTTTTTTTTTTTTTGTATATCTCCTCTGTCGAAGCTTCACAGATCCTTTTCCCTGTGCTACAGTTATGCTCATCTTACAGGACAAAAATTACTTATTTAAATGTCTTTTATTTCCAACTCGACCTCGGAAATTGTTTTGTTCATCTTTTTATAGCCAGTATTCAGCAGTTCAAAGGCATATATAGTAGGACTTGGGTAAATGCTGATTTGAATTGTATGTAGGATATCCCATTATAGAATTTTAGGTCTCTAGGTTACCATGATGGATGATAGACGGATGGTGGAATTATTCCCAATAAATACCAGGCTTTTAAAAACATTAATAGACTTTATTTTTTAGAACAGTTTTAAAGAAAAATTGAGCAGGTGGAACAGGACTTCCATATACTCACTCCCCTCTCCCACCCACCACACATGCACAGTTTCCCCTGTTATTGACATCTTATAGTATGGCATATTTATTACCCTATGATGTGTTTGCTATTTAATGAATCAATGTCGATGTGTTATTATTAACTAAAGTCCATACTTTATTCCTATGTCTTTAGTTTTTACCTAATATCTTTTTATTGCTCTAGGATCTCGTCCAGGATACCCATCACATTTAGATGTCATGTCTTAGGTTCCTCTTGGCCATGGCAGTTTCTCAGACTTTTGTTTTGATGACCTTAACAGTTTTGAGGAGTGCTGGTCAAGTATTTTGTAGGCTAACCATGCGACAAAAACATCAGATGAATTCCGGTAGACGAGTTGACTGGGGTTATGGGTTTGGGGAGGAAGATCATAGAGATAAAGTACCATTTTCATCACATCATACTAAGAGTTCATACCGACATCATGATTTATTACTGTTGATGTTGATCTTGACCGCTTGGCTGAGGTAATGTTTGTCAGGTTTCTCCATTGTAAAATTACTCTTTTTCCTCCCTTTCCATACTGTGCTCTTTGGAAGGAAGTCACTGTGTGCAGCCCACACCTAAGGAGTGAGGAGTGATCTTTTTTAGGGTGAAGTATCTGTATTATTTTAATTTATTCTGCATTAGAGATTTGTCTCTTTTTCCCCATTCATTAACTTAGTCATTTATTCCTATCAGTATGCACTCATGGATATTCGTTTTATAATTTGAATTATAATTCAATAATACTTTATCTTGTTGGTCAGATTGTTCAAAACTTTCACCAAGGTATTTTTCATACGTTTTTATTGTCATGAGACTCATTTGAAGCTAAGCAAAAATGAATGGTGCTTAATAATAGTATTTCTCATGTAACAAGAAAGGAATAAAACATTTTCTTCCCATTTAATGAAACTTGCTTATCCTTCATGCTTATCTAAAACATACATAAAGGAAAAAAAATCTTTGTATTTTAGTAGAGACAAGGTTTCACCATGTTGGTCAGGCTGGTCTTGAACTCCTGACCTTAAATCAACCGCCCGCCTCGGCCTCCCAAAGTGCTGGGATTACAGGCATGAGCCACTGCACCTGGCCAATTTTTTAAATTAGAATCAGGTGAGATGCAGTTTTAAAAACAATTTTATTGTTAAACAAATACATTTTACTGTAAGATAGTTTTGACTTCACATTCTACTTTGAAGCGTCATTGAGACCTCTAGATGTCCACAGAACACACTTTGAGAACTGCATACATAGTTGCCCAAACCAGAATCCTGGGAGTGAACTTAGTCATTCCTTTTTTCTTCTTTTCTGAGCTTCATAATCATAGTTAATATTTCCTGGGTAAGATAATGTGCTAGGCTGTACCCCAAGCCTTCACATACTATTAACTCCTTCAATCTTCCACCAACACTATAAGACAGGTGCTAATGACTGTCATTCCTGGTTTATAAATGAGGAAGCTGAGGCACAAGTGTAGTTTGCCTAAGATCCACAGTAGAGTCTGACTCCAGCTCACCTGTGCTGTGCTGCCTCCATTTATCACCAAATTCCTTTCTCTTCTGTTCCCAAGTCATTTCCACATTCATGCTTTATTTCCCTCTGCCTTAGTTCAGGACACCATTCTCTCTTCAGTGCAATACTCTTCTAACTGGTTTTCCTGACATGCATTGCCTCTTGCAGTCTGCCTTCCAACCTGTTGCCAAACTGCCCTTCCAAAGCACAGATGCCACTCCTTAAAACCTTTCTGTACCTCCGCTTGGATTAACAGTCAAACCCCAAAACTTAAACACACAAGACCTCTTGCGCCCAGGAGATCCCCCTACATGGAGCTGTCCACATCCCCTGTCCTTCTCACCTTGGGACCTTGGCACCTGCACCTCATTCTCCCCACCTCCATTGCCTTTCCCCAGCTAGATCCCATTTATTCATTAATACTCAAACACTGCCTTTTCTAGAAAGCTGTCTTGCCCTGTTCTGAAGTAGGACTTTCCTTTGTAGCACCTCTTCTCCAACTTATGCTTGCCTCTACCCCTGCTTGTCTCTGCCAGGCTGTAGGGAGCCCCTGGGGACAGGGGCTGTCTCTTTCAGGGCTGGCCTGGGGCCTGGTGGACCGCAACCCTCTTTGTGGGATAAATGGAGGGGAGGGGGCAGAGGTGTGCTCTCGGTGGGGGGCCCTTGGAACCTAACTCCAGGGAACAGTCCCTTGAAAGAGTTTTGCAGCTGGCACCTTGGAGGGCTCAGCAGGGTGGCAGCAGAGCACTGCCCTCTGCTCCTGAGCTCTGAGGACACCAGAGGCACCAGGGAGTCTAGGTAGATGAGCCTCTGGCTCTGCCAGTGCTGCACTTGGCTGCCACCTCAGAGGGAGGGCCCTTAAAAAGGAAGGCATTGTAGATTGTGAGACGTAGACAGCGCACCTCAGAGATGGTCAGTTCAGCTCCTTCATGATTCCTGAAACTCCACAGTGAGGAGAGAGAACAGAAAAGTCCGGCAGTGATGGAAATCCAGAAGCTCTGGGAGGTTGGAGTAGGCGGGAGGGCACAGAGTGCTCTGGGCGGGGCCCTGCTCTCCACTGAGGAGGATATGGAAGTCACCAAGAAACACTGTTCTCTGTCCCCAGAGCTTGAGTTCTGTTGGACTGGGGAACAGAGGATAAATGTGGAACGGATAACTATTGTTAAGCATGATGCAAAATATAAGATGATATGGCAGAGGGGACTGCAGGGGCGGGGAGTGATCTGGGGAGGACTCACAGAGGAGGTGACATTTTATTTAGTTCATTCATTAATTCAACAACAGTAGGGCACAGTAAAGCAAACAATTCCTGCCCCTTAGATCTTAAATCTAGTGTAAGGGAGGGGGAATGTCATAGAAACTAATAAATGTGTCAGATAGTAATAACTAAGATGAAAAATAAGAGCAGGGTAAGAGAACAGGAGGTGCTATGTTAGCTGTTTAGGGAAGGCCTCCTGATGAGACATTTGAGCAGAGAACTATGAAGAGAGAATAAGCCATACAAATAGGAAGGAAGAACATCCTAAGCAGAGGAACAAAGCCCAGAGGACCTTGGCATATTTAGTGCACAACGAGGTTTGTATGGCTGGAACGTAGTGAGCAAGGGAGTGATGGGAAGGAGATGCAGTGAGAATGTTTTAAAAGCATCCAGCTGGCTGCTATGTGAAGCGTAGACTCCAGCAGGGGAAAAGAGTAGAAGCAGGGAGACTGGATAGGAGATGGGTGCAATGCAGGGAAGGGGTTAGTTTGTGGGAGCAGGCTGGGTGGTGGAGATTGGGAGAAGCACACTCAGGATATACGCTGAAAGTAGAGCTGTGCTGATGAATAGACTGAGGCGACTGAGACAAGTAAAAGGCAAGCAACTAGATGGATGAATGGCTGTCACTCAGAGGAACAGCTATGGCATAGGACAAAATCAGGAGTTGGTTTTGGACAGGTTAAATGTTTTTAACTTCCCTCTACATTTTATTATTATTATTTTGAGACAGAATTTTGCCCTGTCACCCAGGCTGGAGTGCAGTGGCGCGATCTCAGCTCACTGCAACCTCCACCTCCCAGGTTCAAGTGATTCTCATGCCTCAGCCTCCCAAGTAGCTGGTATTACAGGCATGCGTCACCATTCCTGGCTAAGTTTTTTTGTATTTTTTGTAGAGTCAGGGTTTCGCCATGTTGGCCAGGCTGGTCTCCAACTCCTGGCCTCAAGTGATCCGCTGGCCTCAGCCTCCCAAAGTGCTGGGATTGCAGGCATAAGCCACTGTGCCCAGCCTTTTACGAAAAATTTTAAACATTCAGCAAAGTTGAAAGGATTTTATAATGAACACCCATATGCCATACCACCTGTATTCCACTATCAACATTTTGCTATGCTTACTTCATCACAGATCTCTCCATCTATCCATCCATCATTCCATCTTATTTTCTGGTGCATTTCAAAAAGAAAAAAAAAAGGAGATATCAGTACATGTCTCCCTAAGTACTTTAGCATGCCTAGCATTAACAGTTCAATATGAAAGGTATAGCCCGGGCGTGGTGGCTCCCACCTGTAATACCAGCACTTTGAGAGGCCAAGGCAGGTGGATCACTTGAGACCAGGAGTTCAAAACCAGCCTGGCCAACATGATGAAACTCTATCAAAAAAACAAAAACAAAAATTAGCTTGGTGTGGTGACCCATGCCTGTAATTCCAGTCACTCCGGAAGCTAAGGCACAAGAATTGCTTGAACCCAGGAGGTGGACATTGCAGTGAGCCCAGATCATGCCATTGCACTCCAGCCTGGGTGACAGAGTGAGGCCCTGTCTCAAAAAAAAAAAAAAAGATATAAATCTCAGGTATATAATCTTAATAAATAGACTTGTGTAACCCAAACTCTTATCAAGTTGTGGAACATTACCACCACAGTGTTTTTTAATTTCATTCATGTTGTTGAATGTATCAGTACTTTGCTCCTTTTTGTTGCTTAGTATTCCATTGTATGGATATGCTACACTTTGTTATTTTTTAATTATTAGCTATTGTGAATAAAGTCACCCTGAACATTCTTGTATGTCCACAAGGAAGTCTTTTTGTGGACATACTTTTTTTTTTTTTTTTTTGAGATGGAGTCTCACTCTGTCACCCCCAGGCTGGAGTGCAGGGGCACTGTGTCAGCTCACTGCAACCTCCGGCTCCTGGGTTCAAGCAATTCTCCTGCCTCAGCCTCCCGAGTAGTTGGGATTACAGGCGCCCACCACCACGCCCAGCTAATTTTTATATTTTTAGTAGAGACTACTAAATGACGTTTCACCATGTTGGCCAGGCTGGTCTCAAACTCCTGACATCAGGTGATCCACCTGCCTCGGCCTCAAAGTGCTGGGATTACAGGCGTGAGCCACTGTGCCCAGCCTGTATTCATTTCTTTTGAACATATACCTAAGAGTGGAATTGTGAGGTCACAGGGTAGGTATATATTTTATTTTGAGAACTAATAGGGGCTGGGTGCAGTGGCTCACACTTATAATCCCAGCACTTTGGGAGGTGGAAACAGGAGGATCGATTGAGCCTAGGAGTTCGAGACCACCCTGGGCAACCCTGGCTCCACAAAAAATAAAGAAGTTAGCTGGGTGTGGTGGTGTGCCCCTGTGGCCCTAGCTACTCAGGAGGCTCAGGTGGAGGATCACTTGAGCCCAGGAGGTCGAGGCTGCAGTGAGCTGAGATTGTACCACTGCACTCTAGCCTGGGCAACAGAGAGAGACCCTGTCTCGAAAAAAACAAAGAAAACAACAACAACAAAACTGTCATAGTTAAAATGAAGTACAGCCATGTGTATCAACCGGGATAAATCTCAGAAACAATGTTTTTCAAAAACAAAAGCAAATTATAGGTCACATTCAATATGATACCATTTATATAAAATTTGAAAGCATGTAATACAAATTACAGTAGTTGTAGATACATACTTACGCAGTAATAGCATAAAAGCGTGCTTCACCAAAGTAGCCATCAATTTCAGGACAGTGGCATCTTGGGTTCGGGGGGAGTTTATAATAGGCTTCAGCTATATCTGTAACATTTGTATTTCCTTAAAAGCATTTGAAACAAGTAGGGTAAAATGTTAATAGTTAATAAACTGAGTGATGGATGCACAGAGATTAATCTCTACTTTTTGGTTCTCTAGTTGGTAACTTGTTAGTTTTTAAGGCGCTGTTTCTGAACTATTTACTCACTCCTCCCCACCCTGTCAACCCCTGCTTCTGTAGGTAATTGATGCTAGGCTGAACCAGGATGTGTGGGGCAGGCAGCACTGTCCTTTCCCACTCCTGTGCCTCTCTCTTCTTAGAGACCCAGGGCAGAGGGATCCTGTGGACAAAGAGCACCTCTGACCTGCCCCTGGCTCCCTAGTCTTGAGATAACTTCCAGGCCTTCTTTCCCCTTTTGGTTCCTAAATCTAGGTCTGTGAACTGGGCCAAGCTGTCCTTCCAATCCCAGTTCCAAACCCTACTTAAAATTGAACCATGTGTTTTTTTGTTTTTGTTTTTGTGGTTTTTTTGTTTTTTGGTTTTTTTTGAGATGGAGACTCACTTTGTCGCCCAGGCTGGAGTGCAGTGGCGCGATCTCGGCTCACTGCAACCTCTGCCTTGTGGGTTCACGCCATTCTCCTGCCTCAGCCTCCCGAGTAGCTGGGACTACAGGCACCCACCATCACACCTGGCTAATTTTTTTTGCTTTTTTTTTTTTTTTTTTTTTTTTTTTTTTTTTTTTTAGTAAAGACAGGGTTTCACCGTGTTAGCCAGGATGGTCTCGATCTCCTGACCTCGTGATCTGCCCGCCTCGGCCTCCCAAAGTGCTGGGATTAGAGGTGTGAGCCACCGCGCCTGGCCTGAACCATGTTTTAAAATAATTTGTTCTGTTCCATTGTTTTTCTTCAGAGACTCTAACTTTATGCAGTTTCATTTGCCTGTCACTTCTCTAATGATTTTAAGTTTCTATTTTTTACTTTTCTTGATTCTGTTCTTTATGTCTTCCACGGTATCTTTCACAGTAGTGTCTCTTCTCCCTTGTGTTCCTTGTCATTTGTTTTTTGTTTGTTTGTTTGTTTTTTGCAGTGTTTCTGTATTTCTTTCCTGTTTCTTTCCTAAAGCAGTTTTTAATGTCCAGGCTCCTTTTTCATGCCCTCCCATGGTTTGTCACCTTCTGCTTCCTGACCACCCCTTCCTTGAGTTCTTTATTTCTGCTTTGTCATCTTCCTGCATAACTGTCATTGCCTTATTACATTTAAAAAAAAAATCATAATAGAATATTGGGTTAAAATTTTCTTCTTCTGGCCAGGCGCGGTGGCTCATGCCTGTAATCCCAGCACTTTGGGAGGCCAAGGCGGGCGGATTACCTGAGGTTAGGAGTTCGAGACCAGCCTGGCCAACATGGTGAAACCCTGTCTCTACTAAAAACATAACAATTATCTGGGCCCGGTGGTGCATACCTGTAATCCCAGCTACTTGGGAGGTTGAGGCAGGAGAATCGCTTGAATCTAGGAGGCAGAGGTTGCAGTGAGCTGAGATTGCGGCATTGCACTCTAGCCCAACTAGGGGAGACTATGTCTCAAGAAAAAAAAATTTTTTTCTTCTTCTTTGTGGCAGGATTTTTTGGATGAGTTTTCTTTCTGCAGGGAGGAAGTTTTGCCACTCCTTTTCAGGTTTTTTTTTTTTTTTCTGGGAGAACCTTTTGTGGATTTTAAAAATCATTTATTTTTTGACGGGTCGGATTTTTCTGAGGCAACAGTTAGCAAGTGAGTCCTGTGATGTGAGAGGGGAGGCAGCTTTCCTTGATTCTCAGCTCGAGGGCTCCCTCCTCTGTTGTAGTGAGAGGCCTACTGTTTACTGAATGGCATCTCTGTGTAGCCAGACCTCCTCTGACTTTAGGATCCTAACCTCACTTGGGTGGGTTTCAACAAGCCCAGAGCTTCCCTGGTCCTTCCCCAGCCACTGATTCGGAGGCATCCTGCCCCTTCCTACCAAGGTACTCCTCTGTCTCTTGGAAGCTGCACTTCCCAAAGCTACCTGGGTGCCCTCTAGGCACTCTGGTGATTTCCTTCTTCCTCTCCTAGTGTTCTTGCCCTCTTCCTTCTTGGTCCTGCTCATAGTGGTTCTCATCCAGGGTGAGTCTTCTCCTCTTGGGGTTGAATTTCCCTGGGGATGGCTGGGATCCACCACCAGCTGGACTGCTGTGCAGTTTCTGGTGTTTCCTATGGCACCTGCCCACACGTTGTAGATTACTGTGCTGGTTTGGGGGTGACGCCACACACAATGTGAAATTTGTAAACTTTGTCACTTCCTCATTTCACCGAAGATACAGTTTGTAGGTGTTTCACACTTTCATTCTTGTTGCCCTGTAGATTTTTTAAAAAATTGTTTATATTTTTTCATGTCAGATAGGTAATGTACCAGCATCATAACAAGGTTCAAGGGCGGCACATCTCACACGTGCACGTGAACACCTAGTCATCATGTTTATGAACTCCAAAGGATCGCCCTACAGATTCTGAGCAAAGCTGTCACCGTGCTCCCATCAGGCTGCTATAGAGTCCTTAGCAGGTATTCAAGGCCCTCCACAGTCTGCCCTGCCCTCTTTGGTTCTTCTCTGTGCTCTTAGGTATGACCACTGCTCCAGCTGAACTAATCTATTCACCATCCCAGGAACTCATCCCACACGTCCCTTTCCCTGTGTCCCTGCTGTTCCCATAACTGCACTGTCACTTCAGGGCTTCCATGTGGTAGCTGTTGTTTGTGGTGACCCCATATGTATTTCTCCCGTCTCCCTTTCTGCTGGTATAAGAACCTAACCCACCACTCACCAGCAGGGCTAGGTGTGTAAACCCAGTTTGTTGATTGTGGTGCCCTTTCCCTTGGCAACAGGGATTGTTTCATGATAGGACAAATGTTCCAAGCAGGGCCAAAGTCCTTCCCTCCACGTGAGCTAGCCAAGAAGCCTGCCTCTTGCCTCTAGGGTCACTGTGTCAAAGAATGTTCACCTGGGGGACCTCCCATCTGCAGCACTAAAGGACATGCTGACACAGAGCAGAGGGAGTGTCCTGGTTTAAGTCGTGGATCCACCTTGGTGGTTCCTAGTAATGAAAGCCAGTCCATCACATTTTAGCTTAAGATTATTTTGAGTCAGTTTTATCATGTGCAACTGAGAGGATCATGACAAATACACTTGACCTTGTTCTGCCATTGCCCCTGTGCTTTATCTATTTGTATACATTACACTATAGGGTAGTTGTAATTGCCTGTTTATTTGTCTGTGTCTCCCACTAGAAGTTCTTAATTGCACCGTCAACATTATGTATCCAGCACCTAGCATTGTGCCTGGCCAATGTTGGACAGTAAATGAAAATTCAGTTGAAACTACGTGTCTGCCTTACCAAATTCTTCCTCAGGGTCTTAGACTACCAAGTCCTTCATGAAGCTTTCCTGGCAAGTGAGAGAATGTATGTAAAATGTCTTGCAGTGTGGCCAGCACAAAACAGTCTCACAAGAGCTGCATCTTTCTCTCCTGCGGTTACTCTAGCCAGAAGTGATGTCTTTCTCCTTGTAGCTCCTATATGTCATTTAATCAAATGGCATCAACTCATACTGTCTAATACTAGAGTTTGCATTTCTCTTAAGTTTTCAATGTGAATGTAAATGCCAGGTAGCAAGGACCTTGCACAGTGCATCATACTAAAGAATCTGCAGTTGTTGGATACACTGCTGAATGCATATGTGAGCAATAGTTAGAGGTTAGATGGAGGCTAGTGATCCATTATTGGCTGCAGGAGTCCTCGTGCTGTGTGAGACACAGATAGATTCAAAGGACCCTAGAAAAGGGTAGAGCTCAATCATACATTTGCAGAATATATGAATGGTGTTTGAAAATCTAAAGCCATAACAGTTTACCATAGCTGAAACATAGCTGTGATTATCCCATATACCCAAACATCTCACTCCTTGGTAAAAGCTGCTACTTGTCCAAGCTGAATAATTGGAATGAGAAATGAGGTGAGCAAGTCAGAGTTCATCATGCCTTCAGTTCTGATAAGGGGAACTGAGTACTACCAAGAGAAGAGGCCAGAAGCTCTGGGTCCAGAACTTTGTCTCATAATTTTCACATCAGCCTCATACTTTTCTTTGCCTGTATCTTCCATATGTAATTAGTAATAGTCTGGCTGATTCAACCTTTCTTTTAGTCCTGTGACACATCCCTCAGGAGGTCCTGAGAACATATGCCTGTGATTCAGGCTTTCTAGTAGAATGTAAGCTCCAGAAGGCCAGGGACTTGGTCTGCTTTGTTCATTGCTGAATCTCCAGTACCTAAAATAGTGGCTGGCCCCTATGTATTGGGTCATAGCAGGTACTACATTCACCTCTCTACTATGTTTAATACAGTTTATTTCCCTTGTGTGTGCCTTGCTAAAATATTTATGTTTAAATTTCTGTATTTGATACACATTGTGAAAGGACATTTTCAAGTCTAAGTCCCATGACTTGAGTTTGCCTGTGTCTCCCATTAAAAGCTCTCAATTACACCATTGTGTGCCCAGTACCTCGCATTGTGCCTGGCCAGTGTTGGACAGTAAATAAAAATTCAGTGTCTTATTCACTGAGGTATAGTGCCTAAAACAGAAGACATTCCATAAATATGTGTGGAATGAATGACTTAAATATTTGATTAATGAAGTTTAAGTTGAGCAAAGAAAGGAGAACTAGTAGCTTAGATTTACTAAGAATACTATGCCACATTTATTTGTTTATTTTTAGAGACAGTCTTACTCTGTTGCCCATGCTGGAGTACAGTTGTATGATCATAGCTCACTATGGACTCAACCTCCTGGGCTCAAGCAATCCTCCCATCTCAGCCTCCCAAGTAGCTGGGACTACAGGAATGCACCCTCTTCCCTGGCTAATTTTTAAATTTCCTGTAGAGATGGGGTCTTGCTATGTTGCCCAGGCTGTCCTCAAACTCCTGGCCTGAAGTAATCCTCCCATCTCAGCCTCCCAAAGTGCTGGGAGTACAGATGTGAGCCACCGCTCGTGGCCTATGCTACATTTATTTTAACATCTTTATCGTTCACAAGTAATTTCACAGGTATCCCCTTACTTGAGTCTTGCAACAACTCTATGAGGTTTATTTTGCCAGATTTATAGCTGAGGAATAAGACTCAGAGGAGTCAGAGGGCTTCTCTAAGATTATTTAGCTTGCAGATTGGAACTTGAACCCAAGCCTTGACTCCTAATTTTATATTTGTATGAATTCATACAAATGTCATAGGAAATTATCCACATTTTATAACTAGAATTATAGAATTAGAAGTGGCCTCACACATCACAAATCCTGAACCCCTCACTCATTTTTCAAAAGAGGAAAATAAGAATTGGAAAGTTTATATATGTATCCAAAGGTACACATCCAGTTTAGGAATTTCAAAAAGCTGGCTAGGCACAGTGGCACATACCTGTAATTCCAGCAGTTTGGGAGCCCGAGGTGGGTGGATCACCTGAGGTCAGGAGTTCGAGACCAGCCTGACCAACATGGCGAAACCCCATCTCTACTAAAAATACAAAACTAGCCAGGTGTGGTGGTGCACACCTGTAAGTAATCCCAGCTACTTGGGAGGCGGAGGCAGGAGAATAGCTTGAACCTGGGAGGCGGAGATTGCAGTGAGCTGAGATTGCACCACTGCACTCCAGCCTGGACGACAGAGGGAGACTCCGTCTCAAAAAAAAAAAAAAAAAAAAAAAAAAAAAAAAAACACTTCGGGAGGCCAAGGCGGATCACAAGGTCAGGAGTTCAAGACCAGCCTGGTCAACATAGTGAAACCCCGTCTGTACTAAAAATACAAAAAATTAGCCGGGTGTGGTAGTGGGCGTCTGTAATCCTAGCTACTTGGGAGGCTAAGGCTGGAGAATCGCTTGAACCTAGGAGGCTGAGGTTGCAGTGAGCTGAGGTCGCGCCACTGCACTCCAGCCTGGCGACAGAGTGAGACTCCATCTCAAAAACAAAAAAAAATTTTTTTCAAAAAGCCAGCCGGGCGTGGTAGCTCCTAGCATTTTGGGAGGCCAAGGTGGGTGGGTCACTTCGCCCAGGAGTTTGAGACCAGCCTAGGCAACATAGTGAGACCTCATCTCTAAAATAAATAAATAAAAATTATATATGTGTATATATATACACATATATATATATACACACACACACACACATATATATATATAAAAGAATTACAAAAAGCTGGCTTCTCCAGCCAGTGCCTCTGTGTGTCACCTGGTTTCACTCAGCCTGAGAGAGTGCATTGAGCTTGTGAGAGACCAAGTTGCCCTCTGCTTTGTCTGCATCAGAGGCCCCTGAAAACTAGGCCCCTTTCTGACATGGCCCTTCTTGTAGGAAACTCATGTTCTCTCCTTCATTTTTTTTTCCTTCTCTCTTGTATACCTTGCATAGGGGTAAGGTGGGCGGGAGTTGTGGAAAAGGTAACCAGCCAGGGTTCCCTACTCCTGCCCATTTAGGAACTTTTTTTTGTTTGTTTTTTTGGTTTTTTTTTATTGGAGATGGAGTCGCTCTGTCGCCTAGGCTGTAGTACAGTGGCACAAGCTTGGCTCAGTGCAACCTCTGTCTCCCGGGTTCAAACAATTCTCATACGTCAGCCTCCCAAGTAGCTGGGATTACAGGCATGTGCCACCATGCCCAGCTAATTTTTGTATTTTTAGTAGAGACAGGGTTTCACCATGTTGGCCAGGCTGGTTTCAAACTCCTGACCTCGGGTGAACCACCTGCATTGGCCTCCCAAAGTGCTGGGATTACAGGCATGAGCCACCGCGCCTGGCCTGAACTGGTCTTGATAGAGGCCTCTGAGCTTGAAAGTTAATAAAATAATAACCCATTTCTTTCTCTGATACCTCCTCGTGTAGACCCTAGCCCTACTGAGAGTTCACATTGCACAGAATCTAAAAGAATCTTGCCTTCTGTCCAGTGGGAATGACTTTACTAGGACTGTCGGGAAGATGGATTCCATTGTTTGGCCTTGCATATCTCTATGAGTCAAAACCTGACAATAGGAACAGCTCAGTCTTAAAAAGTTCACAGATTACATTCAGTAATATCACTTTTCATTTAGTTTATGAAAATCAGGGTTCCAATTTTTAAGAATATATGTTCAAGAAAGTTTACTATAGCTTTGTTTGTAATAGCAAAAACCTAGAGATAATTTAAATTTTATCAGGAAGTGTTTTAAAAAGTATGGTTCATCTATAGTATAGTATAGAATATATCATGCAATTTTTTAAAAATGAGTTGAGATTACCTATGTGGACTTGAAAAGCTGTGATACATTCGTAAGTGATAAACATTGCAGAGTGATGTTAATGGAAAATGTTAAAGTAAGATCTTACTTTGGAGAAAAATAAGGAAATCTTCATACGTGTGTATACATGATTATATGAGCCTGGAGAAAGAAGTGGCAAGATGCCACCTCAGCTATTAAAATTTGTTACCGTGAGAGCAGATTTGGGCTGGGGGAGGAGATATTAACACGTCTGTATTTGACTTTTACAGCAAGCATGTATTGATATTGTGATTCTTTAATAAAGTGAAAATTTTGAGGAGCATGGGTTTGAGATAAACAGATGGATTATAAGCTAGTTTTTATCACTTAATATTCATGAGAGGTTTGGAATTAATAAATTACCTAACCTCAGTCTTCATCTATAAAAAGGGAATAACACCTACCTCACAGTATATAATTAAAGGAAGTATACGAAGCTTGTAACATTATCCTTTTATAAATGTTACTTTCTTTTTCCTCCCACATAAGTGATTTGGAGTAGAATATTAAAATAAATGCAGAATGCGTTGGCTCCGCTTCTGGTGTGTGTTCTCTTCATGTTCTCAACTTGGCCTTGGACTTCCAAAGAGGTGGATTAGTGTCTCCACAAAGATCCAGCAGATAATCACTGTTTCTCCCTTTAATCCTTTTAGAGACAAAGTAAGAATAATATACAATGGTACCTTGGCCCTCCAGGGGTTATTTACCTGGTACCTCAGTTATTACTAACCCAGCTGAGAAGCAGGAAGGAAGGAGATGGGCCTCTGAACAGCCAAAACAGATGTCTAAAGTTCAAGCTCACCTGGATCATTTATTCTTAATTTAGACAACAAAATGAGGTTTTTCCAGCTTTGGCACGTTAGTGAGGATGCTATGGCAGGTTCCTTGAGAGCAGCCAGAAGTGATAGCCTGGTTTGAGCTGAGGGGTCTGTGGAATACTGATACTCAAACACAATAGCTCAAGAAGCCGGATGGTCTGGGCCCACACTTGGTTTTCACAGTGAGTAACTGCTGTTCGTAATGACAGTGCTGCATTATTAGAGAGAAATTAATTCATTCTTCATATAATCTTGCAAAGGCTCTTAGAGTATGATATCATTTAGGAGGTATTACCACCAGATATGATTAAACTCCCTCAGTTTTTCTGCTAAGTTTTGTTTTCATATCAGTGCCAGAATTTAACAGTGGTCTCTATCCTACGAGGGAAAGATAGAGTAGCTGCCTTTAGTTAGAAATATACATAACCAAAAGTGACAGACATTAGGAATTGTTCAAAAAGGATCTTAACCTGGAACAGTGGAATGATTTCCTACAAGTGCATTATTTGCCTTTTGAGTAAAATAAGGTCCACTATCATCCATCTTTGCGGCCTGATGAGTTTTAGAATTCAGAGCTTTTCAGATTTTTTGAAAGGAAATATGTATGTATACAAAACCACACATCACATAAAAGCCCTGGCAGGGTCTAAGGTAACACACTATGATAAAGCATTAATATTTCTGCAGTGAAATGTACGAAGAACTAATTAGGACAAACTCTGTAGTTTATTTAAATAATAAACCAGTAGACTGGGTGCGGTGGCTCACGCCTGTAATCCCAGCACTTTGGGAGGCCAAGGTTGGCAGATCACGAGGTCAAGTGATTGAGACCATTTTGGCTGATACAGTGAAACCCTGTCTCTACTAAAAAAAAAAAAGAAAGAAAAATACAAAAAATTAGCTGGGCGTGGTGGCGGGCACCTGTAGTCCCAGCTACTCGGGAGGCTGAGGCAGGAGAATGGCGTGAACCCGGGAGGCGGAGCTTGCAGTGAGCCGAGATCATGCCACTGCACTTCAACCTGGGCGACAGAGCAAGACTCCGTCTCAAAAAAAAAAAAAAAAATTAGCTGGGCATGGTGGCACATGCCTGTAGTCCCAGCTACTCTGGAGGCTGAGGCAGGAGAATCACTTGAACCTGGGAGGGGGAGGTTGCAGTGAGCCCAGATCACGCCACTGCATTCCAGCCTGGCGACAAAGCGAGACTCCATCTCAATCAATCAATAGATAATAAACCAGTCAGTGAAAGAGTGGAACAAATATAGATTGTAAGTACTCTGGTAGTCATTTTTCTAAGGAAAACATTTTATAACTCTTTCAATATATACAGGTTCAAATTTGGCTAACTATGCCTGTGCATACACAAAGGATGAACATGTGTAACCTCTGGTGTTTGTACATCCTAGAGGAGAGTAACATCAGTGCCTGTCCCAGCAGTAGGCTGGCAGGGGACATCTGATGCCAGCAGGAGTAGGATTAAATGCAGCACTCTAGCAGGTGCCCTTTTTAAGGACTCGTTGCCCCCCATGTCATAATGGTTCATTAATTTGGGTTTCCATCTGTTCCTTTTTAATTATGAAAACTGCCATAAACTCATGTTCACTGATAAATGTACATGGCTCAAAGCCCACCATTGACTGATCACACATTTTCACCATATCATCTAGTGATTATTGTTCCACCCATGTTTATAATTTCCTCTTCATCATCACTATAACCCTCATGATTATCTGTATTTAAAACCATTTCTGGGCCAGGCGCAGTGGCTCACGCCGGTAATCCCAACACTTTGGGAGGCCAAAGCAGTAGGATCGCTTGAGGCCAGGAGTTCAAGACTAGCCTGGACAACATTGCAAGACCTCATCCCTACGAAACAGTTTTAAAAATCAGCTTAGCATTCTGGCATGCACCTGTAGTCCCAGCTACTCGGGAGGCTAAGGTGGGAAGATTGCTTGAGCCCAAGAATTTGAGGCTTCAGTGAGCTCCCATCACATCCTTGCACTCCAGTCTTGGTGACAGAGCGAGACCTTGTCTCTTTTTTTTCTCGAGACCAAGTCTTAATCTGTCATCCAGGCTGGAGTGCTGTGGCGCGATCTCAGCTCACTGCAGCCTCTGCCTCCTGAGCTTAAGCGATTCTCCTGCCTCAGCCTCCTGAGTAGCTGAGACTACAGGCATGCACCACCACGCCCAGCTAATTTTTGTATTTTTAATAGAGATGGGGTTTTGCAATATTGGCCAGGCTGGTCTTGAACTCCTAACCTCAAGCGATCTGCCCGCTTTGGCCTCCTAGAGTTGGGATTACAGGCGTGAGCCACCGCGCCCGGCCTGAGACCTTATCTCTTTTTTTTTTTTTTTTTTTTTTTCAGTGGTTTCTCTGCTTAAGACAGGCACATCAGGGTCTTCACTGTCAATGTGGAATATTTATTTGATGTCGGTTTTATAGTTTTAGTGGATAAACTTTGGGAATAAGGTAGTCTTCTTATTAGTGAAATAAAATCCTTTGAAGTCTTCATCTGTAGATTTGGTTTCAAACATCGCTGTAAGCCAGCATCCATGCCACTGCAGGGAACTCATGCAGCTGCTATGGAGTAGTTATTGACCAGCCAGAAAGTACTTACCTGGTTACTCATGTTTTGTTTGCATAGTAAGGCCTGGGTGAGTTACATGTACCTCTCAAACATTTTAGATGTTGCTCTTTCCAGCCACCGCCAGTTTTATCTCATGTGGCCAACAATAGTGGCACACCCCAGAATAGTCAGCCAGTTCCTCAAAGCCTATGGTTGCTCACTCACTAGCATTGTGAAATGTTTTTCCAGAATATGCCACCAGGAAAGAGCTGTTTCTTCAGCACTGTTGATTTGCTCAAGACTAAGGTTCTTGGCTGGGCACGGTGGCTCACGCCTATAATCTCAGCACTTTGGGAGGCCAAGGCAGGTGGATCACGGGAGTTCGAGACCAGCCTGGACAACATGGTGAAACCCCGTCTCTACTAAAAATACAAAAATTAGCTGGGCATGGTGATGCGCACCTGTAATCCCAGCTACCTGGGAGGCGGAGGCGTCTCAAAAAAAAAAAAATACAAAAGTGAGTAACATGTGGAACCACATATACATAGAGGTCCACAACTCAGAGCTTACCATTTATGTTTTATTATTGCTATTTATTTATTTTAGCTTCATCGGGTACATGTGCAGGTTTGTTACATGGATATATTTTGTGATGCTGAGGTTTGGGCTTTGATTGAACTCATCACCCAAATAGTGAACACAGTACCCAATAGGTCATTTTGCAACACTTTTCCCCTATTCCCCCCTCCCCGCTTTTGGAGTCCCCAGTGTCTGTTGTTCGCATCTTAAATTTTTTTTTTTTAAGAGATGGGGTCTCCCTGTGTTGCCCAGGCTAGTATTGAACTGCTGAGCTCAAGTGATCCTCCCACCTCAGCCTCCCAAAGTGCTGGGATTACAGATGTAAGTGACTGCCCCCAGCCAATTGTTCTCATCTTTCTGTCCATCTTTACCCAGTATTTAGCTCTCACTTATGAGTGAGAACACCTGATACTTGGTTTTCTGTTTCTGCATTAATTTACTTAGAATGACGGCCTCCAGCTGCATCCATGTGGCTGCAAAGAACGTATTTTTGTTCTTTGTTATGGCTGTGTAGTGTTCTGTGGTATATGTGTACCATGTTTTTTAAATCCAGTCCACTTTTGACGGTCATCTAGACTGATTCTATACTTTTGCTGTTGTGTATAGTGCTGTGATGAACATGCGAGTGCAGGTGTTGTTTTGGTAGAACAATTTATTTTCCTTTGGGTGTATACCCAGTATTGGGATTGTTGGGTCGAATGGTAATTCTGTTTTTACTTCTTTGAAATATCTCCAAACTGCTTTTCACAGGGGCTGAACTAATTTACAATCCCACCAACTGTGTCAGTGTTTCCTCTTCTCTGCAGCCTTGTCAGCATCTGTTATTTTCAGGGCTTACAATTCAGAATGAGACCAGAACAGGTACACAGATCATATACTTACAAGGGGCTTCAGAGAAATGAGTGGTTAAGTTTCTGTCTAGGAACTGGGGAACAAATAGGAGGACTACAGAATAAGTGATACTTGTACCAGACCTTGTAGGATAGGTGGAATTGTATTGGGTGGTGGGAGAGATTGTGAGGATATCCCTCCTTTGATATCTGTGTTCTCCTTCTTTGTTAGCAATAGAACCCCTAATTTAGCTGAAATAAAAATTAAATTTCCCATTCTCCCTTGAAGCTAGGAGAGGCCATTGAATGAGTTATGGTCAGTGCAATTTAAGCAAAATGGTGTGTACTTTAGGCAGTGAGGCATAAAGTGTGAGGAGTTTTAAGGTTGTTGGGTAGCTGGGGGAAGTAGCAAGATAGTGTAGAAAAGAAAAAAACGAAGTTCATGCAATTTCTTACAGCCTGATGCAATACCTTTCCATCTGTTGTTTCTCAGTAGCACATTCAACATGGAATCGGAGGTGGTCCTGACAAAACAACAGAGGCAAGCCATGCCCTTGTCCCATGGGATTAGTGCCAGCCAGCAACAAGAAATTTCCTGCAATAGGACTATTGTCCACTAGTCTATCAGTCTGAAGGGGTAAAGGTCAGTGCTGTGGCTTTAACACCTCATAAATGACCCATCCCGGCTGTCATCCTAAGTGTTAGCCACTAAAGTTTACTTAGTATTTACATTTAAAGGAATTACTATAAAGCCAAATTTTAGCTTATTCCACCTATTAAAAAACAAAAATGGGCCGGGTGCAGTGGCTCATGCCTATAATCCCAACACTTTGGGAGGCCGAGGCGGGTGGATCACCTGACGTCAGGAGTTCGAGACCAGCCTGGCCAATATGGCAAAACCCCTTCTCTACTAAAAATACAAAAATCACCTGGGTGTGGTGGCACGTGCCTAAATTCCAGCTATTCGGGAGGCTGAAGCAGGAGAATTGCTTGAACCTGGGAGGCAGAGGTTGCAGTGAGCCGAGATCACGCCACTGCTCTCCAGCCTGGGTGACAGACAGAGTGAGACTCCATATCAAAAAAAAAAAAAAAAGGCCGGGCGCGGTGGCTCACACCTGTAATCCCAGCACTTTGGGAGGCCTAGGCAGGCGAATCACGAGGTCAGGAGATCAAGACCATCCTGGCTAATATGGTGAAACCCCGTCTCTACTAAAAATACAAAAAATTAGCCAGGCATGGTGGCGGGCACCTGTAGTCCCAGCTACTCAGGAGGCTAAAGCAGAGAATCCTCTACCCAGGAGGCAGAGCTGGCAGTGATCCGAGACCACACCTCTGCACTCCAGCCTGGGTGACAGAGCGAGACTCCATCTCAAAAAAAAAAAAAAAAAAGAAAGAAAAAAGCCACAAATAATAAACTTGGAAGACCAATGGTTAAACAGTGTACGTTAACGTAGAAGGTTCTATAATAAAAAGTAACCTTACTTCAATAACCTAAGGATTTTAGTCCTCTTGTTTTTACCTATTCCAGTCTGTCTTGTGAGAGCTACAGAGGCATTTACAAATATCTTTGCATTAACCTCAAATCAGCAAGGTAGTCTAACGTACTTACTGGAATTCATACTATAACACAAGTACTGCTGTGGAATACAACTAGAATCCACATTTCTCAGACTAGTATATTTACCTCCTAATATAACAATTGCGAAATAGAAATTAATGTAAGTTCTGCCAAAGTTGATAGTGAGATATACAAAACTTTGGGTCCAAAATGAATTCTTTTTGTGTAATGATCAGGTGGTTGAATTACCAATGTGTATTGGCAATGGCATCCCCCAAAATTGGTTTTAAAATAGAAAATTCAACCACAAAGAATCTCTCAGTCTTAGAAAAAATTTAGTGCATCAACACTATAGAGCTTACAGAAAATGTCAAATAAATGTACAAATTCTATTAAAAAAATAGGGCAAACATTTTAGTTGGAAGCTAAAACTAATGTTATCCTGCTCTTTGTCAAATCCTCCCCTAAATGTTATGAATACATGCATTAGTGTTTTTCCAAGCCCATTTTATAACAAGATGTACAAGTGATAATTCTTAAGTTTATTCAGTTTGCTTTAAGAATATAAAATACATCAATCTCTTCATCATGTTTGCTTCTTACGTGCAAGAATATTAGTGGAAGCCTCTTTATGCTCATGGTCCCTCTGGGGGCTGTGAATTGATATTCTGCAGCACATGTTGCCAAGTGCCTGTTTTGTCAAGTTTCTTTTTTGATCAGCGAAACTTTGTAAGTTGTTTCTTAGTTCCAAGACTTTCTAACTTGCTCTGGATTTTTGGGTAAATATTTGTAATTTTTTTTCCAGAATGAAATTCTGCCTGACTTTTAAAACTCAAACTTCTAAGTGCACCGACCTGACCAATCTGACTCCCTTCCTGATCAGTGCCATGGAAGCAGTCCAGGCACACCAGAGACACAAAACCAGCCTCAAAGAATCACTGTAATCTAAACACAGAGGGGCTCGTGTCCCCTAGGGCCCAGACTTGGTTTGAAGCAGAGAACCCTGGCCTGCACTTCCCAGGGTTTCCAGAGGTGATAGTGCAGAGTAGGCCCTGGGAGACTGGTGGAGAAATAAGCTGCCAGGGAAGCCACCACTTCAGACTCTGTTAATGTTATTTCAGAGGCTGGGATGATCACAGACAATCCTGGTCAGCTCTTTAATTACTAATCCATTTTTCACCTTTGCAGACTTCTCTAGAGGCTATTGTTACCCTGTGAGATAGCTATATCATTTCATTGATTTCTATGTTATGACATAGTCTTGAATAGAGTTGTCAAACGTTTCTTTGACAGGAATAATTTTATTCCTGTAATTTGGCATTAGAGAGCACCCCGCATGGGGATACATAAGCCAGAGTGTTCTGTTTGTATCCCCAGGTTCACCCAAACTGGAAATCTCCCATCCTTTGCTTCCTCCTCCTTTTGCCCTCTTCCCCTGCACCCCAATCACACTCTTCAATTCTGTGTTCACAGTATCTCCAACATCCTTCTCTTTCCAACCCATTCCCTGTGTTTTACCTTTGGGAGGTGTTTAGTAAATGCTGACCAACTGATACAATTCATTTCCCTTTTTATTCCTTGCATTTGGATATGACACTAGTTTTAATTTAGTTAAGTTTTATTTAAAACCTTTAGGCCACGGTGTATTGAAGCAACTTTGGGACACATTCTCTTTAGCCAGATAATTCAATGGCAAAAAAACTTGAAAAACTTAAGTTTTATTCTTGTTATAGAGGAAGCAAATTCCTCACTTCTTTTAGGACTATCTTTTGAAATACATGTTATTTCCAGCTTAAAGAACTTAGAAATAAAATCTTACCCCAATAGATGACTAGATGTGCCAGTGTAATTATTTGAAAGTCCTTTTAAGTGGTTATTACTTGACTTTTTTTTTTCCTTTTTTAGATAGAGTCTTGCTCTGTCACCCAGGTTGGAGTGCAGAGGCACAATCACAGCTCACTTCAGCCTTGATCTCGCAGGCTCAACCAGTCCTCCCACCTCAGCCTCCCGAGTAGCTGGGAGTACAGGTGTGAGCTCCTGCGCCTGTGATTACTTTACTTTTTTATTGAATGTACCCCATAATTACTGGTTCTTGTTTATTTTTTCTTTATTTTTCTTTTTATCAGGCAGCTACCTGAGCCAGAGTAGGCTCAGAGAGACTCCTAGTTCACTTGTTTATTCTCAAGTAAGAAGTCAAACAGTTTAGAATGTCATTCATTTTGTGCAGTTCCCATGATTTGCTCTGTCATTTTCAGAGCTACCAGGAATACATAGCGTTGAATCTGCCCACTTGTTTTGGCTACTGTTGTTCCATCCCAGGGACAGAGAGGATGCTCCAAGCCCTCTAGAGTGATAGCCACTCCTCCCAGGCCACACTGGAACCCCCTGGTGGCACTGAACATTACTATCCTGTCTCCTGGAAACAGGTCAATATCCTGCATCTGTAACATGCAGCAGGAGAGCCCTGATGTTCTCAATGCTGACCTGAAAGTCAGGAATTCCAGGTGCTCTGTATTATCTGAATTTGTCATCCAAATCAACATTGTAAACCAAGCAAGTTAGCAACAAGGTCTAAAGCATGACAAATTAAGAAATCCACACTTGGACCTAAATGTTAGGTCACAAAATTTCAAAATTAAAGTGGAGCAGATTCAGGAAGGCTCTGTGGGATTTTTTTTTAACATAGAATTTCCTATAGTCTGTTCACTTTGGCAGGTCACACTTCATGTTAAAATACTCTTCTTGGAGGATGTGACCTCCAAAAGAAAATGTTAAAAGGGGGTAGAGATGGCTGCTGTAACAGTTTGATATATAATGATAACACTACATGGATAAGATGATAATAGTAAGTGTGTGTGTATATCTATACATATAGTGATAACACTATATAAGAACCATCTGGATATAACTCGGTGTCTTGGATCACAGATTGAAAGATCCTAACTAGGTGTCTTAGTTCATTCCTGCCCTATAACACAATAGACTGGTAATTTATAAATAGAAATATATTTCTCACAGTTCTGGATGCTGTGAAGTTCGATTTCAAGGTGCAGGCCAGATTTGGTGTCTGGCAAAGTCTCACTCTACCTTCAAGATGGCTCCTCTTGCAGTATCCTCACATGGCAGGAGGAGGGGAGGGCCAAGCAGTTCTCTGAAGCCTCTTTTATAAGGACATTAATTTCATTCGTAAGGGCAGAGCACTTAGGGCCTAATCACTGGAGCAGTGATTGCAGTCCCTGCATGTCCCCCACCCAGGGTGGTACATGAACCCCAGTATGCAGTAGAAGGGAACAAGGGGAGGGCTGGGGTTTGAGTCCCACTGCTTTCCATCATGGCTGCTGTAGCCCAGTGTTGTTGCAGAATGTCTGCCCAGGCATGGGTGCTTCAGGATGCCACTCCAGAGCCCTATTATACTGGACCCTCCACCCCCAGCTTGCTCCTGGAAAGCTGCACACTGCTCACAGGCTGTGTTGCCAGCCATTCTCTATGAGCATCCCGCAGCTGCCTCTCATTTAGGGTTCTGCATTCAGCTGCAGCTGAGCCTCCGAAGAAATGAAAGCCTTTAATTCCCATCCCTGCTCATAGTTTTTAGCTGCCTATTAGGACCAATCTCCACACTTAAAGCATTCACCTTCATCCTCTCCAGCTCTGGGATCACCTTGCTTAATCCTCTTCAATAAGGCTAGAACTAGCCTTAAGAAAATTTAAGAAAAAGCTCTTAAAGTCCTCTACTGGATGCCAATGAGACATACAAACAGCCTACTCACAAGTGAGAGAAACCCAACCCAAACTAGCTTAAGCAAAAAGGAATTTTATCTCACATAATAGTCCAAGGGTAGAGCTTGATCAAGATATTAAATTATGTCACTATGGCAAGTCATCTCCCCTTCTGTCCTTCTTGCACATTGGCTGTATCTCTGTCAACTTCCCCCACTTGTGGAGCAAGATAGTTGCCATAGTTCTCGAATCTTCAAGTGTTTCTTGACTGAAGTTAAGTGGGGATGAGTCTCAGCTTCTCTCGGCAGTCCCAGAAAGCCTCAGTGTATCTTACTAGCTTTGACTGGGGCATAGTCCTATCCTTGAGCTATCCTTGGCCAGGGGGAATGCATATCTGATTGGCCAGGCCTGATTCATATGCTTACTCCTGGAGCTGGGAATAGTGAATGCCATCTGAAACTAACCTCGATTCTGGAGGGAGAAATAGATCCCTAGAAGAAAATTGGGATACTGTTATCAGAAGGGAAATGGATGCAGAATGTTCACAAATACATCCCTTCTTTACTCAATGTTTTTCTTAATTACAAATAAATTCTTCTGGCCAATGCTCTATACAATGCCTTCTCTACTCTCTTCAAGATCCATAACACAGTGCTTATCAAACTTTAAAATGCAAAGAAACCATCTGGGGAATCCTACTAAAAATGCAGATTAACATCCTTCAGTAGTGTGATGATGGCTGAAATATGGGAAGAGCAGGTGTCACAGGAGCTCAAATAGGGCTTCTCACTCATTAGCCTCAATTGCCTCTGTGAAATAGGAGGCAGAAGGCCAGCAGTGGTTTAGGGCAATGGTCTCAAAGTGTATTCCCTGGAATAGTAGTGGCAGCATGACCTGGGAATTTATTAGAAACACACATTCTCAGGCTCTATCCTGGATTTACTGAGTTAGAAACTTCAGAAATGGGGTCCAGCAATCCGTGTTTTTTTGTTTTTTTCTTTTTTTTGAGACGGAGTCTCACTCTGTCACCCAGGTTGGAGTGCAGTAACATGATCTCGGCTCACTGCAACCTCCATCTCCGCCTCCCGGGTTCAAGGATTCTCCTGCCTCAGCCTCCCAAGTAGCTGGGACTACAAGCATGTGCCACCACGCCCGGCTAATTTTTTGTATTTTTTAAAGTAGAGACGAGGTTTCACCGTGTTAGCCAGGATGGTCTCGATCTCCTGACCTTGTGATCTGCCCACCTTGGCCTCCCAAAGTGCTGGAATTACAGGCATGAACCACCGAGTCCGGCCAAATCCGTGTTTCAATAAGCGCTGCAGGAAATTGTGCACACTGAAGTTGGAGAACCACTGGGTTAGGGCCTAGCTGCTCATGGCTCTTGAGCTAGCAGCATGCGTATCATGCTAGAAATGCAGAATCTCTGGCCCCATACACAACAGACCTACTGGATTAGAATCTGCAATTTTTTTTTTTTTTTTTGAGGCAGAGTCTCACTCCGTCACCCAGGCTGGAGTGCAGTGGTGTAATCTTGGCTCACTGCAACCTCCGCCTCCCGGGTTCAAGCAATTCTCCTGCCTCAGCCTCCTGAGTAGCTGGGATTACAGGTGCCCGGCACCACACCCAACTAATTTTTGTGTTTTTAATAGAGATGAGCTTTCACCACATTGGCCAGGCTGGTCTCGAACTCCTGACCTCAGGTGATCCACCCACCTCGGCCTCCCAAAGTGCTGGGACTACAGGCATGTGCCACTGCGCTGGCTGAATCTGCATTTTTAACAGGATCCCCCAGATGATTTGTTTGCATTTTAAAGTTTGATAAGCACTATGTTAGGGATCTTGAGAGTAGAGAAGGAATCGTATAGAGAATTGACCAGTTGCACACAAAAGAATTGCCAAACTGGCACTTGAGCTCGTACCCCCTCCATGTCTCATGGCCGTGATCCCCACAAGAGTCATTTTTTTTTCCAGTTGCTCTTAGGCAGCTCAAATGTAGAAGCAAGCCTTGCATTCAGATTGACTTGTAGTTGGAGGTTAGCAGAACAGGCATGTCGGAAAGAGAAACGATTGAAAGTTGACATGCGACCATGAGAATGGCCAAAATCGTGCAGATGGGAGTCTGTAGGCCGGATAGGAAGGAGGGTGGCCATGAAGAAAGGTGGTGACAACCTGAATGTTTCTGATAGCATGAAGCAGGTAAGGTGTGAGAAAAAGTTAGCAGAGTAGTGGTCCAAGATTGCTATATAGAGTCTGTGGAACTGTTAGGTCCAGAGAAAACTGTCCAACAGAACCTTTTGGATGATAGAAATGTTCTCTATCTGCACTGTCCAGTATGGTAGCTGCTAGCCACATGTGGCTGTGGAGCACTTGAAATACTACTAGTATGACTGAAGAACTGTTGGAAACATTACTAATAGTTCTAAAGGCCAAAGCTATCTATACAACTAGATGCTCAAAGAAATGTTGCTCTCTTCTCATCCCCACTAACCTATTCCACTTCCTGTCTTCTATTCCAACCCTTTTTATCCACCCTCTGTAAGTAACCACTCCTTCATTTCTGGCTTTTTCTTCCTGTATTTCTTTTGCATAATGAGCTGATAGTGGTGTGTTTTCTTATATTCCTTTCTTACATGAAGTGTAGCTTACAATAGATACTCTGAATTTTACTTTTTTTTTTTTTTTTGAGACAGAGTCTCGCTCTGTCGCCCAGTCTGGAGTGCAGTGAGGGGATCTTGGCTTACTTCAACCCCCACCTCCTGGGTTCAAGCAATTCTTCTGCCTCAGCCTCCCAAGTGGCTGGGACTACAGGTGCCCGCCACCACGCCCGACTAATTTTTTTTTTTTTCTGTATTTTTAGTATAGGCCGGGTTTCACCATGCTGGCCAGGCTGGTCTCAAACTCCTGACCTTGTGATCCACCCGCCTTGGCCTCCTAAAGTGCTGGGATTACAGGCGTGAGCCACTGCGTCCAGCCTGAATTTTGCTTTTTTTCACTTGAGTATGTTTAGAAATCAAATCAAGCAGTTCATAAAGCTCTTCCTCAGTTTTGTTTTGTTTTGTTTTTTGAGACGTAGTCTCGCTCTGTCGCCCAGGCTGGAGTGCAGTGGTACGATCTTGGCTCACTACAACCTCCGCCTCCCGGGTTCAAGCGATTCTCCTGCCTCAGCCTCCTGAGTAGCTGGGATTAACAGGGGCACGCCACCACGCCCGTCTAATTTTTGTATTTTTAGTAGAGACGGGGTTTCACTGTGTTAGCCAGGATGGTCTCTATCTCCTGACCTTGTGATCTGCCTGCCTCGGCCTCCCAAAATGCTGGGATTACAGGCATGAGCCACCGCACCCGGCCCCTTCCTCAGTTTTTAAAAAAGCTGCATTGACCTCTATTGTGGGGATGTGTTATAATATATTCAACTAATCTATGCATAGCATTTAGGTTTTTCAATTTTGCATTTACAGCAGACAGTGTTTCAATGAATAACCTTGTGGTCTGTACAAATTTACAGCAAAGGAGCAAGATAATCTTAGGCCACATATCAAACTGTGAAGCCTTGATGTGCCCATCCCCACAAGCCACCTTCATGTTTGACTGCCCACTTCTAGACTCCATACAGTCACTGCCTTGAGACCTGATCAAGCTGCTAGATTCCCTGGACACTCTGTAAGTGGGCCTAGCAACAGTCTTCTCAGCAGCAGCCATTCCCCTGCCATTCCAGAGTAGGGTTTTTGTTCTGTTTTGTTTTGTTTTTTGAGACAGAGTCTCACTCTGTTGCCCAGGCTGGAGTGCAGTGGCATGATCTTGGCTCACTGCAACCTCCACATCCTGGGTTCAAGCAATTCTCCTGCCTCAGCCTCCCGAGGAGCTGGGATTACAGGCGTGTGCCACCATGCCTGGCTCATTTTTGTATTTTTAGTAGAGATGGGGTTTTGCCATGTTGGCCAGGTTGGTCTTGAACTCCTGACCTCAGGTGACCCACTTGCCTCAACTTCCCAAAGTGCTGGCATTACAGGCACGAGCCATCATGCCCAGCCCAAAGTGGGGCTTTCATTTCAACCTGCTGCTTCTCAAGTCAACGTTCATGACCTTATTTTCATCTTTGGGTGACTCCTTCTTACCCCTGGCACCCAATCTTTTCATCTCAGCAAAGACTCAGATAATAAAAATCTGACTTTAAATAAGCTACAGTTGTAGAATGCTGATCTGCCCCAAACATTCATTCACATGGGAGTTATTCTTTGGGCTTCGTGTTCCATTATTCTGAATGTTTACTGGCCTATTGAAACTAGAGCTCCACAATAGGGGTATCAATGGCATCAGGGAAGGCCATATTGTCCTAAAACACTTCTATAAGATTCCATCTCCATTCATTTGGGAGAAGATCCATTGGGAATTCATCCACCTGGCTTCAAAAAGGCTAAAGCCAGTGTATTACATTCTATATTTTTAAACATTGATTGGAGGGAAAGGTACTGGTTGGGGATCACCATCCAATTCCTGTTCACTTAAGTGATTCCTCATTTTAGGTTAAAAAGAAATCCTTTTTTTTTTTTTTTTTTTGAGACAGAGTCTTGCTCTGTTGCCCAGGCTGCGCAGTCTCAGCTCACTGCAACCTCCGCCTCCCAGGTTCAAGGGATTCTCCTGCCTCAGCCTCCCAAGTAGCTGAAACTACAAGTGCACACCACCACGCTCAGCTTATTTTCATATTTTTAGTAGAGACAGGGTTTTGCCATGTTGGCCAGGCTGATCTCGAACTTCTGGCCTCAAGCGATGTGCCTGCCTTGGCCTTCCAAATTGCTGGGATTACAGGCATGAGCCACTGCGCCCAGCCTTAATATATACAAGCTTTTAAAAACATATATAAAATGTGTATTAAATACATCTTTTGGACAAAAAAACTAAACAGTAAGTTGTACCTCCTTTTAATATTAATGAGTATAAAGATAAAAGAATCTGACAAGTGTGAAGTTAAAGGACACTTTATTTACTGACAGATTGAAAACTGTAACTCCAGGTAGTGCAAAATGCACCACAACCCAATTACAAAGAACAGGTGTTAACACACAATGTTTAAACAATGCTACACTCATTTTTGGCAAAGTGCTGTATTGTTCAGTCTGTGTACAAAACTGACCATCTATGAACCAATCAGTATAAAAAATTTCTATAAAAACAAAATTTAGACCGTGGCTCAAGAAAACAAGCTGCCATTTATGCATAGATTGATGTACAGTAACCTAACCAAATGTCCCTTTTGAATTTTCAAGTTACTGAAAAAAAATGTGTCGAGAAACACATTAAGAAGGCACATGTACAGTCTACAATACTCTTCAGTCTCCCTAACTCATGCCCTGCCCCTATAAAGGAAATATGTTCACAATTTTACTTGAGAAAAAAAAACAAAGCCACTTAAAAAAAAAAAAAACACACGCAATTATTAAAGTTCAAAATCTCTGGAGGAAAATACAAGCAAAACCACTCATACACTCCAAGCCTGAAACACACATCTAACCTCCCCAGGTACTGGTTTGGTTTTCAGAGGTCCACCTAGAAAACAAATACTAAAACTTCAGGCAAAACAGAGCAAAACTGGACATTTAACAATTACACAATTTTTAAAAGTGTCGTAAAATTCTCAACTATATACAAAACATTGTCCACTTAAGCTGCCTGCCTTTCAAGAGTAACTCTCCTCCCATGCAAAGGATACTGTTGCACATAAAAGATATCCTCATCTGCATGTTTTCCAGTACCTCTTTCTCCACCCTAAACAGTTGAAATTTAATTGGTCTCAAATTTCAAGTGAAACTGATACATGGCAAGGCTGACACCACTGTATCATGTAGGTTTTCTAAATAAAGCATTTTATGTATAATTTTAAGCATTAAAGTAAGTAGATAGGGATGCCATTTCTAATATATCAGCATGGCTGATGGCAGTGAAACCATCCAAGATAGAAGGCCCACTTTTAACAGAGTTTAACCAGTATTTATGGGCCTTATAAAATAAAAAGATAATTTTAAAGTAACATTACAAACATATACTACTAGTGTCTCCCAGTACAAGGAGCAGTCTCTTGACTCAAAAAATGAAAACTAATATGTGGAAACTCTTAAAGTTTTCCCACTAATCTATTTAAATGTAAATATCTGTCTTCTAGTTGGAGTCCTTCATGTTTTTGTTTCCAACTCAGAGAAAATGAGAATAATGAAGATACTCTTCCTTGCTCGTTTTTCTTAAGAGTACATAAAGATAATATATAATGTATTTCATTGAGGAGGAAGAGAAGTAGCAAGGATTTCAATGAAGACATAATGATTACAAACCAGTGTACTATACAGATTTCAGAAGCAGAAACAATGCTGAACAGCCTGCTCAAGTTTTAAATAAACTGTCTTCTCACTCAAAGTACTGATACAACAGAGAAGGTATGTAAACAGGAACAGTTTGCATGGGGATTGGAAAAATGTATAGGAAATTAATATTTCTTAAAAGCTCCCTGCGATAGGAAGTCGAAAACCCAATCACTTTGCATCTTTCTGCAAAAAATTCCCCACCCAATCAACCATATAAATGCATTGCCACAGAAGATAAATAATGGATGGCTAATTTTCACCTTACAGTGCAGTACACAATTAGTTGAGAAAAAAAATAAACATAAGATATATATTATAAAATGTTTTGTCAACAAAAACAAACTTTGAGAAACATGGCGCACTATAAAAGCTAAGAAACTCATTCACGAAGCACTGCTTGTGTACACCACATATTCCAGACTTTTTCCAAGTAACATTCTATGTTAACAGTTTAGAGCTACTAATTCAGAGAGGTCTTATTTCTCACTGCTTGCATTTTAAAGAAATATGTCTAAAGCGCATTGTAAACCACTAATATTTACAATAGCAAAAAAAAAAGCTCATAAAATGCATTTTGGCCATGTTTCAGAGAATACTTAACAGGTCAACATCGTTCTGTGTTGTGGTTGGCCTTGTGTCTTACATACAGGAGATGCCTAACATCTAATAACCAAGAGTTTCAACTGAATTATATAACCATTTTCTTCAATACTTACATGTGCCAATTTTAGGCAGAAACCACAGTATGATATTCCAGGTGGTGTGGTAATCCCAACCTTGAAAAAAAGCCCAACGAATGTAATTTTTTGTTTTCTAGGTACAAAGCATAAAAAACTAGCCCCAGGTAAGGCAAACAAAAAGTCAATAAGGAAATCTGGAAAAAAAGGCCATTGCAGTTATACACAAATCTGTTCATGTTGCCAAACAAAATCTCATGGCTGAACTTCTGTAGCTTGTGAGGTACTAACAACTTACATGCAATGTATGAAAAAGAGACGCCGTGTATTCAGAGTTTTACATCCTGAAGACATTAAGCTGGTCTATTTTCAAGTTACCAATGCATGGCCCTATAACAAACATCGTATAAAACATACACACCTTCATGGAAACTATCTTATCTCCCAACTCTGGTAAACACAAATAGTAAGAGAAAACAACTTCTAACTCACTTTGACAAAACTTTACAGACTTGGCCCCTAATTAGACAACAAATAAATAAAGGGGAAGTCAAAACGGAAGGGGCAATAAGGAGAAAGGGGGAATCTAACTCTTGTTCTAAAGAGACATTCTGGCACTTCATCACAGCCAGTAGAAGAACAATGTAAAACCTCCATCTCACTACACATTTGACGTCTTCCACTCCAAACGCTCTAATCTAGTCAGAAAAGAGCACAGCTCTTCGCTGAAAGTCCCCCAGGGTTCCCTGCATCAAGCCACTACAGGGTTATTGAAAAATATAATACTTCACTTAAGGATATGCTGCTTTTCTCCTTGAAAACATTTTGTAGACCTGTACTCATTTAATTAGGGTTGCAGAGGAGATGGAAAAACAAGCTGTTTGATTATGAAGGCAACACTTCTGTCAGTAGAATTGCTTTGGATTGTAAATATGTTTACTTCAGAGGAAATCAGTCAGAGTGGATGGCTCAGCAAAACCCATCACAACTGCGGAAAAAGGAAGTGACTGGCTAGAGGTAAGGAAATAGATTTTCTCTAAGTTAACTGGCCTACGTGTGAATCGAACCCTGCACCCTGGCCTCATTAGCACCAACACTGTGAAGAACAGCTGTGGCAGAGAAAGTGCCACGGCCCCACCCCATCACCAGATTCAGTAGAAAGGCCCTTGGAATTTCCTACAAGGTTCAGTTCTGAACAGCTCCACTTCAAATCAGTATAGAATCCTCACAGTGACTCTGTGAGGGAGGTAAATGTCACTGCTCCCCGTTGGTGGGGGAAACAGAGGCCAGAGTGGTTAAAGATTTTGCCTGAAGTTAAAACAAAAAATGAAAAGTCACTTGGACTGCAGGGAAGAATACTTACAATACAAGGCAATTAAAAAAAAAAAAAGAAAAAAGTTGAGCCAACCTGTCACTCTTCACTCAGATGCCATGAAAGACATCATCACCAGACAGTCCCCACACTCTTGCCACTTGGCAGGACAGGCTCCATGACAGAGGATTTTTCACTCTGTGGAAATATAAAGCCTATCTCTTTTCCCATGGGCAGAGAGAAATATGAAGTCACTTGAGTGCCTGGACAAGTACTTCCAAATTTATAGCTGATGCGAGGTGAGGAGTGGACAGAATTGGCGGGAAGGAATAGTAACAAATTAAATACTGCACTAATGGGTTAGTTACAGACATGAATTTTTCCAAATATAATCTCACAGGTCTAATTTAATCCCTCTGCACGAGACAAGTGCCTCTGTCTACAACACCTGTAATGTCTGTACCACGTCATGCAGTCACATTGGAATTACTGCATGCACTCTTCACTAAAGCTTAATGTACCTGAATTCCAAATGAACTGTATGACTAATCTGGGGAAAAACCATACACACAGAATACATCAAGTTTTCTTTCAAAAGAAAGTCCAGCCATAATTCCATTATATCCATGGCAACTATCACCTGTTAATGCTAATGTTAGTGTGTAAAAATGTATTCATCATATACAGAGAGATTATCAAGTACTGGTCAATAAAGTGTACAGCTGACCCTGAGAATAAATTTTTGCTTGCTTAAAAGATTAAGTAATACAAAATAAAATGAAAATGAAAGATGCCTATTCTCGTACTTGGGAAGAAATGTCTTTAAAATGCTGACTAATGTATAACCTAATATATTTAAAGACACCCCCAAACACTGTAATTATATTGATATGTTTCCAGAAATAATCTGAAAAAGTGTACAAAAAAAGTAAATGTTAAAGGCAAGGCATTATGTGATACACAGCATATAAATCTGATTTTCAAGATAGTGTCTAAATACACTGATAAAACTATGTGATTGGTTATCAATTGGTTGTAAAGAGACAACATTTTCACTGTACATATACACACATCCATACATGTAAGCACAAACCAAGAGAAACCAACCAACAAAACTTGAAACTATTAGTAATTGTACTGACGCGGGCAGGGCTGATGAACAACCCAGCCATTGTGCTTGACTTGCCGAGGGTGGCAATCCCTGGTAAGATTTTGGCGACGAAGGCTATTTCTGTTAAGAGGCTGTCTTTCACTGTGTTCTTTTATCCACTGGGAAGGGCGAAAGCTCTTGGGTTGTTCCAGAAAAGTTGTATGAGCAGCAAGAGCTGCAACATAACAATGAATATGCTGCCCCATTTCATTTTGAGCTTCCACTCTGAAACAGAAAAAAGTGGGGATGTATTAAATAACAGAGTATGTTATTAACAAAACTGGAAAAGTTACTTAGCAATTCAATTTGCCACGCTAATTTGTTTATGGCTGAATGAGAGCTTGTGTTTCATGGCTGACAGACAAGTTTATTATTCTGTGACCCCACTGACTGATAGTGGTGGAAAGGAGAGCCAACTGTTACTAGAAAGATGCCATATAAGCCCCAGATGGCTCACTAAGTAGACTGTTTTCTAAAAATACACTTTAAACTTTGAATTTCATTTACGGAGCACACACATTTATATAAGCTTGTCTGGGAGGGGAGCTAACATTTATTGAATATCTGCATTTGCCAATTCTTTTGCAAATATATATTTTAATTCTCACCATAATCTTAAAAGGAAAATATTTTAATTCCCAAATTTTACTGATCAGAAAGCAGTGTGCTCACAATACCTTCACAAGACATTTCCTGTCTATAAGTAAAATGTTCCAGGAAACATGCTTTAAATCTTTATTTAATAGAAATTTGCATATGGAAATTCTACTCATTTGCCATTTTTCTAGATAAAAAGCTATAGCTTAATAGAATAAATCTCTTAAGTTTTTCTTTATCTCACAACAGGGCACATTTTGAGATGGTATTTACATGGCAATATAAGACTCTTGAATAACACAATCTTAAAATTGGCTACACACAGTATGATTATGTTTTCCATATAAAAAAGCTAATCAAGTAGGATTGCTGTAAACTATGTCAACACGTAACATGAAGAGCTGTATGATTTTTAAGAGTTATTTTACACAGGAAGGGCAGTGACACATTCTGCCTAAAATCACTTGAGGAAACACACATATTTATTACACACACACACACACACACACATAAAATTTTTTTAAAGTAGAATTTTAAGAGGCCACAATAAGAAACTAATAGAAAAAAGTTAATATAAAGAAAATTATTTTTAGGCCAGGCGCTGTGGCTCGCTCTTGTAATCCCAACACTTTGGGAGGCTGAGGCAGGTGGATCACCTTAATAGAGTTCAAGACCAGCCTGGCCAACATGGTGAAACCCCATCTCTACTAAAAATACAAAAATTAGCCAGGTGTGGTGATGCAAGCCTGTAATCCCAGCTACTTGGGAGGCTGAAACAAGAGAATCACTTGAATCTGGGGGGTGGAGGCTGCTGTGAGCCAATATCACACCATTGCACTCCAGCCTGAGTGACAGAGTGAGACTCCATCTCAAAAAAAGAAAGAAAGTCATTTTTAAAAGGTCAGCATTTGGGTCCTTTGCCTCCCTATGCATACATATATCACACAGTCTCAAAGTGAATATACTTACTCTGTGCCCGTGAGTCTTATAAGCAGCTTTTCCTGGCCCTACAAATGTTAAATGGTGAACTATTAAATCACTAGTAAGATTTAAAATGCTATTGTAACTTTACTATTAGGACGTGGTCAACTTTTATTAAAACTGGTTTACTATGTGCCATTAAAGGCACGTACATGTGCTTAAGATAACATGTAAAACCTTCAAAAACAATACTTATAAAGGCTAAAATGCAATGAAATGTATACCCTGAAGCCCACTGTAATTACAAAGCACCTCAATTTTCTGTGCTTTATGGTAATATCCCCAATGATAGACACAATGGAAGCAATCTGACTTCTGAAAGACATATGATTCATTTCCTGCTAAGAAAACAGATATTTACTACAAAGCTAGCCTAATTTTGGTAACACCTGATTTCCACCTTGATTTAGCAAGACTTCCTTATAAGAATTTCAAATCCCTGCCGGGCACGGTGGCTCACGCCTGTAATCCCAGCACTTTGGGAGGCTGAGGCGGGCGGATCGTGAGGTCAGGAGATCAAGACCATCCTGGCTAAAACAGTGAAACCCCGTCTCTACTAAAAATACAAAAAATTAGCTGGGTGCGGTGGCGGGCGCCTGTAGTCCCAGCTACTCGGGAGGCTGAGGCAGGAGAACGGCATGAACCCAGGAGGCGGAGCTTGCAGTGAGCCGAGATAGCGCCACTGCACTCCAGCCTGGGCGAAGGAGCGAGACTCCGTCTCAAAAATAAAAAAAAAAGAATTTCAAATCCCAAAATAAGGATGTTAAAAAAATTATAGTTACTATTTTAAAACTAATAATTTACAGGAGTTTCCTGTGTACAAAAAGGATTCACATAAAATTCAGTGCATTCTGGCCGAGCACAATGGCTCATGACTGTAATCCCAGAACTTTGGGAGGTCAAGGTGGGCGGATCACTTGAGGTCAGGAGTTTGAGACCAGCCTGGCCAATATGGTGAAACCCCATCTTTACTTAAAATACAAAAAATTAGCTGGAGATGGTGGCATGTGCCAGTAATCCCAGTTAATCGGCAGGATAAGGCAGGAGAATCACTTGAACCCAGTGCGGAGGTTGCAGTGAGCCGAGATTGCGCCGCTGCAATCCAGCCTGGGCAACAGTGAGACTCCGTGTTAAAATACATAAATAAAATTCAGTGCCTTCCTTTGACCCTTTATATATGGAAAAGTATGTATTTGTTTTACTATCCCTATATAACTATCATATATGAATGCAAAAACAAACAAGATATAAAAACAACATTCTCACTGTACCAAAACTAGAAAACCATAACAACCTTGAAAAAGAAGGAAGGAAGAAGAAGGAAGAAAGAAGAAGAAATCTACTGAAACAAAATGGTGGAGATCATTGCCTAAATAAGTAGTTTATAAAATAGTATATCTGGGCCGGGCACAGTGGCTCATACCTGTAATCCCAGCACTTTGGAAGGCCAAGGCAGGTGGCTCACCTGAAGTCAGGAGTTTGAGACCAGCTTAATCAACATGGTGAAACCCTGTCTCTACTAAAAACACAACAATTAGCCAGGTGTGGTAGTGCACGCCTGTAGTCCCAGCTAATCGGGAGGCTGAGGCATGAGAATTGCTTGAATCTGGGAGGCAGAGGTTGCAGTGAGCTGAGATCGCGCCACTGCACTCCAGCCTGGGTGACAGAGCAAGACTCTCTCAAAAAAAACCCCCAAAAAAACCAACTATACATCTGGGCATGGTGGCTCATGCCTGTAATCCCAGCACTTTGTGGGGGGGGGGGGAGGATCACGAGGTCAGGAGTTCAAGACCAGCCTGGCCAACATGGTGAAGCCCCGTCTCTACTAAAAATGCAAAAATTAGCTGGGCGTAGTGGCGGTGGCACATGCCTGTAATCCCAGCTACTTGGGAGGCTGAGGCAGGAGAATTGCTTGAACCCGGGAGGCAGAGGTTGCAGTGAGCCAAGATTGCAACATTGTACTCCAGCCTGGGCAACAAGAGTGAAACTCTGTCTCAAAAAAAAAAAAAGAAGTATATATGGCATGTTGCCATTTAGGTTAAAAGTTTATGTGTACGTACAGGCACAGAAAAAAAAAAACACAATCTGGAAGGATATACTCTAGGATGTTAAAAGTATTCATCTCTGGGTCATGAAAATGTCATTTCCAATTTTTGCATATTTGTATTTTCTAATTTTTTTACATTGCATTTGTACTGTTTCTGTAGTAAATTCTTTTGCAAAGCTGCTGACTACACACACACACAACACTGCAAAGTAAACATATAAATGCCAGTAAGTTTAAAGTGACTATTAATTATAAATTCTATTTTTTTTTTTTTTGAGACAGAGCCTTGCTTTGTCACCCAGGCTGGAGTGCAATGGCGTGATCTCAGCTCACTGCAACCTCTGCCTCCCGGGTTCAAGCAATTCTCCTGCCTCAGCCTCCCTAGTAGCTGGGAGTACAGGCGCCCACCAGCAAGCCTGGCTAATTTTTGTATTTTTAAGATGGGGTTTTGCCATGTTGTCCAGGCTGGTCTTGAACTCCTGACCTCGTGATCCACCCACCCCAGCCTCCCAAAGTGCTTGGATTACAGGTGTAAGCCACTGCACCTGGCCTAATTATAAATTCTTGAGTGGCATTCCTCAGAGGTAAAATCATAATCAGAAGGGAAGAATTTTCAAGAAATGAATCTGAAGCAACTCTAAAGCAATTAAATCAATAGCAACTCCACAAAGTTATATTTTAAATTTTTGTTGGAATGCCTGAAACACCTCTTAATAAACTTGTAGCACTGAATAAAGTGCCAGTTAAAGTAACATTCCCCACCCATGACCTTACCTAGGATATAGCCTGGCATCATGTAACATAAGAAAGTTGTTTTCATTTTGGTACAAGCAAAATGAAATATGTTTAGCCTCATAAAAAATCATCTACAATATTGAGACTTGAGAGTATGGCAAACTCTGGTAAAGTTAATAAATTAATGTGCTGCCTAGGGTTTGTTTATATCTGGAAAACAGGAAACGGTAGGTAGGTAGGTAGGTAGGTACATAGGTAGATAGATATAGATAGATAGATAGATAGATAGATAGATAGATAGATAGATAGATATAATACAATACTTTTCTTAGAGTCAGAGCCTGGACATGACAACACTAACAATAGGGATATTCTGAACTGCTCCAAGGATCCAAATCCACCTGGACCCTCAACCTAAGAGAGGGAATGCCAACATTCCCAAAATACTTTAACAGGAAACATTCCACTAAGGTACACGATAGAACAGTGTGACTTTCAGCTAATTAACTGGGTAATGGGGTTTACTTTAGTGGGTGGGAGCAATCTCAGATATTTCCTAGCTATATTCTCTGGACAAAGGTCATATGATGTCTGTAAATTCGGGGAAACTTAAAAAGCCAGAAGGCAGAGATTACAAGAAAAGTGACCAACAATTGCTTGGGGCAATAGACAGATTGATTAATCAAGATAATGACTGACAAATGGGCAAGGATCTATTTCTCTGTCTCTGCTGGGAACCAAAGGCCTCTCCTACACAAGTGGGTAAAATGGTCGGGGTGGTGAAGATAAATTCCTGGGACTCCTTGGTATGGGAGCTCCATGTACTGTGGTATCAAGATCTATTGGTAAAGCCCTGATTCAGGCTACAATTAGATTGGAGAACATAAAAATGCAAGGGTTGATAGAATTATGAAAGTTAGGATGTTTAAGTGAGCTTTACGTAAAGAAGTTATATCCCCTTTACCTAAATGTTTTATGAGAATGGATATGTCTGGCTGGAGACACACTTCCCCTACCTAGTACTGTAAAACAAAAGGCATGTAAATCTGCCCTTCATGACAATATTAACTGGACATGCTAAATGGGGACCAACAGCACTGCCCAGGCCCAATGGTGTATAGTAGAAGCTGGAGTGGTGGTAGGGACAAATTATCTGTCTGATAGTCTTATGTGGAAGGGAAACTGGCACTTATGGCAAAAGACTGTGAACACCTCTCAGTAACAACTACTAGCACTTTGGACTAGAGAATTTCCACATGAGAGGCATTTACTCCCTTGCCACAGGACATTAATTGAAGCTACCCCTAGGATTGAAGGACATAAAATGATCTTGAAACCTGAAATACCCATGCTGTGTTTGGTGATGTCAGAGAAACACTAATTAGGAGGGCAGTGCCCAGAAGAGTTCCATAATAAATGGAAATGGTTTATACAGGATCATGTTATGTAGGGAATGTAAGAAGGACACACCCACAAGCAGGGAGCCTCTCCCCACCTTGGACTGACTCTGGAACTGTGTGAGGAGCTGGATTCCACACTGCCAATAGCTCTCAACTGACTGACAAAGAGCTGCTTGGTTGTGGATGGCAGTTCCAACGTGAACAGACAGCATCTTGTTTGGAAGGATGCTACTTTGATCAAAGAAGGTAAAAACAAATCGGCTCTGTGGGCTGAACTGCACGCTGTTTTCCTAGCGATGATGGAAGCCCCTAGGTTTGGGTTTTTACTGACTCATGGGCAGTGGCTAGTGGACATGGTCAGGCAGAATCACAATGAAAACCTGGACTTTTAAAGGGATGGCTTCCATAGGGAGCACAACCCTACGGAAATTTGAGGGGTATATTAGGACATGCCAGTGGCCATCAGAAGAACTCCCTTCCAGGTTTGGAAGGTGACTGGGACTGGAAGCAGATATATCTCCGTGTGCTCCCTGGAGGTGCCATCCTGGGTTCATTAAATGAGTGGTACAGGCAGTGCAGAGACAGGCTGCATCTAGACATTCCTCTTCTACTCTCTCAGGCACAAATACCAATGAGAACCGTTCTGCCAGCCAGCAAAAGAGACAGACTACTGATGAGGGGCAGATTCCCTGGTGGGAAGGCCCTGAGCATAGCTGCAAGTGAGACTAGTGCTGGTAGCCCTGGGGAGCTACAAAATGGGTCTTGAGAAGAAAAGACAGTCTCTGGAGTGGGCTTTACTTAACCAATGGAAGATGCAAATGCTCAGAGTGCCAAAAAAACCTACAACAGAAGATACTGCCTGGATGTGGATAGTTAACTGTCATTTCTTCAGACCAAAGGACACACTATACAGCCCATAATGCCCAAAAACACTTTGGGAGGCAGAGGCGGTGGATCACCAAAGGTCAGGAGTTCGAGACTAGCCTGGCAAATATGGTGAAACCCCCTTTCTACTAAAAGTACAAATATTACCCAGGTATGGTGGCGGGCGCCTGTAATCCCAGCTACTTGGGAGGCTGAGAAAGGAGAATCACTTGAACCCGGGAGGCAGAGGTTGCGCTGAGCCAAGATCCTGCCACTGCACTCCAGCCTGGGTGACACAGTGAGACTCCATCTCAAAAAAAAAAAAAAACCCAAAAACAAAATGGGGGGATAAAAGCATGAAGGGCTGGCTGTCCCCACAAGATTTTCCTGTTTTTCTGGTATCTGAGGAAGAAGGGATGGGGAGGAGGATGCTGGCATGACTTATGCAATTCTAGCCAAGGGTTAAGTATGCTAGTATAATGACTTTAACTTTTTCTTTCCCACATCACCTCATTTTTTTTTCCTCTACTGGATGCAATGGTCCTAGGACCAGGGCTGTAACTACAAGTACTGGAAGCAGGGATGGTTCCTGAGCAAGAAGCTGTAACTATGTTTTTAAACCTTATGTCAAAATTCCTAAGGGTCTTATGGGGGTTACCTAGACCCCATCTTGCAAAACTGGAGCCAACAACGAATGCAGCTGTATTGTCTGGTGGTAAAAACAGCCTACTAATTTTGTACCTATGTCACCTTACCCTATCTGAATGGGAGTGGACTGAGGGAGAGGTACTTGCTAAACTAGTATTGCTACCTGCAATCTAGACCAGCACAGTGGCTAAAGCTAACGTCCCTTCCAGAGATGGAAAAGTTTGGGTATAAATGAAGAGAAAGAAGATAAAAGAATGAATAAATAGGTTATGAATTGGGATCAATTCATTATATTAATACCTTGAAACAGGCTCAGAGAAAAAGATGACATTGTTTCTAAGCTCAGGTATACCAGATGCCTGAAAGGGTGAAGCTACGTGTTTGCTAAAACCATTTCTGCTTTTGGAAACCAACAAGATCAATTAACCTGCAAACCTGAGTGGCCTCACCCTGGGAGACATGCTCATACAGTACGATGATGGATGGAATGAATTACTGACTGAATGGGATTCTGGTGTTGTGCCAGTATTTTTTGAGTTCCATATCCTTTTGTTGTAAGGAATCCAAGTTTGAAGACTGAGGCTGGACTGTGATACTGTAAAATATATATTCGGTCTTGTCAGTCTCCTGGCATACAACTCCTAAAATCCTTGGAACCTCCAATGTGGAAAGCGTATGCTAATTAGTTGACTGGTGGTTGGCAGCAACTAGGCAGCTTCAGGATGGGATGTGGTCACTATAAAGACCAAGTTACAGTTGGGACTTTTAGCCCCACCCCTCAAACTCCAGAGAGGGGAGAGGGTCTGAAGGTTAAGCCAATCACCAATGGCCAATGATTTAATCAATTATGCCTATGTACTGATGCCTCCATAAGACCCCAATAGTACTGAGTTCAGGGAGCCTCTGGAGAGCTGAACATGTGGAGGTTCCCGGAGGGTGGGGTGCACAGAGGGCATGGGCCTTGCCTTATGCATCCCTTCATCTGTATCCTTTTTAATAAACTGGTAAACATGTTCCCCCAAGTTCTATAAGATGCTCTAGCAAATTAATCAAACCCAAGGAAGGGGTCGTGGGAACACCAGTTTACAGCTGGTTGGTCAGAAGCATAAGTAAAACCTGGGGCTTGAGATTGGCATCAGAAATGGGAGGCAGTCTTTTGGGACTAAGCCTTTAACCTATGGGATCTGATGCCATCTCGAGGTAGACAGTGTCAGAATTGAATTGAATCAGAGGACACTAGAGGGTGTCCACTGCTGGAGGACTGTTTGCCTGGTGTGTGGAAAAAACCCACACATCTGGTGTCAGAAGCACTGGGTGACTGTGCAGTGTGAGTATTGCAGGAAGAAACTGAGTTTGTTAAATTCTCAGACAAGGTTTTCAAGGTTACATCATTTGATGAGATGTAGCTAGAAATACTTGGAAGAAAATAAATTTTAAGACATGATATTCTAGTTGAATTTGATACCCTAAATAATCCAGTCTATAAAGTCAGAGTTATGTTCTAAGATACTTAACAGAAATGCCAGTCTTATTTCTAATCAGTAGCAGAATTTTGTAAATGAGAATGCTATTATATAACTGGGGCCATGCTACATCTAACTTTCTTAAAAAAATCTAAAATGAACAAGTTTTTGTTTTTGAGACAGAGTCTTGCTCTGTCACCCAGGCTGATGTGCAGTGGCACAATCTTGACTCAATGCAACCTCTGCCTCCTGGTTCAAGCCATCCTCCCACCTCAGCCTCCTGAGTAGCTGGGACTACAGGTGTGCACCACCACACCTGGCTAATTTTTTGTTATTTTTTGTACAGACGGGGTTTCACCATGTTGCCCAGGGTGGTCTTGAACTCCTGAGCTTAAGTGATCTGCCTGCCTTGGCCTCCCAAAGTGCTGGGATTACAGGTGTGAGACACTGTGACTGGTCAACAAGTTATCTTACGGACCATCTTGTGTACTATGCACATGCTTTCATAAATCTCTAACAAAATTAGTTTTGCATCTTCTAATAACTTAGCTTTGAATTACAGTAGAGACAAAATGCATGCTCAGTGGACTGCCTACAGAGAGTTAAATACTTGTAACGTACCTGGGACTACTTGGGCTATGTAATTCATCAGTCCCACGGGTGGCCTCACTGAGACCAGGGCAGGAGTTATGCACAGCATAGACAGACATGCTGGGATGTTCAATGAGAAGGTTTTCCATAGGACTTGTTTCCACCTTGATAGTGGTTAATCCACCTGCAGTAAAACATGGGGGTGGGGTGATAAACCAGCTCTCCTCCATTGGACATGACTCAAACTGGAGAAAGCAGGAATCACTTGTATCAGCCAAGCACTCAAGAGATGCCGGTAAACAGGAAAAGACTGAAGGGTGCTCAGTAGGTGACTCTTCACTGATGTCCTCCTCTTCTTCTTCTTCTTCTGCTGAGAAACCAGTGCAAGTATCTAGATCGTAGTCCACATTGCAGTCCACATGTGTTGTTGAAGAGTCCCACAGGAGGATGATTATCACATTGGGCAGTCATTATAAAGTCACCCATCAAATTCACAGCACAGAAAAAGAAGAGATGATACTATTAGCTGATGCTCACGTATCTTCTTTTATTTAGTTCAGAAAACCATTTATATTCATCTATATGACTATAAATTTATTTCTGAGCACAGAAATTCTGTGTGTGTGTGTGTGTGTGTGTGTCACTATATGGGATAGATTTATGTTGGCTTTGCAGGAGTGATTTTAAGACTGTTTCTATTCTGCTGGATAACTATGTAATGAGACATATTGGTTACTACTTGTCTAATAAAAGGGGCTTCTAATGAAGTGCCCTTGATCTAATCAATCTGTGAGAGTTGCAAAACTAAAAAGTCTGATGTCAGTCAATTTCACTGACATTATCTAGCACAGATGGTTTCCTGCAATTTTTTAAAGACAAACTCCTGCTTACTTTTAAGGCTGAAAACCCCTCAGTTATTGGTTTCCTTATGCAAAAACTGAGATGCAAGTTTCCATTTTTACTGTGAAGATGAACCACCAAGTAACCAAGTGTACCTTACCTATGAAGTCAACAAGAATCCATTCATCATCTTCTTTCTCATTGAATTCTGGTTCTTGGTTGGAGGAAGAACTGACTTCACCCACAAACATTTTATTCAGCCTCTGGAACATTGTTAAGGCAAGACTGAGAGTTTGGCTGGATGTCTTTTATAGCTGAGATTTCAAAACCTTGTCTTTAGTTGGCCCAATGGTACCGACAGGAGATTAAAGTGCACAGGGTGCTTATTCAACTTAGGTGAAAAGCAAGAAGAGTCATTGTACCTAAAATAAAACAGAAAAAGGAAGTTATTTCAAATCAGCATGCACATATATACATAAGTACATACACATACACACATACCCTTAGAAGAAAGCATATGCCTTGGCCTACATTCTACAGCTATTCCCTTTCTGCAGGAGTCAAACACAAGAAATGCAACATAATGTTTTGTAAATACTCTTACTCAAATTCAACCTATAAATATCTTAAAATGTGAAATAAAAGGGAAAGAGTTGGTTCTTTTTCATATTTATGCTTTTATAATAAGGTGAATTTGAATAATATCCTTCAAACTTTTCTGCAAGCAGATGAGCAAATTCTAGATAGTAACAGTCTTGCTATATGTTATTCAACTGCTCAGAAGTCCCAGCAACAGTGCCTGGTGACCACCATTATGCCAGGCCCTCATCCTCCTCTGGCTCATTTTCTCTTCTACTCTGTACTTCTTGTCTATAACTGTAAGCACACCTGATTACACTTAAAATCTGTAAGCCCAGCAAGCATACTTTGACCTTCTAAACAATTCCTACAGCTGGCATGAAGAAATTTACACTGTAGGAAACTGAGCTTGGCCAAACCTAGAACTGGAAACACCCTTCCTGTGTAGCAGCTCAGCAGGTGGGTGCTGGGTCAGCCACCTGCATTCAAACCCTGGCTAGCTGCTCACTTGCTGTGTGAGTTAGGAAGTTATGTGACTTCAGCTGGCAACAGCTCCTACCTTAGGGAGTTCTGGTGAGTTCTAAATGAAGAACTCCAGGCTTGCTTGATCTTGGAATATTTATCCATTTCTACCTGGCTACCTGATGGGCGTATCAAACCAAACACATACCAAAGATAGGTTTTTTTCCCCCACAAACTTATTCATATACACTGCCCTTCATCCCTTTCTCAGGAAGCAGCAGCAGCTGGCAGTTATTCAGGCCAACACCCTAGCAGTCACCCTTCACGCTTTTTTTTTTTTGAGACGGAGTCTTTGTCTGTTGCCCAGGCTGGAGTGCATGCAGTGAGGCGATCTTGGCTCATTCCAAGCTCTGCCTCCCGGGTTCACGCCATTCTCCTGCCTCAGCCTCCCAAGTAGCTGGGACTACAGGCGCCCACCACCACATCCGGCTAATTTCTTTTTTTTTTATTTAGTGGAGACAGGGTTTCACCATGTTAGCCAGGATGGTCTCGATCTCCTGACCTCATGATCCGCCCACCTCAGCCTCCCAAAGTGCTAGGATTACAGGCGTGAGCTGCCGCACCCGCATGCCTTTTGCTCCCTCCTACTCACCCCTCATCCCAACCACCAAGTCCCGTCAACCCCAGGAGCACAGGCAGCTCGAATCTGCCTGCTTCCATCCACCACTCTCATCCTAGTTTAAGCCAAACTGTTGTCTCTGAGACTTTGCCAAAACTGTCTACTAGACAGTCTCCCTGATCCTACTCTTGTTAAAGGCAATGGACTTAGCAAAATACTTCGAATAAAGTCCTCAGTCCAGGTCAACTATTATTCTACATGTATTTACTGAGCACCTGTTATGCATCAGGTGCAGTGCTGGGCACAGGGGAGATGGCTGTGAACAGGGCCCTCCCACAAGTTTAACAATCCAGTGTGATGAATGCCATGGAAGAAGTATTTGGTGTTCTCCAGGCTACCTGGGTGGACTCCTGCAATGACTTTACTCTTGAGTGGCTGAGGTCAGTAATGGAGGAAGGGGGCAAAGGAACACTATGGAAGCCTGTGGATGAGTGAGAATGTGGCACCTTCAGTACCGCTCAAGGTCCAGAGGGAGGGTCACAATAGCAGGCTAGGGGAGCTGAGCAGGAACCAGGTCCTGCAGGGCCTTGTAAGCCTGGAAAAGGGGAAGGGAAAAGTCAAAGACCCAGGTTTCTGGCTTGGCCAACTGAGAGGATGGTGGAACCATTTAGGGAAACAGGAATGAATCCTGCAGAAAGTACAGGTTAGGCATTTCGAATATGGTAAATTGGGGGGATATGCAAAATAATGCAGTTGGAGATGTCCAGCAGGCAGCAGGATATAGAGCTTTGGAGCTCAGGAGTGTGGTCTCAGCTAGGGGCATAGATTTGGGAGCTGATGACACAAAGACAGTGATAAAAAGCATAGGAATGGATGAGGCTAGGTGTGGAGGCTCATGTCTGCAATCCTAGCATTTTGGGAGGCTGAGGCCACAGGAATGCTTGAGCCTAGGAGTTGGAGACCAGCCTAGGCAACAAAATAACCTGTTTCTACAAAAAAATTTTAAAAAATTAGCCAGGTACAGTGGTGTGCACCTGTAGTCCTAGCTACTTGGGAGGCTGACGTGGGAGGATCTCTTGAGTCCAGGTTCAAGGATGCAGTAAGCTATGATTGTGCCACTGTACTCCAGTGTGAGTGACACAGCGAGACCTTGTCTCAAAAAAAAGTTATATATATGTATGAGATCATCCAGGGCTGAAGAAATGCACCTCACTAATCACCACCTCTTTTTATCACAAGCATCAGCCTTGAATCTACAACTTCAGGCTCCTGACAGTTCACTTTCAAAATAATCTTTAGCTGTAAAAGTAGTTGGGATCTGTAGCTAATGAGATTCCTGGTTCAGTTCCTTGTGTGTAAACTGAACTGCTACAGTTGTTTGGCACACTACTACACAAGTTAAACATTTCAAATAAATAACATTAGAACACTTTGTGGTCACAATTCATCTTCTTCAGCCACTAATTATTAAAAATAGGTAAACAGGAAGTGTCACTTGCATAACCAGTCTTCCTGAAACCTTCTGGAAAGCAGCACGGCCAAATCATGAAGGCTGGAGCTGTAGCAGAATTCAAAGTCAGCTTTATGCTCTATGTAAGAACAATCAGAAGAAAAGTGTAGTTTGTTTGACCTGCTGTGGTGTGATAGTTATATTCCAAAATAAGTTATCATAAGGTCTGATGTAAATAAAGATTTTTGAGGATACATGCTTAGAGGGAAAAACATATTTTCAAAATCCTTCCTCCATTTATTTTAAATTGTGGAGGCAGATATTGGCCCCACGTACAATTCTGTGTCTGCTGAACCAGTTGAGAGAATAAGCCCAATTCTGCAGAGCATGGTGCTGGACTCTAGCCCTGAATCAGCTAAAGCCACTGGGAGGGGAGAACCACACAGGGGAACCTTTGCTTGTCCTGAACGAATGCCTTGTCCCCAACCTGTGATGCTGCATGAGAGTAAGGCACTGGGGCCCAGGTCAGATAACTGGCAGCTGTAAGGCCAAAAAACATTGCTGGGGCCACTGCAGTTGTGACAGCTGCTGGGTTCCCACATGCAAATTGCCCCCTCTGGCCACAGGTCCAAACCCAGGAAGGCAGCTTCTGCCTGGAATATATGCAAGTAGCAAGTAAGATACAGGAAAGGCTTCTCTGGAGGAGCTTTCTAGGGAGCAGTACAAGTCAGTGCTCTTTTGGTTTCCCAAAGTCAGAGGCTGCCTCCAGATGTCCCATATCTCTGCAAGGACAACCAACCTTGGGCGACAGAGTGCTCAGAAGCCCAGCCAAGTGAGGGAGGAGCTCATCCTTCATCTCACTCAAGCCACTGCTGGTGTTTACATGGCACATCTGCTGACACCCGTGGGAAGAACACAGAATGGAGTTCCTGGGGAGGGTTAAAGGGGCCTGGCCATCCACAGCAGCAGTTCTGGCTGTGGCTCTACTACAGGTGGCTGGAGCTAAATTGGCCCTTCTGAGCTTCAGTCTCACTGTTGGGAAAATGGGGAGACTGCGCTGAATCACCTCGTCACTCTCTTTCCCCACAAACTTCTAGCACAAAAAAGTGAGGCTGGTTTAACTAGCAAAGCCAAATTCCTTTGGCCCTGCTTTCTGCAGGTGTCACAAAAGGCAAGGAGCTATTGGAGAGACCCTCCCCCCATTGCTAAAACTGTCCACTGAGGTAGCCACCAGGCACACTGTGCACATGAACACTTGAAATGTGACTAGTATCATCGAGAAACTGCATTTTTCATTTTACTATTTAATCCATTTACTAAGTTTAATCCAGTTAAACTTAAAAGCTGATAATTTAGTTTTTTGAAAACTTTCAAGTATGTTTGGAACAGTTAGGGTATGAATCTACTTTTTCACCTATAAATTTTACGAAGTCTAAATATAGATCAAGTACTTCAAATGAAAACTTTGTATCTGAATTGAGATGTGCTGTATATGTAAAGTACACACTAGAGTGTATTTCAAAGACTTAGTACCCCCCAAAATGCAAAACAGTTTTTATATTGATTACATGTTGAAAAAATAATTTTAGTATATTAAATACATTAATAAAATTAACTTCACCAGTTTCTTTTTCCTTTTTAAATATGGCTACTAGAAAATTCAAACATACATGTGGCTCACATTATCTATTTCTGTTGAACAGGACTGTTCTAGAAAAAGTCTTAAAGGCCTACCCTCCTACTGATGACCCAGAGACTGTCCCTGCCCAGTCACTGCTACTGTTGACCTTGGCTCCTGCCCAGGGATGGAGGCTCTCAACTGGGCTGGTTCTACATGGAGGTAAATGGAAAAGTAGAGCTTTAGACTCCTCTCCTCCCCAGATCACCACTAATATTCACAATGCTAGGGCAATCATAGAACGAAAATAAAAATTCCAGAGAAAGCATGTGTCCTAAGAGGACAAACTTACAAATACAGTTCTGGAATTCAGCAAAGAGGTGAAGCAAAGAAGGTTAGGTGAAGTAGCGCTGTTGTTCTTTGAACAGCTTTAACCAGCGTCAGTCCAGCAGTTTCCCCGACAAGAGAAAAGAACCCCTCAATACAGAAAAGAAACAAAGTGTCTGGGCCCTAGCATTTCAAGAAGGCAGCTTTGTCCTTGTTCTGCTTGGCTCAAAAGACCTCCATCCCTCCCTTTAAAAAATAAATTATGTCTTTTCAATTATAAACTGAACAAAACCACATTATAAAAAGTCTAGAAAATAAGAAAAATAAGTATTATTCCATTGCCTTGTTCCCACCACTTAACACATTGGTGCCTTTTCTTCTGTTTTTTTTTTTCTTCTACACATAAGGCTTCTTTTTATCATAGTTATAGTCTTGTGAATGCACTGTTTTGTATCTCACTGTTACTTAACATTTTATCATCAATGGTTTTCATATTATTACATGAGTAGAGATGCTTTGTAGGCAGAGAAAGGTGGCTGACTGAGTCTAATACTCACGGGGAAGAGCATTCTAGTTTGACCACTTAGAAAAGGAACTGCTAATTTGGAAGATCTTGTTAGCATAATTTATTTTGTCACTTTTAAGACAGCCCACCAAGAGGCAGTATATTGTGGTACTTAAAGACTGGCTCTGAGGCTGGGCGCAGTGGCTCATGTCTATAATCCCAGTGCTTTGGGATGCCAAGGCAGGAGGATCACTTTAAGCCAGGAGTTCAAGACCAGCCTGGGCAACAAAGCAAGACCCCATCTCTACAAAAAATAAATTAGCTGGGTGTGGTGGTATGTGCATGTAGTCCCAGCTACCAGGGAGGCTGAGGTAGGAGGATCGCTTGAGCCCATGAGTTTGAAGCTGCAGTGAGTTGTGATCCCACCACTACACTCCAGCCTGGTCAACAGAGTAAGACCCTGTCTCAAAAAAAAAAAAAAAAAAAAAAAAGACAGGCCCTGGAGTTTGAAATCTTGGCTCTGCTACTTGCAACCTATGTGAATTCAGGATATTTACTAACATCTTGGTGTCTCTGTTTTCTCATCCTTAACATGGGAATGATAGTTATAATACCTACTTCACAGTGCCAGTGTAAGGATTAAGTGTATACTACTTAGAATAGCAGACCTCGGTTCATTCAAAGCCAGTTGTGAGACTGTCAACAAGTCATTTAGCATCGCTGCATTTGAGTTTCTTTATCCATAAAATGTCTACTTAATAATTAGAGCTACAATTTACAGAATGCTTATTGTATGTAACGGGGCCTTGAAGTACTTATTTGTCCCATTTTACTGATGAGGAAACCGAGGCTGAGGAATTAACTAACTTGTTCAAAAGTGACAGAGTTGGTTGGGGTGGAGTCAGCATTAGGGCAAAAATCCATCTGATTCCAATTCCTTGTTTTCCCTATACATGCTCTTTTAGGCTCCCAGTCTCAACTATGGGTCTACGAACTTCAGAAAACAGCCCTTTTCAGTTAGTTTCAGCTGCCAGTAGGCGGCTCCAAAAAATATTAAAAAAAAAAAAAAAACCCGCAAGTTTGATGATCTAACTTCTAAATCTGTGTACAGTTGTGGCTCCTTCACAGTTTCAGGAAATCAGGTGGCTAAACGTACCGTCATTGAAAAGCAGCTTCAGAATTATCCTTCTTTTTATCCCACCCTCTTCCACTACTTTAAAAACGTGCAGATTCTAGTAATTTAAAATGGGTTTTGAACTGGAGAAAAACCAAGCCAAGAAAGTTATCTCTGCTTGTTCCACTTATATGAAGACTAGATTCAAGTAATTTAAAATGGATTTTGAACTGCAGAAAAAACCAAGCCAAAAAAGTTGTCTTTGCTTGTTCCACTTATGTGAAGACTGTTCAACTAGTGTGCAAGGGAGGTTATTCCCCCAGGGATCCACCCCTGTCTGCCCCTAAGGCTGAAAGACAGTGGACAAAGACAAGAGTAAGTGGTAATTCATAGCCTGATAATCTTGAATTTTGAAAGCAGACATCAGAGGAAGCAATGGCAGGAAAGAACAAAAGATAGGATGAGAAAACAAGACCTTGGTCACAGAAATTAGTAAGGTCCTGGTTCCAGGCAGGGGCCTTTTAAAATTATGCTGCCAGTTCAGAATTACACTGATTGCGACTTAAAAGCTTCCCAGTGCTTTTCACATCTGCAAATGAAAATGTATTTCAATTACCAGGCTGGTGATTTCAGTATCGTGGGGGAACTCATTATGACTTCTGTTCAGTGACCCCAAGGGTCACATTGTTCCCCCTTTTCCCAAAACTATTGTGCATTGAGAAAAGGCTTTTTTAGCAATAGATGCCCAAGTCCTTGGGAGTCACAGTTGTAAAGAGGCTCTTCCTTAATCCACTCTGTATTGGAATTAACCTACTGAGCAGATATAATCAGAAAATACAAGCAAAACAGACTCTCCAGGTAAAATTCAGCTGCCACTTTGAAATACAAACACCATTTCCTTTTATTAATTGGCTGTGTGGCCTTGAGCAACTTAATCTCTCTGTGCCTCGGGTTTCCTATGTGTAAGATAGCCGGGCCTATTTCATATAAGGTTATTATGAGAATCAACTGGGGCGATAAAGCAAAGCCCCCAGCATAGTATATGGCACATACTCAGCGCTCAGTAAGCGTGAGCGATCCAAAGGATCTAAATGTTAAGGGCCAAGGAGAGCGCTCTTTCCACAGGTGCAAAGTCAGGTAGCGAAGACTGAGTTCAAGCCAGGTCAAGCAAGGGACAGGCCGCGGACAGGCGGGGGCCGGTGGCCGGGTCACGGAGCAGGTTCCCCATAGCCGCAGGGCCTCCGGAACTCGGAGGGCAGGCGCAGGGGACGGGATCGCAGGGCGGGGACAGAGCGCCGGGCCACAAGCCCAAGCGCCGCTGTCTTCGGAGATGCGTCCCGGGGGTGGCCGCGGGAGCCCCGACGCCGAGTCCCGAAGGGGCGGCCCCATCCAACGGCCGAGAGCAGGCGGAGGAGGAGGAGTGGAGGGGAGTGAGGAGGGGTGAGAGGAGGAGGTCCCGCCGCGGCCAAGAAAACAAGCCACGCTCGGGGGAGGAGGCAGAGACCAAACTCCCAACCGCCGCCCAGCGCCGGGGCCAGGCCGGGCCCTTGTCCGCGCCGCCGCCGCCTCTGTCAGCCTCTGTCCGCGCCCTGGGCCCCGGGGGCCGCCGAGGACCGACCCACTGGGTGGGCGGCCGGGCCCGGCGGCGGCGAGGGGAGGCAGCGAGGGGGCTCGGTGAACGCGCAACCGGCGCCCCGAAGGCAGGGCGCGCGGCCGGCCCCGCCGGGCTCAGGAGCGGGCAGCGCTGCGGCCCCAACCGGCAGCGAGGCGGCCCTGGACGGACGCCCGCCCGCCCCCCCCCGGCACTTACGTGGGCCCGGGCCGTGCGGGGCTGCGCGGGGAAGGGAGCGGCCGCCGGCTCGGCGGGGAAGGACGCGGGCGGGGCGGGACTGCTGAGGTAGCTGCGGTGGGGCCGGGCTGCGCTGCACCTCGTTCAGGTACCCAGACGGCAGGCGCGGGGCCGGCTCCAGCCCTCGGGTCGCTGCGCCCAGGCCGGCCAGTCCAAGTCCTTTTGTTGTTGTGCAGCGCTCGCAACAGCTGATCGGCCGCTCCGCTCGCCGTCGGGCCCCGCTGCCCCGCCCCGGGCCGCGCCAGGCCGGGCCCCACCAATCGGCGGTGCGGGGGCCCCGGGGCCGCCCTGCGAGAGGTTGTCACCAACGCACGTGACCTGGCGCCCGGCCGGCGGCGCGCTCAGCTCCGAAACAAGCCCGGGCAACAAAAACCGGGAGCTGAGCGTGAAGGCCTGGGCGAGCGGAAGGGTGGGAGAGAGGGGCTAGGCCGGGGAGGGAAGCGCTGGGGCCGGGGCCGGCTTTCCAGGAGCCGGCGGGAGCGGGGTGCGTAAGAGGCGGGCGAGGAAGAACCGGCGGGCAACGGGAAGGGCAGAGGTGGATCTCTCCCTCAGCGACCCCTCTCGCCGAGTGAAGGGTCGAGGGTTTGGGGCACAAAGGGCGCAGAACGTTTTTTCCTGTGAGAGGAACATTAAGACTCCTGGGAGGGCTGGGGCTAACGCCTCCGAGAGCCCCACCTGGTCAGCCTAGGGTTAGACGTGTAGCCAGGGTGCTGGGAGGGGGCCGCTGCTGGGCCCCAGATAGAGGGGTAGAGGCCGCTCAATCACGGAGCCAGGCCCCACCTGCTGTAGAAACCGCCACCGAGAGCCGGCCGGGCTTGCTGCACGCTCTGGATTCCGCCTGCCTATAGGCGAGGCACAAGGGACTGCGAGACCAGGCCTGAAGGCAGAGAGGTCAGCAGGCTCGGGGGCCTCTGCTCCAGCGGACAACAAGCGCACCGGGCGGGAACGGCCGCCTCCCCAGGCGCTGCAGCCTAGCTCTCATGTGACCCACGGAACTTAGCCCCTCTGTTCTGTTTGCATACCTGCAAATTGTGGGCATTCACGCCGGGACTGCCAACTCACCAGGTTATTTATAGTGACAAGAGAGTGAGACAGTGGGCTTGAAAGTGTTTTCCAGACCAAGGCTCTGTCCCACATATAGGTGGATTAACTGTCTGGCAAAGGCAGGTGAGTAACGTTGATGCCTATCAGCTCTCATGTGGATACTGTTTGGACTGGGATGTAGTTCTTTGACCTGGGGTGAGCTGTATAGCAACCCTGGAGGGATGCCTATCACACATTACAGTATCTGAAAGACACTCACATTCTGACCCTCACAATGTAGTCAGTCCATTTCCAACAATGCTGGTTTTAAAGGATGTAAATTGCAGTGCAGGGAGTTGTCAGACACCAAGGAGTAATGATCAAAATATGATGGTCATTGGACCTTATCTTGGGAGAAAGAGCTAAAACTGTGTTCTAGATAGTCTCACAGACTTGAACATGCTTTGGATTTTAGGTTTTTGCAAATCAGGCTTGTTCTAATATTTTCTCCCACATGCTATGGTAGGAGCCCCATGATCTCTTGTTTCTCCCTAGGAATCCATTGAAGAGGCCATCTCCACATTCAGAACCAAGGTATGATGACAATTACAAGGGGCTAATTTTTAAAAAGAAAAAGGCCTACCTTTTTCCAGTTTGATAAGGTTTATCATGGTTAAAGCAACATGTGAAATCATCATCTTGTTATGATAGAAAAATTCAATATGAAGTAGATCATTTTTCCAAAGATGACCACAACAGTATCTCCATCATGAAGTGGGTGTATTTTTCTTCCCTTTGAATCTGGGCTGACCCTGTGATTGCTCTGACCAATAGAATGTGGCAGAAAGAATGTTCTAGGACTTCCAAGCCTCGTCATTAAGCAAAAGCATTAAGCAAACCCCACAGCTTCTGCTTTGTACTCTGGAAAATGCCAGCCACCCATGAGGAGAGACCACCCTGCTAGCCACAGGGAGAGGCTATGTGAAAAGAAAGAGATGCCTGGCCAGCTCTAGCTCTTCAGCTCATCCCAGCTGAGCTACCAGACACATGAGTGGAAAAGCCCTTAGGAAGTTCCAGCTCCAGCAGACACCATACTGAACAGAGGAGAGATAAGCCATCCCCACGGAGCACTGCCAAAATGACGGCATTGTGAACAAATAAATGATCATTGTTTTAAGGCACTAAATGTTGGGGTAGTTTTTAAAGCAGCGATAACCAAAACACAAAGCTAACAGAAATGCCCATCACAGATCAGTGACTCTAAACTCTACCAAATAGTGTTTGTGATGAAAACATCTTGTCTCAGGAGTCACTTGCTTTCTGTTTACTCTCTTGCTGATTTATAATCTTCCCACCTGGTGCTTGTTTATTCCCAGTGGTGCACCAAGGAGGGCGTGCCTCAGGGCAGCATAGGTGAAGTCTGTCCCTAGGAGGGAGGAGTACTTTACCACGACATTGTTTGGAACTGTTGGAGCATAATAATAAAAAGCAAACTGACTTTTAGTCAATTTTATTTTAAAATTCTTTGCAGACACACAAATTTACTGTGTACTGCCTGTATCTGGGGTGGATCACTCCCACTGCCTCCCTTCCTGGTATGCCACTGGTTTACATAAATGCATGCAGTGAAACTCAGGAGTAATGTCATCTCCATAGCGTAGAGCTGTCTGAACACAACCAAACTGTCAAATTACACAAATGCAAGCAAGCTTTTCATCTGTTCACTGACAAAGACCCAGCCAGGTTCCCTGCCTGGGCAGATCCAGTGAATCCAACCATCCTTTAATTCACAGAATAATTCTTAGCGTGTTGCTATAGTACCCACTTCCAGGCTGACCCCCTGCTGTGGGGGTGACCCTTTCCCCATCTGTCAGAGTTCTCCTGTCTGTTTTCCATGGAGCTCAATACGCTCCCTTATCTACCCTAACAAAAGGGATTCAACCTCAAGTTTTGTTTGGAAGACTCACAGTGCAGGACCACATTCACACCAACAAACAGATACAATGCAACTAATGCCTCTGCCTCCTGCTTATGAAAGCAGGCTGTGGCCATAACCCTGCCAGTTGCATCGAGGCTGCTAAAGAATGTTGTTTCCTACCAACCCATAGGATGGCTACTTGGGGCAGCCTCAGAACACAAAGCAACAAGTTGTTCTGTCTGTACTGAGGAGAATGGCAAAGTGAAGTCCACTTAGGTCGTTTTCTATCTACCCATCAACAGTTAGGATCTGCTGGGCTTCTACCATGGACACAGCATGTTGCCAAGTGTCTGGGAAAGACAAGAATTTTTTTAAATTGCATTTTAGATAAACAATCACTTAGCATTCCAGTGACATCTATTGTCTTAAGGGAAGAAAGGATCTGACTGGGTCTCCAGAAAGCCTGGAACAAAGAAGCAAGAGATTCTGTGATTTCTGCTTTCTGAAATAAAAACAGAAAACAGGCGTTTAACTGGGCTGCCAGTTACCATCTCAGAAAGGAGTCAAGAATTATTCCAGGGCCATAAGTGTAATAGCTTTTCAAGACCCTGCAACCTTTGTGACTTTTGTATGTTTGTCTTTTTGTTTAACCCTATTTCCACGTGGTGATTAGAAATAAAATCCTTAAAATAAAAAGGGTCTGTGTGCTGGCTGAGGCAGCAGAAAGGAAAAAGGAGGCGGGCCCCCTTCATTCAGTAACCAGTGCTAGGGGGGAGTCCCCAAGAGGTGGGATAGCCTGCGCTGGATTGTAACTAATGATCGCTTCAGGCCTAGAGTATTTTCTCTAGTTTCTGGAAAGTACTTTCAAGGCTTCTTAGTTTCTGGCTGAATGTACAGGTAACCCAATTATTTATGTTAAAACTTAGAGCAGAGGCTGGGCACGGTGGCTTACGCCTGTAATCCCAGCACTTTGGGAGGCCGAGGCAGGTGGATCACCTGAGGTCGGGAGTTCAAGACCAGCCTGACCAACATGGAGAAACCCCGTCTCTACTAAAAATACAAAATTAGCTGGTCATGGTGGTGCATTCCTGTAATCCCAGCTACTCGGGAAGCTGAGGCAGGAGAATCGCTTGAACCGGGGAGGCGGAGGTTGCATGAGCCGAGATCGCACCATTGCACTCCAGCCTGGGCAACAAGACGGAAACTCCATCTCAAGAAAAAAAAAAACAAAAAAAAAACCTTTGAGCAGAAAGCAAGGTCATCCCTTACTGGATATGGTCTAGAGACATGATACAGAATGGCCCTTCATACACCACCCTAGCTCCAAGGAGCCATGAAGCTTGAAGAGGCGCACTGTGTGGGGCAGATGTGACTCGTTCTTGGGGCGGTTGTCAGAGATTAGTTGAAGTGTGTGAGCAAAGGGCTTTTGTAACTCCCGCTGCCAAAGCGACTTCTTCACTCACACTGATACTTCTGGGCACTGCCCAACAGTCCGCATATGCCAGAGGCAACCTGAGGTGGGTCTGTAATCATGAATTGCTTTGTTAGGGTGACAGCATGAGTGCAAGTGCCTTTCTGCTCTTCTCAAAAGGATGCAGATGATATGGTTACTACTTACATAAGCCACACACTGCCTAAATAATCTACCTATTTAAGGAAAACTCGTTTATTGGATTCTTTTTTTTTTCTTTTTGCATGAATGAACTACCTTAAATATCCATTTCATTTTGCAAGATGAATTTATGCTTTTAAATGTCCATGTTTCTCATGGCTTTGGCAAAGCCAGGCCTAAACGTTTTGATCATCCAAGGCAAGGTTTTTTATTTCTATAGTATCCTTTCGGGGCCTCTTTTCCTGCTTTATTCCTCTTTGATAGGAGTAGGCATTTATTTCTCTTAAATATCCATTACATTTTGCAAGATGAATTTTTTTGTTTTGTTTTTTGTTTGAGATGGAATCTCGCTTCGTCGCCAGGCTGGAGTGCAGTGGCGTGATCTCCACTCATTACAACCTCCGCCCCCCGGGTTCAAGAGATTCTCCTGCCTCAGCCTCCCAAGTAGCTGGGACTACAGGCGTGTGCCACCAAGCCCAGCTAATTTTCGTGTTTTTAGTAGAGACAGGGTTTCACCATGTTGGCCAGGATGGTCTTGATCTCTTGACCTCATGATCCGCCCGCCTCAGCCTCCCAAAGTGCTGGGATTACAGGCATGAACCACCACACCTGACCTATTTAACAGTTATTTAATGAGCACTTACTCTATGCCAGGCACCAGGGATACAGCAGTGAACAAAACAGAAAAGTCTTGGCCCTCAAGAACCTTCCATCTAGTAGAGGAGATACAATAAACAAGTAAATATATAATTTAGTGGGTGCTGTGAAGAAAGATAAGCTGGGTAAAGGGTTAGAGAGAAGTTGGTGGGGAGGTAGTGTGGTCAGGAGGGCCTCTCTGAGGAGGTGGCATTTGAGCATTGAGAACCAAAGGGCATAGAAGAGTGGTCCAGGAGCAGGAAGAGCAAGTGCAAAGGCCTGAGGTAGAAGAGTCTTTGCTGTGCTTAAGAGCAGTGCTGTTCTCAGGCTACACAGTGTAACTGAGGATTTGGCATGATCTGGTATCTGATGGTGACCTGACCAGACCCATAGGTTTATAAGCTGAAGAGCCGTAGAACTTTGAATTGTTTTGCTGTCTTTTTGGCTTTTCCAACACTTCCAGAAAGGCCCACAGATCTCTGAGAAGTCACTTTTTGTGTTTATTATTATAACCTGGAACTAAATTGTAGAGCCCTGAGAACAGGTCTCACAGAATGGGCCTCAGGTAATCAATTCTGTTGCATCCTGGAGATAAATACACTCTGTGCTGTCTGGTAAGGAAGGAAAGAACAGATAATTATGGAGTTCCTGCTCTGGAATGGGGACAGTTGCTTATCTTCTAAGTGCCTCAGTTTCCTCACCTGTAAAAGAGGGACAATAATACCAGCTCGGAGAGACAATAAAGGCAGAAAGGTGCCTGGCACATGTAGGTCTTTGGTAAGTGTGTGTTCTTACCAGCACATAGACCCTTCTTGTCCTAGTTCATTTTGTGTTGCTATAACAGAATACCTGAGAATGGGTAACTCATAAAGAACAGAGATTTATTTCTTACAGTTGTGGAGTCTGCCAAATCCAAGGTCGACAGACCCACAGAAAGGCAAGAAAACGTGCACACACATGAGAGGAAGGGGGTCAAACTCATCCTTTTTATCAGGCATCCACTCCTGTGATAACTAACCCACTCCTGGGATAACAGCATTAATCCATTTATGAGGCAGAGCCCTCATGACCTAATCACCTCTTAAAGGTCCACCTGTCAACACTGTTGCATTGGGGATTTAGTTTTTAACACATGAACTTTGGGGAACACGTTCAAACTATAGTGCTTCTCATTTGAAGTATTTTGTCTCTAATCACCATGTGGAAATAGGATGTTATTTATTTATCTATTTCCCTTTTTTGAACCCCAAATAGATTAAAAGGAAATAGGATTTTAAAAGAAAATAAAAGGAAAAATGCTTAAAAGCTTTAATAACTTCTGAGAACTTGAGCCCCCTCAAACCATAAAGTCAACAGCAAAATATCTTCATCTTCTTTAATAAGTCTATAAGTAGAAACCACAGAGGTGGTCTTGACCTATGCTTGAATTTGTGCCTACCTAACCTGCATTTTGTATTATGTGAATGTTTAAAACCATAGTTTGGAAAAGAAGTCCCTCCCTAGCACACACTGATACACCTGAGTTACTTTACCTGCTCAAACACAAGTGCAATAGAAACCAATCAGTCCTGTAAATTAAACTCCTGGAAGCCATATAATCCATAACTCAGAACAGAATTTAAAGTGAGAAGCAGCTGAATCAGCTGAATCTAATGGTTAAGAGCCCTAATTCTAGAATCAGACCTTAGTGCAAGCTGAATGACTTTAGGCTTGACCTCTCTTAGCCTCCATTTCCTGTTGCATAAAATGGGGATGATTAGAATGCCTCCTTCAGTGGTTCCGAGGTTAATGAGATAATGCATGTAAGCATTTAATACAATGCTTGGCACTATAGTAAGAGCTTATTAAAAGGTCATAAGAGTAACCTGAGTGTGCTGGGTTTTCCAGCGTTTGGGCAAGTGCTATATAAGCTGGGGGGTCAAGGAAGGCCTCTCCAGAAGGTGAGTTCTGAGCCAAGCCCTGCATGATGAAAGGGGCAAGCAAGCTCTGTGAAGCTCTAATCAGTGACTAGTAGCAGAAGGAACAGTGAGTGTGAAGGTCCCACCATGCCACAGGGGTGCTTAGAGGACCAGCAGTGTGGCCAGAGTGCAGTGAGGGAAAGAGACTGGAGAAGGAGACCAGATCAGAGAGGTGGGCAGGGTCTGGGTCAGGAGAGAACATGCAAACCAGAATGAAAAGTCTAGATTTCATTCAAAATGTGATGGGAAATGAAAGGATTCAATAATTTCAAAAGAATCCCCCTGGCTACTGTGTAGGAAACACTCGTAGTGGGTAGATGGAAGGCAAGGAAATAAGATGCAGTGATTCAGAGGATGGAGGGTGGGGTTAGGACCAGGATGGCAGCAGTGGAGGGGGAGGTAAATGAATGACTGAGATGAAGATTTATTTTGAAGATAGAGACAATAAGGCTGCTTAGTGGACTGATGTGAAATGTGAAAGAGAATCAAGGATGGTGCTTGGGGCTCTGATCTCCCACTGTGAATAATGATACTATTAAAGGGAATGGGGGCCAGGCGCAGTGGCTCATGCCTGTAATCACAGCACTTTGTTAGGCTGAGGTGGGCGGATCACTTGAGGTCAGGAGTTCGAGACCAGCCTGGCCAATGTGGTGAAACCCCATCTCTACTAAAAAATACAAAAATTACCCGGGCGGGGTGGCATGCACCTGTAATCCCAGCTGCACGGGAGGCTGAGGCAGGAGAATCACTTGAACCTGGGAGGCGGGGGTTGCAGTGAGCTAAGATCATGCCACTACACTCCAGTCTGGACGACAATGTGAGATTCCATCTCAAAAAATAAAAAATGGGGAGAAACAAAGAAAGGATGAGGGACACAAACTGAGCTTGAAATGCTTTTTATATCCAGGTGGAAGTTCCAGGGCAATTGAATATTTGGGTCTGGAGCTCAAAGAGGAGGTGGGAGTGGTGATGTAAATGTGCAACTTATCAGCTTTAATATTTATAGCCATAGGACTGGATCAAGGAGCTAGGGAGAGATTATGGACAGAGGAAAGGGCTGAAAGCTGGGCCCAGGGCTCTGACATTTAGAAGAAAGAAGATAAGGGATATCCAGCCAAGAAGAGTGAGAAGGGACAGCCAATGGGGTGACTGAAAAATAAGACAGCGTGGTAGCCTGATCCAAGTACTGAAACTGTCTTTGGAAGGAAAGTGTGACCACCTGCAGAGAAGCCAGATACAATGAGAACAGTGAGGTGGCTTCTAGATCCAGCAAGATGGTCTACAGCAGATGTATTGATAGCAATAACTTCACTTACACATACCCTGAGAATGACCTTGTAGTCTAAGAAGATGTGTGTTTGGAGTTACGAGCTGAGGAACGTGGAAGCGGCCAACCCAGAAATTCACTCATTATTCATGAAGGACATCTGAACCCCCGGGCCACCTCTTGGAATGAGGGTTGTACAGGGGAAAGAGGCTCTTTGTTTGGGGTTAAATGAAGGTTGCTGCTAGGTGGAGGTTGCTAAGTGAAAATGCCATACAAACTGCATGCTTTTTACAAATGGTGGTGGTGCTCCTGTCCAGCTCACCGCCATTGGACCATCCCTGTTTGTAAATCCATCCAACAAACCCTATGTCTCGTTTGTTGTCTCCAGGTCTCTTCTTCGGCCTTTCTGACATGGTGCCAGCCCTACTGGAGTCAGCAGGAGTCCAGCACAACAGATGGTGGTCAGTGGTGACTTCGGCACAGGCAGTTCGTGAGGAGTGGTTGGTGGCCATGGAGTCCTGACTGGAGTAGGTTAAAAAGAAGGAGGAAAATCACAAGAAAGAGAGACTGGAGGTGAGGAAGCAGACATAGAAGGTCTAAATGTATTTACTTCTGGAGCTGCCATAACTAAGAACTGCAGATTGGGCATCTTACAGAACAGAAAGGTATTTTCTTGATAGTTCTGGAGGCTGGAAATCCAAAATCAATGTGTTGTCAGGGCTGGTTTCTGCTGAGGCCTCTCTCCTTGGCTTGTGGATGGCTGTCTTCTCCCTGTGTGCCCACATGCTCTGCCTGTGTTTGTCTGCATCCTAATCTCCTCTTCTCGTAAGGACACTAGTCATACGGGATTAGGGGCCACCCTAATGACCTGTTGATCACCTGTCTCAAAGCCCTATCTCCACACATAGTCACATTCTTTTTTTTTTTTTTTTTTTTTTTTTTTTTTGAGATGGAGTCTTGCTCTGTCGCTCAGGCTAGAGTGCAGTGGCATGATCTCAGCTCACTGCAGCCTCCGCCTTCTGGGTTCAAGCAATTCTCCTGCCTCAGTCTCCTGAGTACCTGGGATTACAGGCACACGCCACCATGTAGAGACAGGGTTTTACCGTATTGACCAGGCTGGCCTCAAACTCCTGACCTCAGGTGATCTGACAGCCTCAGCCTCCCGAAGTACTGGGATTACAGGCGTGAGCCACTGCGCCCAGTCATGTATAGTCACATTCTGAAGTGCTAGAGATTAGGGCTTCAACATATGAATTTGCGAGGCACACAATTCAGCCCATAACACTAAGCAATTATTTTCTTAGAAATTTTGTTGTAAAGGAAAGCAAAAGATCAAAGTGGAACTAGATGTGAATGGGAAGACAGGGAGGTTTTGTCTTTACTTTGGGCTTTTACTATGGGAGGAATTACAACTACTGGTATTGCTGGTAAGAATGATATGGCAGAGAAGCTGAAAATGGCTGCGGGAAAGAGGGGGTGATTGCGGTAGCAAAGCCTGAGTACCTGAGAAGGGATGGGATCAAGAAGTATCCAATGACTTACTCAGGTCACATAACCTGTGAGTGATGGGGCTGGCACTTGACCTCAGGAATCCTCACTCTGAGACTCTCCAGTCCAACCAAGCTGCATTTCAATTCCTGTCTTTGAGAGCAGCAGTAACCATAACAATCTCCCAGGATGTAAAGGAGGAAACACATTCACATATCAAATTACAGCTGTCCTGGCTACCTACATACTAGGTACTCAAGGCTTGAAGAGGAGGAAGGAGGTCAATGGGTTCTTGGAAGGGGAAGAGGACAAACAGATAAGACTCCATTTGCCTAATTGACAACTAAAACACCCTCAGAAAGTCCAGTTCCAAAGGTGGTTGAATATTTTGAATCCCTGACTTAGCATTGGCCAATTTTTTTGTTGTTGCTTTTTGTTTTTTTTGTTTTTTTTTTAGAGACAGTCTTGCTTTGTTTCCTAGGCTGGAGTGCAGTGGCACATTCATGGCTCACTGCAGCCTCTACCTCCTGGGCTCAAGTGATCCTCCCACCTCAGCCTCCTGAGTAGTTGGGACTACAGGTGCATACCACCATGCCAGGCTGTTATTTTTATTTTTTTTACTTTTTGTAGGGATGAGATCCCACTATGTTGCTCAGGCTGGTCTCGAATTCCTGGGCTCAAGTGATCCTCTCGCCTTGCCCTCCCAAAGTGCTGGGATTATAGGCATGAGCCACCATGCCTGGCCTGGCCTATTTGTATGAACTGACCTTGGCTTTGGGTCCCCCCCAGTTTCGGATGTTTACATTTCATCAGCTTTTCATGTGCAGATTATATTCTCTGTCCCCAGCACCAAGGATCACGTGGTTTTGTGATTTTACTTCTACAAACTCTCTTATCACAGCACTTGCATGTCCGAGTCCAGATGTTAAACAGATCGATCAATGAGTAAACCTTGGCTTCACATTTTGTGCAGACAAACTTAACCAAGACATATACAAACAAAGTCTCTTAGCTACTGCATAGCCTCTGTGTCACCAGATCTTTGCCTTAAAAACACTTCCTTCTTTTTTTTGGTAGCAGCTTTATAGAGATAAAATTGACATACTGTATACTTCATCCATTGAAGACGCGCAACTCATTGGTTTTTGGTGCTTTCACATAGCTGCCAACATTTCCTTCTTGACATTGTGGTTTTCACCTGAATAGACAGGTCAAACTCCCAACCTCAGTACGACTCTGCTATTTTCATCATGGCAATTTCCAAACCCGTAAAGGTTATCTGAAGGCAAATGTAGATATGACTGGGACTTCCCTGGTGCCTCGTTAGCAGCTGATGACTTGTCTAAGTTCATCCGGTGGAAACTGCTCCATGTCTGTTATATGGGTGGCTGTTGTGGAACTAATGAACAAGGAATTGAGTGAGCAGTTTTAATACAATAAAGGATGGATGCCTTGCTTGGTGCACAGACAATGACATCTCAGTAATTTTATTCCAATTGGCAGAACGCTAAATCCCTTTCATTTGTTTCACATCTTCTTACCAACCTTTCTGCTAAATGCTCCATTTCAGTATCCTCCAAAGTGTTTGTTTTGAGACCATGTATGTTTATGTCCTCTTTCCTCTCATGGAAACCACCTGTAGCAGCAACCAGTGGAGCTGCTGCAAACATTTGTTTTTGATAACAGTGTATTCTGAACGTCTGTGGTTTCAATTTCTATTTTTGTCCCTGACTGTTGTAACTTTTCGAACAAACCCTTCATACCTTTTACGGGTAGCTTTGCTTTTCCCAGGCATTTGCACTCTGCCCAACACGTCAGCTACATAAACTGTGACAAGGCTATTGCAAGATTGCTCTATAATTATTACCCAAGAAAACATCTTGTGAGAGACCAAAACTCTAAAAGGCCAGCACATAGACATTTTTCACCTTTTATTAATTATATGCAATAATCTCTGAACACAGAAACAGTGTCAAGAGACTATCATTCTTTTGGAATTTTGACGAACAATACAGAGAAGCAAAATAAACCACTCGGTCCCAATTAGAAAATTTTTTCTCTTATTCATCAGTGTTCTCCACTGACACGTAAAATTCACCACTACACTCTCTCACATTTCATTTTTGTCCTTGAACTCCAGGCTTACCTCATATAAAACTTCTCCTCCTTCCTTAGTACCATCCAACCTTTCATTCATTCAATAAGAACTTTTACCATTTTAAATCAGTACAGTTGTCTAATGACTTACAGTTTCAACATGTTTTCATCTGCATTGTTTAAACTGGTCCTCACAACAATTCAGAGAATGAAGTCACAGCAACCATTATTGTTGTTTTTTTTCTTTTGAGACGGAGTCTCGCTCTGTCGCCCAGGCTGGAGTGCAGTGCCACCATCTCAGCTCACTGCAACCTCCGCCTCCCGGGCTCCAGCGATTTTCCTGCCTCAGCCTCCCAGGTAGCTAGGACTACAGGCGCGTACCACTACACCTGGCTAATTTTTTTGTAGTTTTTAGTAGAGACAGGGTTTCACCATATTGGCCAGGCTGGTCTCCAACTTCTGACCTTGTGATCCACCCGCCTCAGCCTCCCAAAGTGCTGATATTACAGGCATGAGCCACTGTACCCAGCCTAGAGCAACCATTATTACTGCCATTTTATAGACAGAAAACTAAGGTCTCTTGGCTAGCCATAACAAAACTTGTACCAAGAAATTGATTTGAATTCTAGTCCAGGATTTTTTCCTACCATAATACTGGCCTTCATATTTTGCTATGATTCTCCAGTGTCAGCTGCATCAAAATCCCCTGGAGGGCTTGTTGTATCACAGATTGCCAGGGCCCGTCTCCAGCATTTCTGATTCAGTAGGTCTGGAGTGAGGCCCAAGAATTTTCTCATTCACACCCACACTTCTCCACTTTGTCCTTTGCCTTCCCCCTTCTTAGCTTCCCTTCCAGCTAGGGGTGGCCATGTGACATAGTTCCGGCCAATGAGATGTCAGCAGAAGTCTTCTAGGACAACTGTGCTTTCCTGATGAAAAGGGACAGAGTTGGCCCTTCACCCTTTCTACTTCTTCCTGCCCAGAACAGGTACACAATGCTCAGAGGCACAGCAGCCACCTTATGTTCCGCACATTAAAATGGACAGGATAGAAAGACAGGAGGAGACTGGGTCTCTGACGGTCCTAGGTTTCTTACCTCCAGACTGCTTTTTATTTTTTGAGACAGAGTCTTGCTCTATAGCCAAGGCTGGAATGCAGTGGCAAGATCTTGGCTCACTGTAACCTCTGCCTTCTGGATTCAAGCAATTCTCGTGCCTCAGCCTCCCAAGTAGCTAGGATTACAGGCATGTGCCACCATGCCTGACTAACTTTTGTATTTTTAGTAGACATGGGGTTTTGCCATGTTGGCCAGGCTAGTCTCAAACTCCTGGCCTCAAGTAATTCGACTGCCTTGACCTCCCAAAGTGCTGGGATTACAAGCATGAACCACCACACCTAGCCCAGACTTCTGTTTTTTGTTTTTTGTTTTTTTTTTTTTTGAGACAATGTCTCACTCTGTTTCCCAGGCTTGAGTACAGTGGTGCGACCATAGCTCACTGCAGCCTCCAACTCCTGGACTCAAGTGATCCTCCCACCTTGGCTTCCCAAATTGCTTTTATGGCATTAGCCACTGCACCTGGCCTCCAAACTCCTTTTTTTCTTTTTTTTTTTTGTTTGGAGATGGAGTCTCGCTGTGTTGCCCAGGCTGGAATGCAGTGACGTGATCTCAGCTCACTGCAACCTTAGCTTCCTGGGTTCAAGTGATTCTCCTGCCTCAGCCTCCTGAGTAGCTGGGATTATAGGCACCCACCATCACGCCCATCTAATTTTTGTATTTTTAGTAGAGACGGGGTTTCACCAAGTTGGCCAGGCTGGTCTGGAACTCCTGACCTCCACTGATCCACCTGCCTCGGCCTCCCAAAGTGCTGGGATTACAGACAGGCGTGAGCCACTACACCTGGCCCAAACTCCTTTTCGTGTGAGAAAAAAAAATCACTAACTATTAAATCACTGCAGTCAGGCTCTCTATTACCTGCAGCCAAAGGCATGTCTTATTGATACAGAGAAAAAGAAGGTTAGAAAAAGAAGAGTACATGGCAGTGTGGAGACTGCATGAAAAATGGCATTTAACAAGCATTTTTGAGGCTTACTCTGTAGCTGACATTGTGCTAAGTGAATGAAGCAGTGGTCCTGCCCCCAAGGTGCTCATAGTCAGGGTGGAAAGACCACCATATAAACATATAAAGAATGCACTGTGAGGGGACAGATGTATAAACAAAATGCTATGGAAACCCAGAAAAGGAACCCTACCTAAGGAGGTCAGGGAATGATCCCAGGAGATAACATATGAAAAAGGACTTGAAGGATGAATACAGTTATGTCAGGAAGCAAAGAGAAAAAAGCTTTCTGTGCTTGAGTCCCTTCTTTCTTCTACCCTTGAGGGCCAGAGGCTGGCTCAGCTGGAGACGGGTTGGAACAAGGGCCGTAGCCAGACATCTAACTAGGTAATAGAGGATTCCAAAACCCAAGCTGCCTGCAGAGCCAACTTCAGGAAACTCAAAAGTCCAAAGAACCAGGTGGGAAATTGTGAAGGTTGGCAAATACCCATGACAGCAGGTCTAGGGAGCCAGACATCTGGGGCTGAAAGGCAAGAGCCAGAGAGCAGAGGGCATTTAGGGAGAACAGGGCAGTAGCTGGGGAAGACAGGTGGAGGCCTGCTTCTCAAGCAGTTAAGAAGCTCAGTGCACAAGCTCAGCAGGTCAATAAATAGCCCATTTCATTATCTTATCATTCAACTTCATTTTCACATTCAGCCCTCATCCTGTTAGGGCTGTGGGAAAGTCATCTTAGTCCTTCCTGGGGATTCCCCCTGCACCCAAGGCTGTGCTAAAATTCTGTGGCCTTAGTTAGCCTGAAGGGCCCTTCAGTCCCTGGTGCTGCTGTTTCTGTGACATAGGAACCCTGGCGGTAGGACCCTGTATTAGTCTTTTTAAATTGCTATGAAGAAATACCTGGGCAGGGCACAGTGGCTCATGCCTGTAATCGCAGCACTTTGGGAGGCTGAGGTGGGAGGACCCCTTGAGCCTAGGAGTTTGAGACCGACCTGGGCAACATAGGGAGACCCCATCTCTACAAAAAAATTTAAAAATTAGCTGGGCATGATGGCACATGCCTGTAGTCCCAGCTACTTGGGAGGTTGAGGCAGGAGGATATTTTGAGACCAAGAGGTTGAGGCTGCTGTGAGCTATGATGATTCCACTGCACTCCAGCCTGGGCAACAGAGAGAGACCCTGTCTCAAAAAAAAAAAAAAAAAAAGGAGGAATACCCGAGACTGGGTAATTTATAAATAAAAGAGGTTTATATGGCTCGCAGTTCTGCAGGCTGTATAAGAAGCACGGCACCAACATCTGCTTCTGGTGAGGGCTCAGGATGCTTTTGCTCATGGCAGAAGGCAAAGGGAGAACAGGCATGTTACATGGCAAGAGAGGGAGCAAGAGAGCGAGAAGGAGGTGCCAGCTTCCTTTAAACAACCAAATTTCATGTGCACTAATAGAATGAGAACTCACTCATCACCAAGGGGATGGCACCGAGCCATTCATGAATCATCTGCCCCTGTGACCAAATATCTCCCACTGAGCCCCACTTCCAACATTGGTGGGGGTCACATTTTAACATGAGATTTGGAGGGGACAAATATCCAAACTATATCACACTCCATCTCCCTGATGGACCATGGGAATTTCCACCCAGTGCCTGATACATCCAGAAAGCATGGTATAGATCCCTGCCACTGATGGGCGCCAGAGATGTCTCTTTCCTCTTCTCAGGTCCAGCATCTCTTCTTGGTATGAGGGAAATCCCTCCCTCTAGCACTGTTTCCATCAGAGACCCTCACCTTAAGCTCTGTTCACCTCAGTGAGCTTAGGGCTTGGGAAATATGAGCCAGGAAAGGGAAGAGTCTGCAGTCAACTCTGTGGTCATCCTGCCCAGTCGGCCCTGAGGCTGAGAACAGATCCTTTTAGAATGGGGACAGAAAAAAGGGGAACTGCAGGGAGAAAAACAAATTAAACTTTGAAACAATTACTGGGCCATATACATATCGAAGGTGATGATATAATTAAAGGACCGGGGCAGTATACACACATTCCAACAGGTGCAAAGACAGTCAGGAAAGGGCCTGATCTGTCTGGAGAATGGTGAGTCCCCGGGGAATGAGGAAGAAGAGGCTGGGACAGGGTGGAGGGTGTCAGGGCCTTGATGGACAGCCTTGGATGACTGCTTCTGGAATTTGGATTTTATTCTGAAGGCCACACAAGTCAGGAAAGGTCAGTAAGCTATGCTGAGACATGATCCTGTTTTTATGTTTAAGGAAACAACCTTGGTAGAAGGGTGGGAGATTAAGTTGTGAAGAGGCTGTGGTTGGCCATAGGAATAAGCCAGACAAGGGCTAATAAGAGTTTAAGCCAGGAGTTGCAATGGAGGTAGGAAAGCGAGGTCACGGTTCTGGGATAAAAACTCAACAGAATTTAGTCAATTGGCCATGACGGAATGATGGCAAATGACAGAAATTGAAGAAGATTCCAAGATGTCTAGCGTGGAAGACTAGGTAGTTCGTAAAGTCATTTACCTGAAGGTGAGAAGTCAGAAGACTGGGAATATGGACAGGGATGGAGACAGGTGATGGGGTAGGAGAGAACTCAATGTATTTAGCACTGGTTATATGCCAGCACTGTTTTAGAGATATTTTTTGTCATAAAAACCCTATGAAGTAATATTTTTATGGTCATTTCAGAGATAAGAAAACAAAGGCTGAGAAATAATGTTTGCTCACCCATGGTTACTCAGAAAGTGAGTCAGGATTGGAAACTATAGCCAGCTGGCTCCATAATCTGTAACCCACGCTTTGCTCCCTAGTATGCTTCTAAGTGTCATCTAGTTTGGGACATATAGGAGTCACTCAAGACTCTGAGTCTGGAGCTTGGGAGATACTCATGAGGTACAGGCATCGGTTTGTAAGTCCTTATAAAGGAGATCATTCTTAAATTACAGAAGCAGATGAGATCACCTGGGGAGAGCATGCGGGGGAAAGAGAAGACAGGGACGGACCCTGGGGACTTCACATGTAAGGCTTATATCAGTCAGGTTGATGTTAAACTATTATACATGTAACAGGAAGGACGGCCAGGCATGATGGCTCATGCCTGTAACCCCAGCACTTTGGGAGGCTGAGGCAGGAGGATCACTTGAGCTCAAGAGTTCAAGACCAGCCTGAGCTACATGGTGAAACTTCATCTCTACACAAAGTCAAAAAATTAGCCAGGTGTGGTAGCACGCGCCTGTGGTCCCAGCTACTTGGGAGGCTGAGGTGGGAGAATTGCTTGAGCCCGGAAGTTTGAGGCTACAGTGAGCTGTGACTGCACCACTGCACTCCAGCCTGGGTGACAGAGTGAGACCTTGTCTCTAAATAAATAAATAAATAACACAAAGGCAATGAATAAGATTAGTATTGGTTTCTTCTCATCACAGAGTTCAGCAGTGAGGCTTTCAGGGTTAGACTCTTGGCTTCATTAGACACTCAGGCTCTCTTTTTCTTCCACCATACTTAGTGTGTGTGGCCTATCCTCAAATTTGCTTTAGTTTCACAAAATGGTCATTTTAGGTCCCATCATCCTATTTCAGGCAGCGGGAAAGCGGAAGAGGCCAAAGGAAAAAGGTGTCTGCCAGCCAAGTGGGGCTGCTTTTAAGGAAGTCTTTCCAGGAGACTCACTACATAACTTCTGCTTACATTGGCCAAAACTTAGAACTATTTTCAAGGGAGGCTGGAAATGCAGTTCTTAGCTAGGCCCCTCACTGCACCAACTAAATCAGGTTCCCTTGGTAAGGAATGAAAGGAATGGAAATTGGATAGACCATTGTAATCTCTACCATAAGGGGGTAGGCAGAAGAAAGAAAAAAAGGAACATGCGGAGAGAGAGAAAAAGGGAATGATGCCATGAAAAGTGTAATCATTAGGATGCTTTTAGTTACAAGTTCTTGAAAGCTGAGACCAAACTAGCTTAAACTTTGATAAAGTAGCCAAAACAATTTACAGGTAGGGCAGATGTGTTTGTTGGGGCTCTGGCTTTGCAACTTCACTGTTTTCTTGGATATGCCCCTCTGTGTTGGCCTTGCATTCAGGCTGACCTCACAAATGGCCATGGAGTGGCTGAAGCAGTTCCAGGACTCACATTTGCACACATCATCCACAGCAAGACTGACCATCTTCCTAGAAAAAGTCCTGAAATTCATTTATTCATTCCAAAATATTTCTGAGTACCTACTGTGTGCCAGGTTTTTTTCTAGGTGCCAGAGATAATGACAGAGATCCTTTAGTCATCTGTTGCATTATCCTGAAACTCAGAGGCTTAAAACAGCAAGTATTTATTATTTTACAGTTTCTGTGAGTCAGGAAACTGAGCAGGGCTTAGTTGGGTGCCTCTGGCTTCGGTTCTCTCATAAGGCTGCTATCAAAATGTCAGCCACCGCACCACGGGCGCGGTGGCTCACGTCTGTAATCCCAGCACTTTGGGAGGCCGAGGTGGGTGGATCACTTGAGGTCAGAAGCTCGAGACCAGCCTGTCCAACATGCAAAACCCCATCTCTACTAAAAATATAAAAAATTAGCCAGGCGTGGTGGCATGTGCCTGTAATCCCAGCTACTTGGAAGGCTGAGGCAGGAGAATCGTTCGAACCTGCGAGACAGAGGTTGCAGTGAGCCAAGACTGCGCCATTGTACACTAGCCTTTGCGACAGAGCGAGACTCTGTCTCAAAAAAAAAAAAAAAAAGTCAGCTGGGGCTACAGTCATCTTAAGGCCAACCAGGGGAGGATTCAGCCTTTAACCCCAGCTCACTCACATGGTAGTTGGCAGGCCCCAGGTCGCTGCTGGCTACTGGCCAGAGATGTCAGCTCATTGCAACGTGGACATCTCTACTGGGCTGGGAGTTGCGGGTGGAAAGGAACAGAGAGAAGTCAGTCTTCTTGTAAAACATTCTCAGAAGTGACATCCCATTACTTTTACCATATTTTATTTATTTTGAATTACTGCCAATAAGTCCAGGCCACGCTGAAGGGGAGGGGATTACATAAGGGCATGAATACCAGGAAGTTCAGATCATGGGGAACCACTTTGAGACTGCTTACCACAATATTCTAGTCAGTGGAGACAGGCAATAAACAAACGTGTATCATATGTCAGGGGTGATAAGTGCTAGGAAGAAAATCAACGCAGAGTAAGGGAAGGCCTTTATTATGAAATGTCATTTAGGTAAAACCTGGCACACGGGGCAGCAAGCCATGTGGGCATCTGTGGAAGAGCATTCCAGCCAGAGGGAAGAACAGGTGCAAGCTCCCTGAGGCAGGAGCATGCTTGGTGTCTTTCACAAATCACACAACCAAGGTGCCTGGAGCTGAGTGAGCAAGGGAGGAGACCAAGTCAGAGAGGTGGGGTGGGATCACGAAGAGACTTAGAGAAGATGGTAGAGACTTTCCTGGAAGGTTCTGCACAGGGGTGTGATATCATGATCTGCTTTACTTTTAAAAATCTACGATGTGGGCAGCAGATGGTACCAAGGGCGAGAGTAAAAGCAGGTAAACCAGTTGGGATTCTACTGCAGTGGCCCAGGGGAGAGAGAGCAAAATCATGGAGTCATGTTGATGCAGGTGGGGAGGAGTGACTGGGTTCTAGATATATTTGATAAGATTTGCCGAAAGATTGACTTAGGGTGGGACAGAAGGAGGAGTCAAAGATGACTGCAAGCCTTTCAGCATAAGAATCTCTAAGGTCAGGATGCCATTTGCTCAGGTGGGGAGGATGAACCTGAGAGAGCAAATCAAGATTTTGACCATGTTAAGTTTGGAACACCTGTTAGATAGCCAAATGAAGATGTTGCAGAAGAAGTTGGAGTCTGGAGTTCCGATGAGAGGTGGAGGCTGGCAATAGAAATTGGAGAGGCATCAGGATCAAATTGCCATTTAAAAACAGAGAACTAGATGAGATGAATCACCTAGGGAGTAAGTATTAATGGAGAATGAGCTCTGGAGCACCTGGAACCTTTGGAAATAAGAGGATGAGGAGAATCTGGCAAAGGAAACTGAGAAAGAGAAACCAATGACAAAGGGTAGATGATTCTAGGGAGAAAACCAATAGGGTCCACCTAGGAGAGCAAGAAGAGAGGTGCTGTTGCCCTTTCACATGCCTCCAAGGGTCAAGTGGTGCCACTGGATTTGAAAAGTAGCAGAAGGTCATTGATTACTTTAGAGAGAGCAGCTTGCAAAGTCATAAGGTCAGCAGCTGGACAATATTGGATTTGGAAGGGAAATTAGCTGGGCCTGGTGGTGCGTGTCTGTAATCCCAGTTACTCAAGAGGCTGAGGCAGGAGGATCAGGTGAGCCTGGGAGTTCAAGGCTGCGGTGAACTGTGATCATACCACTGCACTCCAGCCTGGTTCACAGAGCAAAACCCTGTCTCTAAATAAGATAATTTTAAAGTTGGAAACAAAGCACAAGGGAAAACACTAAGTTATGCAAAATTAGAATATATTGATATCAATAACCAAACATTATAATAAAACCCAGAACACAGAAAGAGGTAAATTGTTTTCAGTAAATATAATGAGGCTTAGGATCTTTACAATGGAAAAAAACTCATGCAAATTGATAAGAAAAATGCTAAGACCTTACCAAGAAATCGACAAAGGACATGAACAGACAGTTTGAAAAGGAGGAACTACAACTAGTAAACAAAGATAAAGAAAACTGGCACCATTAGCAAGAAAAGAAATACAGATTAAAACCTTAAGATGGGCTGGGCACAGTGGCTGATGCCTGTAATCCCAGCACTTTGGGAGGCCGAGGCAGGCGGATCACGAGGTGAGGAGATCAGGACCATCCTGGCTAACATGGTGAAACCCCGTCTCTACTAAAATACAAAAAATTAGCCAGGTGTGGTGGCACGCACCTGTAGTCCCAGCTACTTGGGAGGCTGAGGCAGGGGAATCGCTTGAACGTGGGAGGTAGAGGTTGCAGTGAGCCGAGATCACACCACTGCACTCCAGCCTGGTGACAGAGCAAGACTCCGTCTCAAAAAAAAAAAAAAAAAAAAGAAGAAGGAAAAAAACATAAAATGACGTGTTTTCAACTATTGAATTAGCAAAAAGTTACTAATATCATTTAACCCAGAAATTCCAGGTCAGGGAATCCTAAGAAACTAAGCCAAAATGCAAATGAAAAAGCTAGTCACAATTCTGTTTATAATAGTTAACAACAGAAAATAGCCAGGCATGGTGGCTCACAGCTGTAATCCCAGTGGCTCAGGAGGCTGAGGCAAGAGAATCTTTTGAATCTAGGAGTTCGAGGTTATAGTGAGCCATGATCTTGCCATTGCACTCCCGCCTGGGTGACATGTTCCCATCTCTAAAAAAAAATTAAAAATAACAGAAAATAATCAAAATGCTGAACACCAGGAGACTGGCTTAGAAAAGTATGGCACATTCATACAATAGAATATTAATCAAGCACATACCAAAAATGCTTGGGAAGAATTTATGGTAACACAGGAAAATGTCTATATCATATTAACTTTTTTAAAAAGCAGGATTGTAAATTGTATATACCTTTTCTTCTCACCTATGGGAACATATTTCTAGAAAAAGGGAAACTCACCAAAATGTTCCCTCAGCATCACACAGGAAGACTGACTACCATTCTTTCATGCAGCACACCTTTGTCTCGAACTCCTGGCCTCAAGCCATCCTCCCACCATGGCCTCTCAAAGTGCTAGGGTTACAGGCATGAGCCAGCACAACTTTGTTAAATTCTGTGCTGGCTTCTCTGCCAAGTCCTGGGAGTATAAAGATAATTCAGAAAGTCCTTCCCTTGAAGAGTTTGCATCTATGATCCGAAAAACTATTCTGTGTGAGTAAACAATCAAGCCTCAAAAGCTATAAGCATAATTCGAATCCAAAAATATCACAGCAGAAATGAACACACCTGCAAGGTAAATGTTGACCACACAGCTGGGCCTACAGTGATGCTGCCCAGAGGCAATAGGAAATTTTGGAGCGTACTTAGCTGTCAGTTGAGTTCTTGGAAACCCCAGTGCTAGAGTAAAGATGGCCTTGACTCCAAAGGAATGAAAGTCAGGGTGTAGCTAATAGAATTCATAGAGTGAAGCTGATACTCCCAAACAATATTGTTGCCTAACTTCCTGCTATAAGTGGTTTGGTGTAACAGTGCCTCTGCCCAGCCTCTGCTCAGAACCACCAGAGTGACTCCAGATGGATCATTGGGCTTCTTCCATCCTGGGTTACTTCTTGAGCCCCACTCTTTGGCAATGACTAGCTTGGAGGCTCCTGCTGCAGTGTCAGGATTGGGCCAGTGGGAATGCCTCTATTTTCAGGTTTCTCACAGGTGGAGATGACAGAATGACACCTCGTATTTCTAGACTCTTTTATGTATATTTCACATATATTTAAAAAATTCTGGGCCTGGCGCGGTGGCTTATGCTTACAATCCCAGCACTTTGGGAGGCGGAGGCGGGTGGATCACCTGAGGTCAGGAGTTCGAGACCAGCCTGGCCAACATGATGAAACCCCCGTCTCTACTAAAAATGGAAAAATTGGCAGGGTGTGGTGGCTTGCGCCTATAATCCCAGCTACTCGGGAGGCTGAGGCAGGAGAATCACTTGAACTCTGGAGGCGGACGTTGCAGTGAGCCAAGATTGTGCCATTGCACTCCAGCCTGGGCAACAAGAGCGGAAAAAAAAAAAACTCCGTCTCAAAAAAAATTCTGACTCATCTGCAAATTGAAGAATGATGTAGTTGGTAGCTGGAAATCAACTAGCTGCATTTTAAAATTTTCTGGCAGTGTTACCTCCATCTTGCTTCCTTTACCTATCAAACTGTAGTTATTTAATAAATGCTAAATCAGAAAAACAAAGATTCTGATAGTGTCAGAGAGAAAGCTCTCCTAGAAAGCTACTTTCTGAAAAGTCCAACCAGGTTATTCTTTAACTGTTTTGGTCCATGGAGTAGCAAGGCAGATTTAGAGAGCAAAGAATAGATACAACATGATTTTTTTTTTCTTTCTTGAGACTGAGTCTCGCTCCATTGCAAAGGCTGGATTGCAGTGGCTCGATCTTGGCTCACTGCAACCTCTGCCTCCCGGGTTCAAGCAGTTCTCCTGCTTCAGCCTGCCAAGTAGCTGGGATTACAGGCGTGCGCCACACCAGGCTAATTTTTGTATTTTTAGTAGATATGGGGTTTCGCCATGTTGGTCAGGCTGGTCTCTAACTCCTGAACTCAAGTGATCTGCCCGCCTCAACCTCCCAAAGTGCTGGGATTACAGGCCTGAGCCACCACACCCAGCCACAATGTGATCTTTAAAATAGATCAAAGACCAACCTAAAGGAAAATGAGTTTTTGATCATAAAATTAAGTACAATTTAAAAATTCAGTTCTCCTATAATCTCAGCACTTTGGGAGGACAACGTGGGAGGATTGTGTGAGCTCAGGAGTTTAGGACCAGCCTGGGCAACGTAGCAAGACCCTGTCTCTACTGAAACTTAAAAAAAAAAAAAGATCATCCAGGCATGGTGGTGCATGCCTGTAGTCCCAGCTACTCGGGAGACTGAGGTGGGAGGCTTGCTTAAGCCCAGCAGTCGAGGCTGCAGTGAGCCATGATTGTGCCACTGCATGCAGCCTGGACGACAGAGCAAGACACTGTCTCAAAAATAAATAATAAATAAATATTCAATTCTTAGCCAGGTATGGTGCCTCACATCTGTAATCTCAGCACTTTGGGAGGCCAAGCTGGGAGGATTGCTTGAGCCCAGGAGTTCGAGGCTCCAGTAAGCTATGATAGCTTCACTTCACTACAGCCTGGGTGACAGAACAAGACTCTGTCTCTAACTAGCTAAATTAATAAATACTCATTTCTTAAGAGAAACCCTTAATAATTACCATGTGATTAGGACTGAAATGTCTGAAGGCAAGCTATCTGGGTTCAAATCCTGGCTCTGCCACTCCCTAGCTGTGTGACCTTAAGCAAGCTACTTAATTTCACTGTGTCTCAGTATTTTTTCCTTATCTGTAAAATGGAGATGATAGGACCTCCAGCCTGGGTGACAGAGTGAGATTCTGTCTCAAAAAATAAAATAAAATAAAATGAAAGAGACACCAGAGAGCTCCCTCATGCCTTCTCCCCCATGAGGACATAGTGAGAAGATGCCCAACTATGAATCAGAAAGTGACCTTTGGGCTGGGTGCGGTGGCTCACGCCTGTAATCCCAGCACTTTGGGAGGCTAAGGCGGGCAGATCACGAGGTCAGGAGATCGAGACCATCCTAGCTAACACAGTGAAACCCTGTCTCTACTAAACATACAAAAAATTAGCCAGGTGTGGTGGCGGGCACCTTTAGTCCCAGCTACTCGGGAGGCTGAGGCAGGAGAATTGCTTGAACCTGGGAGGTGGAGGTTGCAGTGAGCTAAGATCGCACCACTGCACTCCAGCCTGGGCGACAAGAGTGAGACTCTGTCTCAAAAAAAAAAAAAAAAGAAAGTGACCTTTGGCCAGACGTGGTGGCTCACACCTGCAAACCCAGTGCTTTGGGAGGCCGAGGTGGAAGGATTACTTGAGGCCCAGAGTTCAGGACCAGCCTGGGCAACACAGCAAGACCCCTGTCTCTAAAAAAAAAAAAAAAAAGGCCCTCCCCAGACATGGAATCTTTGATCTTGGACTTCCCACCCTCCAGAACTGTGAGAAATAAGTTTCTGCTGTTTATAAACCACTCAGTCTATGGTATTTTCATTATAGCAGCCTGAACCAACTAAGATAAGGGTGTTCATGAAAGTGAGGAAAACAAATAATGTCTTTATGGGAACTCCAGAAAGCCACTCAGCCAGTCCTCAAGGTTAGAGCAGGAACATCATACCACCCTGCACTGTGGCCATTAGTCAGGAACTGGAAGGTCATTCAGGGCACTGACCAGCTCTTGTGGCCATACCATCTCCTCATCCCTTTGCAGCAGGTGTCTACTTAGAGCCAAATCTGTTTTTTTTTTAAATTATCTTTATTATAAGGAAAAAAAAAAACCACAGTAAAACAGACCTGGTAGGTGGTAGGGGTGGAAGACACGGAAAAATATAATGACCAGACATGGCTTCCTGCGAGGGAGGACAGTGAGTTGGCCTTTACCTCACCTACTTTCCTGATTCAAAGAAACTTGCCCCCAGCAAGACTGGGCCCAGGAGCTCCATTTTCCAATCTCTTCTCTTCCTGGGCATTTAAGAAGGGGTATATTGTTCTCCAGCTTTCAAGATATTGCAGACAGTATGGAGAAGAAGGGAAGGATATTATAGCCGTTTGTTTCAATGCCTTCCCCAGCTCAAGCCCTCAGGATTTGTTGATGCTGCAGATAGGAACCCCATGGAATTGGGGCAGCTTAAGCAGCAATATGCTGAGCGGTGAGGCTGTGTTGATGAAGAAGGAAGCAGCATCATACCTGGCATGGAAGCTGTCAGGAGGTAGAATGCCATAGGAGAGATGCTAAGGAACTTGTGGGCAGAGGTACCTGGAGCCTGTAGTCCATCCGCTCCCAGTGTATCAGTAGCCAAGCCTTTCCTTGTTAAGGGGGTCTCAAAGGACGTCCCTTTCCCCGTATGCAGGAAGTACATAGCCTGCCAGCTTCAGAAGCCTGTCCAGCTAGAGGCGTGGTGCTCACTTCCACACCTGTAGATGTTTGTCCAAGGGTCAACCTGAGATTCAAACCCAGGGCCTTCTGGCCCAAAACAAGTAAGCAAGTAGCAGCCCAGGAAGTCAAACCAAGATCTGCGAGGTTCCAAAACACCAGCTCCTTGCTTCTTCCTTTCTCAGCCCACCAACATAACCACTTGGAGGAGCCTGAACCAAGTCATGTGTTTGCCAGTTCCCACTGTCTCATTCCAATGCTGAGTTGCCCCTGGGATAGAGCAAGTCTTCCTCCACCCCCTGTAACTGTTAGGGCCAGGTAGAGACAGAGGGCAGGTGTGGGTGGGTTGGAGGATCCCCTTTCATTCACATTCAGCAGGTGGCTTCCTTGAGCTGATTTTTCCCTTTAAAGCTGTCCTAATTGCTATTTTAATCAGATTTTATATTCCTATAAATCTAAGGTGGAGGTTGGGGAGAAAAGAGATAATGGTATGGTGAGATGTCTACTGAACTGCTCCTGCCAAGGCCCCTCCCCATGTACTCTCAACGAAAGTTGCAGGTGAGTCTCCCATGCTGGGAGTCGGAATCCAGCAGAGCCTCAGGCAGCGGGGAGCTATAGCAGTTAGAAAGAGCACATTCGCAGAAACCCTGTGACCTGCAGCTGCTGGCCTCCTGGAAGCTTCCTTTGTTGCTCTTGGTTGGAAGACTGTTGTTATGATGCTCTTTTAACTACATTCACAGGGTCTAGGATTGGGTTAGAGAAAGGGTGAGAGGACAGGTGGGAGGAAAGAGGCTGAATGAGTGCTAGGAAGTGAGGCATCCGAAGGGACTGCCTTCATGGTCGTGTCTAGCCTGATATTCACAGCATTATTGATTTTTTTTCTTCCAAAAATTACATGTATTTTATTTTCAGCATCTTTTGCTAATTCTTTCTAATTATAATGTGCTGTTATTTTACAGCCACCCATTCTCATTTTGTGGATATAATTCCCTGCTTTAGTTTTCTGAGCACAAGAAATCAACTTTGGCTGCACATTGGAATATCTGAGAAGCTTAAAAATACTGATGTTTGGACCAGGTGCAGTGGCTCACGCCTGTAATCCCAGCACTTTGGGAGGCAGAGGCAGGTGGATCACGAGGTCAGGAGATCGAGACCACGGTGAAACCCTGTCTCCACTAAAAATACAAAAAATTAGCCGGGCGTGGTGGCGGGCGCCTGTAGTCCCAGCTACTCAGAGAGGCTGAGGCAGGAGAAAGGCATGAACCCGGGAGGTGGAGCTTGCAGTGAGCCGAGATCGTGCCACTGCACTCCAGCCTGGGTGACAGAGACTGTGTCTCAAAAAAAAAAAAAAAATACTGATGTTTGGGCCGGGTGGTGGTGGCTCACGCCTGTAATCCCGGCACTTTGGGAGGCAGAGGCAGGCGGATCACGAGGTCAGGAGGTTGAGACCATCCTAGCCAACGTGGTGAAACCCCGTCTCTACTAAAAATACAAAAATTAGCTGGGTGTGGTGGCGCATCCCTGTAATCCCAGCTACTTGGGTGGCTGAGTTACGAGAATCACTTGAACCAGGAGGTGGAGGTTGCAGTGAGCCAAGATCCCGCCACTGCACTCCAGCCTGGTGACAGAGCAACACTCCATCTCAAAAAAAAAAAAAAAAAAAAAAATTAGCTGGGTGCGGTGGTAGGTGCCTGTGGTCCCAGCTACTTGGGAGGCTGAGACAGGAGAACTGCTTGAACCTGGGAGGTGGAGGTTGCAGTGAGCCAAGATCACACCACTGCACTCCAACTTGGGCAACAGAGCAAGACTTCATCTAAAAAAAAAAAAATACTGATGTTTGGAGAATGATGGTCATCAGAGGTTGGGGAGAAGGAAAAGGGAAGTTGTTGTTTATGTTGTTTAATGGGTATAGAGTTTCAGATTTGCAAGGTGAAGAAGTTCTGGAGATCTGTTTCACAACAATGCGAATGTACTTAATATTACTGAACCATACAATTAAAAATGGTTCAGAGGCCAGGTACAGTGGCTCAGGCCTGTAATCTCAGCACTTTGGGAAGCCCAGTCAGGCGGATCGCTTGAGTCCAAGAGTTTGAGATCAGCCTAGGAAACATGGCGAAACTCCATCTCTACAAAAAATACAAAAATTAGCCAAGCGTGGTGGCACACACCTGTGGTCCCACCTAGGTGAGAGGATCACCTAAACTCAGGGAGGTCAAGGCTGCAGTGAGCCATGATTGCACCACTGCACTCTAGCCTGGGTGACAGAGTGAGACCCTGACTCAGAAAAAAAAAAAAAAAAAAAAAGGTTAAGATGGTAAATTTTATGTTATGCTTTTCTACTACAATAAAAAGTACATAAAAATATTGATATGGGCCGGGTGCAGTGGCTCATGCCTGTAATCCCAGTGCTTTGGGAGGCCAAGGTGGAAGGATCACTTGAGGCCAGAAGTACAAGACCAGCCTGGACAACAAAAAGAGAGCCTATCCTTACAAAAAATTTTTTTTAATTAGCTGGGTGTGGTGGCACACAACTGTAGCCCTAGTACTCATAGTACTCAGGTGACCTGAGGTGGGAGGATCACTTGAGCCTGGGACATTGAGGCTGCTGTGAGCCATGATCACACCTCTGCACTCCAGCCTGAGCAAAGAGCAAGACCCTGTCTCTAAAAAAAAAAAAAAAAAAAAATTGACCTGGCTAGAACGAAGCAGGCATAAGAAGGGGCATAAGCACCCTGCTGGGTTCTCTCTCTCTCTCTCTCTCTCCTTGTGCCAGATGTTTTGCTTCCGCTTCTCCTGTCCTTGGACATCAGACTCCAGATTCTTCAGCTCTTGGACTCTGGAACTTACATTAGTGGCCTTCTGTGGGGGTCTCAGGCCTTTGGCTTCAGACTGAGGGCTGCACTGTTGGCTTCCTGCTTTTGAAGCTTTTGAACTTGAAATTCTGACTTAACTGATGAACAGTTAAGTCTAGGGAATATCTGTTCTGGGGAGTAGTGGGCAATGAACCCTGAAAAGCTCTGTGACATTATGATATAATAAAACATATCAGTGGTTTTCCTCCCCAGTCCCTGGCACAGAGCTCCTAAAACCCTTGTAATTTCCTGAATGACAGGGGTGCTAGGTACATCGTTTGTTCTAATACTTGGTCTTGGACTCTGGTTCCTGACAAAGAGCTCCTAAATCCTTTGGAATTTCCCGGGTACTAGAAGAGTCCTTTGTTCTATTAATAATTCGGCAACTCTTGGGGGGCTCCTGGATAGCTTTGGGATGGGAACTGGTCAGCAGAAAGACCAAGCCATGATTAGAAGCTTGGAACATTCAGTCCCATCCCCTATTCTCCAGGAAGGGGAGCAGAGCTGGAGATTGAGTTAATAACCCATCATGCCGATGTGATGAAGCCTCCATAAGACTACAAGGCTCATAGAGCTTCTAGGTTGGTGAACACATCTGCGTGTTAGAAGGATGGCGCACTCCAATTCTTGCCCTCAGGACACTTTTGGACTCACTCTATGTACCTCTTCATCTGGCTGTTCATCTGTATTCTCTATCATATCCTTTATAATAAGCTGGTAAACAGGCCAAGCATGGTGGCTCATGCCTGTAATCCCAACATTTTGGGAGGCCAAGGTGGGAGGATCACTTGAGCCCAGGAGTTTGAGACTAGCTCTGGCAACACAGTGAGACCCCATCTCCATGAAAAATAAAAACTTAGCCAGGCTTGGAGGTGCACGCCTATAGTCCAGGTACTTGGGAGGCTGAGGTGGGAGGATCGCTTGAGCCTGGGAGGTCGAGGCTGCAGTGAACCATAGCCATTCCACTTTGCTGTAACCTGGGAGACAAAGCAAGACCCTGTCTCAAAAAAAGAAAAAAAAAAAGCTGGCAAACATAGGTAAACATAAGTGTTTCCCTGAGTTCTGTGAGCCATCATAGCAAATGGGAACCTCCAATTTGTAGCCAAGTTAGAAAGAAGTGTGGGTAACCTAGGGACTCACTACCTGCAGTTGGCATCTGAAGTTTGGGGGCAGTTTTGTGGGACTGAGCCCTTAACCTGTGGCATCTACAGTAACTCCAGGTAGTTAGTGTCATAATTAAATTGTGGTACACCTAGTTGGTGTCCAAAGAGTTGGAGGATTGTTTGGGGTGTTTGGGGTAGAATAAGCCCTGAGACATTTTGTGTCAGAAGGGTTGAGTGTAGTAGAGCAAAACAGTGTTTGTTTCCTGTTTAAGCTCCCAGGTGATTTTAGCATGCGGCTAAAACTGAGAGCCGTCCTGAGGATCTGAAGTCACTACTTTTCAGATCCTCATCATTCTGGTAATTATTTTTTCTCAGATGCAAATCCCCGCTTTTGTTGAGATTTTCTTTTTGATGGTGTGGGCCATTTTCAGAGGCTGACCAAGCTTACCTTCTGCCACCTGGGCTACACCTCTGCCTACACCCTGGGCTTCAAGTCCCACCTGGAGGTGAGGACCTGGGGCTTCTTGACTTGTGCTTTCCTATCTCCTCACTTCCTTGAGGAATGCTGCCCAGCCTTTAAAGAGAGGGTCCTTCCTTGTTTTCAAAAGTGGCTATATTGTCTTTCACACCCCTCTCTCTTTTCCATCCTTCCTTCTCTCTTTCTTTTTGTATCTTTTAAAAAATCTCTTCCTGGGGTCTTATGAAGGAGATTTCAGCATGAGTTTAGTCCACATTCCTGAAATCTGGGGATTTTACTTTTTAACTTTATATATTTCTGTGTTATTTGAATTATTTTGCCACAAATACATTGTTTTTGTAATATTTTTTCAAGTGTTTTTATAAAAAGAATTTATATTAATAAAGCCTATGTAATAACCTTGAAAATGTTTATGACATAATGCTAAGGGAAAAGGCAGACATATGTGCAGGAGGATCACAACAATGTAAAAAAAGACCATGACAAAAAACGAACTTTATCCATAGAAGACAGGCCGGAATGGGCTGGGCACCATGGCTTACGCCTGTAATCCCAGCACTTTGGGAGGCCGAGGCAGGTGGATCACTTGAGGCCAGTAGTTCAAGACCAGCTTGGCCAACATGGCAAAAACCTCATCTCTACTGAAAATAAAAAAAATCAGCTTGGTGTGGTGGCGCGCACCTGTAATCCCAGCTACTCGGGAGGCTGAAGTAGGAGAATCACTTGAACTAGGAAGGCGGAGGTTACAGTGAGCCGAGATCATGCCACTGCACTGCAGCCTGGTTTACAGAGTGAGACTCTGTCTCAAAGCGAAAAAAAAAACAACAAAAAAAACCAGAAAAAGAAATAGTGGTTATGCTTACATGGTGAGATAAATGCTTACTTATATGTGGGAAAGTCTTTTGTTCTTTATGCATTTTTATTATATATATATATATTTTAAAAGAGTATATTCTCCTTTTATAATAGGTGGGAAATTGAACCACTCATGTTAAATGAGTTTAGTCAACTGCAGAAGTTACATATCATAAGAAACAGTTTGTGGGAGACACCCAGGCTCAAAGGAGCTACTGGGGTGTATCCCAAGAAAGGTGTGACGGGAATGTGGTTATTGTTAGGACACAAATAACACTGTCAACTGTGGTTTTTTTGTTTTTTTTTTTTTTTTTTTTGAGACAGAGTCTGGCTCTGTCACTGAACTGGAGTGCAGTGGTGTGATCTCGGCTCACTGCAACCTCCACTTCCTGGCTCCAAGCAATTCTCCAGCCTCAGCCTCCTGAATAGCTGGGATTATAGGTGCCTGTCACCACAACTGGCTAATTTTTGTTTTTTTTTAGTAGGGGGGTGGGGGGGTCTCACCATGTTGGCCAGACTGGTCTTGAACTCCTGACCTCAGGTGATCAGCATGCCTTGGCCTCCCGAAGTTTGGGTTTGAAGGTGTAAGCCACCGTGCTTGGCCTGTCAACTGTACTTTAATGAATAAGGCATAAAACCTTAGTTTAGTGCATAGTTGTTTACCTCCATTACCCCTTTTCTCCATCAAGACTACCTTGTATTTGTTTAGGCAGCCACCTCTCAACAACCCATGAAGTGTCTGGAGCTCCACCCTCTGCTCAAGAGGAACGGCACATGACCCAGGCCTATGCCAATCAGCATTTCACATTCCTCATGGTTGGTTCAAAGGTGAGCAAGTAATTGAAATCAGTTAAATTAGTGCCAGCACAAAGAGGCTCTTTCCCCCACCCCAGTATTACCATGGTTTTAATATGGTTTATCCCCACAAAACTCACGTTGAGGCTTGGACTCCAGTGTGACAGTATTGGGAGGTGGTGCCTTTAAGAGATGATTAGATGGTTAAGAGGGATGAATGCCTTACTCTTGCAGTGAGTTCTTGTTCTCTCAGTTCTGGATTAGTTCCCATGAGAGTGGGTTGTTATAAAGCAAGGCTGCCTTTTGCGTTTGGTCTCTTTTGCTTGCCCGTCCACTTTTCTGCCACAGTATAATGTGGCAGGAGGCCCTCACCAGATGCAGCTGCCTGATCTTGAACGTCCTAGTCTCTAGAACTGTGAGCCTAATAAACCTCTTTCCTTTATAAATTACCCAGTCTTAGGTATATTGTTATAGCAACAGAAAACGGATTAAGACATATGTTGTACTTGAACCTTAATGTACTTGAACTTGAAGTTTGATGGCTGCAGCAGCTATAGCCATCTTACTTCCATGTGAAGCCTAAGAATTAAGCAACACATGGAAGGGAACACATCTTTTGAGCCCCAATTTGGCCATGAGTTGCCCTTAGATTTTTTTAGTTATGTGAGCCAATACATTTCCTAAAACAGGTAAAATTATGTTTTTAGACACTGATAACCAAAACAGGTCAAACTATGCTTACGGCAATTTGCTTTAAAAGAGAACTAGACAGAGAGAATTTGTTGCCTTTTGACCAATGCTTCCATGAGAGAGCTGATATTCTGATTCCTGACCTCAACCACTATTTGATTGGCAGATGTACACTTACACACTGCATAATGACATTTTGGTCAATGATGGGCGCTTGAGCCCAGGAGGTCAAGGCTGCAGTGAGCTGTCATTGTGCCACTGCACTCCAATCTAAATGACAGAGTGAGACCCTGTCTCAAAAAAAAAAAAAAAAAATTGGCCAGGCGCGGTGGCTCACGCCTGTAATCCCAGCACTTTGGGAGGCTGAGGAGGGTGGATCACGAGGTCAGGAGATTGAGACCATCCTGGCTAACACGGTGAAACCACATCTCTACTAAAATACAAAAACAAAATTAGCCAGATGTGGTGGTGGGTGCCTGTAGTCCCAGCTACTAGGGAGGCTGAGGCGGGAGAATGGCGTGAACCCAGGAGGCAGAGCTTGCAGTGAGCTGAGATCATGCCACTGCACTCCAGCCTGGGCAACAGAGCGAGACTCCATCTCAAAAAAAAAAAATTATACATCTTTTCTATGCTTAGATGTGTTTAGATACACAAATACTATTGTGTCACAATTGCCTACAATATTCAGTACAGTAACATGCTGTGCAGGTTTGTAGCCTAGGAGCAATAGGCTATCCCATATAGGTTAGGTGTGTAGTAGGCTAAGCCATCTAGGTTTGTGTAGGTATACTCTATGATATTTGAACAATGACAAAATCACTTAATGATGCATTTCTCAAAACATGTCCTCATCTTTAAGTGATGCATGACTGCGTATCTCCCCTGAAGAAATAGCAATTCATTTGGTTAGCCTAGTTTGATGAAACTATCTCATCATGAAACCCAACTCCTATTTCTGATTCCAGGTTTACCAAGCTGTCCTCTGATCTGTGGTTTAGCCCTTTGACTGCACTGATTATGAGGCAGGCACCCTCCCATTATGCGTGAACACACTGGCATTACATTTGTTCAGTCAGCCTTTTGCAAGTTTGTTTAACCAATTAGTTGCTAGAGCATGCATGTAATAGAAACCTTGAGATTCTGGCTTCAAAGCTGAGAACAGTCCCAGCTCCATGGTGACCCACCGTAATATGGAAGGAAGAGCCAACTAAGTTGAGACTCTGTATCTCTCTTTAACTTCCACAGGGTTGTTCACCTAAAAGGAGGACTAATAAAGACAGAATGTGCATGTTCGTTATGTGGTCCTCACAATACTGGTCAGCCCTGGAACATGGTAGTCCTGGGTTTGTACAGCTACTGTTTTTGGTGTAGTCTTGGGCAGACCACCATCTCCCTAAGCCTCTATTTTGGTTCTTCTACTATAAAGTGGTAAAAATAACACTTTTTGCATGTGGTCATTGCAAAAACTAAAAGAAATGATATACATGAAGTCTAGGCAAAATAGAATAATAACTACACAGAGGCAGATTTTCCATGAAGTTAATAAAGTTTCCTGGGCCCTAACAATGTGTTCACATAGTCCTTTGGTTTCATAAAAATTGTAAATTCAAGATATCTTTGCTATTCTTTTTTTTTTTTTTTTTTTTTTTTTTGAGACAGTGTCTCACTTTGTTGCCCAGACTGGAGTGCAATGGCACTATCTTGGCTCACCGCAATCTCTGCCTTCCAGGCTCAAGCAATTCTCCTGTCTCAGCCTCCTGAGTAGCTGGGATTACAGGTGTGCGCCACCACTGCCTGGCTAATTTTTGTACTTTTAGTAGAGACAAGTTTTCAGCATGTTGGCCAGGCTGGTCTTGAACGCCTGACCTCAAGTGATCCACCCGCCTCGGCCTCCCAAAGTGCTAGGATTTACAGGCATGAGCCACCACATCCAGCCAATTTTTCTTAAATCAAGTCCCCCAAATCTTGTACTGGTATTATTTCATTATCATGATCTCATTTAAACCTCACAACAATACTGTGGGATAGCTATGGTTGTTACCATTTTACAAATGAGAAAACTGAGGCTTATGGATATTAAGTAACTTTTCTAAGATCATACTATGAGTGGTAGAGCCAGGATTCAAACCGAGGTGGTGTGCATCCAGAGAGTGTCCAGGGTCCACATCTTAATCACTCACCTGGTTTCCTAAATGTGTCTGTACCGAAGAGTCACCAAGGGGCACTTATTAAAGTACAGATTCCAGGGTCTACCTCAGAGATAGCAAATCAGGGTCTCTAGGGGAGGGACCTAGTTTCTGTGGTGGTTTCCACTCATGAGCCTCTGCTCCAATGAGCTGTATTTGCCTGTCTGTCTCCAATCTTGGGGACAGCAGTTTTTCCTATGGCCTCACCTTTCTTACAGGTGCAAGAAGAGTTGTTGATTTTTCAGCCTGTCCAGCTTTGTAGTTGCTGTTAAGATAGAATGGACTTCCAAGCTCCTTACGTGCAGAAGCAGAAACCAGAGGTCCTATCAAAATAGTTTTAAATTGTATTAAACATACACAAAAGTAGAGCAATGTGCTGAATCCCTATGTATCCATCACCTAGGTTCAATAATTATTATAATTTTGCTAATTTTGAGAAGCAGTTTAAAAACTCATAGAGACCAGTGCTTAACAGTTAAAAAAACAGGGAGTTAAAATCGTCATTCAAATAATTTGGGAGGTGAAATTAATTATTTTTAAGTAAATTACCTAAATGATTTGGGCAAGAGCCATATATGTATATATATTACAAATAGCATAAAACAAAAAACTGATAATGTTAAGTATTTTGGTAGCTCTTTTGTGTAATATCACTTTACTCAAATCCTCCCCAATACCCTATTATGTGAAGAGAAATCTGTTTTTTATTACATTTCCTTCTGAAACTCAGAGGGCAAAACAGTCCAATTCAATCACCAAACTTGTGGAGTCCACAGGGTGTTCCCTTATGCTACAGGAGACCAGAGAGGAGTTGCAAAGCCTATCCACAGTTGTTTGGAAGACTTTATTGGGAAAGTGGTGTTTGAGTAGCATCTATTAAGAGTAGACTTTATGTCTAAAAGCAGATGTGGAAGAGGCAGAATTTCAGGTTGAGGGAACTTCATGTACACGGATGGGAGAGAAGAAGGTGTAGAGTGAGTTTGGGGGTGTGGTTACATTACAGTGTTTGTGATGGAAAGGTAATTTAAGAGCTGGATGAATCTTAAAGGTGACATCATGGAGCAGAGGTTAAAGGCGTAGGTTCTGTTGGCAGACAGACCTGTCTGGTTACCTCCTGCCTCAGGTGGCAGTGCTGATTGCCAACCTAAGAGCCATTCTCAATGTATTTTCCTTGGTGGTAGGGCTGCCTTCCTCTCTGAAGGCTAGAAATGCTAGATACTCATTTACCAGCCTCCTTTGCAGCTAGGGGATGGCCATGTAATCCAAGTCTGGCCAAAAGGACCTGAAGGGAAATCTAAGGTGGGGGGTTCTAGAAATAATTTTCTCCCTAATCAAAAAAGACTCTATAGCAAAAACTTCTTTTTGCCTCTGAACATAGCTGTGTGACACTGTGAGCACTGGAGCTATGGCAGCCATCCTGTAACCATGAGGAAAAGCTGCTGATGAAAGCCAAGGTGCTGAGGCTAGCAGAGGAGATAATATAAAGTATTTAGTGCTTGATGACATCATTATGCCACTCTACATATGCCACTCTTTGTTTGGAATATCAGATTGTATAAAATGATACATTTTCCTGATTACTTAGGCCATTTTGATTTGCACAACCCCTGGGTTAGTATCAGCCCAGAAAGTAGAAAAGAAAAACAATAATTATATATATATATATATATATATATATATATATATATATATATATATATTTTTTTTTTTTTTTTTTTTTTTTTTTTTTTTTTTTCTGAGACAGAATCTCACTCTGTCGCCCAGGCTGGAGTGCAATGGTGCAATCTCAGCTCACTGCAACCTCCGCCTCCCAGGTTCAAGCAATTCTCCTGCCTCAGCCTTCCGAGTAGGTGGGATTACAGGCATGCACCACCATGCCTAGCTAATTTTTGTATTTTTAGTAGAGACAGGGTTTCACTATGTTGGCCAGTCTGGTCTCAAATGCCTGACCTTGTGATTTGCCCGCCTTGGCGTCCCAAAGTGCTGGGATTACAGGTGTGAGCCTCCATGCCCTGCAACAATACATTTTTATACAATTTTGTACAATTTTTTTCTTCCTTTCTTTTTTTTTTTTTGAGACGCAGTCTCACTCTATCGCCCAGGCTGGAGTGCAGTGGCGTGATCTCGGCTCACTGCAAGCTCTGCCTCCCAGGTTCGAGCGATTCTCCTGCCTCAGCCTCCCAAGTAGCTGGGACTACAGGCGTGTGCCACCATGCCCGGCTAATTTTTCATGTTTTTAGTAGAGATGGGGTTTCACCGTGTTAACCAGGATGGTCTCGATCTCCTGACCTCGTGATCTGCCTGCCTCAGCCTCCCAAAGTGCTAGGATTATAGGTGTGAACCACCTCGCCTGGCACAATTTTCTATTTTTAAAAAATCTCATGTTCAGCAAAATCATACATCACAAGTTTTATGGAAAAAATAGGGTCAAGGGCAGACCACTCAAAACATTAAGAAGTTTTTAAGTAGAGCCCTGATAAAAACAACTCTACTAATAAATATCTTGGCACAGTTTGTTCTCTATTGCTGTTTGCAGCTAACCATACAGCCAGGCCTTCCTTTGCAGCTTTGTATCTGGGTACACCTGTTTCCTCCTGAGACATGAAGGTCCTTGAGGACATTTGCTTCCTGGAGAGAAAATTGTCACCAAAATTAAAAATACAATCTAGAGGTAGCTTTCTGAAATCATTTTAAACATAAAGAGATATGACTTAAAAATTTTTCATCTGAACTGTCAATTTCCATAAATAGCTTAATATAGTGAAAAATTGAGAGGTTCTTGAAGCCACTAAGTCTAATAAAAAAATGCAATTCCATGGGGTTTTCGGTTTTCTGCTTTTTCCTTAGGGTCCTCAAAGATGAGGAAGGCTTTGTCTTTGTGAGAAAGCTCATTCTAGTCACTTCAAAACATACTGGAAAAATAGCATATGAGCTAATTTGGTTTCTGTGACATGATGATTCTATTCCCCTATTACCTGTCACATGAGAGCCAGTTAGGACTAAGAAAACACCAGGGTGGTTAAATGGTAAATTTTATGTTATGCATATTTGGCCACTGTATATATTTAAAAATTGAGGCTCTACAGGAGCTCTTGTTTATGTGGGCTATGCCTATCAATGTTTACCTTAGTAGTCAGTAAAACTGGGATTTTTTTTTCAAAGGAACACCATTATGAATAGATGATGCTAACATTGGTGTATCCACCACTCAGCTTCAGAAATCAAACTTTACTGATATCCTTGAATCCCCATATGTGTCCTTCCCTGAATGCATTCCTTTGTCCCCCAGAAGTACAGACTATCCAGGATTCAGTGTTTATCATTCCCATGTCTTTCTTTATGGGTTTTCTAAATTTAGAATATCCCCAGAGACAGTTTAAAATTTTTAAGCCAATGCAGCCATAACACAGTATGTGTATTATTTTGGAACTTTTATTGACTTGGTTCATCCACCCCTCCAGGTGCCATTGGTCACCCAACCCCCTCCAAAGCAGAGGGGCAGTTCTCTCTAGTACTTTATTAGCTGCCTTGATGTCTTGTTTCCAGTCCCTTCAGAAATTATGGTGGAGATACACACATACACATTAATGGAATAAACACTCTTCCCTCCTCTCCCTTGGGGCTCCTTCCCCCAAAGAGGTCCATTGTCCACAAGTACTCATTTGTGGGACTCAATATGTTCCCAGCCACAACAGAGCATTACATTAGAATAGGAGCTAACATGTGGGAATCAGCATATGTTTAGAATTACATCTTACACACTGAAAAATGCACTGGAAGAGCAGCCATTATTGACAGAGACGGTCCTGGCTAATAGATCTGCCTAGTTTTAGGCTGCTTAGGGGAACAGGGGTCCTGGAATAAGAAGCCCCACCCCCTCCTATGAAGAGAGGAAAGCTGGAGACAAAAAGAGGAAGCAAGAGATGAATTGCAAAAAACTAATCAGATTGCAACCTCAAGGTAACATTTTGCATAATAAGTTCTAACAATGTTTTCTTGTTTATATCAGCCTCCTCCTCTTAGCCTGGCTTACTAGGCTGGTGTTTAATTCCAATGCTTCTGGGTTAATTTATTCAACTTTATTATCCTTACTATAGTAGCCTCCCCTAGCGTTCTCCCCTACCTCTCAAAGGTCTCATCTAAGTGTGTATAAAGCTGTTAAATAGAGGAGAGGAATCAGGATGAACTGCACAGCATTTTCTTAAGGCCTGTGGGTTCTGGAGCCTATGCTTCAGCAACTGAAGCTGAACTGTGTGGTTGTTGCTAACATTGGTGTATCCACCACTAAGCCTCAGAAATAAAACTTTACTGATATCTTTGAATCCCATGTGTGTCCTTCCCTGAATGCATTGCTTTGTCACCCAGAGGTAACAGCTATCCAGCATTCAGTGCTTATCATCCCCATGTCTTTCTTTATTGGTTTTCTAAATTTGGAATATCCCTGGAGACAACTTTGGCAACTGAAGCTAAACTGTGATGGTTGTTGACCTCTGATGTGCTACTTTTTAATCAAGAACTTATTTTCCCTCTTTCTCTCTCAGCTCCCACAGGCCCATTCTGGTGACTCATGACTTGTATACACAGAACAACAGAGAAAAGAAAAATAGAATTAGATAAACAAGCAGGGGCAACAGTGAGGGCTATGTCTTACAAAGAACCATTTTTAATTGAATTCATTTTCTCTCTTGAAATTCTTTTTTTTTTCCCTCAAAAGTGGGAAAAAATTCTCAAATAACAACAGCAAACCAAGAAAGCAGCTTAGTCTGCACTGCATTTGCATTTCTTAGTTTCATTCCCTATTCAAAAATGTCTTAGGCAAATGTGTGGGAATGAACATGCACTTTAAAATTATGGGACCTAGTAGATTTAATGGAATGAGCCCTGGATTGGGAGCCAGGGGACCTGGCTTTGAATGGTCCCAACCCAGGCACTTATTTACCTTAGTTTCTTCACTTATAAAATTAAACACACCATCTACTGATGAATGGATAAACAAAATGTGATATATCCACAGAAGGGAATCTTGTTCAGCTGTGAGAAGGAATGAAGTATGGACATGTGCTATAATGTGGATGTGCGTTAAAGACATTATGCTAAGTGAAAGAAGCCAGACACAAAGACCATACATTTCACGATTCCACTTACATGAAATGTACAGAATAGCTAAATCTAAGGACATAAAGTAGGTTAGCTAATGGGTACAGGTTTCATTCTGGGTTGATGAAATGTTCCAAAATTGATTGTGCTGATGGTTGTATTTAAAACTCTGCATATACTGAAAACCATTTAATTGTACATTTTAAATGAGTGAATTGTATGCTATGTGAATTATATCTCAATAAAGTTGTTCAAAAAAAAGAGAAAAAAATGAAACAGTGATTTCCACCCAGCCCAGATATGTTGTGAAGCTCAAATGAATTGTTTTTACAAATAAGAAAACCACTTAAAACTATACAATGAAAATTATTTTTAAACTTAATTATTTCTTAAATTCGAGGCTGATATACTAAAGGAATTTTTCCAGTGACAGTTGGCATTTCTATAAACCAGAATTGTACCTCTGCTTACAGCTCTGTGGATGAAGATCAGGGAGGAGGAACAGTTTCAAGTTGGTGAGAGTGTTGAGGGGAGGGAAAAAATGGCTGGTTTGTAAGATCCTTGAGGTCAGGGATTATTTTTATCTTGTTCTCTTTTGTAATCCCAGTGCCTAGTACAATGCCTGACTCAATCAATGTGAATGAGTGAATAATGAATCAATGGTCAAACTAATGAACTGGGGGTCTGAATGAAAATGATGAGGCACTTTCACTCAGCCAATAAACTTTTACCAGCCCACAAATTCAGGTTCGTATTTTAATGTTGACAGTGACTTGGACTTTTGGGGATTATACCTGTTCCATTGCTAAGAGAGTGATAATTCTCTTTCACGTGTTGCACATCACAATGGTCTCTCTCTGTTATCCAAGCTGGAGTGCAGTGGCGTTATCATGGCCTCAACCTCCTATACTCAAGCGATCCTCCTACATCAGCCTCCTGAGTAGCTGGGACTACAGGTGCGCACCACCTCCCAAATAGTTTTTTATTTTATTATTTTGTAGAGATGGGCTCTCACTGTGTTGCCCAGGCTGGTCTTGAACTGCTAGGCTCATGCAATCCGCCTGCCTTGGCTTCTCAAAGTGCTGGGATTACAGGTGTGAGCCACCACGCCTGGCCAAAAGTTTTAATGTAAAAAACTTCATCAGTATTGTGGCTATGATTCACTCTATCTTCTACTAGTTGTTATGAGTCAAGGAAAGGGTTGGCCTCCAGAACAAAAGGATCTTAAGGCTTGGTCTAGTCATGCCAGGAGTCCTGAGTGACTGTGGAGCAAGCTGAGAGGTCTGCTTTGCTGAAAGACAAGGACAACACATATATAAGGTGGTTTGGAATTAGGGCAACAATTTTGTGTAGTCCTGCCATTGTAGGCCACTGTGATGGGACAGGAATCACCAGCCTTGGGGAGAAGCAACCATTCTCCATTCTCTATTTCTCTATTTTTGCCATTTGGGAAAAGACTTGTGAGTTTGGGACCAAATTGACATCATGGCAAACAAGTGCCATTTACATCCGAAAAGCTGAAATCAAAAGGAGAATAATTCTAGGGGAGAACACTCCACTTCCTCTGATGGGTTCTTGAGTTCCCTGCTCTCTTTTCACTAAACCTTTCCAAAAAAAAAATCCTTGTCACCCAAAAACTCTAACTGGAACCCCTCTGAAGGACCACTCATGTCTTGTGTGTGAGTAACAGCCATGGAAACGTGGTTGAAGAACTGAACTTTAGGACCTGGACTACCCAGAGCAACAGCTACTGCATTCAAGGCTGGAAATTTCCATTTAGAAAATAAAGCTGGCTTAAGAAAGGATTTCCTCATGACAGGGAAAAAATGGACAATTGGTCAACTTGACAAATGAGACTTCCTCATGACAACTGTTAAAGAAAAGCTCTAGGACACACAAGGGAAGCTTGAGACAGTGAAATTTAACTGGGTGCCAAAGCTTCCTCGCAGATAGATGAACTCCAGGTTTCCCCATTTATGCTCAGACAATAAGCCCTTCCTATGCAGGAGACCTGACAGCAGTAACAGCAGAAGCCTTATTCGCGAAGGGACTTTTCTTAACCTTTTATTTTCCTCCCTGTACCTCTAGTCACTTACTTGGACATCATGTCCTGGAGCTAAACAGCAGTATACCCTAAACTTCAAAAACATCTGTGAAAAATGACTGGTCTAAGGGAACTGTATATACCACACAAAGTAGATCATCTTTCCATCCCCTCCTCCACTGATTTCTTCCAAAACAGACATCTGAAAAGCCAGGAAACCAAGAAAGAAACAAACACAAACCACTAGTAAAACCAGCTCCCTTAATAAAAAATATCTTCCAATCTCCAGCTCCCTGATTTGATAAACATCTTAAAATATGTTTGGCTATGACTTTTGATTATTCTGCCTCTGATGTTATTTATTTTAGATCTGAAGATCAGGGGCTTGTGTTTGCTCAGGCAACAGTTTGAGTGATGCTGCAGCGTGAACTCTGGAGTCAGGCAGAGGTAGGCTAGAATCAGACTCCATGTGCACCAGCTGTCTAAATTGGTAAACTGGGGAAGTGACTCAGCGTTTCTAATTTTCATCTGTAAAATGGGGATAATAATAATAGCCTCAGATTTGCTATATGAATCTAATCAGCTTATGTATGTAAATGAGAACATAATCTAGAATAATCCCATACCTGTCCCTATCTACTTCCTTTTCTCTAGATAATTTTGTTTCTTATCATTCCAGAGATTCTTTACAGAAATATAAGCAAATTAAATATATTTTTTTCTTTTGCCTTCTAGCTTACATAAAAGTAGCATATAACTGCTCTGTGCCTTGTTTTTTTCTCTTCATCTATCTTGGAAATCTTTCCATATCAGTACAAGGAGAGCTTCCTCATTCTTCGCCCCCCCCCCCTTTTTTTTTTTAAAGCAGCACGAGATTCCATTGTGTGGCTGTAGCACAGTTTATTTAACCATTCTTTATCGGAAGACATTTGGATTATTTCCAAATATTTCCTACAACAAATAAAGCTGCAGTGAATATTCTTGTACAGAGTGTCATTTTGCATGTATGTGAGTATATCTAAAGGGTTTATACATTTGAAGTTTTTAAAAACAACTTTATTAACATAAAATTTATTACAGTTGTAATTTGATGGCTTTTGCCAAATTGCCCTCCAAAGGGGTTGTGCCATTTTGTACTACCCAGCAATGTATGAGGGTGTACAGTAAACTATTAGAAGTGGGCACTTACAGAAGGTAGGATAGGTGGGCCCAGAGAGAATTTCAACTGTCCTTAAAAATATGACATGTGGCTGGGCACGGTGGCTCACACCTGTAATCCCAGCACTTTGGGAGGCCAAGGGGGGCAGATCACCTGAGGTCAGAGTTTGAGACCAGCCTGGCCAACATGGTGAAACCCCATGTCTACTAAAAATATAAAAATCAGCTGGGCATGGTGGTGTGCACCTGCAGTCCCAGCTATTCGAGAAGCTGAGGCAAGAGAATCACTTGAACCTGGGAGGTGGAGGTTTTAGTAAGCTGAGATTGCACCACTGTACTCCAGCCTGGATGACAGAGCAAGACTCCCGTCTCAAAAGAAAAAAAAATGACATGTTAAAAAAGTTTACATATAGGTCTATATTCTTATTGTAAAATATGGTAAGAATTTAAAGTGTCCCTTGGTTGATACTCTTCTTCCCTTCAACCAGTCCCAGTCTTTCCCATGTTGTGAATTATTTGGTGTGTCAATTAATAATTGTTAAATCCAGTGGCCATTTCTCAGTTTCTGTCCTCCTTGAGATATCTAAAGATCTATTCCCAAGATCCTCTCTTCCTTTGGTGTTCATGACGCAAACATTCTTTTGGTTCGCTCATAATTCTCTGATCCTTTACCATCTTCTCTGGCTTCTCTTCTCTTGCCTTAAAAAACAGGCCTAATAATAGGCAATATTTGTTGAATGCCGATGATGCACAAGAATAACAGAACCCCAAACCACAAGGAGTTTAAGGTCTTAGGGGTGTGGCAGATTGTTTGCAAAGGTGGTTGAGACAATTCCTCCTGCCTCTGTAAGTGTATTAGTTTGCTAAGGTGGCTGTGACAAAATACCACAAATTGCATTACTTAAACAACAGAAACCTATTTACTCACAATCCTGGCAGTTAGAAGTCCAAGATCAAGGTGTTTGAAGGGCTGATTACTTCTGAAGCCTCTTTTCTGAGGGTTAGAGATGGCCATCCTCTCCTTTGTCTTCACATTGTCTTCCCTCTGTACCTGTCAGGAACCTTATCTCCTCTTCTTATAAGGATACCAATCATATTGGATTAGGACCCACTCTAACAAGCTCAGTTTTAACCTAATTACCTCTTCAAAGACCTTGTCTCCAAATACAGTCACATCCAGAGGCACCAAAAGTTAGGACTTCAACATATGTGTTGGGAGGAACAATTCAGCCCATTCCTTAAGCATGCCCTTTACAGTATGATTTTGCTGTCCTCCCCAGTAAGGGGTTTAATCTCTTTCTTCACTTCCTAAGCTAGGCTGGCCTTGTGACTTGATTTGACCAATAGAATGTGGCAGAAGTGATGTTGACCAACCTCCAAGTCTAGACTTGCAGTTTCTACTTATACTTTCTTGGAACACTGCCCTGAGACCACCATATAGGGATGGATGTTGCTATAACCTCCTGGAGGATAAGTGGGCATGGAGGAGGAGAGCTAATGCATCACAGCCATCAATCAGCACTGACTGCCAGTCATTTGAGTGAGGTCAGCTTGGACCATCCAGCTGTTCTTGCCATCATCTGACTGCAATTGCATGAGTAAGCCCAGGTAAGACAAGCTAAAGAAGTGCCCATCCAGCCCACAAAAATAATAAGAAAGAATACACGGTAGTTGTTTTAAGCCACTAAAACATGATTATTGTTATAAATCACTATTTTTACACACAACAGTCATTGATATTGGGGGAGATAGAGAAATTATATAAAAACTATCAACACATTAAGTTTCATAAAAGGAAAAATACATGTTGAGGCAAATAGTGGGAGCCAAATTCATGTGGGAAGGGGAAAAGGTCTTCTGGGAAAGGGATGTTTAAGTTGAGATGTTTATGATGAGTAGGAGTAGTGAGGCAAATTTGGGAGAGTAAAGGGTAGGAGGAGAAGGTATAGGTCAGATTCTATTCAAATACTCACTCTCTCCCCTGCCCTGTGCTCCATGGGAAGAATATGTTTCCCTGCCCCATTTATGTTGGGCTTGGCCATGAGGTTTTCTTGAGCCAATGGTTCATGGTTAGAAATGACCAATGTGTGGTTCTACTGGCCTCTGGGAGCTGCCAGTCATTCAGGGCCTTGAAAGCCATGTTAAAAATGATGGTCTGGGCGCGGTGGCTCACACCTGTAATCCCAGCACTTTGGGAGGCCGAGGCGAGTGGATCACCTGAGGTCAGGAGTTTGAGACCAGCCTGGCCAACATGGTGAAACCCCATCTCTACTAAAAATACAAAACTTAGCTGGGCATGGTGGCTGGCACCTGTATTCCCAGCTACTAGGGAGGCTGAGGCAGGAGAATCGCTTCAACCTGGGAGGCAGAAGTTGCAGTGAGCCGAGATTGTGCCAAGAGCGAAACTCCATCTCAAAGGAAAAAAAAAAAAAAGAAGATGGACTTCGGTGGCTCATGCCTGTAATTCCAGCACTTTGGGAAGCCAGGGTGGGATGATTGCTTGAGGTCAGGAGTTCAAGAGCAGCCTGGACAACACAGTGAGACCCTGTCTCTACAAAAATTAACAAATTAGCCAGGCATGATGGCATGTACCTGTAGTCCTAGCTACTGGGGAGGCCAAGGCAGGAGGATCACTTGAGCTCAGGAAATTGAAGTTACAGTGAACTATCATATGCCATTGCACTCTAGCCTGGGTGGAGACCCTGTCTCAAAAAACCAAACCAAACCAAACCAAACAAGACAAGACAAAAACACACGATGGACCCTTATTCTGTGTAAAACGATGCAGCTGCTATGGAAACCAACATGAAGCTTCCTCAAAAAAATTAAAAAGTAGTACTATCATATGATCTAACAATTCCACTTCTGGGTATATATCCAAAGGGATTCAAAGCAGGATCTCAAAGAGATCCATTTTCATTGCAGCATTATTCATAATAGCCAAGAGGTGGAAACAATCCAGTTGTCCATTGACAGGTGAATGGATAAACAAAATGTCTGTACATACAGTGGAATATTATGCAGCCTTAAAAAGGAGAACCTGTCACATGCTACAACATGGATGAACCTCAAGAACTTTGTGCTAAGTGATAAAAATTCATAAAAGGACAAATACTGTGGCTCCACTCATATGAGGTATCTAAAGGAGTTAAAATGATAGAAACAGAAAGTAGAGAGGTAGTTGCTAAAGGCTGGGAGGAAGGAGGGGCAATTAGTGTTTAATGGGCATACAGTTTCAGTTTTGCAAAATGAAAAAATTCTAAAAATCTCTTGCACAATAACATTCATATACTTAACATTCCTGAATTATACACTTCAAAATGGTTAGTGTTGAGTGTTTGTAACCACAATTAAAAATAAAATTTGAGCCGGGAATGGTGGCTTGCACCTGTAATCCCAGCTACTTGAGAGTCTGAGGCGGGAGGATTGCATGAGGCCAGGAGTTTGAGCCCCCATCTTTAAAAATAAAATAAAACTTGAAAAAAAAAAAGAATGGCCGACTTTATTCTAAAAGCACTGAGAAATCGCTTCATAGTTTTAAACAGGGCAGTGACTTGCTCAGTATATCCTTGCCTTCAAGAACTCATTCCAGTTTCAGCTACCAAGTCTACTCTCAGATTTGGATCTCTGGCCCTGACTTCCCTCAGTGTTCCAGGCTACATTGCTTACTCCCTTTTTTTGAGACGGAGTCTCGCTCTGTCGCCCAGGCTGGATTGCAGTGGTGCGATCTCAGCTTACTGCACCCTTCACCTCCTGGGTTCAAGCAAATCTCCCGTCTCAGCCTCCCAAGTACCTGGGACTACAGGTGCATGCCACCACGCCCAGCCAATTTTTGTACTTTTAGTAGAGACAGGATTTCATCATATTGGTCAGGTTGGTCTCAAACTCCTGACCTCAGGTGATCCATCCACCTCGGCCTCCCAAAGTGCTCACAGGCGTGAGCCACTGCACCCGGCTGCTTACTCCCTTCAAGCTGTTTCTTCCTAGATAGTCAAAATAGTGCATCACATTAATGTATCACGTTAAGTTAAACTGACCCTGGGTCAGGCACTGTGGATTCAATATAGCAATCCCAAGCCTCCAGGGTCTCCTGACATACACAACAACCAGCTTAGTACAATGAAACAAATGCCACTCTCTTTTTCTGGAAATGCCCTCTCTTCTCTCATCCCTTCTGTGCCCAGGAACCAGGTCAAGAATCACACATCTTCTCTAAGATACTTTCCTTATACCCTCAAAATTAATCACGTCCTCCATAACTTATACCTGAGTCTCTTATTGCTGTTGGGTTGTCTATAACTATTTTCATGTATTTAACTGACATATAAGTATGAAAATGGGGCATCTGAATGAGAATTCTTCATTTATCTTTGTTACCTAGGAGATAATCATTATTGCCTCTTATCTAAATAGAATTAGATAATTGGATAGTTGATCTTGTGGTGATGGAGCCTGGGTTCCAGTGACCTGTGCTGGTAAATACAATGTCTGCTCACCGTGCAGAGAAAGTAGAAAGGCTGTTTGGGTTGAATTGTGCCCCCACCGCCTTCCCCCAATTCATAAGTCGAAGTCTTAACCACCAGTAGTTTATGATGTGGCTGGATTTGGAAATAGGGTCTTCATAGAGGTAAGTAAGCTAAAATGACATCATTAGGGTGGGCCCTCATCCAACATGGCTGCTGTCATTCTAAGAAGAGAGTAGGACACCAACAGGTACAGAAGGAAGAACACATGAAGACGCAGGGAGAAGATGGTTCCCTGAAAGCCAAGGAGAGAGGCCTCAGAAGAAACCAGCACCTTGATCTTGGACCTCCAGCCTCCAGAACTGTGAGAAAATGAATTTCTGTTGTTTAAGCCCCAGTACCTGGTGGTTTGTTATGGCAGCCTGAGCTGACTACTACAAAGGGTTATGTCACCTGCCACCATAAGTCAAGGAAAGAGCTGATTTTGGAAAAGAACTTATGTTCAGGAAATACGAAGTGGAAAGGTCCCATCTCAGGGCCCTCCTGTTTGGAGTTTATCCTTCATTTTGTGGAGAGGAACGTGACAGATGTGGTAGAATGGGGAGAGCTCCCTGTGTTTTCCGGCTGGCTTGTGCAGCCACAGTGCAGGCAATGGCCTGGGGCCAACCTGACCCTGCCAGGATTTCAGTAGGCACTTAAGCAAGAAGAAAGACACACACACACACACACACACACACACACACACACACACACACACACACACACAGAGAGAGAGAGAGAGAGAGAGACAGAGAGAATGTAAGAGACAGATTTTGAGTATTTAATGTAAAAAGGAAAAATGATTTTTTCTTCCACTAGCAGATATGCTTAGAACATCATGATGATATCCCTAAAGTAGCCATGAATGTATTTTTGACTCAGTATCATTTCAGTGACTTTAATAGAGGACATTTTACTGGGTTTTAAAAAGTCTGAAGATCTCCACAGCCATTCTTGTTCCAACATGTAGGAATAGCTGGCTCTCAATTAGCTGTCTTATTAAAAGGATTCACAGGGCTACCTATTATTAGTGTATATTATTTTTCTCAATGCTTTAGATAATTTGGCATTTATTTACTGTTGCCATAGGAACCCAGGTCTGTAATAAGCAGCTCTTTCAATTCTGACAATTAGGCTTATAGAAAAGAATATTTTAATGAGGTGAAGAATTTAGAGAGCCCAGCCAGAGGTCTGGTGGAAGAAGAACGTTGTTCTCTAAACAGTTACAAAATTAGCTTAGATTGTCCTTTGTTACAATTGCCTTCTTTGACAACTACTGAGTGTTCTTTAGTCAGACCTCCCTGAAGATCTGTGGTTTTCCGTAAAGATTGAGGTTTTCTTATTTCTTAGAAAATGAAATGCTGTCCAATCCCATCTGCCTCTTACACCTGGGCTGCTCTTGAGTTAGAGGGAATGCATCTTCTCCTTCTTGCTCTCAATCGGAGAAAGACTAGATTTACCTTAAGCTTCACAGAAAATAAAGACTCTTTTAAAAAAATTACTCGAGAAAAACAATTTTGCCTTTCTATATTAAGGAATATTTGGAAGCCATAAATCTTGTCTTTCTTATATTCTTTGCCTATAAAATATTTTGGAGGAATATTTATTAATTAATTTTAATGACAGATGCCCCGTGCACAAAGCACAAAAATCAAGAGGCATTCAGTGAAATATTAGTCTCCCTTCTATCCTTGTCCCCAGATGACAACTATTGTTACCCATTTCCTTTGTATTCTTCTAAAGTTATTCTCTGCAATCAAATACACACACACACACACACACACACACACACACACACACGCAATGACAGCATATTAAGGATACTGTATTGTAACTTTTTTTCCCCACTTACTACTGAAAGTTGGGTGCCATTCTATTTCATTACATAAAGAGCTGCCTTGTTCTTTATAAGAGCTTTTCCCTGTAATTATTTAGCAGTCATGTATTGAGTGCTATAGACATGGTGTGGGGCCCTAGTGACATCAAGGTGAGGACCACAAAGTCCCTGTTCTCAGAAGCCCACATGAGTAGAAGAGGCAGACACCTTTGGAAGCAGCTGCTGCCCAGTGCACAGTGCTATGAGTAGGTCAGGTGGAAGGGGAGGTGGATGCACGCAGGAGGGTGTCTGGCTTTGCTCAGATGCTGCTTGAGCAGCATCTTGAAGGGTAAACCAAGGACTTGCAGGTAGAAAAGGAAGGCAAGTTTATTCCTGGTAAAGGAAGCAATAAATGCCAAGTCCTATAGATTATAAAACAGCCTGGTGTTTTGGGGAATTGAAGGTTTGTTTGGGTTTGTTACGGTTGGAGAGCAGGGTGTGTGTGTGTGTGTATGAAATTAGATCAGTGGTTTTCAAACTTCTTGACCACAATCCAGTTAAGAAATGTATTTTACACCACCACACAGTGTATATGTGTGTTCGTGTGTGTGTAAAACAGACATAAAATGTCATAAAACATTTAATATTTATTAAATGTACTCCGGTATTTTTCTACTAAATTCCATTCTACTTTTTTTTTTTTTTTTTGAAGACAGAGTCTCACTCTGTCACCAGGCTAGAGTGTAGTGGCATGATCTCAGCTCACTGCAACCTCCGCCTCCCTGGTTAAAGCGATTCTCCTGCCTGAGCTTCCCAAGTAGCTAGGACTACAGGTGCACGCCACCACACCCAGCTAATTTTTGTATTTTTAGTAGAGACGGGGTTTCACCATGTTGGCCAGGATCGTCTCGATCTCTTGACCTCATGATATGCCCACCTCGGCCTCCTAAAGTGCTGGGATTACAGGCGTGAGCTGCCACACCCAGCCTCTTTTTTTCTTTTGAGATGGAGTCTTGCTCTGTTACCCAGGCTGGGTGCAGTGGTGCAATCTTGGCTCACTGCAACCTCCACCTCCTGGGTTCAAGCAATTCTCTGGCCTCAGCCTCCCCAGTAGCTGGGATTACAGGTGCATGCCATCATACCCGGCTAATTTTTATATTTTCAATAGAGACAGGGTTTTGCTATGTTGGCCAGGCTGGTCTCGAACTCCTGACCTTAGGTGATCCACCCACCTCGGTCTCCCAAAGTGCTGGGATTACAGGCGTGAGCCACCACACCGGGCCCATTCTATTTATTTTTTAAAATGCTAGTCATAACTTTCTACATTGATTTTGCAAACTACTAATAGGCACTATCTGTGAGTTGAAAAATTCTGGACTACATTGTGTCTACAGACACTAATATTCTATAACCTAGTCAGCCTCTCCCTGATTTATATGACCATGACCACTTTCTGAATTAGAAGATATTGACAGGAATCAAAAAGCTTATTTGGGGGCCAGATGTGGTGGCTCATACCTAATCCCAGCACTTTGACAGGCTGATGGGGGAGGATCCCTTGAGGCCAGGCATTGGAGATCAGCCTGGACAACATAGTGAGACAGGCTGTATTTTTTTTTTTTTTAAAGAAGCTTAGCTGGGTGCGGTAATCCCAGAACTTTGGGAGGCTGAGGCAGGTGGATCAATTGAGCTCAGGAATTCGAGACCAGCCTGGGCAACATGCCAAAACCCCATCTCTACAAAAAATACAATAGTTAGCTGGGTGTGGTGGTGCATGCCTATAGTCCCAGCTACTCTGGAGGCTAAGGCAGGAGAATCACTTGAGTCTGGGAGGCGGAGGTTGCAATAACCCAAGACTGCACCATTGCACTCCAGCCTGGGTAACAGGAATGAAACCCTGTCTGAAAAAAATGAAAGCTTATTTGGACATTCACTCAGAAATATTTATTCAGCAGCTACAATTTCTTAGACACTATGATACATGCTAGAGATACGGTGGGAAGGAAAACGAAACTTGGCCTCTACCCTCATAGAACCAAAAATCGGTGTCCTGAATGATTTGCAATAATTAAAAATGCATATTCTAATCTTTTTATTAGAATTAGATAAGATATGCAAAAATGCATATTTTAATCTAAAAGTAAAATATGCTTATTGTAAAAAAATTCAAACTATATAAAAAAGTATAACATAGTAAGCAAAAAAAAAAAAAAAAATTCTGGCTGGGCGTCGTGGCTTACACTTGTAATCCCAGCACTTTGAGAGGCTGAGGCGGTCAGACTGCTGGAGGTCAGGAGCTGGAGACCAGCCTGGCCAACATCATGAAACCCTGTCACTACTAAAATTACAAAAATTGGCCAGGGGTGGAGACACACATCTGTACCCCCAGCTACTTAGGGAGGCTGAGGCACAAGAATGGCTTGAACCCATGAGGCAGAGGTTGCAATAAGCCAAGATTGCACCATTGCACTCCAGCTTGGGCAACAGAGTGAGGCTCTGTTTCCAAATTGCTTCCCCTTACTTTTTTTTTTTTTTTTTTTGAGACAGGGTCTCGCTCTGTCTCCCAAGGTGGAGTACAGTGACACAATCATGGCTCACTGCAGCCTTGATGTCCCAGGCCCAAGTGATCTTCCCATCTCAGCCTCCAGAGTAACTGGGACTCCAGGAGCACCACCATGTGTGGCTAATTTTTTAAAATTTTTAATAGGGTTGAGGTCTCGCTATGTTGCCCAGGTTGGTCTTGAACTCCTGAACTCAAGTGATCCTCCCTACTTGGCCCCAAAGTGCTGGGATTACAGGAGTGAACCACTGTGCCTGGCCCTCCTTATCTTTTTTTGGATAAAGTTTCTGTATTTATTTTATTCGAATAGAAGGACTGAATTTCTGCTTGAATTTCTGACCCCCTGGGAAATCTTTTGGGGGAGTGTGACTCTGCTTGCCAGAGCTTCATCATCCCCACCTCGAGAGAGCTAGTTTAATCCAGGAGAGTTGAGCACCAGGCCCTCAACCTTTGGTGCCTCAACTTGACATTGCCATATTTCAATGACATTCTGCTTAGAGGCCAACGAACTGGCCTGTCCATATGTTAATTGCAGCAGGAAAGCTTCCAGGTAACTGAGGACATTGAACAATGCCATTACTGCTAAGATTATATCATCACTTTTGGTATTTTTTGCCCAGGTATTTTTTTGCCTGAATCCCCCCAAGATTATCCAAAAACTAGACTAAGATTTCTGGATTCTTGCATAAACTTCTGCTTCAATTTGGCTGTCCAGGGCTGGGCTCTTAAACCTCTGAAGCAGGCTGAAGAGGAAATAGTGTGGGGAAGTTGGATACAATCATGCATTGGAGGAAAAGATTTGGTTTGAGTCATTCACAGATATTCCCAGAGCATCTGCAGATTGCAGATTTCTGTGTGAGGAGCCTTGAGGGCCTCAAAGTTGAACAAAGTTCTCCACCATATTTAACAGAGAGCTAGAACATTGTAAGCTTCATGGAACATTCTTTGGAGAAGCAGAGCATTTTACAGCCATTGTGTTCACCCAGGATTAGACACTCAGAGGATCAGATTAACCTGCACTTATTTAGTTGGAAAGAAGTTTGAAGACAATGAAAAGAGGATTTAGTGACTTTTATGGTAGTTGTTAAATTATGTTCAGTGGAATGCTGCATCTGACTTTATTTATGAGTGGTTTTATATTTCCAGAATATTTGGTTCCTGATCTACTTATAAAATTTTTCTGATCTTGTTCCCCATTCTTTTGACACTTCCTGATAAAAATATCTTTTGCTGTCAGTCTAGAGCTTTGTTTCTCCATAAAGAATATATGTTACTTTCTTTCTTCTCTATTATTCATTTTCTATTCAGGCCAAGGCAAGTCACAACATTATTTGTTGAACAAGCGCTGTGAGCCCTCAAGAGCAGAAATGAGTCTCACCTCTCTTTCTCTTTTTTCCCCTCTGTGCAAAAACTAACACATACAAGTCCAATTTAGAACAGTTAACTTTTAGTGAACACACCTACTATGCAGACTTAAGCCTTGCATCCAACTTATGTATCATCTGATAGAAAGGCCCAAGAACACAAACAATTAAAATAAGAAGCAGAATCTATAAAGTGCTACCAGGAATCACAGGCATTTGAATGATCCTGTTTGAGGGTTCAGTAAAATTGTTTTTAGTAAATGAAATTTGAATTGGATCTAGATGACTGTTAAGATTTCAACCATTACTTAACATTATTCAGTACCTGTTATGCTAGGTGCTGGGATGCAAAGTCTCTGCAACTGTAGAGTACTTAGAGACTAGTAGGGAATACAACACATGTATTTGTCGAGACCCTGCTGGCTTAAGCATAAGAGGCACCTGGTTGGCTCATACAATTGACAAGTCCAGGAGGGGAGGTGGTGTCAGGCGTAAGTGGATCCGGGAACTCAAATAATGGGATTGTTGCTTAGGTCTCCTCTTTTTTCTCCCTTTACAATTGGACTTCCTCTATGTGGTAGTGGTTAGAAGGCATTGCGTGGAAATTGGCCACAGACAACTTCTGGCTTACATCATCTCAGCTGTTAGACCCAAAGAAAGAGAGATCTTTTCACCTTTCATGTATATGACCCTGAGAAGAGATGCTTGTAGGCTCAGCTTTGGTCATGTACCTACAATTATAGCCAGAGGGCCCTGGAGTCATATTCAGAAGCCATAGCAGATCCACAATGAATGAAGGAGGGGCAATTCTCTAACTACAGGTTGCAACTGGTACCAAAGGAAGGAGGGGCCGTGGAGGAAGAGATGTTGGGCAGATGAGCAGAAGAGACTCTCTGAAGGAAAACAAAAAATTACAATAAAATATGACAAAGGCTCTAATAGAGATATGTATTAAGTGCCATTAGAACACTGATAATGGAGTGACTTACGTCACGGAGAGGGCATTCCTGGGATAGCAAAATATATAAGTAAGGACACAGAGGTAGGAAAGCAATGGAGCTGTTTGTGGTCCAATCTGGCTCAGTACTGGGTAGGTATACTAAGAGGAGCAGAAGGAGACAGAGGAGAATTTAGAGACAGGTCTAAAATGCTATTAGAGACAGGTCTAAAATGCTATTTCAGGGCCCTACTGGGTAGGGCTGGTCACAACAGAGACTCAGCCACATTTTCTCTTCTTTCTCTTACCCTTCAACACTTTGTGTCTGGCTTCACTACCATCTTTCCATTGGCGAGTTCTTGCTAAGGAGTTCTTGTTCACCTTTCTTAACATTCTTATCTCCTTTCTCCTTCTGCAAACATTCTTTTCCCTGGGCTTCCTCAATGCCACACTCTCTTGCTTCCTTCCAAACTCTCTAGCTACTAAGTTTTTTATTGTGGTAAAATACATAGAACATAAAATTTGTGATTTTAACCATTTTAAGTGTGCAATTCACTGGCATTAATTACATTCATGCTGTCTAAATTGGGATAATTAATGCTTTATTGGGTTTCTCCCAGCAGCCTCCTCCAAGCTGTAACCTCCAGAAAGGAAAGGAGGAGCTCTGTTCTGCTTGCCACTGTAGCCACTGTGCCTGTCACAGACTACACGTTCAGTGTGTATTTGTTGAGGAACGAGTAGAGAGAGTGCTGGTTATTTTCCATCTACCTCGCCTGATCCATTCCCTGACTTCTCCACCTGGGGAGGCTGTCCTCTGCAGACCTGGCTTCCTGGCTGGGGGACTTCTGATTGAGTTTGAGCAGAGGAGGATGCCAGCTGATCAGATGGCAAGAGGAGAGAGAAGCTGAGTTTCTGAGCTGCCTCCCTTCATGACTATAGCTCCTAAGGGCACCAGCTTTTGCACGTCTCCAGCTCGCTATGGGCTCCAGGAACACTGGCCCTTGGCATGGCCATGGTTTCCCACTGCTGGTATTTTCTGAGTGTCTCACCATTACTTTTTTTTTTTTTTTTTTTTTTTGAGACCGGGTCTTGCTGTGTCACCCAAGCTGGACTGCAGTGGCACAATCACAACTCACTGTAGCCTCAACCTCCTGGGCTCAAGCCTCCCACGTCAGCCTCCCAAGTAACTAGGACTACAGGTGCATGATACCATGCCCAACTAATTTTTTATATTTTGTAGAAATGGGGTCTTTCTGTGTTGCCCAGGCTGGTCTTTCACTCCTGGGCTGAAGCAATCCTCCTGCCTTGGCCTCCAAAAGTGCTGGGATTACAGGCGTGAGCCACCACACCCAGCCCACTTTTTTGAATTCTTAACTCTACCCACAACTCTGTAATTAGTTCTTCTGTGATCCTGACTAATAACAGAGACAAACAAAGGTAGTGAGGGCTTGCACCAGGGAAAAACAGAAAAGAGAAGTGAGGATAGATGTATAATAAGTGAACCCTACAAGATTTAGCAACTGATTCCCCACATGATCCATCTGTTCTGTGAGGGCAGGAATTCTATTTCATTCATTCTTTATCCTCAATAGCTAGTTCTTGGTACTCAATAAATATTGGTGAAATGATTTATCGGAAGGGTCAAAGATAATTCTGAGGTTCAAATCTGTAGGCCCAAGTAAGGGGGGAGTCAGGTTAATGTGCAAGTAGTAATTAAAGTCGGTAATAATAACACAGAATGACAGTATAGAAATAGCAGGATTTTTAGGGTCAGATTGATCTAAAATCCCAACTTTCCCATCCAATCTTGAGTAAATGACTTGACACTTTTCTTTGAGGTCAGTTTCCTTCTTGGTAAAATGGGAGAAAAAAGTCTCCAACTCATAGTGTTGCTGTCGGGAGTAACTGAGATGATATAGGCCGAACGTACAGTCACTCTGAGAGAGACCCCCACCAAGCTAGATATCTTGAGATGTGACAAAGAGACCGAAAGGCATCAGGAACCATTCACAAGGGTTTCTTTGAAGTACATTTCTTGTTACCAGGACACAAGCCATTGGTTACCTGTGTCTCTTACACCCCTTCCTGGAATACCACAGCAGATTTTTTAATCTTCCTTCAACCTTCCATTTTATGGAATCCTAGAAAGTTACAACTTGTGCCATCATTATTCAACAGATTGGATTTTACTTTAGAACTCTGAGCTCCTCAGGGGAGGACTGGTCCTTTTAAATATATATATATATATATATATATATAAAAAATATATTAACATAAATAATATATTTATTATTTATTATTTTTATTATTATAAGCCCTCATCATTTTATTGTGCCTTTGTTTTAAGCACTTGAATAAGACTGTTAGGAATACATTAACCCTGTAGCAGAGATGGAATTCAGACTCAAGCCCTCTTCCACCTTTTCTGCCCTTTGTGTCTTTTCTCTTCTATCCTTCTCTAAATGCCTTTAATTAGACCAATTCGTATTGGTCTCAAAGATAGAATGTCTCCACCCCAACTGGACAGCTGGCTTCATATTTTAGTCTGTTAAGAGGAACCAGAATGGTTTTGCTGAGTAACTATGCATGCTTCCCCAGGAGACAATGCAGTTCCAGAAACCGGGCAGACGAGAGGAAGAACTTCCCTTTCAAGATATTTTTAATTCAAATGATGACCTCTATTGACCTACACCCAGAATTAATTTTCCCTTCTAACTCGTGAGAGTTGGCTTTCCTGTTGTTTCTGTTGTCACTCCTTTCTCCTTTAAGACATCTCTGTAAGGCCAGGCGCGGTGGCTCACGCCTGTAATCTCAGCACTTTGGGAGGCCGAGGTGGGCAGATCACTTGAGGTCAGGAGTTTGAGACCAGCCTGGCCAACATGGTGAAACCCTGTCTCTACTAAAAACATAAAAATTAGCTGGGCGTGATGCTGGACGCCTGTAATCCCAGCTACTCAGGAGGCTGAGGCAGAATTGCTTGAACCTGGGAGGTGGAGGTTGCAGTGAGCCAAGATCATGCCACTGCACTCTAGCCTAGGCGACAAGAGCAAGACTCCGTCTCAAAAAAAAAAAAAAAAAAAAAGAAAGAAAAGAAAAAGAAAAAAAGACATCTCTGTAAGACTTATCTTTCAAAGAATCTCTATGTATCAGGTTTTATTTTCAGACTCCAGGACTTGGTGTCCAAGAACACTTGTTCATCATCATGTAGTTTACTCTGGTTGAACATTTACAGCTTTACAGACATGCTATTGTTATAAGTTTACCAAGGCAAGCTACTAACTTCAGATTAAGAAAGCATGCTTTAGGCCAGGCACAGTGGTTCACACGTGTAACCCCAGCATTTTGGGAGGCTAAGGCGGGCGGATCGCTTGAGCTTAAGAGTTCGAGACCAGCCTGGCAACATGGTGAAACTCCGTCTCTACAAAAAATACAAAAACGAGCTGGGTGTAGTGGTGCACGCCTGCATTCCCAGCTACTCAGGAGGCTGAGGTGGGAGGTTGACTTGAGCCCAGGAGGCGGAGGAGGTTGCAATGAGCCGAGATCATGCCACTGCACTCCATCCTGGGTAACAGAACCAGACTTGTCTCAAAAGAAAAGCATACTTTAAAGGTGCAATATTGTATATTTTAAGTATGCATTAACATGTTGGGAGAGTAAGACCGAAAGACTCCTTGGAGTCCATATAATCCAATATAAGGGCAAAAAAAAAAAAAGCATACGTTGAATTTTCATTGCAAACATACAACTTATTCTTAACTATCATTTCCTTATTTCCAGGTTTCTTATACTATAGTTCCTTTGGCTTATACAAAAACGCTCCTGCTACCTCATGGAAGTATTTGCACTCTAACCAATTGATTTCAGAGCTTCTGAAAGGCTGAGAGAGACCCAAGCTGCCTTCTTTTTTTTGAGGCTGCTTGTATATTAACATTTTTTAAAATGATAAAATAAGGTTTTAAAAATTGTGATGTTTCAAGTGTTTACATTTTAACAAACTAATGCCTGTAATACCAAAAAAAAAAAATTACAGCACAATATAGTTGTGCCAATAAGGATATAGTTAAAATATTTAATTTTAAAAATCCATGCGCCAGGCACATGACTCATGCCCATAATCCCAATACTTTGGGAGGCCAAGGCAGGAAGATCACTTGAGCTCAGGAGTTCAAGACTAGCCTGGGAAACATAGTTAGACCCCATTTCTACAAAAAATACAAAAGTTAGCCAGGCATAGTGGTGCAAGCCTGTAGTCCCAACTAGTTGGGAGGCTGAAGTAGGAGGATCGCTTGAGCCTGGGAAGTTGAGGCTATAGTGAGCCATGACCATGCCACTGCACTCCAGCCTGGGCAACAGTGTGAGGCTCTGTTTTTTTTTTTTTTTTTTTTTTTAATCTGTGGTATACTAAAGATCATGTAGTTTAGTCATGGATCTCAATTTTATGTATTTATTTATTTAAGTCAGGGTCTCCTCTGTTGCCCAGGCTGGAGTAGTTTTCTCTAGGTTCACTGCAAACTCTGCCTCCTAGGCTCAAGCGATTCTCCCAACTCAGCCTCCCGAGTAGCTGGCACTACAGGCACACGCCACCACGCACAGCTAATTTTTGAATTTTTGTAGAGACGGGGTCTCACTATGTTGCCCAGGCTAGCTTTGAGCTCCTGAGCTCAAGCAATCCTCCCACCTTGGCCTCTCAAAATGCTGGGATTACAGGCATGAGCCACTGCACCCAGCCTTGAGTCTCAATTTTAAACTTGGAAGGAGAGTGTCTTCTTTCAATTCCACCAAAGTATCTTTGTGTAACTTCCTCTGGAGGCAGTGTTAAAAGCCTAAATCCTAAAAGCCCAGGCCAGATGGCTTTCAGCTCTGTGCTCATTTATCCTTCTCCTCTCTTACCACAAGCCAAGAATATTTAGTTGATTTGGGGAAAGCACATTATTATTTAATAATATGTAATGAATTAAAGATGATCATCATCAACTCTTACCCATTTCAACTGTGTAAAGAAAAACTCTGAATAATCCCAGCTTGGGTAAGTGCAGCAAAGGGCAGATTCTAAGATCAGTCTCTCTCCCAAATGGTAAAGCCTAGCTTTTCCTTAGCTAATTTTTATTCGTGTCAGTTTGCTATGTCTTGTTTAGATCACAAGCTCCTTACAAAGGAATTCTATCCAGAGCTAGTACTAAAAACAGTAATTAATATTATTAGTTAATGCCCATTTAAACTGTTTTTTTGAGATGGAGTTTTCACTCTTGTTGCCCAGGCTGGAATGCAGTGGCACAATCTTGGCTCACTGCAACCTCCGCCTCCTGGGTTCAAACGATTCTTCTGACTCAGCCTCTCGAGTAGCCAGGATTACAGGCACGTGCCACTACGCCCGGGTAATTTCTTTGTATTTTTAGTAGAGACAGGGTTTCACCATGTTGGCCAGGCTGGTCTTGAACTCGTGACCTCAGGTGATCTGCCCCCCTCAGCCTCCCAAAGTGCTGGGATTACAGGCATGAACCACTGTGCCTGGCTAAACTGTTTGTTTTAATATTTAAACTGAAAAACAATTTTCACTGACGTTCCATTTCATGTACATTTCATTACAATTTTGTAATACATTTACAAATTTGTAGATATGGGCTGGGCATGGTGGCTCACGCCTATAATCATAGCACTTAGGGAGGCTGAAGTGGGAGGATCAGTTGAGGCCTGGAGTTTGAGACCAGCCTGAGCAATACAGAGAGATCCCATCTCTACCAAAAAAGAAAAAAAAATTAGCCTGGCTTGGTGGCACATGCCTGTAGTTCCAGCTACTTGGGAAGCTAAGGTGGGAGGATTGCTTGTGCTCAGGGGGTTGAGGCTGCAGTGAGCCATGATCATACCACTGCACTCCAGCCTGGGCCACAGAGCAAGACCCTATCTCTAAAAAAAAAAAAAACGAAAAATAAAATTATGTATAGATGTGGAAATATCCTGAACTCCACACTTGTGAACACAGACACTGCCACTGTCAGCCAGCACATAATACATATATACCTCCATACGTAAGCAAATATCACTCACTCACATAATTGCCTTTGATTTGAAAATACCGTTTCAACTGTAGTCACAGAAGAGATGCTCAACCATCTGCATGTAATTTGTAGCTGAAACTACCCTTTTGTGTAGACAAATTGGCTGTTCCATGGTGTTGATAGAAACCAGATATAGTTGGATTTAGATCCTCAGCCATCTGGGTCAGTGGGTTATGGGAGAGAGGGTGGATGTCACTGAAGAGATTCCCATAACAGCAACGGAGAAAGGTTTAGGGGCCATGGTCTTCCTAAGAGGCTGAGAAAGCTCACATAACCCCATCTGCTTCGGGCCAGCCCAGACAGAAAGTAGATTAATGAAGGTTAAGCAGTCTGGATAGAAAGTTGAGCTTCTCCTTTTTGTAAAGGAGGAAAAGCCAAGCAGAGATGTAATTTCAGCAGAGATCTCAAAAGAGGGCAGAGAAAGGAGTATTTAGAGAATAAAGGGAATTTACAAATATATCCCTCTATTGAACACACAGAATACTCGTTTGAATGTCAGTTTCCTCCTAAATATTATATTTAAAAGTTTATTAAAGTAATGATTGTTGTTTCTTTTAACAGTTACACATTTTTGAAGTATTTTTTCTTCTTAGCAAAATACAGAATGCCCTCCCCCAAGTACACTGTATCAAATTAATGTGATTGCAAAATTCCCCAGCACAGAGTTTGGGAAGGTCAAGTGCCAAGTGGCCCCTATGTGAGGGATGCTGCTTTTCTGAAAACAAACACAAAAAGCTTAGTTGTACTTTTTTTTTTGAGATGGAGTTTCACTCTGTCACTGGGGCTGGAGTGCAGTGGCTCCATCTCGGCTCACTGTAACCTCCACCTCCCGAGTTCAAGCAATTCTCCTGCCTCAGCCTCACCAGTAGCTGGGAGTACAGGCGTGTGCTGCCATGCCCAGCTAATTTTTGTATTTTTACTAGAGATGGGGTTTTGCTATGTTGGCCAGCCTGGTCTCGAACTCCTGACCTCAAGTGGAGGAGGCCTCGGCCTCCCAAAGTGCTGGGATTACAGGTGTGAGCCACTGCACCTGGCCTAGACCACAATTTTCAAGGGCTCTATGGACATATGCTGTTATGCAAAGTGAAGGGCTTTAATCAGAATAAATGTCAAGATCCTTTCTAATTTTAAAATTGGAATCTATTGTTCACAAAAGTTAGAAAGTACTGTAGCAATATTTATAGGGTTTCCCCCCTTTCTTTCTCTTTAAGAGCAAAAAAGAAAAGGATTGTGTTCCTGAGAGAATTTGTGATTGTTCACTAAGACAAAGTCAGTCATCAACTAAGTCAAGTAGTGACTATGCCTCAGAGAACAACTGGCAGCTATTCAGTTTTAATTCCCACACTTGAATATGAGAAATAGTTCCTTTCAGACTCTTTAAAAAAAAATCCTACTAGTGTTAAAGTTTAGCAGTTTCAAATGAGAGGTCTCTAGTGGTGCTGGTTGGGCTCTCTGGGAAGCAGATGCTGAGAAACGGTAGGTGTGGGAAAGGTTTTGTGGGGAGTAAAGGCCGTCAAGACAAAGGGGAAGGAAGCAGGCTTGGGCAGAAGGAGCCAGCAGACCCAATCAGACTTGATGAAGACTCTGGCAAAGCCAGGGGAGCCGTGAGCACAGATAGTACATTAAAGGAGTCTTCTGTGCGGCGGAAATGTCTATGCCCTTGTCTACCGCCTGCCTCCATCACTGCTGCGGGCCGCCCTGGAAAGAGTGGGATCTTGGCTGCAAAGCTGATGCTAGTCCTTAGGGAGCTGTAAACGGGAGGCTGTCACCAGCCACGCTGCTTCCAGCTGGGCTCCATGTGTCGTGGGAGCATCAGAGAAGCACCAGGGCCTTCAGTGACACGTGCTAGCCACACTTTTACTACATTTCTGGAGGAGACGCCACCTTTCATTCTCAAAAAACTTCAAATCTTATCCATTTCCCTGCCCCTCATCTTGTCCCTTTCCCAAAGAGACAAGTCTAGGTTCCTCTCACTTTGTTACGCAGAGCAGTTCAGCACAATCAAAATAATTCTTCTTTCCTAGTGGACAGAGTCATCTTCAAAGAGTATTTTCCCTGGATATGAACATGTCACTCCCTTAATCTGATAAAATGGTTGTGGGAAATTCTTGCTTTAAGTGGCACTTTCCACTTCTTATTCCAGAGGGAAATAACTGGGCATGGTAAGAACGGAGAGTGACATTTGGGAGCTGAATATGAGAATGTTACTGCCCTAGATGCAGCTGGTGCCCTCCTGGTGTACACTCTTTTGACCTTTCACCTTCTAAGCTCACTTTTGGGGCTTAAAGTTTTACATAGATCAGATTTGGGTTTAGGGTGGGAATGGTATAGAAGCTAAAGAGTTACTTTATTCAATATTCATGCCTTAACTCCTAAAACAGAATTTCAGGGATTCAGACACCACCCCTTGCCTCTAGTTGACATTTGATAAGTGTTGATTGGGATGTTTAATTAATAATTAATTATGTACAAAGAAGAAATTTTACTCTACAAACTCAAAAGTCTAGTAAGTATCTTATACTTCTGAGTATTTGTTTAAAACCAAATGGGCATGCCTATCTCTTTCCTGTACTGAAATTCTGGAGCCTTATGGATATGCATCATTATGAAGACTGTCTTTTCCATAGGATAGGTTCCTAAATGTGGAATTTTCAGGTCAAAGGGTAAGTGTATTTTGAATTTCAACATAGAGTTCCACATACTGACTCATCCTCAAAAGTATGAGTTTCTGATTAACTGCACATCACTGGCCTGAAAATCATCAATCTTTTCAACTGCAGATGGGTAAAAATTCAATTTTGTTTTTATTTTAATTTGCATTTCCCTGTCTACTGGCAAGATTGAGCACTGTTTTATATGCTTATATAGCATCTGTACTTCCTTTGATACACTGGATCTTTTGTCTTCTTACTGCTTTGTAAAACCCTTATGTAAGTAAGGGCTCTTAACTCTTTTCTGCGTGTTTATGCTCATTTAATTTACCATTTGTCTTTTGACTATCTATAGGCTAGTAAAGACACAGTCCCCTGCCCCTCAGCTCATATTCCAGTGAAAGCATCAGAGGAAAGACAGATAACCTGATAAAGCTACACACAGCTAATACATCTCAATAAATGTCAGATGGGGCATTTCTAATATTTGAAGGCTAAATTTGTTTTCTCATTAAAAGTACCTTTAGGCTGGTTACAGTGGCTCATGCCTGTAATCCCAGCACTTTGGGAGGCCTAGGCAGGTGGCTCTCTTGAGGACAGAAGTTTGAGACCAGCCTGGGCAACAGCAAGACTCTGTCTCTAAAATAAATAAATAAATAAATAAATAAACAAATAAAAATTAGCCAGGTATGGTGGCACATGCCTGTGGTCCCAGCTACTTGGGAGGTGGGAAGATCGCTTGAGCATGAGAGGTAGAGGCTGCAATAAGTTATGATCGCGCCACTGCATTCCAGCCTGGGTGACAGAGTAAGACTCTGTCTCAAAAAAAACAGCAAAAACCCCTTTTAATGGGTAATAAAAACTATGTAACTCCATAGATGGTTACTGGCATACTTTCATTATTAAGTCAGGGAAAAGATCAGTACTTTTAGTTTTGCCAGAGTTTGACCTCTTTCAACCTCATTCAACTTCTATCCCGTCCCTTATCAACCTACTACTCCCAAATTCCATTCTTCCTCAGAATGTTTCTTTCTACTCTTCTATTTTCAAAGGAATGGTACTTGTAAGTTTGTGATAGAGATATGGTTTCTTTTTCTTCTTCTCCTTTTTTTTTTCTAGAGACATGGTCTTGCTCTCCAACCCAAACTATAGTGCAGTGGCACAATCATAGCTCACTGCAGCCTCAAACTCCTGGGCTCAATCCCCCCCATTTCAGCCTCTTGAGTAGCTAGGAAGTACAGGTGTACACCACCACACCTGGCTAATGTTTTTAAATTATTTTTTGTAGAGACAGGGGTCTTGCTATGCTGTCCAGACTAGTCTTAAACTCCTAGCCTCAAAGGATCCTCCCACCATGGCCTCCCAAAGTTCTGGGATTGCAGGTGTGAGCTACTGCTCCCACACTGATAGAGATTTTGCATTGATCTCCACTGAGCCTTTAAACTCTAAATATATACATAAATGACATCTGAGAAGTCTTGCTTTCTTCAAATAGTTGATTATGCAAAAAGAAGTTTCAAATTTTAGTATCTTAAAATCAGACAGCCTATTTCCCTGTTTAGTATTCACTCACTTAACAGATATTGATTGCATACCTCGATATACTAGGCACTGTTTTAAGTGCCGTGGGTATAACATGACATCCATATGTTCGTGGAACTTACATCCTAGTTATGGGGGAGAGTGACATTAAGCCAGTAAAAACATAAGTATATAATATGTCAGATGGTGATATATACTGCAAAGAAAAAAATAGGGCAGCATAAGTGGAGGGTTACAAGGTGAATTGTGTTCCCCCTCCCCCAAATCCTAACCCCCAGTACTGGAAATGTGATATTATTTGGAAAGAGGTTCTTTGATCAGGTCAAAATGAGATCACTAGGGTAGACCCTAATCTCAGATGACTAGTGTCCTTATACAATGGGGAAATCTGGGCACAGACATGCACACAGGGAGAATGCCATGTAAAGAAAAAGGCAGAGATCAGGGCAATGCTTCTATGAGCCAAGGAACACTGAAGACTGTCAGCAAACCACCAGAAGCTAGCAGAGAGGCACAGCACAGATTCTTCCTTGTAGCCTGCTGAACAAAACAACTCAGCTGACACCCTGATCTCAGACTTCTCGCTACCAGAACTGTGAGACAACAATTTTCTGGTGTTCAAGACACCCCAATTTGTGGTGCTTTATTATGGTAGCCCTAGGCAACTAATACAGAGAGGGAAAGGAAGATTTTAGATGGGGCGGGGAGTGTGAGGAATGTTGACATGTGAACAGATAACTGAATTGTGTCAAACAGTTCACTGTGAGTCACATATAATAGTAGAGGGAACAGCACATGTGAAGGTCCTCTGGTGGGAGAATGCTTGGCATGTGTAAGGAACACCAAGTCAGGGTACCTGATGTATAATGAACAAAGTTGGGGGGAAAGGGAGGAGACAGGCTAGACCATGTTGTGACCTGTGGCCATGTGTGGACAGCTGGCCTTTTCTCTGGGTAAGATGAGAAGGTATTGCAAGGTTGTGAGCAGAGAAGTGACATCCCCATTGTCACAAGTAGAGAATTCAGTTTTTGGTTAAGCAGAAACTAAGTTCCAAGTTCCTGGTTTATGGTTTTGTTTATGCATCTGTGTTAGCCAGGACTCTTGGGTTGCAAGTGAAAAGATCCAACTCAAACTCTCCTAAGCAAGGGAAATAATTTACTAGCTCACATAACCAACAACCAGTCTATGAATACTTTAGGCACAGCTAGGATTTGGGGATCAACCCATATTGTCAAAAATCTGTCTCCTTTTATTCCTCTTTCAGCTCTGCTTTTTCTCTGTTGACTTCATTTGCAGGCAGGCTCTTACAGTATTGCAGCAAAAGAACCCCTACCAGTTCTAGAGTTGCATGCTTGCCAGTGTTGGAAATATCAGGCAATGTTCTCTCTTCTCTACCATCTATATAATCCCCCCTGAAAGTGCTGTTTGGCTTCCTCAGGTCATGTGTCAACACCTGCAGTAATCAATGATAATTTCTAGAGATAGTACTCTAATTGGCTGGCCTGGATCATGTCTACTACAGTGGAAAGAGAGCGGACCCACAGGTTGGACTGTCTGGATGGATGAGCATTTACCAAAAGAAAGAGTTCTGTCAGGGTGGTGTTGCACAGCTCCAGACTCGAATCCATCTTGTAGTCCATCTGTTTGGGACCTCCTGGAGTTGTGCAGTGTACAACCTGAGAGGCCATACAGAGTGGTTCTTGGTTCTATAACCTAAATAAGGAGGAAAGGAAGCTGGGCAGCCCAAACAGCAGGCATCCCCTACTGTATCTAATTACAAAGTTAGTCATTTGTAATTTTAAGAAAGGACTTTTTTAAGAAAAGACTATTTATGACAAGGTCTTGGCTGGGCTTCTGGCTTCATGGAACAAAATATGACATAAAATTCTAATCTACAGTAGATACATAAATACATTTGTTTTAATTTACCCAGGGAACAATACCTAATAGTCCTAACTGCGGTACACTTTTAAACTTAGGACAAGCAGATAATTCACCTTTGACAGCAATAGTATAAATGGAGTTATAATTCATAAATGCAATGGTTCTTCCTTCTAAGAACTTTGAGCATTCACTTATTTGATAACTATTCATATTGATAGGCACTGTGTTGGAAATTGCAAATATAGTAGAAGAACCAAACAAACTTGGTTCCCTTCCTCAAGAGTGAGATGGACACTTAGCAATGAACATACAATACATACTTTTATATAGTGATAAGTACCAAGAAGGAAAAGAACTGTGTTCTATTAGAGAAATTAGCAAGAAGTGGGGAGCTGATTTAGACTGGGACCAGGGACTTACCTGAGGTTGTGACATTTAAGAAGAGTGCTAAGGGATAAATAGAAATTAGCCAGATCAAGAATGAGAAAGAGAGGAAGAATATCCCAGGCAGAGGAAATGACATACGCAAAGGCTTTAAAGAGCTTAAGATATCACCAGACATTCCTGGCCAGGCCCACTGTTATCCCGGATGCTTACCATTTCCATTGTTTATTGATGTTCATAATATTTCAAATGAACTAAATCATACACATCCTCTTTTCATCATTACCTGGTAGACTGAATGTTTAGCTTCTCCCCTCCGATTGTGCCTTACATATATTAATGTATTAATATATGAAGATCACAAAGTGATAAAAGTGTTCAAAAGGTAGAATTTATTAAAGGATGATTATATAATTATTTCATGTTGACAATATGTCTTCAATTGTTTTGCAATCTTTTAACATTTCTGTTTTTATAACTGCATGGTATGAAAAAGAGGATGAAATGAGTTAGAAAGAGCTGGAGACACCAAGTGTAGATAGGAATTTCACATTTAAAGTTAATTCTTGGAAGTTCTCTTCTGGCGTCTGCTAAGTGAAGGATGGAGACCTGGGTTCTAACTACTGGTGAGCAGTTAAAACGTGAACATCTGGCCGAGCGTGGTGGCTCACGCCTGTAATCCCAGCACTTTGGGAGGCTGAGGTGGGCGGATCATGAGGTCAAGAGATCGAGACCATCCTGGCAACATGGTGAAACCCTGTCTCTACTAAAAATACAAAAATTAGCTGGGCCTGGTGGCGTGTGCCTGTAGTCCCAGCTACTTGGGAGGCTGAGGCAGGAAAATCACTTGAACCCGGCAGGTGGAGGTTGCAGTGAGCTGAGATTGCGCCATTGCACTCCAGCCTGGCGACAGAGAGAGACTCCATCTCAAAAAAACAAAAAGCAAAAAACAAAACTTGAACATCATGGTCCAAGTCCTTAATCAATCAGAGTCCCAACAGGAGACAGAAGAAAATAATTTGGGGTGCTTTATATACAAAGGGACTATTTTCATAGGTCTATGTGTGCAGGCATCTGGTGCCTCCTCCTCCTCTTCCTTCTCTTCTTCCTCCTCCTCCTCTTTTTTTTTTTTTTTTTTTTGAGACAGGGTCTTGCTCTGTTGCCCAGGCTGGAGTGCAGCAGCACAATCATGGCTCACTGCGGCCTCAACTTCTGGGCTCAAGTGATTCTGTTGCCTCAGCCTCCCGAGTAGGTAGGACCACAGGTGTACACTGCCATGCCCAGCTAATTTTTTTTTTTTTTTTTTTTTTTGGGGACATGGGGTTTCACCATGTTTCCAGGCTGGCCTCAAACTCCTCAGCTCAGCTGATCTGCCTGCCTTGACCTCCCAAAATGCTGGGACTACAGGCATGAGCCACCACGCCCCGCCCATCTGGTGCTTCTTAATGAGCTGTAGGCACAAAGGGATGAGGAGACTGAAGTGAGGGGTCATACAGAGGCATGTGGAGTCATGTAGAGTCATGGAGACAACCTTACAGGAAGGGAACAAGGGGATTAAGCAACCTGACTTTCCTTTCCTTCATCTCTCCCTCCCTCTCTTTGATTCTATATGAACCCAACTAGAAGCCAGAAGTCATGAGCATCTATCCATGTGGTCCATACAGGTCAGCCCTCCAGGTAGAAAGTAGGATGAAGAGGAAGAGTAGATCTGACCTAGAGAGGCAAATGTATTTTGCCATAAATTTCCACAGACTTTCTACCAACCCTTAGGTGTTTAGCTAGCCAGTAGCTGGTTGTCTACTTCTATCCAGTTTTTCCTGATAATATTTCATAGTTCATAGAGGCTGGGTATGTATTAGAAAATAACAAAAGTGTTTATCTGCTGATTCCTAGGATACCCTACAAATTGGATAGGTAGTGTCAACTCCTGCTTTTCTAGTTTCAGAGTTATTTACTGTGGGTTTTTTTTGTTTTAACATCTAGCCAGTCACCTCCTAAAAATGAACAATCCAACAGACTTCTGCAATCATGTGCACTTGGAACAAGTCCCTAATTAAATGATGACATCCTTTGAAGAAAGACATTTTGTCATACTGCTATCACCTCCACTGCTCATCTTGGTTTTTCAGTATTACAGAAGTTTCCAAACATGAAGAATATGGAGAATAAGATAATGTATATTCATATGTCTGCCATCCTGATTTAGAAAATTTTAATAATTTGACATGTTTGCTTCAGAATATTTTTTTTTCTGAGACAGGGTGTCGTTCTTTCACCCAGGCTGGGTGCAGTGATCGTGGCTCATTGCTGTGTCAACCTCCAGGGCTTGAAAAATCCCTCCAACTCAGCCTTTGAGTAGCTGGGACCACAGGTGGGCACCACCATGCTTGGCTATTTTTTTTTTTTGTAGAGATGGGGTCTCCCTATGTTGCCCAGGCTGGTCTTGAACTCCTGGGTTCAAGCAATCCTCCTGCCTTGGCCTCCCCAAGTGCGGTGATTACAGGTGTGAGCTACCACACCTGGCCTGCTTTAGAATTTTTAAATAAATAAAATATCACCAATACAGTGAGGGTTTCTTTTTACCTCCCATTACCTCCTATTCATTCATTCATTCATTCATTCATTCATCCATTAACTTTCATGTCAGAAAAATGTTTGAGCAACTACTCACTAGACTATAAAGCCAGGGGATAAATACAAATAAGCTTGTCTTGTTCCCTTTCCTCAAGGTGCTCCCAATCTGTTTTGTGGGGACAGACAAGAAAACATCTGAGAAGACAGGTGGGGGTGGGAAGAGGGGGTGTGCAACCCAGACATTGGGATAAAAACACAGGCATAAAGATGCCCATTAAACACAAATTGTATTGAACTGATTGAACTGATCTTGGTACATTAGTGGACAGCAACCAATTCAGGTGCCAAAAGAGAAATGAGAAAGAGAAGGAACAGGACAAGATGAAGAAAGAAGAAGAAATGACATCATAAGCCTTTAGGCTCCTAACCACTTCCCCCTACAATACACACAATGGGTGATGGGGTGATGATCACAGATATGCTATATTCCCTGGGTACTTGACTTAGGGGCTATGGCATAGGCAAGGTATTTGTGGTTTCTGGTACATAGCTGTAACTCCACCCATTTCTCTCCCATGTTGAAAATGACATTATCATCAGGATAACTTGGAGTCATCTCATATATATATTTACTTATTTATTTTGAGACAGAGTCTCGCTCTAGACCCTGGCTGGAGTGCGATGGCATGATCTTGGCTCACTGCAACCTCCACCTCTCAGCTTCAAGCGGTTCTCCTGCCTCAGCCTCCCAAGTAGCTGGGACTACAGGTTTGCGCCACCATGCCCAGTTAATTTTTGTATTTTTAGTAGAGACAGGGTTTTGCCATGTTGGCCAGGCTGTCTCAAACTCCTGGCCTCAAGTGATCTGCCTGCCTTGGCCTCCCAAAGTGCTGGGATTACAGGCGTGAGCCACTGCACCCCGCCTCATCTCTAATATATACACAAAGCAAACAATAGTATTTTCAAACTTTAGTTCTTTATTGTAATTAGAAACAACTTGTGCAGAGACAACCCACCATACCCATGTGACAACTATGACAAGTCTTGTCTGTGTCTTATGTAGGGGTCATCATCAATCTTCCTCTTCCTACATGTGATTTTGTATGCATTAAATCTATGGAACATTTCGCAGGTATGCCCCAGAATGGCTGATGGTCCATTTTTGGTAGGTGTGAAAAGATAAGAGAAAAAAAACCTAAAGAAATGACAGCTTTGGTATTGAAAAATTGGCAATATAAGATCATAGTGGAAACCAAAGAGTGAAATGAATAAAACTGCAATTGCATAACATAGTGACCACTTTGCCTCTTCTTGTTTCTGAGAGAACAGTGTGTAGGTGTCCTTTTAGCAAATGAAAAATATGCCACCTAATAGGTATTTGACATTGGCTAATTTTGTTAGTTTCTAGTGCCCCTTCCATACTACGTGTATAACCAGTACTAAATGCTCAAAAACTATTGAATTGATAGATGACTTTCTTTCAAATCTAAAATTGTACAATTCTATATTTTTTAAAAAAATGGTAATTGAGGGCCAGGCATGAAGGCTCATGCCTGTAATCCCAGCACTTTGGGAGGCCGAGGCAGGCAGATCGCCTGAGGTCAGGAGTTTGAGACCAGTCTGGCCAACATGGTGAAACCCTGTCTCTACTAAAAATACAAAAATTAGCTGGGTGTGGTGGTGGGTGCCTGTAATCCCAGCTACTTGGGAGGCTGAGGCAGGATAATTGCTTGAACCCGGGAGGTGGAAGTTGCAGTGAGCGGAGATCGCACCATTGCACTCCAGCCTGGGCGACAAGAGTGAAACTTTGTCTCAAAAAAACAAAGGTAATTGAGGATAAGTAAACTACCCAAAAAGCATGATGCATTCAAGTTCCTCTTTTTCATAGCTGCTGATAATAGGTTCCTTAAAATCAGATAACTGTAAGGCTTGACTATTAAACGAATAGTGGAAACCCTTCACAAGGGGAAATATTCCTTTCAACTTTGTATTTTCTTCATATTCTGCCCTTCTTAAACTTGCTGAGTCTGATTTGCTCTTTCAGTCACTAAGACTGCAAGCCTGTATGGTGCCTTGTTATAAATGAGAAGGTCCCCATCTGGGCTGAGGCAGCCCTGCAGGCACATGCCTCTCTGTGTGAAGAGAAAGGCTACCCTTCCTCTGAGCAGAGACAATGCCACACCAGCCCACACCAGCCCCTCTTGCTCCCTTAGCCAGGCATGTTTGTGCAGTGCACACACTGCATAACCTGGTGTCTTATTTCCGGTGCCAAAAAACTTGGCCTTCAGAACGATACACTAACACCTCCCAATGCCAGGCACTTGGCCAGGCACTGGAGATAAAAAGAGGAGTAAGAAAACATCTACCTTTGGCAGTCTGGGAAGAGGGCCATATAAGCAGATCACCACAGTAAGACCTGGCAAAGTGATCAAACATGAACACAAATTGTTATAGGATCAAAACTGGGGGAACAACTCTTTTTTTCTTGGATGGGGTTATGGTCAAGGAAAATTCAGGAAGGAAGAGGTGTTTAATTAGGTGTTTGGGGGATGAGTAGAGGTTCATGAAAGGGAAAAAGGGCATTAGAACTTTTGTGGTGACAAGGACAAACTTAGAGCTCTCCTCCTATAACCCCAAATCTCAGGAAAGCCTTGGGTTGCGGCTTACTTTGATTTAGGTCTTGAATCACACCATTTTTGTTGGGTTTGTCTTTCTACATGTCTTTTTGCCTTTGAAGTGATCCAGACAAGCTTAGCAGTGGGGTTTGTAAAAACAGTGTAATAAACATTGCCCATTTGCCAGGACTGTCCTCTGTGTAGCTCTCTTGGGAGTCTGTAGAGGCCGTAGGTGGCTGGTTAAAGGCTGGGGATTTGGGATTATCACCAAATGGCCTCCTTGAAGATACAGCACACAAGGACAATCCAGAAAGAGGGAACAGCATAATCCCACAATATTTTGTTTGCCAAATGGAAATCTCTTTAGTGACAAACATTTAACTTAGCACCAGGTGTGACCTTCAGTTATGCAATAGAATTGTGGATCAGCTAGGATGAAATTTCTTATTTCCCTAGAAGAATGTTTTGTCCAGAAACACTATCCCAAGGCAACAGACTATATTTCCAACTCTGTGAGCCTTTTCCCTTCTTGGCACGTGCTACTGGTTGCTAGACGAATCAGGAGGCAGTATGTGCATAGAACAGCTCCTCACAAGTCACTGTCATTCTAAGAAAAAAACTCAGTATGTGTCCTTTTGGCAGGAAGTCAGAAACATGTTCTCTGGACCATTAAGGGACAGCATCTTTTGTTATAAATGTGTTATATTTGTTCTTTGACCTTTATCTATATCCTTTATAATAAACCAGTAAATATATATAAGTGTTTCCCTGATATCTGGGAGCCATCATAGCAAATTATCAAACCTGAGGAGGAAGGTCCTGAAAATCCTTGATTTGTAGCCAAGTCAAACAAAAGCATGGGTAACCTAAGGACTCACTAATTGCTACTGGTGTCCAAAGTAGGGGGCAGCCTTGTGAGACTGAACTCTGAACCTGTGGATTCTGTCCTAACTGTGTAGTCCTGAAAATGCTTGGTGTGGAAGATCTATACATGTAGTGTCAGAAGGGTTGCATAAGTATAGAAAAATTGTTTTTCCTTTTTAGTAGTGGTTCATCTAAAAAGTATTTAATTGTGGAAAATATAAGGATTGAATAAGGGCATAGTTAATGTGTTATATCTGTTGATAAGATGAACTATAATGCTGTAATTAAAAATGTTTATGAAGGTTCAATATAATAAAAATACCAGTTTTCCATACATTAGGTATAAATTTAACATAGCTGTAATGAAAATACCTTCAGAATTATTTTAATCGAATGGCTGATCCTAAAAGCCAAATGGGAAAATAAACAAGAATGGCCAGGAAGACCGGGGAAGAGAAAAAGAGTAATGAAGAAGGACTAGCCCTACTAGATATCTATGAAAACATATTTTAAAGACGCAATAGTTAAAAGAGTTTACTACTAGAACATTAATAGACAAATGGAACACTATAGACACAAAGTATATGCATGAGTTTATTCTGTGAAAAAGGAAGCATCTCAAATCAAAGGAGGAAAAGGTGGACTACTGAATAAATGATAGTAAGACAACTACTAGATATAAAGAAAAAAGTTAGATTCATACCTTCCTAATCTTTACCCCTCCAAAAAAAAAAAAAAGAAATGTAAAAAAGTGAAATCTACAAGTAGTACGAGAGAAACCAGAAGGACTAGAAGAAAGCAAGGGATTCTTTTAACACATTTAAAATGGGGAAGGCCTTTTTAAAGACTGCAAAATCCAGAAGCCATAAAAGTAAATATTGTAAATTTGACTAGATAAAAATATATTGCAAAATTTCTGCATGGCAAAGATTCCACAAGCAAAGACAAAACTAAAACCTAACTGAGGAAAATAATAATGATCTATATTACAGACAAAGGACTAATCCCCCTCACGTGTCATGGCAGCTAGCTTCCCACAGAGTAAGTGATGAGAGAGAGAGAGAGAGCACCCAAGATGAAATATGGAAGGTGCAGACCTTTTATAACCTAATCGCAGGAGTGACATTGGGTTTTTCTTTCGAATTTTTCTGATTTGTTTCCCTGTGGTGTCGATTTATCTTGTTTCTTGTCTTTTTCTTATAAACTTTAAAATTAGATTTAGAAGCTTAATTAACTTTATGTTAAGCCTTTTTGCCAAGAATATTTCATATGTAGTATATTGAATTTTATGTTTCCTTTTATTAGTGAAGCAACTTTCCCAGAAGCACCACAGTGGACTTGTTCTCAAGTCTAATTGGCCAGATCAGGGAAATATGCACTGTCCTGGACCAGTCACTGGTGATGAAAGGGTAACACCCACCACCGGGGTTCTGCTACTACACAGGATGAAGAAAGGTAATTTCAGAGAGTAAAAACCAAAGTTGCATGAATTGGTTAGAGTTCTTAGGGCCAGAGGACAAGGTGCTTTACCTTGGGTTTAAACAAAAACATTAACTTGGAGTCACAAAGGCAAGTGGCCAGAGTTGAGGCAGAAAGGTAAATTGAGGCCACATCATGGACGGACTGCATATAACACACAGTAAATGCTGTCAAGTAGGGAAACGCCATGATCAGATGGACATTTTAGAAAGAACCAGTCTGGCCATAGCAAGAAAAGTCTAGGCAAATCTGGAGGCAAGAGGGATTCAAGTGTAGGCAGCTGCTGGCTGGGATCAGCTAGTTGGTAGCAGCTAGACCCACCTCTAATATTTGAGGGCCCTGAAAGTAAGAGTACCAAAGGAAGCCAACATACCATGTGAACAAATATTCAAAGTTAATCCCAGCACTATGGGAGACTGAGGTGGGCGGATCATGAGGTCAGATCGAGACCATCCTGGCCAACATGGTGAAACCTCATCTCTACTAAAAAGACAAAAATTAGCTGGACGTGGTGGCGTGCACCTGTAGTCCCAGCTACTCGGGAGGCTGAGGCGGGAGAATCGCTTGAACCCGGGAGGCGGAGGTTGCAGTGAGCCAAGATCAAGCCACAGCACTCCAGCCTGGCAACAGAGTGAGACTCTGTCTCAAAAAAAAAAAAAAAAGTTATAAATCAAGTTAGTAAACTGTTAAAAGCTCTGTCTTCCTGCCTTGATAAATACATCTTCCTAAGGACCTGAAAGGTCAGGTTTACATTGAAAATTTTGACTCCTTGGAGTTCCATGCTGGACCTTGGAGGCCCAGACAAGCAGGCTCTGGCCTATGGCCGTCTTCACTTCCTTTCCCTGTCCAAATAAGATTGTGGAATAACACAGATATTTTGAATGTTTGGATCTTACCCGACTACTTACTATTTATGTGAACTGAGGCACTTCAGCTTCTACAATTTTCAAGTGACAGCCATTGGGGTAAAGCAGGAAACAAAATAATGGCACTGCCCGTATGGAACCCAGAGGATACTGGGAGAAAAAAGTCAGCAAGCAGGTTAGCTATAGGTAGTGGTTGATAATGGCCTACTGTGTGGCTTCTCTGAGAGATGTGTGTGCTTTTCTGCTGGAGGTGTTAGGTGGCCAGTGGTTCCCAAACAGGGCGACATTTCCAGAGGCCTTTGGTGGTGTGTGGGCGTTTGGTGGTCACCAAGACTGGGCATTCACCTATTGCAAACTTCCAGCAACGTGCGGGACAGCGCTATTGCGCCCAAAGTGCCAAGGCAGCCCCTGTTGAGAAACAGTGCAAGGTGTTCTGTTCTCATGGTGGATTTGGGGTATAGGGGCGGCGGGGCGTGATTTTGGCAGCTACTTCCTTCACCAGCAGCACCCATCACTTCTTGTAGGTGCTCTGAGGTCGCCTGTGGATGCACGTGGGGGAAGGGGAAGAGCCCAGGAGGGGTCGGACGGACTTGGGCGGGTCTTTCCTGGAACGAAGGCCAAAGAGTCGCGGCGGCGGCCCAGATGCAGAGGACCACAGCGACACCTGGCTCTTCTTTGAGCGGCGTCCAGAGGCTGCCTTCCCGCGACTCAAAGGAGCATAGGGGAACCTGCAGGGGCGTGGCCGGGGCGTAGCTGCGCGCCGACGGCGGGGGGTCGAAGGGCACGCAGTGCCGGCGTCATGGCGGCCTCCGCGCACGGCTCTGTCTGGGGGCCGTTGCGGCTTGGCATCCCCGGCCTGTGCTGCCGCCGGCCGCCTCTGGGTCTGTACGCGCGCATGCGGCGGCTGCCCGGGCCGGAGGTGTCTGGGCGGAGCGTGGCTGCGGCCAGCGGACCGGGCGCCTGGGGCACTGACCACTACTGCCTGGAGCTGCTGCGGTGAGCGAGCACGACCTTCCCTGGCGCGGCGGGAAGCGGGGTCCCGGGGTGGGAGCGGCTGCGCCTCGCGTCTGGCCTGACGTTTGAGCGAGCGGACCGGCGCCTTCCTCGTGCCCCTCTGGGTGTGCGTTCTAGTGGGCGTCGGGTGCGGGTGTGCGGAGGCAGCGGGCCCACAGGAACATTCACATGGGTCACAAAATTATGGCAAAATTCCTTCGACTGCCCACGCTTGTCGCCTTATCTGAACCTTAATTTTAGCCGAATTCAGCGTTTTTGCATGAATAACCTTTGTTATTCACAGAACGTCTATTAGTTTTAACCACAACGGTAGCCAACTTTGAGTTCTTTCTGTGTGCCTGGCATTATGCAAAGCAGATTACGAGTAATTAGTCTTCATTACAAGTTGCGACGGACAAATGTAGACCTATCATTTAAGGTTGTGAGTTATAAAGCATTTAGAACAATTCCTGGCATATAGTAAGGGCACAGTGAGTGGAAGTCATTATTATCTCATTTAACAGACAAGGAAACTGGGTTTTATAGTGATTAGAGAATTTGCCACAGGTTCACAAGAATAGCCTCATAAAGTCAGAGCCCTGAAGTGTTTTGTTTGTCGGGCGTAGTGCTGGGAAGGCCTGGCACTTGGGTGTCGCTCCTTAATCATTTGTGGAGGTGGGTTGGATCAATCAGGTCACCTGGTTCATGCGGCAGGGACCCCTGGGAATCCAGGCCTGACTGCTGAGACCAGTGGCTTAGCCCCTCTGCCCTTCTGCTATGTCTCATTTGAAAGACTGGGGTAAGGTCTTGAAGTACTTGGTCTCAAGGACTTACCAAAAGTACTTGAATGACTAAACTACCTTGAAGTTGATCATGCAAGTAAAACCGTTTTTTTTTTAATTCCATTTTAGAGAAAAGCAGCATAACACAACAAAATGCATGCATTTCAGTGTTTTGTTTATAATCCCTTTTAAAAATTGTGGGCCGGCCGCGGTGGCTACACGCCTGTAATCTCCGCACTTTAGGAGGCTGAGACCGGTGGGTTGTTTGAGCCCAGGTGTCTGAGACCAGTCTGGCCAACATGGCGAAACCCCATCCCTACAAAAAAATAAAAAATTAGTTGGGCGTTGTGTCCCGCGCTTGTGGTCCCGGCTGCTCCAGAGGCTGACGTGGGAGGATCGCTTCAGCCTGGGAGGTGGAGGTTGCAGTGAACCAAGATCGCTCCACTGCACTCTAGCCTGGGCGACAGTCTCAAAAACAACAAAAACAAAAATTATTTATTTCCTACCTTATTTGTTGATTACTTGTAAGAGAAACAAGATAGCAGTAATGGAAATCAGGCATTAAGAATTGTAAAAGCCAAAAAAAATTGTAAAAGCCAAAATTGTGAAAAGATTGCATTATTTTTATATATTTAAGTTGTTATATTTTGATGATAAAAACTTTAAGTTGCCAGAGTATACCACCCAATAGCCGCTAGTGTCATAACTTTGCAGAGATAATCACTTTTAAAAATTTCTTATCTATTTTTCCAGGGATAGTCTGTGGATTTACAAATATTTAAGGCTGGAGGAATGGCTTACACCTGTAATCTCAGCATTTTGGGAAGCCTAGGCAGAAGGGTTGCTTGATGCCAGGAGTTTGAGACCAGCCTGGGCAACATAGCGGGATGCTGTTGCTACAAAAAATAAAAAAATTAGCTGGGCTTGGTGGCACAGCCTGTGGTCCCAGCTACTGCGAGGCTGAGGCGGGAGGATCACTTCACTCCAGGAGGCTGAGGCTGCTATGAGCCGAGTTTGCTCCATTGCACTCCAGCTGGGGCAACAGAGCAAGACCCTGTTTCAAAACAAACAAACAAAAATATTTAAGTACATTATTAGTTATTTTTTACTTCAGTCACATGCTAGTTTTTCTCAAGTATATATACTGTATTTACAAATGGTCAGTTACTTAAACTGTCCATGTTATTTGTGTGGAATGGGGGCTCTTGACTCTAGTGACTTATTTCAAATGCTGAATTTTGCAGGCAGACCTGATTTGAGAGTATTAATCCCAGCTCTATCACTTGGGAAGGTTTCTTTAAGATTCCATGTTGGCTGGGCACCATGGCTCACACCTGTAACCTTAGCACTTTGGGAGGCTGAGGAGGGAGGATTGCTTGAGCCTAAGAGTTCCAGACCAGCCTGGGCAACATAGTGGGACCCCTTCTCTACAAAAAATAAATAAAATTAGCTGGGCATGGTGGTAAGCACCTGTAGTCCCAGCTACTCTGGAGGCTGAGAGAGGAGGATCACTTGAACATGGGAGGTTGAGGCTGCAGTGAGCCAAGATCTTGCCACTGCACTCCAGCCTGGGTGACAAAATGAGACCCTGTCTCAAAAAAAAAAAAAAAAAAAGATTCGGTTTTTTCCTCATTTGTAAATGTTTACTCTTACCTTATAGCCTGGTGTTGTGAGGATTAAATGTGATGATATAGTAAAAAATGCTTAGCAGAGTTCAGACACATGACAAATATAAGTTTAAAAAATAAAAATAAACTTGAAATAGAATTTCTGGCTTCTAATTGTCCATCAATAATCTCTGCAAGATTTGGCCTCTGAAATTATGCAGGGTTGTTTTGGACGTGCATTTTATGCAAGGCCTCTAAATAGCAGGAAAAATAGCAGGCCATAACTTCGGGTTCACCATCCTCGGCTCTCCTAGCAATTTAGGTTTTTGGGAAAATCTCAAACCTAATTTACATAGGCTTCTCCGACTTTGGCTTTGAGGAGGATAAACACAGAGCCTCAGGCTGTAGTGAGAAGGTGAGGAGGTACTACTGGTGGTGTTGGAGTGCACTAATGTTCTTTACTTTGCTGCAATCTCACCAGGGAATCACTTCCTTTGTGCCTCAGTGGCACAGGTCCATGGTACTAACACACAACAATCCTAATACCCCGTGTGCTTGTTTCTTATATGTCTGTCTCTCTCAACTCAATCGAAGTCAGTACCCATCTTCAGTGTCTGGAACAGTGCCTGGCACATAGTAGGCACTGCATAGATGTTAGAATGAATGAGAGGTTATTTGCCCTATTGCCATATAAAGCTGTTATATATACATCCGTAATATGGCATTTCTCATTATCTGGGACTGGATAATCTCAGGTAACTGGATCTTGGTTAGATGCTTAGGACATTCTTGTATATCCATAGTTCAATAATTCACATTTATAACGATGATCCTAAGTGATGAAGAAATGGCTAAATAATCAGTATATCATGTTTAATGTGGTGAAGGGGGTAATATTGTTTAGAAAAATTTCCATCCAAAATTTAAAAATATATTTAATACGGCAGATCCTTGGCTGTGTGGAAGACTTTATTTTCCAAATGTTACTACAGTTCTATTATGTCTTCATTTCATTTTTCATTTCCCTCTAAGAAGCTTGAAGTACTTCACATACTGCTTTTTTTTAGAAGATAACCTTGGTAGGTTATTAAGCTTCATTTGCAAATTGGGAAATAGACAGGAGTGATTGGTGTCATTTCTATTAATAACCAGTTCGGTGATGGAAGTTAAGATTGTAGTTTGATTCCCATTCAGTGTTTTTCTCACTGTTTCATGTTAACTTCAAGTGTTTTAAACACTTCTGAAGTTTGGAGACTTTTTATGGCAAAATACAATTTAAAAAATGTCAACTATAGAGCTGCTTTGCCTTCGCTGTCCTTAGAAACTTTTGGGGAACCATTTTGTTCCCCAAAGGTGAAACTGCTTAGGGTGAGATCTTTTTAGCAGTACTCTTGAGATAGCAAGGTTACTGTTTGTGACCTCTTCTTTTGGTTTATGTGGCAATTGGAGGAGACTGTCAAGGGAATGGCTAGAAGCAGTTTAAGTTCTCTGTTAGGAACATGACAAAGTGTGAACCAGTTGAAAAGTGGGAGAAATCTGAATTTTAGTACCTAAACTCTATGGGATGAGGCCCAGGTTAGACTCATATTAAATATTGTTTTATAAGAAGGTTCCAATGTATTAAAGTAGGTAAGTACCTTATACTTAAGTCATCTTTCCTGGAGTGAATATGGTAAGGTCTATATGTTCATAACATTTTATTTTCAAGTAATTGTAAATTTACATAAAAATTACAGAAATAGTACACAGAGAGCCAATATACTCTTTAGCAGATTCCCTCATTTTTTAACACTCTGAAACATTTAAGGATAAGATGCAGACATGATACTTCATTAACTGCCCTTAATACTTTGGTCTGTATATTGTAAGTACAAGGACGCTTTCCCGTAGAATCACAGTACAGCCATCAAAATCAGGAAATTAAAATTGATCCAGTATTACCATTTAATCCACAGGCCCCATTCAAATTTTGCTGATTATCTTATTATGTCTTTCATACATCCAAAATCATGTGCTACATGTAGTTATATCTCTCTAGTCTTCTCCAATCTGGAACAATTCCTCACATCTTATCTTTCATGAGCTTGATATTTTTTGAAGAGAATAGGCCAGTTACTTTGTAGAAATCTCCTTTGATTTGGGTTTTTAATATTTTCTCTTGACATGCATTTTTGGCAGGAATATCACAGAAGGGACACTCAGCTTTTCTCTCCATATCATATCAGGCAGCACATGACATTGATTTGTCCTATTATTATGATGTTAACCTCTTACTACGTGGTTGAAAAGGTGACTTCCAGATTTTTTTTTTGTAAATTTAATTAAGAATGTTAATTATAAGCAAGAAGTGCATACTTACTTCGTGGGGAGATACTTCAGTACTATGTAAGTATTCTTTTTCCATCAAACTTTTACCCCTTTAACATTTTCAGGCATTTATTGATGATTTTTATCTGAATCAGTTAATACTATGATAGTTATCAAATGGTGATTTTTAAAAATTCCATCATGTCTTCTAAATTTAGTAGTAGGCATTGTATTGGTTGTCAAGCTTTTCCTTCTCTTCCTATTTATTAATTTTTATTGGTACAAGCTCATAGAGTCCTGTTTCAAATTGTTACTATTATTTATTTATTTATTTATTTATTTATTTTAGAGACAGGATCTCCTGTTACCCAGACTAGAGTGCAGTGGCATGATCATAGCTCACTGTAACCTTGAACTCCTGGGCTCAAGTAATCCTCCCACCTCAGCTTCCTAAGTAGCTAGGACCACAGGCCCATGCCACCATGCCCAGCTAATTTTTTTATTTTTTAAGTTTTTTGTAAAGACAGTGTCTCACTGTGTTGTCCAGGCTGGTCTTGAACTCCTGACCTCAAGCCATCCTCCCTGCTCTGCCTCCCACAGTGCTAGATTATAGGCATGAGCCACCATGCTGGGCCCTGTCATTATTTTTTGATCCTGAAATTGCTGTGGACTTGGCCAGTGAGAACTCTGTCAAGCCAGTTTCTGTGTTCTTTTGAGAAGTTTCCTCCATCCTTTAAACATTTCTTTACTTTTTGCTCAAGAAAATGTTTCAGACTTATCTTGTATTTTCCCTGCCCTAGGAATGGAGTCAGTTATTCCTTCCAGGAGCCTGTGTTAGTCTGTTTTGCATTGTTATAAAGGAATATCTGAGACTTGGTAATTTGTAAAGAAAAGAGGTTTCTTTGACTCATGGTTCTGCAGGCTGTGCAAGAAGCATGGCACCAGTATCTGCTCAGCTTCTGGCAAGGCCTCAGGAAGCTTTTACTTGTGGCAGAAGACGAAGGGGAGCAGGTGTATCACATGGCAAGAGAGGAAGCAAAAGAGAGAAGGGAGGAGGTGCCAGGCTCTTTTAAGCAACCAGCTGTAGCGTGAACTAATACACTCACTTATCCCCAAGGGGATGGCACCAAACCATTCATGAGGGATCCACCCCTGTGACCCAAATACCTCCCACTAGGCCCCACCTCCAACATTGTGGGGGTCACATTTCAACATGAGATTTGGAGGAGACAAATATCCAGATATCAGAGCCCTAGTTTCTTTCAGTGGAGAATGGTTTCAGAAACCAAGATCTGGGTGCTAGGTGTGTTCACCAATACCGGGAATGTGGGGTGGGGGCTGGGGGCATTATTACTTCTAGGCTCTTTCAGCAGGTGCTGCAAGGAAACGTATGTGTGCACACAGTCCTACATGAATTTCTATGTCTTATCTCTGCCTTTCTGTATATCTGTCTATATGTCTTAAAAACCATACATTCACCCCAATATTTGCTTGAACTATTTTAACTTGATTTATTCTTTTGAAGCTCATTTGAATTCTTACTAAAACAAAAGTGATTCTGAAACAGTTAAAATTATAAGTACTACATAAGTCATAGTAAATTGATAGAGATTAGGTGGCATTGGGGTACATTTTTCATAACTTTTAAGGAACGGTTATAAAAAATAAGACATGTCAGGCCTTTTCTGAACTGAAGCCTCACGTTGTTATTGTTTTTTTGAGATAGAGTCTTGCTCTGTCACCCAGGCTGGAGTGCAGTGGCGCAATCTGGGCTCACTGTGACCTCCACCTCCTGGGCTTAAAGCAGTTCTCGGGCCTCAGCCACTCAAGTAGCTGGGATTAGAGGCACATGCCACCATGCCCGACTAATTTTTGTATTTTTAGTAGAGACGAGGTTTCACCATGTTGGCCAGGCTGGTCTCGAACTCCTGGCTTCAGGTGATCCGCCCGCCTTGGCCTCCCAAAGTGCTGGGATTACAGGCATGAGCTACCGCGCCCAACTTGAAGCCTTTTTGTTTTCAGTTAATTTTAGTCAGTATTTTTTTGTGCAGCTTGGAAAGTGAAGAGTAACTGTCTTTTTTTTCTGTCTGTTACAGGAAACGGGATTATGAAGGTTATTTATGCTCCCTGCTGCTCCCTGCAGAATCCCGAAGCTCTGTTTTTGCACTGAGGGCCTTTAATGTGGAACTGGCTCAGGCTGGTATTAAGATACCTTAAAATATTATTTGCGAAATGGTGATATAAGGTGTTTAATGCTGAACAATAAAGAAATATAGTTGTAATTTATATGTTAGATGTGTTTAAGGTCTCTGCTAGTGATTTCTTTTCCCTGCTAACTGTTTAGGCTTAGTAATTCAATACCAAAAATAAAACTATCTAATGAACTTAATGGTTCTAGAAATGCCATTCTGGAATTTTTTATTTCTCTTCCCGAGGATATTATAAAACTGTGCCATTAACATTGCACATTTGTCTGCTAATTAAATAGGTTAGTCAGAGAATTACTGCTTATTCTTTCCAACAATTGCATAATTTACATGTATATAGCAGTTTTTCAAAGCATTTTTTAAATTGAGGTTTTAGCTTTAATATCAGTAGGGAATGAAAGCAATTGTAGCAAACCAGGACCTTAGATCATACTAATTCACTTTTGTCTAAGAATTCCAAAGGAAGGAGAGATCCTCTTTTTTCTTCTTTAGAATGGAAAGAATATGTACAAATACAAAATAAATTGGAATGGTGGATGGAGATGAGAGAGTGAAAACTGGAACAGCCTTAGTCTTCTCAGTAATAAATTGAGAGGTCAGATATTGGGAGTGAGGGAGCAGGAGAGGATTCAGAGTCTTGAAGAGAGTAGCAAATTTTGACACAGATTCTCAGGGAATATGGTAGGAAGTGAACAAGGAACAAATAAAAGGATATGAATATGGCACCGAGGCACAACTGAGATTCACAACTGTGAGTCTGTAGAGAGTCTAATAGACTGGCTGTTTTTTCCTCTGGTATCTTCCTGGAAGTCATGGGTTATGATTTTTCACCTCATCCTTTTTCAAGTGTAAACTGTACATAAGCATGTTAAATCAGTCACAGTTTAGCCATAAATAGTTCCCACCTTGGTCTTTATTATCATTTTTAAATGATTAAAATTTAATTTTTTAATTTTTAATTTTACAGACAGGTCACCCAGGCTGGAGTGCAGTGGCATGATCACAGCTTATTGTAACCTTGAACTCCTGGGCTTTAAAGCAATCCTCCCACCTCAGCCTCCCAAGTAGCTGGAACTGTACATGTGCCACTATGCCTGGCTAATTAAAAACAATTTTTTTTTTAGAGACAGAGTCTTGCTATGTTGCCCAGGCTGGTCTCAAATTCCTGGCCTCAAATGGTTCTCCTGCCTCAGCCCCTAAAGTGCTGGGATTACAGGCATAAGCCACTGCACCCAGTCAATACAATTTTATTTTTAATAAACCCCCAGAGTTCCTTCTGAATTCTGTCACTTTGTACTTCTTTGTACACTTTGTACATCTTGCTGCTGCTTTGCACATGGAGCCTTGTTTATTCACTCATTCAACAAGTGTTGATTGAATGCAGAGACTTTACATAGTCTGTATTCAATGCTATACCCACGTGACATAAAACAGGGTCTGCACTCAATGAACAAATAAATCATTGTGTAATGTATCAGATGGAGACTAGTGCTATGGAGAGAAATAAAGCAGGATAAGGAGGCTTCGAAGGCTGGGTACACCAGGGGTTCCTATTTTATGTAGGATGGTTAGGAGAAACCTCACGGAGAAGGTGGCATTGGAGCAGAGATCTGAAGGAGGTGAGGGAGTGAGCTGTACAGATATGTGGGCAAAGAGTATTCTAGGCAGAAGGAACAGCGAGTGCAGTCTCTAAGGTGCAATTGTGCCTGCTTAAAGAACAGAAGAAGGCAGGTGGTCCAGCAGAGCAGGGAGGGGCGCATGGGAGGAGATTCAGTTAGGGGCACCTGGGTCAGAAAGGTAAGGTCTTGGAGACACCATTGAAATCACTTTGGCTGAGTGAGATAGGCAGCCACTGGAGGGTTCTGAGCAGAGAGACATCACCTCTTGGTTATATTTTGAAAGGATTACTCTTGCTGCTGTCTTGCTGTACTGTATGCCACTGGGATCTGAACACTAAACATTGCTAAGAAACCCACCCACCACCAGGATATTTGGAAGTAACTTCACATATGGAAAAGTAAGAGTAGTACAAACAATACTCATGACCCTGTTGTTAATATTTTGTCCCATTTGCGTTATTCTGTCTACATATGTATATATACACATTTCTCTTTTTATGAATCATTTTAGAGTAACTTGACTATATCATGACCCTTATCGCTATAAACTTGATTGTGTGTCTCATAAGAATAAGGATAATCTCTTACATAACCACAGTACACTTACAAAAAAATAAACTTAACATTGATGCAGTACTTTTATTTGATCTACCATCTGGTTTCCAGTTTTCTCAAATGACCCAGTAAGGTCTTTTATGGCATTTTTTCCCCCTTCTGTATGGGATCTAATCTAGGATCATGTATTACATTTAGTTTTCTGTCTCTTTAGCCTCCTTTATTCTGGAACATTTCCATAGCCTTTCTTTGCGTTTTGTGACATTGACATATTTTAAGCAATACTATTCCTTTTAAGAATTAAAATGTTTCTCATTTGGGGTTTATTTTATTTTTCATCAGGTTTATATTAAACTTATGGATTCCTAGCGTAATATTACCTAAGTGGTCTGTGTCCTCTTCAGAGTCAGAAGGAGGCATGAAATATCCGTCTGACTCCCAGCAGTAATGTTAATTTTAGTCACTGAGTCAAGATGTTAATACTTTTTCCCTTGCTACTAATAAGCAGCCTGTGAGGAGACCTTTTAAGACCATGTTCCTCATCAAAATTTACCTCCTAGATTTAGCTTGTGTTGGTGATTCTTGCCTGAACCTAAGAAGGCCATTTTTTTTTTTTTTAGATGGAGTTTCGCTCTTGTCGCCCAGGCTAGAGTGTGGTGGTGTGATCTTGGCTCACTGCAACCTCTGCCTCTCAGGTTTAAGCGATTCTCCTGCCTCAGTCTCCTGAGTAGCTGGGATTACAGGCACCCACCACCACACCCGGCTAATTTTTTGTATTTTTAGTAGAGACGGGGTTTCATCATGTTAGCCAGGCTGGTCTTGAACTCCTGACCTCAGGTGATCCACCCTCCTTGGCCTCCCAAAGTTTAAGGTTTACAGATGTGAGTCACCGTGCCTGACCAGAAGGCCATTCTTAGTAGTGAGTGAGGGAGACAATCTAATAATCTTCTTTTTAAAAATTACTTAAAGAATGAATGAATGAATTTATTTAAAAGTACATGCAGTAAAATTCTCTCTTTGTTGTGTTCTATAGGTTCCAAAAAATGTAGTCATGTATTTATCACCATAGTCATAATACAGAACAGTTACATTAACTCAAAAAATTCCCTCAAAGATACTGATTTTTTAGACAGTAGACAATGCATTTGCTAAAGTTTTTAAACCCTGTTTATAGGTTAAAGACTCAGTCTCTGAGAAAACAATTGGACTGATGCGAATGCAGTTTTGGAAAAAAACTGTGGAAGATATATACTGTGACAATCCACCACATCAGCCTGTGGCCATTGAACTATGGAAGGTAAAAAAAAAAAAATACCACTTTTAATTTGTATGAATATTATTCGAGTCTACTTTTTGATGGATATAATTTGGGTACTGGTGATTATAGTGGAATCTATTCTGAAAATATTCTTAGGCTTATGTATTCAGAGCTGTTATAGTTTTGGCACAGAAATTTAAAATCACCCACTGATAATTTACACACATCTTTTGTATATTTGTTTATTAAAGGAAAAAGGAAGAATTAGTCTCTACATAATAACTTGTATTTTCCACATTTCCATATTTGCCTGCAGAATTTAAATCCTACACATTTTGATATAATAGCAAGTAAAATGTTCTGTTCTCTCTGCCTAGCAGCAGCTCCTTATACCAGTGTTTTAATCCAGGTTTTGGGCATACCAGTGTTTTAATCCAGGTTCTGGGCTGTAGAACATGTATTAATCTTTTGTGATGGGAGACTTGCTCTCAGTGTTGTCCAGATACAAATCTAAAACTGCCTTGTCTAGTTTGATAGAATTATCTATCCATTGTTGAGTTTTAGGTGTTAGAGAATGGAAACCTATGGGCTAGAGTATTATTTGTATAGCTAGATATATACCATAAATGGTTTTATAGTAAAGCAGCTGTATGGATCCCTCACTCATAAGCAGCCACACATGGCTTAGAAATATTCTAAACTATGAGAGGAGGAAGGGAATTAGATACCTTTCATCACTGATCTGTGTCCCTGTTGTAATGCAGTGATTGCCAAAAGAGGGTTTCTGTAACAGGAGCCACCCACAGACCTGACAGTGGTACACCTCTTCTCAGGTCTGCACACCAGCAGAGGCAGGCCCAGTTTCTGGGCCCCAGATTGACTTCACAGAGCCCCAGTAAAGATGGAAAGCCAGAACCCCCCAACTGGGGATTGAGAAGAAAAAGTGGATGGGAAGCTGTGAGTATTAGATTAGTTCTTTACCTCTGTTCATCCCACTTCAAGAAGCTCAACCTAGGTGACTCACTAAAAAGTTTTCCTAAAATCCAGAAACCCTTTCTATTTATTACTTTACACCTAAATCGGAGTATAGTGGAGGTGGAGGTTTATGTTAAGACTTGCGTAAAAGGTTCTGGCCTTTGTTGGGAAATATGTGGAAGATTAGAGAGTCCTTTGATGCAAATTTATCTTTCCTTGGCTTCCCTTAAAAAACCAGAAGACAAATCTGAATTACAGAATGTTTACATATCTGCCAATTTAGGATTGCTAAATTGTCCGATTTTAATAGCTGCTTAAATTTTGATGGTTAATGTTGGCTGGCTTTCTGACGTGACCGGTGTTGAAGCTGAACGTGAATATTTGAAAGATGCAGGTCATGTTCAGTGCAGTTGTCCTTGCTGCATGTTCTCTATCCTTCCCCATTCTGCTGGAGCATATGGGGCATATTGGGTATTTGAAGTGTTGGGTTCTTGAGGAGATTAAATAGAGGGAACAATGACAATGTGTTATCCAGAGAGCACTTTTCTGCTGCACTGTTTCATTGGTATTTTTAGGGTACAAGATACTTGAATATTTATAATTTCTTATCCATTCTAGATGGGTTCCCCATTTCTCTGTATGAATTTTAGCTGCAGTTTGAATTTATGTTTATAACCAAGGTCTTTCTTCTATTTGGCTTCAGTTTCCAGAGTTCACACTTCATTCAGCAGATTTCCAACTTCTTTAAAATATTTACTTTTTTACCTTGGTCTCCGATTTCCTTCTGAATCAGAGCTATATTTTATAATCAAGGATCTACAGCCATTACAGCTTCAGCCTTGAGTAAATAGGAGTTTGGCTTTTCATTTATTAAATATTTATTTAGTACTTTTTTATGTGCTAGGAATGGTGCTTGAAGGTCCACAAAATCAAACATGCCCATCGGCCCAGATGTGTAAAATAAAACAAGAGCATGAGTCTGTAATGACCGATTGGCTGATTCCTGGAATTTGGAAGAGAGGCCTATGGGGAGAGTCCTGCCATGTAGTAGTAGTAGTAGTGCCGAGAACACTTAAGAACTAACGCCTTTTTAACTTCTATTAGATTCCTGCCAGGCAAAGTGGGCTCTGTTCTCCATACATACACCTTTGTCATGTAATGCATTTTGATGAGCACGCTGGCCTTTACATTTAGTATCAGTGACATCTGAGAGTCTTAGTTGAAGTATAGCATATCCCTAGATTTTATGTTTCACTACTATGTTTATTTTTTGTGAAAATATATTATGCTTAATGCTGACATGGCAGAAAAAAAAACATTTTAAAAACTTACTTGGAAATAATTCCAAACTTTCAGAAAGGTTACGAAATTCAAAGCAGGACAAACACCTCTATACCCTTTATCCAGATTCATCAGGCTGGAGTGCAGTGGTGCAAACATGGCTCACTGCAGCCTCAACCTCCTGGGCTCAGGCGATCCTCTTGCCTCAGCCTCCTGAGTAGCTGGGACCACAGGCATGCGCCACCACACCTGGCTAATTAAAAAATTTTTTTTCTAGAGATGAGGTCTCACTGTGTTGCCTCTCCTTGCCTCCTGGCCATCCTCCCACCTTGGCTTCCCAAAGTGTTGAGATTACAGGTGTGAGCCACTGTGCATGGCCCACTTATTGTTAATATTTTATCCCATTTGTTTAATCATTTTTCCTCACTCACATATTCAGTTTCTCGCTCTTCTCCTCTCCTCCTTCTCCTATTCCCCCATATGTGTATCCACATTCATAATTTTTTTGTGACAAATTGCATTTGATTGTAAGTTATATACATCATAATCCTAACCAAAAAAATTTAGCGAATATTTTCTTTTTGTTTTTTTTTTTGAGACAGAGTCTCACTCTGTCACTGAGACTGAAGTACAGTGGCACAGTCTTGGCTCACTGCAGCTTTGATCTCCCAGGCCCGGGTAGCTGGGGCTACAGGCACATGCTACCACACCTGGCTGATGTTTTTTTAATTTTTAGTACAGGTGAGGTCTCACTTTGTTGCCCAGGCTGGTTTTGAACTCCTGAGCTCAAGTGATCCACTCACCTTGGCCTCCCAAAGTGCTGAGATTACAGGCGTGAGCGAATTGTTTGATTCAGTCTTTACCATGCCTGGCCTCAGTAAATATTTTCTTTTTTTCTTTTTTGAGACGGAGCTTTGCTGTGTCACCAAACTGGAGTGCAGTGGTGTGATTTCAGCTCACTGCAACGTCTGCTTCCTGGGTTCAAGCAATTCTCCTGCCTCAGCCTCCGGAGTAGCTGGGACTACAGGTGTGTGCCACAATGCCCAACTAATTTTTGTATTTTTAGTAGAGACGGGGTTGTTGGCCAGGATGGTCTCCATCTCTTGACCTCGTGATCTGCCTGCCTCGGCCTCCCAAAGTGCTGGGATTACAGGTGTCAGCTACCGCACCTGGCCTATTTTTTGTGTTTGTTTTTTTTTTTGAGACAGGGTGTTGCTCTGTTGCTCAGACTGGAGTGGAGTGTCATTATCTCAGCTCACTGCAACTTTCACCTGCTGGGCTCAAGCCATTCTCCTACCTCAGCCTCCCAAGTAGCCGGGACTACAGTTACCCGCCACCATGCCTGGCTAATTTTTTTTTTTGTAGAAATGGGGTTTCGTGGCCAGGCACGTTGGCTCACACCTGTAATGCCAGCACTTTGGGAGGCCGAGGCGGGTGGATCACGAGGTCAAGAGATTGAGACCATCCAAGCCAACATGGTGAAACCCCGTCTCTACTAAAAATACAAAAATTAGCCGGGCGTAGTGGTGTGCGCCTGTAGTCCCAGTTACTCGGGAGGCTGAGGCAGGAGAATCGCTTGAACCGGGGAGGTGGAGGTTGCAGTGAGCCAAGATTGCGCCATTGCACTCCAGCCTGGCGACAAAGCGAGACTCTGTCTCAAAAAAAAAAAAGGGGGGGTTTCACTGTGTTGCCCAGGCTGGTCTCAAACTCCTGAGCTCAAGCTATTCTCCCACCTTATCCTCCCAAAGTGCTGGTATTACAGGTATTAGCCACCGCCCCGGCCTAATATTTTCTAAGAATAGTGATACTTATAATCAGGACAGTTTTTTTTTTTATTTCTATTTTTTTCCTAAAGATAGGATCTCGCTGTGTTGCCCAGGCTGGAGTGCAGTGTGGTGATCATAGCTCACTGCCACCTTGAATTCCTGGGCTTTATCCTCCTGCGTCAGCCTTCTGAGTAGCTGGAACTACAAGCACGTACCAGCAAGCTCAGCTAATTTTTAAATGTTTTGTAGAGATGAGGTTGCTATGTTGCCCAGGCTGGTCTTGAACTCCTGAACTCCTGAACTCAAGTGATCCTCCTGCCTTGCCTCCCAAAGTGCTGGGATTATAGGCGTGAGTCACTGTGCCCGGCCAGAACAGTTACTGGCTTTAGTAAATTTAACTTTGATAGAACAATTTCATCTAATTTTCCATTCATATTCCAATTTTGTCAGATGACCTAATAATGTCTACAGTATCATTTTTCCCTTCCAGTATAGGATCTGATCTTGGGTCATGTACTTAATTGTCTTGTCTCTGTAGTTTGTTTTAATCTGGAACATTTCCGTAGCTTTTTTTAGCCCTTTATGACATGTATATTTTTGAAGAGTATCCCCCCGACCTCGTCTTTTTAAAACACTAATTTTGGATTTGTCTGATGTTTTGTCATGATTAGATTGAAGTTATGGATTCTTAGCTGGCAGCCATACTTCATAGGTGGTATGTCCTTCTCAGAGTATCACATGTAGAGGCACAATTCGTCTACCTGTCCTTTATGGCACTGTTAATTTTTATTACTTAGTCACAATTTTGCCTGGTTTTCCCACTGTATAATTCTGCTTGCAGTAATCAACAGTTTTTGAGGAGACATTTTAAGACTGCAAATATCCTGCTCCTCATCAAAATTTCTCCCTAAACTTAGTAGCCATTAATGGTTCTTGTCTGATTCAGTCTTTACTCTTATAGTTGCAAAATGATAACTTCTCAACTTCAGTACTTGGTCCACATTTACCAGTTGGCACTTAGTATTCTGCTATAAGAATGAGCTCTTATTTTCCTATATTTATTTGTTTATTAATTATTGGTGTAGACTCATGATTTCTTGTTTTTTACAGTTTATAATTCACTCATGTACTGATTTTGGTGTTCAGGTTGTCCCAGCTTTGGACAGCGGAAACTCCTTCACAGCGGCTGCTATGTCCTTGTGACACGCTTCCGTCATTTTTTGGAGCACTTTCTTATTTTCTGACACAATAAGATATTCTAGGATCCTTTTGAATCTCTCCCCTGCCTCACCTTTGGAATCGCCCATTTCTCGAGAGCCCTGATTCCTTTAAGGAGAATGGTAGTAGAGACAAGTGTCTGGGCACTAGGTGAGCTCTTTCCTACTGGAGTGTCTTTACTTGCTAAGGTAACAATTTACCATGTGGATTATTTTTGTTGGAGTTTTAGTTACTCTATTTTTCGAGGAGTGGTTATTTTTGCTAAATAGAATCTTTATCCTGTGGAAAACAATTTGCGTATAATGAGTAAGTATAGAAGTCAGGGTGGCTAGGCACAGTGGCTCATGCCTATAATACCAGCACTTTGGGAGGTTGAGGCAGGAAGATAATTTGAACACAGAAGTTCAAGACCAGCAACATAGGGAGACCCTGTCTCTACAATTTAAAAAAATAAAAAAGTCAGGGTATATCACTTAATAGAGAAGCTCAGTACTTAATGCTTAATTCTGGTTTTGTTTTGTTTGAAAGTGGAATTGTTAAATTATTAGCAGTATAGGAAAAAAAGACAAGTTAGTAGAAAAGTATTAGAAGTATAGTCTTATAAATGTTTTGAAATATTTTCTAGGGACATTTTCTTTTTCCCTGATACTTCTTTAACATAGCTGTCTATATGGTGATGTTATTACAAATGTTCCCTTACTTAGTTTTGTATTTGGTTTGTTCATTTTATTCAGATCTACAGAAGTCATTTCTAGTACTTTCTAAAAACTTATAATGCTCTTTGTTTTTTAGGCTGTTAAAAGACATAATCTGACTAAAAGATGGCTTATGAAAATCGTCGATGAAAGAGTGAGTCAAAATTGTTCAAGTCTTAAGTTTTTTCTTCCTGTTTAATTCTTAAGCTAATTCTTCAAGAAGGACATTTTTTGACTGTATATTAATATTTTGGAGGAAGGAAACTTTTAGAGAATTATGCCATTTTATTCATACTTTACCCTTGCATGCTACCCCCCATACCCTCACATTGAGACAGACAAGCACCAAGGCAGAGGCATGTGTATGCACAACCACACTCCACTATTTTGGTTTTTTCAAAAGGAAATTTTCATACTTACATAAAAGTAGAGAGACTACTCTACATGTGTAGAGTATCTGGTGACATGTTAAAGAAAATCCCAGACATCTTATCATTTGATTTGTAAATACATATATATCTTAAAAAGATAAAGACAAAAAACATAGCCATGATATGATTATCATACCTTAAAAATTACTAATTATTCCTTAATATCATCAAATACTTGATTAGTCATACACATACCTTTAAATATACCCCAGTACTTGGATCGGTGTCTAAATAGTAGAGGGCATAAAGAAAGTCTGACAGTTCCAGTGAATGGAATCCTGTACTAAATTCTTAGAACTGAGTTCTAGGTCCAGCCAAGTCAGTGAATTGCTGTGTGACCTGGCCTAACATGTGTGACCTTTCTGATGCATTGTTAGGTCTGTGTTCCCCTTGGCCTGATATTAATTACATGCTGTTGTCATGGAAATATGTAAGTTTACTTAGTTTATTTAGATAGTTTGCTAACTATAGGCTGTAGCAATAACAAGAAGAAGCCAAAAAGATATATTAGCTAAGAAGACCTATTTTCAGGTGTCATCTTTTCTGTTTTACAAGGTAAAGAAAATTAGGGAACTCAAGACAGAGATACCATTTTAGTTTAATGAAAAATAACACTTGGCTTTTGAAGGGGGGGATATTTAAAAGTAAAGAACTGTGAACAAACATTGATCTATAGATTCAGTGCAATCCTTTTCAAAATTCCAGCTTTCTTTTTTGCAGAAATTGACAAACTGGTCCTAAAATTCATATGGAAATGCAAGGGACCCAGAATAGCCAGAATAATCTTAACAAAGAAGAACAAAGTTAGAGGGCTCACATTTCCTGATTTCAGAACTTAACTACAAAGCTACAGTAATCAAACTGTGTGTTACTGATAAAGGGTAGACATATAGATCAATGGAATAGAAATGAGAGTCCAGATATAAACCCATATATTTATAGTCAATTGAGTGACAAGGGTGTCAAGACACTTCACTGGGGAAAGAACAGTCTTTGCAACAAATGGTGCTGGGACACTTGGATACCTCTTGCAAAAGAATAAGTTTTGACCCCTCCCTCACACCATATACAAAAATGAACTCAAACTAAATTAAAGACCTAGATGTAAGAGCTAAAACTGTGAAACTCTTAGGGGAAAGCATAGGTGTAAATCTTAATGACTTTTAGGTTAGGCAGTGGTTTCTTTTTTTTTTTTTTTTTGAGATGGAGTCTCGCTCTGTTGCCAGGCTGGAGTGCAGTGACACGATCTCGGCTCACTGCAATCTCCGCCTCCTGGGTTCAAGCAGTTCCCCTGCCTCAGCCTCCTGAGTAGCTGAGACTACAGGTGTGCGCCACCACACTCGGCTAATTTTTTTTTTTTGTATTTTAGTAGAGATGGGGTTTCACCATGTTGGCCAGGATGGTCTTGATCTCCTGACCTCGTGATCCACCCGCCTCAGCCTCCCGAAGTGCTGGGATTACAGGCTTGAGCCACCGCGCCCTAGGCAGTGGTTTTTTAGATGTGATACCAAAGGCACAAGCAAGAAAAGAAAAAATAGATAGATTGGACTAAAAGAAAAAAATTATTTGCCAGTTATATATCTGATAAGGGACAATTATCTAAAATATGCAAGAAACTCTTACAACTCAAGAATAAAAAAAAAATCCTAATTTAAAAATGGGGAAAGGATTTGAGTAGACATTTCTCCAGATAAGGTGTACAAATGACCAATAAGCATCTGAAAAGATGTTCAGCATCTTTTCATTAGAGAAATGCAAATTGAAACAAAGAAACATCACTTCACAGCTGTTGGGATGGCTGTGATAAAAAAGAAAAAAGATGCACGATAACAAGTATTGGTGAGAACAGGGAGATGTTAAAACCTTTCGTACATTGCTGGTGGGAATGTGAAATGGTGCAGCTGCTTTGGAAAAATAGTTTGGCAACTTTTTCTTCGAAGAGATAAACATAGGAGTTATCATAGACCCAGAAATTCTACCCCTAGGTTTATACCCAAGATAAATGAAAACATATGTCCACCCAGAACTTGTATATGAATGTTTGTAGCAACATTATTCATGAAAGCCCGAAAGTAGAAAGAACTCATAGTCTGTTAATGAGTTGTTAAACAAAATGTTGTATATCCATACAATGGAATATTATTCATAATTTATTCAACTAAAAAGAATAAAGTACCAATAGATGAAGCAAACAATATGCTAATTGAAAGAAGCCAGATACAAAAAGCTACATATTATACGATTCCATTTGTATGAAATGCCCAGAATAGACAAATCCATGAAGATGAAAAGTAGATTAGTGGTTTGCCAGGGCTGAGGAGGGGGGGAAATGGGAAGTGTCTGCTTAATGGATGCAACTTTTCTTTTGGGGGTCATTAAAATATTCTGGAATTAGATAGTAGTGATAGCTGCACAACTTTGTGTATATACTAAAAACCACTGAATTGTATTATTTGAAGGGATAAATTTTATGGTATGTTAATTATGTCTCAAAAAAAACCATAAAGGATGCATTTTTTTTCCTGGAATCATTGCTGATGTCATTTTCTTTTTTTTTTTTTTTTTTGAGACAGAGTCTCACTCTTGTCGCCCAGGCTGGAGTACAATGGCACGACCTTGGCTCACTACAACCTCCACCTCCCGGGTTCAAGTGATTCTCCTGCCTCAGCTTCCCGAGTAGCTGGGATTACAGGTGCCTACCACAATGCCCAGCTGACTTCTTTTGTATTTTTGGTACAGACAGGGTTTTACCATGTTGGCTAGGCTGGTCTTGAACTCCTGACCTCAGGTGATCTGCCCATCTCGGCCTCCCAAAGTGCTTGGATTACAGGCATGAGCCACCGCACCCAGCCTCTTTTTTTTTTTTTTAAACCCTGCATGTGGCATTTGATGCTGGTGTTAGTTTTTTCTGATTTTAAAGAGGGTGAAATAGGGGATAATATTTTGCCCTAATAATAGTCTTTGTAAAAGTGGCTAAGTGTTCTCGCTATTAGATTCTCATTTTTCTGTTTCTTGCATATAGTGTATCTAGGGAATCAACCCTGTTATTTTATTGAGCATGGTTTCTTTTTAGGGGATGAGGTGGGCACTGGTTTCTGTTTTCTTTTTCTAGGTACCTTTTCCTCATTGAGCATGTAGATTCAAGAGTCAAATATGTGGGTTCCCGTCCCCACCATTTATTTATTAACTGTGTGTCTTTGGACATGTTAATGTGTCCATGCCTCAGTTTCTTCATTTGTAAAATGGGAAAAGTATTAATTCCTTATCTCTTGGAGGGGGGGTTGTTTGGGTTAAGAAGATAATGTCTAAAGTGCCTACGTAATGTCTAAAGTGCCTATGTAAGAGCTCAGTAAAGTCAGTTTATTTTGATAACTTGGGCTTCAGATGAAATTTAAAAAAAATGCCATGTCCATGGTGATTTGTATATTGAGGTTATTCCTGATGTCTTATTTTGAGGTGGTGATTTCAAAGTATTGAATGTGTAGAACTTCAATATTGTAATGTTTTATCTTATTGTGTACTAAATAACATATACTGAATATTTTTATTCGTTATTCAGTTCTTTGGGGCAAAAAACAGCACCTTTTCTTTCTAAAATATTGACAGTTCAACAGACTTTATTTGCATTTTATTTGATGTAGGAAAAAAATCTGGATGACAAAGCATATCGTAATATCAAGGAACTGGAAAATTATGCTGAAAACACACAGAGCTCTCTTCTTTACTTAACACTAGAAATATTGGGTAAGTTGTTTTTCTGTTTCATACTTCTTTTTTCCAATAAAATACCTATGAGATTTCACTTTTTCATAATTTGGTAATCTAACCAGTTTAGCACTAAAGCCTTCCTTTATACTATCTGTAAAGGAACAGTTTTTTTTGTTATTATTATTAGCAAGAAGAAGAATTTATATCTCTTTCTTTGTAATGCAGAGTAATCCAAGACTCAGGCTCTCATACAACTACTTTACCTCATGGGAATGTTGAAATTAATAATCTGGTAATTGCAAGTGGCTTTACTTTTTTACTATAGCATCTCCTACAATTTGGAAGGCCTATAGCCTGACTCTTCCTTTCGTGTTAATAGTACTTATCCATGGAAAAAGAAAAGTAGAAGAAGTAAAACACATTTATTTTATTTTATTTTATTTTATTTTATTTATTTTATTTTATTTTATGATGGAGTCTCGCTTTGTCCCCAGGCTGGAGTGCAGTGGCTCAATCTCGGCTCACTGCAACCTCTGCCTCCCGGATTCAAGTGATTCTCCTGCCTCAGCCTCCTGAGTAGCTGGGACTACAGGGACGTGCCACCACGCCCAGCTAAATTTTGTACTTTTAGTAGAGACGAGGCCAGAATGGTCTCGATCTCTTGACCTCGTGATCTGCCCGCCTCGGCCTCCCAAAGTGCTGGGATTACAGGCGTGAGCCACAGTGCCTGGCCTAAAACTGCATTTATAAAAGTTTTTGAGATTTTTCTTTCTCTGCTTTTTTAAAAACAAAATTTTGATGGTAGGATTTCTTCTCTGACTTTGTTGCCAGTTAGTGAGGTCTTATTGAAATAAGGAAATTATTTGGGCCAAGGACAATACCATCTCATTTGAAGAAGGTAATATATATCTCTATACCTCCCTAAAAGAATAATACAAGTCCCCATTGCATCTCCCAGGCCTATTCTGGCCCACAGCTCTGGTGACATGTTTGCCATCACAATGAAAGGAGGGAGCAAAGAGTAGAATGTTTGTTAAGCATATTCTTAAAATGAGATCATATGGAAATTGCACAGAGGAGAAGAAATGGAAGACTTGTAAAGTTTTTCCATGATAGCCGATTAAAATTCTAAATGTGTTCTTAGTGTGCTGTAGTCTGAGGAAAACTCTTATTTAAAAGTTGAGATTGAGATTTAGATATCTGCTAGTGGTAAATGGTCAACTTGTTATTGTGCCCAGTTTTTCACTCATAAATCCTGTTTTTCAGATGTAAAACAGGATAAATGTCTCCTTTTACATGTTTAGGTTATTTCTCTATGCTATTTCTATTGATTTATTATGCACTTAGAATAGAGCAGCCCTGTGTAATTTCTGAAATCATAGGTATAAAGGATCTTCATGCAGATCATGCTGCAAGTCATATTGGAAAAGCACAAGGCATTGTCACTTGCTTGAGAGCAACACCATATCATGGGAGCAGAAGAAAGGTGTTCCTTCCCATGGATATTTGTATGCTGGTAAGGCTGTAATTTGTACCTTTGAATAATTTACCTCAGGAATATGGGGAAGGAAGTTATCTTTTGCTTTTTTGCTTAGTCTATTCAAGTAATTGCTTTGAAAGGAATGCTTATTGCTTACTAAAAATGGCCTTCCTCTTTTTATCCCAGAGTTATCAAGTCAGAATTGTGTCCATCAGGCATTTTAGGTCTCTGGAGGAGCAATGAGTAGGAAGGTCTAGAGAACCTCATTTGGTATAGCTTCATGTTGATGCCTTGCTCCCTTCCAAACAACTGCAGTAATTATTCCTAGCGTTCACCTTAGCCTGTTCTTTATTTTATTTTATTGGAGTAAGTCATTTTAAATATCTGTTTATGAGGACTTTGTTTTCTTTTCTTTTCTTTTTTTTTTTTTTTTTTTGAGACAAAGTCTTGCTCTGTCACCCAGGCTGGAGTGCAGTGGCGTGATCTCGGCTCACTGCAACCTCCGCCTCCTGGGTTAAAGCGATTCTTCTGCCTCGGCCTCCCAAGTAGCTGGGACTACAGGCGCCCGCCACCACGCCCAGCTAATTTTTTGTATTTTTAGTAGAGATGAGGTTTCACCATGTTAGCCAGGATGGTCTAGATCTCCTGAACTCGTGATTCGCTTGCCTCGGCCTCCCAAAGTGCTGGGATTACAGGCATGAGCCACTGCGCCCGGCGAGAACTTTGTTTTCTATATGAGATTCATTATTTGTTCTTTCAAACTTTTTGTATGTTTCTTTTCTTGCTTGTATATTTTCATTCTACCTACAACTTGTTAATTAACATCTTGTTGTGGCCAGGTGCGGTGACTCATGCCTGTAATCCCAGCACTTTGGGAGGGTCGCTTGAGTCCAGGAGGTTGAGACCAGCCTGGGCAATATTGGGAAACCCCATCTCTACAAAAAATACAAAAATTAGCTGGGTGTGTTGGTGCACACCTATAGTCCCAGCTACTCAGGAGGCCAAGGTGGGAGGATCCCTTGAGCCTGGGAGGTTGAGGCTATAATGAGCCATGATTGCACCACTGCACTCCAGCCTGGGTGACAGAGTAAGACCCTGTCTCAAAAAACAAAAAATCTTGTTGCATGTTCCAGGTGTCACTCTCTCATTTTTGTTTTTTTTTCTCTCTCTCCACACATGCACACACACGCACGTGCTCACATACATTTCTAAAGACAAAATAGGCATTAAACTGTACATACTGTTCTGTCACGTGTTCTCTTGTGCTAAGTTAGTTTTAATTGTTAGTTTAATTTTCTTTCCTAGGTGAACTGTTGGAAGGAAGTGCTTTTAGGTTCCTAATATAATGTATATTTCCCCACACAGCATGGTGTTTCACAAGAGGACTTTCTACGGAGGAACCAAGATAAAAATGTGAGAGATGTAATATATGACATTGCCAGTCAAGCACACTTGCACCTAAAGCATGTAAGTCGGCTTTTTTTTGCCAAATCATTTAGGGAATAATCATTTCTAGATGTGGCTCTTCTTAGAACATGGTTATGATATTCCCAACTTGGCAGTCTTTTTTCCATTTTTCATTGATTTCCCAGTAGATTTATCTCGGAGTCTGTTGTAAACTTTTTTCACTTAAAAAAGTCCCTCCCCCCACCTCACAGCATATGAATGCGTTCTCTACTGAGTAAATCAAGCCTGAGCTTTCTCATGTGGGCTCCTCTGTGCTCCATCCACTTCTCTCTTGGAAGACAGGGTGTCTTTCTGCCTTCCAAGGCTGATGCCTCTCGTCCCCCTCCCAGGGGCTGCACCCTCAGCCACCCCCAGCTGGTGTTTTCAGTTTGCTTCTCTGATAGGTGGCCTCTTTTATCTTCTGGTTTGTTGCTGCTGCCTTCTGAATTTACAGGCAGCCTGTGGATCCTTCTGTTGGTATTTTTCTCTCCTAGGTGAACTCTTGGAAGGAGGTGGTCGGCATTCACTGTTACCTCGGGCCCTTTCCACCTTGGCACTGCTCATCATGCTATGATTTGGCTCCTATCCTGCCCACTCTAATAAACAATCACGAGTTTGGCAGTTCTCCTTATTGCCAAATTTAATGGTCATTTACAACTCGTTTTCCTGAACTCTTCTTCTTTTTTTGACACCATAGACGTCTCTCTCTGTGTCACTTTCTGATTTTTCTTCCATTGATTCTCTGACTTGGCTCCTGAACTGGTTCCTGATTTCTCCTGCCTGTCACTTTAGTTGTTCCCTAAGAGTTGGTTCTTCACCTCTTAACTTTTCCAGGACTTTTGTTTGGAATTTGACACTGTTGACTATACACCTCTTTCTTGAAATTGTCTGTCATTCATCTCCATGGTGTTATTCCTTTCTGGTTCTCCTTGAAATGTGTCTTGATTTCAGTGGCTCTTGAAGACTTGGTGGAAACTTTCTATTTCCTTAGCTCCCATAATGCTAATTTTTCCTGGTACTTCTTGTGAACCTTTTCTTTTTTTTAGCCTTCAGTAGATTCTAAAGAGTTGGACACTTACCTGCATACCACAGGGCTTTTGCACTTGCTGTTTTTCCTGCTTCTTCCCCTGTACCCCACCTCCACTCCAGTTAGTGCTCAAATGTCACCTTATCACAAAAGTCTTCCCTGGCCACGTTACCTAAAATAACATCTTCCTTTTCCATCACCCTCAGTCTCCTTACCTGGCTTAGTGCTTTTCACTACCTGACATTAAAAGTTTGCTTATTGCCTCCCCACTTCATTGGAATGTAAGTTACTTTGTTTGATTCTGTTGTATATTCTTCAGCATCTAAAGTACCTGGTACATTATGGGCACTCAGTAAATACTTGTGAAATATTAAATACGTAAGTAATCAGATTGTAAGCTCTTTGAGGGCAAAGACTATCTTCAGCTTCTTTTTAATTTCATGAATATCTAACAGTTCTCGGCCCTGACAGAGGTATAGATAAAATACATGGAACTTTAGATGAGAAATTACTTAGGACTAACTAGCAGAGTTTTGGGTAAGATCTGAGCACACTACAGAATCATGAGAGGCAGGAAAGCTTTGTGTGGAACCTGAGCAGTCCCAGTCAATGGACATGTAAGGCACCTAAGAAATACCGATTCCCAGGCCTCACTCCCTGGAGACTGGGGTAGTAAATCTGGGATGGGGCCAGGAATTAAAATTTCCAAATGATTTTAAACAGCCAGATTTGAACACCACTGGTGGTGTATGGGTTATGCGAAACATGGTCCTGGGAGATAGGTTTGGAATGGTGGATTGAAGAGATTATGGAGTTGTAGAGGCTTTTGAGAGGCATTAGAGTATTGTGGATGAGAGTGCAAACTCTGGAACCAGAAGCCTGACTTTAAATCCTAATTCTGCCATTTACTAATCATGTAATCTTAACCTCTCTGTGCTTTAGTTTCCTCATCTGTAGTAGTGGATCATTTTAGCACCCAGCTTAAAGGGTTATTTGGATAAATGAGTTAACATATATGAAGAGTTTATAATGAAGTGCAGCATATTGTACATGAAATATGTTAGTTTTCATCATCATCATCAAATAAAGCAGTGATATGAGTGTTGCAGAATAGGAAACCCTGCTAGCAGTGTTTGATGAGAGTTTAGAGGTTGGGTGATCAGTTAGGAGACTTAGGAGAGGAAGAAAGAGTGTCTGATTTAGAGACAGTAGATGTTTATGTGTATATACATTTATATATATATGTATACATACGTGCCCACACATAACAAGTAGAATCCCACACGTAACAAGGCTTGATAACTAATTGGATTGTGGCAAGACCAGATAGAGGGAAAGTTGAAGGTTGCATGAAGAATTCAAGTATGGCACTTTGATGGTGCCATTCAAAAGCTACAGTGACAACGGAAACTAAAGGTATGTTTGGTGTGGATCATTAGACTTTGGACTAGCTGCTTGACATAATTGAATTTGAGGGGATTAGAAGGAGATGGACTATTAAAAAAATGCAGGATTGTGACTTAAAGGAAGTCAGGACTAAAGATGATATATTTGGGAGTCATCCACATAAAAGGCTTATAATTAAGGCTCCAAGTTTGGATGGTGTTGCTGAAGGAGAATGTACAGAGGACCAGGGGCAGAACCCCAAGGCCCACTTCTGTTTACAAGGTAAAAGGAGAAAGGGCCATTTATTAGGAGGAAAGAGAAGGAAAGAATGTTCAGAGGAATAGAACTGAGAGCCAGTGTCTTGAAAATCAAGGGAGGAGAAGATTTAAGAAAGAGGAGTATCAGAGTTTTACATGCTACAGAGAGATTGAAGAGAAAAGATAGATGTGGTGATTAGTAAATCATGGATGATCATAGAGTAATTTCAGTAGATGGTTGGGGGTCAAACTGGAGTATAATGGGTTAAGAAGTAAGTCAGGAAGTAGAGGGCTTTTCCTGGTGTTAGGGACAATATAAATGAAGACATGGAGACAGGAGTGGGCTTGGCGAACACAGGATGATGGGCATCAGCCTGAGTGACCAGGTGTTCGTAGCTCAGAGTGGTAGGGAGTTAGGTTGGATGGACGAGGTTAGAGTCAAGATGTGGAGGCCTTTGAATTCCAGGATGAATTGTTGAAACTTGACCTATCAGGGAATTAAAGAAGGTAAAAATGAAATGATGATGTGAGGACATTAATTTGTCCGGCTGCGTGGAACGAATTAAAGGTCAGGGAACACAGGCAAGATCACCTAGGAGGGTCTTACTCATTTAAACAGGAGAGAAAGTCAGTCTAAGCTAGGGGTGCACAGGACTTGGTAATGCAAGTATTTCTTCATTTTCCCCTTACCACAGAGCTGGGGAGTCAAAATTATTATGAGATATTGTAAGGTCGCTGGAAAATGCTAAAGCCAATCTGTAAGAAAGGATGGAATTTTTACTACAGTAGTTACTTTTTCCTGAGTCCTTTAGGCCTAGGAAACTAATCTTAATCTGCAGGAGATGAGCTGTTTTCTTGCATTTGAGAGAGGCCCTATCAGTATTGTTAAACTGCTGGTGTTGCTTTCAGAGGGAGAGTGTTTATTTGCTTAATTTTGAACGAGCTTCCTCTCCTCTTCCTTTTTAGGCTAGGTCCTTTCACAAAACTGTTCCTGTGAAAGCATTTCCTGCTTTTCTTCAGACGGTAAGTAGATTAACAGAGAAGGCTGTATAATTAGTGAAGCAGATGTGTATGATCTGTTTTTATATTTTATAAAGTTCCCAATGAACTTCTTTAGTTCGGAGCCTTTGTTTTTGTTTCCCTCCCTCATGGCGGCTTTCATTAGTTACTGATGCTTTTGCTGAGGGCCATTTCTGTATTTCTCAGAGGCAGGTGAGCTGAGTTTTTAGCACGGACTTTGCAGCCAGATTGCATTGGCTTGAATCTGTTTTGCCCCTTACTAGCAATGGGACCTTAAATTCCTTAAGAACCACATTCCTCAGTTTACTCTTAGGTGAAATGGGAATAATAGGAGAAACTACTTTGTGGGATTGTTAGGCTGCTTATAGCTATATAAGTATTACTATTCTGTTCATTTTTTTTTCCATTGTGACCTGACCGTATTGTAGCACCAGTTCCAGAACAGTGGTTCATAGCCCACTGCTGAGCTGGTTGCAGTGGGGTAACCTGGAAAACTTTTTAAAAATATAGATTCCTGGAGTCTTCTTTTTTAGTAAGACTTTTGGGATTGAGGAGGAGGCCAGTTCCTAGGAGAATCTGTGATTTTAAGAAGTTCCCCAGGTGATTCTGATGCGTAGACAGGTTTGGGAACTGTTGTTCTAAAACTACATAGAGAAGTGATAATTGCTACCAGTTACTTAGAACCTTTTATGAGACAGGGCTTGGGTTAGGTCATTCCATCATTATTCCTAGTCTTCCTAGCAAAAATATGGTTACTTCATTTTATAGATAGAAACGAAGGTTCAAAGATTTGTAATCTTTGAAAATTGTAAACTTACACATTTTCTGTAATACCAAACATATCTTCTACCTTTTCCCCTGAAATATACTTAGAAATTCATTTCAATCCCTTCACACCCTCTGTCTTAGTGTTCAGGTCTGTATGTGAGAAGTCATTTTGCTTCTTAATTGAGCTTTTGCTAATTATAAAAGTAGTACATTAATATTTTAAATTTTCGTAGTGTAAGAGAATACAAAAGAAGAAATCAGAGTTCTCACAATTCTACCGTATCTAGAGATAATGTCTGTTCATCTTTCTGAACCTTTCATATACATATAATCATACATGTATTTTGTGTATGTCAACATGTTATTCTGTATCACCCTGTTTAGTGGTTATCTGATGGATATACCATCAGCTGTTTAACATACTAAGTAAGCTTCGTAAAGGTTAAGGACTTTGTTTTATTAACTTCTGTGGAAAAAGGTGGTTCTCAACCCTGGCTGCCCATTAGAATCACTTGGAGAGCTTTAAAAAGACCTAAACAATGCTTGGCCTCCCCGTTCCAGACCAATTATATTGGTGGACCCAGGCATTGATACTTTTTAAAAGCTTCCCGTTTTACTTTTCTTTCTTTTTCTTTCTTTTTTTTTTTGGAGGCAGATTCTCACTCCATTGCCCAGCCTAGAGTGCAGTGGTGTGATCTTGGCTCACTGCAGCCTCCGCCTCCCAGGTTCAAGTGATTCTCAGGCCTCAGTCTCCTGAGTAGCTGGGATTACAGACATGCACCACCATGCCTGGCTGATTTTTTTGTATTTTTAGTAGAGACAGGTTTTGCCATGTTGGCCAGGCTGGTCTTGAACTCCTGGCCTCAAGTGATCTGCCTGCCTTGGCCTCCCAAAGTGCTGGGATTACAGGTGTGAGCCACCGTGCCCGGCTTTTTTTTTTTTTTTTTTTTTTTTTTTGAGACAAAATCTCACTCTGTTGCCCAGGTTCCCAGGTTGGAGTGCAGTGGTGGAGTCATGGCTCACAGCAGTCTCAACCTCCCAGGCTCAGGTGATCCTCCCACCTCAGCCTCCCAAATAGTTAGGAGCACAGGCATGTATCACCACACCCAGCTAATTTTAAAAATTATTTTTGGAAGAGATGGAATCTCAGTATGTTGTCCAGGCTGGTCTTGAACTTCTGAACCCAAGCAATCCTCCAGCCTTGGCCTCTCAAAGTATTGGGATTACAGGCATAAAACACCGTGCCCAGCCCCCTTTAGTTTTAATTGTGAGGTGTGGCTAGGCCTAAAAACTACTGTCATAGACCAATGGTTCCCAAAATGTTCCTGGACTAGCAATATCTACCTCACTGGGGAACTTGTTAGAAATGCAGATCTTGGGCTCCCTCACAGACCTGCCGAATCAGAAACTCGGGGGGTGGGGCCCAGTTCTCAGCTTCTGCTTTTTTTTTTTTTTTTGAGACGGAGTCTTGCTCTGTTGCTCAGGCTGGAGTGCAATGGCATGATCTCGGCTCACTGCAGCCTCTGCCTCCAGGGTTCAAGCGATTCTCCTGCCTCAGCTTCCCGAGTAGCTGGGATTACAGGCATGCGCCACCATGCCCCGCTAATTTTTATATTTTTAGTAGAGGAGGGGTTTCCCCATGTTGGCCAGGCTGGTCTCGAATGCCTGACTTCAGGTGATCCACCCGCCTTGGCCTCCCACAGTGCTGGGATTACAGGCATGAGCCACTGTGCCCAGCCCCAGCTCTCAGTTTCTGTCCTGTGCCAAGAGAGACTAGAGTGGCAACATGGCAATTCCTGAGGTGCTGCTTCTGTCGTACACCCTCATTCCAGCTTGGACAGGGCCTCTTAATTGTTTTATATATGGGGCATCTGTTAATTATTTTGTTCAAGGAAAGGATTTGCAGTTTAAAAACTCTTTGAATATGACTAATCTAGGTATGGTATATTCTTCATAGATGAGGTTTCAAGAATTCATATTCAGAAATTTATAATGTCTTTGAGAGTTTCACAATCAATTTGTTACTCAGTTTATTTACCATCAGCCAGACTTTCCTTTGAACCAAAGCCTGATGTAAAAATACCCACTTGAGCTCTAATTTTGAGGTCACATTTCCTTGGTATTTTAATGGAATTTTCTCCTAATCCTAAAAGCAATACATTTTCGTAGTAAAGATTTGGACAATATAAACAGTATTAGGAGAAAATAGCAATCACCCATGCTTGCTTTGGCAGCACATATACTAAATTTGGAATGATACAGAGAAGATTAGCATGGCCCCTGCACAAGGATGACACACAAATTCATGAAGCATTCCATTAAAAAAACAAAATCACCTATAATTCTAACACCAAAAGATAACTGCTAGTCATTCTGGGGTTTTTGGAAATGAATTTTTATGTTTAGTTGAAATTACACTTCATGTTAGTGTACTGTTTATTGAGCATTTTTTTGAATCATTAAAAAAAGTATAAATATAACACTTAATAGCTATATAATATCTATTATGTGTCTATACCTTAATTTTGTTAACTATTCCTTATAATTAAATGTCATAAAGCTATTAAAATTAGCATAATTCTTACAGATAGCAAGTTGATCACAGTATATTAAGGGATAAAAAAGCAAGTTACAGAACATGAAATAGCATGAGCTTTCTTTGCAGAGAAAGGGAGCATCTGAAAGGAAGTACACTAAAATATTTTCAAAACCAAGAGAACATGTGAAAGAAAGTACACTGAAATATTTTCAAAGTTTTTTATTCTCTTTTAAACTTGTTAATATTTGCTATATATTAAATGAATATATCTGTCTAGGTATATATATTGCAATGTATAGCATAATAAACACCGATGAACTTACCACTCGAGCCAGGAACTAGTCTGTCACCATTAAATTGGACTCAAGTTTTTCCCATCTCATTTCCCTGCCACTGCCTTCATTTTTAGGTAGCTCTCCTCAATTTTGTGCATATTATTTCCTTGCTTTTATTCCAAGAAGTCTTTCATCATTTTATATATTCCTGAACAACATATTGCTTAGTTTTGTTTTTGAGCTTTATAAAAACGGATCATTTTCTATTGATGTCTTCTAGGACATGTACACACTCTTAATGTTTCTGAGATTTGTACATATTACTGTATCTACCTATAGTACCTTCACTTCACTGTAGTATAATATTAATATTTCATTGTACAAACGATTCCTCTTTTTTTCGATCAAAGAATTTCTGGATTGTTTTTTTTTTTTTGAGATGGGGTCTCTGTCACCCAGGCTAGAGTGCAGGCTCACTGCAGCCTTGACCTCCCAGGCTCAAGACATCCTCCCACCTCAGCCTCCCAAGTAGCTGGGACTGCAGGTGTACACCACCACAGTCAGCTAATTGTTTTTGTATTTTTTGAGAGATGGGGTTTTGCCGTGATGCCCAGGCTAGTCTTGAACTCTTGAGCTCAAACAATCCACCTGCCTCGGTCTCCCAAAGTGCTGGGATTACAGGCGTGAGCCACCACGCGTGGTCTCTGGATTGTTTCTAAGTTTCTTCCTAATACAAAACAAGGCAGCTGGGACATTGATGCATGTGTCTCCTGTTGTCTGTATATGTAAGTTTAGGGTTTTAAAAAGTAGATAATGGCCGGGTGCGGTGGCTCATGCCTGTAATCCCAGTACTTTGGGAGGCCGAGGAGGATGGATCACGAGGTCAGGAGTTCAAGACTAGCCTGGCCAATGTGGTGAAACCCTGTCTCTACTAAAAACACAAAAAATTAGCTGGGGATGGTGTCATGCACCTGTAGTCCCAGCTACTCTGGAGGCTGAGGCAGAAGAATCGTTTGAACCCAGGAGGCGGAGGTTGCAGTGAGCCGAGATCATGCCACTGCACTCCAGCCTGGGTAACACAGCGAGACTCTGTCTCAAAAAAAAAAAAAAGTAGATAATGAATTTGTTTGTATTTCACTCATATATTTATAAAAGTATAGGAAAAAAAAGTCTGGAAGAAAATATTTTTTGTTTTTGTTCTCATCTGCATATTCTAAAGAATCTATAGTCATAATCCCTGCATTAATCCCCCAGGTTCTGTGCCGCAGAACTCTAGGGGGCGCTGCTTATGTGGACGAGGAGGTCTCGTGCCGCTTAGAAAGGTGGAGCACAAAACTAAGTGACCTGCCTGTTTAACAAAAATGTTATTAAAATGAAATAAAAATTTATAAATTAATCAAGACAATTGAAAGCCAAAAAAGAAAGATACTGCACATCGTTGGTGTTTTCTATCCTGCTGCTATCCTTGTAAAAACTTTGTCAAGTTTTTTGTGGTGGGGAAAGGATGGGGTGATAATTTTGCCTGGTTGAAAATCATGTGCTCTAGCAACAACGTGGAGACCTGTTCAACTTCTTCACAAAATAATTTCTTAAAAGACAACTTGAGCTCCCCCTCATGGTACACTACATTTGGGGGGTCGGGGTGGGGATGTTTCATTTTCCCTGATTGAAACAGCCTGTTTGCATTCCACCAAATCTAGTAATAAGGCCAGGCAAACGTGATTTTGCTAATCCTTTTGTCTTAACCAAAGCTTTTTATATTATGAGCAGAAGAGGCTTGGCTTTTCTGGTACTAGCTCTGTGATACCCTTTTACTGGTCTAATAGAAACTTCTTGGATGTCTTTTTCTTTCTCTCTTTTAAAATTCTCACTTAAATAGAAAACCATCTCAGGGAAACTAAAATAGCCTAAATACTTGTAATTATTCTTTAGTTAGTTTTTTTTTTTTTTAAGTCTTGATCATTTTATGATCTGGTGATCACTATTCTCTTTTTTCCAGGTTTCTCTAGAGGACTTTCTAAAGAAAATTCAGCGAGTGGATTTTGATATATTCCACCCATCTTTACAGCAGAAGAATACATTACTTCCATTATATTTGTATATTCAGTCATGGAGAAAAACATATTAAAATAATTTCATGGCATTGATGTTAATTCTAGTCTATTAGTTTTATAAAAGTTAGGATTCTTATTTAGGAACAACAGGAAATGACTGTTAAGGAGAAAATGAATTTATTGAATGGGATGTCAAGTAGCTCACAAAATTGAGAAGTTGCCGTGGGACTAGGGTGCCAAGACTGCTGAGATTCTGGCAGAGGCACTGCCATTGGCACCCCTGGCCCAGACAGTGTCTGCTGTGCTGTCCCTGGAAGCTGGAGCTCCAACAGGGAATATTGGTGTAGCTGTGCATAGGCCATAAGCCACACTTGAGCCAGTGGGCAGGGAGAAGGAATGTCATTCTCCCTTCACCACTGGGGAAGGAAAGGGGAAAGGGCTCAAGTTATCATAGGGGCTTACATGCTGAGCAGCTATAACCTAGGTGTTCAGAACACCTGGAAGATGCATTTATTTAGGGGTCACAAATAGTGAAATTAATATTTGAGGAATATCAGTCACGTGTTGTGGGCTTTTATCCTTAACGTTTAATTTTTACAATCTTGTGTAAAAATTTATCCATGATAATAACATAACTTCTTTAAGGTTGGAGTGGCTGGCAAGAGCAGAGCCTTAATTTGACTTTAGCTCTGGCTGGTCTGGAAGCTTTTACTTTTTTGTTAATCCCACTTCCTCACTCTGTCATTCAGCATTATCATGATCGTGAACAAAATTGTACTGAGAAAGTTTGTATAAGTGATATGAACGGTATTGTATTGAACATCCATTAAAGGGTTGCTACACTTTATACTGTACATTCTGCGCTATACATTGTGCTTCCCAGTGATGAGCACTGTGCTGTATACTTGCATCAGTGTTCTCATTTGGTTTTCCTAAAAACCTGTGAAATGAGGCACATTTTTGTTCATTAAACTTTTAAATTGTTTGAGACCAGCCTGGGCAACATCCAAAACCCCATCTCGACCAAAAATACATAAACTAGCCAGGTGTGGTGGTGCACGCCCAGCTACTAGGAAGGCTGAGGTGGGAGGATTACTTGAGCCCAGGAGGGTGAGGCTGCAGTGAGGCATGAGTGTACTCCATCCTGGGTAACAGAGCAAGACCCTGTCTCAAAGACAAACGAATAATAATTAATAATAATATAAAACTTTTAGAAAATGCATCCCAATTGGAAAAACCCAAATTTTTTACATTGCTGGTAATCGGTCGATCTGACTCTAAATGAATCTCACTCTCAGGACCAGGATTATGCCAGTTTCCTTTTTCCTGTATTTTCAGTAGTCTTGTCTCCTGCCCCATTCGGCTCTCTCATTTAAGTCTTTGGTATCAGCTATGAATTAGTGCCTACTTAAATTGTGAGTGGCTTAAAATGTTACATTTTTGCAAATTCAAACTGAGAGCTTTTGGAGCACAAGAATGCATTGTTCATTCATCTTGACATCACCCCCACCACACACCTAGAATGGCTTCTGATTGAGAGCAAGTAGAGATTAATAAATATATAGTTGAATGAATGTGCAATGTGGTTGTATATGCTAGTAGACTCTTAGTTGGTACTGATGTTGAAAGTAGATCCCCTTCTTTAATTCTGTGGCTTTCGAGAGCCATTCAGCTTATCTTCAAATGAAAATACAAGGAAATGGGGCCGGGCGTGGTGGCTCATGCCTGTCATCCCAACACTTTGGGAGGCTGAGGCGGGTGGATCACCTGAGGTCACGAGTTCAAGACCAGCCTGGCCAACATGGTGAAACCCCATCTCTACTTAAAATACAAAAATCAGCCAGGTGTTGTGGTGGGAGCCTGTAGTCCCAGCTACTCGGGAGGCCGAGGCAGGAGAATCACATGAACCTGGGAGGTAGAGGTTGCAGTGAGCTGAGATCGTGCCACTGCACTCAAGCCTGGGCAACAGAGCGAGATTCCATCTCAAAAAAAAAGAAAAAAGAAAAAATACAAGGAAATGGGACATGTTTCCTCTTGGGATTCTGAGTGATCCAGGGTTGAAAAGTTCATCAGAGAGTCTTTGTTAGGGAGCATTGTCTGCAGGTCTTCCCAAGTTAAATTTGGCAGCAATCATCTAGGCGTCTTGGTTCCTTTCTAAGGGTCTTAAAAGGAGGGTTTAATTACGCGACTGGATTAGTGGATTCTTTGCTGGCTCAGAAGCCAATTTATTAAGTAAATAATTTCAAAATACTTTCTAAACCATTTTAAATTTGATGCTTACAGATTTGGATGAACTAAAGTTACCAATCTAGAGATTCAAGTGGAGTCTTTATCAGTGAAATTTACTGTACTATTAATTTCCTGGTGTAAAAGATACTCCCTTAGATGATGCTGGCATTCTTTTTGATTTTTTCAAATCTCTGGGTTTTTATTAGAATATTTTAAAGGAGTCAGATACATTTTCAAACCATTTTAGATGTGCTTTGTTGTTGAATAAGTGGATAGCAGATAACATATTAAGTATAAATTACAGATTATTCTCAATGTAGGTAAAGTTGCATATCATTATGAAATAAGTTTTGGGTAGTTCTCAATTGGCAATATTCTTTCTCTCCTTGTGGTTGAAGCTCTCCTTTTGATGAAATTGAATTCTTGAGAAATGTAACTGTAGCTAACACTTATTGAACACAAACTCGAACAGGTGGTGTACTTCGCACTTTTATGCTTTAACTCTCATAGTGAAGTAGGCCTTTATTTTCCAAATGATAAAACAGTCTCAGAGATGTTAAGTTCAAGGTCATGGAGGCATTAGTACTAGAGCTGGATGCCAGATCCACATTAGTTCAATGCCAAAGCCCAAAGCCCATTATTTTTTTACCATTCTTGAGATTGTCAAGTAAACTGCCAAGTTTAAAAGCTCAAAGGCACATTTTTTAGAAATAAGTATTACTGCTTAAATTTCAGATACAAATTAGGTTAAAAAAGGTAATTACTACATAAGTTCCAACTACAAATTAGGTGAGAGAGAAATAGACAATCGAAATAGGTGTTAGGTGCTGGTCACTGGGTGTATATGGTGGGGGAGTGTGGGGGGATGCTTCACCGGCTTGGCAGTCAAGGTTTCCCAGAGGAGATGGCATGTGAATAGTGTCAGGAAGATTGGGTAGGACCCAGGGCTTGGGGAGGGGTTGTTGACGTTTTTGTGGGGAGGTCCTGGCTGAAGAAGCAGTGTGTACAAAGGCCAGGAAACGGAATGGATGGTCTATGTCAAGACTCTTGATTTTTTTGCCTTTAACTTATGTAAAAAGAACAGAATGTTCAGAGTTCTTAGGAAAGTTTGTGAATAAAGTGACCACATCCCCTGATCTACTGAAACACTGAATTAAGATCAGAGACTTGCGAGTTTGTATTTTTTCCATTTCAGCAAATCCCTAGGTGCCCTTGGATTTGTTTTAGCTCATATAAATTGGACTTTTCTGAAGATATTGGCTTAATCGATTGCCTTGTCTAGAAAGATCCTTACAGTTGTAAACATTATGTGGTTCTTTACTGAAAATAAAACAAAACATCCTACTGTTTGTTCCTGCAAGGAACACAGGTCCAGAATTGGGAAGGGTGTTGGAAATGGGTCAGAAGGAGGGGAGAAGAGTTGAGGGAATGCATTAAAATAATTTTGACACTTCATTTTACCTACTTTTTTCTATAATGAATGTATATTTTTTGGAAAACTACAAAGTTATTTCTTAAAAGTTAGGACTCTCCAAATGAGAAAGATGCTTGTAGAATGCGAAGGTGATTAAATTTATGGAACAATAAATAGATAGGTAGACATTCATTTTCTATCCTATCAGTATATAGTAGTTAAGAGTTTGTTCAGCAAAAAGGAATATTTGGCACAATAAATTATTTAATATGTAACTCATTCTGTAGTATACGCTGAAAGATACAAAGAGTTATTAGCTACAGGACAGTAGAGTATTGTACAGTGATGTGAAGTACTTTTAAGAGTGTGGGCTGGGCGTGGTGGTTCATGCCTGTAATCCTAGCACTTTAGGAGGCCGAGGCAGGTGGATCCCTTAAGCCCAGGAGTTCAAGACCAGCCTGGGCGACATGGCAAGACCCCATCTCTACAAAAAATATAAAAATTAGCTGGGCATAGTGGCAATGTCTGTAGTCCCAGCTACTCCGGTGCCTGAGGTGGGAGGATTGTTTGAGCACAGGAGGTGGAGGTTGCAGTGAGCCAAGCAAGATCGCGCCACTGCACTGCAGCCTGGGCGACAGAGACCGTGGCTCAAAAAAAAAAAAAAAAATTGTGTTTGGACTCCAGAGGAGCCTGTGTGGGTTCAGTCCCAGCTCTGCCACCCTAAGAGTTGTGTAACCTCAGCAAGTTACCCCAAACCTCTGTTGCTCCATTTGTAAAATAGGCAAAATCATATCAACCTCAGTGGTGGTTGTGAGGAATAAGTGAATTTCTCCATGTAAAGTGCTTAGAATAGTGACCTACATCTAGTAAAAAACACACGTTAATATTGTACAAAAGACACAGACTGGAAGCCTGAACCAAATTAGGCCTGCAGGCATATTTTGTTTTGCAAGAGTGGCATTTGAAAAAGAATGAGAAATTGAATGTTTTAGACAGGATGTGTCCTCTCCAATTGGCCACAGGTCCAGGCATGAGCTATTATCTCAAACTCAGCCTGACTCAAACATTCATGTTACTTGCTTACTCTAAATACTTGTGCTTGTGACCAATTGGTTCAGGAAAATTGGTGAATGGTAGATAAATAACAAGGGATCTGCAATTTGAGGCTGACTTCACAAAGCACAGCCATGCTTTCTCCCAAAATGCCTGTTGTCTTTTAACTAGTTAGACATTTCTCCCTCACTTAGCCATATTACTTGAGTGTAAGACAATGTTTTATTTGTCTTTGTATACCCAGAACCTAAAGTAGATCCTGTTGCTGCTCCAAAAATCTTTGTGGTTCGAATGAACATGCTGTAGTATAATGTGGGCTGGGGGCTCTCAGGAAATGTAAATGGGGATTCTGTCTGATGTGTGAAGTACAAACTGGATATGAGAAAGATGGAACTGGAAGAGTCTGTGTCAAAGCTGTGGTGTCTGGGCAACACATGGGACGTTCAAGAAACCAGGTTGTTAAGTACAGCTGGAAAGCAAAGTGAGGAAGAAGTGAGGCTGGAAGGATAAGGAAGTCATAGGCCACATTAAGGTGTTTGGATTTTAAGAGTGACATGAGATTTGAAAACAAGCACTTCTCCACAGGTGGTCCATAACACATGTATTTTGTGTATATCCTAATGGAGATTATCTACAATGTTTCTAATTTAATCATATCTTTAGATAAGCAGTGCCTTTTGAATCAGATATGAGATAGAATGTTTTTATTGTTATTTGATAACTCTGTGGGTTGACATTTTACTCCCCTCCACAAATACTGTTTTCCTGTAGTGGCTCACGCCTGTAATCTCAACACTTTGGGAGCCCGAGGTGGGTGGATCACAAGGTCAGGAGTTTAAGACCAGCCTGGCCAACACGATGAAACCCTGTCTACTAAAAATACAAAAATTATCCGGGCATGGTGGCAGGTGCCTGTAGTCCCAGCTACTTAGGCGGCTGAGGTAGGAGAATCGCTTGAACCCAGGAGGCAGAGGTTGCAATGAGCCGAGATCGCTCCACTGCCCTCCAGCCTGGGTGACACAGCGAGACTCTGTCTCAAAACAAAACAAAACAAAACAAAAAAACAGTCCTGCCTTGGTGTACTCTGTTTTCCCTTTTATTTTTAATCACGATTAATCTTCCCAGCTGCTTAGTTATATAATAATATCCTGTGTGTTTAAACACAGGCCTACATAATGAATTTCTCAGGGAGTAAGTTCAAGAGCTTTTTTTTTAAAACCTCAGGATCTCTTTTATGGGTGTCACAAGGATTCTTTAGGAATACAACATTGATTTGAGAAGCTATTTTGCTATGTCCTATATTTGTTTCTTGCTGCAGTTTTTTTTTTTTGAGACGGAGTCCTGCTCTGTCACCCAGGCTGGAGTGCAGTGGCGTGATCTCTGCTCACTGCAAGCTCTGCCTCCAGGGTTCACACCATTCTCCTGCCTCAGCCTCCTGAGTAGCTGGGACTACACGTGCCCGCCACCACGCCTGGCTAATTTTTTTTTTTTTTTTTTTTTTTTTGGATTTTTACTAGAGACAGGGTTTCACCGTGTTAGCCAGGATGGTCTCGATCTCCTGACCTCGTGATCTGCCCGCCTCAGCCTCCCAAAGTGCTGGGATTACACGCGTGAGTCCCTGCACCCGGCCTCTTGTTGCAGTTTTATATGATGTCAGTTTTCTAAATTGATTAAGAAATTTCTCAAGTTAATCAACATAAAGACGCTGCCTGCACCCCTTTCTTGTAAGTTGTTCCATTTAAGATGTTAGAAATAGATCTGTTTGAATCTTGCTTTGAGGGAATTTGTAATACACTCTTTCTTAAGAGGTCATTTGAAAAATGAATATGTTTATTTTCTTCTTACACAACTAACTCCCATGTGTTCATTGCAAAAATCATGGGGGAAAAAATAAACACAAAAGTGTAAAGGGAAAATATTTTAAAAGTCACCCATAATTTCACCAGGTAAGAGATAGCCACTGTGATATTATCATTTATTCGTGTGTGTGTGTGTGTGTGTGTGCGCGCGTGCGTGTGCATGATTTCTGGCTCATAACTCCCATAGCCCTTGTTACAGTCTTTTGTTATAATGTTGGAGTGCTTTAGGCCTCAGAAGCAGGCCTCGGAAAACAATCTCTCTGACCTTCTGCTCTCCCTTCACCTGCTCCTTTTTTTTTCTCAAGGCAAGACTCTAATCTTCCCTCACCTTTCTGATTGTGGGTGATAAGACTCCCATTTCAGAAGGGGTGCTGCCTCATACGCTGGGGGAAGGAATGCTCCTCAGAGAAGCCAAGAAGAATCTAAACGGACGGGCCTTGCTGGGTTTCCTCAGTCTACGAGCTTAGATCATACCCTTTTTGTTCATTCATATTTCTGCACAGTTGTCAATTATGCCTATCCAATGAAGTCTCCATAAAAGGCCAAGAGAACAGGGTTTGGAATGTCCAGATAGCTGAACATGTGGAGGTTCCTGGAGGGTGGAGCTCCCAGGGAGGGCATGAAAGCTTCATGCCCCTTCCCCCATATGTCACCATGCAGCTCTTCATCTGTATCCTTTATAATTAGCCAGTAAACAAGTGTTTCCCTGAGTTCTGTGAGCCTAGGTATTAGCAAATTAATTGAACCCAAGGAAGGAGTCATGGACACCCCAATTTATAGATGTTTGGTCAGAAGCACAGGTAAAACAACCTTGGGCATGCAATTGGTATGGGAAATAGGGAGCAGTCTTGGGGCCTGAGCCTTCAACTTGGATCTGACGCTATCTCTAGGTAAATAGTGCTGGAATTAAATGGGAAGTCCCCTGGCTGGTGTCCGCTGCAGAACTGCTGGCTTGCTGGTGGGGAAAAATTTCCACATATTTCTACTGACAACCACTATTAACGTTTTGGTCTATGTCCTCCTCTATTTTTTTCCCCCTTGGCATACATATAAGTACATTCTACATATTGTTTTTTAGTCTACATTTTAATTTAGTAATATAATGTAGAAAAGAAGAGATTAGAAAAATATTCTTAATTTTTCTGTAGAAGATGTTTTATTTAGTGGGAGTATGTTCTTTTCTCTTATTTTGCAGTTATAATCCAAATGTACTTAAGGCCTCCCAGCCTTATGAGGTCTACCTTTCCTTTAATAACCAAATAAAGTTGCTTAAGCCACCATCCCATGGAATATTCTCTGAAAAGCCAGCATAACCTTTGCTAGTATTGATAAGGATTTTTAGGGTGGGATAGAACATGGGATTTATATACTTCTGTCACTTCTAGGTATAGTTTCATTTGCCTTTATTATGGGTGAATTTGAGCACCTTTTATATATTTAAAATCCATTTGTTTATCCTTTGATTTAGTTCTTTATATTTGTCCCCTTGAAGTTTATAAAACCTTTTCTCCCACGATTTCTTTTAGTACTTTCATGTTTTCATTTCTTGCATTTAGATCCACATGGAATGAATTTGAAGCAAGGTGTGAAGTATGCATCCACAGATGGTTGTCCACTTAAGCCAATACCATCAGATTTGAAAAGCCATTCTGAGCATATATCTGTACTCAATTTCTATATATATCTGAGCCTGAAGGGTATTTATTTTATTTTGAGAAATGGGGTCTCTGTTACCCAGGCTGTAGTGCAGTGGAGTGATCATGGCTCACTATAACCTTGAACTCCTGAGCTCAAATGATCCTCCCACCTCAGCCTCCCAAGTAGCTGGGTCTATAGGCATGTGCCATCATGCCTGGCTTGCTTGCTTGCTTTTTTTTTTTTTTTTTTTTTTTGAGAGACAGGGTCTCACTATGTTGCCTGGGCTGGGCTCAGGTAATCTCCCTGTCTTGGCCTCTCAAAGTGCTGGCATTATGGGTGTGAGCCACTGTGCCCAGCATGAAGGGTATTTTAAATAAAGGAAATCACTTTTAAAAAAAAAGTTCTCCTAAAACCCTTTTATTAAAAATAAAAACTCTGAAGTGGGTAGTCACTCTTCACTTGATCATTTTCATAAATCTAGGTTTTTTAAATCATTGTCTAAAGTGGGGTAGAGTCTAGGAAAATCAAATTTCAGTCAATCCCTTCAGTTCTCTCTTTCACTGTGTTTAATGAGAATGAGAAAAATAAGGCATTTTCTCTTTTTGGTTTCCTTTTTTGTTTTCCTCCTTCTCCCTCTTCTAACAGTGAAAAGGCAGCAGAAACAAGGAAGACGATAAATTCAAGGCTTTGATAAACCACACTGCAAGTTAGCACGCTTCTGAGCAAAAATGACACATTCCATAGCTCTGAATCATCTTGACTATCCATTTTGTTTTTATTCTCTTGGTTTTGGACAGGTCCAAACTAAAACATTTTTAGTTTGTTGTCCCATCCAGTTTCCCGATGGGTTACCTCAGATGTGAACCATAATAACCAGGAGAAGTGGCATGCTGGGCCCAGGGCCCAACTGAGGAATGTGAGGCCAACTAATAACTTAGCTCCTTCTAAACTAATATCCATTCAAAGAAATTTTCAAGTCTCATTTAATGTGGATGGAGCTGGTGCCAGGGAGGACTATTTATTGAGATCTTAATTCACAAATGTCTCAAAGCAGTTTAAAATGTTCTTGATGTTACGTAATGAGTTAGAAACCTGTCCAACCACATACCAGATGCATGGGCTGGGGCTGGGACAAGTTACTTGACCAATCTGGACTTCCATTATTCATGACTCCAGGAGCTCCTTCACTCATGAACTGTGTACCTAGACAGAGACACAGCTCAGGGCAGGCATTTTTATTACCTTTGTGTCCCAAGGAGAGGGCCTCCTTTTTTGAGAGGCATAGCATATGGGACAAGAATGTGGTTCTGCAGCTGGGCAGCTTGGGTTTATATGCTGGCTCCTCTACTGCCTACTGATTGACCACTAGCAAGTTATTATATTTAACCTCTCCGTGCCTTCATTTTCCTGCCCGGGGCACTGTCTTCCTAAATCTGTCTTGGTGAAACCAGTTTTAGCTGGCTGTTCTAATAGCCACCTAGCAGGGCTAGGGGGAGCAAAGTCCAGCTTCAGCACTTGGCCTCTGTCCACACGGAGGGGAGGGGCTCCTGGTTACTGCTGGGCAGGGTGGCAGTTCTGGATTCCCACTAGACCTCGTTACTGTTCCTTATGGCCTCCACTGACACCATAGGGAGGTGGCTTCATTGTCACTGGGCTATGGTGAAAGTCCTGACTCTCCACTTGGCCTCCTCTGACACCACCCCAGCAGGGAGGTGGAGGGACTGCCTTGTTACAGCTGTGAGTGGGTGGAAGTTCAGGCTCCCAGTGTGGTCTCCGCTGACACCATGGGGGTGGGAGCCTTTTGTCAGATGGGGATGAAAGAACCAGCTCCCTGTGGCTTTTGCGATACCACACCAGTGGAGGCGAGGCCCCTTGTGATAGCCTGGACTCCCACACCCTTGGGTGGTGTGGGTGGGAGTGGACCATAGGTTTTTCTGTGCTATTTAGCTGGAGTAAGTTGTTACTAAGAGTTTTCTGTTTTGTTAGGCTGCCCCTGTCCTAGTCCTTTGTCTAGAGAAACAGGCTTTTGTTGGGGATTTTTTATTTGCTCCCGTTGGCATTTCTGGGTTGCCAGCTCCTTTATCCCAAGTCTGGGGTACAGGAAACTCATCACCAGGTTGTTCCTTGGATCGCAAAGTCCCTGGCCAGTCTGCTTTCTTACCACCTTTCAGCATCTTCTTATGCATGTTTATACATAATGTCCAGGGTTTTAGTTGTACTTAGTGGGAGCAATAGGGAAAAGTATATCTACTCCATCTTCCTGGAAGCAGCACCAGGATATCACTTAAAAATACTATGAATAGTTGGCTTCATGTTTTTGGCATTGTACAGAGATCCATTTACTGCTGGTATGCTGAATCCCCCACTAGAACAGTGTCTGCACATGGTAGGAGCTGAATAATATTCACTAACTGAGTGAATCCCCATTTCACAGATGAGAAAACTTAGGGAATCAAGTAATTTTCCCCAAATCACACAGCCAGCAATAGGAAGAACTGGGGTTTGAATGTGGGCAGTCTGATTCCAAAGCTCAAGCTCTCAGAAGCATCACTGGGGCAGTCATGAAATTCAAGGCCCCTTTTGTTCTCTTAGGACAATGAAGGAGTGAGAGGGCGCTTCCACTTGAGACAGTAACAACACGACACTTTTCTACTGAATTAAGAATGAATGTCCTTGCGTTCTGCGAGCGAATGCCCAAGGCTGTCATCTCTCCTTCCATTCATTGCCAAACTTTCTGCCTGGTGTCCTAATTACTCCATAATTTCTGTGCAAATGGGGTTCCACTCCAATTTCTTTTCTGCAGCTGCCTTTTTTTTCAGCCCCAAAGACCAAATTCAATAGTGTCTTTCCTAATTCTCATCCTTTTAGGTTTTTCTGCAGTATTTCCTAATGTTGTCTACCACTTCCCAATCTTCCTACTCTTGACTCTGCTTTCTTAGTTTGCCCTCCATCCCTCTGATTGCTTTCTGTCATCTTTCTTCAGCCATCTTCAAGCTGGTGGAATTCCTCAAGAGTCCTCCTTTCTCTTCATTGTGCACAGTCTCATTGTCAGTTCATCTAAGCTCACTTAGATGACTCAACACTCACTTATTCACTCACTGTTCATTTATTGAGCACCAGGCACTGTTCTGTATCCATGAACAAGGTAAACAAGGTGGCTGTTCTCATGGAGCTTATATCTAATGGGAGACACAGAGGTAAACAAACAACAACAGTTATGGAGCACATAGCATATCAGCAATATTAATCACACTTGTAAACTTTTGTATGCATAATCCCAATTATCTGTTAGATTTAAAAACTACGGGGGGTAAGAGTTGCATTATCTACAGAAGACTACTGCTACCACCTTATATGCACTCGTATGATGGTTTGCTTTAAAGCTCTGCTTTCACATAGTTGGTCTTTAAAAATTCTATTGAATTAAAATTATAAAATATTGGCTCGGCATGGTGGCTCACGCCTGTAATCACAGCACTTTGGGAGGCCAAGGTGGGAGGATTACCTGAGGTCAGGAGTTCAAGACCAGCCTGGTCAACATGGTGAAACCCCATCTCTACTAAAAATACAAAAATTAGTTGGGCATGGTGATGGGCGCCTATAATCCCAGCTACTCGGGAGGCTGAGTCATGAGAATCGCTGGAACCCGGGAGGCAGAGATTGCAGTGAGCTGAGACCATGCCATTGCACTCCAGCCTGGGTGACAAGAGTGAGACTCCGCGTCAAAAAAAAAAAAAATTATATATATATATATAAATATATATATATATAATATATATGTATAATATTATTTTTTTCCAAAGATCTTAATTCACAAATGTCTCAAAGCAGTTTAAAATGTTCTTGATGTTACATAATGAGTTAGAAACCTGTCCAGCCACATACCAGATGCATAGGCTGGGGCTGGGACAAGTTACTTGACCAATCTGGACTTCCATTATTCATGACTCCAGGAGCTCCTTCACTCATGAACTGTGTACCTAGACAGAGACACAGCTCAGGGCAGGCATTTTTATTACCTTTGTGTCCCAAGGAGAGGGCCTCCTTTTTTGAGAGGCATAGCATATGGGACAAGAATGTGGTTCTGCAGCTGGGCAGCTTGGGTTTATATGCTGGCTCCTCTACTGCCTACTGATTGACCACTAGCAAGTTATTACATTTAACCTCTCCGTGCCTTCATTTTCTCATCTGTAAAATGGCCTAGTGATAGTGCCTACTTCCTAGAATTATCATGAAGGTTAAGTTAGTTAATAATTGTAAAGTGCCGAAAATAGTGGCTGGCACTTACTAAGTGTACATATGTGTTTGCCATTTTAATCTATTTATATACATACTGTGTCACTTTCAGAGAAAACCAGGTCACTAGATTTTATCTTTTGGAATATTGCTAACATTAAGCTTTGAAATTTGATATTTTCCATCTTGGATGCTTTAAGATTTCAGGTTATCAAACAAATTTAAGAAAGTAAACACATTTTTACTTCTTCTAACTTCAGAGAATGAGCTTCTAAAAATGAGTGTTGAGTTTCTTTCCACTTTGGATTATGAAATTAAAAAGATATACATAAAACAAAACAAAAATCACATAAAAATCCATGAATTCAGAAGCTATATTTGAAATAAACAGGCTAGATGGCAGATAATATATACTAAAACCATTAACGTCACACATAAGGATTATAATATATCAACAACTTCAAGCTGGGCAGAGAATTTCTGGTATCACAGTTCACTTCTATGGGTCTTTGCTTTGCAATTCAACTGAAATTAAAAACAGAAAAACTCTCTATTGGTTTTGAAGCATATCTCCCATGATTTTTTTCCTATTCCCCTCCCCTCCCCGAGTCATCTGCCCTTTATTACTTGCCTTGGTCAGAGGGAGAATATAATTTTAGAAAAACACAAGCAGTAAAAAGCAATTTCTATACCAAGGAAATAATAATGGTGATAATCCAGATCACATAGAAATTAAATCTACTTTCCTAAACAGTAAAACCAGCTAGCTTTGCATGTGTTCATACCATATGATTAATATTAAAGCATAAGGCAACCGGCCGGGCGCGGTGGCTCAAGCCTGTAATCCCAGCACTTTGGGAGGCTGAGGTGGGCGGATCACGAGGTCAGGAAATCAAGACCATCCTGGCTAACACGGTGAAAACCCGTCTCTACTAAAAATACAAAAAAAAAAAAAATTAGCCGGGCATTGTGGCGGGCGCCTGTAGTCCCAGCTACTCGGGAGGCTGAGGCAGGAGAATGGCGTGAACCTGGGAGGTGGAGTTTGCAGTGAGCCGAGATCTCACCACTGCACTCCAGCCTGGGCGATAGAGCGAGACTCCGTCTCCAAAAGAAAAAAAAAAAAAAAAAAAAGCATAAGGCAGACACTACCAGCACTGCACCCTCATTAGCCAGCCAGCTTTGCAGACTCACCACCCCCACAGGCTGTCCTGGAGGTTCCTACGCCTGCAGTGGGAGCTAAGAGGTCAGCTGTTGCCCCAGAGCCGACCCCAGTAACCTTTGCAGCTTCCCTGAGGGCTTCAGGGACCTGCACCCTGTTTAGTGGGCACAGAGAAAATGGCTCATGTCCTGGAAATACCCAGCCTGGCTCCATTGGGCTGTAAGTAGTTCCTGGCAAAATTCCTCATTAGGTAACAATTTGGATGGTGGTGGAGATGTGTCCCTCCTACTTTACCCAAGAGGTGGTAGCGGTGTGGCCTGTGGGAATTTTGAGGGCAGCGGGCAAAAGTCATTCCAGTCCCAGGGCTCAGCTCCAGCAGCGCCCAGGGGCATCTCAGAAGCAGCTACATCATCATCTGTACCACCCCACGCCCTGTGCTTGTTTAGGGCTGAGATCCTATTGGGAGGCATTTGGGGAGGAGGTGAGCTGCGCTGGCAGAAGGTTCAGGGCCGGTCACTGGGGATTTTCCTGCCACTCACATCCCCTTCTTTCAAGTCTTCTTTAACTCTGCACAGATGGGAGTAACAGAAGATGCTGGTTTCCACCTCATCATTTTTTACCTTCTCACCCCCAGAAATTAATCTTCGCATAAACCTCAGGACCAGCACAATGCCTGTCTCAATAAAATGTTAGTTTCCTTTCCTTCTGTATCTCCTGCCTTCCCCTTCCTGGCCACCTAAGACACAGGGCCGTTATGTTGCGGTGCCCTACTTCGCAGCACCCCCAGACCTGCCCAGGGCTGCTCCCCATGCCAGAACCCTCCCTGTCCCCTAAGAACCTGACTATCCTTTGTTTCATTCCCTAAAAGCCTTACTTTTCAAGGCTGAGGCTGCAGCATCCTTTATACTGGTATACACTTTCATGTTTACAAGTGTCATTGGGCATCTACTGGTACTCATCTTAGTTACCCTTGTAACAGAGCCCTTAGATGTCAAACCAAAGCAGTGACTGACACTGAGATTTGTGGCTGCCTGGGTAGGTAGAGAAGAGAGAGAGAGTAGAGTTGACCATGTTTCTCAGCTCACAAGTTCCTATGATGGCTTGGAACCCTGACCAGCATTTTCTTCTGAAGCAACACCCTCGTGGTATGTTCAGCCTTTTTCTAGATCTCTCCAAGACAGAGAAATACTTGTTGCTCCTGCATTGAGGTTGGGCAGATGGGCATTACTGGGGCACTAGTGGCCAAGTTGCCCTGATCCACCCACCTGAGACCAGGTATGTGTGTGGTGGTGCAAGCCACTGCTTTTTCAGGCTGGTGCTGCTGGATGAGAAAGTCCCAAAGTTCTATCATTGAAGGAGCAGCACAAGAGTGAGGACAAATACCTTCACAGGCAGCAAGAAAGTGGTACACAGCAGGGAGGGCAGTGGGCACCTGGGGGAAGAGCAAGGCCCGAGGAGTGAGGGGAAGCAGGCCAACCTCGACGATCTCCTCAGCACCTGAACGCCAAGGCTGGGGAGATCCTCGAGGTTGGCCTGCTTTCCCTCCTTTTCTTACAACTTCTGGAGAAGCGTCAGCCCTCTGCAGGGAGGCGGCCAAGCTGGCAGGCGAGTCGGCGAGGGTGTCATTGCTTATATGGCTGCGGGGACCGAAGCTAGGAATAGACGCGCTGAGGGCTAGGAGGGCTCCGACCGGACGGAAGGATGCCGCATCGCGGGTCGCTGCCCGGAGCTGTGCGAGTTCGGTGCTCAGCCCCAACGGCGCTTTAGGCGGGTCCCCTAGGTTCTCGCCCTTGCGCGCGCAGCCAGGACAGTGTTTCTGCGCTTCCTGAGGCCAAAGCGGGTCTCCCCGTTTTTTCCTCTGGGGATGCCAAAAGCCACTGGAAAAGACAGGAAGCTGTCGCCCCGTCGCATTCTCAGCAAGATGAGGCCGAGTAGGCAGCGCCACCTCTCCCGAGCGCCCGCGCCCCGCTGCCCCAGCCGGGGAGGGACTGGAGGTGAAGTCGCAGGTGCGCTCCCCAGGGAATATCCGGGCTCGCAGACCACGCGGCACCGCCCCCGCCTCGCCCCGCTGCTCCTCCTCCCCCATTCCAGGTGTCTCCTTTTCCGCTTGCCCCTTAAACGTCCCCCTTCCGCAGGGGTCCTGCGAACCCCATCCACTGCCATGGCTCATTCTAACACCTTCACTGGGTGTCTTTTTGCATAACACTTAAAATAAAAATGGATCTGAATCTGATCCCGGCTTCCAGCTTACAGGACATGTCGAGGACAGAGGCACAAGTGAAAGTCCACCCAAGGAATGCAGTCAGCAAAGCCACGGTGTGGGGAGCTCTCTCCAGAGGGTAGGGGAGAAACCCAAAGAGTAAAAGAGACTTTAAAACCTGCCAACCAATCCCAACCTGATGTCCTAATTTGAATCCTGATTCAAATCAACTGCTTTTAATGGAAACTTAAAACTTTAGTGGAAATTTGAACCTGACTTGATATTTGATATAAGAAACCATAGTTAATTTTTTAAGGCATGATAATGGCATTGTGCTTATTTTTAAAGGATAGAGTCCTTATTTTTAGAAATTCAGACTGAAATATTTATGTCTGGAATTAGCTTCAAAATAACGCAGGGAGAAGTGGGTAAGGGTTGGGATGGAACAAGGTTGGCTATGATTTGATCGTTGTTGAGGCTGGGTAATGAAAACATGGGAGTTCGTTCTAGAATTATTTCTACTCTTGTATATTTTTAAAATTCTCTATAATAAGGTTTTAAAAAGAAGGAGAAAAAAAAATGGATATATTCCAGCTGATTAGTCTCAACGTTTTCAGGGCCACATACAAGTAGGGCCCTGAAAATATGTTAATTATGTGACTTAAGATCACCTGGGAGTCCTTTTCGTTACTGACTTGTGCGACTTGTGTGGCTCGTGTGCTCTCATGCTTAATTGGATTGGTCTTTAATCTGGGGCCAGGGAAGTGTTTGACCTGTGGCTGAGATTTCCACCTCTCTGCACTTCCCTTCCTGAACACCAACCAAAAGTGGCCCTGGGTTTCTAACCACCTGAAGATGACTTTCCATCTCCTCCAATGTCCTATGTCTAAAACTGTACAGCCTTATGCACTACCTCCTAACTTCCCCATTTCTATGAATAGCAGAGCATTTCCTCTGCCTCTGTCACAGACTAGAAGCCATCTAGCCATTTTGACTTCCCCCTCCTCTTTTCTCTGTCCCTCCACTTAGTCACCAAGTTCTGTGGATTCCTTGTTCACTGTTTCTCAGACTCATCTCTTCCTCTCCACTCTCACTGCTGTTGTCTAATCCCAGATGTGGATTTTCTCTGTTACATTTACTTCCTCACTGGTTTCCTGTCCTTAGATTCCTCCTTCCAGCGATCCCACCTGCCACTGCCCATTGGAGAGCCCTTAGATCAAGGGCCTCATGTTATGATTAGGCTTTGCAAACTCCAAATTCCTTCTTTTACAACCTCAAAAATTTCATTCAAAGAAAGCAGGAATGATTATCAGGCAGCCAGCAACCCCACCCCTCAAATAGAGTCTAACGTGAAAAACATTATTTCTCAATTGGTAAGCAAACACATCCCTCACTGATTGTTGGTAGGTCAACAACGGCCCAGACTTGGACAGCTGACAAGCAGAACCCAGGGTCACAAGGATCCCATTCATGTGGGTCAACAGACAAATGAAAGAGCTCAAATGACAGAACAGTCCAGAGATTCCTGCTGATTTTTCTAGCGTGCTCTAAAATGGAGCAATACACCAGGTTTCTAAACCATGGACACAAGACGTGACAAATGACTTTCAGATATGTGAATTCATTCATTCAGATGAAATTTACAAAAGCATACAATAATGTCATTTTTAGTTATACACTTAAAATCATCTTTATTAAGAAAAAAATACATTAAATAAAATTAGGACCATACAGGAAAATTCAGTCTGTCAGGTCACCAGGGCCAAATACACAGTCTCAAAATGCTTGGAATGAAAACAATATTTCTCTGATGCCCCCAAACAGACATTTATTATTTTGTCAGCCTAGATTAGCACTCCCTTTTTGGAGCTGGGATTTTATCCTCCCCAGGCCAACCATAAGCATCTCTCGGGGCATGGGAATGTTTCCCTAGAATTTTCTAGTTGGCTTGGTGAATAAGTGTCCTCTTTCCTCTCTGCAGGAAATTAAGGATGCAGACACTCAGGGCGTGTGTCTTGCACAGCCAGCCAGCCTGGGAAAATGAAGCCAACTGGGAGAGAGATTTGAAGGACTCTGGTTCTAGGCATGCGCACTTCTCCAGGTACTTGAGCTTGGAAACCTTCTTGCTTAACTAGCTCTAGGCCAATCTTGCTTCACTCGAACACGCACACACTTCTCCTTGCGCTATTTTGAATTACCAGAGGAGAATCTTTGACAAACACAGGTCGATGTTAGTGTGAGCCAGACTGGGCAACTACACAAAATCAAAATCAGGAAAGGAGAGCCACTTTGCTGGAATCTCCCAGAAGGCTGGTGGGGTGGACTCCGGGGCTTTGAAATCTCTAAAGAGTGGTGACTCACCTCTCCTAGAAATTGCCCTGGTTATATCATAAAAGGGCTCAATTTTTACATGAGGTCTCAATGGTCTTTTTACTTAATGTGACATCATTAGAAAAATCAACCTTTGACCAGAAAGAGGCAGTTCCCTCCTTCCTCACACAATTCACAATTTTCTGGAATTATTAATAAAAATTGCGTATCTCTAGGCAGAAGCTCTCCAATGCTAGATTTTTCACTAATATTCACATACAATTTACCTCAAGTTCCTCCTCTGCTCCTGACCTCTCAGGGCAGCTGTGGTACTCACAGGGTAAATTCCAAACACCTCACCCAGGCACTCAGGGCTTCAAGAATTGGGCCTGACCTTAGCCATCAACATCATTTCCCACTCCAGAATGAACACTTTGCCCTGGTCGTGCCAGTCTCTGTATTTCCTTTACATGAGTCCTGCTCACTCCTTTTCCACACCTTGGTGTAAGCTGCCCTGAACTGTCCCTCTTGCCTGTGTTCTTTCTCTTCGTCTTTTTCTTCCTTTTAAAAAATTGAGTGCTCACTGTGTGCCAGTTATGGCCCTGAATGCTGAGTATAAAATGACTCATAGGCCGGGCACGGTGGCTCATGCCTGTAGTCCCAGCACTTTGGGAGGCTGAGGCAGGTGGATCACCTGAGGTCGGGAGTTCGAGACCAGACTGACCAACATGGAGAAACCCCGTCTCTACTAAAAATACAAAATTAGCCATGTGTGATGGCCCATGCCTCTAATCCCAGCTACTTGGGAGGCTGAGGCAGGAGAATTGCTTGAACCCGGGAGGCAGGGTTTGTGGTGAGCCGAGATCGTGCCATTGCACTCCAGCCTGGGCAACAAGAGCGAAACTCCGTCTCAAAAAAAAAAAAAAAAAATTCATAGCACCTGGTTTTTGCCTTTGTTGAGGTCCTAACCCTCAGTACCTCACAGTGTGACCGTATGTGGAGACAGGGCCTTTAAAGAAGTGATTAAGGTGAAATCATATGAGTGGGCCCTAATCCACTATAACTGATGTCATAAGAAGAGGAGATGAAGCCAGAGACGTGCACACATGTGAAGACACCTGGCGAAGATGGCCATCTATAAGCCAAGGAGGGAGGCCTTCGAAAAAATCAACCCTGGGGATACCTTGATCTTGGACTTCTACCTTCCACAACTGTGAGGAATAAATTTCTGTTTAGACTACCCAGCCTGTGGCATGTTTTTATGGCAGCCTTAGTAAATGAATACAAGGGGCTTACAGTCTGGAGAGGGAGACAAATAAGAAAAGAAGCAAGAACAACACAGCCTTGTAAGCACAGTCATTCCCCCTTCTCCATGGGGAATATGTTCCGAGACTTCCAATGGATGCCTGAAACCTTGGATAGTTCCAAACCCTATATATACTATATTTTTTCTATCCGGTAACTGAGATGACTAAGTCACTAACTAAGTGACTAAGGGATAGGAACGTCTACAACGTGGAGATGCTGGACGAAAGGATGATTCATGTCCCAGGTAGGACAGAGCGAATGGCAGATTTCAGAACTCAGAACAGCATGCAATTTAAAACTTACAAAGTCTTTATGTCTGTGATTTTCCATTTAGTACTTTCAGATGCAGGTGACCATGGGTAACTGACACTGCAGAAAGCAAAACCTTGGACAAGAGGGCACTACTCTACCATGACAGGAGAAGCATAGAACTCTCAGTTGTGGGAGACGAGGAGTAGTGTTAGGACATTTCCCAGGGGGATGTTATTCTGGGTTGTAAAGGTCATGAGAAGTGCCTGTCCCTCCAAGGGTGCAAGGGTGACCAGAAGCAAGCTCTTAGGCATGGGTGGGCTTGCTGTGGATCTCATCATCCTGCTTCTACATGAGCCAAAGGCAAGCCAGTCTAGGTGCATGGCCAGCCCCCCGAGATGGAGCTCATGGTGAGGGACCAGCCAAGTCAATCACATCTGCCTTGGTAGATGGAGCCAGCAGCAGGAAAAGAAGCTGAGAGCCGCGGAAGGAAGGTAGTGAACAGCAGCCACGGGACCACAGATATGAGGCCACTCATAAAGCAGACCCAGGAGGCAGAGAAGAGGCTAAACAGTGAGCCTGGGACAAAGGAGCCCATGGAGAGAATCAAAGGTGGAGATGGAGGCCACAGGCATCATGGGGCCACTGGAGTGGAGAGAGTTTCAGAGGGTTCTGGCTGGGGTCGGTCCCCTGAGGCATGGCTCTGCAGCTGATATGCTTGCATGCATTGAGTGTGGAGAACTTAGTGTGGAGAACTTCTGTGGTTTTGGCAAATGCATAATGTCATGTATCCACCACCACAGAATCATGCAGAATAGTTTCACTGCCTTTAAAAAAATCCCAGGCTGGGCGCAGTGGCTCATGCTTGTGATCCCAGCACTTTGTGAGGCCAGGGCAGGAGGATCGCTTGAGCCCAGAAGTTCAAGATCAGCCTGGGCAACACAATGAGACCCTGTCTCTACAAAAAGAAAAAGAAAATTAGCCCGGCATGATCACACTCACCTGTAGTCCCAGCTACTCCGGAGGCTCAGTGGGGAGGATTGCTTGATCCCAGGAGTTTGAGGCTGCAGGGAGCTGTGATTGTGCCACTGCATTCCAGCCTGGGTGACACAGTGAGCCCCTTTCTCTGTTAAAAAAAAAAAAAATATATATATATATATATATCCCCTGTACTCCACCTATTCAAGCCTTCCCCTCTTCCCCAGAACCTCTGGCAATCACTGATCTGCTTACTGTTTCTCTAGTTTTGCATCATTTCGAATGTCATATAAATGGAATCATACAGTTTGCAGGCTTCTCAACCTGGTTTCTTTCACTTTGCAGTGTGCAGTTCAGATTTGTCCATGTTTTTGTGTGGCTTGATAGCCCATTCTTTTTTATTGATGAATAATGCACGCAGGCATCCATTGTATGGATGCACCACAGTTTGTCTACTCACCTATTGAAGGACATCTTTTTTTTTGTTTTTGTTTTTGAGAGGGAGTCTTGCTCTATCCACCAGGCTGGACTGCAGTGGTGTGATCTTGGCTCACTGCAACCTCCATCTCCTCTGTTTAAGAAATTCTGTCTCAGTCTCCCGAGCATCTGGAATTACAGGCATGTGCCACCATGGCCGGCTAATTTTTGTATTTTTAGTAGAGACGGGATTTCTCCATGTTGGTCAGGCTGGTCTCAAACTCCCAACCTCAAGTGATCCGCCCACCTCAGCCTCCCAAAGTGCTGGGAGCCACCGTGAACCACTGTACCTGGCCCTATTGAAGGACATCTTGATTGCTTCCAGTTTGGGGCAATAAATTCTTTTTAAAATAAAATATTTTGTAAAATTTGCAATACATAAAAAACATTAAGGATATCTTATTAGACTAAATCTACTTTGTAAATGCCCAAGAATAGCAGGTCTTTATTTTTAAGTACATCACTGAGATAAGTGAGGTTGCTTTGATCAGAGAGCTCCATGATTTTGGTTTTCTTTTAGTTTCAGTACCCATGACATTCCATTCAAAGGTTTGTGGAATCACTAAGTCTCTAAAGATGAAAGTTTGAAAACCATTGAACTAAAGAAGATTCAGTGAGAAAACTGGATGAGAGAAGGAGGAAATTTATTGACAACAATTAAACTATAGGACCAAACTCTTAATAGAGGAAAATAAAAACTGATTCTTGAAGGAAGAAGAAATAACTTCATTTTAATTTTTTTAGACTTTTTTTTTTTTTGAGACAGGGTCTTGCTTTGTCGCCTAGGCTGGAGTACAGTGCTGCAATCTCGGCCCATTGCAACCTCCGTCTCCCAGGCTCACTTGATCCTCCCACCTCAGCTTTCCAAGTAGGTACCCACCACCACGCCTGGCTAAATTTTGTATTTTTTGTAGTGATTTTTTGTAGTGTATTTTTGTAGTGTATTTTTTGTAGTGATTTTTGGTAGTGTATTTTTGTAGTGTATTTTTTGTAGTGATTTTTTGTAGTGTATTTTTGTAGTGTATTTTTTGTAGTGATTTTTTGTAGTGTATTTTTGTAGCGTATTTTTTGTAGTGATTTTTTGTAGTGTATTTTTGTAGCGTATTTTTTGTAGTGATTTTTTGTAGTGTATTTTTTGTAGTGATTTTTTTGTAGTGTATTTTTGTAGTGTATTTTTTGTAGTGATTTTTTGTAGTGTATTTTTGTAGCGTATTTTTTGTAGTGATTTTTTGTAGTGTATTTTTGTAGTGTATTTTTTGTAGTGATTTTTTGTAGTGTATTTTTTGTAGTGATTTTTTGTAGTGTATTTTTGTAGTGTATTTTTTGTAGTGATTTTTTGGTAGTGTATTTTTGTAGTGTATTTTTTGTAGTGATTTTTGGTAGTGTATTTTTGTAGTGTATTTTTTGTAGTGATTTTTGGTAGTGTATTTTTGTAGTGATTTTTGTAGTGTATTTTTGTAGTGTATTTTTGTAGTGATTTTTGTAGTGTATTTTTGTAGTGTATTTTTGTAGTGATTTTTGGTAGTGATTTTTGGTAGTGTATTTTTGTAGTGTATTTTGGTAGTGTATTTTTGTAGTGATTTTTTCTAGTGTATTTTGGTAGTGTATTTTTGTAGTGATTTTCGGTAGTGTATTTTGGTAGTGTATTTTTGTAGTGTATTTTTGTAGTGATTTTTGGTAGTGTATTTTTGTAGTGTATTTTTGTAGTGTATTTTTTGTAGTGATGGGGTTTCATCATGTTGCCCGCTGGTCTCAAACTCCTGGGCTTAAGCAATCCTCCCACTTTGGCCTCCCAAAGTGCTGAGATTACAGGCATGAGCCACTGTGCCCGGCCAAATGACTTATTTTCTTTTCTTGGAGCAAGCTGTTTGAGCACAGCAATCGGAGCCTTAGCTTTGGGCCAAGCTGTGTTATCCCAGGATTTGATGCTGGACCCTTGGGCCAATATGTCTCAGTTCACCCACTGTGCTCTCACCCCATGTTAGCCCACCTAGCCTCGTACTCAAGGACAGAGTGCTGATCTTCCAGCTTCTTCATGTATCCTTTCTACAAATACTGAGCCTGCATGTTGATGGCTGCACTGTCTTAGGCTCTGGGAACAAAAGAGTGAACAAAAGTCAGCACAGGTTCCGCCCTTTGGGAGTTTACATGGAGTCCTGAGTCCTGCATCTTTTTTTTTTTTTTTTTTTTTTTTTTTTTTTTTTTTTTTGAGGTGGAGTCTTTCTCTGTTGCCCAGGCTGGAGTGCAGTGGTGCGATCTCAGCTCACTATAACCTCTGCCTCCCAAGTTCAAGCAATTCTCCTGCCTCAGCCTCTCAGCCTCTGGAGCCGTTGGGACTACAGTGCACTACCATGCCCAACTAATTTTTGTAGTCTTAGCAGAGATGGGGTTTCGCTATGTTGGCCAGGCTGGTCCCTAAGTCCTGACCTCAGGTGATCTGCCCACCTCTGCCTCCCGAAGTACTGGGATTACAGGCCTGAGCCACCGCGCCTGGCTAGTCTTGCATTCCTCATTCTAAAGATCTAGGTCCCAGCCCACCTTCTTTGTCAGCTTACTCAGCTATCCTGATACGCTGATTGGTGGCCTTAATGATGAAGGATGATGGTAGAGGAAAACATTTAATGACCCACGGACTCCGATAATACTCAAGAGCACAAATACAAAGAAATTAATCAAGGGAAGAGAGAAATGAAAATACTACATTTCAGTGAGAGTCTAGTAAAAAGAAAAGCATAATGTTTTTCCCATCCAAGATCACAGAACCCCTGAATTTTATCCATGCATCTTAGTTTAAGAACTCCTGTTGGGCCGGGCGTGGTGGCTCACGCCTGTAATCCCAGCACTTTGGGAGGCCGAGGCGAGCGGATCATGAGGTCAGGAGATCAAGACCATCCTGGCTAACACGGTGAAACCCCATCTGTACTAAAAAATCCAAAAATAAAATTAGCCGGGCGTGGTGGCGGGCACCTGTAATCCCAGCTATGGGAGGCTGAAGCGGGAGAATGGCGTGAACTCGGGAGGCGGAGCTTGCAGTGAGCCGAGATCGCGCCACTGCACTCCAGCCTGGGTGACAGAGTGAGACTCCGTCTCAAAAAAAAACAACAAAAAAAAAAAAACTCCTGTTGTTAAAATCTGAAAAAGAGAGAAACAAAGCTGAAGCTAGTAGAAATAACTGAAGTAAGAGGAATAAGAGGCATATGGTGGAAACCAGAAAAGAATTAGGCTGGGTGCGGTGGCTTATGCCTGTAATCCCAGCACTTTGGGAGGCCGAGGCAGGAGGATCACTTGAGCCCAGGAGTTTGAGTCCAGCCTGGGCAACATGACGAGACCCTGTCTCATTAAAAAAATAAAAAAGAAAAACTAATAGTGCAGCAATGGTAGGAAATGGGGTGGGTGCTGTGCTGCTGCTGTTGGGATGGGAGGGTGTGAGGAGTAAATAGAGAGGCCCTGGTGCCCAGCTGTATTCTCATACTGTCAGAATCATCTCCTTCTGTTCAGAATCACTCGAAGGTACTTAATACACTGTATGATTTCCAAACAGATACCTAGAATTTATGAAAATAGTTTGGATTTCCTGTTTTATGAAATAATCTCTCTCCTGTGGTAGGGGCGGGGGTGGGAGGAGCTTTCATATGTTCATGTGTTCCTTAGCATTCTTTTTGTTTGTTTGTTTGTTTGTTTTGTTTTGTTTTGTTTTGTTTTTTGAGACGGAGTCTCGCTCTGTCGCCCAGGCTGGAGTGCAGTGGCGGGATCTCGGCTCACTGCAAGCTCCGCCTCCCGGGTTCACGCCATTCTCCTGCCTCAGCCTCCCAAGTAGCTGGGACTACAGGCGCCCGCCACTACGCCCGGCTAATTTTTTGTATTTTTTAGTAGAGACGGGGTTTCACCGTTTTAGCCGGGATGGTTTCGATCTCCTGACCTCGTGATCCCCCGCCTCGGCCTCCCAAAGTGCTGGGATTACAGACGTGAGTTGTTTGTTTGTTTTTTTGTAGAGACAGAGTCTGTATGTATTGCCCAGGCTGGTCTCGAGCTCCTGGCCTCTAGCAGTCCTCCCGTCTCAGCCTCCCAAAGTGCTGGGATTACAGGTGTGAGCCACTGCACTTGACCCATATTCCTTAGAATTCTTTCAGGGTTTTATCTGTCTTTGTTTTTACATTTAACTTTTCAATCTAAATGGAATTAATTTTGGTAAATTGTGTAAGGTGATGCTAAAATTTTTTTGATCCCTAACAGCCAGCCTATTTTCCCAGCTTCATGTAGTAGATAATTCTTCCTTTCTCCACTAAACGGGCTCTGTCTTTATCATCCATTACATTCTTATTTGTACCTGATCAGCTTTGAATGCTATTCTGTAGCATTTATCAGTCTAGCTATCATTATAAGTTATCCATCTAGTTATTTTTGTATCAGGACCGCATCTGTTTAATTCTTGAGCTCTTTAAATGTGTTTAATACTTCCTAAGACTTTTTCACATTATTCTTGAATGTTAATTTTAGCACTTTTCACATGCCTACTCATCTAGAACAGCAGTTCTTAAGCTTTACTGTGCTATGGTTCCCTTTATTAAAACCTTTGAACCCTTTCTCAGATAATGACTTTAAACGGATAAAATAAGCAGGATTAAAAAGAAAGTCAATTTAATTTAAAAATAGCCATCAAAATATTTAAAACCTTATGATGCAGTAAATATGTACTTCTTTATTAATGCATTAATTACAAGATCTAGCAGCAGGTCTCATCCCTACTACCACAGTCTCAAAGTAGCAATGATCATAGGTGGTATTTCTAAATAACTGTAACAACCATAATGTAATACGAAAATATCTGTGATTTCTAATGGAGACAAAGTCCCAGAGACTGCTTATATGACCATGTTTCGTTACCTACATTCATAAATAAAGAAAATGCTACATTTCAGTTAGAGTCTAGTAAAAAGACAAGCATAATGTTTTCCCATCCAAAATCACAGAACCCCTGACTTTTATCCATGCATCTTAGATTAAGGACTTCTGTTGTAGATAAAATCTGAAAAAAAATGTGTCACATTTTAGAAAAACTCACTGGGATATTTACTGGGAATTGTGTAAGTTTGATAAATCAATCTGGTATGAAAAATTCATTCTTCCTATATTTATTATTTCATTATTTATTTATCTAAGAACATTAGTAAACCCAAGTTTTGTTGCTTTTCACATAGAAGTTTCTCATTTCTTTTGGTGGTATTCCTAGGATTTTTTTTCTATTGTGAATGCAAAAATTTTCCATTTAATGAATTTTTAAGTCCCCTAGTTATTTTGAATCAAAATTTGGACACCCTATTATTTCTTTATATATATTTCAGTACATATCTCTAAAAGATAAAGACTTTAAAAAACTACTACCACATCTTTTAAAAAATAAATAATTTTTTAATACTAGAAAACGTCATCTGTGTTTAAATCTTCCCAACTGCCTCATCATATTTTTTAAAACTTAGTGCTTTGTTTAAGTTAGGATTCAAAGAAAGTCCATACCTTACTCTTCATATTGTTTTTTGCATCCTTAGTCTCTCCTTGGTTTGAGTCCAACACCTGGCTAGAGTTAACTTGTGATTTGGCTAAAACACATTGGCGTCACTTTCCAATACGTGCTATTCAGCATCCTTGGGTACCAATTCCATGGCTTGGTGTGAATTCATTTGGCTTCCTAGGTAATTGGACTCAAACATGGAGAGACTTTAGATGGCAAATGCTAAATAAGATGGCTAGAAATCTAAAATTTCTTATGTGTCCTACCTAGACAGGGAGGTTCCTGTCTGTACCAAAACAACACTTGGGTACCTGTCGTAGGATTTAGCTTTTGCAACCAAACTTTCCCACAAATAGAACTTGAGAAAGAACTGGGGAATGGTTAGAGGCTGCCTTACTTTTATAGCCCTTATTTTAAAAAGGCATAGCATATGGACAGAGTCAGATCCAAGTAATTTTGGTTTAGATCTACCTGAAAATCTCTATACTAAAAACATCATTGGCCTGAATCACACTCAATAGAGGCATAAGGCATTATAATACCACTTGTCAACTCCTTAGTATTTTGGCCAAAGACTGATGGCCGTTATTAATGGCTACTGGCTTTGGAGCATGAAAGCCCATTGGCTATTACCTGCATATTGGACAGGGATTTGTTATCTTGGTAATCAATGCCTGCTTCAAGGATAGGCCCTAACAGGATCCAGGGTCGGTTTGTCCCATAAAGTTCCCTTTTTGGAAAAAGAAGTCTTTAGATAATGTGATTCAAGATGAGAAAAGTTAGACCTTGATCTAAGTTCAAAAACTTTAACTACGGAAGAGGAATTGTGGGCTGTCTTCTCCTCCTCCCATGCCTCTTCATTCTACACTTTACCAAAGGCTTAAAGAATGAGAAAATCCTACGTACTATGGTTCAATAATAGCAGGAGAGCTTGTCAATATCACCATGGTCATAGAAAACCTCAGCCAGGAGACTCATAAAATTGGACAGGCGGTGATTAGGAACAGAACTCTTCCAGATACCTGAAAAGGCCTCTTAAGGTGAAACATATGCCACTTTGCCAGGCACGCTGGCACTTGCCTGTAGTCCTAGCTACTCGGGAGGCTTGAGACTGTAGCATGCTGTGCTCGTGCCTGTGAATAGCCACTGCACTCCAGCCTGGGCAATATGGTGAGACCTCATTTCTAAAAAAAAAAAAAAATTTTAAGAGATATTTAAAAAACTATGCCACCTTAAAAGAATGCTTTGCTTGCATTTCCACAGACCTCTGTAGACTCTTTAACATTTCTAAAAAGATTCAAGACATAAACATGAAAATCAGATGAGATAATTTACATAATACCCACATATCTGGTTCTGCAGGTTCTGCGGATTAGGGATGGGGCTTTATTAATTTGAGTAAACTTGAGTCTTGGTTTAGAAATGAACTACAAACTCTGATCATGATCTATTCTCCTAGTATTTGTGTTGCAGTGTTTAAATATGTGACCTCCAGAGTCCCAAACGCTAACTTTTGCAAAGCCATTATCCTGTCACATGATCCACAGCTTACCCAGCAACAGGAAGAGCGACAAACTTCCTTGCATCTATAGGCTATGTTCTCATAACTGCCTCTAGACCAGCCTGGGTTATGGTGAGAATCCAGAATAACGTCCTGTCTACCCATGGCCAAAACAGGGGACTGAAGGAGAAAAACCTGACCAGGACTGGAAGAATAAAAATCACCTCAAACTGAGAAAGAAAAAAAGCAGCCCTACCTTTAATCGGGCTGTGAGGATAGCGACAGGTAATGCCAACTGCAAAATAAACAGAAAACAGTGTTCCCCTCAACACTGTAACATGCCACAATCCTATCTTTGAGTGATTACTGATTTGTACCAATGGCACCCCAGATGCACTTTGCTATTTTCATTTGTTACTGTGGATATATTGCTTAGCCCCATGGCAGCACCCAGTCCCTAGTTAATCCCTGCTTCTCCTGATCCTGTTCTCAGAAATAGCAAACTGTCCGAAATGGCCTCCTTCCCTTAAACCCTCCTCAGAATCCCTCAGTGGGAAGGCAAACCTGACAAAAGGCACCTCCCTCCTTCCTCTTGTCTCTCTCTTTTTTCTTTTCTTTTCTTTTTTTTTTTTTTTTCGAGACGGAGTTTCCTCTGTTGCCCAGGCTGGAGTGCAGTGGCGCGATCTCCGCTCACTGCAAGCTCTGCCTCCTGGGTTCATGCCATTCTCCTGCCTCAGTCTCCCGAGTAGCTGGGACCACAGGCGCCCCCCACCACGCCCGGCTAATTTTTTTTGTATTTTTAGTAGAGACGGGGTTTCACCGTGTTAGCCAGGATGGTCTCGATCTCCTGACTTCGTGATCCGCCCGCCTCCGCCCCCCAAAGTGCTGGGATTACAGGCGTGAGCCACCGCGCCCCGGCCCCTCTTGTCTCTTGAGTGCCTTCTCCCTGTGTGATCAGGTCAACACATCCTAGAGTCCCTGCAGGGGTGATGGGCACTGTCATCTGAGGGAGGGGCAAGCTGTCCACTGGGTGCACCATTAGCAGTTTGTGGGAGTTACCTGGGACCAAATACAACTTTTCTTTTGCCTTTTTTTTTAAAAAATTCTGCATGGTGCATATTTTTGGTAAAACTTTCAAAAATATAGAAAGCTTAATGTGATGGATACACACACACAGGCGCTCTCATTCTTAAAGAGTAGCCAACATAGGAAAGGTCCAGAAAGATCTGCAAATACAACTTTTCATACTTGCATCTTCCGTTTTCTCTTTCCTGCAGTGGTTTTCCCTCCCCACCCACTGACTGCTTCTTATACATTAACAGGCATCCCCAAAGATTTTTTTTATACCCATATCTGTGATTCTTTGTACTTTTTCCTTTCTTGGAGTAAGAGGCTCTGTTTCGTCATGACTGAAGTTCCCCCGATTATTTCCTCCAAAGTTTCCTGGGACTTTTTTTCATCCCATCATTTGGCTGTAGCAATTGTTCTTCTGCATTTTTCTGGCTGCTGGTTCATTTCTCTACCTGTTTCCTGCATCCATGCCTTTCATGCCTTTCATTTAAACTTCCATACAGCCAACTCTATTTGCAGTATAAAACCTTTCTTTGGCTTCCTCCTTTCCAAAAGCACTTTTACTTTAAAACATTTAATGATATTTCTCACCATTCTGTGCCTCCATGAAAAGAGATCCCAATTTCCTTCCCTTGTCCTTCTACTTTATTTTTCATTTCCTTCTGTTCAAACACGGGTTGCTAACATGCTGGGTCCAGCTGAGCCATCACCCAGCTTTTGAGACGTTCATTTTCACCGTCACCACAGAACCGCAGTGTCTTCCCTGGTACATTTCACAACTTTCAGTCTTTCTTGCTCATGCCCTTCAGGGCCGGGGAGTGGCACACATACAATTACAGCGAAATTACCACTGTTTCTCAAGATCTCCTCTTCCTCCAGCTAATTGTGGAAACTTCAGTCCCTACGCACCCCATCAGGCTGTTTCCTGGTAGCAGAGGAGAGGCAGCTCATAAACTCTTCTTGGCAGCACTGAAGACTAGCTGACCCTGCGGATGCCATGCTGGCCCTGGCACCTTGGGCCACCTGCTCGCCACCCCCATGAGGTTGTCCACAGCCAGGTGCCTGCACTGCAGCTGCTGTGATGCTTGAGGCACTGCCTGCAAACCTCATGGCTATAAGGACCAGGTGGCCACCTGGGCTCACAGCCTCCCACAGGCTGCCTCTCACCTCTGCCACAGCTATGCCCATCCTGGCGCCCTAGAGTCCTGGTGTGCTGGAAAGTGACAGATATGCCCATTGGATGGGGTCCTAATGTGAGGCTGCCCTTGTCCACTCTGGATTCTTTCCATATTCCCTCTAGAAAAGGTAACTGGAAGGATCAAAGTCATTACCTTCCCCACGTTGAGCTAGAGTTGAATATTCTTCCATTGGGGGCTGCCTGGCTGGATTCCGCTCTCTTCTACCCTGCCTTTCCTTCTCCACCCAAAACACACCTACCTCATCAGTGGTTTCCCACACTTTGTAAAACAACAGGATGGGTCTACAGGATGGTCTCCTCTCTAGATGCTGCAGCCCATTCCCCTTTTTGACATGTACACTGGAGATTAGACCCTGTATTCTCTCATAGTGATCTCAGGCTTTGGCTTCAGAAGTCAATTTTAGGTTAATTTCAGCCAAGTCACTTTTTTGGGGTTTTGTGTGTGTGTGTGTGTGTGTGTGTGTGTGTGTGTGTGTTTTCTTTTTGTTTTCTTGTTTTTATTTTATTTTATTTTATTATTTTTTTTGAGACAGCGTCTCACTTTGTCACCCAGACTGGAGTGCAGTGGCGCCATCTCGGCTCACTGCAACCTCCGCCTCCCGGGCTCAAGTGATTCTCCTACCTCAGCCTCCTGAGTAGCTGGGATTACAGGTGCACCACTACTGCCTGGCTAATTTTTGTATTTTTTTAGTAGAGACAGGGTTTCACCATGTTGGCCAGGCTGGTCTTGAACTTCTGACCTCAAATGATTCACTGGTCTCAGCTTCCCAAAGTGGTGGAATTACAGGCATGAGCCACCGCGCCCAGCCTTGTTTTTCTTTTTTTTGAGACAAGGTCTGGCTCTGTCGTCTAGGCTGTAGTGCAGTGGTGCGATCTCCGCCCACTGCAACCTCTGCCTCCCAGGCTCAAGCCATCCTCCTACCTCAGCCTCTTGAGTAGCTGGGACTACAGGCACACACCACCTCGTCCAGCTAATGTTTGTATTTTTGTGGAGAAGGGGTTTCGCCATGTTGCCCAGGCTGGTCTTGAACTCATGAACTCATGCCTGCATGAACTCATGAACTTCTGCCTCCGCCTCCCATAGTGCTGGGATTACAGGTGTGAGCCACCGTACCCAGCCTCCAAGTCACATTTCTGAAAATTTCTTTGAAATTCCCATCCAGTATCACTGTATATAGAAGAAATATATATACATAGTGTAAACTGTGTGTATATATATATATAAAAGGGAGAGGACAAGATTGTCAATATTCTTACTTTTCACATCTCATAAATAGAATTTCCTTTCCACAACCTCAGAGTTTTACAGAGTGGATGGAAGCAGTAATTCTCCAGGAAGTTTCTAGTATGGTGGTATCAGCCACTCACTGCCTCAAACCCAGTGAAACCCTCCGTAACACAGACTAGGATATGCCACAATTGGCAATGGGTACCCCTCTTCCAAATGGACCCAAATTCCTATCTCAGGCATGAGGTGAGGTCACTAGTTCACTGCCCAGTGGTCATCTGCACTTGCTCAGCTCATTGTGGAGTCAGTGGGCACAGACTAACTTTATCTTATGTGCTTTTTGGGAAATCCCAGAGAGGTTGAAAAATATTATTTTTAGTTAACGTCACAACAGTGGGGCCCATGTGTTGTGTTTTCATATTAGACTCCACTTACCTCACTATTATGGGTTTTACTGTACTTTCCTACTGTTTGGATAAATATCTGCTGCCCTGCGGGTCCTCTACCCCAGGTCCTTCCAAGCCCCTCCTCCAAATGACTTCCCACATTTCTGGCATCCCGGCAAGAGGTGGGAGGGACAGTTTACAAGACCCTGCACCTCAGCAGGTGTCTTTTCTTAAGAGACACCTTAAGGTGGGTGCTCCTTATTAAATATTTCAGATTATGTCTGTCTATTCGGTGTGGCCCCTTTCCCAAATCACCGGTTGTGGGGAGAACCCCACAGCTGCCTCTGTGCACAGGAAGTGGGTTCTCTGTATCAAATCAGGGTTTTCCTCCCTCTGACTCTAGAATTTCACATTCCTAGGCCATTTACCTAGCACGCCTGCACCTGTGACTTAAGTATGATAACGTGAGTTGTTGTATGATTGTGTTTACTTCATTCTTTAGTTCATGGCCTGAGCTCCCCTTCTCTTGTTTTTGACTTCTTGGGTTCTGCCTTTATCTCATGTCTTTCCTTGTCTCCAGCTCTATGTTCTGACATTTCTCCTTTCTTGGAGACTTGAGATTCTTTACAGTGAACTTTCTACTCTCCCCTCCCTGCTTTTCTCCTCTGCGGGCTTCAGATAAAGTTGAGTCATGGTTCGCCCATTTCCTGTCTTCTCCCCGCCGTTTCTTACTGTCCCATCTTGTTGATTGTTTAATACTAGGAGGGTGTGATGGTTAATACTGAGTGTCAGTCAACTTGATTGGATTGAAGGATACAAAGTATTGATCCTGGGTCTGTGAGGGTGTTGCCAAAAGAGATTAACATTTGAGTTGGTGGGCTGGGGAAAGCAGATCCACCCTTAATCTGGTGGGCACAATCTAATCAGCTTCCAACGAATATAAAGCAGGCAGAAAAACACAAAAAGGAGAGACTGGCCTAGCATCCCAGCCCACATTTTTCTCCCGTGCTGAATGCTTCCTGACCTCTATATTGGACTCCAAGTTCTTCAGTTTTGAGACTCGGACTGCCTCTCCTTGCTCCTCAAGCTTGCAGACAGCCTATTGTGGGACCTTGTGATAGTGTAAGTTAATACTTAATAAACTCATATATATATTAATAAACTCATATATATATTAATAAACTCATATATATATATATCCTATATATCCTATTCTGTCCCTCTAGAGAACCTTGACTAATACAGAGGGTGACCTTTCCATTCGCCAAACACCTGCTGTATTAGTCCGTTTTCACACTGCTATAAAGAAATACCCGAGACTGGGTAATTTATAAAGGAAAGAGGTTTAATTGACTCACAGTTCCACATAGCTGGGAAGACCTCAGGAAACTTACAATCATGGTGGAAGGCAAAGGGGACCTTCTCACATGGCGGCAGGAAAAACAAGAGTGAGGAGGGAAAGGGGAAGAGCCTCTTATAAAACCATCAGATCTCATGAGAACTCGCTCACTATCATGAGAACAGCCTGGGGGAAACTGTCCTCATGATACAGTCACCTCCCACAAGGTATCTCCCTAGAGACATGGGGATTATGGGGGTTACAATTCAAGATGAGATTTGGGTGAAGACACAGAGTCTAACCATATCACCCGCCATGGCTGAACTCTATTTGATGTTCATGCTGAAGCTCTTCCAAAAAAACCTTGTCAGTCTTTTCTGCAAAAAGCTCTTCCCTGCATTTATTCAAGCAGAAGAAAATAACTCAATTGTTCATCTCTCTCTCTTGCTCTCTCTTTTGAGACAGAGTCCTGCACCCATGCTGGAGTGCAGTGGCGCCATCCTGGCTCACTGCAGCCTTGACCTCTTGGGTTCAAGCGATCCCCCCCAGCTCAGCCTCCTGAGTAGCTGGGACTACAGGTGTGTGCTACTGCCCCTGGCTAATTTTTTTTTTTTTGTAGAGACAGGGATCTCGTATGTTGCCCAGGCTGGTCTCAAACTCTTGGTCTCAAGCGATACTTCCACCATGACTGCACCAGGACTTTTCCTGTTTCTTAATTCCTTTAAGGCAAGCCCAACTCTGTTTACCTCCATTATATAATATTATGCTCTTGGATAAACTGCCTAAGTGCATGTTAACTGTAAAGGGCAGATGTCATTTACCTGTCATATTTACTCCTTTCTCATTTATTTATATCAGGACTTAGTGTTCCCAACTTCACACTGCACTCCGAGTTTTGAGTCACACCTGTGTGTCTTCTGCTGTCTCTAAATGAAACTATCTACCATGTGGTTAACTTAAAATTCCCCTTTGACACAATTTTTTTTTTTTTTTGAAATGGGACTCTCACTCTGTCACCCAGGCTGGAGTGCAAAGGCATAATCTTGGCTCACTGCAATCTCCGCATCCCAGGTTCAAGTGATTCTCCCACCTCAGCCTCCCAAGTAGCTGGGATTACAGACACCTGCTATCATGCCTGGCTAATTTTTGTATTTTTAGTAGAGACGAGGTTTCACCATGTTGGACAGGCTGGCCTTGAACTCCTGATCTCAAGTGAGCCACCCGCCTCAGCCTCCCAAAGTGCTGGAATTACAGGTGTGAGCCACCTCACCTGGCCCCCTATGACATAATTTGATTCCACACTAATTGTCTCCAGGCCAAACCCCAAACTGGTCAGCATTTTTCACTAAAGCTATTTAATATCTCACGAAGCCTTTTTTTTTTTTTTTTTTTTTTTTGAGATAGAGTCTCGCTCTGTCGCCCAGGCTGGAGTGCAGTGGCACGATCTCAGCTCACTGCAACCTCCGCCTCCCAGGTTCAAGTGATTCTCCTGCCTCAGCCTCCTGAGTAGCTGGGACTACAGGTGTGTGCCACCACGCCCGGCTAATTTTTTGTATTTTTAGTAGAGATGAGGTTTCACTGTGTTAGCCAGGATGATCTTGATCTCCTGACCTCATGATCGGCCTGCTTTGGCCTCCCAGGTGCTGGGATCACAGGCGTTAGCCACCGCTCCCGGCCTGCTGAAGCCTTTTAAGGGCAATACAAAATCCTATATCCATTTTACTTTTGCAGAAATAGTATCCAAAATAAAACCGGTTTCTCTACTGATCGGCAATTTCATGAGAACATTTGTCCCTAAGAATCTGAATTATAGAAAACATATGCCGAGTTCCCTGAGTCAGTTTGAGCTGAGTTCATAACCATAGTGCTCACCCTATGCTTCTCACTGGGTAGCTGTTCTAATCCCTTGGGAGTGTAAGGGGTGGGTGGGAGGGGTGGAGATGTAACTTGGGTTCTAGAGTCCGCCTTGGTGGATTTGCATTCTGACCCACCACTCATTTCAGGACCTTGAACAATCTACTTTATCTATGTCTTGGGTTCCTCATCAGCAAAATCAGAATGATAATATCTATCTTTGGGGTTGTGAGAAAGAAACTTCTTATCTGAGGAATGCAGGCCTCCTTTCATTATCAGGCCCAAAGCAGCACTGAAACATGACAATGTGTGACAGAAGTCATGTCTCATTGCCCCTTGAGCTAAATAATTACTTCTTGAAGCCACTTGCTTATGTGAGCTCTAGAGTATCTGATGCCAAGACTCCATAAAATTGCATACACTGGACACCATAACTCATACCCTATAGTTCAACAATGTATACCCAATCACTCGTTAATGTTACTTCTGTAAACTAATGAGGATTCCAAAAGATTTTTTTATCAGACCACTCCCTGTCCCCTTTTTGTCTTTAAAACCTGCTTGTAACAAAGTAACAAAGGCCAAAGGCAGCATTCCCCAAGGCAAATTGGAAGTGTCCTGGGCTACAGTCCTCAACCCTGGCCCAAATAAACTATATTAATTTTGCCTCAGTTTCTTTCCTTAGGTCAACAGTTGGGAGGCTTAGATGAGATAATATAGGCAATGTCCTTATAACAAATTCTTAACACATATTAAGTATTCAGTTAATGTTAGGTAGCTAGTGGTATGATTGCCACACATCTTCCCTGCAAAGGGCCCACAGTTGTTCTTCCCTCACTTAATTAGCTACCTTCTTTTCTTTTGTTTTCTCTCCTCAAGGCCTTCTTTAGACCTGAAATAAATACTTCCTTTTTTTGTTGTTTTTTTTTGAGACAGCGTCTCACTCTGTTGCCCAGGCTAGAGTGCAGTGGCGTGATCTCGGCTCACTGCAACCTCTGCTTCCTGGGTTCAAGCGATTCTCCTGCCTCAGCCTCCCTAGAAGCTGGGATTACAGGCATGCACCACCACGCTTGGCTAATTTTTTGTATTTTTAGTAGAGACAGGTTTTCGCCATGTTGGCCAGACTGGGCTTGAACTCCTGACCTCAGGTGATCCGCCCACCTTGGCCTTCCAAATTGCTGGGATTATAGGCGTGAGCCACCACACCCGACCAAGAAATACTTCCTTTTTCACCCCTTCCTCTTCCACTTCCTTTGGCCACTGTGCCCAACTATTCTATGTCTTTCCTTTTTCTTTCCTTCTTTCTTTTCTTTTCTTTCCTTCTTTCTTTTCTTTTCTTTCTTTTTTTTTTTTTTGGATTTTTTTTTTTTTGAGACAGAGTCTCACTCTGTTGCCCAGGCTGGAGTGCAGTGGCACGATCTTGGCTCACTGCAACCTCTGCCTCCAGGATTCAAGTAATTATCCTACCTTAGCCTCCCAAGTAGCTGAGATTACAGGCGCCTGCCACCATGCCTGGCTAATTTTTATATTTTTTTAGTAGATATGGGGTTTCACCATGTTGGGCAGGCTGGTCTTGAACTCCTGACCGCAGGTGATCTGCCCACCTCGGCCTCCCAGAGTGTTGAGATTACAGGCGTGGGCCTCTGCGTCTGGCCTCTTTCTTTCTTTTTTCTTTCCTTCTTCTTCTTCTTCTTTTTTTTTTTTTTTTTAAGAAATAGGGTCTTCGTCTGTTATCCAGGCTAGAGTGCAGTGTCATGATCACAGCTCATGGCAACTTTGAACTCCTTGGCCCAAGACACCCTCCTGCATCAGCTTCCTGAGTAGCTAAGACTACAGGTGCACACCACCACGCCCAGCTAATTTCTTAATTTTTTGCAGAGTTTGGGGGTGGCGGGGGGTGTCTCACTGTGTTGCCCAGGTTGGTCTTGAACTACTGGCCTCAAACTATCCTCCCACCTCAGCCTCCCAAAGTGAGGTGGCCACCATGCCTGGCCCACATTTTTCTATTGATCCTCACCTAAGTCTGTTGGCACTCAACAGATACTAACCATCACGCAGTCAGATAGGAGAAAGATTAAAAAAAGAAAAAGCCGTGGACTCCATAGATTTGGGTTTGACCCATGGTTGTAGAGGATTCTTTCCCTCTCACAGGCAGGCATCTATGATTAATTTGCACAGTGTGCCTCAGAGCGTGAATCAGGAGAAAATCTGGTGGTTTGACCAACCCAGAGATGGGGGTGAAGCTAGCTGAGAAGATAGTCACCTTAGTACTGCTGGAGAAGGAAGGATGTGAGGGTTTGGTGGACACAGTCATCCGAATGGGATCCAGGTCATTAATCCTTGGCCGCTCTCTGTGCCCAGTGGCCTCCTCTCAACCAAGGTGCAAACTAAAGGCAATTCACCCTGAACCCCAGGGTGGAGTGCAGGGGAATCCAGCACACGTGGGAAGGTCTGTCCCCCAAGACTTTCTTGTTCTGGCCTGAGGCTGTTAAATTCCCTGGGGCTGATTGCTCCTCAGTCTCTCCTAAATTTTGTGCATTCCATGCTCACTCCACCCCCATTAGCCAATACAAGAGTTTTCTTGTGTCTAAAAAAGATCATTTCGCTTTTTTTTTTTTTCTTTGAGACCAATTCTCACTCTGTCTCCCAGTCTAGAGTGCAGTAGCATGATCTCAGCTCATTGCAACCTCTGCCCCCTGGGTTCAAGTGATTCTTGTGCCTCAGCCTCCCAAGTAGCTGAGATTACAGGCGCCTGCCACCATGCTTGGCTAATCTTTGTATTTTTAGTAGAGATGGGGTTTTGCAATGTTGGCCAGGCTAGTCTCGAACTCCTGGCCTCAAGCGATCCGCCTGTCTCGGCCTCCTAAAGTACTGAGATTACAGGCGTGAGCCACCGTGCCCGGCTGATTTCGCTGTTTTTGAAGTTTAAAATGAATATTTCATTTATTATCGTAACACCTTCTAAAGCCTAGCTCCTTCAGTTTTTAAGTTTATACATCATTTGTTTTAAGTGTAGCAGGTTTTAGCAATCACTGTTAAGGGGTCTTTGATACCTGGCCCAATTTACAAATAGTTTAATTGCTGACAAGGAGTCGAATCAGGATGCAAGGGTTCCCTTTATTTAGAAGGGTGTGAAAGTTTAGGGGCAGTGGGTATGGAAAGTTGGAGTGAGAGAGCACTGGCTGAGCAGCCAGGAGGGTGGAGACTGCTGGGCAAGAGACACTGCAGACAGGACTTCAACAAAAGTATTGGCCTTTTGGGGAGGTCAGGCAGAGAAGTTCTGTTTCTCCGCCTCCCTGCAACATCACCTCAATGCCTGGGGCAAGTCACTGGCCAGGACTCCACAAGTCCAGATCTGAAAGCACCTTCGGGTTTTGTAAACAATCTAAGTGACAAAAATGAATGGGGGGATGAAAAGGAGTCCTTAGTTAATACAGCAAGAAACAATAGCTGATGAAAGAGAGAATTAATATTATTGAGCACTCCCTGTGACCTGATGAGGTTAGTATCATTCTTCTCATTTTATGGATGTAAAAATTGCACCTCAAAGCTGTACAAGTAGTAAGTAGAGGAGACTGAATTCATTCTGACAATATTTGCAGTATGTCTTATTAAAAACTATGAACATCTTGCAAAAGTATTGGATCTGATTCAAAGCAGATCGTATCACCATGTTTTCACCTGTATCATTCTCTCAGCCCTTAGTCCACACTGACTTTTTTCAAAACTGCCATACCAGGTTCATTACCTGAGTTTCTATGGGGCAAGAACGTGCAAGTCTGATTTTTGTGAATTTCTCACAAGAAACACAGCAGGAAGGGGTTGGTTCTGTGTTTGCCATTTTCCTCGTAATTGCCAAAGTGGAGGCAGAGATGTTGTGCAATTTCAGAGAGGAGACCTCCAGGGGCTAGGCAGGGACCTCTAGCAGCTCATCAGCAGCAATACTGGTGGGATCCTACCCAATGAGGCCTAACAGGGGGTTAAGGAGAGACGCACACTCTCTGGGCCCCTGGGCCAGTGAACAGACTCATTTGTACGTTTTCATCTCTGGCTGGAAATGTACATTATGAACTTAGAGAGAACGTCCCAACTTTTCAAATGTCCATGGGAAATTACCAAAATACATGATGCCCCTGGCCTCAAATTTCCAAATGGAGAATGGTGTAGGCTTCATTCCTTGACAACAAATGAAATGAGACTAAGAATGAATAACAAAAAAATAAACTAAGACATCTCAATTTCATGTAGCAAAAGTACACCCCTTATTGGTAACAGCCTAATTGGTAGAAGCAGATAATTGGAAACAACCTAAATGTTCGACAATAGATGTAGAATAGTATACATTAAAATACTGTTGGCCGGGCGCAGCGGCTCACGCCTGTAATCCCAGGACTTTGGGAGACTGAGGCGGGTGGATCATCTGAGGTCAGGAGTTTGAGACCAGCCTGGCCAGCATGGTGAAACCCTGTCTCTACTAAAAATACAGAAAATTAGCCGGGCATGGTGGCATGTGCCTGTAATCTCAGCTACTCAGGAGGCTGAGTCAGGAGAATCGCTTGAACTGGGGAGGTGGAGGTTGCAGTGAACTGAGATCACGCCATTGCACTCTAGCCTGGGCAACAAGAGTGAAACTCCATCTCAAAATAAATAAAATAAAATAAAATATAGTTACAGAATCCATCTTCTGCCTGTATTGGTGGCTCTTCAGTTGAAAATTAAGCATTTAGAAGTTGGTATGCTCCCAAACGACCTAACTTCTAAAATGCAAAGGCACTGGCAAGCTTAGGATCTGATGACTGTCAGATACCTTGCAAATTCCTCATCTGTGGCTAGTGAGAGATCTCTAGGCCTACTGGAGCAGAAAGTATCATGCAACAGTTTGAGGGAGACTTGTGGTTGGTTCTGGATCCCTTTGTCTGGGGTTGCTACGCAACAGTAAGAAAGGTGAGAGGAGTTTCCTTATTTTCTACAGCTCCTCATTTGTAACAGGTTTCTGTTGAGAGCAGCTCATGTCTTGGTGGTGATGTTTTGATCTGGAGTCCCTTTTGCTTTCCAAAAGTGAATTTTCTTAACAGAGTAAGCAAAATGAATCTCTACTGCTACATCTGGAGCGTTCCTAACTGGGGGAAAGATGTTTAAAGCAATGGATACCCCAATCTGGAGTGATCCATTTTCTTTAAAAACTAGCTTCTGGCCGGGCTGGTGGCTCACGCCTGTAATCCCAGCACTTTGGGAGGCCGAGGTGGGTGGATCACCTGAGGTCAGGAGTTCAAGACCAGACTGGCCAACATAGTGAAACCTCGTCTCTACTAAAAATGTATGTCTTGGCCAGGTGCAGTGGCTCACGCCTGTAATCCCAGCACTTTGGGAGGCCGAGGCGGGCAGATCACAAGGTCAGGAGTTCAAGACCAGCCTGACCAACATGGTGAAACCCCGTCTCTACTAAAAATACAAAAATTAGCCGGGCATGGTGGCACACACCTGTAATCTCTCCCAGCTAGTCAGGGGGCTGAGGAAGGAGAATTGCTTTAACCTGGGAGGCGGAGGTTGCAGTGAGCCGAGATCGCACCACTGCACTCCAGCCTGGGCGACAAGAACGAAACTTCGTCTCAAACAAACAAAAAAACTAAGTCTTATTAAAAACTCTATGAACATTTTGCAAAAGTACTGGATCTAATTCAAAGTAGATCATATTGCCATGTTAAAATACAAAATTAGCTGGGCGTGTGGCACGCATCTATAATCCCAGCTACCCGGCAGGCTGAGGCAGGAGAATTGCTTGAACCCAGGAGGTGGAGGTTGCAGTGCGCCAAGATCGCCCCACTACACTCCAGCCTGGGCGACAGAGTAAGACTCTGTCTCAAAAACATAAAAAACAAAAAACAAAAAACTGGCTCTAGGCTGGGTGTGGTGGCTCACGCCTGTAATCCCAGCACTTTGGGAGGCCGAGGCAGGCAGATCACCTGAGGTCAGGAGTTTGAGACCAGACTGGCCAACATAGTGAAACCCCATCTCTACTACAAATAAAAAATTAGCTGGGCGTGGTGGCAGGTGCCTGTAGTCCCAGCTAATCTGGAGGCTGAGGTGGGAAAATTGCTTGATCCCAGGATGTTGAGGCTGCAGTGAGCTGTGATTGCCCCACTGTGCTCCAGCCTGGGTGACAGAGCAAGACCCTGTCTCAAAAAACAAAACAAAACAAAAGCTGGCGTCTCTTTCAGAGTATATTCTTTCTTCTGGGCAACCACCAGAGACTACCAATTCTCTCAGGCTTCCAGCTGGAAAAAAAAAAAAGAAAAGAAAAAAAATGGCCACTCTCATCTGTGCCTTCCTCCATATTCTCTGCCTGCACCCACTTCTGTCATCTGGCCAAAACTGCTGATAGTTCATGTAAGGGGTTGAGCGTAAAGAGTTCTTATACCAGGCATGGTATAATCCCAGCTACTAAAGAGGCTGAGGCAGGGGAGTCCCTTGAGCCCAGGAGTTTAAGATCAGCCTGGGCAACATAGCAAGAGCCTATCTCAAAATTAAAAAAAAAGAAAAAGAAAGAAAAAGAATAAACAAAGGATTCCTAGTGTTTCGCCTGCCCCTAGCAGAGAGGAGAGCTCCCCTAGCAGTAGCTTCTGGAGACTAGATTCTTCTTGGATGTTCTACTTTTTCTTTCTACTCACTCCCAGTTATGGAGCTTCAGCCTTCATCTTACCGGGGCTTGGTGGGGGCACAAAGCCATCTTGAAGTTCAGCTCTTCTCATTCCTAACTACCCCACTACTGTTGTCTCATCACTAAATCGTTTCCTATAATACGGCATCTGCAAGTGCCTATAAAATAATCCTTCATTAATGGAAGTTTAGCTTCTAAATGTTTTCTCTGATGCCTTTTCATTGCCCCAGGCTTTGGGAGAACATGCGCAGGTGTGTCTAGGCTCTTTAGTGCTGGTCTGGGCTACAGATAATGATGCTTAAATCATACGTGAGGCTTGGAGTGAGTTGAACAAGGATTAGCCTATCTCATCTAGAAATTGATTTAAACCAAGTGGGGACTCAATCCAGGGCTCTCCCTACCTTTCTCCCCTCTTAATCATTTCCTGCCTTAGTTCATGCTGTGTAAGGAATAAATGAGCAATCACAAACATTCCTGAAATGAGGATACCCGTAAGAATTAGGTTTTAAAAGTGATTTCCTCCTCAGGATGTGGTCTGCATGCAAAAAAAAAAAAAAATTAAATAAATAGAACAACAGTACATAGAAGACAAAGTGAACAATTTAACTTGAAAGCAGGTTCTGCTCCACAAAAACTGTGGTGGAGGTATGGCTGGATTTTTTTCTTCTTAAAGAAGAGGAAAAAGTTATTGATAATGAAAAGGAAATGATCTGAAATGTTTGGTCTAGAGGGCTACTCCATGTCAGAGGCAAAGTTGCCTCTGCTTCCTGAATATATTATGCCTTTGAATATACTGTGTTACTGATTTACTGTAAGTCTTAGTTTCACTTTCTATGTTTGTTTATGTTAAACCAATTTATCCTGTATGCGAGAGCTAGCTTAGTTTTGGATTGGACGTCTTTAGAAGCTATATTAGTTCAGAAGGGGTTGGGAAGTATTGGCTAAATGACGCAGCTTCCAGTATGATTTATACCCAGAAACCTTTGCATGAAGATTCTGACTCAAAATATCCATTGTGTCCATAAACTAATACATTGTTTTCTATTTTTGTAGACATTTCCTGTTTAACTTTCACATACTCTGTAAAGTAGGTGTGCCTATTACTTTGTTTGTTCTTTCAGTTGGACAAACCAAAGCTCAGCAAAACCAAGTTATTTTGCTCTCTTCCCTCCCGACCCCCCTCGCCCCAAGGTTACCGTAAAAAGCGGGAATAGAATCAGTGTTGGCTGCCTCCTAGCTTAATGTTCCATTTCTTGGGTTAAGCCAATCTCAGAGCACTTTTAATTTACCTATTTGTTTAAGCAATCTCAAGGTAAATATGCTTGAGTCAAATTAAAACCAAGTGTTTAATGTGCTTATTTTCAGAATGATTTTACTTATAGTAATTGCCTGCAATACATTGTGTTCTTAACAGGGCAAAGAAGGCTTTATTTAAACACCCCTATCTGGTGACTTAGTCCATTTTCTTTTCATCTGATGATAACATCTGGCAGCACCCTCAGTTCCCAAGTGAGTCACATAATGCACAATGTTGCCCTTGTCTGGTTTTCTCTTAGCTGGGACCATCTAATGGGATTTAGGCTAAGGAATTTCTGCAAGCATAATAGTAGAATCTTAGATTTGGAAGGGACTTTATTGGTTACTTGGTTGCAATTCCCACCCAATGCAATCACCTCTTCCACAACATACCTGAGAGTGGCGGGCACTCCTTGTCTCCCAACTTCCAGAGACAGGGCGCTCACAGCTGGGCAGGACAGTTCATTCCATTATTGAACACTGAATTGCTGGAAGGCTCTTCCTCATGCTGTCATGATGAACTGTCTCTGTAACTTCCACCCCTTGGCCCTAATTTGGTCATCATATGACAAATTATATTACAGTCATATAATTCAAGTGCACCCTAACGTTGAAATTCTGCTTTCACGTGATGGACACATGCATAGTTTTCATATCATCCCCTCAGAAGATGACTCTTCCTAGGTAAACATTTCTTGTTATCTTAATTGTTCATTCCCCTTTTGTGGCTTCTGTAATCAGGATTCTTCAATTTAACAGAGGCAGAAAACCCAACTCAAAATGACTCGAGTAAAGAAAAAAAATTGGCTTCTGTAACTGAAAAGTGCAGAGGAAGAGGCAGCTTCTGACCCAGCTGGATCCAGGCTCAGCCAGTGCCATCAGGGCCTGGTGTCACCTGCCATCTGTGTCATTCACAGTTCCATCAAGAGAGAGCAGCCACGTGATCATTTGAACATTAGGAAAAGTGTAATCTAAAAAAGTATTTTTTTTTTTTTATTTTTGAGATGGAGTCTCACTCTTGTTGCCCAGGCTGGACTGCAATGGCATGATCTCGGCTCACTGCAACCTCCACCTCCCGGGTTCAAGTGATTCTCCTGCTTCAGCTTCCCAAGTAGTTGGGATTACAGTGCCCGCCACCAAACCAGCTACTTTTGTATTTGTACTAGAGTTGGGGGTTTCACCATGTTGGCCAGGCTGGTCTTGAACTCCTGACCTCAGGTGATCCACATGCCTTGGTCCCCCAAAGTGCTGAAATTACAGGCAGGAGCCACCACACCCAGCCAATCTAAAGAATTATTAACTATTAACAGGGGGCTGGGATAACAGTGGATTGGCTAGTAAGAAATAAAGAGAATTTGAAAGAATGCAGGAATAGCAGATTTAAGGAGTACTACTTCTCCTAGGGCTGAGATAGAGCACCTAAGGAAGAATCTGCTACTGCTGGCCCCCCACTCCTGACCCCCTGGGTTGAGACCCAGAACTTGTCAAAGAGCACATGGCTGTGTCTCATTGATTGACAGAGGAGTTGCTGTTATGCAGTGTCAGTGGAACTTGCTAGAAATCTATTCCCTGGAACTTGCTGGAAATTCATCTCTAGGATGCTCAGGAAAGCAATTCATGGGAAAGTATTTCCCATGGGTACCTGAGGGAGGTGCCCTGGTAAGCTGCTGGTACTGAAGGAGCCAGGTGCTAGAGGAGCTGTCAGTGTTGCAAGAGCTGGACACTGGAGAAGCAGCCATGCTCCCAGTGAACACACTGGAACCAGGAAGCAAACTGTATGTCTTCTGCAGTGTCTCTTCAGCGCCCTCTACTGAAAAAGTTTAATAACATGACAAATAGTAAAAAAATACTTTGGGGCCCAGCTAGATTTTTGCTCAACAAACGATGAAGGGTAAATATGGAGCTGAGAGGCAATAAACTGACAGCCGCACACCAACTTTGCTTTCCTTTTTTTCTCTACAGGCTCTACAGTCTCATGTACCTTATGACGACAAGATGGTGGGTGGCAACTCCAGGCTTTTAGCCCTTCATTTTGGTGACCCCGATGCAAAGAGAGCACTTTTGTCCCCCAGCATTATGCCAGATTAAGTTTGACTCTGTTTTGCCAAGCTTGTGTCACATGTTTGTTCCTGAGCCAATCATAGTGTTCAGGTGGTTTTGTGGCTCTGATTGGTCAGCCCTTAGGTGTGAGTGAGTCAACCTTACCCCTGTCAAATGTATGGAGGAAATTCCAAGGAAAATCAACCTGTTGATACCAGAAGAGGGAGAAATGGCTGATAGGCAGGCAAAAATCTACTGTACTGGTGGTTGTTAGGAACAGAGTATGGGGCCAGATATAGCTCGATCAATCAATGACTGTTTTCTCACCTGTAAAGTGGAAATAATAATAATGCCTGTTTGAGTTGGAATGGATAAATAAATGCCACACCTTTTTCTTAACCAAATTTAGAAACAATTGAGAAATTGTCTCAAAAATCAGTAGGATGGCAAATAAAATGTCAGCTTTATTACTGAGAAAAGTTCATATTGAATAACATTCAGGGGCTGACCCTGTGTCATGGTCTCTGGTAGTGTTAAACAGCCCACAGGACCCTGTTCCCTGACCTCCTGCCCCTCTTGCTATGTAGATTGGCTGCTGTAAAACATATGGCATAGACATCCAGTGACTTTCTTTGGAGATAGGCAAATCTCAAAGAGAAGGATAGGAGTGAGCCAGTCCGGGCATGCATGGTTCTTTTGTCTGAACTCCCAATAAAATAAGCTATTCTTTCTTTCTTGGAGAAGAAGTTGGAGTAGGGCAAGAGGACAGGATTGTGATTCTAGCAGAGTTCTCTCCACAATCCCTAGCTTTTTGTTCTCTTAATTGATTGGGCTTACCATTAAGGCTGTGATCAACCAGGGCTTTAACTACCCACTTGGGGGAGATCAGGTGTCTATCAGAGCCTGCTTCTTCCTTTATAAGGCTGCTCCATCAGTTCCAACCACTGCTTCTTCGGGTTTTCTCTTGGCCACTTAACATTATTTTATTTTTATTTTTTAATGTGATAGAGACAAGGTCTCACTATGTTGCCCAGGCTGGTCTCAAACTCCTGACCTCAAGCAATCCTCCTGCCTCCACCTCCCAAAGTACTGGGATTAAGCTGTGAGCCACTGCACCTGTATTTTAAATTCTAATTCATTACCAACATTTAAAGGGTGGGTGATATAGCACATAAAAATTCACATTTCCTAGTTCTTTTGGGAAAAAAGAGGTGAAACAACTTGGGATCCTCATTCTTCCGTGGAAATAATCAGTTGGAACTGAGTATTGGCTGCCAGTTTCAAATAGAGCATGGCCTCTCCTATCTTCTGCAATCCCCACTACTCCCAGTTCTTATATCTAGTCACCTCGCTCACACACCTACTTGCCTGGTCCCTGTACGCATTTACATTTGTAACTCCCTATGAAAGTAGGCATCTTACAGTTGCACTTAAACACAAAGTCAGTACCTTTAAACACAAAGGTACTGACTTTCCTTTTGTCCTGGACTGTCTTTCTCAGCCTCGTCTAAGGATGTTTATGTAGTGAACAGCCTTGGAAGATATAGTGTCCCCTCTGGAGCAAAGGCCATTATAACTGCCCATTCTAAAAGAGTCATGCTTCCTAATCTTTGGCTTCCTCATCCCACTGTAACACACTCCATTGTGTGTGCAGTTGCCATTGGGCTCTCTTCACCCTTTCCTCTGTGTTTCTTTTGTTATGTGACTGCAGCCCCCTCACAGCAAGGTAGATTGTTCCAGGCTGGGCACCTGACCCTCGAGCAGCACTACATTGGTTGGTCAGCACTGATCATGTGGCCTGGCTGGGAAAGATGAGCTGCGGCAGCCAGAGTTTCTCTCTGAGAGAATAAAGTTGTTAGTGACAGGATCAGGAAACAAAAGGATGCCCAGAAAGACAGAAGATTAGAATTGGGGCCATGGAGGGTAAGAGCAAGTCAAATTTTTGAGTGTAACAGAAGTGCACAGAGAAGCAATGATGCTATGAGAAACACACACACACACACACACACACACAGAGAGAGAGAGAGAGAGAGAGAGAGAGAGAGAGAGAGAGAGAGAGAGAGATCACGTAGCCCAAGAGAAAGAAAAAGTAGCCTCAGTTCCAGATGGCTTCCTAGCTTCTGTTCACAAAGAACTTTATCATAAATGGCCTTTTTCTAAGGAATAAATAAGTCTTTGTTTCCATCAACAAAGAGAGCCTGACCAAGACAGCTGGCCATGCCTGTAAGCAGATGTCTAGCTGAGGTATAGCACACTGTTGCTCTATCACAAAATACTCCTCTTCTAAAAAGTGACCCTGAATTTAGGCGCATTTTTTTTTTTTTGAGACAGGGTCTCACTCTGTTGCCCAGGCTGGAGTGCAGTGGTGCAATCATGGCTCACTGCAGCCTCAACCTTCTGGACTCCAGAGATCCTCCCATCTCAGCATCCCAAGTAGCTGGGATTACAGGTGCGTGCCACCACATCCAGCTAATTTTTGTTTTGTTTTGTTTCGTTTTTGAGATGGAGTCTGGCTCTATTGCCCAGGCTGGAGTGCCTCCTGGGCTCAAGCAATTCTCCTGCCTCGGCCTTCTGAGTACCTGGGATTACAGACATGCGCCACCATGTTCAGCTAATTTTTTGTATTTTTACTAGAGACGGAGTTTCACCATGTTGGCCAGGCTGGTCTTGAACTCCTGATCACGTGATCTGCCTGCCTTGGCCTCCCAAATTGCTGGGATTACAGGCGTGAACCACCACACCTGGCCAATTTTTGTATTTTTTGTAGAGATGGAGTTTTGCTATGTTGCCCAGGCTGGTCTTGAACTGCTGTGCTCAAGTGATCCTCCTGCCTTGATCTCCTGAAGTGCGGGGATTACAGGCATGAGTCACCTTGCCTGGCCTAGGGGCAACCATCTTAATCATAGGAACCAGAAAGTTGTCTTTAAAAATATGTGTATGGACCAGGTGCGGTGGCTCATGCCTGTAATCCCAGCACTTTGGGAGGCCGAGGTGGGCGGATCATGAGGTCAGGAGATCAAGACCATCCTGGCTAACATGGTGAAACCCCATCTCTACTAAAAATACAAAAAATTAGCCAGGCATGGTGGCAGGCACCTGTGGTCCCAGCTACCCGGGAGGCTGAGGCAGGAGAATGGCGTGAACATGGGAGGCGGAGCTTGCAGTCAGCTGAGATCATCCCACTGCATTCCAGCCTGGGCAACAGAGCAAGACTCCATCTCAAAAAAAAAAAAAAAAGTGTATGGAACAGAATAGGGGCTTCAGAAATAATACCGCACATCTACAACCATCTGATCCTTGACAAACCTGACAAAAACAAGAAATGGGGAAAGGATTCCTATTTAATAAATGGTGTTGGGAAAACTGGCTAGCCATATGCAGAAAACTGAAACTGGACCCCTTCCTTAAACCTTATACAAAAATTAACTCAAGATGGATTAAAGATTGAAACATAAGACCTAAAACCATAAAAACCCTAGAAGAAAACCTAGGCAATATCATTCAGGACAGAGGCATGGGCAAAGACTTCATAACGAAAACACCAAAAGCAATGGCAACAAAAGCCAAAATTGACAAATGGGATCTAATTAAGTGAAAGAGCTTTTGCACAGCAAAAGAAACTACCATCAGAGTGAACAGGCAACCTACAGAATGGGAGAAAATTTTTGCAATCTATCCATCTGACAAAGGGCTAATATCCAGAATCTACAAGGAGCTTAAACAAATTTACAAGAAAAAAACCAAACAACCCCATCAAAAAGTGGACAAAGGATATGAACAGACACTTCTCAAAAAAAGACATTTATGTGGCCAACAAACATATGAAAAAAAGTTCATCAACACTGGTCATTAGAGAAATGCAAATCAAAACCACAATGAGATACCATCTTACACCAGTTAGAATGGCGATCATTAAAAAGTCAGGAAACAACAGATACTGGAGAGGATGTGGAGAAGTAGGAACACTTTTACACTGTTGGTGGGAGTATAAATTAGTTCAATCATTGTGGAAGACAGTGTGGTGATTCCTCAAGGATCTAGAACCAGAAATACCATTTGTCCCAGCAACCCATTACTGGGTATATACCCAAAGGATAATAAATCATTCTACTATAAAGACACATGCATGCATATGTTTTTTGCAGCACTGTTCACAATAGCAAAGACTCGGAACCAACCCAAATGCCCAGCAATGATAGACTGGATAAAGCAAATGTGGCTGCACCATGGAATACTATACAGCCATAAAAAAGGATGAGTTCATGTCCTTTGCAAGGACATGGATGAAGCTGAAAACCATCATTCTCAGCAAGCTAACACAAGAACAGAAAACCAAACAATGCATGTTCTCACTAATAAGTGGGAGTTGAACAATGAGAACACATGGACACAGGGAGGGGAACATCACACACCGGGGCCTGTCGGAGGGGTAGGAGGACAGGGAAGGGATAGCTTTAGGAGAAATACCTAATGTAGATGACGGGTTGATGGGTGCAGCAAACCACTATGGCACGTGTATACCTATGTAACAAACCTGCACGTTCTGCACTTGTATCCTAGAACTTAAAGTGTAATAAAAAAAAAAGTGTTACTCTGAAAAGGTGAATTTTATCTTATGATAATTGTATCTGAGTAAAGCTATTATTAAAAAGTGTTTTTTTAAAATGTTAATGTAAGTACAGATTATTGAGTTTTTAAAGGTACCAAGGAAGTCATCAAGGACATATGTAAGGCACAGAATGAGTCTGCCTTTCAGGAGCTAGAGGAGCTTGGGAGGGTATAACTGAATGACCTGGAGTCATTTGGATTTGTGACCTAGGAGCTTCGATAGTACCAGAAGTAGATGGAGAAAGATGCCCTCCTAGTATTCAACTGTCTGGGCCACATGAGTTTGGTTAGGCTGTGTTGGCAAGTCCTCCCACCCAAATGATCTTGGAAACATCGGCTGGCACTTCACACCCATTAGGATGGCTACCATAGAAAAACAACAACGACAAAAAACCAGTACATAACCAGTGTTGGTGTGGGATATGGGGCAATTGGAATCCTTGTACTTTGCTGGTGGGATGTAAAATGGACAGCTGCTATGGAAAGCAGTATGGCAGTTACTCAAAAAATTAAATATAGAATTACAATTTTATCTAGTAATTCCACTTCTGGGTATGTACACTAAAGAATTGAAGGCAGGGACTCAAATATTTTACACCCATGTTCATAGCAGCACTATTTGGAATGTTTTGGAAACAACCCAAATATCTATTGATTAATAATTGGCTAAATAAAGTGTGGTACATACATACTATGGGATATTTCCTAGCCTTAAAAAGGGATGGAATTCTGATACATGCCATATTATGCATGAGCCTCAAAGACATTGTACTAAGTAAAATAAGCCAGATACAAAAGGACAAATATGGCATGATTCCACCTATATGAGGTATGAAGAATAGTCAAATACCTAGAGACAAAAAGTAGAACAGTGCTTACCAGGGCCTGGGGGAAGGGACAAATTGGGAGTTATTGTTTAATGGGTAGAAAGTTTCTGCTTGGGATGATGAAAAAGTTCTGGAGATGGATAGTGGCGATGGTTGCACACAGTGTGAATGTACTTAAGACCACTGAACTGTCCATTTAACAACCAGTGTTGGCGTGGATATGGGGAAATTGGAACCTTTGTGCTTTGCTGGTGGGATGTAAATTGGTACAGCTGCTATGGAAAACAGTATGTCAGTTCCTCAAAAAATTAAATGTAGAATTACAATTTTATCTAGTAATTCCACTTCTGAGTATGTACACAAAAGAATTGAAAGCAGGGATTCCAATATTGATTAGTTAAATGGTTAAAATGGTAAATTTTATGTTAAGTATATTTTACCACAATAAAAATAGATAGATAAATAGAGTGGATGTAGCAACATTTTAATCATTGAACCTAAGTGGAATACAGGTATTCATTGTACTATTCTTTTCATTTTTCTCAATATGTGAAAAATTTTGTGATGTTTGGGTGGAGTTAGATATAGAAACAATTTACAGTTTATCCCATTTGCAGGATTTTTCCCAGCTCCAAGCTCTTTCAGGATAACAAACACCTCAGACTAAATCCCCCCAAAGCTTCTCAGCTCACTTGTTAAAAATGTCCTTCCAAAAACTTTAATATTAGTTAGTTGGGCAATAGAAATCAAAGTCTATTTGTCCAACATAATGTACAGGCATGTCCTTTTATAACGTTTTTAGAATTCACAAAACAAAATAAACGATTAACAAATGTAAAACATTTGATGGATTTGTGCTGCCAACAGAATAATATCCAGAGATGTCTGTAAGGTCTGTATGATCTTTACGGCCTGAGTCAAACTTCTTTCTTAGCTTCATCTAACTTCTTCCCATGCAGGCTGTTTATCCATTGGAAGAGCATCTGGAAATCTTTGTACTCTTCAGAGAATGCCTTACAATTCCATGATAAGATGTATAAATGCGTGGATTTGCAGAAAATGTAATCATAGATAGAGATGTAGCGTTAGATAGATAGATAGAGAGAGAGAGAGAGAGAGAGAGAGAGAGAGACCTTCATGATGAACCCATATGTCTGTCCATTTGTCTTCTCATGACCCCATATCACTTTGACCTCTTCTTATATCATCACATCTTCCTTTTCTGACTCTGGACTTCCTACTTCTCTCTTATAAGGACCTTTGTGATTACATTGGGTCACCTAGACTAGCCCCTGCCTGCTTTGCTGATAAGGAAACTGAAATTCAGATTGGTAAAGTGAAAATGACTTATCCGAGATCATGCAGGTGAGTCTGTTTCTGCCTCTTTGTATGGAATACTTTGCTACACTTACAAAAAAATTGTGAAGTTGTGTACCAGTATGTTCTTATAAGTATTCTTCTCCTCTTTATCATCTTTGAATTACCTTAATTTGATCCCCTGGATTGTGGTAAAAAGCATTCTTATTAATTTAGGAGGAATATTCTAATGATCCATTATGTGTTATCTGTGGACCTGTGGCAGTTTCTCCAATAATGGTGCTCTTAGTCCTATAATAGCCAATGATGGTGACTGGCTGTCCTTAGGAGCAGTGGCATATGCCTGAGAGATGGTTGGAGGAGCAAATACTTTAGTTTGGAGTCACAGAACAGAATGAATGTATTTAATTCTACAGCTGTGATCTCATTAGTATCTCGCCTACAACAAACTGCACCAGGCAGAACATGCTTCAGCTTTTTACCCAGCAACTGTCAAGATGCCTTTGTGGAGCTCTTTATCTACAGGCACAATTTCATTGCTCTGTAGGGTATGGTTCATGGGTGCCACTTACTTAAGAAGCCAGATGGGCTAGCAAAGCCATTTCAAATATCAGTGATGTACAGTGTTGGACACATTCCAGTAAAAATAAGTTAGCTAACATACATTGAGTGCTTCTATGTTCCAGGCACTATTCTAAGTGCTTTCTATAGTCTTCAAAAAACCCAATAAGGCAGATACTATTCTTATCCTGATTGTGGAGGTGTAGCAACAAAGATAAAGAGAAGTTAAGCCACTGATTGAAAAACAACAGCCAGTAAGTAGCAAAGCTGGGATTTGAATCCAGAAAATCTGGGCCCAGAGTTTGTGCTTTTAAATTTTTATGTTCTTCTGCCTCCTCTGTAACTGTTAAATTGATATAATGGATAATTCTACATTAGAACCATGTTGTTATCCAATCTTCTAAAGGAAAATTTGCCTCCCCTCTTTATTTTGCTCCATCAAGGTGTTATTGGATAATGTCCTTTCTGGATCCCACAATTCAGAGTCAGCTCCAAGATTTCTGTTGCTATGGAAAATTTCTGGCTGAATGCAGTCTTTCCTATGCTGATTGGTAAATCACTTGTAACTTCTCCAAGCAATGCATTGCTAGAAAGGAATTATCATCCCAACTCGCTGATCCCCCTCCTTGGAGGTGAAGCCTTGTGGGCTGGCCTGGCTTGATTGACCCTAAAGGCCTGGGCAGGAAGCCAGAGGTTCTTACCCACACTTAATGACAGGGGAGCCGAGACACCAAGAGCAGCCAGGGGGTAGCCAGCGAACTCAAGACTTTTATTCTAACAAGTAGCATTGAGATAGGTAGGGAGAGATGAAGCAGAGAGGAATGAGATTAGAAGGCCAGTGAAGACAGGAGCAAGAAGAGGCAAGCCAAAAGGAGTCATTGGAAGGCATTCCAGGCAATTCTGAGCAACTCTATGCAAGATCAGAGACAGGAAGCTGTTGCCAGATGCACAGACAAGTTGGAATACACTTCACAAACATCACAGAAAATATAAAACTCTATTCAAATCCTTACTGACATATGTATCCTTTAAATACACGTGTAATCTCAGTATGATCGATTCTGTGCACTCTTTTTACTTGGTGTTTATAAAGTGGTTCCAAGAAGCCACATACTGCACATTCCTGGATTATAGTTTGATGACATTCTTTCCTCTTGCTGTTTAGCCATTTGCTTGTTCTTGAGATGGTTCCAACATCTTGCTCGTGTAGGTAGTGCCTTGGTAAGGTGTTGTGGAAATGTGCCTGCCAAAGCAGCATTCCTCCAGGCACACACACACCTGCCTGCTCATCGTGGGCACCAGTATCTTGACCAAAATAGTCATCTGGGATCCACCATGGCCAGCTGTCCACCTCTAACAATAACCAAAGGGGTCCTGGAACTCAGGACCTTATAAAAACCTCAGAGGATTAACTGAGAAAGACCAAGCCCAGACTATAAAAGAATAAAAACATATTATTTACCATTATCATACAAATGACCATATATTATATGAGTTTTAAAATACTGTTTAGCGGGCTCCTATGTTCACTTTATATCCTCCAGCTATGGATAAGCCTTTTGTCCCTGCTTCCAGTATGGTTCTTCTGCTTTTGCATCCTGATTCTGCTGGTTTCACTCCTCTGCTTAAAACCTCCCATTGATTCCTACTGTTCTTAGAAAGAAACCCATGCTTCCAACTATGGCGGACAGAATAATGGCCCCTCAAAGATGTCCACCTCCTAATCCTTGGAACCTAATTATGCTATTTTACATGGCCAAAGGGGCTTTGCATATGTGCTTAAGTTAAAGACTAAGAGTGCAAAGGCCTCTGCTTTTGTATGTAATTGTAATGGGTTGAATAGTGGCCCTCAGAAAGATATGTTCAAATCTGAACCCCCAGAACCTGTGGATTTGACCTTATTTAAAAAACCGTTCTTTGCAGATACAATGACATGAAAGGTCTCAAGATGAGATCATCATGGGTTTAGGGTGGGCCCTAATCTAGTGACAGGTGTCCTTATAAGAGAAAGGCAGAGGAGATTTAAGATGCAGAGACACACGGGGGAGACTGGAGCTCCACTGACACAAGCCAGTGAACTCCTACAGTCACCAGAAGCTAGAAAGGCAAGGAAGGATTCTCTCCTGGAGACTTCAGAGAGAGCTTGAACGTTCTGGCCTCTAAAACTATGAGAGAGTGGATTTCTATTGTCTTTAGGCCATTCAGTTTGTGACAATCTGTTCTGGCAGCCACAGGAAACCAACACAACAATCTTCCCTACACTCCTCTGTTACACCATAAACCATTAAGATCCTGTTTGCCTACCACGTTGCAGACAAAAGACACCTTGCCATCCTGCTCCCTCCTGTCCCTCCATGCTCCTGCCGATTCCTCTCTCTCCTCCCCAGTGCTTTGATGACCCATTAGTATATATTTCTCTGTGTGACTTTGCTTTTAGCACACACAGTACAAACATTAAGATTAAAAACAAACAGCACTAAGATTAAAAATGTTTAGCAACCAGGATGCCCCATGGGCTGACAAATCTGAATGGACGCCAGTTGCCACGATGGAGCAAAGTCCAGATGGCCCACTGCCAGGCCAGGCATTGCCCCCTTAGGTGCTGGATCCTGGCCAGCAGATATTGGCAAGACTCCTGGTGTTAATTCTCACTGTATACCAGGGCCTGTGCTGAGTAGACGATCTCTTTGAGACCACCACAGTCCTACGGGTGAGGAAACTGAGACTGACTGAAGTTCAGTGATGTGCCGGAGGTCACACAGGTTGTAAGCAAGTGGCAGAGGAAGGGCTGGAAACCTGGTGGCCTGACTTTAGTCTGATTTTTTGTGGGGAGTGTGAGGAAAATCCTGGAGAGAATCATTTCTCTATGGAGTAGGGAATACTTAAAAAAGATGTGTCATCAGTCTAGGGGCCTTCGAAAATTAAATTATTTACTTCAGACAAATGGTGCCAGAGGGGATAGTAGCTGACTCATCATTCAGTCCCCACTGGAGCTGCAGGTATAAGCGCTGGGAGGGAGGTCTCATGGAGGAATGATCAACTCTGCGCCATCCCCATCCCAGGGAGAGGAGAGCTCAGAGCTTATGATACAGTGAGGTGCAGAGTACGCAGAGTCTGAGGGACCTTCCAGGGGTCAGGAATTGTATCCAGGTTCCGGGAGGTGAGAACTTGGCGGGATTTCTTAAGCCCTGAGGCTTTCCTGCATTGACTCTTCTTGCCTTCAAGCCCTGCTTGCCTTCCTGAGGTCATCTGCAGTGAAGGCTTAGCCAGGAAAGGAAATAAGTGCTTTTGTTAGGAAAGAGCAAAGACTGCATTGGACAAGCAATCTGCACCTCCATCCTTGGACTAGAGAAGAGAAGTCAGAGATAAAATGAGTGCCACTGGCAAGAATCACATGAACCCGGGAGGCAGAGAGGTTGCGGTGAGCTGAGGTGGCACGACTGCACTCCAGCCTAGGGGACAGAGAGAGACTCCGTCTCAAAATTTGTAGGGACATGGATGAAATTGGAAACCATCATTCTCAGTAAACTATCGCAAGAACAAAAAACCAAACACCGCATATTCTCACTCACAGGTGGGAATTGAACAATGAGATCACATGGACACAGGAAGGGGAACATCACACTCTGGGGACTGTTGTGGGATGGGGGGAGGGGGGAGGGATAGCATTGGGAGATATACCTAATGCTAGATGACGAGTTAGTGGGTGCAGCACACCAGCATGGCACATGTATACGTATGTAACTAACCTGCACAATATGCACATGTACCCTAAAACTTAAAGTATAATAATAATAAAACAAACAAACAAAAAATGAATGGTGTTGTCTTTAAAGGGAGAAGGGCCCTCAGTGGCCTGAGGCTTGCACAAGAGAAGAAAGGAGAAGGGTGGGGAGTGGGTGCCTCACCCTTAGCCAGAGGCATGGTCCCAGAAGTTTAACCACTGAACCCCAGTGGTTCCCTGACAGGCAGGTGGAGGTGAATGTGAGGGAGGCCCACAGGACCGCAAAAGCAGCTGGTGCTGTGAGTTCACCAGTAAGTGACTTTCCTGTGATTTCCCCGCTTATACCAAAAGCCATGTTTGCTGAAAGTCAATGGCATTTTCTGGAACTGCCTATGGAGGTGTACTTCACAGGAACTTTTAAATAACTTTAGTCCCAAGTGATTCATTATTCTATTCCATTAGTTAGTTGTTGGCAGATCTGTCACACCGTATACAAAAGCTGAGCTATTTCAGTGACTGTACTTATGAGTCATCTTGCTGACTTTCTGTATATATTTTCTACCACTGTTCTATAATCTCTTTCATTCACCCGGTATATACAGGTGATAATTATGTTCTTTCCTTTTCCCATATTTTTCTTTCTGTGAGATTAAAATAGCAACATTAACAAAAAAGTCAGGTATGGTTTTCTTTAACATATTGTTGAGATTTGTGAAATGGACTTTGATACCAGTGCTTCAAATTAGATCTGAAATGAAAAATAAGCTAATATAAATGTTCTCCTGAGATTTGCAGAAAATAATACGTGAAAGCGTCTCGAAATTAGCCAGGCGTGGTGGCAGGTGTTTGTAATCCCAGCTACTCGGGAGGCTGAGGCAGGTGAATCGCTGGAACCTGGGAGGCGGAGGTTGCAGTGAGCTGAGATCACACCACTGCACTCCAGCCTGGGGGATAGAGCGAGACTGTTTAAAAAAAAAAAAAAAAAGTGTCTATTGAGATAGGCTTGCATTTGAAGGGCCAAGCAAATCATGTACTCAACTTGCCAAATTGCCAACTCTTCAAAAATTCTTTTTATGTTTAATCAATCTAATTTATTCATCATTTCTACTGGAGTCTAAAAAGTTTGTCTTGAACACCTCAATATTTGTCAGCACCAAGAAGGCTGAAGGGTCTTATTTAGGAAGGAGAGAAGGAAAAATTATAGTGACCCAAGAAAAGATGGATCTGTATGACTGAGATGACTGCAAGCCACATGTTCCACTTACTATGCTATTTCTGGAAGGCATCCCTTGGCAACTTTTAAATGTTATATTATCATTTCTTGGAGACTTCTCTAGCTGTTTAAATGTGGTGAGAAGATGACAGAGTTATAACAGGAGAAGGAAGAGTCTTGCTTCTCTGATTGAAAACTGTTTCTCCATTTCCCTTCTTTTTTTTTTTTTCAGTCCTTGAAACTTTCTCCAGTTGACTCAGCCACACTGGTTGGAGCTCTCTTGCACATACTCAGAGGAACGCACACTTCTCCATTCAAACGACTGCATCAGGAAGTTAGAAGCATAACTTTGACTCAGTCGAGGCTTTTCTAGCCACGTATTTCACATACGCGAGCTGTCAGACCTCGGATGAGGGTCTTTACGCAGCTTCAAGGTATCTTTTCAGTTGCTCCAAACATGACTGCTTGGCAGATAGTTTTGAGAGAAGGTGTGACCTCAGAGTGTGAGAGCTGCTCACTTGTTCAGGCAGGTGCCCTAAAATGACACATGTCCGCCGGGCGCGGTGGCTCACGCCTGTAATCTCAGCACTTTGGAAGGCTGAGGCGGGTGGATCCCCTGAGGTCAGCAGTTAGAGAACAGCCTGACCAACATGGTGAAAACCCGTCTCTACCAAAAACACACAAATTAGCCGGGGGTGGTGGCACGTGTCTGTAATCCCAGCTATTCGGGAGGCTGAGGCGGAAGAATCGCTTGAACCGGGGAGGCGGAGGTTGCAGTGAGCCAAGATCGCGCCACTGCACTCCAGCCTGGGCGAAAGAGCGAAACTCCATCTCAAAACAAAACAAAACAAAACAAAACCAAAAAAACGAACAAACAAAAGTGACAGATGTCTACAAGCCAACACTTAAGGAATGCTCAACAGCTGGAATATTCTCAGTTTTTAAAGTTTTTTTTTTTTTTTCTAGATGCCGCAGATGGTGATTTGTTCTTCAGCCATGATCACTGGGGCCTGGATCATGCTTTTTACAAGTGACTGTACTCGCTACTTTTTTGTTTTGTTTTGTTTGAGATAGGATCTTGCTCTGTCATCCAGGCTGGAGTGCAGTGGTGCGATCATGGCTCACTGCAGCCTCAACCCCCTGGGCTCAAGCGATCCTCCCACCTCAGCCCCCCAAGTAGCTGGGACTACAGGTGAATGCCAACACAACCAGCTAATTTTTCTTTTTTTTAGAGACGGGGTCTTGCTGTGTTGCTCAGGCTAGTCTTGAATTTCTGCACTCAAGTGATCCTCCTGCCTCGGCCTTCCAAAGTGCTGGAATTACAGGTGTGAGCCACTGTGCCCAGCCTAACCACATTGAAGGCTGAGTTTAACCATATTTTGAAGTAAAAAGTACATGTATTTAAGAGAACTGAAAGTGACTCTGTGTGACTGGATTATTGTGTTGACACTATTAGTTAGAAGCCTTGGTTGAAATCAACAGAAAACCCAACTTACGCTGACTTAAACAATAAAAAGAATTCATGGTCTCACCTAAAAAGTCAGGAGGCAGTTCAGGCTCTAGATAAGGCTTGATTAAGGATCTTGTTTCTTTTCCTCTCTTTGTTCTGGCTTCCACTGTATGAACTGCATCCTAGGGCAGTCTTCCTTCAGAGTCCCAAAGCAGATGCCAACAGTCCTGGGATCATATGTTTCCTTGTTCATGACAGCAAGAGAGAGAACCTCTCTGCCCTCAGATGTCAGATAAATTCCTGGGCTTCATACTAATGGGACTGGTGGCTGTATCCAGGAGCATGGGATACCCTGCTGAGCATAGATCAGCTCATCACTGGAGTTGCGGGGGAATTAATCCCATCCAGATTATGCTTGCCTTGCTGAGAGTGGGTTTGAATGGTTATGCAAAGGAAAATTAGGGTGTTGTTTTAGAAAGAGTAAATGGATGCAAGGAGGCAAAAAATACCAACACTCTCTATTGAGTGTACTGGTAGAAAAACTGTGAGGTCCCTGGAAAGGTGGGCTGAGGAGTGAGAGTGGATTTTAAAGAGTCTGAACTTGAAATCTTTGAAAGACTTTAGTCAGCGATTATCACCCAACATCCACAGAAAGCTCTCCAGGGATATTTAATATCCAATAATCTTTTTACAAATAAAGCTTTTTTTGTGTGTGTGGTTGTACAAGTTAAATGTCTGGATAGTGAGTAGATGAATGCCTGTTATTTTGGGCATTGCACTTTTGTTATGTTTGGAATATTTCACAATTAAAAAGTGAACGCAATGCACAGACTTGACAGATATTACCAGTGTTCACCAGTGTATCATTTTTTCTCCTTCCTGGGTGCAGGAAGACTGCACTTCTTAGCTTTCCTTTTAGTTAGACAGGCCGTATGACTAGGCTGTGGACAAAAATGACATATGTCTCTTCCGGGCCAAGGCAGCAAAAATTCCTATGCAAACTTTCAGTTCTCTCTTCTCCTTCAGAGTGATAGTGGAGGCCAGATATTAAGATGGTGGAGTTGTAAGAACAAAGCAGCCTGGATCACTGAGTCACTGCATGGATATCAGCTGCTTTGGAGAGCCAGTAGATGTTCTGGTTATTGATTTCCATGTGTTCAAACTCCCCAAAAAACTTAGTAGTTTCAAGCAACAATTTACTATTATCTCTTATGATTCTGTGTCGGCTGACTGGGCTAAGCTCGGCAGTTCTTGCTTGGGTCTTTCATCTGATTGCCGTCAGGTGTTGACTGGAGCTGCAGTCACCCTAACAACTCATCTGATCTGGATCTCCAAAGTGGCTCACTTGTCTGGCTGTAATTAATGCTGGCTATTGACTGAGTGTAAGGAAGCTGTCAACTGGAGCACCTATGTGGCTTTAGAGTCTCACTGCATGGGTTCTGGGTTCCCACCAGATGCATCCCAAGAGTGAGTATTCCAAGAGACCAAGATGGGATTCAAAAAGCTTCTTACAAGCTACCCCTGGATGTCCTGGAACATCCTTGCTGCCATATTCTGTTGGTCAAGGCAAGTCACTAAGGCCAGTTCAGGTTCAAAGGGAGGGGAATTAGACTCCTAACGTTGGTGCAATGAGTAGCATATGTCACAGAGTGGGAAAGTATTAATAATGGTTATCTTTTATTATCTACTGCACCTAACTTACAGCTGACTTTGGGTGAGAAATAAATTTTATGTGTTAAGCCATTGAGATGTCCAGTGTTTTTTGTTGCCTCACCATCAGCCTAGCCTAAGCTGATTAATAAAATGGGAATTGTAGACAATATAGAAAAGACTTTAAAAAAAATTACTATGGTTACCCTTTTATGTAATTTCTCCTGTTCTTTTTTTTTTTTTTTTTTTTTTTTGAGATGGAGTCTCTCTCTGTCATCAGGCCAGAGTGCAGTGGCACAATCTTGGCTCACTGCAACCTCTGCTTCCCAGGTTCAAGTGATTCTTCTGCCTCAGCCTCTCGAGTAGCTGTCCTGTTCTTTTTTTATTGATATTTTTTATATATTGTTATCATGCTATATAGATAGGTTTGTAGTTTTTATCACTTAGTATTATAATATAAATGTATCCCTTTTCTATCAGAAGTCTTAGTAAAGACTTCGAATTACTGCATAATATTTCATTGTGACAAAGTATTCAACTGCTCTCAAATAGACGTTTAGTGTTTCCCACTTATTAATGGTATTAGAATACTGCAAAAAACACCTTTGAGCATAAAGCATCATTTTTTTTTAAATTATACTTTAAGTTTTAGGGTACATGTGCACAACGTGCAGGTTTGTTACATATGTATACATGTGCCATGTTGGTGTGCTGCACCCATTAACTCGTCATTTAACATTAGGTATATCTCCTAATGCTATCCCTCCCCACTACCCCCACCCCACTACAGGCCCCGGTGTGTGATGTTCCCCTTCCTGTGTCCATGTGTTCTCATTGTTCAATTCCCACCTATGAGTGAGAACATGGGGCTGTTTGGTTTTTTGTCTTTGCGATAGTTTGCTGAGAATGATGGTTTCCAGCTTCATCCATGTCCCTACAAAGGACATCAACTCATCATTTTTTATGGCTGCATAGTATTCCATGGTGTGTATGTGCCACATTTTCTTAATCCAGTCTATCATTGTTGGACATTTGGGTTGGTTCCAAGTCTTTGCTATTGTGAATAGTGCCGCAATAAACATATGTGTGCATGTGTCTTTATAGCAGCATGATTTATAATCCTTTGGGTATATACTCAGTAATGGGATGGCTGGGTCAAATGGTATTTCTAGTTCTAGATCCCTGAGGAATCGCCACACTGACTTCCACAATGGTTGAACTAGTTTACAGTCCCACCAACAGTGTAAAAGTGTTCCTATTTCTCCACATCCTCTCCAGCACCTGTTGTTTCCTGACTTTTTAATGATTGCCATTCTAACTGGTGTGAGATGGTATCTCCATAAAGCATCATTTCTTATAATAGTTTCTTAGTTTGGGCGCTATAACAAAATACCATAAACTGGGTGGCTTATCAACAACAGAAACATATTTTTTACACTTCTGGAAGTTGGAAGTCTCAAATCAGGGTTCCAACATAGTTGGGTTCTGGCAAGAGTTGTATACTGCCTGCTTCTTGGATCCTCCCATTGTGGAAAGAGGCTGAGAGAGCTCTCTGGGGTCCTTTATATAAGGGCACTAGTCCCATTTATGACTAGTCCCATTAATGACCTCATTAACTCTCAAAGGCTCAAACTCCTAATTCTATCACATTGGGGGTTAAGATTCTAACATGAATTTGGGGGTGACACAAATATTCAGTTCATAACAGACAGATTATATTCGTTCATCTTTGTATCTTTGATTTTGAAAGATTTTATTCTTAAGATTTTCTTGCAAGCACCCTTAACTCTATTCTCCTTCCCCATCTCTTTGTAGACAATGCTCAAATTTGTATTTTCAGTCCTGATCTCTCCCCTCACTCTAGACTTGATATTGCTATGTGAGATCACTAATAGATGTTTCAAACTAAGTATGTCAAATGATTCTTGATTCCTAGGTGACATCATGCTGCCTATCATCTTTATTTCCTTTATTGTACTCACCACTGTCTGTCTTTTCTCTCCTTGCTAGAATGTGAGCTCCATGAGGACAGGGACTCTGTCTGTTTCTCCTACCTGCCCTACCCCAGGCCATCCCCAACTCTAGGAACAATACTTAGTTCATAGCAGGCAATAGATATTTGTAAATAAATGAATGAATTTATATATAAATAAATAAGATGAATTTACTCTATATTTTCTTTCCACTCCAACCTTATCCCCAAGTGGAAGATTTCCATGATAATTTTGGTCTTCAAATTCATGATGAACATATTTTTATTTCTCTTTACAACCACAGTGCTCCATTTCTGGGAAAGTTGAATGTGTAACAAGACTCTTCTTGTAGGAAAGCAGAGACAAGGTGAAAATAAGGTGAAGATATGCTGGAGATGAAATGGGAGAGAAACAACAGGAGAAAAGTTCAGTAAACGGAGAAAGTGGGAAGAAGGTGTTGCATAGTGGGAAGAGGCCATTCGTAACTTTGCATCGCCATCAGAAAGCTATTTAATTTAGTGTTTTCCAGATCAAAATTTCCTTTCTAACACTTAGGAATTTTGGCCCTCGTTTTAGAAACAGACCTTTGCACCAAGTCCTGTGGTCTCTGGCTATAAGCCTCTCTGCCTTTTGCCTCTGTTCCCTGTTTCTTGGCTGCCTTGCCCTTAGTTTCATTTCCAAATTTTGGTTTCCTTTCCTAAAAGATGATTTGCCTTATGTGTGAGTCATAATGCAATGGCGATTGTATGTGCTGAGGCCCAATTGAGGTAGAATGGGCAAACTGCTCTGCAAGGAACACAGACCCTTCTTTGAGGCACTATTGGTCCAGCCACCTTCCCCTCTATCCAGCCATGCCTGCCTGTCCTGGTGCCCACCAGGCCTGGTGGCTGAATTTGAGCTAAGAAGTGGAGAAACGTGGGTGAATTTGGGTAGAAGTCAGGGCTGGAGATGAGTGTAGGGGATAGCTTCACACAGAGTCAAAGGGAGACCAGGTGAGGAGTGGGATTGGGTGGCTACAACTGAATGACGGTGTGTTCACATGGCATTTGTCCTGTTTGTGAACAGCCCTTGTGAGTTCTCAACTTCAGGAATATAAAGTCATTGAAGAGGCACAAAGATGGTGGAAAGACCTTTGCAAGAATTGGCCAGGGACCTGTGAATCAGACACATCAAGGATTAATATACCACTTTCTGCCTTTTCACATGAGTGGCAAAAATTTATATTTTCTTAGTAATTTCAACAGCAGCAACATTTGCTACTGCAACTATTGTCAACACATCCTCTGTTTATTGAGCATCTACTATTTGCTAGGTGCCGTGCTGTGTGCTTTGCTTAATATTATCACTAATCTTTATAATCATAGGGGATAGGGACTGTTTTCCTCATTTTATAAATTTTACAAATAAAGAAACTGAGGTGCAGGCCAGGCGTGGTGGCTCACGCCTGTAATCCCAGCACTTTGGGAGTCTGAGAAAAAAAAAGAAAGAAAGAAATTGAGGTGCAGAGCAATTAAGCCACTTACACAGAGTTAGCCAACTAAAAACTTATAGAATCAGATTTTGAATCTAGGTCTCTCTGGCTTTAAACTATAAAAGTTTTTATTTAAAAATACATTTTAAAAATAAAATCATGCTTAAATTTCATGTATTTGCATGGGAATATAAATGACATATTTATGCGAGTACTCTAGAAAAATATATTGCTATTTATTTATTTATTTTGAGATAGAGTGTCACTCTGTTGCCCAGGTGGGAGTGCACTGGTGTGATCTCAGCTCACTGCAACCTCCGCCTCCCAGGTTCAAGCAGTTCTCCTGTTTCAGCCCCCTGAGTAGCTGGGACTACAGGTGTGTGCCACCATGCCCAACTAATTTTTGTATTTTTAGTAAAGACAGGGTTTTATCTTGTTGGCCAGGCTGGTCTTGAACTCCTGACTTCAGGCAATCTGCTCGCCTTGGCCTCCCAAAGTGCTGGGATTACAGGCGTGAGCCACCACACCCAGCCCGGCTTGCTTTTTAAATAGATTCACTTGGCAACATTTGGATTTAAGGTTTCTGCTGAATTTTATTTAATCTGGCACCAATTTTTAAAAACCTAATACAGTGTTCTAACTTTGCAGATTTTATACTTATTTTGAGCTAGTTTCATAGGACATAAGCTTGTTAAATAACTGCTTGTTGAGGTTAATGTTTTGCCATTTATAGGATTTAATGTTGAGGAATACAGCATTTGCTGTGTATTTTTCCTCTAATGGCAGGGGAGGTAATGTTCCAATAATTTAGAAATTTTCTATGGAAGAAAGCAGCTGGTATGGTGTGGCTGTGTTCCCACCCAAATCTCAACTTGAATTGTATCTCCCAGGATTCCCATGTGTTGTGGGAGGGACCCAGGGGGAGGTAATTGAATCACGGGGGCGGTCTTTCCCTTGCTGTTCTCTTGATAGTGAATAAGTCTCACAAGATCTGATGAGTTTATCGGGGGTTTTCACTTTTGCTTCCTTCTCATTTTCTCTTGCTGCTGCCATGTAAGAAGTGCCTTTTGCCTCCCACCGTGATTCTGAGGCCTCCCCAGCCATGTGGAACTGTAAGTCCAATTAAACCTCTTTTTCTTTCCAGTCTCGGGTATGTCTTTATCAGCAGCGTGAAAACGGACTAATATACTAAATTGGTACCAGTAGAGTGGAGCACTGCTGAAAAGACACCCGAAAATGTGGAAGCGACTTTGGAAGTGGGTAACAGGCAGAGGGTTGGAACAGTTTGGAGGGCTCAGAAGAAGACAGGAAAATGTGGGAAAGTTTGGAACTTCCTAGAACCTTATTGAATGGCTTTGCCAAAATGCTGATAACAATATGAACAGTAAGGTCCAGGCTGAGGTGGTCTCAGATGGAGATGAGGAACTTGCTGGGAACTGGAGCAAAGGTGACTCTTGTTATGCTTTAGCAAAGAGACTGGTGACATTTTGCCCCCGCCCTAGAGATTTGTGGAATTTTGAACTTGACAGTCATGATTTAGGGTATCTGGTGGAAGAAATTTCTAAGCAGCAAAGCACGCAAGAGGTGACTTGGATACTATAAAAGGCATTCAGTTTTATAAGGGAAACAGCATAAAAGTTCAGAAAATTTGCAGCCCGATGATGCAGTAGAAAAGAAAAACCCATTTTTTGAGGAAAAATTCAAGCCAGCTGCAGAAATTTGCAGAAGTAGCAAGAAGCCTAATGTTAATCCCCAAGACCATAGGGAAAATATCTGCAGGCCATGTCAGAGACCTTCACAGCAGCCCCTCCCATCACAGGCCCAGAGGCCCAGGAGGAAAAAGTGGTTTCATGGGCCAGGCCCAGGGTCCCTATGCTGTGTGTAGCCTAGGGACTTGGTGCCTTGTATTCCAGCCACTCCAGCCATGGCTGAAAGGGGCCAATGTAGAGCTCGGGCTGTGGCTTCAGAGGGTGGAAGCCCCAAGCTGTGGCAGCTTCCATGTGGTGTTCAGCCTGCAGGTGCACAGAAGTCAAGAATTGAGGTTTGGGAACCTCCACCTAGATTTCAGAGGAGTATGGAAATGCTTGGATGCCCAGGCAGAAGTTTGCTGCAGGGCAGAGGCCCTCAAGGATAACCTCTGCTAGGGCAGTGCAGAAGGGAAATGTGGGATTAGAGCCCTGACACAGATCCCCCACTGGGGCTCTGCCTAGTGGAGCTCTGAGAAGACGGCCACCATTCTCCAGATCCCAGGATGGTAGATCCACCGGCAGCTTGCATCATGCACCTGGAAAAGCCACAGACACTCAATGCCAGCCTGTGAAAGCAGCCAGGAGGGAGGCTTACTCTGCAAAGCCACGGGGGTGGAGCTACCCAAGACCATGGGAACCCACCTTTTGTGTCAGCATGACCTGAATGTGAGACCTGGAGTCAAAAGAGATCATTCTGAAGCTTTAAAATTTGACTGTCCTGCTGGGTTTCAGACTTGCATGGGCCTTGTAACCCCTTTGTTTTGGTCAATTTCTCCCATTTGGAACAGATTTACCCAATACCTGTACCCCCATTGTATCTAGGAAGTAACTAGCTTGCTTTTGATTTTACAGGCTCATAGGCGGAAGGGACTTGCCTTGTCTCAGATGAGACTTTGGAGTGAGGACTTTTGAGTTAATGCTGAAATGAGTTAAGACTTTGAGGGACTGTTGGGAAGGCATGATTGGTTTTGAAATGTGAGGACATGAGATTTGGAGGGTCCAGGGGCAGAATGATATGGTTTGGCTTTGTCCCCACCCAAATCTCATCTTGAATTGTATTCCCAGAATTCCCATGTATTGTGGGAGAAACCCAGTGGGAGATAATTTGAATCATGGGGGCAGTTCCCCCATACTGTTTTTGTGGTAGTGAATAAGTCTCATGAGATCTGATGGTTTTATTAGGGGTTTCCGCTTTTGCATCTTCCTCATTTTCTCTTGCTGTCACCATGTAAGAAGTGCCTTTTGTCTCCCGCCATGATTCTGAGGCTTCCCCAGCCATGTGGAACTGTAAGTTCAATTAAACCTCTTTTTCTTCCCAGTCTCGGGTATGTCTTTATCAGCAACGTGAAAATGGACTAATAAAGCAGCTATTGTGTATTTTTGTGAATGAGTATTTGAATTGGATCCAAAATGTACCCATGATTGTGCCTTGTGTTTTTCTAAAAAATAAAACAATACACACTTATTATAGAAGATTGGCTAGATACAAAGAAGAAAAAAGGAAAAGAAGCATGCTAGTCAGAGAAAAAAAATTAATAGAGTGGTGTATTTTATATGGATTTTTTATACTCAAGTTTACATATTTTACACATAATTTACTAATCTACTTATAATGTATTTTATTGTAGGGTATTAAGTCTTATGTTTTTGATAGGACAGAGGTGATTATAAACCTAGTTCCTTAGTTTCCGATATGACAAGTAAATGATGTCCCTTTTAGAAATATATAAACTTAGTTTGCAGTAAGGCAAATACTCAATTTATATTGATTGTTGGAAAAATTCACAGGATGCAACGTATACTAGATTTTTATGTTAAAACTCCCAAGATCAAGATCAAATTTCTGCCAAGAAAATTTAATTTTTAAAAATATTGGTAAGTATCTCAGTTCAAATTTAAACATCACTTTTTGATTCTAAGGTGAAATAGCTTGACAGATGGTTAAAAGAGCAGTTGCCGAAGGAAAATGATTACAATAAATCTTTCAAGTGATGAATTTAATTGCCTGCCAAAAAATTTCTCAAATGACTCTCCAAGCTTAAATTTCAACCTCTCCAAGAGACATGTGTGTCATTTTTTTTGAATGGATTTTATTTTTGGAGCAGTTTTATATTCACAGTAATATTGAGTAGAAAGTTCAGAGTTCCCATTATATCCCCTGACCCCCAAAACACACAGCCTCCTCTACTATCAACATCCTACACCAGAGTGATACAGTTGTTATTCATACAATCTATGAATCTACACTGACAAGTCAATATTACCTAAAGACCACAGTTTATGTTAGGGTTCACTCTTAGTGGTGTACATTCTATGGGTTTGGGCAAATGTCTGATGGTATGTGTTTACCATTACAGTATCATATGGAGTTGTTTTATTAAAAATCCTCTGTGCGGCTGGGCATGGTGGCTCACACCTGTAATCCCAACACTTTGGGAGGCCAAGGCAGGCTGCTCTCGTGAGGTCAAGAGTTTGAGACCAGCCTGACCAACATAACATGGAGAAACCCCATCTCTACTAAAAACACAAAATTAGCTGGGCGTGGTGGTGCATCCCAGCTGCTCGGGAGGCTGAGGCCGGAGAATTGCTTGAACCCGGGAGGTGGAGGTTGCAGTGAGCCAAGATCACGCCATTGCACTCCAGCCTGGGCAAGAAGAGCAAAACTCTGTCAAAAAAAAAAAAAATCCTCTGTGCTCTGACTATTCACCTCTCCCTTCCCCCAACACCTGGCAACCACTGATCTTTTCACTGTCTTGCTCTCTCTCTCTCTATATATATATGCACTATATATACATATATATATGAATGATATATATATGCTATATATATAGGAGTACATATATATGCTATATATGTGTGTGTGTGTATATATATACTACATATATATATATACAGAAAGACAGTGAAAAGATCAGTGGTTGCCAGGTGTTGGGGGAAGGGAGAGGTGAATAGGCAGAGCACAGAGGATTTTTTTTTTGCTATTATACATATATATACATATATTAGCTATATATATACATATATTAGATATATGTGTGTGTGTGTATATATATATATATTAGAGACAGGGTCTTGCAATATGTATATATTTTAGAGACGGTCTTGCTATGTTGCTCAGGCTGCACTTGAACTCCTGGGCTCAAGAGATCCTTACCACCCCAGCCTTCTGAGTAGCTGGGATCACAGGTACAAGCCACCATGCCTGGTTTTGCAATATATTTAAAGGAACCTTCTATGTCATTTAACTGGGAAACTTTTCTAAACGGTTTTCTAAGAGCTGACTATAAGGGTCTTTGATAAGATGGCACAGAACTGGCCGGGCATGGTGACTCATGCCTATAATCCCAGCACTTTGGGAGGCTGAGGCAGGCAGATCACTTGAGGTCAGGAGTTTGACACAAGCCTGGCCAACATGGTGAAACCCCGTCTTTACTAAAAATACAAAAAATAAATTAGCCAGGCATTGTGGAGGGCACCTATAATCCCAGTTACTTGGGAGGCTTGAACCTGGAAGGTGGAAGTGGCAGAGAGCCACTGCATTCCAGCCTAGGCAACAGAGCGAGACTCTGTCTGAAAAAAACAAACAAACAAACAAACAAAAAGGCACAGAACTGTATTTCCATGCCCAGGGCCTTTTTGCTTCAAAGCAAAAAGTATGTGATGCTGCAATTTGGGGATGAGGCTATATGTTGGATTATTCTCTTTACATAATGAATTTTATAAGGAATATAATATCTGATCCCACTTCATGCAGTCCAGGATTTGCAGCAAATATGGTTGTGCCAAACTGGGTCGCAGGTCACAGTGGGCAGCAAAGCCACAAATGTTGCATATTGAAATGCTTAAAAAGATGCTGTGTGTACGATGGGTTATTTTCCTATAGCCAGGGAACATCTTGTCTTCTGTAAAAACAGTAAATTCACTTTCTGTTCTCTGGGGAATTAGAAAAAAAGTGTAAAATGTATTGCTGTTTAATCATGTAACAGTCAGTTTAGGTCCATTTTGAGACTGAATATTTACAACAACTATCCTAGTTTGTCTTGCATTATTCAGAGTAGTTTATTTAGTGCTTTATATATTTTAACTGTTTTTTGGGAAATAGTTTCAAACTTACAGACAGGTTGCAAAAGTAGAAATAATATAAGGAACATTCATATACCCTCTACCCAGATTTACCCATTAACATTTTACTCCATTTGCTTTATCCTTTATGTATGTGAGTTTTCTCCTTTATATGTAATATTTAAATTATGTTATATATAACATTTATACACACATCATTTACCCTTAAATACACTAGTGCATACATCCTAAGAATAGGTACATTCTCTTATATAACCAGAACAGTAAATTTAACTTTGACATAACACTTTTATCTAATTTTCCATTCATGTTTAATTTTGTCAGTTGACCTGATATCGTCCTTTATAGCACCCTCCCCTTATAGTACAGGGTCCAGTCTAGGGTCAGGTATTGCTTTTTTTTTTTTTTTTTTTCGAGAATACAGCCCCCTCCCCTTTGGCCGGGTGTGGTGGCTCACGTCTGTAATCCCAGCGCTTTGGGAGGCCGAGGCGGGCGGATCACGAGATCAGGAGATCGAGACTATCCTGACTAACACGGTGAAACCCCGTCTCTACTAAAAATTCAAAAGAATTAGCCAGGCGTGGTGGTGGGCGCCTGTAGTCCCAGCTACTCGGCAGGCTGAGGCAGGAGAATGGCGTGAACCTGGGAGGTGGAGCTTGCAGTGAGCCAAGATCACGCCACTGCACTCCAGCCTGGGCGACAGAGCCAGACTCCGTCTCAAGAAAAAAAAAAAAAGTAATAATACGTATCCCTCCTCTTTAAAAAGTAGTATATTCAGATTTTTGCTTTTTTTTTTTTTTTTTTTTGAGACAGGGTCTCACAGTGTCACCCAGGCTGGAGTGCAGTGGCATGATGATGGCTCACTGCAGCCTTGACCTCTTGGGCTCAAGCAATTCTCCCACCTCAGCCTCCGGAGTAGCTGGAACCACAGGTGTGTGCCACCACACCCAGCTAATTTTTGTATTTGTTGTAGACACCGGGTTTTGCCATGTTGCCTAGGCTGGTCTTGAACTCCTGAGCTCAAACAGTCTCCCTGCCTTGGCCTCCCAAAGTGGTAGGATTATAGGTGTGAGCCAGCATGCCTGCCTTTTTGTGTTTTTTGTACCTAATATTTTCCCAGAAGTTCAGGAAAATAGCCCCTTAGGATTTGAGCTGCATGTTCAAATTTATACTGGTATCTTAGTCCATTTGGGCTGCTATAACAAAATGTCTTAGACTGGGTAATTTATAAACAATAGAAATGTATTGCTCACAGTTCTGGAGGCTGGGAAATCCAAGATCAATGAACCAGAACAAATGGTGTCTGCTGAAGGCCTGTTCCTTACAGATGGCACATTTCTCACTGTGTTCTCATGTGGTGGAAGGGCACACAGGCTCTCTCAGGTCTCTTCTCTAAGGGCACTAATCCCATTCACAAGAGCTCTATCTTTATGAACTAATCACATCCCAAAGGCCCACCTCTTAAAACCAACCCATTGGTGATTATATTTCAGCACATGAATTTTAGAGGGACACAAACATTCAGAACATAGCAACTGGAGAATGACGGGTTCTGCTTTTCTTCTGCCTTTCAATCCTTATACATGTGTCTCCACTGGCAGAATTTAACCTGGAAACATTTAGAGTAAGTTCTCTGGAAAATAGAGTGCTAGGCTGTCTCCCTATAGGTACAGAAGAGAATGTAGAAGGGGGTGGCAATCATGCCGAGTTGACAACTGACAAGCTGGCACATGCTCCTGTTGGGGCCTATGGGTAGAAAGGAGAGGACAATGAGGTCCCTGGCCTCATGCAGGTTTCAGACTCCAGGGAGACCTGTAAGTTCTGTGAGGGAAACAAGCAAAGGGCTGTGACTGAGAGTAACTGAGGACATAGTGTCCAGGAAAGGCCTCTCAGAGGACTGAAACATGACAAGGAGCCGCAGCTATGTGAAGGGCAGAGACTGTGGAGTTGTGACTATCCAGGTAGAGAGGTGTCCAGGGCAGTGAGCGCCACAGCAGCTCTTTTGAGCTTGATTTATTTTAGGAAATGATGGAAGGTCAATGTGAATGGCAGTTGGTGGAGTGTAGCATCATTTTAAGTTGGAGGGGATGGCAGGGGCTGGATTGTGCTGGGTCTTGTAGAACCAGGTGATGAGCTGGTATTTCGTACTAAGTGAAAGAGAAACGCTCTTATTCTATGTGGCATGTCTGGGCAAATTAGATTTCCATCTTGTTGGAAAATTGTTGTAAGATAATTTTGTTAGAATGAGTCATTTCACTAAAATCTGCCAGAAAATATTCATAATAAATATTAAATTTCCAGTGCCTCCAATGTGAATGCACTCTCCCATAGGGTTGTTCTACCACAACTGTACAATTCTATATGGCAGCCTCTGTGGGGAGCCATGGAAATGTTTCTTCAGGGAGTGACACAATCCTGTGTGGCTCCTGTGTGGAGGGGCCAGGAGGAGAGGAGAACAGATGAGATAAAGTGTTTTGAAGGTAGATCCTACAATATTTTGGAGATAAAGAGATTGGATGGAGGACATGGGAAAAAGGATGACAGGATGATGGCTCATCAGGTTTGTGGATGGCAGTGCCGTTTTACTGAGATGGGCAAAACTGGGAGAAGACCAGCCTTTAAAAGTGGAGGGGACAAAGAAATCAAGGAGTAATTAAAATCCAGGTATTTGCCATCCTATCATTTCTTGAATGTTCTATTTTCAATTAAAACTTAACCAAACTATTCACTTTTACAAGATACACGTTAGATTCAAGAACAATAACGTGATCTTTTTTGCCTTTCAGGATTAAAGAATCGGGTTAGTCAGTCTTGGTGGTGCATGCCTGTAATCCCAGTTACTGAAGAGGCTGAGAGGGAGGATCCCTTGAGCCCAGGAGTTTGAATCCAGCATGGGCAGCAAAGCAAGACCCAATCTCTTATTTTCAAATGTAAAAAATTAAAAAAACAAATTGGGGAAATATAAACTCAAGTTTTACTAATCTTTTCAAGTTCCTCTATGTTTTAACAATGTGTCATACACTTTACACATTATCTTATTTCCTCCATTCAGCAGTTTATGAGGAAGTTCCTTTTTTTTTCTTTCTTTTTTTTTTTTTTTTTAAGAGAAAGGGTCTCCTTCCATCATTCAGGCTGGAGTGCAGTGGCTGGATCATTGTTCACTGCACTGCACTGCAGCCTTGACCTCCTGGGCTCAAGGAATCCTTCCACATCAGCCTCCTGAGGAGATGGGACTCCAAGTGCCCAGCTAATTTAAAAATTGTTTTGTAGAGACACAGTCTCACTATGTTCCCCAGGCTGGTCTTGAACTCCTGGCTTCAAGCAATCCTCCTGTCTCGACCTCCCAAAGTGCTGGGATTATAGGCCGGGTGTGGTGGTTTACACCTGTAATCCCAACACCTTGGGAGGCTGAAGCAGGTGGATCACTTGAGGTCAGGAGTTTGAGACCAGCCTGGCTAACATGGTGAAAACTCGTCTCTACTAAAAAGAAAATACAAAACATATCCAGGCATGATGGCACATGCCTGTAATCCCAGCTACTTGGGAGGCTGAGGCAGAAGAATCACTTGAACCTGGGAGGTGGAGGTTGCAGTGAGCCAAGATCACGCCACTATATTCCAGTCTGGGCCACAGAGTGAGACTCTTGTCTCAAAAAAAAAAAAAAAAAATTGGGCGGGTGGGAGGATGGGGCTGGGCGTGAGCCACGTGTCTGGCCAGTAATTCCTATTTTTATCTTCATTTTACGGTTGAGATGTGAGGCTCAAAGAGCTGTCTTATCACTTGACTTGAACAGGGTACCACAATTACAGGTTCGGGTAGGAGTGAATCTTACTTCCTTTCAGTGACTTTTGAGTTCCCTGCTTTGTTCCAGATTGGTCAGTGCTATCCAATAGAACTTCTGCAATGATGGAAATGTTTTATATGTGCACTGTCCAATAGTCATGTGGCTATTAAGCACTTGAAATGTGGTCAGTGTGACTGAGAAACTAAATTTTTAATTTAAATAAATTTACATTTAATTAAGACATGTGGTTAGTGGCTACTGTATTTGTTAGCACAGATCTAAATCAACGGTCTCCAAACTGGGGTGCACGCAGCCCAGGGAGGGCATAGACTATGAAGAGTACAGAAAGAAAACATACATATATATATTTAAAATCATTATTTCTGATTTTTTTGTGTGTGTATGTTGTTTTTTAATGTACCTAACATACTAGGTATATTATAATAGGTGTATGTGTGTATATAAATACACACTATATATATCATACATATAATTCTGTGTGTATGTGTGACTGGGTCTTGCTATGCTGCCCAGGCTGGATTCAAACTCCTGGCCTCAAGTGATCCTCCAGCCTCAGCCTCCTGAGTAGCTGGGTATATTACATATGTAACAACTTTTATTTCACACTTACGTAGCACTATATAAATGTGTATATTATGTATGTAATAATTTTATTTCACACTTGTAAAGCACTGTGTGCCAGGTATATGCTTTACATATATTAATTCATTTCATCTGCATAATGACTCTGTGATATACTTTTATTATCTCCATTTTACAAGTGAAAAAACCAAAGTTATCTTTGGATGTGCCAAGGTTGTTAGAGACAAAGCCAATGTTTGATTACAGTCATTCTGGCTTCTATCTATGCACTTTACTTAAGCTAAATAAGTACATGGGAAGTGAGGAGGGCAAACATTTTTACTAATGTGAGTGACCAAAAATATTTGATAACTAATGCTCTAGGCTTGACCTTAGACAACCAGTCAGACATAGCAATTCCTACTTTCAAAATTTAAAAGGATTTTAGGCATTATTTAGTCCTGCCTTTTCCCCACTGATAGATATTGCTGTGCACGTAGAGGTGAATGAGGTAGAGTGATGGTACGGACAAGCGTCCTGGTGACATCTGTACTCATCTAGAGACAACTCTAACACACGAAAGATTGTGTGTGTGTGATCATACAATTTTCCCCATTTAAAAAAAGTTCATCTTTGCCAATTTTGTTCTAATTATTAATTTAAAAAAAGACTTGTTTGTTTCAGAGACAAACTCTATTGAAATAGGGGAGGATAGGAGGCAACAAGCCTGGAGGAGGAAGATCCCAGGTGGAAGAGCAGGGCGGAACCCAAGTCTGCTCTCATCCCTAGGTGCTCATCCACGTGCAGCTTGGCTGGTAGTGACTCTAATTCAACAGCAATCAAACACAGGTTAAAACAACTTACTGAAGTAATAGATGAATAAGAAATATAAAATTTACCAAAACCCAATTTCCTCCTACACACCACACACACTTTGTTTAAAATAAGTATGCTGTTCTCCCTACTTCGCCCCCATCCCTAGTCTACCCTAAGCAACTTCGTTACCTCTCTACGAACCCATCAGAGCGCTTAGCTATCAGATCAATTAGGGCACATTTAACCTTATATACTATGCAATAATTACAGTTTCTAGGTATGTGAAGTAGGCTGATGGGGTTTTGTGTCGTCAAAGTTTTGGGAAGACCAGAATTCTAAAGTATGCATTTAAAAGAAAGGGCTGGGTGGAGCACGTAGGGTATGTGTGTGTCGCCGCAGTTCCCTTGGTTTCAAGAGGAGGGATTTTAGGTAAAGCAAAGGGAAAGTGTGACGGAAAGGATTGCTGTGCTAAATGGGAGCAGCAAATGCCAGTACCGATGCCTTTGGGCATTTAGATCCAAAGCCTGCCTTTCTCGTTCTTCAGTTCCCCGGGGAGGCCTGTTGTGGGTGGGGAGGTGTCTTCCTTCTATTATTCCAGTCTCCCTAAGAACTTCGTAGACAGTTGAGCAATACTTTCTAAGGGCTGGTCGGAGTCAGGAAAGTCAGGTAAGGCGCCTCACGTGCACCTCAACGCGTCGCGGGAGCGCGTCCCGACCTCACACATGGACAAGCTCCGCCCGCGGCCGGCCTGAGTGGGTGTGGCCTCCGCCAAAGGCCCCGCCCCTAGAGCGCGTCGCGAGGGGCGCGAGGGGCGGGGCGAGGGAACTGGCAAGAAAGGGCGGGGAGCGAGGGGTGTGGGTGTGCTCGTGCCCGCGCGCTCGCGCCCGGAGTGTGGACGGGGGCGCGCCCGTGCGCGCGCAGGGGAGAGGCCAGCCCAGGCAGCCGTTGTCGGGTTCGACTGGAGGGGCGGGGGAGTCACCTGCGAGCGGCTGCGCTGGCGGCCAGCCCGCCCACCGCGTCTGGATCGCGCCGGCTGCGCGGGGCTGCGGACAGCACACACCCTGGAAGGCCCCGGCGGGGAACGGGCAGAGTCCGCGCCCTGCGTCCGCGACCAGGAGGATCGGACCTTCGCCTTCGCTGTCGCCGCCGCCGCCGCCCGCGGCCGTCGGGGTAGGTGAAGCCCGGGTGGGTGGTCCGCCGGCTCCTGACGGGCCGGGAGGGGAGACGCGAAACTTTCCGGGCGCTTCCTCCCGCGGTCCCGGAGCCGTCGCAGCGCCGGGAGGTGTCGTCGTCGCGGGCGGTGGCGGCCGACGCCATGTTGGGGTCTGTGAGAAACGGGGCGCTCCCGGCCGCTCCCCTCGCGCCGGGGCCGGCCCGCGGGCCAGTTGCCGCCGCCGTCCCGCCAGCCCGGGAGCGAGCCGCGCCCGCCCGTAGGACGCCGCCGCCGCCGCGGGGGGACGGGGGCCGCCGGGTAGGGTCCGGTCCACGGGTCTGCGGGGCGGGGGCCGGCGGACGCGGGAAGGAGCCCCGAGGCCGGGCGAGAAGTTGTGGGGCCTGAGGACGGGGGTCCTGGACACGGCCGGGGGCGTCTCAGGGTCGCGACAAATTTCTGGCCGAAAAGTTTGCAGGGTCTGCGTGTCGGGGACCTTATGACCTGAACTACATATTTGTATGTCACTTGGGAGACGAAAATGGCCCCGCAGAACTTGCTCTGATAGAAGCGATGGTTTATTTATTTGGAGCCTTTTCAAGTTTTATGATCCTTTGACGAATTTATTTTTCTTTTTAAAAATGTGATTGAAGGCCGAGAGCGCGCTGCCGGTGTTGCTTGAATAGCCTTGTGTGCTCTCCGTACATTCCAGCAATAACTTGAGTGTGCGGTGGAAGTGGGTATGAAGGTTACAGACACCTAAGCCCTCCTCGGTAATTCATAGACTCACAAAACGCGTTGTTGATAAATGCCTTCTTTGTCGTGTTGTGTAGTACGTTGCTGAAGAGACTCATTAAAGAAAGATTTAGACAGAAACTTTGAGAGTCTTAAAGGCATGTGTTCTCTTAAGAATAAGAAGTGATCTTGACAGTTTGAAGTTTTTTTCCCCTCCCTTTAGTTTCTTAAGGGTGAATGCCTACCGCGTTTTGAGCATTTACTTTTTTTAAATACTCTGGCAGCTCGTGGGGTCTTCACGTTAATTCAGTATTAACGAAGGCTTCATTATAATCTCTTTGGGTCCCGACCACACGGGGAATGAATGGTATTAAGCTATTTATTTGGAAAGCACACGTAATCGGCCTCTAAATAAAACTAGTATAGTGACTAAGCTTCAGAAGAAAATATTCAGCCTCAGTAAATGAATCTAAATGATTTTTAAATAAAGACATCTTGCTTTAAAATTCTGTTAAATGAACTGAAAAGGCTCTTAAACACAAATACAGTAAGCCCTAAAACCCCAAATTCTTGGAGAATTTTACTTTTTAGATCTAAAAATACAGCTTCTGCTCATATTTGATTGTCAATTTCTTTTTCCTTTTTTCTCTTTTTCCTTCCTTCCTTTTCCTTTTCCTAGACAGGGTCTCTGTCTGTCGCCCAGGCTGGAGTGCAGTGGTGTCATCTCCGCTCACTGCAGCCTCAAACTCCCGGGGCCCAGGTGATCCACCTCGGCCTCCTGAGTAGTTAGGACTACAGGAGCGCATCACCACACCTGGCTAATTTTTGTTTGAATTTTGTGGAGAGAAGGTTTTGCCATGTTGCTCAGGCTGTATTGCCAATTTCTGTTGTTCTTAAAAATTCTTTTAGTTTTGCTTCATTGTCAAGTAAATGGCATTATAACATTTTTTATTTAGAAATGAAATTAACTAATTTCACAAATGTAGCAGCCAAACTGGTATTTAACTGAGATCTTATGACTCTGAAGCCTTTTCATTTTTCCTGTAGCATAACTTTGTAGGATACATAACTCAGTCTTCTGGAGCAATCTGTCCATCTCGTTTGCTCTTATCACTGCTCTGACTTGAATTTAGTTCTTCAGTATAAATACTTATTTCCCAGCGAGCTGATTTACAGGTGATCCTTGTGATGAAATTTTTTCCTTAAAAATACTTAAGCCTATACTCTTTGAAGCCTTTTCTGCTCTGTTCTCTCATTCCACTCCCTTGCCCTCTCCAGAAATCAATTAATTTCTCCCATGGTATTACTGTAAATATCGCATAGATTCTGTCATGACATCTCCTTGACAGCAGGCAACACATCGGGTCTGATTTGCCTCTTCATTCCCTGCATGCCAAGAACATAGCAGATGCTCAGGAAAGGTTTGAATGGATGAGTACACGTATGTTTGTTCCTTGTAAATATGCTTCATGAATTTCTTTTGAAATTGTAAATTCCATGAGCATCATAGTTAAATCTTCTTTGTAGTCTTTTTCCCAATACATGCCATCAACTCCATTAAATCCACAGATTGGTTTTTATTATATATACACACACACACACACACACACACACACACACACACACACATGTTTTGTTGTTGTTTTGTTGAGAATTTAACTTAGTACCTGAGTGAATTTTCGCCTGGGGGTACAGAACTTGAATATTTATGAAATTTCTAAGTAGATAATGGATTAAAGTATAATTACTGATGTATGAGAGAGAAGCCATGGATCATCAAAAGGATTATAATCATAATTTTAAGTGTGATTGAATGTATTTGAACTTGATGGAAATATTGTTAATGCTTGAAAAATTTAAAGGTCATATTTATACATTTAAGCTCTTGGAACAAATCTCATTATAGCTCTATCAATTATTGTTTTGCCGGAATTGTCTTAGAATTTTTAGAATGCCCTGCTTAATAGAAAGTATATGAAAAATTTTTTTGTTGTTGTTTATCTTTGATGAACCAGCTTTGTACATGAGCTGCCTGCTTAATATTTAAAAGCAATGTATGTGTTGACTTAACTGAATAAAAAATACTTCATGGATACACTTTCACAGTGCTGTTTTAAGTTGGAAAACCTCTCTAGGTTAAGGTGTTTTGTAATTCTATAATGCCTATAGAATTCGGGGTTTATTTCCTGCCCCCACCCAAGATAACTTTCTCCCCTGTCAAACTGTAAACCACAAACTAATGTGCTCAATTTAGGGAGGTCCTGAGAAGAGAATAAAAGGCATTCAAATAGTTGCTGTGAATGCACTGGAAAGAAAGCAAGTTGCATGTAGGATGGACTGGAACAAATAAACCTTGTCCTGACTCAGCTCCTTGCTGGCTTGTGACTCTTGAACAAGCCGCTTCACTTCTGTAAGCTTCACTGGACTCATTTGTGAAATGGGCACAGAAATATTTGCCTCAGTGTTAGCGTGAGGGTCACCCAAGATTCGATGTTTGTGGAAGGGCCTGGAATACGATAGTAGCTATTATTTTAACAAATGAACAGAGTGGCAGTGAATTATATAGAATCATAGAATTTAAAAATTTTTAAAGGGAAGCAGCCTGTAGGAATACCTAGTTCAGTTTTCAGCCTTGGCTGCACATTAAAATCTCCTGAAGAGCTACTTAAAAAGAATATTGCCTGGATCCCACCCCAGGACAAATAAATCAGAATTACTGGGTTTGGGGACAGAACAAAGGTAATTTTGCCTCTTTGTTAAAACATCCCCGATTTTAGTGTTCAGTCAGGTGGAGAACCTTTGATTTAACTCAATTTCCCATCTCCTTTCTTATGCTTTTCATTTTGTAGTTGAGTAAAATGCAGAGGGGTTAGCTGCCAGCCAGATTCCTATCAGTCAGGCTAGAAAGGATGTATTAAATATTTGCAGCTGAGGAAAGTGAAGTGCATAGAGGTTAAGTAAGGGTTACATTCATTTCTGGCCAGAATGGCCACATTTGGAACTACACTTCACTAACTCCGGTGACCCCCACTGCTACTCTACAACAGCAGCCTGCATGTTGTGACCATGTTACTTGTCATCATTCAGAACCACTCTACCTCAGGTCTTAAACCCTGTGGCCAGATGGCGATGCAAGGGTCTGTTTTCTCTTTCTCTTTTCTGTCATAACTGGTTAAGCAGCTTTTTGTCCTTATTGTCACCTCCAGTCCCTCCTAGGCCATTAGTTGTCTTCCCTCTTTTCAACCTTGAACTCTGTAGTTCATGTTCTAACCATGAACTCACTAGACCACATAGTCCCTCCTCTCCTTGACCTTTGCTGGGTGTAACTGGTCAGTTTTCTACCTTTGTCCCTGCCCTACACTCTCCCCCAAAGTCACGCTTTTGGTGATCATTACATACTTGTTTTCTACCTGCTTTATACTAGTTACTTTCTAATCCTTTTCTTATCCCCAAGTTGACTTATTTTCTCTGTTGCTTTTTCACTCCAGTCAGGTTGCTAACCCCAGTCTCGAAACATGTTGAGCAGATGACCTTACTTCCTTCTAAAATGATTAAGATTTTATGATGTGAATTTTCTATTTTCTTCTTTGCACCAACTTCTTCATCTTCCCCCCCCCCCCGCCCCTTTTTCAGAAGTGGAACTATTTTTAATTCTTTGTACTTGTTTCATTTAAACAACAGTTGGGGAAAAAGAAAGATTTTTGTGTTCTTTGCTCACATTTTTATTACTTGTACATATAACTGTATTTTACTTTTTATACTTATATTTTTCTACACATTCTTCTTTGTATTTTCTTCCCAAACTAAAAGGCTTTGTCTATGAGAGAATGTGTTCATTATAAGATAATTAGGCGTATCAAAATATTATTAGTCTAGTGCTTAGAGATAACCACTACTGACTTTTTGGTGCATATCAGCCACTTTTAAATAACAAGTAGGCTTATACTATATGTGCTATTTAGAAACTTTTATTTAATAAAATGCTTTAACAATATTTCACATTAAATATTGTGTTTTCTAAAAAACTGCCTAAAAATTAATGGATGTGCCATAATTTATTTAGTCTCCTATTGTTAAATATTTAGGTTGTTTCCAGCTTTTCTATATTATAGACAAAGCTACAGTGAACTTCATGTGAACAACTTTGTACACTTTTAATTTTTGTATGTATTATTGGAAATAGAATTGTTGTATAAACTTTCTAAAGCATTTCTATTGCCAAAATGGCATTTAGAAAAGTTGTTCCAGTGTATATACAGTATTGTCAAGAATATAAGGGTCCATTTTTACCACATCTTAGGTGAGTAATATATGAATATCATTTTAATTTTTATTTGATTGGGACTGAGTGTCATTTTTTAAATTTACTGGTCATTTTCATTTTTTTAAAATTGACATTTGTTTCTTATTTTTCTGTTGGGATATTTTCCTCTTTTCTTGTGGATTTACAGGAGCCCTTTGCATATTACAAATGTTGGCCGGGTGCGGTGGCTCACACCTGTAATCCCAGCCCTTTGTGAGGCCAAGATGGGCAGGTCAGATTGCTCGAGTCCAGGAGTTTGAGACCAGCCTGGGCAACATGGCAAAACCCCGTCTCTACAAAATACACAAAAATTAGTTGGGCAGGGTGGCATGCCTATAGTCCCAACTACTCAGGAGGCTGAGGTGGGAGGATCGCTTGAGACTGGGAGGTAGAGGTTGCAGTGAGTTGAGATTGTGCCACTGCACTCCAGCCTGGGTGACAAAGCAAGACCCTGTCCTGTCAATCAATCAATAAATGTTGACCCTTTGCCATATTACTTTAATGTTCTTCCCCCAATTATGAAGTTTTAAAAGTTTAGGTAGTAAATTTTTTCTTTTATGATGGCTTTTTGTGATACATTTAACTATTCCTCAGCTAGAAATTTAGGTTTTATTTTTCACTATTAGAGTTAATGCCAGAGGGAAAACTTTTTATGTGCCACACCCCCTCCACCCCCTTTCTCCAGTTTATTTCTCCAGGTTAAATTTTTGTGGGTAAAAATTTCAGATATTTTATTGTTACACATTGCCATTAGTCCTTGATTTTTTTTTTTTTTTCCCATGTGTCCCACTGCTGATTGTGACCTTTTGGCAGGTTATTTAGTCTCTGAGAGTTGTGAAACATATGAGAGCAGGTTGAAAAGGTGCTTTGTGCTCCTTTGTGTCCCGTTCTTTTTTCCCTTAAATTTTCCTCCTGCTTTCTAAACTAGGGGTTCCCCAAAGTTTAGTCCTCTGCTCTCGTTTTTCTTCCAGCATCAGCCAGCATCTCTAGGTGGGTGACTACCAAATCTCTCTGTCCTGGAGCTCCCTGCCCATCCTGGCATCTCTGTCCCGCAGATGTGTTTGTCTTGTGGATGCCCTGGAGGACTTCAAGATAAACATGTCCCAAACTGATTTCTTCTCTCTCCTAAAACAAAGCTAGCATCTGCCCAGTGGCTTACCCTTAAGCCTTTGAAGTCATCTTACAGTCCTTTTTCATCCATGTGTTCAGTTATTTCCTAAATCCTATCTGCTATGCCTCAGTTATCTGCCAATTATTGTGGTTCAGGCTTTTCTTACCTTTCATTTAGAGATTGTTGTAATCCTCATATGACTGGTTTCTTTGTCTTCAGTCTTGCTTCTTCATATTCTCTTCAGTCCATCCCGTGTACTGCTTCTGTGTCTGATTAATATTTTCCTATTTAAAAACCTTTGTCTTCCCATGGCCTGTGTAATAAAGTGTAAACTCTTCTATCTGATGGTTGCTTTCTTTTGCAGTTTGTCTCATCCCTATCTTACCAGACTTCTTATCACTATGCCTTCTCCTGACCTTGCCTCCTCTGGCCTAGGCTCCATTATTTCCTCTCTGGGGGAATAGTCTTGTGTACCATCATCCATCCCCAAACCCCAGATAGTTTGAGCTACTACTTTTGCTTTAAGGCCCAGCTTGAATTTCTGGTCCTTACAAGACCTGTTCCTAGATGTTCTACCTGGTCAAAATTACATCCCACCTCAACTCCTTGGCCCTGGGACCTTTACCACTGTTTTTTTTGTTTTGTTTTGGTTTGTTTTAAGTTAAAAAGTTTTTGGCTTGTTTTTCCTCTGCTGTTTTAGACTTTGCACAGATTTAAGTTAATTGTATACCTCAGTTTATAGCACATTATAGGGATACCAAACCCCTTCCTTGTTTTGTTTTTTTCCTTCTTTGTCAGTTACTCCCATGATAATCTTTCCTATAGAAACACAACTGAATTATATATACTTGTCTATATAAATATGAGAATATAGCTGTCTTTCTCTTCCTCAGAGGTTTTCAGTTTTGAGTATCTTCTGTCCTTTAATACTGCTTTGCACAGAGCAAGTGATAATAAATGTTTGACTACTTGAAATTCATTAAAAATTAATGGTTTTATTTGCTTTTGAATTAATCACTTAGACTAAAACCCTGGAGATTAATTTTAGCTTTACTCTTCTATATCCAGTCTGCAATTCTGAATCTGACCTATCCTTTATTTTCCTATTGTAAGCTTCAGACTCTTCATCAACTTTCCCCTCTATTTTTGCAGTTACTTTTCAACTGGATCCTGTTTTCAGTCTCTTCCTTCTCAATTTATCTTTCGTTGTTTCTATAGTTATCTAAGAAAAATCCAGATCAGATCAGGCCACTCCTTCCAAAAGTTTCAGAAGGAAGTCTTAGATATTAACAAGATTTTGTGTTATTTTTCCCCCCTTTTCCCACTAAATAACTCCCCTACAGCCTCTGCTGCAGCTGTACAGTGTAACTTTTTTTTTTCTTTTGAGAGGGAGTCTTGCTCTGTGGTTCAGGCTGGAGTGCAGTGGCACGATCTTGGCTCACTGCAACCTCTGCCTTCTGGTTTCAAGCAACTCTCTTGCCTCAGCCTCCCAAGTAGCTGGGACTACAGGTGCATGCCACCACACTTGACTAATTTTTGTGTTTTGTTTTTTTTTTTTTTTTGGTAGAGACGGGGTTTCACTGTTGGCCAGGCTGGTATCGAACTCCTGACCTCAAGTGATCTGGTTGCCTCGGCCTTCTAAAATGTTGGGGTTACAGGCTTGAGCCACTGCACCTTGCCCAGTGTGACTTTTTATGTGCGTTTTTACTTGCAAAGCTTTGTGCCTTTATTTAGCCATTTTTTTGCCTTCTTAAATTCCGCTCATTCTTCACAACCTGTTTTCAGTGTTCAAATGCTGTATTCTCTGTGCCATGCCCTCACTCTTTGCTTTTTTTGCTTCCTTACTACTTTGCTAATGTTTTTAGTATAGTACTTATCTCCTTGTGTTTTGTATTAACCTTGTGGCGTATATCTTATTTCCTAGTGTCTGCTTTGTTCTTTTTTTCCACCAAACATAAACCTTGAATGTAGTGAGCAGGTTGTAACTGTTTTGAATGATACTAAAGAAAATTGGTCAGGGATGTCACAGGATAACTAATTCCTCAGTAGTGTTTTAGTTGAGCTTTACCAGGTTTATTTTTCAGATATTATTTAATTAATTAATTTTTTTCTTGAGACAGGTTCTGGCTCTGTGGTCCAGGCTGCAGTGCAGTGGTGCAGTCATGATTCACTGCAGCGTTGGCCCCCCAGGCTCAAGCTGTCCTCCCGCCTCAGCCTCCCGAGTAGCTGGGACCACAAGTGCACACCGCCACACCTGGCTAATTTATGTAATTTTGGTAGAAATGGGGTTTCACCATGTTGTCCAGGCTGGTCTTGAACTCCTGGTCTCAAGGGATCTGCCTGCCACGGCCTCCCAAAGTGCTGGATTACAGGCTTGTGCCATTATGCCCAAGCTATTTTTTAGATATTATCCAATGCTTTCTTTACAGCTGTCAGCACTGTACAGCTGCCCCTGTACAAATACTTTTAGAAATGATGTGAGTTTTTGAATCTGAGTTTTGTGATGATGAAAATATGCACGTAATCATCATTTTTTATTTACTAACTAAACAGCTGTGCTTTTTGGAGAAAGAAATCATTTATATATATTACCATGAGATTGAAATTTTTTAAAAAACAGGATCTGCCTTGCTCAATACTTAGAATTTTTAATTACATACTGTACTTAAATGGGCCACAACATTTGCTTGTAAATTTAAAATCTGTGGGTCCAGTGAAGCAGTTGATGGGTAGGGTGTGGTTCCTGTTTTCTGTGAAAATTAATATAGATGTTAAAAATGAAGTCTTTGATTTTCATCAAACTCAAGATTGGGAGCTGCTGCCACTTCTAACTGCTGATTGTATTCAGTTCAGTGCACATTGGCACATTGATGCCATTTATGCAAGCATTTTTTTTTAGGTGCTGTTGCAAATACAAAGTTGGAGGAAATAATCTTTTTTTTTTTTTTTCTTTTTTTTGAGATGGAGTCTCGCTCTGTCGCCCAGGCTGGAGTGCAGTGGCACTATCTCGGCTCACTGCAAGCTCCGCCTCCTGGGTTCGCGCCATTCTCCTGCCTCAGCCTCCCAAGTAGCTGGGACTCCAGGCGCCCGCTACCGTGCCCGGCTAATTTTTTGTATTTTCAGTAGAGACAGGCTTTCACCATGTTAGCCAGGATGGTTTCGATCTCCTGACCTTGTGATCCGCCCGCCTCGGCCTCCCAAAGTGCTGGGATTACAGGCGTGGGACACCGCGCCCGGCCTGGAAATAATCTTTTTTTAAGGAACCTCCACATCTGTTGGGAATGAGCAAGTACACACATTTTTATGAAACAAATAGACTATAAGTGCTATAAAGTGGTGCAAATAAAATGGTGTGAGGATTCACCTGGCCACAGGATATACCCAGCCACAATATTTGGCTGTGAGGCTATCGAACTGAGTGTGTCTTGAAGAATTGGTGAGATTTCAGTAAATAGAGAAGAACAAAGGAGGGAGGACATGCCGAGCTTAGAGGTAGGGAAAGAAGCCCAGAGCATATTCTGGTAATAGCTAGTAGTCTGGTTTGACTATAACAGAGAATGTAGAGAAAGAGGTAAAACTGGAAAGATAGATTGCAGCAGGTTAGGACTTGACTGTGAAGGGCTTTGAATACCAAGTTAAGGATTTTAGATTTGATTCTGTTGGCCAAGGAATCTGGTTTCTGAGTAGACTTACCTGATTATAGCTATAGTTAAAGAATATTAATCTTGCCTTGTGTAGGATGATTTGAATCAAACTTGTCCAGTCTGCAGCCCACGGGGTGCATGTAGCCCAGGACAGCTTGGAATGTGGCCCAATACAAATTTGTAAACTTTTTTTAAAACATTATGAGATTTTTTGTGTGTGTGATTTTTTTTTTCTTTTTCTTTTTTTCTTTAGCTCATTAGCTATCATTAATGTTAGTGTATTTTATGTGTGGCCTGAGACAGTTCTTCCAATGTGACCCAGGGAAGCCAAAAGATGGGACACCCCTGATTTAAATAATAAAAATTTAGAGGGCTTGTTTAGAACTTGAAGTCTATATTTGTTCCCTCTCTCCTACCTCTCTAAAGATGTTTTTAAACCTCCAGTGTGACTGTTCTGATTTTCCAAACTCATTTTCTAAAATATTCAACTATGACTTAGTTGTTTTTATGTACTATTTCTCTATCAAATCTAACCTATTTGAAACTGCCTTTACTAGTACCCTAAATTAGTCATAGCTTTGCCTTTTACTTCCTTTTAGTATTTGAAGAATCATTTTGAGTATATCTTATGGTTATTACCATAGATATGTAATTTTTTTCCTCTTATTTTGTCAGTGGCCATTCCAAATACATAATATAGGTCCATATGCAAAAAATATTTCTGTCATATTTATTTCTGAAGGTGAAGGTATAATGGAAAGAATATGCATTTAAAAAAAATGGGTGGGCACGGTGGCTCACGCCTGTAATCCCAGCAATTTGGGAAGCCGAGGCGGGTGGATCACCTGAGGTCAGGAGTTCAAGACCAGCCTGGCCAACATGATGAAACCTTGTCTCTACTAAAAATACAAAAATTAGCAGGATGTGGTGGTGGCCACCTGTAATCCCAGCTACTCAGGAGGCTGAGTCGGAATTGCTTGAGCTCGGGAGGCAGAGGTTGCAGTGAGCCGAGATATTGCCATTGCACTTCAGCCTAGGTGACAAGAGCAAAACTCTGTCTCAAGAAAAAAAAAAAAAAAAACCCAGAAAAAAAAACAAAAAACTGTGAGGCCGTTTGATAATTGCTTAGTTAGTTCATGACTCAGTTTTTTTGTAAAATTAAAGTAATGATCACTTAACAAAATCGAGATTATTAAATGAAAGAGTATAATGTGAATGTGCTATTATGCACATGTGTGGGTGCTGGGTAAATGTTAACTTCCTTTTTTTCTTTCTTGGCTGAGACTGTAGAATAAGTCTACTTTTCAGTAATAGGCATATTTGGTGCCTATGAGAGATTTAAAGGAAAAAAAAACTGACCTCTCTCTAAATGTGAATCAGAATTTTGAAGTTTCCATGTTTCTCAATCCAGTTTTAATACATTTAAAATTAACATATGAAAGTTTTGTCTTACCAAAGAAGTGAACCTCTTCCTTTTATCACTAATAATTTCTACAACACATACTGTGTAATCGGTTGGCCACAGTGGCAGAAATGCTGGTGGGAAGGGACAGAAAAAATCTTGACCTCTCTTTTAGATGGAATAAGTAGAGTTTTATAAAATTCCAAACGCAATTTACTAAATTTTGAAATATTTCTTTTTTTTTTTTTCTTTGAGATGGAGTGTTGCTCTGTCACCGAGGCTCACTCAGCTCACTGCCAGCTCCACTTCTCGGGTTCAAGCCATTCTCCTGCCTCAGCCTCCCGAGTAGCTGGGACTACAGGCACCCACCACCACGCCTGGCTAATTTTTTTGTGTTTTTAGTAGAGACGGGGTTTCACCGTGTTAGCCAGGATGGTCTCGATCTCCTGACCTTGTGATCTGCCCACCTTGGCCTCCCAAAGTGCTGGGATTACAGGCGTGAGCCACTGCGCCTGGCCAAGTATTTCTTTTTTGCTTTATCATCCTAATGATTTATTGAGACTCTTACCAAGAATTCCCTGATTATTATTCTGGTTACTAGACTGTAGAACTTTTGAAAGTAAGAACTGTCTTGTCCCTTGCAGATGGTAGGTACTCAGAATATTTGTTCATTTGACTTAGATGTGTTAAGAGAGGAATAGTTTGCTTTACTGTTATACATTTGCTCAGGAGGATGTACCTCTGGTAGTTTATTGCTGTTTGTTTTTACCTCCATTCTCCAGTTGCTTGTTAGTTTCTCCCTTTCCTTTTACATTTTCGGTAAAGTTTCAATCCAGCAGTGACACGGATTTTAAAATCTTGATTGAGATTAAGAGTCATAAATTTGATTAAAAATTAACTTGTAGACAAGTAAGTCTACAGTAAACCAGAAAATATGGCCCATTTACTATCAAAGACTCACTATTTTAAGGACTGAAAGGGCTTTAAAAATTATTTATGTTTTCTTCTTTAAAAAAAAAGGTAAGTAATTTGTATGAAATCACTTATTTAGTGTCTGAACCAAGATTAGAATCCAGGTCCTTTAGTTCATAGTTCATTGGTTTTTCACTATAATGCACAGTTGAATACTGAAGCTCACTGGTAACAGATATCATGGGTATATGTAAGAAATAAAATTAGATTTGTTTTCATTTTAAACTCACCTGTAAGGATGAGATAAGAAGTATTGATTTCCAGCAGGGAGAACTAAGACATAGTAGTCTATGACATTTGGTCTCTCTTCTCAATTGTAAGTAGGATTCTGTGTCTTTTTTTTTTTTTTTAAGAATTTTTTATCTTCTAGTATTACATTTTTAACAGGTGGTAGACACCCCACTGAAGAACATGTTACTTTAAAAGCAAGATGTTACCTAAAGACTAGGATGGAGCTTAGACAATGTAAATGCAGTTCTTGTCTGTAGTGTGAAGAAGATGACTTGAAACCTTTCATTATTTTTAAAAATTGGTATATAAAAGCTGGCTTTATAAAAGATATGCTTCTGCTCTAATTTTTACGTTTTAACTGTGAATTAACACTGCCAGGCACTGCTGGAAAAGAAGACAACGTAAAAAAAAAAAGTCAAATGGAAAACTGTTGAAATTAATGGAATTCTATGAAGTACCTGAATGTGAAAAGAAACAAGTATCAATAGTTTTCCTATTAACAGTTTCAACTAATTAGAAAACATACTGTAAAAAAGAGCTTAGATTCAAAGTGGCAACAAAAAGTATACAAAATCTGGGAGCCTATTTAAAAAGTGTAACTATCTTACAGAAGAAACATACAAAATTACTATGCCATAAAAGATTTGAAGCCTTGGGAGGAGATAACTATCACCCTTAAATGCTCAAAACTGTGAAGATGTTAATTCTAAAGTAATTTATGGATATAATGTAAGTTTCATCAACATTTCAGTGGGATTTTATTCTTTTATTTATTTATTGTAATTAAAAAATGGTTCTAAACCTTAGCTACATGTTACAATTATCTGAGGAGCTTTAAAAATAACTCCGGTGCACAGGTCTTACCCTGCATACCCCAGACCAATAAAATTAGACTGTCTGGGGGAAGAATCTAGGTATTGGTGTTTCTTAACCCTTGATATTTATCAGCAGAGTTCATTGTTCTTAATTTTGGGTTTTGGGTTTCTTTTCTGAGTAGTTATTATTATGTTGATTTCATATTTTATAACTCATTTCATAGAGTCTTCCAAAGAACAAAAACAAAATTTACTTATTTTAAAAAGCAAAATAAAACTCATTCTAGTGTGCAGTTACCATATGGTTTCATTGGGCATTTATAAATCTAAGATATATTATGGGTTCTTAGTGATTTTGCTTTTCCTATATCTTGAAGCATTTTGCTATTTCATTTTCCTGCGAATTATTTAATCATTATTCATTAATTTCCCCCAATTATGCCAAAAAGAAGCAAATGGAAGAGTGATAGAATTGCCAAGAAGGATGATGCAATGGTGAAATATAGCATCACTACTGTATCATTTCTCAAAAATATGAAAACAGTTTTGAGATCATCCTTTTTAGCATTTTTCTTCTAAGCTTTCATTTAACATATTTGGGAATTCATATTTTTTCATTTTTTATTTTCTGTCTTTAATAGCAAAGAAAAAAGGCAAAGGAAGACATTTCAGAACTATTAGACAAGTCAGAAGATAAATGCAAAGAAACAACACTTAATAATGATAGTGAATTTAATTGTATAAGTGAAACCTTAGACTGTGAGTCTTCAAATGATGATTTCCTAGATGAGTTTTTTTCAAACTCAAGAATTAATGAACAATATTTCTAAGGACAAAAAATGGAAATAATACACGTTCATGCATTCAAAGTTTCATTCAAAGGATGTTTCCTATTTCAGATATATATACCTTTAATATCAGAGAAAGATGGAATTAAAAAATTTGTTATAAGTTTTTATAAAGCTTTCTCTTAAAGTTTTTTTTAAAACTACCCCTTTATTCTCACTTTTGTAAATTCGTCATAAAATTACTTAAAATATTAAAGACAAAAAGTATTTTCGACCCAGATAGTCAATTGAGGTGAACATTTTTTTCTGATATGCCAGAGACTAAATCTGCCTTGTGATTCCAATGTGAAGCTAAGGTTGAGAAGCACTATTCTAAGTAGATTTTATCTAGACAAATAAACAAGATTAGTTAAAATGTTTTTAAGAAAGTTGAGTAATGGTCTAGAATACAGCTACCAGATACAAGGTACTGACATAAGAATTATGAAACAGATTAATGGATTAAAGCAGATAGCCCAGAAGCAGATCTTAGAATAGGTAAAAATTTAATACGAGAGTGACATCAATCAGTAGATTAGATTACTAACAGCATTAATGCAAGCTACCACTCGTTGACTGCTTGCTGAATGTTTTATATGCATTATCTCATTCATCTTTTCCTTGATGTATCTGCTATTATTCCCATGTACAAGTAAGGATATCTGAGGTCACACAGTTCTTGGTGTTTCTGGAACAATTAATTAGCTCTTTTAGAATGCAAATATTTGAAAAGCAAAAAAGTATTTTCACATATGCCAGAATACATTTTAGGTGGATAAAATAATTAAATGTAGAGTTTGTATCATAAAGCATAGATAATAAATAGGTGCATCTGATATCTGGATAGGGAAGCTTAGGAGTGGTGGAAGAAAAATAGCGCAAAGAAAAGATCTGTAAGTTTAACTGCTTAAGAAGTACAACTGACTTCATGTCAAACACCATAAAACTATAGATTAATATACTAGGAAAACAAAAAAAAAGGGATTAATAGTCTTTATGTGTAACACACTCATAGATTAATAACCTCTAAATATATAGTCTTTAAAATGCAAGTGATTAATAAACACATTAGAAAATCATTGACCTCATTAGGTAGCTACGGAAGAAAACATTAAATTAAATTAAAAGTACTTTTCCTTCCTATCTTAGGACCTTTGCTTATAGTATTTCCTTTGCATGGCTGACTCCTCATCCCTTAAGACTCAGTTTATAATACTACCTCAGTGAGGCCTTTTTGTACTACTCAGTCTAAATGAGTTTTCCCCTGTATCTTGACAACCGGCTTATTTCCTTCATTGTACTTCATCTTTTGGAATTACCTATTTATTTATTTATGGGCTTTCTCTTCCACTGGCCTCTAAGCTCTGAGAAGAAAAGCGTAATACCCAGCATCTATAGAGTGCTCAGTGAATAATTGTTGAATGAATAAACACTAAATAAAAGTGAGTAAAATGAATAAAGCAAGATGCTTTTAAAAATCGGTCATGCTTGCTGAAATTTTTAAAGAAAAATACCATATGTAGGACAAGATGAAATGGATACTGTCATTGTGCTGCTTGGTAAATTGGTGTTACTTCCAGAATGGAAATTTTGTAAAAGGTAGCAAGATTCTTTATTCATGCCTTTTGAGCCAGTAATTTTATTTACTTCTTGAAATTTGTTCTATGAAGCCATTTCTGCAAGGGGACGGGAAAGCTTTCTCTTAGTTCTTCCTATATACACTGGTATTCTTTCCCAAGAAAAGTAGACATTAATCAAATTGGGCCATGTTTATAGCTCTCTTCTGCTTCCTCCCCTCAATGAGTAGGATATGGGAAGGACTCAGTCCTTGGCTAGGCCCTGTAATCTTGTGTTCTAACCCTCTCACAAAAGTGTAGCATTCTTACTGCTTGGGGCACCTCAGTGTGCTGGAGGTAAATTTAGATTTGGGCTTAAGGGGAAGGGAGAGGCCTTGCTTAGGCCCTGAACCAAATGGTAGTGCCCTAATCCAGTTTACCAAAGAACATTATTTGGGGTATCTAGCTGTAACCCAGATAAAAGTGGTACTTTGATTTCCCTTTTGATAACCTCTCTCCACTCCTTTCTTTCCTTGCTGCCTCCTGTTTCCCTACCACCATTCTCTCTTTCTCTCTCTTATATGTGTTTGTGTGTGTGTGCAGGGCAGCATTTATGTATTCCTGGGTTTTTTAGTTCATTGCTTACCATCTTTTTTATGTCTGACACATACAGAAAATATTCAGGACCAAAAAGGATAATGGAAGAGGCTGCTTAAGGCCAAAGGCCTTAGGTTTTGTGCATGCCCATAGTTTTTCAGATATATGTCACAACCCACCAATCAATCAAGTGGGCTGCCAGAATCATTAAAATAAATGAAGATAAAAGAATGCATCATTCATTGTTGAAATAATTATACGAGTGTTTGTAACCTTGCAATATAAAATGTGTTTATGTTGGTCATTGTCAAACTTTGAAAGCTATTTGCTTTGCTGCAGCCAAATACTAATTAATAATGCCCCAAACCTTGCTTAAGTTGCATCATTATTAAACAGGGAGAAAGATTTATGAACAAAGATTTAGACTTAATATATTGAAACATTTGGACAATGAAAGATTATCAAGACACCAGCTGGGTAAATCATGACATATCCATCCTTTCAGGTGATTTGTTCAAGGTAGTATTCCCTTATCTTCAGTATTTTTAGGGTTTGCAATGAAGGTCCAGAGGTTAGTTAATAGCTTCCTTAGAGTTCTTGTAGATTCAGTGGAGTTCTTAGGAACAATTAGTGTACCATAACATACTGTAACATCACAGAGAAATCAGATTTGAGGCTTGTTCTGCTGTGACAGCCTTGGGCAAGTTATTTAACCCCTCTTTGGCTGTTTACTCATCCATAAAATGGAGCTAATAGTGCATGTATCATAAGGTTGCTGTGAGGAGGAAATACAGTAATAAGTGCAAAGTGCTCAGCACATTGGTTGGACTCCCTATGAGTAGAGTTCATTCCAGGTTAAGTTTTGCTTTTACATTATTAAATATCTTTGTGCCTTAATTTCTTCATCAGCTCACAGTTCAGCTAATATTATTAGATGCTTCTTTGGGGGACAATAAAAACTTCTCTAGTAACTTCATAGGCATTTCAAACAGTTCAAATCAGAAAATAATATGAAAAGCACAGTACAAATTTATGATAGTATTAATTCTCATAGTAGCAATAATAGGAAATCTGTTTGTGTTGTATATGAGTTAATAACGATATGTTCAAATGGGTGGACTCAGTAGTTGATTCAGGTGGAGAGAAATAGATCCTTTCAGTTTTTTTTTTAAAGTGCCAATGTCTTTTCCTGTTTTAGGGCCTTTGCAGTTACTCCTTTTGTCTGGAATATTCTCCCCTATCCTTACCCCTTCTTATGTCTGTCCATCTAGTACAGCTGAAATGACAACATTGTAGAAAGGCCTTTCCTGACCATGTAGTCTGAATAGCTCTCAGTTTCTTTTAAAAATCACTTTAAAAAAAAAATCATAGCATTGATTAGTACTAGATTTCAATTTTGTTTTCTCTTTCCTTCTCTCCAACTAGAATGTAAACCCTGAAGAGCAGGGACCTTGCCTGTATTGTTTAATTTATTATTTTTTAAAATTTTTATCTGTTGTCACATACTCAAGTATGATCGCCTGTGGTGTTTATTTTTACTTTTCCTGCACCTAGATCCTAAGTGCCTGACAAATACTTGTGGAATGCTTGAATATAATGTAAAGTATGAAAAAATGATCCATAATTATACTTTCCAGAGATAAATTACCATTGTTGATAGTATAGTATATATTTTTTAACTTTATGTTGTGTGTGTGCTTACAGATACAGATGTCTATGATTATGCTTTTGAAATATGTATTCCATTGAGTCTAAAGATAAACATTTTTTACTATATGTATTTGAAATTGGTCTTATAATCAACGGTATGCTGTGGTTTAATTGGCAACATTTTTCTCTTTATGAGTTGCACATAAATATGTCTTAAAATCTATAGCACCTTAGATGTGATGAAATGTGGTATTTATTTGAAATAAAAATGAGATCAGGAAGTTCATCTCTTTTCCCCACCTAAAGATCTTGAGCATTTCCCTTGTCACTGGTTTTAGATCTGTCTTATTCTCAAGATATATGATTAAGGGTGTGTCATAACTTTTTCAATCAGTTCCTCTTGATGGCTATTTGGAGCTTTTCCAATTGTTTTCCTGTTATAAACAATGCTGTGCTGATTATCCTTGTATATATCTCTATGCACGTGAGTGAAATTTATTTAATTAGATTGGTGAATACACATATTCTCTGTAGTGTACAAGGGTACCTATTTCCCTATACCTTTATGAGTACTGAATCTTAGTAAATTTAAAAATTTTTATTAATCTAAGTGAAAAATATACTAATGTTTAATATAATTTCTTTAATTATGATAGAGATTGAAACCTCTTTTCCTGTTTATTAGCCGTTTTTATTTCCTTTTCTGTGATGTACTTGTGCATAGGATAGTAGGCTTTTAATTGGCTGGCATATTAGTCCTAATTAGAAACCTTTCCAGTTTGGAACCATGCATTATCCTATTAATTCTTGGGAACAACTTTTAGGCCTGCTACATCCTACTTTTGTGGAGGACAAGAGGGCTTTATAAGGACCCAAGATTTGCAGGGAGACAGAATTCAGAAATAACCAGAATTCTAGTGTCCTTTATAATGAAGGCCAAGAAGGGCTATAGTGTCAGTTTTTGAGCTGAATACTGGAACTTACATACTATGCTGTTAGTCTTTAAACTTTAAATGGTCTTCTTCTCAAGGCTTGTTGTTCTTTAATATGACTTGGTTATAGTATAGTAGTATTAGTTTAGTAGGTTTGAAATAGGATACAACTCTGGGACTTGAGTGAAGTCAATATTGGACTTAGAGATTAAATGTTTAGATTAATAGGGTGTTTTGCACATTGTTAAAATGTTATTAACATTTTTTAGTACCTTTTCTGTGTCAAACCGTATCAGTTTCAAACAAAACTATCAGATGATCTCTGCTTTTTAGGTTCTGCATGGTCTCTGGAGGAACAGATTTCAGTCCTTTGGTAAAAGTGAAGCTAGAATATACATGGAATATGGATAGCTCACAGGAAGGGTTTTAGTCTAGCATGGGAGTTTAAAGGAGGCTTCCTGGAGGAGACACGATTACCTAAACTAAGTCTCGAAGGATGAATATGAGTTAGCTGCAGTAGTAAGTAGTAAAAGGAACAACAGTGAAATGGACTACAAGTAGTAGAGTGTTCTTAGAATATGACATTTGAGGTGAAGACTGACTTATGGTGAGGTTGGAGTGACAAGAACCAAGTAATGAAAGGCCGTGAACACCCTGTATTTAATAGGTTAAGGGATCATTTTGAGCAATGATGGGGTCAAATTAGGGTTTTAGAGATCACTGCCCAAAGATTGATTTGGGGGCAAGATTGAAGGCCAGGACACATGTTGGGAAACAGTTCTAGTAATCCAGGTGAGAGAATTAAGGCTGTAGCTCAGTGGTAATAGCTTACTTGGAAAATTGTAGTCATTTTTCTTAGTTTATGTAACATTTTGTTCCCTATTGTTCAGAATCCCATTGAGATTACATTTCATTGAATGGGGTTTATTATTTTGCAGAGATAAGTTATGTTAATTATCCAATCGTCTTTCATTCAATTATGTCTGTAGGAAGTTTATACTTTTACAAATACCTGCTTAACTAGTATGGTGCTACGTGGAGATGATAAATAAGTGTTTTTCATCATTTTAAAAATTGAGAAATGTTAGCCCTTTTGATGTGCTTAGTGATTATCTTAGAGGGAAAGAATTTTAGAACATTTTGCCTTTGTGTAAAAGCAATGATTTGTTAGCTTAATTTATATATAATTAACTTATAGGAATTTATAATTTATATGTGCTAATTTCTTTTTCTTTTTTTTAAAAGGCTATTAGTGAAAGATGGTGGATCGCTTGGCAAACAGTGAAGCAAATACTAGACGTATAAGTATAGTGGAAAACTGTTTTGGAGCAGCTGGTCAACCTTTAACTATACCTGGACGAGTTCTTATTGGAGAAGGAGTATTGACTAAGTTGTGCAGGAAAAAGCCCAAAGCAAGGCAGTTTTTCTTGTTTAATGATATTCTTGTATATGGCAATATTGTCATCCAGAAGAAAAAATATAACAAACAACATATTATTCCCCTGGAAAATGTCACTATTGATTCCATCAAAGATGAGGGAGACTTAAGGAATGGATGGCTAATCAAGACACCAACTAAATCTTTTGCAGTTTATGCTGCCACTGCTACGGAGAAATCAGAATGGATGAATCATATAAATAAATGTGTTACTGATTTACTCTCCAAAAGTGGGAAGACACCCAGTAATGAACATGCTGCTGTCTGGGTTCCTGACTCTGAGGCAACTGTATGTATGCGTTGTCAGAAAGCAAAATTCACACCTGTTAATCGTCGCCACCATTGCCGCAAATGTGGTTTTGTTGTCTGTGGGCCCTGCTCTGAAAAGAGATTTCTTCTTCCCAGCCAGTCCTCTAAGCCTGTGCGGATTTGTGACTTCTGCTATGACCTGCTTTCTGCTGGGGACATGGCCACATGCCAGCCTGCTAGATCAGACTCTTACAGCCAGTCATTGAAGTCTCCTTTAAATGATATGTCTGATGATGATGACGATGATGATAGCAGTGACTAAGGACACATTTGGGAGTATTTAATCAGGTGTGGCTATCTGAGAAATCAACTTTGGGGGAAATGTAAGATTCTGAGCTCTCTCTCTGTTTTGTTCTAGCCATGAATTTGCCTGAGAAACTTGTAACCTATGTGCCTCAATATATTCCATAGAAAGTAGGTCCCCCTGCCTTCTCCCACTCCTCACACTCTTCTACAGGGATAGGCTTTTGCAAATATATCAGATAAATTTTTTGTTTCTTGTTTATTTTTAGGTTATTTTCTTGGAAGGTTGGGAAAAGATGTTTGTTTTAACAGGTCATGTACTACGTTGTTGTTTTCATTTCTGTTATAAGTAAAACTAAAAGCACAGAATGGTGGGAAAGGGGCTATAATGTGGTTCATTAATAATGTTAGCAGCTTTTTTCTAACCATCCTGTCTAATGGTTAAGACACCAGTAACAAAAACACATGATTTGGAAATACTTTGGCTTTTTCATATACCTAGTGGTGCCTTATCATAATAGCACTGTTACATGAAATAAGCCCCTACCTTCTTACTTTCTGGTTTGTTGAAAAAATACACTGGTGCTCTTTGAAGTGATAAAATGAGTGTTTATGAATGGGTGTAATTAGGAAATACTTCTCATCTGACAGCTACAAATAACTAAGTTTGGAGGTATTTTCACTCTATATGAATAAATATTTTTCCATAAAATAGTTGTGATTATATTTTTGTTTTATATAGGTCCCAAATTATAATTGTCAAATATATATTTTAAATTAATAAAAGTTGTCATTCTTAGGAATTTGGTTTGAAATTTATCAGTTATACAGAATTGTCATACTGCATTAGCTTCTACCTTTAGTAAGACATATTTTTTAGGTATAAATTCTTATGCTTTAACATTATTTCTGGATTGAAAATCTTATAAAACCCTTGAAAATAAACAGTCTCTTTTTTACAAAGCCTGTGTTAGAGCACAGATTTACCTAGGCTTGAAGATTTGGAAGAAATAATATGTAAGAATGGCCTCAAGGCAGACCACTTTAAGTTTGGCTAGACTTCATATCGTGGAAGTATTGTCTATTTCAGTGTGAAACTATCTTGAATTTGCAAATATAGTGTTATATTTTATAAAGTTTTGTAAAATCCCAAACAATATTTCTATTTTTGTAAAACAATTGTATGTATAATCTGTATTTGAAATCATTTTGCAATCTATGGAAATAGAGTAGCAATTGCTATTTCTAAATTGTGAACTTTAAGTCAATCTAGATTTATTTTGAGAAGTAATTGTTCACTCTTTACTTTTGAGGCAGCCATTAGGTTGAAAGTATATATTTATCATATAAAACTTGATGCGTTTTGCACTACTCTTTCCATTTATATGCTGCAAACAACTACAGTCTTTGAAATATGGAAAATCAGCAGTCTAAAGTTTGTTTTAAATTCTAAATTTAAAAAATCTTCAAATCTGAATATACCGCAAATGTCATGAGAAGTTTGATTCAGTAACTTGTGATGGAGGATTCTTTGGTATCTTACTGTTTGGTTAAGGCACTAATTTTACTTACCTATTAGATTTTGAAAGTATCTGAGATATACAAATCTCCCTGTAGGAAATGTGAAAGAAAAGCACAACAAAACTAGGGTTTTTTGTTCATTTGCTTGCTTTTATGATTTTTTTTGGTTTGTTTTAATATCAGGTGGATTTTTGTTTCTAAGCAATATATACATAAAATCAACCAACATATCTGAAAAGGATCATGAAACCTGAGAAATGCTAATGGAGATTTGCTGGTACATAGGAATCTAGCAAATTCAGGAACCAAGGGGAAATGTTGTGAGATAACATTTACATTGTCAACCTTTATTGACTTTGTTTTTACAATAAAAAATATTTTACAACTTACTTTCTGTTCTCTGTATATTGTGACTTGAGGATTTACCCCCTCTGCTAAGATAATAAAGATATTATGCATATTTTGCCTAATAATTCAACAACTGTGAGTGCCTGCTATGTGCCAGGCATTGTTCTAGGCAGTAGGTTAGAGCAGTGAACAAAACTCCCTTTTGGATTTACCGCACGAAGGCTCAGAAAACATTCTTCCAAGTGTTGAAGATATGGCTTAATGTTACTGGGAAGTGCCTTAATATAATTTGGCTTTGCTGTCCAATTACTGTTAGAAGGAATGACTTGACCTGAATTGACATGTCTCAGAAGGAAACATACACATGGCTGACAGGTATATGAAGAAATGTCCAAGATCACTAATCATCAGGGAAATGCAAATTAAAACCACAATGAGATAATGGTAATACCTGATACCTGTTGAATGACTTATCAAAAAGATGAAAGAAGTGTTGGCAAGGATATGCAGAAAAGGAGACCCTTGCACACTGTTGGGAATGTAAAGTAGCACAGCCATTATGGAAAACAGTAGAGGTTCCTCAAAAAGTGAAAATAGAACTACCTATAGCATCTAGCAATCCCACTACTAAGTATATATTAATATCTGAAGAAAATGAGTATGTTGAAGAGATAATCTGTACTCCCATGTTCATTGCAGCAGCATTCACAGTAGCCAAGATATGGAATCAACCTAAGTGTCTATCAACAAATGAATGGATAAAGAAAAGGTGGTCTGTATACACAGTGGAATATTAGCCATAAAAAATTAAATCCTGTTACTTGTGACAACATGGATGGAACTGATGGACATTAAGTGAAATATGCCAGGCACAGAAAGACAAATACTTCATGATCTTGCTTATATGGTGTGGAATCTAAAAAAGTTGAGCTTATAGAACCAGGAGTAGAATGATGATTACCAGGGGCTGGTTGAGGGGTTGGGGGTGGGAGATGCTGGCCAAAGGATACAAAATTTCAGGAGAAATAAATTCAACAAATCTATTGTACAATATGATGACTATAGTTAATAACAATGTATCCTTGGAAATCAGCGTAGATTTTGTGTTCTCACCACAGAAACTGATGAGTATGTGATGTTAATTCGCTCAATTTGGCCATTCTGCAATGTATCCATCTTTCAAAACAAATACACAGTACCATATATATATATTATATATATAATGATATATAATGTATAATTATATATTACACAGTACCATATTAGATATATATAAATTTTTGTCAGTTTTTTTAAAAATAGGCCAGGTGCAGTGGCTCACACCTGTAATCCCAGCACTTGGGAGGCCAAGGTGGAAGGATCACTTGAGTTCAGGAGTTCAAGACCAGCCTAACATGGCAAGACCCCCGACACTACAAAAAATAAAAAATTAGCTGGTCATGGTGGCATGCACCTGTGGTCCCAGCTACATAGCTACATGAAGACTGAGGTGGGATGATAGCTTGAGTCCAGGAGGTTGAGGCTGCTGTGAGCTGTGTTCATGTCACTGCACTCCAGCCTGGGCAACAGCAAGACCCTGTCTCACAAAGTAAGTACATATCAAAAGAATGACTCAAGATAAACTATTTTGACTTAAACATTACAAAAGTGATAGGGTAAAATAATAAGTTTAGATTTTTGATATAGATCCTGCCTTCTTACAGAAATATTCTAATGATTTGAAACCAAAATTCCAGAGCTACTTAAACCATTTCACTCAATAAATATGTATTGAGTACTTTTTTTTTTTCTGAGATGAAGTCTTGTTCTGACACCCAGGCTGGTGTGCAATGGCTGTTCATAGGTGTGATCATAGCATACTGCAGCTTCAAAATCCTGGCATCAAGCAATCCTCCTGCTTCAGTCTGCTGAGTAGGTTGGACTACAGGCACGAACCACACAGTACCTGGCATTATTGAACACTTCTAATATGTCTACTATCAGAATGATTTAGAATAGCAATTCATTCTTTCCCTTATTGTCATGACCTTGATATTTTTTAAAGATCATGCACCAGCGATTTTGTAGAATAACCCTTCATTAGGGTTTGATGTCTTCTCATTATTAAATTCAGGTTAGGCATCTGTGTAGCCGAAATATCACAGAAGTTGTATTATCACATCAGATGGTGCCCAATTTCAGTTTGTTTCGTGGCTTATGTTCACTTTGATCACTTGATTAAGGTGGTGTATCCCAGAATTCATTGTGGAGTTACTCTCTTTATAGTACTTTTGAGGTGGTACTTTTGAGATTATGTAAATACTATGCTCCTCATCAAACTTGCAGTTCATTTACTTTTCAATATGAACTCATAGTTTCCTGATTCAGTGGTTCTCAAACTTGAGTGTGCGTCAGAATCTTTTGGAGGGCTTGTTAAAACAAAGACTGCCAGGTCCCATCTCTAGAGTTCCTGATTCTGTAGGTATGGAGTGAGACCTGAGAATGTGCATTTCTAACAAGTTTCCAGGTGGTACTGTTAGTGCTGCTGGCCCAGGGACCACATTTTATTACTTGTTATTGTCATTATTTTGATGCTCAAACTGTCTCTAATTTGGTCAGTGGCCAACTGGCTTCTGTGGCCTATTGACAAATCTTCATTAGTTGAACCCTTCTTTACTTTTTTGCCACAGTAAGATGTTCCAGGCTCATCTTGTACTTTCCCTGCCCCAACCCTGGAATTGGCCATTTCTTCAAGGATCCCTGGTTTCTTTTAGTGCTAAGTGGTACTTAGAAGCCAAGATCTGAGCACCAGATGTGCTCATTGCCTTGGGGAAAGTGCCACTCCCAGGCCTTTTCAGGGGACACATTTAGAGAACATTAGTATATACATACCTACATGTTCCTATTTAAACTTCTGTATCTATTGAAATCCATGACATCATACAGATGCCTCCAATTCTAACAATACTGTAGGGCTCCATCCTTCTCTTGACATTGAGGAACTGGGTCTCACTAGCTCTAAGATATTTAAATTATTTGATCAATCTCCCTGTATGTAACCAATCTCTCATCACCACTGCTGCCCCTCTCCCACATGGACATCCTCTTTGCACTCCTAAGGCTCTGACACTTCACACCTGGCTGCTCCTATCATAGATGCCCCCTTTACCCTGTTTGAGCTCCAACACCCTCTGCTGGCTTGCCCGCACTGCCATGGACATCCTTCTCTCTCGTACTGCATTCTAGGCTGCCCTCACAGATGGATGCTCTCCACACCTCACTTGGGCTCCAGCACTCAACACTGGACCTCCTCTGTGGCGTGGGAATGCTCTACCCTACCTAGCTCTGACCCACCACTCTGGGCTACCCACATGTGAGTACATTTTACTTGCTTGATCTCTGATTCCCCTCACTGGGTCACCCGCACCTCTGAGTGCCCTCCTCACCCTGCATGAGCCTTGACACCAGGCCCTGAGCCTTTCCTCTGTGTGGTTGTCCTCACAGTCCTCTGTGTGGGATCCAGAACTAGGCACCAAGCTCCCCACGTAGGAGGGTGCCCTCCCCATTCCCTCTGCTGAGGCTCGAACCAGCATGTCAGGCTGCTCCCCCATGTGGACACCTGACTCTCTTTGGGCTCTTACTCTACACTGGCTGTACCATCCCAGTGCCCCCACCACCCTCTACTGTCACCATTGCTGCTCTCCTCAGCCAGCTGTGGCTTTGACCCCTCACACCAGGCTGCTTCTCTGCATAGGTGCCTGCCTTTCTCTGGCCCACCTAATGGCTTTAGGGCTGAGTTGTTCAGAAGGAGGAGGGAAGGGTTATGGCCATATTATACACATAACAGAAAGAGAAAAAAGAAGGAAGGAGAAAAAATGTCTTTTTAAAACAAACTCACCTGGAAGGAAGAAAGAATATATGTGTGTGTGTGTGTGTGTGTGTGTGTGTGTGTGTATATATATATATATTTTTTTTTTTTTTTTTGAGACGGAGTTTCACTCTTGTTGCCCAGGCTGGAGTGCAGTGGCACAATCTCAGCTTACCACAGCCTCCACCTCCCAGGTGCAAGTGATTCTCCTGCCTCAGCCTCCCGAATAGCTGGGATTACAGGCATGCACCACCATGCCAGGCTAATTTTGTATTTTTAGTAGAGATGGGGTTTCTCCATGTTGGTCAGGTTGGTCTCAAACACCTGACCTCAGGTGATCCACCCACCTTGGCCTCCCAAAGTGCTAGGATTATGGGCGTGAGCCACTGCGCCCGGCCAGGAGAATATGGTTTTAAAACAAACTCACCTGGGGGTGGGGGAGGGAGAGACGATCTTTTTAAAACAAACTCACCTGGCAGCATAAACAAATAAGACAGATAAAACCAGAGCTCTCAAGCTGTTTTGCCTGAAGAAAGGATTGGAGAACCAAGAGAAGAAGAAAGGAGAAAAAAAAAATATATATATAATTATTATTATATATTATAATTGTATAATATAATTATATATAATATATAATAATTATATATATATATATATATATATTTTTTTTTTTGAGATGGAGTCTTGCTCTGTTGCCCAGGCTAGAGTGCAGTGGTGCGATCTCGGCTCACTGCAACCTCTGCCTCCTGGGTTCAAGCGATTCTCCTGCCTCAGCCTCCAAGTAGCTGGGATTACAGGTGCCCACCACCACGCCTGGCTAATTTTTGTATTTTTAGTAGAGATGGGGTTTCACTATCTTGGCCAGGCTGGTCTTGAACTCAAGTGATCTGCCTGCCTCGGCCTCCCAAAGTGCTGGGATTACAGGCGTGAGCCACCCGGCCAGGAGAATATATTTTTAAAACAAATTCACCTGGGAGGAGGGAGGGAATGAAGAAGGGAGGAAGGGAAGAGAAGGAAAGGAAGGGAGAGTTTTGTTTGTTTTTTTTTTTTTTTTTTGGAGGCAGAGTCTCACTCTGTCTCCCAGACTGGAGTGCAGTGGTGCGATCTCAGCTCGCTGCAACCTCTGCCTCCCAGGTTCAAGCAATTCTCATGTCTCAGCCTCCGCCGAATAGCTGGGATGACAGGCACCTGCCACCACACCCGGCTAATTTTTGTATGTTTTTAGACCTAAAACATGCTGGAAGGAGGAGACTTAGGATCTTGATTTAGATGAGGAATTCATGAATTGAATTTATTGGATTTTTAAGAGAGTTTTAGTGAAATGAATCAAAAGTCAAGTACACAATTCTCCAGAAATTGTTTGAAAATTAATTTTTGTGATGTGAAAAATAAGTAGCCACTATTGTATACAATTCTGTATTTGTGTTTTGGGCCAGTATGGCAAATCATGGCGTATTTAAAAAAAAAAATCTGTAAAGAAAAACTTCGTTATCCACATGTTAAAGTACAAAGGGAATATTGATAGTTAAAATAATTATACAGGCTGGATGTGGTGGCTCATGCCTGTAATCCTAGCACTTTGGGAGGATGAGGCAGACAGACTGCTTGAGCCCAGGAGGTCAAGACCAGCTTGGGCAACATGGCGAAACCCCATCTCTACAAAAAATACAAAAATTAGCCAGATATGGTGGCATGCCTGTAGTCCCAGCTGCTTGGGAGGCTGAGGTAGGAGGATCACTTGAGCCCAGGAGGTTGAGGATGCAGTGAGCCAAGATTGTGCCACTGCATTCCAGCCTGGGCAGCAGATTGAGACCCTGTCTCAAAAACATAGTGATAATAATAATTATACAAAATACTGTGTCATTGAAGAATAGAAAAAAACAGCAAACAGGGATAATTAGTTTAAAAGAGATTACATTTGAAAAATTTGTTTTTTTTGAAAACCAGTTTACTTTTAACTTGGTATAATAAAACATGTAGTTGGTTTTGAGGTGTAATTACTCCCAATTTCAAAGGCTTCTATCTTTTAAAAGCATTTCTGGGAGATAACTTAAATTTTAAAAATATTTTATTACAAGAAAAACATCTGCAAGAATCTGGTGGATGTCTTAACATCTAAATCTCTGAGCATAGACGCTGAGGCCTATGCTAATAAAGGTCAAGGTGTTTCCTGTTCCTTTGTATGAATAGAAGTGTGAAAAGCATGCCTTGTGTGAACGTAAACAAATGACTTAGAAAGTTTTTACTGATTTTCTGAAATGTATATTTCATAATAGGGAAGTGTCAATGGTAACATCATAAAGTTTACAGTGATTTAATATTTTACATGCAGTGATTTAGAAATAGCTTCTGTGATTTGGAATATTTTAGTATTAGGTTTGTGCAAAAGTAATTTCCATTGCTTTTAATGGCAAAAATTGCATTTACTTTTGCATCAACCTAATGGTAGCTTTTAAGGTCTTCAAAGCAGAAAGAATCAATGGCAAAACGTTAAAAGCAGCTTTCACTTGGCTAAGATGCCAAATTATCTTAACTTTAACCAAAGCAAGTTGTAGAGTCTAGGCTAAATGGTAGATTAATGTAATTCCTTATTTTCACCAGGAGCTTCCCTGCTATGTAATGTGTACAACTATTATCTATGCTCATGATATATATGTATGTGTTATAAGGGAATTAAATTCACTTCTATTTGTGAAGTTTTAATTTTGTACACAGCAACTGAGGTTTCATTGAGTTACCTCAGTTTAGAGAGCATGAGGTGCTAGGAATGTGATATTTGGGTTACTTGTAAAGTAGAAAAAGGAAGTTAAAAGCATTCTTTAATGTGGATTTTTCCTATGGTGGATAAGGGAAAATTTATATTTTATCAATGAAAAGCTCCATAAAATTAGTTGTGATTATTGTCATGAATATGTTGTCTCTGTTTTCTGGCTATAGACACTTATTTTGGTTATAGTAATCATTGTAAAGATGTTATTTTAAAATTTAATTAACTGTTTATACCTAAGATAGAAAACTTTCTTGAAATGTTTAGAGGTAATATGTGTTTGCAAAAGTGAATGAGGAAAAATGTCTGAAGTTGCTTTTTTTTTTTTTTCTTTTTTGAGACAGGGTTTCACTCTGTTGCCCAGGCTGGATGCAGTGGCATGATCTTGGCTCACTGTAGCCTCTACCTCCCGGGCTCAAGTGATCCTCTGCCTCTGCCTCCCCAGTAGCTGGGACCACAGGCATGCACCACCACACCCCGCTAATTTTTTATTTCGTATTTGTAGAGACAGGGTTTCACCATGTTGCCAAGGCTGAATTGCATCCTTAAACTCATACTTTGGTTTTTGTGATGTTATACCTGAATCAGATTTTGTACAGTATTTTCCTTCACTGTACACCTAGGTTTCAGGCAAATTGGAACCATTGCTGCTCCCTGAATATGCTCTGAAGTGTTGTCACCTCTGTTTCCTGCTCACACTGTTCTTCTCATGGCAGTGCCAGTGCTTATGCAACCCTTGTGTATTTACCCCGTTTTCTCCTTCCTCAGACACTACCTACTTGAAGCTGTCCTCCCTCCTTCAGAGCTGACATACTCCCTCTGACAATGTGTTCTGTCTTACCTTGTAATTATGCTTAGTTGTAGCTATTTCTTTTTATATTTTTATTTTTTGTATTTTTCGTAGAGACAGGGTTTCACCATGTTGGCCAGGCTGGTCTCGAACTCCGGAGCTCAGGTAATCTGCCCTCCTTGGCCTCCCAAAGTCCTGGGACTACAGGCGTGAGCCACTGCACCTGGCCAGTTGTAGCTATTTTTTCTTGCTGCCAGCCCTTTAACAAAAGTATGGTGCATTAAAATACATTATAAGCCAGCAGCTTGCACATAAAAATGGCTTGATAACATTTGGATAAATGAATAAACATTTGTTTTCTTAGGACCAAAAATAATATGTTTTTTTTTTTCTCTCTAAAGTATTCATGTGCTTTGATATATAACAAACATTTAGGATATTCTTAATTAAATGAATATGGCAGTAAGAATCTTGAAAGAAAAACGGGACCATTCCAATTTATGGGTTGGTGGTAGGCCACGTCAGATCTGCCTAAAACACTTTATAAACAAATAATGGGTCAGGTGCGGTGGCTTGTGCCTGTAATCCAGCACTTTGGGAGGCTGAGGCGGGCAGATCACTTGAGGTCAGGAGTTCGAGACCAGCCTGGGCAACATCATGAAACCCCCATCTCTACTAAAAATACAAAAATTAGCCAGGTGTGGTGGCACATACTTGTAATCCCAGCTACTTGGGAGGCTGAAGCAGGAGAGTCACTTGAATCTGGGAGGCAGAGGTTGCAGTGAGCCGAGTTTGTGCCACTGTGCTCCAGCCTGAATGACAGAGCAAGACTCTGTCTCAAAAACAAAAACATTTATTATTATTACTTATTGAGCCTTATGGAGTTTCTTGCACAGGGCCAAGAGTCCATTCATTGCTCCTTCATTGCTTCTGTGTAGCCATGCTTTGGATTTAAGAATCATTCAATTTGATTTACCTTTACATTAAAAGCTATGCTGGTGTTTTAGGGGCAAGATTTACTTGCACTATTAAAATTGGCCTTCTCTCTGGTATAGGCCTTTATTTGGAGTCCCAGTTGCTCTCACTGTCTATGGTGGAAAGTAGAACTGCCTTTAGATCATAGTTGGTAGTTTTTTATCTTTTTTTTTTTGTCTTTGCTTTTTTTAAGACAGGGTCTCGCTCTGTCGCCCACGCTGCAGTGCAGTAGCACAGTCTCAGCTCACTGCAACCTCTGCCTCCTGGGTTTAAGCGATTCTCCCACCTCAGTCTCCTGAGTAGATGGGACCACAGACGTGTGCCACCATGCCTGGCAATTTTTATATTTTTTTGTAGAGGTGGGGTTTCGCATTGTTGCCCAGGCTGGTCTTGATTTCCTGAGCTCAAGTGATCCACCCACCTCGGCCTCCCAAAGTACTGGGATTACAGGCATGAGCCACTGTGCCTGGGCTAACACTCAATTTCACTCTGTATGTCAGGCTCTGTTCTAAGTACATTTATTAAGTCAATTGGATTCTTATGTGAACCCTGTATGGTAGGTATAATATTATTATCCTTCACTCACAGGCATAGAGAGGTAGGTCTCATATTTAATAAGGGGCAGGCCCAGGATGTGAACCCAGGAAGTCTGGCTCCAGAGTTCATGCACCAGTGTCTAAGTTAAAGAGGCTATTCAAAGTCAAGAAAGTCCCTGTGTGTGTTTGAAGGAACTACCAAAGATTTTTGAGCAAATGAGTAACACTGGCAGATTCCTACTTTTATAGTAAGCCCCAGCTCAAAGGGCCTCATCTGTGTTCCCCATTTGGTTGTTAATCTCCTGAGGCTTGCCTAGCACTTAATTTATGTATGTTTTGCATCCACCATGTTGATCCTAATGTGTCCATTTACATGTCTGTCTACCCTAGTAAATGGGACTTGACTAGTAAATGTGAGACAATGGGAGGGCAGTAATTGAGGATCCATTTTTCTCAACAAATCAGCCTAAATCATGATCTAATTAGAAACAATGTGCTGGCCTTGCAAACCAGCTTTTAGGCAAATGTCTTCCTTCCCATTCTAGAATGGGACCTCTCAACTCCTTTTATATGGAATGAGTAGATGCTACTAGATTCTGCAGCCTTTTGTCAGTTACATCCCAGCACAATCCCTGGCTCATTCATTCACCTGCGTGAGGGAGCAAGTGCTTTCCTCGAACAAGTACTTCCTTCCTTGCCAGGCACTGTTTTAGGTGGTGGGATTATAGCAGGGATCAAAACAGTTTGAAGTTTCTGCCCTTGGGAAGCTTATGTTCTAATTTATAATACAATGTCAGGTAGTCTAAGTGCTGTGATAGAAAATGAAGAAGGGTTCTGGGGATTGAAAGTGGTAGAGAGAGCTCAGTTTTGACAGCCTACTGTGTACATACTGGGTGCCTCAAAAATGCTGAGCCCAGGAGTTCGAGACCAGCCTGGGCAACATGGCAAAACCTTTTGTCTCCACAAAAAATACAAAAATTAACTGGGCGTGGTGCTGTGTGCGCCTATAGTCCCAGCTACTTTGGGGGCTGAGGCAGGAGGATGGCTTGAGCCAGGGAGGTGGAGGTTGCAATGAGCCAAGATCACGCCACTGCACTCCAGCCTGGGTGACTGAGTGAGACCCTGTCTCAAAATAAATAAATAAATAAATAAATAAATAAATAAATAAATAAAATAAAAAATAAAAGCTGGAATGAAAGTTAAAGCTCAAGATAGACATCAAGTTTACTGTCCCAAACTAGAATGAACTATAATGTTATAATTCTATTCTGAAGGATGAATATTTTTTAAAGTAACCCATGCTTAAAAATAAAGTCAGGCTCCAGTCCTAGATGAAGCTCAGCCCTGCTAGGAAATACTTGACTTGAATTCAAGAACTTGCTCACTTACTGAATTAAAACAGAATGATAGTTTTCAGGGTCAAGTTTACAGGCATCTTTTAATTAATGAATTTGTTAATATTTTCCATCGGGGACCTGAAGAAGGATTTAGCTGGCTCTAAGATGACAGAGAAAAGGACTTTTCTGAGTGAATAAATTAGACATGCCAGCAATGGTGATAATTGGGAAGCTAGCCAAAATGTAGCTCAGCCAGGGCTCATTCTCATTTAAAGTCATTCTGTGTCCTAGTCTGTCATCAGAAGAGCTGCTTTGAAGCCGGCTTCTCGGCTGCTTTGTTTGGCATTGGAGGACAACCACTAATTAGGACGTTATGTATCTAAAGATGTAGCTGTTTCCAAGCCTTTGCCAGTTCTTCTTAGAACAATGAACTTAGAAAGCTTGGGGTTTGCATCCTGGCACTGGAAGTTTGGAGGACACCCAGCTCCGATGTGACCACTTCTGAGAGCCTTCCCGCGCTCGCCTCTTCACCCCTTGCCTCCTCCACACCCCCTTCCCTGCAGAGCCGCATTCAAACCCTGGGCGAGCTCGGCTCCTGTTGTATTAGTGCTGCTTTATCTGTGCCCCCTCCTTAGGCTACTTTGGGACCCATTCAGGACTGGGAGCTGCCTTGTCCATCCTGTTATCCCCAGCAGCTCACAGCGCCTGACATATGGTGGGTTCTTAATAATTTCTGGTGGAATTGAGTTTGATCAAAGGGTCCACTTGAGCATACTCTCTTAGGAGAAAGAGAAGTGCCTTCGAGTCTGTGGCCTACATTATCTTCTTAAAGCAGGCAATGGAAGCAGAAATGAAGCCCTGCTGCTTGTTGATACTCAATTCTCCGAGTGCAAGTGCCAAGGCACGCCTGGCCACCTGCTCCCGCTTAACGGGTGGGCCCTGCGGGTGTGACAGGAGGGGTGGCCCGTCCGGCCTCGTGTTCCAAGTGCCAGAAGGACAAGCCCACAGTGGTAGGGATTTCCCTTTGAAAAGACATCTGTGCCACTTCACTGTTCTGTGCTCTGCCTTTGCTGAACTGCTCAAGCCACTCGCAAGAGCCATTTCTTGATTTTCATATATCCTCAAAAAGAAGAGTCAGCAGGTTTTTTCTTGTTAAAGTGAGCTTTGGAAGTGACAGATGGACCGTGTTAGCAAAGGTGAAGAATGTTTCTTCCACTCCTTATCACCTCTTTCCTGCTCTCCTACTTTGGTTACTCGCAATTTTTTCCTAGGCAAGTCTGAGAATACTAAACATTAGGCCAACTTCAAATTGATTTCCACTGCCTCTCAGGAGGGAAGATGTTTCTACTAACTTTTCTTTGGGAGCAATTTGAATCTGTTTACTTATATCTACTATGTTTCCTATGAAGTGAGAAGCCAAAAGCTTATGGCTTGCTTTTGGGTCAGCGGGGGCCAAGACTGTGACCAACTGGTAATTTCAAAAAATACAGCACAGAAGTGGAATAATCTCTTTAAGGAATGCCATCCTCAAAGTCAGAGGGCAAATCTCTGGAAGTGAGCCCCTCTGCCAGTGGAGAGAGAGGGGTTGAGGTGGGGGGTAACTGATGGATCTTTGAGCCCAAGGAGGCAGGAAAGGTGGGAATACTAGAGGAAAAACAGCACTTCCATTGTGCCTGGAGGGAGGAAAACCACCAGGGTATAGATGTAGACAGGGACAGCTTCCTTCCCACGACTTCTCATTCCTTATGAAGTTGGGAGTGTGATATTCTTTGGAAGGAACAGAGTATGGTTCCCTCCATACTCTGGAAAGAAGTGGTGGGACAAGAGATTTGAGGAATGGGAAGAATTTGAATTGGCTGCCATGGAGACCGGCAGGGAGAGCTGATCGGGATACCCAGAGGGATTGTTGGTCTGCCCTGGGGGCCCTTGCAGTCGGAGACCATGAACTTGTACTTGCCCAGCCATGAGATCCAGAGGCATTTATGCAAATTCCCTTTGAAGCCAAAGTTTAGAAGTGGGAGTTGGGGGTGGCGGAGCTAGAGTTATCCAGGTTTGGGGATTTGCCAGGGGAGTGCAATGTAAAGATAATGTACATGGCAGGGGAGTTAAAGAGATTTATAAGACAGATGCACCGTGGAGTCTGGGTTTGATAGGGAAGGAAGTAAAAACAGGAAGGGGTTGATAGAAAAGGAGAAAGTAGAGGAGTCAAGATATTGAACCTCTTGCTGAAATAAAATACAGGTGTGGTAGCAGTCACTGGAATGAAAGGTGGTAGCTTGAGATCTGAGTAGACTGGATTAAAGGCTTCAGAGATAGAGCAATTGTGGATGGTGAAAAGGTCCAGGGAGTGGTGAAAGAAAGGGTGGTTTAGGTGTCATTGAGAGGACACTCCTCTGAGATCAAAGAACTGAAATCTTGAAGCTATAAAGGACCTGGTGTGAAAAGGAAGACTGGGCAAGTTGCCAAAGGCTTCCGGAATGAGGAGGAGGAATGACTGGAGGTTGGCATCTGACATTGGCAATGTGGACTGTAAAGGCTGGTTTGGCATCAGCCTGAATGAATAGAGGAAATGTCACCTGGAACTGACATTGTGGTTCTTCTCTCAACTCCTAGGTGCAGTCTGTGGGGTGAGGGAGAATAAGTGGCATCCCCTTGAGAGGAGAACAGGGGAGACGCAGTGTCCCTGCAAGGATGAGCAAGGTGGAGAGAAGGACCCATTGGTGATATGGCTTCAGATGAGAGATTTTTACCATGGAATGAAGTTCTAGAGGGCTCAGATAAAGGTTATGCAGAGAGGGAGCAATGAGAGGTTGGTGAATGGCGAGGAAGATCAGATCTCTTGTGGATGTTAGAGTGTAGCCAAAGAGATGACCTGAGAAGCCTGCATTTTGGCCCTTGACTAAAGAAAATGGGAATTTGGTGTTTGGAGACACTAGCTGGCTACAAGTTTTCTAAAAGAATGAGTTCCAGAAGTCGTCTAGTGCATGGGAGGAGGTAGAGTGGGACTCCAGGCCTTCTAGAAGGAGGTAGCCTTCCTTGGACTGAGGAGGAATGATTTTCCCACAGAACAAAGAGCATGATCAGAGGCACAGAGGGAGTTTCACGATACCAGGGTCCAGAAACTAAGTAGGTCAGTGCCGCTGGGATGCAGTGTTTGTGGAAGAGTGCCTGCCTGTCAGGTGGGGCCAGATTATGAGAAGCCTTGCAGCACTTACTCAGGACTTTAGACTTTATGCAGAGATGTGACGCAATGAGAGTTCCCTGATGCCAGCGAGAAGGGCGGACTGAGGGCAGACCAGGCAGGAGACCAGGAGCATGGACATTCCTGGCACGGAGAACATAAAGTGATGAGAGCTACAGAGGAGTCAGAAGTGATACCCAATGAGAGAGAAAGAGAGACAAAGTGGCAGGGGAAGAGAGGAGAGATAACTAGGAGAGAGGCCAGATGCGGAGGCTCATGCCTATAGTCCCAGCATTTTGGGAGGCCAAGGTGGGCGGATCACTTGAGGTCAGGAATTCGAGACCAGCCTGGCCAACATGGTGAAACCCCGTCTCTACTAAAAATACAAAAATTAGCCTGGTGTGGTGATGTGTGCCTGTAGTCCCAGCTACTCGGGAGGCTGAGGCAGAAAATTGCTTGAACCCAGGAGGTGGAGGCTGCAGTGAGCTGAGATCGCACCACAGCACTCCAGCCTGGGCGACAGAGTGAGACTCTGTCTCAAAAAAGAAAGAAAGAAAGAAAGAAAGATAGGAGAGAATGAGAGCTAGAGACAGAGAGAGAGAAATAAGGGGATGGGAGTAGAGAGATAGGTGAGAGAGAGGAGAGAGAGAGAAGAGAGACAGAGACATAAGAGAGAGAGAGACAGAGAGAGAAGGTGCTGAGAAGAGGGAGAAAACTTCAGAACACTAAGGTCTGCCCAGGCTTATACCACAGGAACATCTGAACAGTAACACAGGTACTAAGGAATGGATCTTTTTGTACATTTGGCTTTTTTGCATCTGATGTGAACAGATAAGTATAGTAGCTGTTTGTTATGCTTCCTTTTAATAAATGATGATTATCAACTGTCATAAACCTCCTGCAATTTAGATTCAGATCCTGCATCACTTAGAAACCAAATATATGTGCATCATTGATGCTGCAGTGACCACATCACCTGAAAATCCTTAAATGAGACATCATTATTCTTGATTTGTAAATTTATTCATGCTCTGTCTTCTTTAATTAAAGATTCCAGGGAAAAGTAATTCAGAAAGAGGAGGACAGACTAGAGAATTAAAAGGTAACTAAAATAAAGGTCTACGTAGGGACCTAAGGTAAAATTTAGTGCTCTGAAGAGCTACGGAGACTAATGAATTCACACGGTGAATATTAGATGTGAAATTCTCAGTTGTTGACCCTTGGGTTGTTTAAACATTCTGAATTTATCTGGATTTCTCCATGATGGAAGTTGACAAAACTATTTAATATTAACTCATCACTATTTTATTCCTTTTGTTCTCCTGTGATAATAACAGGAGTCTGGCCGGGCATGCTGGCTCATGCCTGTAATCCCAACACTTTGGGAGGCCGAGGCAGGTGGATCACCTGAGGTCGGGAGTTCGAGACCAGCCTGACCAACATAGAGAAACCCCGTCTCTACTAAAAATACAAAATTAGCCGGGCGTGGTGGCACATGCCTGTAATCCCAACTACTCAGGAGGCTGAGGCAGGAGAATCGCTTGCACCTGGGAGATGGAGGTTGCAGTGAGCTGAGATCATGCCATTGCATTCCAGCCTGGGCAACAAGAGCGAAACTCCATCTCAAAAAATGAACAAACAAACAAACAAAAAAAACAGGAGTCTATATAGACTGGGAAGTTCAGTCCCATGATAGGTAATAGGTAGATTATTTTTGCTGACCTCCTGATCGTTAGTTTGTCTTACAATGTTTTCATGACCATCGTCTCCAAGTTGGAGCCAAACGTCTTTATTTTACAAGATTTTTCACCAGTGGTCACTCTCCAGTTGAATGAACATTTGCTTGTTCATTCTTCTCATTTTAAAAGTCTTATTCCATCTTACTAGAAGCCACTTGTTTACATTCTGGAGCCCAATACAGTAATAGAGACTGTTTTTCTTATTGTATATCTCTGTGGTCTGAGTTCCTTAACCTGCATGATGACAAATGGAGTACAGGCCATCGATATATGTGTGTGTCTGTGTGCTTGCATGCAAGTGTGTGCGTTCTTGTACATGAGAGTGAACTGGTCCTGGGTCAGATTCAAAGTCAGAATTTGAAACTTAAGAGTTCTCTGTAATTCCAGCTTCCACCTGCTGTGAGGTGTTGTGCAGACATGATAATAAAGTTTGTAGCTGGAGGGGCCTTAGGTTATCTGATCCATCCTATTCTCCTGGCCCGAAGTCATGCAGAGGCAGTGAGACAGAGCAGGACCAGAACCCACATTTCTTGACCTCCCAGTTACTCGGTTTGCATCTGTGAATCAGGATAATTGAAACACTGTTGTAATTTTGATGGAGAATGCAGAAATGAAGATTTGTCCTTTAAAATAAATATTTTAAGGATGAGAATAGAAAGCAGGAGAACTTGGCATTGGGTGGAGCTTCTCCTAAGGGCTCATCTCACAGGTGTGGATGTTTCTGGTGTTTGGGTGCCGTCGGGCCTGGAGGGGAAAGGCACCCTCCCTCATCATGACATCCATACATGAGGGCTACATTCTAGAATAGCACACAGGGCAGAAATGTAGCAAAGTGAAGGCCTCCCACTGAAAATATTTTAGGAAGAGACTGGCATAGTGTCTCAGGAAGACAAAACAACTAGCATTTCCTCCCGCATTGGACAGGTGACAGTTTCTTCATGGAAGCACTAGGGGAAGTCACTGGTTTGCATTTAGGGGCCATGGTGTGCCCCAAACACACATCTCTTTTGCCACTGAGCAATGAGACGCTCACCCTTCCAGAGGCCCATGGTCCACGGCTAACTGAGGCGACAGTAGGGTCAGTCTTCATCCCAGCTTACTCTGGACTAAGCTCAGAGGGAGCAGGGCAGACAGTGGCATCTATGCTACATGAAAACAAAAAACTCTCTAGAGGTTTTAAATTGTAATCGGATAACTGTATTTAAATAATTTAAAAGCATATTTGCATGGTCAATGCCACCATAGATTATTATTTTGTTGAAACCAATTAATTCCAATACAAAAGTCATCTAAATGAGATTGTCTCAGTCCGTCAACAGACTTCTCTCTTCTTTTATGTACTTTCTTCCCACCACTTACTTACTTTTGCCAAACATATCTTCTATTTTTTTAGTAGAATTATTTTAAACACCTGCTAACTCCTACTAATTATATATTGTTTAGAAAATGATACTCACTTTCTATGTCCTTCTATTTACTTTTTTGTCTATTCCCTTCTCTAAGCTTGTCAGCTACAGCTTGTTTACTCTTTAGAGGTAAGGGTAAGGGCTTTTTTTTTTTTAAATTAAAAAAAATTTTATATGTTTATCATCTTGGAGGTGTGTTTAGGTAAAATCATATTTAATGACTTCCCCCTCCTTCAATTTTTCCTCTATTGCATTATTCTAATTTCCCAGCTCAGTCATTTATTGGCAGTGTGATTTGGCACTTTGTTTAATTTTTTTTTATTTTTTGTTTTGACACTTTTTTTTTTTTTTGAGACAAGGTCTCTGTTGCCCAGGCTGGAGTGCAGTGGTGCAATCAAGGCTCACTGCAGCCTCGACCTCCTAGGCTCAGGTGATCCTCCCACTGAAGCCTCCCAAGTAGCTGGTTGATTTTTGTATCTTTTGGAGAGATGGGGTCTCACTGTGTTGCCCAGGTTTGTCTTGAATTCCTGGGCTCAAGCTATGCCCCCTGCCTTGGCCTCCCAAAGTGTTGGAATTACAGGTGTGAGCCACCGCTCCTGGCTGATGCAATTTTCTTAACTTATTGAAGCCTGCTTCTCTTCTGTAAAGCAGGGATGATAACAGCACTTTCCTCATAGTTGTTTTTATGAAAATAAAGCAATCAGCAATCAGAGCAGACTGATCTAGTACAGCAAATGTTTAATTAATGGGAACAACTAAGATGTTCAGTTTTTAACATAATACTTGCATTCTAAATTACATGCAAATTGCTGCTGCCTGAGGATAAAGAATATTTTTATTGTTAGTTATCATCTCATTTTATTTCATCCCCACAGAACATTTGGGGTTGGGCTATGAAACTGTTTTGAGTAGGGAGATTTCCTCATATCTTTTTATTTCTTTTAGTCTTTAATGGACTTTGTTTTTTAGAGCAGTGTTAGGTTCCCAGCAAAATTGAGCAGAAAATACAAAGATTTCTTATACACTCCCTGTCCCTGCCACCCCCCATCTTCCCCCACTATGAACATCCTGCACCAGAGTGGTCCATTTTTACAATCGATGAACCTACAAATGGCTTTTTTTTTTTTAATCATAATACTCTCAGGATAAGGTAGCAGGTCAAAGGGGCACAGCTGCATCTTAACCTTTCATTATCTCTTCAAGATGCAGGACCTACTTGGAATTGGATGGACTGGTTAGAATAGTACAATCAGTGTGTCCTGTCTGACTGTCCCTTTTCTTGTCTCTTCTCCTTTATGAAGTTCTTTAAGGACCTCAAAATGCAGAACTGCAGCAGGAACCCGACAATGGGGTGGGAGACAAAGCCAGCTTCAGAGATGCCAGTGTTTACGCTGAAGGGACGTGGGCAGAATCCGCCGACAAATAATCACACCACAGTCCATTGAGCCCGAGCGAGGTCCCAGTGGGAGTGGTGAATGAGTAACTAGTGTCCCCAGCAGCCCTCTTCATTCTGCATGATAGCACAGAATAAACCATGCCGGGGCGGCGAGGATCCCACCCTCCAGTTACTGTTTCCTCAACCCGGCTGCCCCAGTGCTCACTCCTCTGGCCAGCATGCAGGCACAAGCTTGGAGAATCGGGCAGGAAGACGCAGCTAAGCATTAACTTTCAAATTCAGCTCTGCCCAAATTAAAGAGAGGGACGGGGTATATAGAGTTCTCAGAACTGTGTCTGGATGGTCAGCATATTCCATGTTGATTTCTTTTTTGCAAGGTCACCATGCTATTAGTTACAGAAGTGATAATATTATTTCTTCTCTCCAAACAACCAGATGTTTTAAAAGTTAATAGAAGTGGAATTTGAACCTGAGATGTAAAAATGAGCCAAGAACAAGGTCTCAGAAAGCCTCCTGGTAACTTCTGTCTATTGATTTACTAAAAGAGGAAGAAAAACATCATAAAAACAAAAGATGAAGAGGAAATCTTCACTTTTTTTAGACTTTTCCATCTTCATGTCTGTTGTCAAGTATTTTGTCAAGAAATGCATTATAACCTCATTTAAAAAAATAAACAGAACTTATGAAGCAATTCTCTTGGAGAATAACTGGAATAGTTTCTAGCGATGTTTCAAAAGACAGACTCACCTGCCTGGTGTTTTTGTAGGTCTGGTGATGGTCTGTGTTCAGCTGAGCAGAATGAAACAGCGCTGACAGACAGAAGACACCTCACCCTCTGTCTTTCACTTTGGCAAAGTGGGCATCTGATTTACAGGACTGGGAAATAAAACACACACACAAAACCTATACCTCTTTTGGCTTACCGTATGTTGTTTCATCATCAACTGGCTCACTTAACCATGAATGTGAAAGGTTGAAAAGCTTATTTAAATGTGGGCTACTGAACTTTCCTGGGGCTACAAGAACTGATACTTTGTTCAGCCATTACACTCAGTGAAACTCTCTTTTTAAATGAACCTCGTTTCACATTATACAAACTGGACCAGACTGGCTGGAAAGGGCAGGAGGCTCCCTGTGCAGGCCCACGGTGGAAGGGGGCCAGCGTGATTGCAGACAGGGTCCCCCTCTGCTGGAAAGCTTCCAATTCTCTAACTACCAGCATCTTCCATTTTCCCTATTAGCTTTCTCCTGTGATAATTTTTCTACTTTTACCTTGTAAACCAAAAATAAGATTCACAGCCCCCTGACCATCTGAACGGACCCCTCCTCTTGGCAAGGGCATTCCAAAGCTAACCTGAAAAACTAGCTCAGGCCATGATGGGAAAGAGGAGCTGGACATGCCTCGTTATGCCCTATTCCCTTTTGGAATTACTGATAGAACAGACTATTTAAGTCTCATAAGAAACTGGGCAGGCATGGTGGCTCACGCCTATAATCCCAGCACTTCGGGAGGCTGAGGTGGGCGGATCACCTGAGGTCAGGAGTTCAAGAGCAGCCTGGCCAACATGCTGAGACCCCATCTCTACTGAAAAATACAAAAGTTAGCCAGGCGTGGTGGCACACACCTGTAATCCCAGCTACTCAGGAAGCTGAGACAGGAGAATCGCTTGATCCTGGGAGGCAGATATTGCAGTGAGCCGAGATCATGCCACTGTACTCCAGCCTGAGTGAGTGAGGCTCCATTTCAAAAAAAAAAAGAAAAGAAACATTTACGATCTATTCTCCCTGAAGTCTGCTACCTGGAGGCTTCATCTTCATCTGCATGACAAAACACTGGTCTCTGCAACCCCTTATTGTAACTCAGACTTTCCTTTCTATTGATAACTCTTTCAACCAATTGCCAATCAGAAAATCTTTGAATCTGCCTGTGACTTCAAAGCCCCACCTCCCCACCGCAACCCCTTCCGGTTGTCCCACCTTTCTGGACCAAACCAATGTATATCTTACATGTATTGATGCCTATGTCTTCCTAAAATGTATAAAACCAAGTTGTGGCCCTACTACCTCGGGCACATGTTCTCAGGACCTCCTGAGAGTGGTGTTACAGGCCATTGGTCACTCATATTTGCCTCAGAATAAATTTCTTAAAACGTGTTACAGATTTTGACCCTTTTCATTGACCATCTGTTTTGGTAAATGGCTGTAAAAGCATTAAGACATTAACATCTAAAGCTGTACCCCCAATTCAATCCTTTCTACCCCTTGTTTATTTTTTTCTTCCTTACCATTTATCACCATCTAACATACTATTTATTTTATTTAAACATTTTCTTTATTATCATCTCTCTCTCCTGCTAGAGAGTAAGCTTCATTAGGCTGAGGGCTTTTTGTTTGTGTTTATTATTATTATTATTATTTTTGAGATGATGTTTCACTCTGTCACCCAGGCTGGAGTGCAGTGACGCAATCTTGGCTCACTGCAACTTCTGCCTCCCAGGTTCAGGCAATTCTCCTGTCTCAGTGTCCCAAGTAGCTGGGACTACAGGCGTGTGCCATCATGCCTGGCTAATTTTTGTATTTTTAGTAGAGACGGGGTTTCACCATGTTGGCTAGGCTGCTCTTGAACTCCTGATCTCAAGTGATCTGCCCGCCTCGGCCTCCCAAAGTACTGGCGTTACAGGTGTGAGCTACTGCACCCAGCCTGTGTTGTAATCTCAACACCTAAATCACTGCCTGGCACCTCATAGATGCTCAATAAATACTTGTGGAATGAATGAATGATGGCAGGCCCTATAGCTCAAGCCCACTTCATACCTCTTAGTCCAATGTTACTCAGAGGTCTGGTTGCCAAATATGGGTCTAGTTGATTTTGTGGCAGGGTTAAGGATTAGAAGATATGGTTGTCATCATGGGAGTATGCTGTGCAGTTGCAGAGGGACTCAAAAGGGTCCTGTACTTGGCTTAATGCTCTGCTGTCACTGCCAAAAATTCTTAATATTTTTTTCTTTGAACTTCTGCTTTATAAGTGAAATCTAATGGGATAACCAAACACACAGGTGAGAGAGAGACACATGTAATGTGAGTGTCCAATTCTGTTCTTTGCCACTCCATTTGCATATAACATTCATGACACCCCAGGAACACAAAAATCTAGTGGACCCACAATCTGTGGGAGTTTAGTGAGACTCAAAGCAGGTACAAGGTGTTAAATTAAATTTGACCTAAAGCTGTATCTGTACATAGCAAACTCCAGTGTAACTTAGTAAGTAAACAAATTGTAACCTAACTTAAGGAGTGTATTCTTATAACAAATAACTAAGTCTTAGCCAATCACAGCAGCTAAACTTCAGCCAATCACAGGCTGCCGGCTGATCAGACCATGTCCATATAACGCGATGCAGAGCTGTAAGCAATCGATCTACTGTTTCTGTACATCACTTTCTTTCTCTGTCTGTAGATACTGCCTGCCTGCACTGCTGGGTGGAGCTCTCTGAACCCCTCCTGGTTCAGACTGCTGCTCAATTCATGAATTGTTCTTTGCTTAAATAAACACTGCCAAATTTAATTTGTCTCCTTTTTTTTGTTTTAACAAAAGTAAGGGTGTTATGCCTATGCCTGAGTCAGCAGGGGCTGTCACAGGCTAAGAGCCCGTGCTTTTTGTCTGAATCAGAATTTGCTTTGAACATAGAAATAAAGCCAGAAACACAAATGATCAAGGAATCCTATCATCTGCTCTTACTCCTGTTCCTTTTCTGTATTAGCCAACCACTAACACTGAAAATGACATAGGAGAGGGAAAGATACTGCAACCAATAGTACCTTTTCCTTTACCCCTTCCTTCCTTGTCAGTAAGCTGAAAGTAGAATGTTAGTTCTCTGATTTGTATTAGGAAGTGAGCTGAAATTAGTTGAGTTAGTTTGGTGCAGCAGTTCCACTGTTCTGTTAAGAATGAACTGGCCAGGCACGGTGGCTCACGCCTGTAATCCCAGCACTTTGGGAGGCCAAGGCGGGCAGATCACGAGGTCAGGAGATAGAGACCATCCTGGCTAACATGGTGAAACCCCGTCTCTACTAAAAATACAAAAAAACTAGCTGGGCGTGATGGTGGGCGCTTGTAGTCCCAGCTACTCAGGAGGCTGAGGCAGGAGAATGGCGTGAACCTGGGAGGTGGAGCTTGCAGTGAGCCGAGATTGCGCCACTGCACTCCAGCCTAGGTGACAGAGCAGGACTTTGTCTAAAAAAAAAAAAAAAAAAAAAAATGAACTACAGGCTGGGTTCAGTGGTTCACACCTACAATATCAGCACTTTGGGAGGCTGAAGTGGGAGGATCGCTTGAAGCCAGGAGTTCGAGACCAGCCTGGGGAACGAAGCAAGACCCTGATTGTACAAAACAAAACAAAACAAAACAAAACTGGCTCAGTGCAGTGGTGGGTGCCTGTAGTTCCAGCTGCTTAGTAGGCTGAGGCAGGAGGATCGTTTGAGCCCAGGAGTCTGAGACTGCAGTGAGACAAAATTGTGCCACTGCACTCCAGTCTGAGCAACAGAGTGAGACCTTGTCTCTTAAAAAGAATTAACTACATGTGCATGTACCAACTCTGAAATAGGAAGTGTGTAAGATGCTCTTATCTTTGCATTTAAACCTGGCATTGCACAATATAAAAATGAACAGAACAGTTCATTCTAATCATTTAAAAATTTACCTTTACTGAGAACAACAATAAATAGCAATTTTTTGATCATATTATTTGTTAAAAAATATTTGAGACAGGATCCTGCTATGTTGCCCAGGCTGGTCTTGAACTCCTGGGCTGAAGCGATCCTCCTGCCTTGGCCTCCCAAAGTGTTGGGATTACAGGCATTAGCCACCATGCTCAGCCTAAATAGCAAATAAAATCACTATGATAAATCAAGAGAGAGACTTTTGGAGAAAGAAAAAAGCTTTATATTTTAGTAACTTTAACTGCATTTTCCCCCTGCTTTTTGAACAAGGTTCCCCACCATTGGGCCCCACAAATTATGTAGCTTGTTCTGGATCTCATAGCTATGGCTGAATAATTCAATCCAGCCTGTCAAATTCTGGGGCCATGTTTCAAAAATAATTTCTTAAGTATAAGAAGCCTCAACTTACTAACAGATTGTGTTCCAGCTTGTTTTATAAGTCAGCAGCTTGGATTTTGGCACGTGTTTTCTCATAGGAACACTGTTTTGAATAGTGGTCAGGTTTCCAAGCTAGCCCACAAAAGCATACTGAAGCTATAACACAGCTGATTGTCTACAGTCTATTTGCTGTTATAATAATGTAGCTGAAGACCATTTGTGTGGTTTGCCAAATACTGCACTGTGGGGTTGCACTTAACAGTTGGGTGGGGTCAGGGGAATTCTGGTTGGTTCTGGCCAAAGAGCTGTGAATAGTGGCAGGTGCCACTCTGGGCCAGGGCCAGAGCATTTAGTGGGTGTTGTGAGACCCTCCAGGGTGCTCTGTTCTCCTGCCACAGTCACTGGTAATCTTCTGGGAATGACACAGAGCAGAATCCTGGTGGACTGTGATAGGCATGTTGCATGAGCAGGAAATCCGCCATTGTGTTTTAAGCCACTGAAATTTGGAGTTGTTACCAGTGCAAAAGATACACAGTCCAATTTTAGAAATAGTCCAATGTGAAAAGCTATAATGTCTTTGGATGAAACTGATAAAGGAATGGGAAGTATCTACCCTCTCCTCAGATGTTTAGACAGAAGGGATGCAGAGAGATGGGACAGTAGCTAGAGAGGGACAAAGGTCAAAGAGGAGTTTATTTGCTGATGCCTTTCTTATATTTTTAAGATAGGAGATGCGTAAGTGTGTTTATATGAGAGTCAAGAGAGACAGAGCTAGAGAAAGAGAGGTTAGGTACAATCAGTCTACATCTGCAGGAACCGAAGACTTAAGGGGGTTAACTAACTTGTGCAAATTCTTATGTCCTCACTTTACAGATGAAGGAACCAAGGCCTTAACAAGGTCAAGTCACTCATGCAAGTTTACATGGTTTATAACTGGTTGAACCATGTCTTAAACCCATATTGGTCTGACCCCGAAGCCCACATTCCTGACTGCTAGGCTGCCTCACCTCCTAGTTTTTGGGTGAGTTGAGTTAACACAGGAGCAGAGAGCTCGCGGCCCCACAGTTAGCCTGAGAGTCAGGGGCCTTGCTATTCCTGGTGAAAGTTCTGTCTACACAAGGCGCTGCTTCCTCATTAAAATTTATGCTGCCAATTCTAAGAATTTTATATAGAGTTTTCAGCCTTTTTCCTGTGAAAATTTTCCCTTAGGAAATCAGATGATATCGAACATCCTTCCACCATTGAAACTGGGTCATTCTAAGGAAATGTAGAATCTCAGGAAAGATTCTAAGGAAATAGAAACTCAGAATTTTAACACTAATGATATCCCTGCCATGTAATAAAAGAAAAACAAAGAGAGCAAGACTCGGTGACTTGCTTGGGGTTCAAGAGTGTATTTAAGAACATTTCCAAGAGGTCAAACAAGCAAGAGGGAAACGCCAGCGATGCTGGGAGGTACCCAAGTGTAGCCGCTGGGATAACATGGGTTATGGTTGCGGCCAGGAGGCCTCTGGAGTGTGACACCAAAATAAGGCTGCAGCCGGGAAGTTGTATCCTGGCTTCTCCCCCAAAGGATGGTGGTTTGCATCCCATTCCCGCCAACTGGCTGATGGCAGGTGATAGCCGAGTCACATGGAGGGGGCCCAGCCGTCCGGGGGTTACCACTTCCTCCTCGCCCACAACAAAGGCCCTCTGCCAAGTGGATGTGTCTATAAATGCCTCCACCTTCAGCTTTCGGGGAACCGTGGACTATGCCTTCTGAAATGACTCTTCAAAGCTGGAGGGAGCATTTCTTCCTCAGCACTCTGGCAGACAATGGGGAGGATAGGACAGTGACACTCACATGAAAGCACGAAGTTGGGATGAAGGAGATGAAGCAATTCAACAGTGGCAGATCTCGTGATAGTGGCAGCTTGGAAATAAAACAAGCCCCCGGTCACATGGTGTCTCGTACCGCCAGCTTCATGGTGTGACTGCTTTGCAAAGGGAAGTTGGCTCGGGCCACTGACAAAGAACATCTAACCCCAGCAAGGCATTGCAATGGGAGCCAGAGATGCAGCTTGATGGCTTGTTTGTGGCTTGGGGATCTACAGTGGCAGTATTTTGATGTGTCCTGTTTTCTGTCCAGGCAGGGAACAGGGAATAAGTGTGTTTTAATAAAGCTTGGCCTCTGTATACCTGTGACCTTGGCCTGGCTTGGCTTATCTGCTTATCCCATGTGCACCTCACTGAGTTATTTGTTTAGACAGCATCTTGAATGACTGTTTTGTTTTGTTTTGTTTTGTTTTTTTGACAGGGTCTTACTTTGTCATCCAGGCTGGAGTGCAGTGGCATGATCTCACCTCACCTCACTGCAGCCGTGACCTACCAGACTCAAGTGATCCTCCTGCCTCTGCCTACCAAGTAGCTGGGACTACAGGCACACACCACTGTGCCTGGTGAATTTTTGTCTTTTTTCAGAGATGTGGTTTTGCCATGTTGCCCAGGCTGGTCTCAAACTCCTGAAGTCAAGCAATCCACCTGCCTCAGCCTCCCAAATTGCTGAGATTACAGGTGTGAGCCACCTCGCCTGGCCTGAATGACTACATTTTAACTTAAATTTAGAATCTTAATTATTACCTAATATCTTCAAAAAGGTCACACAATGATGTAGCATTGAAATTTCAGAAGATGGCTTGCACACACCAGGCAGTGGAACTGATGGCAGTAAAGATGGCCAAATCTCTCAGGACAGATCCCGGAATTTCCAAAATTCAGAAAGTTAGAGTAATGGACAGTTTGTCAAAAACTTCCTGTTGACTTTCAGGAGAAGTCATGTAATTTCCGTAATGTGAAATCCCACTAAAGAAAGAAGAAACTTCAAGGGGAACTAGAAAATGCAGGCAAACTTAGGATTCTTGTGCAGGCCTTGAACTCATATTTTGAAGTATTTTAGAGGTCAAGGGCACAAGTCCTGGTTATGGAAAGCAGTGTGCCACCGAGGATGTTTTGCAAAGCTACTGATGATCCAGTATTATTCCCAAGGATCTCCAGATGCAGAATACAAAGCAGGCTAAGACTTAAATGTTGATTATGATACTAAAGAAGAAAGTGATGTATTAGTGTTTTGATAAATGTATGCTATTGACAGTTGAGTACAGAGGATTTTTAGAGCCATAAAACTACTCTGTATGATACAATAACGGTGGATGATACATGTCGTTATAAATTTGCCCAAACCCGTAGAAAGTACACCAACAAGAATGAACCCTAATGTAAACTAGGTAATTATGATGTGTCAATGTAGGTTCATCAATTGTAACAACTGTAACACTCTGGGGCAGAGCGGGGAGTGTTAATAATGGGAAGGCTGTGTGTGTTTGGGGCAGGGAATAGATGGGAAATCTCTGTATCTTCCTCTTAATTTTGCTGTGAATCTAAAATGCTTTAAAACATAAAGCCTTTAAAAATGCATAATTTAAACAAGGACAGGACTCAGGAGAGGTGAATGAGATACCTGGGGTGCAAAAGGAAGGAGATGCCCATTCTTGGGGTTGTGCCGGTACAAGGCTAAATGGTTGAGAAGTCCACCATGTGGTTTATAATCCACAGCATCTTAGAATTGAGGAAATACAGTGGGCACAGTTCCCCCAAGGGCTGGGGTTCTGAGCTCTGTATTGGGCCTTCCTGGCCTCACCATCTCCATGTGTTTTTTCAGCCTGAGCACCAGCTCCTCTGGGGAGGGGCTCCTGGAGAAGCTGGGTAGGGGCCCATCCTCTGCGCTCTCATCATGCCCTGTACGAGTCTTTCTGTGAGTCCTCATCTCAGTGGAATTGCTTTTAAAAATCTGTCTCTTGCCCAGACTGTGAAGTCCTTGGGAAGAAAAATTGTTGTGTTATACCTTTTGTAGTTGGCCCAACAGCAATGAATGGACAAGCTCTGATGTCCTGTAGAGATGGGAAAAAACATAGTCTTTTGCGGACTGAGCGATTAATTTTTCTCCTTTAATCATCAGTGCAGCCCTCTGGTGGGCTGATGAAATGTCTTCAGGAGCCAGAGAGCACTCCCAGTCCAAGCCTTACCCTTGTCTTCGGTTGAGGAATAACTTTATCATTTGGTTAAAGTGGAATATGCCCAAGAAAGAAAAAGTTTTGCTTTTTATGACTCATGTCAACATTTTAAAAAACATCTTAAGGAAGTTTAGTCAAAGTGCTTAGGGAACTTTGGAAAAAAGATGCCACTATCTATGTCCTAGTGCATTGCATGAAGTCCCAGGTGCATTGTGTAAGGTCTCAGGTGCATTGTGTGAGGACACAGCTACATCGTGCGAGGCTGCAGGTGTGTGGCATGAAGCTGCAGGTGCATCAGTGTGGCTGTAGGCTGTTTAAAATCCTTCTTGTTCCACACAACCTAAAATGCTCACTTTCTATAGAAGCAATACCTCCTAGTTTTGCTTAGATCCCTAGACAAATAGTCTGCTTTCATAGGAGCAAAGGCATGGCTTATACCTGACTCTAGTTTCGAAAATGCAATGTTTAGAGCTAACAGCCTTCTCTATCTTGCTAGTACTCCGTAGCCACAGAATTTCCTGTTCATTGTATCTGGGAATCATTTGGATCTGTTTGTACTGGCTTATTATGATTTAAGAAGACTTGAGTTTGTAGCATTTAAAAAAGGAATTATATTTTATGTAATATGTACTTTTATTTTGGGTTCAGCAGAGCGGGGAGATGGGCAGGAAGGGGGAAGTGCTGATAGCTAAAGAGATTTACAAGAGGATGAAGAAGGTCAATATCGTGCCTCATTTCCCCTTCCTAGTGATAACTGCTAATATATTTCTATGGAGCCTCTTTTAATGGTATGTATTTCAAACATTTTGTTATAAACATAACACTCGGATATTATAGAATTGAAGGAAAAACACTTTTAATGCCACCACTCAGATAACCAGTGTTGCTATTATGATGCCCTTTGTTTTTTTGCTATGCATATAAAGTCAAATACTAAATCTACATTACAGTGTAAGCATTTTCCTGAACAAAAAAACATGGCACACACTTTAATTGCACAAGACAGAAACAATAGCACACAGAGCACACACATAAGCCCTATATCTCAATCTCACTTATAGACCTTGATGAAAAATATCAAACAAAATATTGACAATAGAATCCAGCAATATGGTTTAAGAAATGTATCATGACCAGTTGAAATTCATTTCAGGAATGTAGAGATTAGAACATGTTTGGAAATCTATTAATATAATCAACCTTATATAAAAACCCTGTATGATTATCTTGATACTGAAAAGTCATATGAAAATTTCTGTGATTTAAAAAAATCTCGAACTAATAGTCAGCATTATGTTTAATTAAACATAGTCACATTAAAGTCTAAAAAGATGAGTGTCATCATTATTTTCTTGTTCTAAAAATCCTAGTCAACACAACGAGCAAGATAATTAAACAAGATGTCTAAACACTGACAAGAAAGAGGCCAAATTATCTTCACTTGAAGATAATATGATTGCTTACAAAGAGAATCCTAAAAAATTTTAGACATAATATAGTTCAATAGACTGTACAAAATAAATATATAAGTATATGAAAATATGTAGAACAAATATTTAAAAATCATATATTTAATATATATTTAAAATAATACATAAAAACTTAGAGTTTCTTATATATCAGCAAAACCACTTAAAAGTAAAATGAAAAATATATTCCATTCACATCAGCAGCAATAAAATAAAACACCTAGGAATACATGTAACCAAAGTCAAAAGCAAAACAAAGTCAAATCAAATCTTTATGAACCAGTTCTGAGAGAAGTAAGACTAGAATGAACTGAGAGACAAATCTTGTTACTGGATGGGAAGATGCAATGTCAGAAAGAGGCACATTCTCCAACAGATCTCTAAATCCTATGTAATCTCAAAAGGAATCCCTAAGGGATTCCAAGTGAATTCTAAAACTCAGCATGAGAATAGCCAGGACCATTATGGAAAAGGCAAGTAAAATGGAGGTACTCCTCCCAGTAAATATTATTATTATTATTATTTTTTGTTCTAAGCCTGCCATTGTAGTGAATGACTACCACATATTAACACAAAGCTATACTAAGTGTGTATGATACTGATACAGGAAAAGACAGGTCAATCGAGCAAGTTAGTTCAGAAAGATCCAAGTGAGTGAGTGTGTGAGTATGCATGTATATGTGTGGGTACATTTGCATATAAATATATATATCAGAATTTAGTATCTGATAGAGGGGGCATTTCAAATATTTGGAGTAATTGTCTTTTTTTGTTTGTTTGTTTTTGAAACAGGGTCTCTCTCCGTGCTGGAGTTCAGTGGTATAAGCTTGGCTCACTGTAGCCTCAACCTCCTGGGCTCAAGTGATCCTCCCACCTCTGCCTCCCAAGTAGCTGGGACTACAGGCGCACACCACCATGCCTGGCTGATTTTTGCCTTTTTTGTAGATGCAGGGTTTTGCCATGTTGCCCAGGCTGGTCTCAAACTCCTGAGCTCAAGCCATCTGCCTGCCTCGGCCTCCCAAAGTGCTGGGATTACAGGCGTGAGCCACGCGCCCAACCAGAGCAACTGTTTATTAATAGGAAAACCATAAAGCTGGATCCTTATCTCATATTTTTATACCAAAATAAATGGAAGATAATAAAAAATTCAAATATGAAAAATGAAACCATAAAATGCTAAAATATAGGTGATTATTTTTAGCCTTAAAGTGCGTAAGTCATGATACCAAAAAGCAACTATAAAATATTTTATAGATTCACATAAGTAACATTTTCTAAAAGTCCTTTTGCATATTAAGAGTAATGAACAGGCCGGGCGCGGTGGCTCACGCCTGTAATCCCAGCACTTTGGGAGGCCAAGGCGGGCAGATCACGAGGTCAGGAGATCGAGGCCATCCTGGCTAACATGGTGAAACCCCATCTCTACTAAAAATACAAAAAATTAGCTGGGTGTGGTGGCGGGCGCCTGTAGTCGCAGCTACTCAGGAGGCTGAGGCAGGAGAATGGTGTGAACCTGGGAGGCGGAGCTTGCAGTGAGCCGAGATGGTGCCACTGCACTCCAGCCTGGGTGACGGAGCAAGACTCTGTCTCAAAAAAAGAAAAAAAAAACACAAAAAAAGGGGAATGAACAAAGTTGAAGTACAAATGATAAACTAAAAAAATGTTAACCATACATGTGACATTGGGTTAATATCTCTATAATACAAAAGAAATTTACAAATTAATTTGACAAGGACAAGTTATTTAATTAAAAAGTGATCAAAAGATATAAAGAGGCAGTTCATAGAAGAAAAAACAAATGAGAAATAAGTATGTGAAAATATAGTCATTCTCACTCATAATGAAAGGAATACAGATTAAAACCATGTAGTCCACGATTTGCTGCCAGGTTGGTGGTGATGGTAGGTTCAGTTATCAGGTATGGTCAGTGTGGAGAGCAGTGGGCTCAAAGAAACTGTTGCTGGGGGTGTAATTGGTTCAGACTTTCTGGAGGGCAGCTTGCCAGCATGTGTTACCATGGAAATAGGTGTATTCATTGACTTAGAGAGTCCTGTCATCTGACTGCATCCTAAGGAGATAATTGGCCAAGCGTGCAAATTCTGAGTTACTGTTAACATTTTGCCATATACGAATTTTAAGTTGGTGGTGGTTAAATTAATTGATCATTTTCTTTGTGGTTTCTTTTATGCTTATGTAGTTCTTCCCTTTTCTATTTTTATTTTTATTTTTTTACATTTTGACAATTACCTGGAAGGGTTTTGATTGTAAAGTGACATGGTATTTTAAATTAGTATTTTTCCAAGTTTTCATTTCCTCACAACCTTTTGTTAAATAATTCATCACTTCACTGTTGATCTGAAGTGTACCCTTTATCGTGTGTCAAGTTCTTTGTATAAGATACATTTCTAGATTCTTAATTCTGCTCTGTTAATGTGTCTGCCTATGACTTGCTTATACTTGCAGTTTTAATTTAATAAATATTAAAAGGAAGAAGTACCAGTCACTAATCAATACTATTTTCCCCCTACATTTCTTGTTTATTCTTCCAAATTTGTGAGATTTCACTAAAAATATCCCATTCGAATTTTAAATGAAATTAATGAAGCCATAAATTAATTTGGGAAGATTGACACATTGGTTTCTAATTTGCAGGAAACCTATGGGTTCTTGGTCATATCATTTTGCTCATTAATCCAACCAGGCCATAGGGCATGGAGCTGGAAATTGACCTCAATGGGAAGGTGGCCACGAGACCCATGACAGGCCCTCACTAGCCTGGCTTATGTAAGGAAGGGGCCAGCAATCATGGGAAAGGCAGGGGCACTCCCTGTGAGAATTTACAAACTAGTGGCATTATGGGCCACAGACTTATTAAGTTTTACTCCAGGATGGATTTGCCCAAGGGGAAGCAAGGTGTGTTTTGACACAGATCCCTTGGTCTGGGTGAAGGGGTGTGGAAGAGCAGGCTGGAACTGTCATTGCCCTATTCCAACTCCCTGCCCTCAATAGGGACAAACTGCCTTGGTAAGAGCTCCAGCGGCCTCTTTGAGATCCCACCAGGGTTTGGTGGAGAAGCAGAAGGCAGCAGGCCTCTGAATAAGGCAGACCTAGGTTTGATTTGTGATGGCTGTGTGATCTTGGGCACATTTCTTAACTTCTCTGACCTTCATCTGACACATGGATAATGGTACTTCCCTGATAAGATTGTTGTTTGTAACCCCATCAAAAAGTGGGCAAAGGATATGAACAGACACTTCTCAAAAGAAGACATTTATGCAGCCAAAAAACACAGAAAAAATGCTCACCATCACTGGCCATCAGAGAAATGCAAATCAAAACCACAATGAGATACCATCTCACACCAGTTAGAATGGCGATCATTAAAAAGTCAGGAAACAACAGGTGCTGGAGAGGATGTGGAGAAATAGGAACACTTTTACACTGTTGGTGGGACTGTAAACTAGTTCAACCATTGTGGAAGTCAGTGTGGCGATTCCTCAGGGATCTAGAACTAGAAATACCATTTGACCCAGCCATCCCATTACTGGGTATATACCCAAAGGATTATAAATCATGCTGCTATAAAGACACATGCACACGTATGTTTATAGCGGCACTATTCACAATAGCAAAGACTTGGAACTAACCTAAATGTCCAACAACGATAGACTGGATTAAGAAAATGTGGCACATATACACCATGGAATACTATGCAGCCATAAAAAATGATGAGTTCATGTCCTTTGTAGGGACATGGATGAAACTGGAAACCATCATTCTCAGCAAACTGTCGCAAGGACAGAAAAACCAAACACCGCATGTTCTCACTCATAGGTGGGAATTGAACAATGAGAACACATGGACACAGGAAGGGGAACATCACACACCGGGGACTGTTGTGGGGTGGGGGGAGGGGGGAGGCATAGCATTAGGAGATATACCTAATGCTAAATGTCCAGTTAATGGGTGCAGCACACCAACATGGCACATGTATACATATGTAACTAACCTGCACATTGTGCACATGTACCCGAAAACTTAAAGTATAATAATAATAAAATTTAAAAAAAAAACACCCTAAAAAAAAAAGATTGTCGTTTGTGTTAAATGAGATAATAACACAAAATATCGGTGTAGGTCTGGCACATGGTCATACTTAACAAGTGGTAGCTATTAGCAATACTAATAAGATTAATGTTTTTTGGTGGTGGTGGGGATTGAACAGGTAATGGATACAAAGAGTTATATGCCTGAAACATATGACCTATTGTTATTGTTGTCACTATATTATTATTATTACTATTATTGAGGTTGTTATTATTGGTGTAGCATCCAGGCATTCCACACAGGACCCTAAACCACTTGGGTACAAAGGCACTCATTGTGAACTGTGGTGGCAGGGGCCTCAGGCCTGTGCCCCACCTGCCTGTGTGGTGTTGCCCACAGGAATGCTGGTGGACTTGGCTCATGTGCCTGCGCTCCTGGCCATAATGATGTGGGATCCCCCACAGCTCAGCGCCAACCACAGCCTCTTCTCGGTTTACAAATCCCCTTCCCACCAAAAAAGAAGGGCTGGGGAAGCAGCCCTTGACAGGGAGATCACAGGCTCAAGTTTCCAGTGCCCACCCAGCCTTTCTGAACTGTGGTGCCTTAAGCAAATCAGGTTACCTCTCAATGTATCCTTTTGCTCATCCATACAGTCGGGTCAACATAACTAATATTCGCTCCCTCCCAGTGCTGTATGAGGACAGAAGGAGAGATGTGCAGACAGCATCTGATGCACAGTAGACCCCCAACTGGGGTCACCAGATAAATGCAGGACACCCAGTTACATCTGAATTTCAGATAAACGACAGGCATTTTTAGTATAAATATACCCCAAATATTCACAGAACATTCTTACACTAAAAAAATTATTTGTTTCGGTAGAAGAGCACAGTAAATCTAACATAAAAAAGACAAAAAAATTATTTGCTCTTTTTCTGAAATTCACATTTACTGGAAATCTTATAGTTTTCTTTGCTAAATGTGGTACTCTTGCCTCCAACAAATGTCACTTCTTCCCCCCTTATCATGTGTACGCATGAATTTGTAACTCTGACCATCTTCTGGTTCATTGTGAGGGTCTCATTAATTCCCATGAACTCATTCAACCAACACGTGCTTGTTGGGCTGGTACAGAAGATGAACAAAGGCAGAGGACACAGATTCACCATGATTTCTGGCTTGAGCTTGTGTTATGAAACACCCTGGCAAGGGTCAAGGGCTGTTCCGTTGTGAGCTGTTGGTGTTATGGTGACCATTCAGGTTCAGGGCCTCCTTTTAGCCTGGAAACTCCAGGACAGCATTTGTTCTCTTTCAGGAGCTTAATGTAGAGCTTAATCCGTCACCTTCCCCTGGGTCTCTGGGAGGGCCAAGTGGTGCACACGGGATTAGCACCTCCATGCTTGCAAAGCTGCATCCCCAACCCGCACCCCTCTTGAGCTCTCCTCACACCTGACTATGAGTCAGCACTTTATTCTGGCTCCCCTGAAGGCATGAGCCCTTCCTGTCTGCCTCTTGTGGAGATGGCTTTCTGGGGCCTTCAGAACTATAAAGGGAGAGGGCAGCTGGCAGCCCTGGCCCACACCTTCAGATGTGCCCTGGGTGCTGCCTCTGCTGTGTCTCCTGTGTCTCCTGAGCAGGGAGAGGGACTGCAGAAACCTGCACTGTCCACTCGCTACCTCCTGGATCCTGCCGGTCTCATTCTGTGGCTGTGGTCCCCGCCGGCTGGGTAAAGTGATGGCCCACCTGCCCGAGTGGAGGACTGGGATGTCAGCAGATGGGTGCAAGTGAACGCTCTTTCTGCGTTTTTGAAGTGCTTGAGGTGGAGGGAAAGACACCTTACAAAGCTCTCAGTCACCTTTAGGAGGGGAGAAGTTCCCAATGTACTTCAAGCTATTTACAAACTTGTATCAGGGTGACATGCAGGTGGATGGTTGAGCGGCTCTCCCAAGGGGAGAACAGAGGCCCCGGGGTATAGACCTGGATCCAGCTCCGGTGCAGGCACTGGGACCTCAGATTAGCACTTCTTTATGCCCCAGTTTTCTGTCTGCAAATCTGTATAATAAAATGCCAAATTCATGGGGTTGCTGGAAGATATAATGAAAAGATGCAACAGAAGTGCCTGGTCTAGAACCAAATATTAATAAGAGAAGGCAAAGGCTGATCTGAAGTCAGGTTGAAATGGCTTCTCTTGAGCAAGCCAAAAAGATTTCCATGAAGCCATGCTTTGTGCAGATGTCCTGGGGGATGAGGGGTGGGCTCCAGTTCCTGCTTCCCTCCCCCTGGCCTCCAGGAAGTGTGTATGAGTGAGTGAGTGTGTGTGTGTGTGTGTGTGTGTGTGTGTGTGTAGTATGGAGAGGGTGATATTATCTCACAACAAAACCACCACCTGACTTTTAGAAGCTGAAAACCTGTCTCTGCAGAATTCCCACTAGCAGGCACACCCAAAAAACAATGCCAGAGGAATTTTGTCACACCCGGGAAGGGCTAGTGATTAATTTAATGATGCCTCTGTCCTCGGTGACAGATGGGTTTGCATCTGTGTGATGTAGAGTTTAAATGGTAAGTACTCCTCCTTGTTTCTATGCCCACCAATATATAGCCACCAAGAAAAGTTACCCCAAAACGCTGCCATGTGGGCATTTTAGATGTGGAAAGAAGGGAAATGACATTTCTTGGGTGCAACTAGGCCCCAAGTGCTCTGTAAACATCACTTTGTTCAAACTTCCTTAGAACCCTATATCATAGATAGGTTTTATCAGTTTATAGAAATGGGTGCCCAGAGGTTAAGCAACTCCCCCAGTGTCATGCAATTGTAAGTGAGGGAGCCAGGATTCACACCCAAGACTGACTCTGTGGCAACAGAGGGCCTCAAGCCACTGCTCTGTCCCCCATGCCATGGCAGATGCTGTGCACTGACTGTGGCACTCTTTCTTGCTGCATCAGGAGGCAGCCTTAGTACTCTTGCAAATACAGCCAGCCACCACCAACCTGCAGGGTGGGGGCTATGATCTGAATGCTTGTTTCCCCCCAAAATTCATATGCTGAAATCCTAACTCCCAGGGTGATATTAGGAGGTGGGGGCTTTAGGAGGTGATTAGGTCATGGGAGTGGAGCCCTCCTGAATGGGATTAGTGCCCTTATCATAGGAGCCCCAGAGAGACCCCTAGTCCCTTCTACCATGTTGGGACACAGCAAGAAGCACCATCTATGAACCAGAAAGTGGGCTCTCACCAGACACCAAATCTACCAGTGTTTGGTCTTGGATCTCCCAGCCTCCAGAACTGCGAGAAGTATTTTTTCTGCTGTCTTTAAGTCACCGTGTTACGGTATTTGGTTGCAGCAGCCTGCATGGACTAAGAGTGGGCATGCAAACCAAGCCCGTGGGCCATCCCAGCACCATTCATGCTGCCTTCCACCTGGCATTGTTGGGCTCTTTGTGTCAGCTCAGGTGGGTTTTAGGGCCCAGCTCCTCTGCAGAATGCTGATGCCTGGTTCAGGTAGGCAGGGCCAGGTATAGGCATGCAGGGAAGAGTCAGGGTTTCCTGCGAGGATTTATTGTTGATGTGGGAGTTTTTTCATTAGCGATCCATATATTTGAGTCAATCATTGCCCTCTCCTTTTTTAAGACATAAGTACCTCTGGGATAGGTAACACCTGTGCTTTACTGCAAATTTACCTTCTGGATTTTTTTTGTTGTTGTTGTTGAGAAGGATAAGCTAGACTTTTCCGGTTGTCTGGGGGTACCGGCTGAAACCCAAAGCTTAGAACAACAGGCAGTCTCCCTTGCCATGCTCCTCTCTTCCCGCAACACACACATTTTAAAGACAGGTGCTAGACCCTCCAGGCAGAACTTGCTAAGAAGTATTCCAACTGGTCCTGCAAGTCCTGGTCTTGGCACTTCATCTACCTCCAGCCTAGATCCAATCAAAGGCTAAAGATTGCTCAAAGCAGATTTCTTTAATGAGAAAGAATGTGCCGACTCCCTGTTGTGGCTCCCCACTGTGGCTCCCGAATCTGAGCATTAAACACTTGGGAGTGGCATGCACTTTCACAATTTGTTGGGGCCAGGGCTGGAATGTTTCTTTGGGGTCCGAGGTGACATGATCTCTTGGGTGGTATCCAGGCCCCAGGGACTTGAAAGCACTCCACTCAAGATTTCTGTCTGCCGAGGAGAGGAGACCCCAGCAGAAAGAGCCCCGGTGAGGGGTACCTACAAGCAGGAGCTGAGGAATTGTAGGAAGTCAGCTGGAGAGGGTATCGCCCATGCTGCTTACATCAGAGAATGGGGCACGCTGGGGATCCTCAGCAAGCAGGTCTCCAAAAATCCACAAAAATCCCCTCCTTGAGGGATAGGGAAAGAGCCTGCCCGGACAGTTACTGAACAACAGCCCCCCAAAGATATTCAAATTTTAATCCCAGAACCTCCGAATATACTGTTTTACCTGGCCAGAGGGACTTTGCTGATGTGTTTAAGTTAAAGATCTGGAGGTGAGAAAATCCTGAATGATCTGGGTGGTCCCAGTGCAGTCACAGGGTTGCTATAAGAAAGAAGGGTTGTGATAAGAGAGTCACAGGTTGCTATAAGATATGAGGATGGAGGCAGAAGTCAGAGAGGAGAGAAGATGCTAAGCTGCTGGCTTAGAAGATAGAGAAGGGATTACAAGCCAAGGAACGCAGGTGCCTTCTAGAAGCTGAAAAAAGCAAGGCAAGGGATTCTCCCCCGGAGCCTCTGGAAGGAATGTGTAGCCCTGCTTACCTATTTCAGACTTCTGACCTCCAGAACTACAAGAAAACAAATGTGTGTTATTTTATGCATCTGAGTTTGAAACAATTCATTCCAGCAGCCATGGGAAATGAATCCACCTGCCCTGCTCTGGAGGCAGCCAGCAGCTGAGGAGCGCTGCTAGAGAAAACACAGGATGCCCAAGTAGTGCATGGGACATTCTTATACTAAAAGAGTATTTGTTGTTTATCTGACATTCCAATTTAACTTGACATCCTTTAATTTTTTTTTTTTTTTGGCAAAATCTGGTAACTCGAAGCCAGAAGAGAGAAGAAAACCAACCAACTTATTTAAAGAACACTTTTATCCTTTGTTTTACATCTCTCCTCCCTGCCCTGAACCTGGAGAGCCTGAAGCAGGTGGTAAACATGTGAGGAGGAGTAGAAATGTGGGGAGAGACAAAGAAGAGACCGTGACCCTCCTCACGGCAGGTTTTTGCACTCCGGGTCAGGCGTGGAGGTAGAAAATAGGGGAAGATGAAGGAGAGGGAATAAAACCTGCATGGGCCAAGCGATTCAAGTTTTCATTTAGATTGGCCTGCAAATTTTAATATCTAAAAATAAACATCATTGGTTAATATCTGAAAATGACCAAAATGTTTTGGGATCTTATCAAGATATCAAGCCAGCTGGGGAAGAGAAAACCGAGAGGGAAGGTCTGAAAGGCAGGGTGAGAGGAAAGGTAAAGGCAATACCCAGTTATACAACCAGGAGTCCAGAATGGTCAATAAGCCAGTTACCAGTTCTTACGCATCCGTGCTGTGTCCTCTGTTGAAGTGGATGCATCATTTCTGGGAAGAGTGACACGCACATCTTACCATGCCATCATTTTACTGTATTACTTTTTTTCTGTGCCAGGGAGGATGGCTGGGCACCACAGTGAGGGTGGAGGGCACCTCAAGAATAAGGACCACGTATGAAGTTGATGACCTCTGGGGGCCTGGGCATCTCTTGAGACTGGACCTGAGCAGCTTGGTGAACCAATCCCAAATTCTACCATCAAAAAGAAAAATATGGGGTGCTCTCAAAGTTATGTGCCTGGAGCCCTCTGGACAGCTTCCGGGAAAACTTCCCAAAGCAAAGCTTTCACCAGAATTGCACATGACCACGATCACACTGGCCACAGGGAACTGCTGAGAATGTCTCTCTCCACCTGGTTTTCTTGACCTCAGCAAATGTGAATGGCTTCTATCTGTCTGACTCACCCTAAGCCTGACCTATTTGTGAAATGCTTTCTCTACAAAAAAGCTGAAGATAATGCAGAGAATTATACATTTATAATCCCAGTAGAGACGGGGTTGCCTAACCCTCTCATTTCAGCTGCTCCCTGCCTTGCCAGTGCTAGATGCAAGCTGACCAAATGTTGGTGAGTGTCTAATGGCCTAACTTATTTGCTCCAGTGGTAATTACCAGGAAGGGAGGGGATGGAGGAAGGGAAGAGGGAGGCAAAGGGCCAGGCAGCCAATTAGGGGAGGGTGAGGGGATCCCAGAGATCTATGTCTAATTCTGCGTCTGCTTCTTGGTACACCCAGGAACTTCTACGGGATGAATGAACCACCTGTGAGGTATTAGCACAGCGGGGAGTTGGCTTGGTGTAGTGGGAAGAGCCAGGCCTTCTCACTCAGTCAGATCTGGGTTAGGATTTTTTTTTCTGCCATCTTCCTTGCTGTGTGCTGGTGGCTTTTCCACTCTATCTTCCTCATAGAGATCTGGCCTCATGCTCTCAGACTTCATATAAGAATAAATAAAATACTACATGCAAAAGGAATAATATTATATACTGCCAAACACTCTACAAAATATACTGAAAGTGCTTGGAGAGCTTTAAATAGGGTTTCTGAAAATTTGCCTTTTGCATGGGTGGTAGGAAGAGAGGAAGTCGAGTTAATTCCAAATGGTGGCTGATGCTGACTTGGTTTTGATGGACTGAACCAGCCAGATCCTCCAACCCGCCCGGACTCTGCTTCTACTTCGCTCCCTGTCAGGATTTGGGTGTGGGAGCCCAGTGGGCCCCATGCCAATCTGGGTCATAACTAGAACTGCCAGTACTAATCATGCAGAGCTGCTGGTCTAGTTCTTATTTCTGCCCCTGCACCCATAGAAGAGGCAGTGCTCTTGGTCTGGGTGGAAACGGAGGCAAAGTGGACAGCACCTTACCCGCTCTGCCACGGCCACCTGCTGGCTGCCTTGGCCAGCAGTCACTGAGCTTGGAACCTTGAGGGGGGATTGGAGGTGACCTTGGGGCCATCTCAAAGGATACACCTGTTTCTGCTGCCAAGAGCAGCTACCTACAAGGGCAGGTATGGGTTTTTTCTGTTGCTGAGACGGGTTGTATCCCTCTCCTAAAGCTCCCCTCGGTTCCGTCTATAAAAGATGTAATATGGTGGCCGAGTTAAGCGCTTGGATTCTGCCACTGAACTTGTTTTCTTGGAGATCTGACTCGTTGCCATCAGCAACATGGGCGGGGTGGAGCTGGCTTTCTCTGCATCTGTTCTCCTCTACACCTGATGTTAACAGAATGCCTGGATTCCGGGGACTTCCAGGTCTAGCCGGGCCAGTTTAGACTGTGCCAGGGATCTGTAATTAGGCAAGCAGTTGGGTCAGAAAAATACACAGGCACTGGAGGACCTGACAAGGTGAGGAGGGAGAGCGGGGAGGCCCTGCCTCAGCCAGGAGTCTTCAATGTAGATGCTGCGTGCTGGGCTCTGGTATGGCCAGCACTGGGCCTACAGATGAGCTGCATTGGGGAAGTAAAAAGTGAAGAGACCGGCCGCATTGAGAAGCAGGACCAGAGCAAAGTGCATTGATTGACAAAGGCATCTCTCTGAAAACTTTAGAGAACAGTCTTTGAGAATGTTATGTCACTTTTGCTTATATCAACATGCAAAACTATAAAGCCATTTCATCTTTGTCTTTTGCTATGGTCAATAGCTAAAAATACCCCCAGCACTGGACAGGATGAGTACAGCATAGTGGCTAATTAAATATGCAAGTTTTAGAGCCAGACCACCTGGATTCGAAACCTAACTTTACTCCCTTCTCACTGGGTGACATGGAACAAGTCATATGGAACAACCGATTCGTGCCTCAGGTTTCTCTTATGGAAAATGGGGCTAATAATAGTATTCACATCGTAAGATTGTTGTAGTGAGAAGAAAATGTGAGTAATACATGTAAAGTGCTTAGAACAGGAATTGGCATGAATAAATGCTCAATAAGTTTTAGCTACTCTTGTTTTATGTCATTGTTTCAAGAGTATAACTTTTCTCCTTTCCTTCTGGTATCATGGATCTGATGAAAAATAGGTTGCAACCTGTATGTCAAGTTCAACCAATTGGTTGTAGCTACCTGGAGAGCTGTGTTGAGAAGGATTCTGAGGCTGCATCAACCTCATTTAAGGGGAAATTATATAGTGTCCTATGAGTAGTACTATGAGTAGCATCTCTGCTACTGGATATGGTAGTGGGGAGTGGTGGCATTGGTGCCACATCATTTCCATTCCTGTATTATAACTTGTCTTGTTGTAAGGTTTGTTTTTCCCTGTGTCTGTCTCAGCCCTCCCCTCCCCATCTGCCTTTGCCTCTGTAGGGCATCCTGGTCCGTGGATGGGCTTGGATGCCAAGAGCTGCTCTGTAAGAACCTTCTCAGATGATGATGATGATGATGATGATGATGATGATGATTCTGGAGAAAGCAAAGACCACATGGCCTGATACTGAGGATGCTGCTAGGCCGTGAAGCACCCACAGGATCCTTTGTGTGCCAATCAAGGGCACCCTTAGAGAAATCAGGAAACTCTTCGCTGAGCAGGTTAATCTTCATGACGCCCATGGTTCTGGAATCGGAACACTAATGATTAGCACAGAAACTTCCCCACAGCCTCAGTAATCATTGACTTATTAATCCATGCAGTTCAGGACCTTGTGCTGAGTTATCTCTATTTCCATTCATTGGTCAGTCTTTTCTGTCTGGACACAGGACCACTGTGGTCAGGTCATCCAGTGGCACCGCCATGGCCATCCGGGTTTGCTGAGTGCCATTCTGCTAACTTTTGTGAGCTGTGCTCTGTCTTGAGTCTGACACCTGATTTGAATATCTGGCTTTACCAATTACTATCCTTATCATTTGGGTAAGTTGTTTAAACTCTCAAAGCCTCACTTTCCTTGTCTATAAAATGGGAGGAATAACAGTTCCACCTCATCAGGTTGCCGTGAGGCCTAATGAAAGAATGCATTGTAAGTGCTTGGTATGTGCCTCGCCCATATTAAGCATGCCAAAAGCGACAGCTCTTGTTTTCCTAACTCAATCAGAAAGCTCGTTAAGTGATATGACATAAAAATAATGGTTCATATGTGTATGGCACTTTCACATTCATTGTGCTGGGCATAGAGCAAATGCTCAATGAGGATTAGCTACGATTATTATCATTAAAAACAACATTGACAGTGACAGCTCTACTTAAGCTGCTAGGAAGGGTGAGATAATCACCCAAGTCCTAGACTAGGCTTCTTAATCTGGTGCCCATGGACCTGTTGGTGATCTGGGGATAGAATTTATGGGGTTTGTGACCTTGGATGAGAAAAAAAATTAGACCTTTATTTCCAATAACCTCTAACTGAAATTTAGAATTAATTTCAATTGTGAATGTAGGAAACAAAATACATCACCTGTGATGTTGACACTAATATACATCTACATCTTTTTTTCTTTTTTTTTTTTTGAGACAGAGTTTCACTCTGTCACCCAGGCTGGAGTGGTGCAGTGGCACCATCTTGGCTTACTGTAACTTCTGCCTCCTGGGTTCAAGCGATTCTCCTGCCTCAGCCTCCTGAGTATTTGGATTTACAGGTGCCCATGACCATGCCCTACTAATTTTTGTGTTTTTAGTAGAGACTGGGTTCTACCATGTTGGCCAGGCTGGTCTCGAACTCCTGACCTCAAGTGATTTCCCTGCCTTGGCCTCCCAAAGTGCCGGTATTACAGGTGTGAGCCACCATGCCTGGTTTAAATCTGCATCTCTTTATAGTTGTTGCAGATATCTTGAAATATTGGGTGTTTGTTGCTACTTCAAAATTATGGTAGATAGTAAATCTCTACTATAACTCATTATTTAATATCTTAATAAAGAAGCACATATTTTGATACTTACATTTCAATATAACTGGTTTTTTTGAATACTATATATTTTATTTTGTGCATTTAATAATCATCTTCAGAAAAGTCCACAGCTTCACCAGACTGCCAAAGGCATCCGCGGCACAAAAAGAGTTAAGAAGTTACAGAGTGCAAGGCTGTCCCCAGGATCACCTCACTTCTGATGCCAATTATCTGTTGAGGGGTGGTGGGAGTGGGAGGGGATCAGGTCTGGCCACCCTCAGATCTGATAAATCAGCAGGAGGACTTACCAACTGAAAGCTGTTACACTTATAGTTTCAGTGGAAGGAATGGGCCAAAGGAAGAAATGCATGGAGCAGAAAGTCCCGAAAGGGAAGCTTCTAGTTGTCCTCTCCCAGTAGACTCATGGGCAGCACCAACTTTTCCTGGCCAGGATATGTGACAGTACATGTGGAGTACTGCCACCCAAGGAGCCTCACCCGAGCCTTTGTGTACAGAGTTTTTACTGGGTCTCAGACAGGTAGACATGGTGGACTACTTGTGTGACTGACCTTTAATCTCCAGCCCTTCTGGAGGTCGAGCTGATACTATGTGGCTCAAAGCCCCCAACATAAATCACGCTGTTAGGCTATTCAATGTGGTTCAAGACTGCCCAGGCAAACAAAGACACTCTTATCAGGCAGGACATCCCCAGGGCTTAGAGGTACCTCCCAGGAACCTCTGGACATCTCTGGATAAGGCCAATTCTTTACTACACAGTACCCTACTCTTGAAACTGCCACAGAGCTGCACACTTGGAGCAGCTGGAGGTAGGTGAGAGGGTGGAAGAATTAGCTAACACATAGTTGTAGCCACTGAAACACAATTTAGTGGAAGATTTCTTTTTGTACCTGCAAAGACAGCATAGAGTTCATTGCTTTCAGAGGCAACTGAGTAGTTCCAGGTTAAAAATATCACTTGGCCTGGGTTTAGCACCTAACACTTTTCAGTGTATTTCCATCTGTTGTCTCATTTAATCCTCAAAAGAGGTGGAAAGAAGGGGTGTTGTTAAGCCTGGCCTGGAGGTTGGGGCTCACCAGGGTCATGGGATGAGGGAGCAGGGGCAGCATGTGGAGGGTCCTGGCTACTTCCCTCACCCTGCCACACCCTGACTCCTCCTCCCAGGTTGTTCAGACAGAGCGAGTCCTGTGGTCAAGAAGATCAGCAGATATTTTGCAGAATCAGGTATCTGGTAATGCCAGGGTTGTGCAGGGAGCTTAAGCAGCTTTGGAGATGACCTGTTGTGGAGTACACCACACTGGGCGATTACATGAGGTCACTGCCCACCTGATGTGACCAACTTACTTGTGGGAAAGCAGGCTGTTTGCTGGAGTCTCTGAGGTCCAACATGTTTTGATTCATCTGAAGCAAGCCTTCACCCAGGGTCATGACCTCACCCTGAAGTTTGGTGTAAATTCCATGCAATCTCTGTGTAAACATTGGAAAGCCACTCTTTCAGGGCGCTTTCCTTTAGGGGCCTTCCCTGGGGGGTTAGGCCATTTCTGTGGGGCTGCAGCTGCAATGGCAATGGCTGTACCTGGTTCCTCTGCAGGAGGCTGAACCCCCTGAAGGGGAAGAAAGGCAGTGTGTCTGGGACTCTGCCCACTCCCTCTGACCTGTACTGTTCCCTCAGGCTTTCTGGGGTGCAGCTGGGATCTAGATAGCCTTGTGTTTTCTCTGAAGGTGACATCTGTCTTCACAAGTGCATTTGTATATAATTTGTACAGGAATTGGCACTATTTTATGGAGGTCTGTGTGGTTTTTTTAGCTGCCATTTTTGCTTCCTGCTTACCTGTGATGCTCGTCCATAATTATTGGAAGCACCACTCTTTCAGGCAGTTATCTGACTGGGCTGCAGCTCCATGGAGCAGGGCCTGCCCTGTCCTGTTCACAGCTGCATCTTGCCGCCTATGACAGTGCCTGGCATGTACAGCACTTGCTAAATGTTTGTTGAATGAATAAATAGAAAAGAATCTTATGAGGCTACTCACTGACTTAGTTTCCTGTGGCTCCTGTAACATATTACTGTAAACCTGGTGGCTTATAACAGCAGGCATTTCTTCTCTTACAGTTCCGAAGGCTGGAAGTCCACAATCAGTGTCACTGGCTGAAATCAAGGTGCTGGCAGGCTGCGCTCCCTCTGGAGGCTCTAGGGGAGAATCCATGTCTTCCAGCCTCTGACGGCTGCAGCGTTTCTTGGCTGTGGTCGCAGTCTCTGCCCCCGTGGTCACATCACCTTCTCCTCTCCTGTGTGTGCCTCCGCCTTATTAGGGCCACCTGGATAATCCAGGATCATCTCCTCATTTCAGAATCCTGGATCCGGTAGCAAAGTGCCCCTCCCTCTTTTCTGTATCGGTGGCAGCCACAGGGAGTGGGGATCAGGAGGTGGCTATCTGCCACACTCACGAAGGGGATGGAAACCTGAAGGGAGCTGGTCACTCCCTCACTGAGGAGCCTGGTTGGGGAGAAGACACGTGGTCCTAAACACTTCTAATTCAGGGAGAGGTGTCGACGAGGACTCCAGTTCATAGGGAAAGCTGTCATGCCCATGGGTGGGAGCCTCCATTACTATGGAAAGTCTAAGAACCACTTCCTTTTGCCCTTAGAGCCCATTCCTCAGCAGACCTCCACTCGCGTCGCCAAAGCAGATCCCAGACTTGACTCTCATGTTGTAGTGGCACATGGAGGAGCAGGGAGCCCATCCTCACTAGGGCCCGGGTTCGAGGGCCCCCTGGGCATTCTGATGGGCACCCCATCTCCTCCTGAACAGTGCTGATTAGTCACTCTCCCATGGGGAGGGCAGGGGTTAGTGGAAGAAGCAGAACAACTTGCTGGGAGATAAGGGAAGATCATTTTAAAAGGTCAGATGCCACATAAGGAAAGGTCAGGTAAGAAGGAGCCTCAGGCTGGCAGCCTACAAAACGTGGTAAATTTTGCTTTTTAAATTCCCCGGGACCTGAAGCTGCTGCACCTGTCTTCTGTCTCCAAGCAGATCGTGAAAAAGAAAGATCAAAGAAAATGGAAAGGGGCTGGGTGTCTGCATATAGTAGGCTTGTCTATACACACGCCCACTCCACATCACCCTCTTAATGGAACTCCCCTGCCCGCAGTGGTTCCAAATACCTTTTTGGCTTATTGTTCTAGGGACCTGTATACTGTAGGCCCCTCTTATCCATGCAGGATAGGTTCCAAGACCCCTAGCAGATGCCTGAAACTTCCAAGAGTACTGAACCCTATATATACTGTACCATGTTTTTTCTTTTCTTTTCTTTTTTTTAATAGAGATAGGGCCTCACTGTGTTGCCCAGGCTGGTCTCGAGATCCTCCCACCTTGGCCTTCCAAAGTATTGGGATTACGGGCGTGAGCCACTGCACCCGGCCTACTATGTTTTTTTGATTTGACAGTGATGCTGGCTACTAAGTGCCTCACAGGCAGGTAGAATCTATGGTGTGGAGATGCTGGGCAAAGGGACCATTCACATCCTGGGCAAGACGCAGTGGGACAGCACGAGATTTCATCACAGTACTCAGAATGGTGCAAAATTTAAAACTTATAAGTTATTTCTTTCTGGAATGTTCCATTTAATATTTTCAAACTACAGCTGACCACAGGTAACTGGAACCTCAAAAAGTGGATAAGAGGGGATATCCTTCAGATATTCTCGTAAGTTGCCCTGATGTCATCATTGCTTTGATCGGGTATCCTAGACCACCCAGGTAAAGAGTGCCCAGGTACAGGCGGGAGTACAGCAGAGTATAATTCCAGGACCTCTCGGCTCAAGTCCTGTTAATACCCAGCTGGTGTGGGGGTTGGGTAGGTACAGAGTCTGCATTTTCCTTCCTGCAGGGCTTAACTGTCTCCAGCCTGGATGGGCTGCCCTCCCTGGTAGTCTCACCTCTGCCTCCTAGGGGCCCTGGGCAGAATCTTTGTCTATTTTGCCTCCCTTTTATCTGATTCATCACCTGTGGGCACCAAGAGCTATTGTGGAATATTGGGCAGAGTCCTGCGTGACGATTCAGGTGGCCTTGGGTGAACTTCTGCTTTGGATCGCTGAGTTTTCACAGATCAGAAGGCATCTCTGGGCCTCCTCCATCTGCTGGTCTGAAGTGGGGGAAAACGGGGTGATCAACAAGCCTCTTTCCAGTGGTGGCACTCCGGGCCTCTGTGGTGCTGGGATTGGCTCAACCAAAAACCCAGCCTGGATCCTGAAGCCCAGGCTTTATTCTGCCTGTATCTGTGGCCCTCCTTTAAAGTGCCGGGATGAGCTGGTTTGGTGGCACATGGCTCTGTGTCAAATATGTGAAAGAGCAGCCTGGACCTCGCATTTTCAGAGAGGAGAGGACAGGCCGTCTTTGGCACACTCGAGTGGGCAGGGGCCAGGTGGTGGGGCTGAGGAAGGGGTGCAGGGGTGGAGTGGGGTAGGGGGGTCCAGAAAGATCCAGCATCCTCCCATCTGCAGCTCTCTCATGGGGTGGATCTGCATGTCCTTTTGCTGGGCAGAGGAGCCTGAAGGGATGTATCAGCAGGTGGCTGTCTGTCTAATTCACGCTATAACACCATACCATAGACTGGGTGGCTTAAACAATAGACGTTCACTTCTCACAATTCTGGAGCATGGGATTCCAAGATCAGGGTGCCAGCATGGTTGAGTTCTGGGGAAGGCTGTCTTCTCAGCTTGCAGACAGCCGACTGCTCACTGTCTATTCACATGGGGACAGAGAGGTCACCTCTCTTATGTCTTTTCTTATAAGGGCACTAATCCCATTTGTGAAGTCTCCACCCTCATGACCTAATCACCTCCCAAAGGCCACACCTCCTAATACCTTTGCAGTGGGGATTAGGGATTCAACATATGAATTTGGGGCGGTGGGGAGGGCCACCAACATAGCACTGTCCTTGAGGGGTCAGTGGTGGCAGTGTCACTCCTGCTGCCCATGAGGCCAGATGCCTGCTGGGGAGTCTGGGCATGAACACGAGGTGGGGAAAGGGAGTTCCATCCCAACCCCTTCCCTGAGGATAAGCTTGCCTGGACAGAGAGCCTCCCAGTTTACAAGTGTAAGGTATATGGATGTGCTTTGGTCAAGAACAGGCCGAGGTGGATATCCAGGCCTGCATGACTCAGTGAGTTTAGAGTGCAGGCATATAACTCCACTTGTTATCACAGCCATGTAGCCATGTGGCCCGATGCCACTATTGTCTGTAAAAGCTATAATTGCCCTGCTGACTCTGTACAGGTGCACTTGCACCCAGAGAAAGAGAGAGAGAGCCAGAGCTGTCGGTCTTTGCAGATGGACAGGGGGAGCCAGGACACAGCTCAGCCTACTCATGCCCAGAGAGAGAAAGAGTTCAGCTGCTGACCCTGAAGGCAAGGGAGAGCTGGCCACGCAGGTGTGTGTGGGAGCTGGCTGCTGAGAGGAGCCGCCGAGCTGGAGCAGGCAGCCAAAATAAAGGTGAACAGTGTAAACGAGCTAGTGTAAGCTGCTGATGAGAGAGCTGCTGAATAAAATTACATTTCACCTGCCTACAGCACCCCGAGTGTTCTTTCAGCTATCTGCTCATCCATCCCCTCTTTTCGGACCTCAGCTGGGACTGGACCCCAACCCTGAGCATAACAACAAGTGATACTTTTGTTAGGTCCATTTTCACTTCATCAGAAATGTCCTGAGCTCTCCCTGGGCACTGTCCTGTGGCTGGTAAGAGGCAGAGGTGAGTCAGATGTGAAGCCCACTCTCTAGGGGTTCCTCCTCGTAGGGCAGATGGGCAGGTGAACCCGGTACGAGGAGCCCAACAAGTTAGGTGTGTACAAGGTTCAGACTTGTCATCTTGACATTTCCCAGATGTACCACGTTCCTTCCCACTTCAAGGCCTTGCCACATGCTGTTCCCTCTGCCTGAACCCCTTTCTCCCCTTCCTCTGATAAACTCCTAGTTATACTTCAGGTGCTCCTGAAAGTCTTCCCCGAGGCCCTTCCCTTCATTATGCCAATTGCTGTTGTTCGACAATCTTAGAAACCTGTGTTTCCTTTTCCTCTCCCTCCTGCAGGGCAGGAACCGTGTCAGTCTTGTTCCTTGTTGTAACCCAGTGCCGGGCACATGGTAAGTACTCGGGAAATGTTTATTGAATGAATGAAGAAAGCTGTTGCACAGAGGAGTCACTGGTTCACTCTAGAAGTGGGGGAATCTGGGAGGATTTTCTGGAGGAGGTGATGACTAAGCCAGGTGTTGAAGGAAGAATAGAAGTTTGCAGGGCATACCAGGCAGTGGAAACAGCATGCACAAAGACTCAGAGAGGTGGCGTCTTATGGAAGCTCACTGTTGTTGGAATGCAGAGTGAGGGGACAAGGGGTGAGGCGAAGGTGTGGCCAAGGCATGACCTGCTCATGGAAGGTCCAGTGGATGTCTTCAGAAGCTGGGGGATGTGGGTAAGGAGGGGCATAATGTGACCTGTGGTTTGGAAATATTGTTCTGGTGGCTGTGTAAAGTGGCCGGTGAGAGGCTGCTGTGATGCAGCAGGAGAGACATGATGAGGCTCCAACCCATGCACTGTATAAGGATAGGGAGGATGGGTGAGTTCGAGATTTCAGCCTTGAGTCCCAGGGCTTGATGACTAGTTTGATGTGGTAGAAGGAGTAGTCAAGAGTGGAAGGTGATTCCACTAACACAAACTACAGACACAAGAGAGAGGAAGAACAACTTTGAGAAAGTTGGGAAGGGAAAGGCGGTTCTGTTTTAGACACATTGAGTTTGAGGATCTCTTGGGGCTTCATGTCAGAAGCAGATAGTTTTACATTTGGCACCAAAGCTCAAGAGAGAGGTAAGAGCAGGAGATATAGATTTGGACTTCTGGACATATACAGTCATGTGCCACATAACAACATTTTACTGAACGACAGATTGCATATGGTCCCATAGGATGATTCTACCATATTTTTACGGTACCATTTCTATGTTTATCTCCATTTAGATACACAAAAACTTACCACTGTGTTAAAGTTGCCTACGGTATTCAGTGCAGTAACGTGTTGTACAGGTTTGTAGCCTAGGAACAATAGACTACATCACACAGCCTAGTGTGTAGTTGGCTAGAACATCTAGGTCTGTGTAAATTCACTCTATGATGTTCATACAGCAATGAAATCACCTAACAACTCATCTCTCAGAATGTATCCCCATTGCTGTCATTCAGGATTATACATGGAAATTAAAGTGATAGGGGTGAATGAGACTGCCAGGGAGAGGGTATGGAGTAAGACCAGAAAAAGTCTGGGCATAAAACACTCAAGGAAATAAAAATTCAGGGTACCTTCAGAGAAAGAGGACACCAAGAAAAAATGATCAGAGTCGCAGAGGCACCAGGAAGAGAAGTTGTCACGGAGACTGCTGCAGGGTCCTTGGGTTGCCTGCCCAACGCTTGTCCCTCTTTCCTCCTTCCCAACAGGTATCTGTTCTCCTTGACATAAGTGTATGGATGTTCCCACCCCAGAGAGCGAATCCTCATAATGGAAGCCAAAGGTGGTCGTTCCATTCTTCTTGCCAGGGACTGGCTTAGGAATAGACATGTGACCCATTAGGACCAAGGAAGCACGAAAGGGGGCATTCTTCTAGAGGGCTTCTGCGAAAGGTTTCCTTATTCTTAAGACAGAGGCGAGGATGAGATGATTCTATTTTATCTCTAGCCTTCATTGAGACTGCATGTAATATTTGACACAGTGGCAGCTATCTTGTGGCCATAAGGAAAATTAGTTTAAGGGTCAAATCAACACCCCAAAGACGGCAGAGAGGAGACAGGGGAAGAACTGGGGTCTTTTATGACATTGCTGATCCAGGGGCCCTAAATGCAATCACAGAGCAGAGAGAAATTTGATGCACACAGAAGAAATGAAGTCAGTGTGACCATGGAGGCAGAAATTGGAGTATTGTGGCCACAAGCCAAGGTGTGCCATCAGCCACCAGCAATTGGAAGAGGCGAGGAATAGATTCTCCCCTGGAGCCTCCGGAGGGAGGGCAGCCCACTGACACCTTGACTTCTGCCCAGCATTTCCTCTGCCTTTCTGATCCAGGAGGTCAAGAAGGGTCCTCAGTGCTCCTGTGCCTGTGGCAGAAATGGTAGGAAGAGGCTGAGCTGCACGGGAGTTGGACAAAAGAGGACTTTACAAAATGGCCTATAGGCTGGGCGCGGTGGCTCACGCCTGTAATCCCAGCACTTTGGGAGGCCGAGGCGGGCGGATCACAAGGTCAGGAGATCGAGACCATCTTGGCTAACACGGTGAAACCCCGTCTCTACTAAAAATACAAAAAATTAGCCGGGCGCGGTGGCGGGCGCCTGTAGTCCCAGCTACTCGGGAGGCTGAGGCAGGAGAATGGCGTGAACCTGGGAGGCGGAGCTTGCAGTGAGCCAAGATTGTGCCACTGCAATCCGGCCTGGGCTAAAGAGCGGGACTCCGTCTCAAAAAAAAAAAAATGGCCTATAGAATTCCAGGAGTCAGAAATTGAGTCATCCATCCAGGAATCTTTATTATGCACCTGCTTTGTGTCACACCTGCTGGGAATACAGTTATAATTAGACCAGAATCAGCTTTGGGCCTCAAAGAACGAGTGGAAAGGGCTTTCCCCAGAGGGAGCTGGCAGCTCTGAAAGACGCTTATTGACGATGGGGGTGGATTCATGTTGTCCAGGTACTGAGCTGGGGACGCAGCTGTTGGGGTGCAGGAATTCCCCAGCCCATCCTGCTGGCCCTGCTAAGAGACAGGCCTGGGCAGGAGGAGACTGGAATCTCCAAAGCAGATGTGAGGAGGGAGCTAGCCCAAGGTCAGGTGTTGGCTCAAGTTTCTCCTGTAGTCAACACAAGGGCAGTGGAGGAACCTGGCCTGGAGTCTAGCCTGACCTGGAAGAAAGTTCATGGGCTGAAGTGTGAAGCTGCCAAGCTCCAGGGGCCTCAGAGACCTGCAGCCGAGGGTGTGTGTGTGTGGGGGAGGGGGGGGGGCGGGGGGACTGGAAATAGCAGGCCAGAGAGCTGCCAGCCCTTTCCAGGGACAGCACTCTTTCAGGCTAGAGAGGAGCCATGATTGCAGTCACTGCTGGGCCCTGGAAGATGGTGGAGTCCCTGAGGGTCAGAGGAGCTTCCAGGCCTCTCCACCCTTGGTGGGCATGCGGTGTGGCCTGGACCTTGGACCTTGGACCTTGGTTTTTATGTGATTCTCACCTGGGGATGGGAATGGTATGTGACCTCTTCCCAAGGCCCTCCATGGCACACTGGAGCTGAGAACTCCTGCTTGACACGCTGAGTAAGCAGGCAGGGGACCACGACGGCATTTTTCTTCAACCTCATGGAAGAAACAGAGCTCAGGGAAGAGGGAGGGGGTCTTGTCAGGAAGAGAAAGGAAAGTGGGGAGTGGCGTCCTTAGCCAGGACCCAAGGTTGAGGATACCAGTCAGCACCCAGCGATCAGAACATTCCACCACATTCCTCAGGAAGAGAAGCCGCTGTTCTCTTTTTGTTTGTTTGTGGGGGCAAAGGGGATGGCACTTTGAAAGTCAGACATGGTGAAGGCAGCCACAGCTTTGGGGGTGCCAGGTGGCTCTCTGTCTCTCTTCTCTCCTCTGTTTCTCTCTTTCTTCTTGCCCCTCTCTTCCCCTTCCCTTCTTTCTCTCTTCTCCCTCCATCTTTCCTTTTCTCACTGTGTGTCTCCTTGACATCGGGTCTCTATTTCTGTCTACCACTCACATCTGTGTCTCTGCTTTTCTCTCTCTCTCTCTCTTGCTGTCTCTCATACAGAGCCTGGCTTTATTCCTATTACCTCAGCTGAAGGGCCAGGACACCTCAGGAAGCACCTGTGCTCCGGCCCTGCCCAAGCACTTTTTCCATGTTCTCCTTTACACTTCCTCATGCATCCCTTCTTTTAACACGTGCTCACAATGTCATCCGTGCCTTTCAAGTCCCCTCACATATTTTCATCCGTTTTTATCAGCAAATATACAGGCATCTTCCTGGTGCCCCCCTGTCCCATCCTGTTGGCCCAGACCCAGGCTGACAGAAGTTTCAGCTCCTTGGGGCCTGCTGGGGATGGGCGATAGGTAGGTGGTGCCCGCAGAGATCGGGCTCCTCACCCTCAATTCCTGAGAAACCACTGAAACAGGAGAGGGGCATTACAGCACCCTCGGCTCTCAGCCTCCTGGGGCTGCTCCCTCCTGAGGCCAGGACCCAGGATGAGAGCACCCAGGTAAAGGCTGCAGAGCTCCCCAATAGCATACGGTTTAGAGGGAGAGCCTGGGGCCTGATCTCTGACCGGGACCTCTGGCGAATCATGTAATCTTTTTGAGCCTCGGGTTCTTTCTTTAAAACCTGGAAAATTGGTATTTTGTTTGCTCTATTGCACAAAGCGTTACCCAAAATGGGTATTTTGAGTAAAAAATACCCATTTTGTACTCAAAATACCCATTTTGGGAACAAAGCGTGCCTTAATGTATAAATTCAATCCTGCAACAACCTCACTACTAGGCAATATTATCATCTCTGTGAGGAAATGGAGGTTTAGAGAGGTGAAGTCACTCATCCAAGTTTGCTCAGCTGATAAGCGGCAGAGCTGGGTTTCAAACCCGACAGTCTGGCCCCAGGCCCTACACCCTTATGGTTGAGTGTTTTCCTGATGGTCTGTGAAATGCTCTCTTCTTCCACTTTTCTGGGATGGCCTGGGAGAACACAGTTGGTGCCCCTCTCCGGGTACCTCTGAGAAACTGTATTTCCAGGTCTGGCTCTATGGACAAGTGCCCACAGCATGGTTGTCCAGTCTGCAGAAGTGATAGTCCAGGTGCTGAGAGCACGTGGCCACCTCCACCTGGGTCTTCTGAGGGACACAGGGTCACTGAGTGGAGGGAAGGCTCTGATCCAGGGCTGCAGTAACCATCTGTGTTTTCCCCTAAGTCTCCTCAGGCTTTGTTGCCACAATACATTTATTTTTGGAGAATTAGCACCCCCAGTTCAGCACACTGGACCTCTTATTTGCCAGCTGCTTTCTCTCTTGTTTCTGTTTAACTATGGTGTGTATTGACTTTGCTGCTGCTATCTTTGTTTCACCTCTGAAAAGAATATTTGAGTGGCAAGTACTGTTTATTCTCTTATTTCTTCAACAAATATGACTTCCATGCACAGGACACTGTGCTGATTACTCTGGGGGATATGAAAAATGAAACTGGTGTGGCCTTTGCCCTCAGGAATCTTATAGTTCACTAGGGACACACTAACATGCACGGAGGTCACTGTGATACCATGTGGAGTGTGGTGAGAGCATTAGCACCAAACACGCACGTCGGGACTTCAGACAGAGCTCTTAGGGAAGCTTCCCAGAGGAAATGATGTCTAAATAACTAAGTTAAAGTGCAGAGACCCCAAAAACACAGTGATTTATATAAGATCAATCTTAAAATATAATTGTATTTCTCTCTCCTGTGACGGTGCGGATGTAGGTGGCAGTTGAGGCTGCTGGGATAGCTCAGCTCCACAAGGTCATTCGGGGACTCAGTTCTGCTCTATCTTGTTACTTTGCTCCGGTGTTCCACAGGGTGTTGGCCTCATCTCTACGGCTAAAACTTGGTCATTGCCACATTAGTGTTCCAGCTTATGGGCTGGGCGGAGAGGATGGAGGAATATACAACAGGTGCTTTAGGGCCCAGACCCAGAAGTGGCTCACATATCCTGTTGGCCAGAACTTGGTCATTTAGCCACATCTAATTACAAAGGAGATGGGGAAATGTAGTCAATAGCCAGGTGGCCAAGTGCCCAGCCAAAAATTTAATGTGGACGAAACAGATAACAGGGATTATTATCTCCATGACTCTATCACAATGAGTTGGACCTTGGCATATAAATAGAGCCTTGCTAAGTAAAAATTAGAATGAGAGGGCATTCAGGTGCCTTCCAGAAAATGTCAGAGGTAAGGAAAAGTGCAAGATGTATTTAGAGAAAGTGAATATCCAGCATAACTGAAGTGTAGGGTTTCTGTAAAGGAGGTTGTGACCTACATACAGGTGGAGATAGGGCAGGCCTCATCTCTTTAACAGGCTGCTCAGCCTTCCAAATAGAATGTAACCATGCCACCTGTACACCTGCTATCCCAAACACTTGATTCTTCTTTAACCAACCACACAGGATGTATGTTCTCTGAGCCCTACTCAGGAAATTTAACCTTGAGCTGATAGTGATCTAGATCCTATCAAAATCTTGGCTTCCTAAGGGTATGCTATTTGACTACTTTTTTTAAGCAATGATTCTTGTATGTATTGATGCTGATCCCAGAAAGTTCTATGAAGGACTACATTAGCCCAGTCTCCTAGCAGAAGCCCTTCACCATGTTGAGTTTCATGTTAAGCTCTTGGAAGAGATGGCCACACGAAGAACACTTTGGTATGTTCCAACAAAACATTATTGAGGATGTTGCTCACATTTTGTTCATGGTATAACATGGTATTTTTAAATAAAAATCAACCACAGGCTCTATATCTTGCGACATCCTGTTGCTTTGTCCTTGGCATTCAAGACTAAACAAACATTTATCAAGGCACTGGCTATTGACAGATACTGGGCCAGGTGCTTGGTGGGAATATAGAGAGAAGAGACACAGTCCCTAACTTCCAAGAGCTCACAGTCTGGGGCAGGGGATGCGAATATGTGGCTTGTGAGGCAGACAGATAAGTAATAGGCATTTATGACATAATTTGGTAAATGTTGTGTGAAGCACAGAAAAAGATGCTATAATAGCCTGGAGAGAGAAGGCGAGGAAGGCCTTCTGAAGGAGCTAAGTCTTGGAGGTTGAATAAGGGTCAATAACATTAATCATGAGGAATGGATAAAACAATGTTCTAGGCAAAGGCAACAGCTTAGCAAAGTCATGCAGAAATGAGAGAGGGTGGGGCTCAGTGTGGCTGTGGTTTAGGGGGAGGAGGGGGGATTCAGCTGGAGGGATAGGCTGGGCTAGTCACAGGGGCCTTGCAGCCCTGCTGAGGAATTTGGGCTTTTGCCCACAGGCTCTATACCATCCTGGCAGATGATCAGATCCATATCTTAGAAATGTCAGTCTTGTCAACATAAGTTAGGGACTGGACTAAGAAGGGAAGCTGTTGCAATATGTCAGGTGAGAAATGATGTGGCCTTAAACATGTGAAGACAAGGTGGACATAAGGAGGTGGAAAGAGGTTGGAGGAATATTAAGGAAGAAGAATCAATAGCACTTGGTGACTGATTTGGGGGTAAAGGAGAAGGAGAAGGTGATGGGACAGTGAGGTGTTTGGACTGGCAGTGTTACTCCTTTAGAACCAGCTGACAGGGGAAGGAGCAGGTGAGGGGTGGGGGATGAGGTGCTTGACTGTGGAGGTGGGCCAGGCAGTCAGATATGCAGGAGGAAGATAAAGATTTTGGAGTTTCCAGTGTGCAGGTGCAGGTTAAAGATAAGGAGTGTGTCCAAAGCCAGTGAATACTGAATGACACACCTGCGGTGTTGTCAGATGCTTTTTATTCCACATAAGAAGTTGATGCAATGGCTACTGTGGGCCTGGAGCTTTCACACTCACTTATTTAGCCTGCTCCATAAAGCTGTGAGGAAGAATGCATTTACTTATTGATGCTTGGCTGGAGAAAGGATTTAAGCCTGTAGGTATTATCACTAGGCTGATTTTACAGTGAGGTTCAGAGAAGTGAAATGAGTGGTAGCAGGCCAGGTTGCACAGAAGATGGTGGAGGGGGATTGAAGGGCAGGCCTTTGCAGCCTGGTCTATACCACAACTGCCTTTTGTGATGTGGGTGCCCTTTGAGCAGGAGAGGCATAGCTGCTGGTAGCACATGCTGCTCACAGGGGACTACATGAGTCGGTGGGGCAAGGGCACCTGACCATGGCCTTGGCTCCCGTGCATGCACTGGGTTCTGACTCTGGCACAACCCTGGGCATACTCAGCTCGGTGAGCTGGTTTGGTGCTCATTTTATCATCCTTTTGGTGCAGGAGGATTTCTGTCCCTCTTGGCCCTCCACATCCCCTGCTGTCCTCATGGCTGGAGAGGAGGCCTGCAATGAGGCAAAACTGACACCAAGGCAGGCCCATCCATGGTGAAAGCAGAGGTGTACTGGCATTAGGTGTTGAAAGATTTGCATGCGGAAGGGGTTGGGGAGAGGAAGTACTTAACCACTGATGTTGATTTAGTGCAAGGCTGGCACAGTGGGTTGAATTGTGTCCCCCCCCGCCCCCACCAAATATGTCCCAGTACCTGTGAATATGAGCTACTTCTGCAGATGTAGTTAAGAATCTCGAGATGAAATCATCTAGGATTTAGGGTGGTTCTAAATCCAGGGTCTCTCTGTTGCCCAGGCTGTGGCACCATCTCAGCTCACCACAGCCTCCACCTCCTGAGCTCAAGAGATCCTCCCGCCTTAGCCTCCCGAGCAGCTGGGACTACAGGTGTGCACCACCAGGCCTGGCTAATTTTTGTATTTTGTGTAGAGTTGGGGTTTCACCATGTTGCCCAGGCTGGTCTCAAACTCCTGGGCTCAAGGGATCTGCCCACCTCAGCCTCCCAAAGTGCTGGGATTACAGACATGAGCCACCGCACCCAGCCTGAATCTACTGCCTTTATAAGAGAAAGAAGAGGGAACTGTGACACATGGGGAAGATGGCCATGGGAAAATGGGGACAGAGATTGGGGTGATACAGCCACGAATCTAGGAATGCCTAGGGTTCCCAGGAGCTGGAAAAGGCAAGGAATCTTCTCCCCTAGAGGCTTTGGAGGGAGTGTGGCCCTGCTAACACCTTGATTTCGGCTCAGTGATGCTAATTTTGGACTTCTGGCTTCCAGAACCATGACAGAATAAATTTCTGTGGTTGGAAACCACCAAGTTTGTGGTAATTTGTTGCCGCAGCCCCAGGGAATGAACACAGCTGGCAAACATGTGGCAGGCAAGTGCCTCCTACACCTAAGGAGGATGCCAATAATCACCCTCAGTATCCCTTCTGGGGAACCCGGCACCACCCTTGATCCTGCCCACAGAGCCCTCTGGCAGCTGCTGCCACATGACTGGAGCTGTCACACTCCATGCTGTGATTTAGTGCTCACCAGGTCCCTAACACTGGACTTGGCTCAGGCAGCTCAGAAAAGGGTCTGGCAGGGCCACTGTTCTCAAGGGGCCTGGAGCCTTGGCCTGTGTGGGTGTGGGGCATGGCCATATCACCTCTGGAGCATGAACAGTGCCTGCCAGTCTCTGGACATCTGCTCAGGCCACCCAGCCTCAGCTCAGCAGCTGGGCTTTCTCCAGCTTTTGGGCTGTCCAGCTGCAGCTCAGCAGACAGCAGCATAGGACTTGTAACTTATTCACCTCGAGGTGAATAAGTTACCCACAGAGATTTAGGCAGAGAAAACTACCGTTTGAGCCAATAGGTTAAAGAAAACGCACCAGTGCCTGGATTTTGCCTTTAAATCCAGGGACAGCCTGGATTTAAAGGTCTATGGAATTCCTGAGGTGAATGCTTCCTGAAGCCATGGAGAAGGATGGCACAGAGCAAGTGTGACATGGGAGGTGTCACATGCTTCTCTTAAAGGAGAAGCAAAACTATCCGGATATGGGGAAAAGGACAAAATATCATACAGGATGCAGCCTCCCCTGCCCTCAAAGAGGGGTGCTTATCCTGATGGCGGGGGGCGGTTTCCTCACTCAGGACTTCCTCTTTCTTTTCTTCGGCGCAGTCCCCTCCAATTGCTTGCCTCAGAATCACTGGCTATAATTATACAAAAGTGGATTCCCGAACTGCCTCCCAGACAGACTGAGTTTGAATCTCTGTGGCTAGGACCTAGATATCTGCATTTTTAATAAGATCCCAGATGATGCTGATGTATCATCAGCTAAGAATTACTGGCCTAAAGGTGTTTCCAACACAGCCCACCATGCCAGTACAAAGCAGCTGTGCACACTTTTGGAAGGATCCCCATTTTCTCCTGGGGAACTGGCCTTGGGATATGACCAATAGCGCCCCATAGCTCTCAGAACAACCCTGTCCCCATGGGCCCTCGCGGGCAGGCTGAGCACAGCAATGTGGCACTCAGCGGCTGGCCTGGGATTTGTTGGAAATAGGTTTGCTGCTTCTCAGCCAAGTGGCCTGAAGCAAACGATTTAACCTGTCTTGATTTCCTCATCTGGAAAATGGGGACACCAATAGAACCAACAAAAAGTGTTGAGAGGACTGAATGCCAGCATGTGCATGAAATGCCTCATCGGTGCATAGTACAGCATTTGATAACTCAGAGCTTTTTCAAAAAGGTATGATGATGAAAACCTTATTCAGAAGAAAGAAAACTTCACAGAAATCATTATTACAAAGCCCAGCTGAAGCTCTCCTGCACATCAGACCCCTTCTGGGAAGTGTTTGGAAAACATCAGTCTAGTGGCCCCTCCCCAGTCTTATGCCTTCCCCATCCTTCCCTCCCATCTGTGAAAACAGAGGAATCTCTAGTGGGGGGTGTCTGAGTTTTTTGAAAAAGAGAAAGCTTTCCTCTGGTAAGAATCACCTGGGGGCACTTGAAGACACGGCCTGGCCTCTCTGGGAAATTCTGCTTTTGGTGTTGGAGATGGGTTCTTGGAATTTACATTTTTAATCAGGTACTTCTTAACTTTTCAGCAGTTAAGGAAGCACTGGTTTAAAGTGGGTTTAACCTTCTGTGGTTGAGAGAGGTTTTGGCGCCACCCTGACCAGCCAAGGCTGTCTCCCCTGTTATCCACAATTCCTTGTGGCAACACCACCTCTATCTAGGAGGGAAGTGTCACTTATGGTGTGGAGCCTGCTAGTTGTGTTTGGAGATTGCAAAGCACAGTCTTTGTCGGTCTGTGTATGTGTTCATGTAAGTGTGCACACACCCTCACACTTCTGAAAACTACCTCGATGATGGCAGGAAAAAAGAACTGGCTAAAATTGTAGAAGTTGAGAGCCAACACAGTGCTCAGAGGAACTTTAACGCTAAATAAAAACAAAGGATGAGGAGGGGTCCCATGGACAGACGGGGGGAACGGGAGACTCAGTTGAGAGTGGAGGCCCCTGACTGAAAGCCAGCAGTCCCCACGTGGAGCTCTCACCTTCTGGATGGCTCAGCCTGGCAGGCTGCTTCTGTTTGAGAATCCTGGGAGGCTCGCCCTTCCACATGTACTTTAAGCCTAGAGAAGTGTTGGGAGCTGTCCTGCCACTCGTGGGGCAAGGGGAGGACTGCTTAGCCAACCCTGGTGAGATGTGAGCTAGGGAGAGGCTGCCGTTCTTGCCCCTGCCCTCCCATGTCTTTCTAAGGATGATTCTAGAACCTTCTCTCTGTCTCCTCCATGGAGCTGGCTGCCAAGGGGAAGCTTTGCTTACCCAGTCCGGTGCTGCTGGTGGTGCCTTAGTCTTCTGACATGATCTCTGTAACAGGGACTTGAAAATAACACTCGGAGCAGTGCCCTGTTCAAATGGTCACAGTTCACATCCTGAGGAACCATCTATTTTGGGCATGTTGAAGTTTGGAGCAGGTCAGTGCTGGATAAACAGCATTTTTCTAGGACTAGACCAGGAACACCAAATATAGTAGAAATGTAACAAGCCCTCAGAATATGATTTATGAAAACAAAACAAAATGTGTAATTCTGTGAATATACTAAAAACCATTGAATTATACTCTTTAAATGAGTGAATTATATCTCAATAAAACTTTTACAAAAAAAAAATTAAATGCTGAAAAGTAGATGATTTCCTGGAAAGGTAGTTTCTCATTTTAAGATATAATTATCAGCCTGAGTGGGACCTACTTTTCTCTCTGACCCTGTCCTGTTTAGAAATACCAACATGCATTTCCCATCAGCACCATAGAACCTGACTCCTCCCCACCCCACAAATCACTCAACTTTGCAAAAGGGTGACATTTGACAAATCCCAAAACAGCCAAACAGGCGAGCCATCACTATTCAGGTTTGCATTTGCAAACTGAATCCTTAACTACCACAAATGACAGCAGCTTGCACTTGCTGAAGAGCTCTTCTGAGCCAGGGCCTGCCTAAGCACATTCAATGCTCATATGAGCCTGTCGCCCAGGCTGGAGTGCAATGGCACGATCTTGGCTCACTGCAACCTCCGCCTCCCGGGTTCAAGTGATTCTCCTGCCTCAGCCTCCTGAGTAGCTGGGATTACAGGCGCACACCACCACACCAGGCTAATTTTTGTAATTTTTGTATTTTTAGTAGAGATGGGGTGTCACAATGTTGGTCAGGCTGGTCTTGAACTCCTGACCTTGTGACCCACTCGCCTGGGATTACAGACATGAGCCGAAATTAGCTCATAATAACAAAAATTAGCCTGGTGTGGTGGTGCGCACCTGTAATCCCAGCTACTCAGGAGGCTGAGGCAGGAGAATCACTTGAACCCAGGAGGCGGAGGTTGCGGTGAGCCGAGATCATGCCATTGCACTCCAGCCTGGGCGACCAGCTCATGAGCCACTGTGCCCGGCCCACCTGGAGAGCTTTTAAAGCCACTGCTGCCTTGTTCCCATCCCTGGAGAGTCTGATTTTATTGCTTTGGGGTGCAGCCAGAGCACAAGCTTTGGTTTTGTTTTTTTTCATAGCACACCAGGCATTCTAATAAGAACCCTGGCTCTAGAGTCCATGTTTACATTAAAGAGGCTATTTACTTCTTGCCTGGTACCACGCCTGTGACTTGGGTAGCTGTCCCTGGCAGCATGGCTAAATTCCTCCATCTGGGGTTCACAGAGAGAAGGGGAATGAGTTTCAGGACAATGGCTGTGGCTGCAGGCTCCTGCACAATCTATCTGGCCCTGTCTGATCCTTGGCCTCTGCCGGCCTTTTCTTCCCCACAGCTGGAAACCTAATCTCAGCCCCATTCCAGTTCCACCCCACCTCACCCATTCTGCCCCAAGCCCACAGCCCAATTCTCACCCTGGGTGGGGGGAATCAAGGCAGCCGTAGCTCAAGAGTGTGTGCCAACAGCAAGAATTCCTGATTATTAATCCACCCACACTGACATTGGGTTCCTATAAGCAGGTTGTGGTCTGCACTGTGAAACTGGTTAGGGTAACTGCAGGCCTGCCCAGCTCCTCCAGGCTTAGGACCTCTTCAGGAACCTGGCTCCCTTTTCACATGTGGCCCCTGCGTTTCACTTAGTGAAAGAGAATCTTGTCTTCTTGTTAGCCTTTGATCTCTGGAGCTGCCCCTTTCTATTTTAGTCTTAAATTCCTTTCCCACCACCGTGCCTGAGTAGGCAGGTCTTCCTCAGACCAGTTTTGCACTGCAGTCCTCCTGGCAGGTTGCCTCCTATAAAATGTCCCTCTTTGGTGGGTGTGGTGGCTCATGCCTGTATCCCAGGACTTTGGGAAGCCGAGGAGGGTGGATCACCTGAGGTTAGGAGTTCGAGACCAGCCTGGCCAACATGTTGAAACCCTGACTCTACTAAAAGTACAAAATTACCTGGACATGGTGACATGTGCCTGTAATCCCAGCTACTCTAGAGGCTGAGGTGGGAGAGTCGCTTGAACCAGGAAGGTGGAGGTTGCAGTGAGCTGAGATTGTGCCACGGCACTCCAGCCTGGGTGACAGAGCGAGACTCTGTCTCAAACAAAAATAAAAACAAAAACAAAAACAAAGTCCCTCTTCAAGGCCCACATGCTTGTCCAGAATCTACATTTCCAATGCTTAAATAGGATCTGCGCTTCAAAATAGAAACATACAGTAGGGTCCTCTGAAGTTACTATGGAAATTAGGTTAGAAAAACAAGACTAATATCCTTGAGGAAAGAAAATGGGAAACCTGAGACTAAGATCATGACCCCTGGAAAGGATATGGCTGTCCCAGGCTCAAGAGCTCTCAGCTCTGGGCTGCTCCCCTGCCTAATCCCCGGCATGCTGGCCCTCACTGCAGGAGGGGACGTCCTCTCTCCCTGCCCTTCTAGCCCTGGCCAGCTCCCCCTCCTGCCCTCAGGAGTCAGCTGCAGGAAGGAACCGGAGTCGGCTTCAGCCTGACAATCACAGCAGGAAATGGCTAAACTCTCTTGGGAAATTTTGGGTCTGGTGAGACCCTGGGCCTCATTTTTGACCTTTGTATCCAATATGGACCCTTCTTATACTCAGCCACACAGTACTCTGACTCCACAGCTCCCAACTCTTCCTACTACAGCACTGCCTGGCTCTTAAGGCTTTCGGCTTTGCCTTCTAGGAAGCTTGTTCCATTGACAGGAGTTCCCCATGGCTGGGGCCCTCTCCTCCTTCTCACTGGAGCTGAGGACACAATGGGTGACAGCCCTTGCGAGTGGAGGCTGCTCATTCTCCTGCCCCCCATTTACCTAAGGCCTGGAACCCACTGTTGGTGTTCTTGAAGCTTCTTACTGCTGTTTACAGGCAAATATGTGTTCACTCTCCTCTAGAAAACGCTTCTCCACTGAGATCTGTGCCTTCCTCCTCGACCATCTGTCATGCTTAGAATTAGTTCATTTGCTGACAGAAAACCCAAAATAACAGTATCTCAAACACTCGAGATTTTATTTTTTAAGTTAAAGAAGTCTCTGAAGCAGACTGTCCCGAGCAGGTAATTTAGCTTCATGAAGTCTTCGGGGACCCACGCTTCTTCCCACTCATGGTTCTCCCATTCTTAAGGTGGGAGCCTCGTCTTATGGCCCAGGATGCAGCCCACACCTCAGCCACCATGTCAGAGCTCCAGGTCGGCCACGGAGGGAAGGGAACAGGAAGGGCTTCCAGAGCACCCTAGAGCAGGGACACAGCCACTCCCGCTGACCAGCTAGGATGAGCAATGTGATCTTAAAAAGTCTGGATGCAATGGCTCTGGCTAAAAAACCTCTTCTTGCTAAGGAAGAAGAGGCTGATGGATATGGGAGGGAGGTCTCAGTCTCTCCCACATCACCCTCATTACTGGCCTCCACACATCTTAGGTATCCCCTCACAAGCTCCGAGGACTTCATTGCCCATTTCCCTCAAACTGTGCCATCATCTTGGGAGTCCTCAGCACTGCATCAACCATCTCTCGATGCCTCCATCCAAGCTCTCCCTCCATCCAGCCTCCATCCTCAAGGCCACAGCAGGGAGCTTGTCATCCCAACTTGGAAGTATCCAGCTCACCGAACTGTTATCCTTCCTGCTTGCCCTTCTCTCTCACGAAACCTCTTCTAGGATCTCCCGGGGATCTTGAGTTCCTGGTCTCCTCCCCACTTACCAAGTAAAAGAGCCCATCCTCAATGCACTTCTGTTTCTGCCCCACTGCCTGCCAGCCTCATGGTCTCCCGTCCTTGTGCACATACTCCCTGCTCCTCCTGCTCCTGGCTGAGCCAGCCCTTGCCTCCACCTCAGCCGCTGAGTCCCGCTCCTCTGCTGCGCAGACTATGCAGCCTCAGACAGCAGCTGCATCCCAAAGAGAAGTTACATGTTTTGTTGTTGCTTCATTTTGGGAGATGCTGCTCCCAAAGCCTCTCGCATGGACTTTGTTAGCTCCTTGTCCCATTTCCCTTCTCAGCCCTTTCAGACCCTAGCACTTTCCGCAAGCCTCCCTGCCTCCCAGCCATGACTGCTTCCTGTTTTTTGGAAGAGATGTCCTCAGGTGTGGCCGCCTCCACTTCCTGCCCTGTCACCAGCGAGCTTCTCTGCTTGCGTTCTCCTCCCTGCCCCCTTCTCTGAGGAAGGGTGGTCCCCTTGCCGAGCTAAAACTGAACTGCCCACACGCAGAGAGCCTCCTGCCTTCTCTGGATTACTCCTTGGAGTATCCTTCCATCGCCTGTGCCTTCAATCTCTTCTTCATCGGCTTCTTCCTCCCTGGAAACGAATATGAAGATCTCTTCCAAATTACAAAAGTCCTCCACGTATTGCGATCTCTTGGCCTATATAGATTGTTTTGCAGCAAAGTTTGTTGAGAAAGTTGTCTACACTCCCTTTATCCACTTCTCCACCCCATTTGGGCTCCCACCCTTTCCTCTCTGGCTTCTGCTCTCACGATTTCCTGGAAACTGGGCAAAGGCTCCTACTTAGGTGGGCTTTCCGGGGCTCTACTTACAGACTCCCCTGGGGCAGGAGACACCATCAGCCACACCCCACCCCTTGGCAATCCTCTGCTCCTCTAGTTTTCCTGGCAGGACTGTTTCTCCACTCTGCTGTCTCCCAGGCCAGCCCCTTTCATCTGGGTGTGTTGGGAATGCTGTTTTCCCAGCGTTCCCGCAGCCCATGGCTCTTCTCTTCGCAGGGCCCATCTTCCTCCCCACAGTGATCTTTCAAACCCAGGATGTCGGCTGCTGCCTACCCCCAGCAGAGCTTTCTGGTTTGAGCGGAGCTGAGCTTGCCAGGCCTCAGGCAGTTCTGGGCATGTCTGGGGACCTGGTGAACGGACTACCCCAGGTCTATTTGTATGGGAACTAGCAGTGTCCCGGAAAAGAACCAGCTGTGGTTTTGCCTCCTCAATGACAACCAATCAACATATTTAACTCTACACACATTAATAAGCACTCTTCTAGAAACTGGGGGTATGGCAGGGAACAAAACAGACACAATTCTGGTCTTCATGGAGGCAGACAGACACAAGATAAGTAAGACCACATTGCAAGAAATGCTGAGGACAAAAAGCAGGGTGAAGCGATAGGAAGAGTGTGTGTGTGTCTGTGTGTGTGTGCAGTGTGTGTGTGTGCATGTTGACATTTGCAATAGGGCAGTCACTGAGATGGTGACATTTGAGCAGAGACTGAAGGGCTGGTGTGTGACCATGCGCGTGGAGAGTATTCCAGGTTGAGGGACAGCAGGTTTAATGAAGCTTATGGGAGGCCATTGCTTTGGACTGAGCTTTTGTGCTGGGTCCGACAGACCAGACCAAGCCAGAATGGAGCCACTTGTGCTTGCCATATAATTAAACTTAACTTTAAAATGGGCCAATTTTCCAAAAAAAAAGGAAAATAATCAGAAGGGCACCAGCTTACCTGAGCCGGCATGATAAGGAAAACCCCTGTGTTTTAACACTGTCAGGAAAGTCACTTCGAAACGAGCATCCCGCTTTGTCCTCCATTTCTACTTCTTCAGCCCTCTTCTGCCTGTAAGCCCCGCCCCCCCACCTCAGTGCATCAGAGTACCTGTTCTAAATCTGTAGACAGTATGCTGCCCAATTCATGAATTGCTAATAAAAGCCAAGTAGATCTTTCAACTAAATTTGTTTAAAAAGATTTTTTATAACAGTCCTGAGAGAACAGCAAAAATTCTTTGCTTGAGAACTGAAGGAAGCAGAGTGAATCAGGAGGGCCCCAAGATAAGGTCAGGCCAATAGTGGTGGAGGGGTGTGTGTGTGTGTGTGTGTGCGTGTAGGGTGGGGGTATTAGGGCTGATAACTTAGGGCTTTGTAAAAACTTGGGTTTTACTCTGAGGCAGGAAGACTAGGGAGGGTTCTGAGCAGAGGAGTGATGTGTTCTGAGTGATGTTTTAAAAGGCTCACTGTGTTAAGAATATACCAAAGGGCAGAAACAGGAAGACCTATGACAATAATCCAGGCAAGAGAAAATGGTGGCTGGGTCTGGGCTGGGAGCAATGGAAGTAGTAAGAAGAGACTAGAATCTGCTACCTTTTCAAGAGTAGTACAAACAAAATTTGCTCATGGTGGACCCACAGATGATGCTATTTAAGACGGAGTAATCCAGATGGTGGGTGTTATTGTCTACTTGGGCTATGCCTTCAGATTGCACAGTGTGGGATTAGGGTCTTTTTTCCTTGTAGCAAAGGGATGTTCCCAATGTCTATCATTGTGGAAAGATGCTAACCCTGAAGTAGGAGAGGCATGCTTGGATAGGGGCCAGGGTGTCAGTGGGGACTGGGGCAGAGATGCTGGGGACCTTCCTGGTGATGGTAGCGTTGGTGTTGTTGGTGATGGTGGGGGTGGAGGCTGAATGAATTAGCCCTGATCTAGAGGCAGACCAGGACCTAGAAAAGGCTTGGCTGGTGAGGGACTAGGGTTGGGCTGGGTCCTGTTGGTTTCCAGTGAAGCTACTTCTAATTGTGGTCATACCTCACATGCTTTTTGTGCATTTGTTCCTTTTCAATGCAGACAGCAATGCCCTTGACAGTGGGTACTTTGGTCCCAGTGAGACAGGGAAACTGTGGTGGCTCCTGGAATGAGCATCTGGACCTAGGCATGGCTCTGAGTCTTGGGTGGTCCAGGACGCCACCATAGTGAGCAGGAGCAGGGAAGGGGGAACCATGGATACCAGGTGGCACAGAAGTCTAGTACAAGAAGTAAGTTTATGTAACCTCCTGTTCCCCCCCACCTGCCCCCACATATACCAGGGTTTGCCAGGATTCCCTGGAATATGTTGAGAGGGGCTGGAGTTCCCTAATAGTGGGAGGAGGCAGAGGCAGAGAAAGGCTGTCCTGGGTGACTCACTGTCATGCTATTTTTGACTCCAGGCTCCTGTTGCCTAGGAAATGTGCCTTCTTATAGTCGGCTGACTCCCAATCTCTCTCTCCAGACTGGCTTTCTTTCCTGATATCCATACCTCTTGGGCGTCTTGCCTTAGATATCCCAGACCTCAAACCCAAAGTGAGCTCCTCTCTTCTGCAAACTTCTCTCTCTCTTGTTCTCAGCCTCCAGAATGACACCACCAGCCAGCCAGCTGCCCAGGCTGGAACCCTGGGTCAAGCTTGAATCCGTCTTTCCTTTTGTCTGTCATATGTAGTTAATCATAAGGCCCTATGTGTCACCTCCTAAACATCTCTTGAGTCCCTCTCTTTTTTTCCATCCTTGCTGCCCTAGCCAGAGTTTTGGGGTGAATCCTTACAGGGGAAACTCCTTACAGGCACTTTTGCCTCATTGTGCCCTCCTCTCTGCTCCTAACCCTCCATGGTTCAGAGTGACCTTCCCGGTGTCACCTCCTCCTCAACGTTCTTCAGTAGCTCCCATCACCTTTGGGAGATGACATACAGCAGATAAGGCCATGTTGGCATGGCCCAGGCTACCTGCCAGCCTCTGGCCACTCCCTGCAGCACTTCATGAGCAGTGATTCTGGACAGCTAATAGTTCCTGAACCCTGCTGGGTTTGGGTTGGGGTGGGGGACACTGATTCCCAGCATCTGTCTTTCTATAGACTGGAGGGAATTTCAGATTACCAGAGGGAACTGTAAAGAAGAGATACTTAGAGCTTCTTACAGACCCCTTCTCAGTTCTCCTGGGGCTGGGGTGGGCTCTTTGTGACCTGGGAAAAGAAACAGAACACACTCAGCTGGGCATCGACCCTTTCTTGTCTTGAAGCAAAATGCATTCAGGTCTGTTTTCCAACGTTCATGGATTGGGGTGGGCTCTGCTTTGGGTAGGAATGGCCCTAGTTTTGGGTAGAAGGAGTTCAATATATGGGTCACTCATTAGGAAACCCACTCCCTCCACAGTGCTATTTATTATTCCCTTAAAGTCCTAGGAAAACCAGGCTCTCTCACACCTCTGTGTTGTAGCCTCTGCTCTTCCCTGGAAATGTCCTGTCCTGCTTGCCCACATGGCAGATTTCTCTCTTGTGTTGTCTTGCTCAGGCTCTGCATCTGCTGTGGTGGCCGCTTCCCCCACCTGCCCTTTCCTGTATGCAGACTCCAGTGCTCCTTCCTGAGGCCTCCAGCACACTCTGTTCATCTTCCATTGCTAGAAGAACCTAAATAAATAGCAATGTCCTTATGTCTTATGCAGGGGTGTTTTTTGCTGGTGGGGTGGGGGATGTGGTGGTGGGGGGTAATCTTTTCATCTTTATGGTCCTTGTGCCTTGCAAATGGTCCAGCACACACTCTTTTGGTAACTGTTTGCTGAATAATTCAGTTCAACCTAGTCTATTCAGCATAGATTCTATCGTAGGTACTGTACTTTGCATTGGGAAACACAAATGAATAAGATATGATGGGGACCCCGGAAGGTGGTGCAGCTTAGTGGTAAAGACACACTTGCATAATATAAGTCCTATACTAAATCTATGAAAAATGTTGCACTTGTGTGGTTAAGAAGTATTGGATTTGGAATTAGGACTCCAGGTTTAAATTCTAGCTTCAAAACCCACTAGCCTAAATTTTCATAGCTGTGAAATGGGAATAGTAGTACCTATCTCATAGCTCAAGGATTAAATGAGATAAAGTATGTAATCACAACCTGTATGGTTACTGGGCAATAATATACGCCTAAGTAATGTGTGCAGAAATGAATGTGCCTCATTTGATGGGAGCACAGAGCCTAGAGCCTTTGGATTTGCCTGGGGCAGTTGAGCAGACTTCACGGAGGAGACATTAGCACTGGATTCAGAGAAAGCAGCTGGAAATGACATTTCTGGAGAGAGATCTTGGAGATAAACTTCCTGGGGCTTGGCCTGGGGGCTGTAGCTAGGTGAAGCTGCAGGCCAGGCAGCTTCCAGAGGAGAGGCCACAGCAATGCGATCTGTGGCAAGGTCCCCTGCCCTAGAAGCCGCTGAGTCACACCGAGGCCCAGAGGACTCTGTTTTGTTCCAAGTGAGCTTTCAGCTGAAGGACAAGCCTGGACAGGGCCTCTGTTGCTGGGACTTTGTGCCCAGCTCTGTTTCATGGGAGCAGCTTGGAGCCCTGCCTGGCCCCTTCTGTCCCTCCCACCCCTGCAGGGAGGCCCCAAGGAGCCTCAGCCCAGATTCCTAAAGTGAGTTCCAGCTCTGGTTTAGAGAGGGGTATGTTTTGCTTGGAGCTTTATTTTAAGGCTTGCAGCACCCAGAGCAAAAAAGCCGTAATTCTTGCATCATAGTGGTAGGTGTAGAGGTCAAGCAGCCCCCAGGATGAAATCCCAGCTCCTTCAATTTTTGACCTGGCGTAAGTTATTTAACCTCTTCAAGCCTCTTTCCTTCATCTGTCAAATGGGAGTAATAAGGCCCACTTCCCAGGCATGTTACCAGAATTAAATAAGAAAACATGCATTTTCTTACTTAACACAGTGAAGAGCTTTGTGCCTGGCATTTATTATTCACAGTTGCTGTGTGGGAAGGTTCAAAGAAAGGACCTAGAGACTCTCTCCCCTGATCTAATGATCATGGAGTCCTGCAGACTCAGTGTTTCTCAAACTTTATAACCAAATCACCTAGGGATCTGGAGGATGCACAACCTGATCCAGGAGGCCTGGGTGGGACCTGAGGGTCTGCATGATTGATGAGCTTCCAGGTGATGCCCTGGCTGCTCTGCAGGACCACATGGTGAGCACAGGGCTCCAGACACTTTCCTCCCCCAGCCCCACTCCACCCCAGGGCTCCTCTCCCCTCCGTCAGGGCCCAGGTAATGCCCTTCTCATGGGTTTGGCTTTGTCCAGCCTTCCTCACCTCCATGCCTGCAGCTCACTGTTGCATCATGATTCTTCTTGAAGTGTAGGAGAAACTGCTGATACACAGCCACATATGATCAGAGGAACTGCTGCTTCTGCTGGGGGTGAGGGCAGGGGACGACATGATTCTCTCAGGAGGAGATGGCCTTTTATCTAGCAAAACACCTTGGAGACTGCTTGGTGTGAGGGAGATGAGGCACCCAGGGCTTGCTTTTAAGGAGATCTTAAGTGATCCCAGGCTTAGCAGGATAGCTATTTCAGACATGATCTCCATGTGTGGATGGTGGCTGTTAGGCTATTTGCTGTGACTCAGTTTCTCTGTTGAAAAAGGGCTTAGTGGGGGCCAGGCCTGTTGAAATAAGGCTTAGTGGGGGCTGGGCGCGGTGGCTCATGCCTGTAATCCTAGCAATCTGGGAGGCCGAGGTGGGAGGATCACTTGAAGTCAAGAGTTTGAAAAAGGGCTTAGCAGGTACCTGGGATTGTCAGTGAGGGGAACTTGCTCTGGGCAGGCAGCTGGATGCAGGGCCCAGACCCACCTTCTCCCACCGTATCACTCCATTCCTGCTTGGCTCCAGTGGAAGGTGGGAGGTGGGGAAGAAAGGGTTCAGTTCAGCCTTTAAGAAACAACGGTCACACAGACGTTTAGACAGATTAAGTCTTGCTTTATAGAGCTTGTAACCATCTCCATTATGTGCTCAGAGATACTCTGCAGAAAAGAGGAAAACATGCAGATGGATGTTGAGGAGTAAGGCTGATGTCCCAGTCAAGTGGCTGCCTGCACTGCTGGGGTCTAGATCCCACACAGGCCTTGCCTTCAACTGGGATGCCTTCCCACAGTTTTCTGTTAGCCATTGGCTTTTGCAGGTAAGAAGCACTGTGCTGGCTTCACATAATTCTAATGTCAAGAAATACAAAACTGAGATTTACTGAATTGTGCAGAAACGAAGGAGGAGCTGTGTAACAAGAAAGAGTCCTGAGCTGCAGTCAGAGATTTGGCTACCAGGGGTTGCAGTGGTTGATCTCTAAGGTCAGATTCTAAGAGAAGATCTGGAGGAACATAATTTTCTAGCTGACGAATGAAAGAATGCAGATGATAATTACTGCACATAAACCACATTCAAGAGGACACTGGGACCCCTGTGAAGCTTTATTTACTTTTTTGGTCTTCTTGCATAAAAGAGATGATTGGCATGAGCCCGGCTGGTTTGTTAGCTAAACACAGATGTGCACTTGCAGCTGTAGTTACACTTGTTGGGCTGTCAGGAGGAAATTGTATATTGTGCATTCATGAGAAACTGATTAAACAGAGGAAGCTAAAGGTCCACTGGTGATGGCTGTGATCCCCTCTGATGGACTAGATATAAAGGAAATGCTTTAAAACATTTGAGGACCTGGAGTTGATCCATAACACATTATTTTACACCTATGGTGCCTCTGTGGAATTAAAAAACACCACTTTCATCATCTTATTTATTTATTTATCTGCTTCAAGAAAGTAATGGAAGCAACTTTAATTAAAAACCCATATGTAGGCCGAGTGTGCTGGCTCACACCTATAATCCCAGCACTTTGGGAGGCCAAGGCGGGAGGATCACTTGAGGTCAGGGGTTCATGACCAGCCTGGCCAACATGGTGAAATCCCGTCTCTACTAAAAAAATACAAAAACTAGCTGGGCGTGGTGGTGGGTGCCTGTAATCCCAGCTACTTGGGAGGCTGAGGCAGGAGAATTACCTGAACCCTGGAGGCAGAGGTTGCAGTAAGCCAAGATTGCACCACTGCACTCCAGCCTGGGCGGCAGAGCGAGACCCCATCTCAAAAAATGAAACAAGACAAAAAAAACCACATATGTAAACTGGGCAGCTTAAAAATAAGTCAGAAAGAGATCAGAAACCATAGAGAGGAAGTGGGAGAAAGTTCTGCCCAGAATCTAAGGTGAGGTACTAGGTAGTAAATGTAATTCTGAGCCTCTCGTCTTGCTTTTTTCACCTTCTTATATATGTGACTCTGCTGGAGTTGCATTTCTCATGGATCCTTCCAAATAAGTCAAGAAAAATTTCCCCAGGAGTCCCAAGTTTGAGTCTGGATCAGCATTTGGCAGATTTCTGAGCCTAGAGACAGAGCACAGGCTTCTCTGGCCCGTGATCTCTGCCCTGTGAAAGCCCTTGCCCTGATCTCAGCTCCCATGATGGGCATCCAGTGGCAAGGGGGCCTCTGTGAGTACATTGAGATGAGCCAGGAGGCCTGATGCTGTGCCTGAGACCGAGTCCTAAGAACAGGCCCACAGCTGATGTCCACACCTGGCCCACGTCCCCTGGCCAGCCTTCTTCCACCTGCTCTGTTAAGAAGAAACATGCACCCTGTGGCTAGAGTCCAGCTCCCCTCAGCCCTCTTTCTTCCCGAGGATGTCCTTAGTAATTGTGGCTTTAGTGATGAGCAACACTAGGAGGCCTTGGGGCGTGGGGCCTGCAGAGCAGGGAGAAGATAAGGCAGGGAGATAGGAGGCTGGAGTGTGGGCAGGGCATTGATGGCCATGCTGAGAACCTGGAACTTCGTTCATATTTTAAGCAGAGACGCAGAGACACGGCCTGGTCAGATTTGATCTTCACTTGGCTTCCAGCTACGGTGCCTGAAGACAGGCCTGAACACGCAGCCCACAGGGGAACCCGTTATGTGTGGAGCTCGGCAGTGGAACCTGGCTGGGGTTAAAGGTGGTGGGGATGAAAGGCGCAGGGCATCCAGGCTTCCCACCTCGCCTGTGTCACTTCCTCTGCTCTCTATTACTCCATCACTCCCCATTCCCTGCTCTCCGAGCTCCAGTCACAGTGAAGCTCTAAGTTCCTTGGAAGGACTCTGTTTCCTCCTGCCTCTGGGCCTTCCCATGACAGCTGGAGTCACCTTGTCCAAGAATAAACCAACAACCTTCACTTGGTGATGCCCGCTCCTTCCTCAGGGAAAACTCCCAATGCCTCATCCCAGGTCAGGCCTCCCAGGGCACCTTGCAGTTCCCCTTCTGAAACATTCACTTCACTTGTAATTACATGGGTGCGGGGGACAGCACCTATTTTTGTGGCCTGGCAGCCTCTCTCTTTATTTGGTGTGTGGCTATAGTACCCTGGTTTTATTTTGAGGTACCACACCTCCTCCACTGTCAACCTGTGTGCGTTGGGTAAAGTTGACCCGACTCCTAGGAGCCAAGAGTGGGCCATGTGACCAAGGCTAGACCAATCAGGAGAATCCATGCCCCTTGGCTTCAGTGATTGGTTCAGAAATAGGCAGGTGATCTAAATAAGCCAATCAGGGCTAAGGACACTTGGTCCCTGAATTTTGGTTTGAATTCTTGAGATCCTGACTTACTTCCATGGTCTACAGTGGTGATGTGAGGCTGAAGCTGCCTGGGCCACCATGAGTAGCCTGAGAATTGAACCAGCCCAGAGGGTGCACAGCCAGATGGCTCCTAGTGACATCATTTAAGCTCTAAATCAAGCTGTCCCTAAAGTCAAATCTATCCTTGTACATTTCAGCTACAGGAGTCAATCAATTCTCTTTTTAAATATAGACCTGCCTGAGTTGGATCTGGTGAGTCACAACTGAACAGTCTCCTCGACCTATGTTGTCTTCCTTCTGCCATGAGCACAGGGGCTGTATTTGTGTCTCCAGGACCTGGCTCAATGCCTGGTGCCTAGGAGTATTCAACAAAGGAATGAATAATAAAGAGAGGGGTCTCAGGACTTCTCCAACACCACCCCTTCACCCTTTCATACCTGGAAATGAGATGCAGATTGTGGTTCTCTCTGGGTGATGACATTGTTACAAAGTCCTGTTGGAACCAATTTTCTTCAGAGCAAGGAACTCCAACTACAAGAAAGTAGCCACTTATACGGTGTGACAAAAGGGGCCCTGGGAAAGACTTGTTGCTCAATAAAATTTACAAAGTGCCTGAAGTTCTATTGTTAGCAAGATTCCTTTGGCTTATGGTTCTGAGAACACTTAAGAATTCTCTGTAAATATGTCTGTATTTGGTTATATGAGTATAAAGAAACACTGAAACGATACACAAGAAACTAATAAAAGACAGTTACTGAGAGTTGGGATGGGAATTGCCCCGATGCAATGAGGCAGGCACAGGAATGGGAATTTTTATAGTGTTTGAATTTTGAGCCATATGCATGTATTGGCTTTTCAAAAATTAAATTAATAAAAGAACATCCTTGAGAGTACAGAACCACTAGAAGCCATTAGCAGCTCTTCCCAGCTGTGGGGGAGGACATTTATTTACTGGTTTGTTTTTCAGCTGGGGTACCTGGTTTCAGTGGGGAGGCCCTGATAGACTGGACAGGAGTGGTTTGTCTTGGTTGAGGAAAAAGGAGGTGAAAGAGGGATGCAGAAGCCAGGGGACCATCTGGAGAGGCCTGGACTGGGCAGGTCGCTGAGAGAGAAGAATGAGGCAGGCTAAACAGAGGGGTAGGACATCAAAGATACTTTCTCAGGGGCCTAGCAACCCCTGGCTGGACTTGATAACTTCCAAGACTCTTTTATTCCTTTAAAAAGTTTCTTATACCAATGCTGTGTGTCTGCAGGCATGTCCATTGAGGGCTCTGAGCCTGTGGACTCATCTGTAAAATGATGGGGCTGGATGAGTTACTTAGTCTACTGTCCCTTCGACCTGTGCCGCTCTCATTCGACGTCGCTGTCTTCTCCCCGACTCTCCATGTCCTAAAGCCCCACTCTTGTTCAGAAAAGATAAGAGTTATTACCAGGGAACACAACCTGTACCTTCGTAACACAGTAAGCTTAAACACTGAAGAGAGCTTCAGTGTCAAAGCATTTACTGGGGGCATTCACAGTTCCTTCCTGTGTTTAAATATGGCTCATGGAGGTTAAGCAGAGGAGCAGGTGATGAATTAGCTGAGCATGCAGCTGCCCAATGTACTTCCTGACCTGCTCACCTGCACCCTCTGGGGCTCCCTTACAGGCCTTCTGACACCCTTGTGACACAGCGCACTCCCTCACTGGCCAAGGGACTTCAGCAGAGCTGAAAAATCTGTGCTGGTGGCCATGACCCTAGAAAGGCTGCTGTACTCACTCTCCTCAGATTCTCACAGGGAAGGAAGGGCCCTCCCTTACCTTAGGAACAAAGTGGTGACAGCTTCTGTGGTTGTCAGGCAGTGGCCAGGAGGCAGCAAAGGGGGCATGGCAGCATTTGAGGATGGCTGGAAGGACATAGACCTGGTGCGGGTGATGGTGGAGCAGCCAGGCTGGTCTGTGGGGCTGGAGGGTAGGCATGGGCCATAGGCACAGAGGCTGCTAAGTGGTGGAAAGGCAGGAGTTCACCAAGTCTTCAGGTTTAGATTTTTTTTTTTTTTTTTTCGAGATGGAGTCTCATTCTGTCACCCAGGCTGGAGTGCAGCGGCGCAATCTTGGCTCACTGCAATCTCTGCCTCCTGGGTTCAAGCGATTCTTGTGCCTCAGCCTACCGAGTAGCTGGGATTACAGACGTGCGCCACCACGTCCGCCTAATTTTTGTATTTTTGGTAGAGACGGGGTTTCACCATGTTGGCCAGGCTGGTCTCGGACTCCTGACCTCAAGTGATCTGCCCGCCTCGGCCTCTCAAAGTGCCGGGATTACAGGTGTGAGCCCCCACGCCCAGCCTAGGTTGTGATATTATTGCAAATGGGACAATAAATACAGGCACAGAAATACGGTGACAGCACTGAAATATGCTCATATCACTTAAAGCTGTCAGCTCCTGGCATTCAGCCCTTATGGTAGGGCAAGAACAGCAGCAGCTGTTCACAGATGAGAGAACAGAGTGGGGAGAAAGATGCCTTCCAAGCCCTGCAGAACCCACCGCCTATAATGCACTGTAAAAAACAAAATTAAACTCTATACAGCTCTATATAGTTTATCTGTTATCTAGTATATATATGGTATATGTAATTCTATAGTTATTATGTCTTGTATTTTTATGTTAATATATTTACTCAATGTAGCAATTTAAACAGTATCAGAATTTTGTGGCCTTGTTTTGAGATCTTTATAACTGACTTGGAGCCAGAATAAGTGAAGGTAACCCAGGCTTTTCTTCTTCCCTGGGAGGCTGTGTTGGGATATGGCTGGCCCCAGAGCCCTCCTTTGAGTGTGGCTCATGGCTGTCCAGGTAGCCAATGGGGAGCTGGAATGGCGCTGGAGGCACTTGGCTGTGTTCTGGAACCTTGAGCACAGGGCTTTGGCATGCGTCTTCCTACCTCTACCAACTTCCCCTGCCCTTCAGCTGCCCTGGGTGAAGAAAGTGCCTTTGGATGTCAGGTGCCTTCCCATGCCAGGGGCCTGTGTGCTGGGAGCTCTGTGTACCTATCACCTGGTGGCTGGCATTAGATGGCCTGAACTCTCTTTGCCCAGAGTGTCATAATTCACACACCTATTTCTTTTAGAAATATGACCTCGATTGACTCCTCTTACTTTGTATTTCTTAAACATTTTTCATTTCCCTAATTTTCCCTGACCTTCTCCCATTCTCAATCCCTGCCAACAGGAATCTCATTGACAAATCCACTTTCTCCCTCCCTGCCCATGTCCCACCCCCTTCTTCCAAGAAGCCCTTGGTAGAAGGCTTCCCTGATTGCAAGGTGATGGTTCACAAACTTGTCTACAGCCCTTGGGGGTGGCAAGGTAAAGGGAGTGGGCTGAGATACTTCAGCTATGGGAGGGAGAGATGAAGAGACAGCCAGAGGATAGGCCAGATGTTGTTCTTTTTCTTTTTAGTTCTGTGATCTTCAGAAGCTACTTAGGCAACATGACCCAAAGTCTTAGACATCTGCTAAATACTGTATATCTACACTATGAGTCATATTATATAAGAAGGGAAGTTGGCAAACAAAATGAGTTTGGGCTTTGCAGTCAAACACATTTTGACTGAAATCTCAGTTTAACTATTTAGCTGAAGTATGATGTGGACAATTCTCTGAACAAGAATAATTACTTTTTGTTGTTGTTGTTGTTGAGACAGGGTCTTGCTCTGCCACCCAGGTTAGACACAGTAGCCTGATCATAGCTGACTGTAATCTTGAACTCCTGGGCTCAAGCAATCCACCTGCCTTGGCCTCCTGCATAGCTAGGACTATGCCAGACTAATTTTAAAACATTTTTTGTAGAAATGGGTCTCAGTATGTTACCTAGGGTCTTCAACTCCTGGCCTCAAGCCATCCTCCTGTCTCGGCCTCTCAAAGCGCTGGGATTATGGGCATAAGCCAGTGTGTCCAGCCAGAATTACCATTAAATTTGACTCAAGAACCAACAAAAATGTTTGAACCATTATTTTATCCTATTCCCTGTGGTTTCCTGTATATTTCAAATATTTCATGATAAAATATATTTTAAACAGTCAATAATGCTCAACAAACACAGACTCTTTCCATGCCTTTAGGAAAAATATTAGTCGCTCTTATCCATAGTTGTACTAATAGCAATTGACACAATCTTGTGAAAAGGTAATTTGGCAATATCATCTGAATTAAAAACATGCAAATTCTATGACCAAGCAATCCCTGTGTTTTTGGGGTGGGGTTTTAACAGAACTACCATTTTATTATACATCTCACAATTCTATGAACCATGAAACCAGACAGGCCTGGTGCAGCAATGCTTCTGCTCCACATCAGCTGAAGTCACTTGCTGGTGTTTGCATGGCAGATTGGCAGGTCTGGAGGGCCCAAGATGGCTTCACTGAAGTTGGCAAGAGTGGGCTCCACTGGCACTATCCACCAGAATGCCCACATGTGGCCTCTACGGCATGCTGATCTGATTAGTTGAATTTGTTGCAGGGCAGACTACATCCATGGCCTTGCTGCTCAAAATATGGTCCACAGAACAGCAAACAGGCATCACCTTGAAGCTTGTTAGAAATGCATAATCTCTGCCTAGCAGTACCACTTTTAATAATCTGTTTCTAAGGAAATACTAGCAAGCATGTGTACCAATATATGTACAAAGATATTCCCTGAAGCATTTTTTATAACAGGAGAATACTGAAACCAAGATCTCCATAAACAGAAGAAGGGTTAGAGAACTCATGGAACACCCACATCATGAATACCACAAAGCCATTCTAAGAAATATGTGTATATTGGCCAGGAAAGACGGCCATGATATGCTGTTTAGTAAAACAAAAGCAAATGGCAGGATAATATACAGGACAGGACCCATTTTCGTTAAGAAAAATATTTCAGTAAATATCTCTATCATCTATCCATCCATTCATCCCCAAATCTGGAAGGACAGACACTAAATGAGCAGTGTTTTTCTCTTGGGATAATGGAGGGATTTCTGCTTTTTATGTACTATATTTCAATGCACAAAAAAGTGAGAACATGAAATAATTTTTCATTTTGTTTTTCAGTCCATCAAAAAAAGCAACAACTATTAAAAACAAAACCAAATCACTGTACTCTGGAAATATTTGTGCTGAACAATCATGCTCAAAGGTCATGAAGATATGGTTTCCTGGTCTCAAAAAGCCCATCAGCATTAACCCACTTGCCCTTGCGATTTCCTCTCTCTGCTCACCAAGGTCGTTACCTCGATTTTCAACCTTTCATTGTGAGTGAGGAATCATTTCATTGTTTCTCTTTAACTTTAGATCCACTTAGATTCCTTTAAGTGCTACGGAATTGATTATTTAAGTGAATCAGTTAGAAGGTTCCAATTTTTCTTTCCCAGAAAGAAAGCTCAAGCCCACAAGCTTACGCTCAAGCTCAAGCTCACAAGCTCAAGATGACAAGTGCTTCTGTGTAGAAAGGGCTGGTAAACTTCCCTGGAAAGATCCTAATATTTGGTGCCTATCCTTTTCTCCTAAAAGCAAAGACAGGGGGTTTACGCTAGGGAGGATTTCTATTTTCAGCCAGAGAAAAACATTTACCTCCACCACTATGGGATATTGTTAACAGCAGGCAGATTTGGATGAAGTGTTCTGGGTGCTTTTCCTGAGAGACCAAAGCCCAACAAAGAAATGAGATCTGGTCCTCAGTGTAGGTCTGCCCGCTATGGGTTAGATTCTCAACTTGTTTCACTGTTTGGAGGGCTCAGGATGGTGGGTCTTTTACAACCCTGAGTCCCTGGAGACAAATTTGTCTCTTTCTTCTTCGCTGTAAGTCACTAACTCTACCCCTGGAAAGGCTGCTTCAGGACCTCCCTCCTTTGCTGGGTCCCTCAGGCCTGAGAAACAGCCAGAGTTGGGTTCAGAATGTGACTTGATGACGCAACAGCCGACCTGAAGTTGCAGTAAGAATTATAGACCATAAAAGAGACGTTTAACTGAATTGCTTTTTTCCCCCTATCTGGAAGCAGTATGTTTCCAGCACAAGCATTGACACATAGGTTAGCAGTTTCCATTTTGGTCACATTACAATCAATGATGAGCAACAGGGGGATGGCCACTGTTGAATTTCACTCAGTTGTGAAACAGCCTAAACACACGGACTATGCCTGTAGTACTTGATGTCTGGTACTGAGCAGAGTCAAAGACACCTTACGTAAAAGACCAATGATTACAATGCCTTAGGAAATGACCCATGTTTTGCCAACCCTTGCTCCTGTCTGGTGTCTGGCACCTCTGGGTCCACTGCCATGCCTAGCACAGTGCAGGTGGGCATTTAAGTGAAATGGTCCTCGCTTTGAAGGCTCTCTTTAAATCTGTCACTTTGAGCCTCCTGTTGTAAGATGAAAGTTGGTGGGAATTAAACATTTTAAGGCAAAAAAAGAAGAATGTTGAAGGAAAAAACCTATGTAGAATCATGGCAGAAAGCCATCTTTAAGGTATGCATTTTTACATTGTACAGAGATCTCAGCAAATAATTCACACGTATTAAGTAATTACTATGTGCCAGGAGCCTCGCTAAATGCTCTACATAGATTATCCCATCCACTTCCTCCCAGCATCACTCTCTGTGAGGTGAGCATTCTTAACCCTGTTGCACAGGCTGGGGAGAAGAGGCTTAGGGAGGATGCGTGGCCTGTAGAACATCACATGCCACATAAGGTATAGGGCCAGTATTCAAATCAAGGCAGTCTAACCCCAGGCCTGTGCTCATAACCTCACACAATGCAGCAGCCTGTTAATGTGAGACTCTGCTTATTAACAGGGGCAAAGGCAAGAAGTGGCCTGGAGCTCCTTTGCCGAGGACGTGGTGCTGAGCATCATGAGTGCACACATTATCTGTGCCTTCAAGGTTGGGGGCAGGGTCATGGGCCATGCAAATCCTTTCCTTCTCACTCCCTTGATTTATCACTGGACCTAGGCTATTTCAGAATAAATTTGTGCTAGTAACCGAATACAATACCTAAAACTGTTCCTTAAAATCTGAGTGGAAAGAGTGGAAAGAAGTCCTTTAGTGCATAGTCAGCTGTGGAGGAAAACCAAGGCCAGATGGAAGGGACTTGAAAAGCGTTTGTGGGGTCCTTCCACCACCAGAGGCTGAGGCTATAGCTATTTATGATAGAATATACCTTACTCCATGGGGAAAACTCTTGTCTAATCCCCCATCCCTCAAAAAATTATGTAAGGATAAAACATTATATTCTTTGAGAGATCTTTTACAATTTTTCCTACATACCTGTGAATGTCAATTTTACTTGACTCTAAGAACTTAAAATGGTTTCTATGTTATGTACTTTCTTTATTTTTTCCATCCACTTTCTAGAGTCCTGCTTTCTATCTAACATTGCTAATAAGTGCTGCTCTTTGCAATGGAAGATGGTGCCAGTGACTCACTTTCTAGAGGGCCACGCACTCTAAGATACTTCTCCTAGTGGGAGGAATTGGTATTGTCAACCTTTGGAGGCTGTTACTTTTTTCTGTGTAAAGTGAATTGGTCATTAGGGAACTCAAACCTTGAAGTTGGCATTGACTGTTTCTAGGGGACTAAAAGAAACATTGATCATAATACACACTCAACCTAAATGAAATAATCTTTTCTGAATGATTACATTATGAAAAGAGATTCATGGAACTTTTATTCTGGGAGGGACATTAAAAATCACTTAGTATAACCTCATATTTTTATACTGGCAGTAAGGACTCTTAGAGAATTGTTTTTTAATAGGTGAGGATACTAAAGCCCAAAGAGGGAAGTGATATGCCCAAGGTCTTATTGCTGTTAGTGGATTGTAACCCTGGCTGTACTACGCTAGAATAATTGGGAGAGTTGTTGAAAAGTACCGATGCTTGGGTCTCACTGCAGACTAATGAATCAGATTTTCTGGGCCTAAAGCCTGGGTTACTGGCACTTTTTAAAGCTCTCCAGCTGACTCTATCTGAGGCCAGAGTGGAGAAGCACTGAGCTAGACAAGAACCCAGCCCCCAGTCCCGAGACTGCCAGTGTTAGCAAACCCATGGCAGTCTCTCATTCCGCACCCCTGAGCCCATGGCAGACTTGACTCATGGGTCACTGAACTGTTTCCTGCTGTGCCTAACCTGGCCTTCTCATACTGTTCATCTGCTGCCTGTCCATGAGCATTGGGAAGACAACCTGAGACACAGCTACAGTCAGGCACTGTATCTTGGTTCCTCTAAATAAAATCACACAAAATATCTGAAAGTATTATTCTGGTAACACTGTGATTGTATATTCTCACAGTCCAGTGTATTCATCTATTGGTCTGTCAAGGCTCAATGGGGGAATACCAGGGTGAAAGCCCTGTGTGACTCAACTGAGCTAGGTCTGAACACTACTCTGCTATTTACAACCTGTGTGATTTTGGGCAAGTTTTTGTGCCTCAGTTTCTTCCATGTCTCTTCTCTGGCATTAATCTCCAGCAAAACTGAAGCCTGGACCCTCAGTCTTTCCTGCTTTTTAAATCTATCTGAACCACACAATCCCCTTAATCCCTGATACTAACTTGTTCTTATGAACAAAGACTTGGTAAGAGTTAGTGCTTAGGCCTCATTCCCAAGTACTCAGAGCGCCTGGAAATGGCCTTCCAAAGACACAATACTTCGACACATTTTTTTCTTGGGTATTGTGTACTTCTCTAGCCAGAGATGAACTTCGCAGTCTCCTAACAAATTGGATTCTGTTTAAATTGATTCTACTCAAAAGTGAGAGCAAAGGATGTAGGCTGCTGGACTGGATGCAAACAACGTGACAATCCCTCTCCCCCACCTCCCTCCCTGCCCTGCAGCCTGGGTTACCACCCAGGGCCAGAGCCTGAGCTACCACCCAGGGCCAGAGCCTGAGCTTACATCACACAAGGAAACCGCCTTGTTCTAGCAGAGACCAGTTGCTGTTAGATCAAGGCTGCTGAATCCCCCCAGGGCTCTGATCCCTATTGTTTTTTGGTTAAAATATGAGTTCCTTCCAGGCTCTCACCCTAATACTGCTCGTTCTTCCTCATCTCTTGCCATCCCCTGCCTCCCCTACCACCCCCCACTGTTGCCTCCTGGCCAAATTATTCGCCATAAATGCCTTCTGGAATGCCCGCTTCATGGTAAGTGAGCTCCTCGTGCCCTCACCCTGCCTTAACTGAACATGGCTTTCTTGGGACTGTCTTCCTGAGGTCCTTTCATTCTCAAAGAGTGGGATGTCAAAGAGTGGGATGTCATTCTTCTCCTCCTGAGTTCAACAGGTGAGGGTATACAATCCTTCTGGGAGAGGAGAGAGAATAACTCTCAGTACCACACTTGGAAAAAGTGCTTGTCATTTTTCTCTCTCAACTGCTTCTTACAATTAGTTCAATTTGTATCTCATGGGACTGTATGGGACAGACTGAATTCTTAAGTCAATCCTACCTATGTCTCTAGTGCAGCCTCAGAGAAGATAGATGATGCCTTTTGGAACCCATGTCTCTCTGACCCCAGAATCTGGGATCTTCCCCACCACACACATCACATCTCCCAATGTGTGGACAGGACAACACCAGGTGCACCAAGCTACTTTTAGAGGAACAGTACTCATACCATCTGCAAGTTATAAGAAAACTTAAGAGGCCGGGTATGGTGGCTCATGCCTGTAATCCCAGCACTTTGGGGGGCCGAGGCAGGCAGATCATCTGAGGTCAGGAGTTCAAGACCAGCCTAGCTAACATGGTGAAACCCCGTCTCTACTAAAAATACAAAAATAAGCTGGGCATGGTGGTGGGTACCTGTAATCCCAGCTACTCGGGAGGCTGAGGCAGGAGAATTGCTTGAACCTGGCAGGTGGAGGTTGCAGTGAGCCTAGATCATGCCATTGTACTCCGGCTTGGGCAACAAGAGTGAAACTACATCTCAAAACAAACAAAGAAACAAACAAACAAAGAAAACTTAATAATCCAACCCTCTTTTCACAGATGAGCCCAAAGACACTCTGGCTTACTTACAGTGATCCCAGGAAGTTAGTGACAAAACTCTCCCAGTTTCCCCTGTACCACTCAGAGACTTTAAAGAACTTGAAATCTAATCTCCAAGATCAATACAATAAGCACACAAATAATTACAATTCAAGGTATTATATGAGAAACAAAGTCTGAAAGCAGATGGGAGAGGGAGAAATTACATCTTTAGGCTGCGGTAGGGTGGCCTAGGAAGGGTAATCAGGATTGTGTACAACGGTTCTCAACCTTTTTCGTCTCATAACTTTTTTACACTTAAAATTTTTTAAAAAAATATTTGTGGGTACACAGTAGGTGTATATATTTATGGGAGTATATGAGATGTTTTGATACAGGGATGCAATGCGAAATAAGCACATCATAGAGAATGGGGTATCCATCCCCTCGAGCATTTATTCTTTGGGTTACAAGCAACTCAATTATACTCTGTAAGTTATTTAAAAATGTACAATTAATTATTAATTATGTATTTACTGTAGTCACTCTGTGGTGCTATCAAATAGTAGGTCTTATTCATTCTTCCTATTTTTTTTTGTACCCATTAACCATCTTACCTACCCTGCCAGGTCCCCACTACCCTTCCCACCCTCTGGTAACTACCCTTCTACTCTCTATGTCCATGAGTTCCTTGTTTTGATTTTTAGATCCTACAAATAAGTGAGAAGATGTGATGTTTGTGTCTGGCTTATTTCACTTAACATAATCATCTCCAGTTTCATCCATGTTGTTGCAAGTGACTGGGTCTCATTCATTTTTATGGCTGAATAGTACTCCGGTGTGTATATGTACCACATTTTCTTTATCCATTCATCTGTTGACGAACACTTAGGTTGCTTCTATTGTAAACAGAGCTGCAACAAACATAGGAGTGCAGATACCTCTTCAATATATTGATTTCCTTTCTTTTGTGTACATACCCAGCAGTGGGATTGCTGGATCATATGGTAGCTCAATTTTTAGTTTTTTGAGGAACTTCTAGGCTGTTCTCCATAGTGGTTGTACTAATTTACATTCCTACCAACAGTGTACAAGGGTTCCCTTTTCTTCACATCCTCACCAGCATTTGTTATTACCCGTCTTTTGGATACAAGCCATTTTAACTGGTACAAGATGATATTTTGCTGTAGTTTTGATTTGCATTTCTCTGACGATCAATGATGTTAAGCACTTTTTCATATGCCTACTGGTCATTTGTATGTCTTCTTTTAAGAAATGTCCATTCAAATCTTTTGCCCATTTTTGATTGGATTATTAGTTTTTTCCTATGGAACTGTTTGGGCTCCTTATATATTCTGGTTATTAATCCTTTGTAAGATGGAAAGTTTGCAAATATTTTCTCCCATCCTGTGGGTTGTCTCTTCGCTTTGTTGGTTGTCTCCTTTGCTGTGCAGAAACTTTTTAATTTGATATGATCCCATTTGTCTATGTTTGCTTTGATTGCCTATGGTTGTGGGGTATTGCTCAAGAAATATTTGCCCAGACCAATGTCCTGGAGTGTATCCCAATGTTTTCTTTTAGTAGTTTCATAGTTTGAGGTCTTACATTTAAATCTTTAATCCATTTTGGTTTGATTTTTGTATAGGGCAAGAGATAGAGGTCTAGTTTCATTCTTCTGCAGAGGGATATCCAGTTTTCCCAGCATCATTTATTGTCTTTTCCTTAGTGTATGTTTTTGGCCCTTTTACATTCTTAACCCCAAGAGCTTGGTTTTTTGGGGTTATATCTATTGATTTTTACTGTATTAGTAATTAAAACTAAGAACATTAAAAATATACATTGACTATACTTAAAAATAATAAACCCATTATATGTTATCACATTTTTATGAAAATAACTACATTTTCCAAAACAAATGCAGTGACAAGCGTGACATTTGTTTTCTATTTCTGCTGCTCTGTTTAATCTCTGGCTTAACAGAAGACAGCTGGATTCTCATATTTACTGCTCATTCGCTCTCTTGACATAGGTTGTTTTGGCTGAGGCCTTAGAAGAAAACTCAGCCTCATGCAGACTTACAGTTGGAAAAGAGGATAGTATTTTAATAGTCTTTTCAGATAACTGTACCTATTTATCAATACTACATCAAAACTTCACAAGGAGTAGTTTCTTAAAAGTTAGCTGCAATGTAGAAACTGAAATCATATCAAATGAACTTTCAGCATGCAGTTATGTTAAAATCTATTGGTCTGTCTTGCATTTTAAATGTATAGTTTTGTTATATCATGTATTGGTTCTTTTGGCAATACTGGTTTGCTGAATTATACAGATCTTCCAAATATTGTCACATTTCATTATATAGTATAAAAAATTGCTTGTTAATATCACCACTAGTCTTATCTGGAAAGAATTTAAATAATGGGGACATGCTCGCAGTGGATACAAATATTTTGAAATTCTAATTTTCACTTAACATTCTGTCAGTTATTTTCTTGAAGGAGACTCATATTATTACTTTTCTGAGTACTCATAGTTTTTGTCTGTCAGCTGTTGTTTTAGGCAAAAATGGGTTCAACGAAAAAAGCAGTTCATTCAGCTCACAACTCAGACAATTGCTCAAGTGCTTTAGTTGTACTTCCCATTTAGTCACTCAGAATATTTAAAAGACAAGTTGTTGAAGGCTAAGATAATAATTTTTACTGCCTTTATCAAGGACATTCTTAACTGAAACTGGCTTTTTTTTTATGGGAGGTGCATAGCATCATTGCTTTGAATGGTGCTAAGTCAGGTGCCAGCAGTGCTAGCTACCATTTCCGCCATCTGCGCAAACGTCAACACAGTGAAGAAGGAAACTGATATCTTCTGACTCAAAATAGATTTGATCTTGTGGACTACCTGAAAGACCCCTGAGAGTGGAACTCACTTTGAGAACTGCTGTTGTACAAGATACTGGCTTTGAAAAATGAGTTGGATTTTGAAAGGATAAGATGAGGGAGTATATCTGAAGAACAGCAGGTACGCAGTTTGGTTGGAGAAGGAGGAAAGCAGAGGCAGATGAAACTGAAAAGATATCGTGAAAGGCCTGAATGCCTTCATGATGACCCACTTAGGTTTAAGCCACACAGAAAGAGGCAGGCTAGGGGGAGCATCTTTTTTTTTTTTTTTAATAGAAAAGTTGTGGCTTCAACTTATATAAAATAAAGGTCGCCATGTGTACAGTCACTAGTTATAAATAAATGATCGCATTGCTGCTTTCCTCATAGGGAATAAATAAAACAAACATCTTTACAAATTACTTGTTGTAAGAATCATGCTGCACTATTACTTCAATTTAGACAGTATTTATTTTAAAAGGAAAAAGAATGAGAACAAACCATTGTGGAAGACAGTGTGGCGATTCCTCAAGGATCTAGAACCAGAAGTTCAATCCCATTACTGGGTATATACCCAAAGGATTATAAATCATTCTACTATAAAGACACATGCACACGTATGTTTACTGCAGTACTATTCACAATAACAAAGACTGGGAACCAACCCAAATGCCCATTAATGATAGACTGGATAAAGAAAATGTGGCACATATACACCATGGAATACTATGCAGCCATAAAAAAGGATGAGTTCATGTCCTTTGCAGGGACATGGATGAAGCTGGAAACCATCTCAGCAAACTAACACAAGAACAGAAAACCAAACACTGCATGTTCTCACTCATAAGTGGGAGTTGAACAATGAGAACACATGGACACAGGGAGGGGAACATTACACACCAGAGGCTGGTTGGGGGCTAGGGGGCTAGGGGAGGGATAGCATTAGGAGAAATACCTAACATAGATGACAGGTTGATGGGTGCAGCAAACCACCCTGGCACGTGTATAATTATTTAACAAACCTGCACGTAACCTGCACGTTCTGCACATGTATCCCAGTACTTAAAGTATAATAATAACAAAAGAATGAGAACATTTATTAAGCACCTATTCTGAACCAAACACTATGCTAGTCACTTTTCATGTGTTATATGATTTAATCCTTACAACAAACTTACAAAAGTGGTATTATAATTCATACAGTTAAGGCGAACGAAGCCCAAAATGTCATGTGACTTTCTAAGGGACACGACTCTGAACTCTGACTTTGTTAAACTTCATTTGGTCATCCCTTATCTCAAGGCATTTGGGGAAAGTCAAATTTAATTATCATGTACTTGTATATATACATATCTAATGCAATCTTTTTTCTTTTTTGGTTTTTCTAGTGCATTCTTAAAATAGGGCACAAAATGATGTCACAAACCCAATGAAATACAATAAGATATGAAATCTCTAAAGAGATTGCGTATTTTAAATTTTTTCTTTCAGGAACTATTTTATACAAGAGATATTGCTGATTACTGGGAGCATTAGGTTGGCTGATAGAGATTTTGTTAAAACATTAGAAATATCAGCATTTGAAATTCATGGCTAAGCTTCATCACAATGCTTTTGGATACAAAGACCTTTTTCTTTCATATTCTTAAATATCAGTAAGAAAAAGAGAGAAAGCAATTCAGATTCATAGTCTGATGACATATTCTCTGGCCTAAGAAAAAAAGGTACTAAGTTTACTGACATCAACGAACAGGTTCTAGGTATACACCGCCAAGTCAGCATGGCCTGTTCTTCCTAAACTTGGACCTGTTCCTTTGAATACCCATGGTACTTTACACATGCATGCACACACATACTCTCTTTACACATGCATGTACACACACACACACACACACACACACACACACACACACACATCAGAGTTATGGCATACTTCTCCTCCCCAGTGTAGACAAATTATCTGTTTAACTGGATGCTTGGAAACTTTTCTGTTGACATTAAAAAAATTTTTTTTGACTGGGCATGGTGCTTCACACCTGTAATCCCAGCACTTTGGGAGGCTGAGGTGGGAGGATCGCTTTAGCTCAGGAGTTCAAGGAAGCAGTGAGCTATGATTGCACCACTGCACTCTAGTCTGGGCAACAGAGAGAGACTCTGTCTCAAAAAAAAAAAACATCAAAATGATTTCAAATTAATGTCCATCCAAATGAATATTTTACTATAAAATAAAAGAAGTAAATAATACAGAGTAATTATTTATTACTTATTCATTTCTAGGCAGGATGAGGGTCTGAGAGTATAATACAGTTCAAATAAAGAAGTTACCTGGCTTAAAAATAGCTACTTGCTAAAGATAGAAAATTATTATAAATCTTAAAAACAAACAGGCAAAACATCTTGAAAGTTTTATAGGCTTTGCATTTTAAAATTATAGATGATTAGAAACTATACTTTTCTTCTATACTGATACTAAAATAGTTTCATTTTCAGCTTAAATTACAACAGTTAATAATTTATCTGACTGTATATAAACATAATATTCTTTCTACATTTTAGTTTAAAATAGTACAATATTAAAAAGCTTATAAATTGCCAATAAACATGGGAACTCACACATACATTTCTGACATTGGGGGATTATTATAATTATTATGTTATGGAATGCCAAACATAGGCAATGTATGTAAGTTTTAGGATAGTTATAATGAAATAATAAAAGGGAAAAAAAAACCAGGACAACTTTGTCCCTTCAAAGTAGAGGCAATGTAGGCTACTTTGGGAGGCTGAGGCGGGCGGATCACGAGTTCAGGAGATCGACATCATTCTGGCCAACATGGTGAAACCCTGTCTCTATTAAAAATACAAAAATTAGCTGGGCGTGGTGGTGTGTGCCTGTAATCCCAGCTACTGGGGAGGCTGAGGCAGGACAATCACTTGAAGCTGCGAGGCGGAGGTTGCAGTGAGCAGAGATCGTGCCACTGCACTCCAGCCCGGCAACAGAGTGACACTCCATCTCAAAAAAAAAATTTTTTTTTTCAAATTAGTGATTTAGTAAATTTGCTTACTGGAATAAAAAAGAAAGAATTGCACCATTATGAATAATGTGTCAAATTCTATGAGGTTCTAAATGTGTGGATCTTGTTGCTCTGCTATTTTTTTCCAGCAGTCGACTTCAATCGACATCCCCCTAGGTTTCTGACTCAATTACATATAGATATAACTTTAGGGATATAATACATTTTTATTAAAAGATAAAATCTGTCATAATGTCTTTTTTTTTTTTTTGAGACAGAGTCTCACTGTGTTGTCCAGGCTGGAGCGCAGTGGCGCGACCTTGGCTCACTACAACCTCTGCCTCCCAGGTTCAATAAATTTTCCTGCCTCGGCCTCCCGAGTAGTTGGGATTACAGGCATGCACCACCGCGCCCAGCTAATTTTTGTATTTTTAGTAGAGATGGTGTTTTATCATGTTGGCCAGGCTGGTCTTGAACTCCTGACCTCAGCTGATCTGCCTGCCTCAGCCTCCCAAAGTGCTGGGATTACAGGCGTGAGCTACCATGCTTAGTCTGTCATAATATCCTTAATACAAAAGTGTGAGGATTGGCCATTATAAGATCTATTCTGTTGCAATGCTAGACTTACTACAATAAATTTTACAAGTATGTAAATGTGTCATGGCTAGGAAAAGGATTCTAATGATCAGATCTTCCTCCCTTCAGTAGGGTGGCTGGAATAAATTTAGCATAAGACTAAGAAGATTATAACTTTGTTTCAATTATTCCCTTTCAGGGTGCTCTGTATCACACATTTGAACTATATAGTACATATGTAGCAGGGAGTTTGTGGCAGATTGGAAAGCTCCCAAAATCTCTCAATGGGGTTGGGAGCTAGAAATTTTGAGGGACCTGATTTCCTGAATGTGCTGCTATTGTAGGGCTCCTCAGATCTCAGTGATGTCAGGAAGGAGCCCAACAGGTTACCTGTTGGTTCAGTTATGCTTTACTTGTCTTTTCACTTACTCACCTAATAAACGATATGTCAACCTGATCCTACCAGAGAAGTCCACAGGCTGCCTGAAAAATTATATTACTTGCTGTTTACTTCCCTTGATGGAGTTTTAGGCATTAAAGGATAGAAAGTACTTGGAAAATCCAACAATAACCTGTATGTATTAGGATTTTTGTGATTTTGGGTGCATCAAACTCTTTTTATATATTATTGGGTAATCAAAATAGAAAATAACTTTTGATAGTTAAATGAACAAAAGAGGGAAAAATAAGCTAAAACTGGTAACATGTATTTAATATTGTGCATAACATTGCTTTGAGTTGATGAGGTAAGATCAGCTATGAGGCAGTGTTTTTGCAAAATACCTGTAACTACTTCTGAACACCCTTCAGTCAGCCACTGATCACCTGGTTTCTGCCATGTCCAAATTATGATCTTTGGCAACAAAAGATCTGACTGGAAGAAGTGTTGTAGACACCCCTAAATGATCTCTTTGCCCTGGCCGGCTTTATCCACTTTAACTGCTACAAGTTGGGGAATGATTTGCTAAACGTATTAGCAATCAATATTGCAGTTGCTAATGAAAAACTAGATATTTGTATGGAACTCCATAATCAAACCTCTATTAAACAGAAGACAGATTAGTAAAGAATGTAGATGCCTGTTACTAAGTGAAACATCCATGTATCAGGAATAATTCCAAAGTGTTATAATACATGATCTTCCTTAGTCCATTTGGTCTTCAAAAATGTATGTAGTTGTATCAATAAAATTCACTGCCTTTTCCCACAGGGAATGGTATTGCTAGGGACTATTGTCTAAACATGATGATGATTCATGGAGACCACTCTCATGGATGCATCTGTCCGAATGTGCAGTCTGCATTCTTAATGTTTACCACAAACCCAGCGAAGCTGATGATCTGTCTGAAGGTCAGTCACTTCTTCAATAGTTCTCCAGCTACACTGGCAGGCATATGCCCGTGTTCCTTTCTTCTTTATCAACTTTGCTTTTAATTTGTGAAATTCTGGCATGTTGTTCCTATTAGTAAAACAGGAAAGTTTTAGCATAGTGGCTTTGTTCAGTGCTTAATGATTAAAAAAAAAAAAAAAGGTCATTGCTTTCTTTTCTTTTCTTTTTTTGTTTTTAGGAGTCTCATTGTTACTCAGGCTGGATTGCGGTGGCACAATCATGGCTCACTGCAGCCTTGACCTCCCAGGCTTCCCCTCAGCCTTCCAAGTAGCTGAGACCACAGGCATGTGCCACTATGCCCGGCTTAAAAAATTTTTTTTTGTAGAGATGAGGTCTCAGTATGTTGTCCAGGTTGATCTCAAACTCCTGGGCTCAAGTGATCCATCCACCTCAGCCTCCCAAAGTGCTGAGATTGCAGGCATGAACCATGGTGCCCAGCCTATTTTCTTATCTTCCCCGTATCTGAACACTAAACAACCTAGATCCCCTCACACTAACACTAGAAGATATGCTTCAGTGTTCTCTTTCTGATGGTATTTCTTTGATAATCTGTACTTTTTATGGCAATCCTCTAGGCCAGTTTATTGAATGTTGAAGAACACAATAACCTAAAGGCTGAAGAATTACAAACGCCCTATCAGAGATGAAATAATATGAAAATAGGGTGGAAAGGATGGTGGTTCATTTCCTACCTCAGATACTCACCTATGCCATATTTTAAAAGCCTGTAATATGGCAAGTTGAGAGAACATTAGAGGCATAAAGATCATAGGTTTCTGATGAATTAACTATAGAAAATTTTCATTAGCTTCAATGATCTGTTTATTCATACTATCAGCAACAAAAATGTCTATCCTGAAATAAATATTAATAATGTTGAAATAATTAAATCAACAAGTAGGGCCATCGTAAAAATGATAAACACTGGATTTCATACTATTATAAAAAAGACTACAGAAGTTTAATTAATAAAAACATCAATTATGATTTCATGATAATCCATGTAATGAGTTCATATAAACATTCCATGGCAAAGAAAAGTAGAAAAAATTTTTAAAAAAGATGAAAAAATACAAAGTGAAAGGACGAAATACAGTATGAATACCAGAAAAAGAGATACGGTACCTAACCATTGCTTGTGGATATCACTGCAACAGAAGGCAGGCTACAAAGTGCCCTCTGGTGGTCAATGGGCACCATATTCAGTATTAAACTGTACGAAATTCAGGCACAATTTAGAAGGTTAGAACCTCACAAAACCTGACAGATTTTCCAAGCCAACTGTCTGACTTCAGGAAACAGACTGACTAGCTAAACGACTTAGCTAAGGGAAGAAATGAATAATCTAAATTTTAACAGAAAGAAAAAAACCCCGCCAAAACTAAGTTGTTGAGGAAAAATGTCCTTTATTTGATCTGCAAAATATTTTGAAAACTTAACATTTGATACTTGACTGAATCCTTAGCGATTTTAGGATTAGGAATCATGAATAGGCAGGGATCTAATTATGACATTTGAAATGGTTTTTAAAATGCACGTATCTTAAAAGCTTAGGGAAAAATCATTCCATTCTTAAAGAAAACACGATTTAATAGAAAAATAAAAGCATTTTCTTCAGCTGTTGTGGCAAGGTGGTCAGTAAGTATAGCTGACACTTCTTTTACAATGTTCTAAAACTTGTCTGGGTGTGGTGGGTCATGCCTGTAATCCCTGCACTTTGGGGAGCCAAGGTGGGTGGACCACTTGAGCTCAGGAGTTCGAGACCAGCATGGGCAACATGGTGAGACCCCATCTCTACAAAATTAGCTGGATGTGGTAGTGCGCACCTGTATTCCTAGCTGCTCGAGAGGCTGAGGCCGAAGGATCCTTTCAATCTGGGAAGTGGAGGTTGCAGTGAGCTGAAACTGCAGTCCTGCACTCTAGCCTGGGTAACAGGGTTTGCAAGATTGGCTCAGAAAAAAAAAAAAAGTTCTAAAACTTCTCAAAGATAGGATACATTTATTTCTCTCATCTGTAAAATAGGACAATAAAACAACTGCACAGCATTCCACTGTGTAACATTTAACTTGTCTTTGGTCACTGTCCACTTCTGGTTTCCTCAGTGATTATTCCACATCCTCCTCCACTCCCTTATTTTCAGCAGATCACATCTTCATTCTCAAAACCAGGTCGCCAGGTATGAAAGCCTTCAATTTCCTGGCAAGCTCACCCTGAACACATCAGTACCTTGCTGGCTTCCTCTCAGTCACAGAGGTCTTCCTTTTCCTATCCAAGGCTCACCTCCCATCAGTGCTCTTGACCCTATTGTCTCTATGACCTTGCTGCTCACATGCTTGTCCCCACCCATGTCTCCCTTCCCCTGGGTTCCTCTCATCTTATGAGCCCAGTATCTAAGAGTGTCATAGACTAGGTGCTGAATAATGTCTACTGGTAAACACCAATATATTGTACAAAATAAATCTATCAGTGATTTATATCCTAATGGTGGAGACCGCCTTATTCTTTAGCTGTTCCATTCTCTTATCTCCCAAACATATTCCTAAGTGTCTTGAGAACTGAGACAGTATTTTCTACTGATTTAAATAATGACTACTTGTTTATTTTTAATAGTATAATAAATCCTCTAGTTGTCACTGTTTTATCTAAAAGTACATATATTTTTTAAACCAGGCTGCCACAGATCTAGGGTAAACCAACTGGTGTTCTTGATAACTCTGAGATGCTGCAAGTTCCTCAAGTACCGACTAGGTTATCCATAGTTTACTTTATGCCTGTGTTCACCACTGCCTTGATGTTACATGCATTTTATTATCCTATGATAGTTTTATAAAAATTCATGCTTCATCTTGGTGACATATGGGGATTATTAACCACTTATTAGATTAACTAGTAGACAGTAAATAGCAGAGGGTTTAGAAAAGTCAGAAAAGGGAAAGTCAACCTGTAATTAAAAGCCAACTTTTCCACTTATGGGGTAAAAAGTGGGCTAAGCCTAAAAGTATGGGTTCCTAACCTCAGATTTTGGGAGTACATTAGGCTTTATTTGGGTTGGAAACTGTAAAATTTTTCAAGTTATAATTTTTCCATGTATTTTTATATTTGAATTGTATGTGTATGAGGGGCATTCAAAGCTTTCATAAGATTTGCAAAGTGGTTCTTGATGTGAAAAAGTTTAAAAACTATTAAATTAGGGTATACTCATAGATTTACCCAAGAATGGCTGCCAAAAAAGGCGTAGGGGAAAGTCTCTTACCCTTTTCTTTATGCTATTGAAAAGTGCTGCAATATTACACTGTATTAATTTTTAGCTTTAAATTTTTATTTGAAAATGTCAATGTAAAGTTCAAATATATTTTTATAACTTGTAACACCTTAAAGATAGTAGGTATTCTGTAAGTGTATAAGAATGTACAAATTATATAAATATGAGCAAGACATTATCTCAGCCACAAGGAGGGAGGTAGTCATACACCAACCTAAGAGCTTCAGTTTTATATTACAGTATATAATAGGTCCAAAGCACCGTGAATACACAGGAAGGGAAGAGTTTTCTTCCAGTTGAGAGAGTGGTGAAAGAATCATGGAAGACATGTGATGAATTATACTCTGAAGGACAGGTAGGGTTTAGGTAGATAAAATGGTGGGAAGGCATCCCAAGAGGTAAAGAGGTTGTACAAAGTCAGAGGGAATGGGAGCCTTGAGTACTCTGATGTAGCTAAAATCTTGCAAAGGTGAAATATACATTGTGGGAAGACAAAGCTGGATGATGGATGGATGGGAGCTGGATTATGGAGGGTCATGAATGCCATGCTAAGGAATTTGGACATTATTCTGTAAGTGGAAGGGTGTTGAGCAGGAGGACGGTATACTCTGAGCTATGCTTTAATTCTGAACAAGGGAAGGATGGTCTGAGAGAAGAGATTGTAGCCAGAAAAACCAGTGAGGAGGTTACTTCTGTATTCTTGTCCAGAAGTAACATGTCCTTATCTAGGCTGACAGCAGGCAGATGGAGAGAAGGAGATGGATGACAGAAACACAGTCATGCATTGCTTATGCTTTGTTAGGCAATTCCATCATTGTGGGAATATCAAAGAGTGAATTTATACAAACCTAGATGGTATAGCCTACCACACACCTAGGCTATATGGTATAGGCTACTGTTCCAAGGCTACAAACCTCTACAGCATGTTACTGTTTATACCAGCATCACCACAAACATGTGCAATGCATTGCAGTATAATATTACAAAGGCTATGATGTCACTAGGTGATAGGAATTTTTCAACTCCGTCATAATCTTATGGAACCACCATGTATATATATATATGCAGTCCATCGTTGACTGAAGCATCATAACGCAGCACATGACTATACTGAAGAGGTGAAGCCCACAAGATCTGGCTGAATCCACCCAGAGAGAATATATCAAAATAGGAAATATAAACTACTTGGTACTTTTTTCAGAGTGAAGTTCTTTAGCAACATACCTGAAAAACAGATAATCACACGATTTGTCCCACATATAGTCATCATAGCTGACTACCAAGAAATCACAGGCTATACAACGCAGATGGTCACATGCTCTGTTCAGAGAAAAAAAATTGTATATTAAAGATTATTGGTATCTTTAAATACCAATGAAAACATGGTGATTTATTTATAGGATACACCACATATTACAGATTACTGAATAAACAACAGAAAAGTACAGATTAATCTGATTATAAATCTTTATACTAAAGCATTATTTACGGTCTAAACCTTAAGGTTAAATTTTTGCACAAACCTACCTATTTTACTATGATCTTGTACACTGAACTTACACATATATTATATAGATATGAAAGAAAATAGATTTGTAGATCTTTTAATTCCATGGTTTTCAAATTACGTCTGAGGGAGATCGTCATATAAGCTAACTTCTTTAAATGCTCCCCTTCCTACTGAAATTTTCAGGAATATCTCTACCGAAGAATATGTCACATGACATTGAAATGAATCTGTTTTTCAGATAAGCTGCTTAAGCGCTGGGAAAAGATTGTATTTGTTTGCTTCCTCACAACTTGGCATAATGCATTCATTCACTCAAAAAATATTTATTGAGAGTCTGGTATGTGCTAATGAGATTCTGTCTTCATAGAGCTTTGATTGCAGTGAGAGAAGAAACAAACAATGCTCATGATAACTAGACTATATACTAACCTGGAGGGATATCTGAAGCAAGGTGCACACTAACATATATAGCATGATCCTATTTTTGTAAAAACGACCCCCACAAAAAATTCCTATATAGGTGGCTAGAAGTTTATAAGAACATGGAGCAAAATGGCCGGGCGCGGTGGCTCACGCCTGTAATCCCAGCCCTTTGGGAGGCTGAGGCGGGCGGATCACGAGGTCAGGAGATCGAGACCATCCTGGCTAACACAGTGAAACCCCATCTCTACTAAAAATACAAAAAAATTAGCTGGGCATGGTGGCGGGCGCCTGTAGTCCCAGCTACTCAGGAGGCTGAGGCAGGAGAATGGCGTGAACCCGGGAGGCGGAGATTGCAGTGAGGGGAGATCGCGCCACTGCACTCCAGCCTGGGCGACAAAGCGAGACTCTGTCTCAAAAAAAAAAGAACATGGAGCAAAATGTAGAAAGTTATATACTACACAGTAACCCTGGTTGCATCAGGAGTGGTTGAAGGGAAGGAAGGGAGATTATTATCTTTTTCTTTATACATGTTTCAATTTTGTTTTTATTCTTTCATTAAGCACATAATACTTCTGTAATGAAAAAATAAACTCATCATTAGATTTTTTTCATTTATTTCCCTTCAAAGTTCAGATACGCTAATTTCAAAATGCAAATACTTTTGGCCTGAAAATTTCTTTGAGAATAAATGCTTTGTATTTCTAAAAATACTATTAACCATAATAATAATGAAACATTTAAAACCTATACAAGTTTCATAGGCAAGTCCATATTTTCTTTCAAACTGTTAGCAATTTATGAAGTTGCATTTCTACATTTGGAAATTCAACAACTACATTTGTACACATTTGAACTCAGACTTCGAATGTACAAGTCAGGAAATGCAAATTGATAGTTCCCAAAGCTACTATGACCTGCTTTCTTATGCATATATAGTTTATTACATGATTGCACAGAGTGTTAACTTTAATGCCTTAATACATATGTGCAATTTGGCTGAATTATTGCTGTTGTGGGAACTATAATTTAGAATTTCCTGACATTTTGTATGTGTAAAATCTCAACCATAATGCTAAATACAGCTTTTTAATTTAATTTAAAATTTAGTAGTTTATTCAAATCTATTCACACCACCACATTTTCCTACAAACACTGTCCTTTGAGAAACATAAAACTAACTTGCAGCTAAGAAATCATTCCACTGCTACGATTTACTCTATTAGATCATAATTAGTACCAGTCTATGGAATAATCCAGTCTTGCAAGTTGTTTAAAAAATAATTGAGAGTAAAATTCGATTGGCTTGAAAATGCCTTCGTTTTATCTGTAGTACTTATTACTGCCACCATGCTTCCTACTACTATTCTCTCCCCTTTTCCACCAACAAGTGAAAGACAAATCTTTTTCTAAAATCTAAAGTCATTCAGCATTACCTCAAGCCAGAGCTGTATCTAGAAATCAAACAACGCAAATAGGCAGGATAGATTCAATTTCCTTTATGCCCTGGCCATGTAAATCAGTACTCTTTTCAGGGCTGAAATATATTTCTCTTTCATAACTATGTACATAAAAGCATATCTAATATAAAGTCATGACTCCAGTGAAAGACAAACTGTCAGGTCTTTCCCTCTAAAATGTAGAGGGAATCACACATAAGATGTCACCAAGAGCTTTGTTCTTTTGTCCAGCTAAAAAGTAGAATTCACTATTTTAAAGATGTTTACGACAGGAATGCCCCAAATCCAACCCAATACAATCTTCTGCCCAGACACTGTGGTTCTCTGTTAAATCCTATCAGATCTGCACAATGGGACTAAAGAAACTTGATGTCTGGATAGTTTGAAGATAACAGCAGTTCCAACAGCAACATCAGCTAAGATTCTTCCCATATTACATGGCTTTCTGCTAAGTGGTATAATAGAAAGCATAATGGATTAGGAATCAAGTAACCAATCTGGATCCTTGCTTTGCAATAACTGATATGACCTTGAGCAAGGCACCTTATTTGGGAGTCATTCTTAACAACTTTCTTTCTTACCCTCCTTAGTCAATCACTGAATTCTGTCAATTCTATATTCTAAATATTTCAAATTTGACCTTTTCCCTATAGCCATTGCTACCACGCAGGTCACAGCTCCCATCTTCTCTTTCCTGGACCACTCTAACTACTGCCCATTGACTAGTCTTCCTGTGTCCTTTCCTGTCTTGCCCCTCCAACTCCCAAGCCATTTTCTGCACAGCAGCCAACATGACTTTTTTAAGAAACACAAATCTGGCCCATTGAACACAGGACAAACTTTTTCCAAAATCCTCAAAAGGATTACAGGACCCTAAGCCAAATGTCCCTCCACTCTCTCTCCAGCCCAGTCAGTGGCCATTCTTTCCCTACTCATTATGCTCCAGCATGGCCAGATACTCTCTGTTCCTTCCACCAGAGGAACACCCCCAGCTCCTCCCCTTCTCAGGGAGCTTCTAAACATGCGTGTGCTCTGGCTCCAATGGTCACCTCTCTTTGTCTAACTCCTACTCATTTTTCATATTGTGGTTTGATTATCTGCTCAGAGAAGTATTCCCTGACCCTTCATATTAGTTAGAGTGTCCATTATCTATGCTTATAGTATCCCATATGTTCCCTTTATGTCACATATCAAATGGAAAATAAATACTTATTTGTGGAATAATCTATTTAAAGCCCATCTCCTCATCTAGACTGAAAGCTCATTGAAGACAGGAAGTGTCCATTTATTTGTTCATCAAAATTTGTTCATTTAATCCTTAGGACCTATCAGGTGGTTAATATGTGTTTGATGAATTTAACACAAGTACCTCAATCTCTTCATTTATAAAATGGAGGTAAAAATTCTTGATCAGCATCTTGGGTTTTTCTCTTGTGGAGCAGGTAAGTCAATATGCATATATAAAAAGTGCTCTGGACAGTATAAAGTACTTCACACATAAAATTTGCATATGCAGATGAACACATGTGTTTGTCTTTCTATGGGTGCAAATTCTGTTTCATGAAAGGGGCAACTAATAAAAAATCTGTGAATACAAACATTTACCTGCGCATATATATGCAACTGGTATCTCTTCTTACAGCTGTGCAGGAGGTAGAAATCAGGTATAATTGATTTCGGCATCCCACTTGGACTAATAGTATGTGATAGGAGCCTCGAGCTATGAAAACAGGCTGTTCTTTGGTTTACTGAAATTCCATCTAACATAGATTTTGTCTGTGCTACAACTAAATCAAAGTACGTACAAAATATTTCATACATAAGAAAATCTTAATGAAATGTTTACTTTTTAGAAGTAAACCAGAATGTATTTTTTTAAAAGATCATTTGTAAAAACAGAAGGCACCTGTAATTATATGTATTTCCTGAGATAAAATGGAAAACTAGTAGTAGAATAAAGATTCTTGTCCCTGAGATATAACGTAACAAGAAAGCAGGACTAATGGATGAGAAAGACACCTTAATTAGAACCCAGTGTGCCTGCAGTACCTAGCTGTCTTTTGCACCATAGGCATAGTTTTCATGTATTATTTCATTTAATCCTCAGAGTATCTCCATGAAATATGTTTAGTTTTTAAGAGTGAGGAAACAGGTTTTAGAAGATAACATCCCTTCTTAAGGCTTCAGAGCTTGTAAGTGGCAGAGTGAGGCTTTGAACTCAGGCATTCTGTCATCAGAGCCCTTCCATTTCAGGCCACAGGAGTAATCATTTGCTTCTTTGTTCCTTACTGGCCAGTGTTTTGCCTTTTATTGATAAGCTAGCACAGGGTTTAGGACATGGGCATTCAATGGATTTAAAAAATCGAAAAAATTTAAATAGAAAAATCAATCTGCAGTGTGTGAATTAAACAGATAAGGCAGCAGGAGACATGCATTAGAAGGGAGTGTTGTTCCAGATAGGGAATAAATGTAAATATACTCAGACACAGAAAAACATAAGTGGAAAGTACAGAATGACAAGCATCCCAGTGGCAGTGGAATATCTGACCCAGGCTTTAATTGGAGCTGAAGGAACTAAAGAGAGAAGAGGAACAACAAGGATAACAATTTGGTAAAGCAAATAGTGAGTTTAGAGTTAATGTGAGACAAATGGCAACTCTCACTTCCCTTCTGAATAGAGGAGAGGCACTCAGAATAGTATTTTAGGGATATTATCTTGAATGCTATATGTGGGTGATATTAGAAAAGATGTAAGTGGATGATAACTGGGAAACTGCTGCTGTGGCTCATGGGTGACTTGAGAGATGCCTGGAATAGAGGAGGCATGGCTCTGAAAATGACGGAGACAAGTCCCAACTGAGTTGAGACAGGCAATTTAGGACTGACAGCAACAACACTACCTCTACAGGCAGTTTGTATCTCTAATTTTTTTGTACAGAGAGTCCTCAACACATGGTGATTCAATTACTATTAATTCTTCTTTATAGCTCTAACAGTAGGTAACATTCCAGTGGATTTATATTAGCCTGTTGGCTGCCTGGTGTTCCCATATAAGGCTTCTCCAGACTCCTAATTTCACTTTTGTCCTATAGCCCTACCTTCTGGGCATTGTCCTTCGATGTAGGCTGGCACCACCACAACCCTCCAACAATGTTTTTTTTAACTCCCACTTCTATTATTCAATATAATTAATTTGCCCCAGTGATGTTTTGGTCAATGACGGACCACATATACAACAGTGGTCCTATAGAATTATAACGGAGCTAAATAATTCCTATTCCTAGTTACATCATAGCTGTCCTATATAGCACAATGCTTACTCATGTGTTTGTGGTGACGCTGATGTAAACAAACCTACTGAGCTGCCAGTTGTATAAAAGTAGTGCATACAGTTATGTATAGTACATAATACTTGATAATGATAATAAACTATGTTACTGGTTCATACTTTTACTATGCTATACTTTGAATCATTATTTGAGAATGTACTCCTTCTACTTATTAAAAAAAGTTAACTGTAAAACAGCCTCAGGCAGGTCCTTCGGGAGGTATTTCAGAAGAAGGCACACTGTTACTATGAGATGACAGCCCCATGCGTGTTGTACCCCCGCAACAAAGACCTTCCTGTGGCGCAAGATGTGGAAGTGCAGGACAGTGATATGGATGACCCAGACCCTGTATAGGCCCAGGCTAATGTGAGTGTTGTGTCTTCATTTTTAACAAAAAAGTTTAAAAAGTGAAAAACAGAGCTGGGCGCAGTGGCTCACGCCTGTAATCCCAGCACCGTGGGAGGCCGAGGAGAACAGATCATGAGGTCAGGAGATGGAGACCATCCTGGATAACATAGTGAAACCCCGTCTCTACTAAAAATACAAAAAATTAGCCGGGCGTGGTGGCGGGCACCTGTAGTCCCAGCTGCTCGGGAGGCTGAGGCAGGAGAATGGCGTGAACCTGGGAGGCGGAGCTTGCAGAGAGCCGAGACTGCGCCACTGCACTCCAGCCTGGGCGACAGAGCGAGACTCTGTCTCAAAAAAAAAAAAAAAAAAAAAGTAAAAAACAATGAAACAATAGAAAAAAGCTTATAGAATAAGGATACAAAGAAAGAAAATATTTTAGTATAGCTGTACGATGTATTTTAAATTGTTATTAAAAAGAATCAAAAGTTAAAAAAATAAAAAAATTTATAAATGAAGTTTCAGTAAGCTAAGGTTAATATTATTAAAGACATTTAAAAGTAAACTTAGTGTAGCCTAAGCTACAGTGTTTATAAAGTCTATACTAGTGTAATATCCTAGGCTTTCACAGTCACTCACCACTCATTCACTCACTCAGAGCAACTTCCAGTCCTGCAAGCTCTGTCCATGCTAAGTGCCCTATACAGCTGTACCATTTGAAAAATCTTTTACAATGTATTTTTGCTGTACCTTTTTAATATTTAGATACACAAATATTTACCATTGTGTTACCACTGCCTACTGTATTCAGTGCGGTTACATGCTACACAGGTTTATAGCCTAGTAGTATGTAGTAGGCTAGTATACCACCTAGCCTAGGTGTGGAGTAGGCTATATCATCTAGGTTTGTGTAAGTACACTCTATGATGTTTGTACATGAGGAAGTCATAATGACTTATGACTAATGACATATTTCTCAGAATGTATCCTTGTTGGTGACACTTGACTATACAACAGTTAGCCCTCCAGAAATGTGGTCAACATGCAATCATATAACTTAGGCCATTCTTTCTTAAAAAATTAACAGAAAATAAGTGTTTTAGAAATAATTAGATAAAAGTATTTTAATAAAGTAAGTTAGGTAAGTAGACCTCTGCCAAAAATAGAACCAAAAGCAGCAGGAGAGTAGGGTTTGCTTAAAGCCAAACTGTTTGCCCACATTATGAAAATGCCAATGGAATGTGCTAGGACTATGGGGCTAATATGGGTTTGGGGTAGGTGGCATCATGACTATAAGACTGCCCAGAAAGAGGTACTGAGTGAGAAAGTGGAGGCAGGAAGGGCAGGGAAGAGACAAAGAACATAAGGTTTTTGTTTTTGAAATATGTAAACATGTAAAATCAAGCAACTACGCTTGAGAATGTTTTGGGCAATGCAGACCTGTAGCTTTGCATGCTAATTGGCCAAGGCAGTGTGGGTAAGGCATCATGTATCTGCATGGCCACTTTGCTTCCACTGCCTGGAAGGAAGTTCACTCTCCTGTGTCCTGTGGAAACAAAGCTGGGACTGGAGTGATCCAGGCATTTCAAGTGGGGCTTAGAAAAGGGCATAAAATGAATAATATGTACCTAACATCACAGCTTTCAATAGCTATCTCCCAAGAATAAAAAACAAAGAATTCTTAGATTAGCTAATAAAAATACCTCTCCTTATAAAACAGATTGATGTGAAGATGATAACTACATTTTAACAATGGGGCATCCATTTGGAAAAAACCTAGTAAGAAAGTATAATACATTTCTGACAACCTACCTCCATGAAATATTTGTTCCAATCCCACATGGAATAGAGCTTCCACCAAGGTACACCGGACTGCAACTAGATGTGTTCAACAGATGCAAAAATATGAAGTTATAACAAAAAATAGGAGAAGTTAATTTGGCCATGTTAAAAAAATTTTTGGTTTTATTGACTTTATGTTCTTGTAATCAAATTGTCTATTTTCCCTAGCAAGCCAACCATTTCAAAGAAGAGATATTTATTGTAGGATCACTGCTTTATTGGATATAACCTGTACATTCAGGAACACTCAAGGAATTAAAATGAGTAAAAGAAAAATGTGTTTGCCAAATAATGTAAGGGACAAAGTAAATACTGAAGAATATAACAGAACATTAATTTTGAGAAACTGTTCACACTTTTTTTAAATGGCAGAAAATTATTTACAATAGCAATAATCCCCCATTTAATTTCCTTTACACAAAGGGGGTCACAGACCATAAGAACACTGAAGATATTGCTATTGGTCTTTCTCCTGAAGGCCAACCAATGCTTTGTTGTTCAATGTCACTGCTGTTTAAATGGTAACAAAATCTACTAGACTATGCTCATAGTGTTTGCTCAATAGTGTGTATAATTCACCAAAGCAATCTCAACTTACCTTTTACCAAGGCCTTCAATGGAAGCTCTGACAGATGTGTTACCTGAAGATTTAGATTTTAATTTCTGTTAAAAAAGCAAAACAATAAAAGGCCATGAGTAACTTAGAAAACTGTAACATGAAAACTAATATTCCTTATAACAAGAATATTTTCTAAATGACTTAAATACAAATTTTCATGGCATCATTTTTAAGTTTCTGAAATAAAAACAATGATCAAAACCTTTTAAAGGCAAAAGGGAAGTAGAACTCCCTAAGGAATGTGCAAATTACTCTACTAACTTTTAGGCTAGGAAACTGATATATTGCCATTATTAGCATGCTAAGATTTAGAGTCACTTTATAACTCTTCAGTTAATATTACAGTTCAATGATTTAATATGAAGGACCTGCTATTTAAAACTTCATTCTAGAAAAATTCAATTGAGGAGGAAAAAAACCTCAGACTCATTTTTAAAGGCTGTGAATGTGCGTCATATGAATTAAAATTAACCAAGCTCCTGTGTAACTTCAGGAATATTAATTTTGATCAAATGGAATGGCATCAACCAATAAATGTGCAAGGAAAATGTAGAACTACCTAGTCACAACCATACAGTAGTTCCTATATGGTTACATAGTATCATCATCATTAGCAAGCATTTATTAAGTGTTAACTGGTATATGGTACCAAACAACATAAACCAACCACACACTAGGACCACCGCCAAGGAGAGGAAGTGAGATGGAGAAAAGGCAATTTAAACTATGCAGAGACATGCCTTCATTTTACATAGTGGGTGAGGAAATTTAATAGAGGCGAAAATATTGTTTTACTATGTCTCTCAACTCTTATTTGATGTTAAGCAGAAATGGAAAAAATTTTGGTACATGTTTGAAAAATAATAATATGCACGAATCTTTCTGTTTGGGGAGCATGTTTCATGTGCCATCCAGACTCAGGCTTATGACTCTAAGCTGGCACACTCTGAGGTTTGTTGTTGGTTCCTGGGCTTTCTTGTGTGGGTCTGGGAACAGTTCAGAAATGCGACAGAATGGGAGAGCAGGAGGTGCGGTAAGGGAGTAGTATTGTCAGGGCATAATATAGCCTCTAATGACAACGTTGGCATAGACTATCTGTTTATCTATGTTTCTTTTGTTAATACATGTTTTTTTTTCCCAATAAATGTTTTACTTAGACCTGCTGTCTCCTTTGAAGGTTGGAAAACTGGACATAATACATAACTAAAAAAGGAAAAGATCATGATTAAAAATTTACTTCTTCATGATTATAAGAGCTACTTTTATTTCAAATTAGTATATCTTAAAGCCAAACCAGAGAAGTACTTATCTTCTTCTGAAACACCTTAACTGAAAAGATAGCGCCTCATATACAGATATGCACCCTATTGGTACTTAATAAACAATGAATTGCTCAGATGATTAATGAAGAGCAACAAAATGATGTAATTTTTTTCTACCATTAATTAGTACTACTAATTGGCATTACTATTCAGTGCTTATGCACTTACTCAGTATTTAGGAAGTATTCTATTTGCAGGGTACAGGTGACCCTTGAACAACATGCGTTTCAACTGCACAAGTCCACTTATATGTGGAATTTTTCCAACCAAACAAGGATCAAAAATACAGTATTTGTGGCATGCGAAACCCCACGTACAGAGGGCCAACTTTTCATAAGGTGGGTTCTGTAAGGCTGACTGTGGAACTTGAGTATGTATGGATTTTGGTATATGTGGGGGTCCTGGAACCAATCCCTTGAGTATACCAAGGAATGACTGTATTTAATATTGCTATTGTGTTTACATATTATTCAACTTGGCATGTGCTTATTAATTTACTTCAGGTGAATTGAAAAAGTTTAATTTTCTAAAATCTATACTAGTCACTTGATTTTTAGTCTGGGTGACAAAAATGTAAGTGGTCCCTATCCATATTCTTACCACAACCATTACCTAGGTATTTTCAGTCCACTGTTTTGCTTTTATCTTCCCTATCCTTTAAAAAACAAAACCCTGGTACTATAGTTATTTCTTAAATTTTTTTGTGATCTTTGTAAATTAGACTTCTATTTTTGTATCTTTCTTTTAAATCTAACAGATAATGCTTGACACACACCATACTGATAAAAATTAAAATACATAAATTCTCATATACTGCCCAGTATGAAAAATGTTAAGTGATAAAGTCACTTTGGAAAACAATTTGGCAATGGGTAGAAAAGTTGAAGATGAGCACACCTTATGACCTAGGAATTCCTCTTCTAGCTTTATACACCCTAGAGAAACTTCCGTATATGGGTAAAAGAAGCCATGTAAAGATATCTAATGAAGGCGTAATCACTGGTTTTCCCTGTGTACATGTCAAAATTTGTATGCCTTTTCTCCGATTAAAAAAAAGGTATCTGATGAAGCACTATTTGTAATAGCAAACAACTGAGCACAATCTAAATGTCCATCATCAGGGAAGTGGATAAACTGTGGCAGAGTTATACAATGGACTACTGTACACAGTTAGAATTGTTTATGGTTATGTACATATGTAATGAAAGTATAAATGTATGGATGGAAAGGATAAATGGTTATCTTTGGGAAGGAAGGCAATAGAATAGGATTTAGAGAGGTCTTAAACTATATCTTTAATTTGTACTTCTTTTTAAAAAAAAAGGTCCAGTAAAGCAAATGTGGCAAAACATTAATATATGTTTAATATGGGTGGCTGTCATGGTATGTTCAGTATATAGGTTGCTGTTATATTACTTTCTGAACTTTTTATGCAGCTAAAATAGACATACAAACATTTAAAAAACTGAAATATTAACAATTTAGTCATTGCTTCATGGGATAAGAGCAATGGCATTGCATGTGAGGTGCTAAGCACATTCCTACAATGAAAGCTGTTTGTTTTTGGCCTTTTAGAAAAGTGTCCTTAGATACTACAAATAAATACAAGTGACCAGCTTGATGTGTGAGTTGACTTCTATGCTAACAGCTTTTCTAATTTGTTATTCTTACTGAGAAATGCACAGGGAAACACATACTGAGAGTTTCTGATATTTTACTGCTTCTACTGCTCTTTAAGTGTAATAATTTCTTTAAGTAATTGTATTTCTCAGAATTCAAAAGATAATGGGTAGCTACTTGTGTCATCTTTAAGACTATTCTAAACATGTCTTGAAATAATGACAGAATTACTACATATTTATAACACTTGACTTACAGAGGGTTTTTTGTCCAAGTTGGGCTCTTCAAGTATTTCATTAATAAGACTGTCAAGATCATCTTCTTTTTTAAATGTTTCTGTTGATCTGAAAAGAAGACATACACAAAGAAAACTTACCTGAGGTTTATGAGCAGAGAAAGCTAGTATCAGAAGAGTTTTGCTTAAAGTCCATTATTAGAGCTGATAATAGAAAGATAAAAGTGATTTTAATTTTTTTCACTGTGGATATAGTCTAAGTTTGTTGAGACAAAGATATACTTTATCAGGTACAAATTCACATATGTTCTATACTATTACATACTTGATATTACATACTTCAGACATTTACAGCTATATACATTATATTCAAGAGGAAGCTGGGTATGTACTTATCTGAATTACATAAAGCATGTATTTAATACAAAATATGTGCAATAAGCAGAACCTGATATTATAAACAAAGATAATTTTAACGAGTCTTCCTGACTTTTCCCCTAAAGGTTGCATTGTAAGTCAACCATACCTCTTTACTAGAGGGGCCGAAGGTCATGTAATCAAATGACCACCTCCACCCCAAAAAAAGGTGCTATTTGTTAGACAGAATATCTCAACTACTCAACTACCTCTACCTTCTGCAGGCAAAGCCATCACTGGATTATTAATATAAACCACTACTGCATAGAACTTCTATTTAATAGCTGATGCTAAATAGCTAATAACTAAATAGTAAGTATTTACTGAATACTTACTATAACCCAGGCATTGTCCTTAGTCTTTACATGAGTATATCTTTATTTAACCCCAGTTTTATAGATGAAGAAAAGGCACTGAGAGATTCAGAAATCTGTTCAAGGTCATATAAGTAGTGGGAGAAAAGGCTTGGAATTGAATCTAGGGCAGTCCGTGCACTTAATACTATACAAGATTAACTTTCTTTAGCGTTTGTATGAAGTAGATGCTGTACATCAACTTTATAACTTCATTAAATTATTTGTTTTAGAAGACAAGTTTTTTAGTCAAACTCTCTAATTTCAGAAATGTATTTACTCTGACAATTTTTAACATAGGCCTTCTTCATTACATCTTGGAGTAAAATAATTTAACCTGATATAAGAAAAGCAAGAGACGGCTGCCTACTACCTAATGGTTGATTCTGTCTCCAGGCTTAGCCTCTTCAGTTGTACTGTAACTTTTACCCTTAATGTCTTTCACTGTATACTGGTTTCTTCCTTTGACTTAGAGGTATGCTCAAGGCTTGCTTCTTCAAAGAGACACTTCAAAAAACCCCTGTCTTGAAGCTGCCACCCTTTCTTACTCACTACTGAAGAATAGTCTATATCCACGATTTCTACTTCCTTACAAGTAGACTAGATTTAGAATCAGTTGGGTGCTAATCCTAGGCGGGGGTTTCTCAGCCTTGGAATTATGGACATTTTGGGTCAGATAATTCTCTGGGGTGTGTATGTGGGGGCAGGAGACTGTTGTATATTGCAGGACATTTTACAGCATCTACCCACTAGATGCTATTAAATAATAGCACACCCTTCCCCAGGTGCGACAATAAAAAATGTCTCCAGACATTGCCAAATGCCCCTTGGGTGGCAAAATCATCACCAGTCTAGAGATACCGACTTAGTTTAAATTATTTAATCTCTCTGAAACTCAAATATTTTATCTATAAAAATGATATCTAGATGACTATTTAAAATTTCTTTCAGGTATAATATTCTACTTCTGGCCTCTAATCCCTCAACTATAGTGAAACTCTTCTCTCGAAGGTTTCCACTGCCCAAATCACTACAATCTAATGGTGGTTCTCAGTTCCAATCCTCTTTAATCTTTCAGAAGCATCTGACACTGTTGGGTACCAATTCCTTATATTTCTTTTTCGATAAGAGGTTGCTAAGATGTCCTCTTAAAATTCTCTCCTTTGGCTTTCAGGACATACTTTCCGGGTTCTCCTCCCTCATGCAATTTCACAATTTCAAGAATCAGATACATCCAAACTCCACCAACCTAATCAGTACTGTTACAGATCCAAATTACCAGCTTACATAAGATTCTGGTCTGTTCTTAGATCACACAATTTCAAAATGCCTACACTTGCCTATGCTTTGCTATAGTAATAACAATAAAGTCAACATTTCATTGAGAACTCATAATTTTAAAGGACTGTATAAGACTCTTTTTGGTCTTTTGATGTGACAATAATCTCAATCAAATGTTAATAAGCTTTTACTGGTTCCCTTTCTGACTCTGTTTCTGACATTCTAATCTTTTAAAGATATAGTTTCTGCTGAAAATAAAACATATATTTAAGATAAAATATAAACACTTAAACCTATAATTAAATGTGAGAGGTATTATATAGAAAGCTTAAATCTAGATCTACTATGTCCTTGTGATTTAGCAATATGACTTTAGGCAAGTAACTAAGCATTGATTTGGTCAATGAAATGGGGATAACAGTATTCACGCATGGGATTGTGAAGATTAAATGAAATAACATATACAAAGCACTTAGCATACAGAAAGAGCTCAATAAATGTTGGCTGTTATTATAGTTATCATCTAGAAAGCTATATTATCTTTAAATATTCCCATCTGTATCATCCTGAACCACTTTATTCCTATTGCAGTTCTTCTCAACCCACATCAGTCTTTTTTAATTTTTTTACTAATCACATATTTCTTTTTATCATTTTGAACACTTCAACAAATTGCATGTTTTGACCTCTTACATTAGCAGTTGTTCCTGGTATCCAGATGTAGCATGGTCATTTATAGTATTATTTGCATTTATAGTATCATTTTAAGAGGTAATATTAGTATTTTAACTCTTATAAGAGATACAGGTTACACTGCTATACAATTAGTAGGTAATCTCCTGTCAATAAATTCAAACATAAATTGCTTCCTAGCTTTTAAGTATAAATTTTGGCTCAAGGAAAAATTTTAATATATAACATTATAAACCAGGTTGGGACTATATTTGGTATAAGGTTTAGGCCCTTTGTTGCTGTTTTTTGTACAATTTACAACTACATTGCCAGATGAAAAGTTTTAATATAAATGACAACAGTACTGTTTCACTAAGGCTTTTATGTTACTTAGTACTAAAAAAATCTAATGTATTAAGGTGGGCTGAGGTACTAGAAATATTATGGATGAATTTTAGTAGAGCAAGAACAGGCATGACACAACCCATGGTTGGAGAAGATCCACATAAATAGTCCTTTCCATTTTGAGCAGCTGGCTTCAATACATCCTGCCCCTCCGCATGCTAGTTCTCCTAAGATGAACAGCTCTGAAAAGCTCCTTGATAGACTAGTTCTATCCCCTAGAAGGACAAACGAAAAGTACTAAAGAAATTGCAAAGCAACACTGTTGTGGGATAGGGATGGTAGATGCGCTAATAGATACATAAGGAATTCCAGTACACAAGATAATAAAAGTTAATGAGAGTGATATTTACAACATCCAGCCAAATGAGTGTTAGCCCATTCATAGTAATTATAGTTGTTTCTAATTTTTGTTTTAAAATGCTGCTCAGAACTCAACTAATTTTTAGAAATTTTGTTTATGTACTCCTTTAGAATTTTTTCGATGCTTTTATCTTCGCAGAGTGAATTTTTATAAATAAATGTCACTGACTGGGCACGGTGGCTCATGCCTGTAATCCCAGCACTTTGGGAGGCCGAGGTGGGTGGATCACGAGGTCAGGAGATCGAGACCATCCTGGCTAACACGGTGAAACCCCGTTTCTACCAGAAATACAAAAAATTAGCCAGGCGTGGTGGCGGGCGCCTGTAGTCTCAGCTACTCGGGAGGCTGAGGCAGGGGAATGGGAGGCGGAGCTTGCAGTGAGCTGAGGTGGGCCACTGCACTCCAGCCTGGGCGACAGAGCGAAACTCAAAAATAAATAAATAAGTAAATAAAATAAATAAATATCACTGGAGGTAAGCCAGGTGAACTGGATAGTAACAGAGTTGGATAATACTTTGGGAAATCACACATACACACACCAAAAAACCAAAACCAAACCAAAGATGCAGCAAAAAAATTAACGGAGATGACGTTCTTAGATTGATCCAAAGTTGCCTCCGTGTAATTTCACAAGCGTTTCCAAAATATTCTAGGCAAGAGGCAATTTCCAAAAGATTCTAGCAAGAGTTACTGAAGGTCAATATTCTTATGCAAACATTTTGTTTTTTTTTTTTGAGGGGTTGTGGGGGAAATGAGGAAGTGAAGGAAATCCTATTATTTAATAATTACATGGAGGAAAAACGACTGGTAAATTTGAAAGGTAGTTTTTAGATAAAAAACCAAAATACCTTAAGAAATGTCCTTAAATTTCCATATGTATGTCTGGCACCCTTAACTAGGGGGCCATGGAGAGAAGGAAGGTAGACGGTTTAATGTTCACAATAATTAACCCTTTTGTAATGAATTTAATCTCATCTTAACTCCCTGAGTTAAAAAAATAAAACAAACTGAGTCAGGTGCGATGGCTCGCAACTGTAATCCTAGCAGTTAGGGGAGGCAGAGGCGGGAGGACAGCTTGAACTCAGGAGTTCAAGACCAGCCTGGCCAACACAGTGAGACTGTCTCTACAAAAAATACAAATTAACCGGGCTCGTGCCTGTAATCCCAGTTTACGTAATCCCAGATTACAGGCTCGTGCCTGTAATCCCAGCTAGGGTAGGCCGAGGTGGGAGGATCTTTGAACCCGGGAGTTGGAGGCTGCAGTGAGCTACGATCGTGCCACTGCACTCCAACCTGGGCGACAGAGCGAGACTCCATCTCAAAAAACAAACAAAACAACAAAACTGAGCTAAAGACAAATAGGATTGACCTGGGGAGTGGGGTCTGAGGCAATGGGATGAGGCTGTCTAACAGGGCACCTCACAGGGAGATGAGAACCGCTTGGCCACACAGAGGCAAAATGCGGCCGAGGTCAGCACAGCCCTCTCGGGGTTAAGAACGGGGCGCCTGAGGGGTATCCCGGTCCCCGACTAGAACCTCCTACGCGCTGGCAGCCAGAAACAGGATGAAGGAGACTGGCGCGGACTGCGGGCTCTGCGGGCGGGGCGGGGCGGGGCGGGGCGGGGCGGGGCGGGGCGGGGGCCAGCCCTCTGGGGCATGCCGGGGGGCGGAGTCTGCGCTGAGTGAAGAGGTGCCAGAATCCGCGAAGAGGGTCGACGAATGCGCTGCCGCGGAGGGTAGGGCGCTGAGGGTCTGAACCCTGATGCAAGGAGGGGCTGGAGGTCGCGGGCACGTTTCTTTTGGGTTGGGCGGCGGAGGGGCAGCTCTAGGGCCTGGAGCAGGGCTTTACCAGAACAGTCCACCCCTCCCGCCCGGTTAACCTGAGCGTCTCTTTCGCCTTGGCTTGGTTCCGGTCGCTACTGTGGGTGCCGCCGCCGCAGCCTTTGGGCTGCTCGACCATACCCCGTCTTAGAAGGTCAGGTGTGCAAAACTTGGACTCGACTTCATCCAAGAGCTCGTCCAGGTCCTCCGCCATCTTGAATCGCCTGGCCTTTTCCCCTCCAATCGCCAAGGCTCCGGTGGTTTCCAGGAGTAACGAGGGGACCTGGCGGGCTCCTGCCCCGTTAGGCGTCCCCGCGCATGCGCACCGCTTCCCGTGGCAACCCGGCGCCCACGAGGGCTCGCGGCAGAGAACGCGGTGGGTTCGTGAGGGGCGGGCGTATGCAGGGACAGAGTTCGGAGCTGTCTCTGCAGTGTGTCTGTGTGACTCGCGATGCTTTGCGTTTCTTCCTTTCAGCATGTCTGGCGTGGTTCCTCCCGTCTCCCCCTCCCGGGCCCACGTTGTAACCACAAGCACGCATTCTCGCCCCTTCATTCTCTCCTCTCCCGTTTGGGTCCCTGTTGTGTTTCAGCCGTTTGTAAATTCCTGAAATCTGTGGAAGGTTTGAGCAGAACGCTCTAAAACACAAAAAGTAAGTGTTGACGGCAAAAAGCTGACATTCCCGTAGTCGGCAGGATTCGAACCTGCGCGGGGAGACCCCAATGGATTTCTAGTCCATCGCCTTAACCACTCGGCCACGACTACTGGCTGTGTGAATTTTTGCGGTGAGAGTGCATGTAGACTCTGCATAAGCGTCTGCTGCAGCAATAGGCACGTTTTGATGTGGAGGAAACCATTACTGAGCTGTTCTGTTAAGAGCATATTTGAATGTTACCTCGCTCATCATTTTACAGTTTGTAAAAGTCTTAGAACGTATCCCGTCCAACTCTTTGTTGGAAAAAACGGAAATTCTAATTAAATCCGAGAGAGAGAGAGAGAGAGACAGAGAGAGAGATGCGTGCTCAAAACTATTGCACACCCACTTGCTTGCACAATGTTGGAGCCATTTCCAGGAGAGAACCAGGAACCGGGTAGGGGCCAACCAGCTTCCCGACTTCCTTGTGGGGCTGCCAGTTCCACTCCTTCGCCTTTCTCTTTGACAAACGGCTCCCAGGACTATCTTTTCACCCATTATACATTAAAAAGCTATTACCCAGCGATTTAAATTCACTCTGCAGGGTCAGACAGTCCCACCGTGCCATAAAAGCACTACTTTGAAAAGTGTAAAGCGTGATACAAGTGTAAGGTATTGTAAATGGCATTCTTAATAAATACTGTGCATAGTTTAACCTGTGTTTTGGGTATTTCTAAAGTGGGGTAGCAAAGAGGTTGGCACCCTTGGGAACTCTGGAGATAGTTTGATCCAGATGATTTGTTTGTTCAAAGTATCTTTTAAGGTCCCTGAAGAGCAACATGTAGTGGTGTGCTGGAGCCAATGGGACATGCTCACTCCTACCCAGTGATAAATTTTCAAGGATTTTGGGAGCTAGTTGTTAAATGCAATTATTATTAAATATTAAATTATGCAAACTTGCAATTACATTATGTTAAAAGCAAATATGATACTCAAAATTCATATGCTAGTGATTCCACTACCTTTTACTATTATTTATAAATATAATTGAGATTGTTTACATCTGAAAGACTTTCTCTCTTTAACTTTCCATTCAGTGATGTCACTTGGGAAGCTTGAAATGAGCCATAGTGGGTGTTATTTACATGAGGGAAATTGCAAATGTGACAAAGCAGGGCTTTTTATCCCTAGGAGATGAAAGATACTTTGAACAAACAAATCATCTAGATCAAACTGTCATTTAGTAGAACACCCCATGTTACCATCAGACCAACTGTGAATATTCTCAGCAAGGCAACACTCCCCTTTTCTGCAGGGCTGCTCTATTTATTGTCTCTGAATCTTTGTTTTAGCTATTAGAATCCTGGCCTAAACACACACACACACACACACACACACACACACACAAATATGCATATAAACATATATGTATATTTACACACACAGGGGAAACTAGCATTTTTATGCAAAATACTTAACATTGAGCACTGACCACTCAGATCAGACACTGTCAGGATGCTTAAGTAGTATCCTAGAGGCACCCTGACATGTATTACCCTTGTAGTCAGAGTAGAGAACTCTAGAGGGTGGGGAGACAATGTTGGGGCAAGGAGGGGACTCGGACACTAGTTATTTGTCTAGAATCCTGGCATATTCTATGATTTCCAACTAATTAATTTTTTAAAGTTTTTTTCCAAGTTGCCTTGCTGGGCGATTTTACCTAGAACCGGTCTCTAGCAGAAAGGCAAGGAAAAGCTGCTTGAAAAAGCGGTCCTTGCAACATGGTTCCAGGGGAAGTCATAGTTAGTGGCCATCCAGTTTAACAGGCTTACATTAATGATTTGATTTTGCTCTTGAGAAGATGAAATCTGAGGGGATCTGTACCAATGTTGAAAGTATCTGTTAGCGGCCGGGCGCGGTGGCTCACGCCTGTAATCCCAGCACTTTGGGAGGCCGAGGCGGGCGGATCACGAGGTCAGGAGATGGAGACCATCCTGGCTAACACGGTGAAACCCCGTCTTTACTAAAAATACAAAAAATTAGCTGAGCGTGGTGGCGGGCGCCTGTACTGGCAGCTACTCGGGAGGTTGAGGCAGGAGAATGGCGTGAACCCGGGAGGCGGAGCTTGCAGTGAGCCAAGATCGCGCCACAGCACTCCAGCTTGGGCCACAGAGCGAGACTCCGTCTCAAAAAAAAAAAAAAAAAAAAAAAAGAATCTATTAGCGTGTAGAAGATTTGCAATGAGAGATGGTGAAAAAATAAAAGAGAAAATGTTTCTGGTTTTCTGTGTTTTGTTTTTTGTGTATATTAGAAAAAAATTAGTGTGTTCCCTCGCTCCCTCACTTCTACTCCCATTTTTCTGGTCTTTTGATTGGATAATTTATTCCGTTTACATTTTAAAATTTCATTTTATTGATTTTATTTACTTTCAGTAGCTTTTGGGGTACAAGCGGTTTTTGGTTACATGGATGAATTGTATAGTGGTGAAGTCTGAAATTTTAGTGCACCTGTCACCCGAGTAGTGTACATTATACCCAAAAGGTAGTGTTCTTTTTTTTTTTTTTTTTTTCCCAGACGGAGTTTTGCTCTTGCTGCCCAGGCTGGAGTGTGCAATGGTTTGATCTCTGCTCACCACAACCTCTGCTTCCTGGGTTCAAGTGATTCTCCTGCCTCAGCCTCCCAAGTAGCTGGGATTACAGGCATGTGCCACCATGCCGGGCTAATTTTGTATTTTTAGTAGAGACAGGGTTTCTCCATGCTGTTCAGGCTGGTCTCGAACTCCTGACCTCAGGTGATCCGCCCGCCTCAGCCTCCCAAAGTGCTGGGATTACAGGCGTGAGCCATCACACCCAGCCTCCAATAGATAGTGTTACTATCCTTTACCCCTCACCCGTCCTCCTCTCTTCTGAGTCTCCAGTGTCCATTATGCCACTCTGTATGCCTTTGTGTACCCATAAATTAACTCCTACTTACGAGTGAGAACATATGATACTTGGTTTTCCATTCCTGCCCACTCCCATTTTAATAAAATGGATGTATGGATCATCCAGAGTTTGGTATTTTGAGAATTTCATTTATGGCTCATTCAACTCTCCGGTGGGTCTCCTGACTTGAGTCATGTTCTCTTTCTGGTTTGCCACCGAGAGTGAAAGGTTGAGTTCAGAGTCTACAAGGAGAAATGCCATATGTCACATAAGAGTAACATATGTGTATGGCTGTGTGATAAACTGTAAAATTACAGTGCACTATTAAAATCTCCAGATGTCAGAAAGAAAGTTATACAGTTAAAAATTCAGTGGGCTCTAAACAATGGATGTGGATGTATAAGATGAAGGTAGTGTGGCTTTAGAAGATTCTACATTCAGGCAAATCCTATTAGATCATTTTTTTTTAAACCGGGCTATAAATTCCTTTGGTATAACTTTCTGTTTAACTAACAATCTTATTTCTTTCTCCATAATTGTTAACGTGTGTAGACAATGTCGTGAATCCTTGTCCCCTGTCTTTCCCAGTCATGGAAAGCATGCTGAGTGTCAGGTATTTCGTAAAGAATAGGCAAGTGCCTCCAGGTGATACAATTATTAACATGGTAAAGGAGACCGGGTGCCGTGGCTCATGCCTGTAATCCCAGTACTTTGGGAGGCCAAGGCGAGCGGATCACTTGAGCCCAGGAGTTTGAGACAGCCCAGGTGACATGGCAAAACGCTGTCTCTAACAAAAAAATTACAAAAATTAGCCAGGCATGGCAGCGCTGCACCTGTGGTCCCAGGTATGTGGTAGACTGAGGTGGGAGGATGGCTTGAGCTCAGGAGGTGGAGGCCGCAGTGAGCCGAGATAGTGCCACTGAACTTTAGCCTGGGTAAGAGAATGAGACTGTCTTAAAAACAAAACAAAAAACATGGTAAAGGGGCATGTCATGTATTATTACATTCACTTAGTATTCAAGGAAGTATTTTAGGTAAAAGGTGTCCAAATTAGGAAACCAAAGCACTGTTGGCTTTCCCAAGAATCTGAAGAACTCTCTGAGCCTGGTTTCTTGCTAGCACCATTATAAATGAGTTAGAGGTGGTGAGGCAGCTGGTTCTGCTGTCCCACGCCGCCTCAGGCCAACTGCTTCAGTTACAAGGTGTTCTGTAATCTCCCTGGCTGCTCACATAATGAATTGCAAGGCTTCTTTGAATTCCCATGTACTTAGGTTTAATTTTCCCTTCCCTGCATCTTTCCCCTGCATACTGCAGGCCTTTTAAACAAATACCCACTGGTGGGCGGTGACATTGGCATGAGGGGAGGCATCCTCCTGGATCAGTTGCAAGCCTCCTAGCAGCTGATGCCATGGAAGAATGGAGTAGCACCGAAGCAGCTCCAGTTCTTTTAAGTGGTCCCTGAATTAGGCCTCGATGTCATGTAGGTAAATTCAGCCCAGAACATGCAGAATCTTTATTGGAATTTGTACATTCATCTCTCACAGCTGTGGAGAGTTTAGACTAATCACAACTCTCACTGGGATACTATTATCTTGGTAATTTGAAAAAGGATCAGGAGCCTGCAGGCTTGGAACATCTTGAGAAAACTCTGGCTCTGAAATACATCATCACATGTGGGGGACACCACTTGCGGCATCATCGCAGAGAGCTGAAGAATGCTGAAATCAAGTATTTCTGTGGCGTGATTTCAAATAGCTTGAGAAATCTGAGAACTTTTTTTTTTTAACTGCAAAACAGATTCTTTCCTCTTCCATCAACCCGGTTGCTGTCAATATGTCCAGTGTTAGGTGCCAGAAATGAGCATAGCCTCTTAATGATAACAATGCCAAGATTAACACAGCCACCAGGGGCTCTCTCTAGAATCTGTTAGGGTGTATTTTGATCCACAGACACGTTCTGAAGGCGTGCACCTCCTTAGCTTTTCCAGTCTCAGTACATTTCTCTTCAGCAGCCTGGATAAAACCTGTCACTTTTTGCCAGAACTTCTCATGCTTTGGGGCCCCTCAGACACCATTTTTCATTGACCCCATGAGTCCATATGGTAGGGCTAGGTTCAAAGTTGGTATTTGGGAAACAGCTTCTGACAGCACAGAGGCCTGGTGTACTGCGGTCATTTGTTCAAAAGGCCAGGATTTGCAGATGTGCTATAAGAGTGTAATATAATTTTTGACCCCACCCAAATGGGTATTTTATCACCATCCACATAGCAACCAACAAACAGATGAGTCTGAGGAGGCAAGCGCTAATATATGTGGCTCAAACCAGTCAACCCTCTGAGGAGTCAGTAGTTCAGCCTCTTTTTGAGGCTTTAACATCACAGTGGTCCTTTCAATTCTACAGTTATGTGAGTACAGCTCCTTCCCTCCCCCCTTTTTCATATTGTTTTTTGTTTTATAATTTTTAAGCTTTAGAAAGTTAAGCCTAATTCAAAAAAAAATTGGGGAAATAGGGGAGGGGAATAGCAATTTCAGTCAGGCATTAAAATGAAGGCAAAGTGAAACCAAATTGATGGAGGTGATGGGACATGTTCCACAGGCCTGGGCTTAGGTTTGGTGTCCATCAGTCTTCCATTTCCCTTGATTGGCCATATTGCCTCTTGGGAAGGAACCCAAGGTTTTATGCAGACCAATTTGCTCTATTTCCTCAGTTACCGACTCACATGTCAACCAATCTTTATGGCCTTACAAAAGGTACCTGTTGGTATCGACCTTGCCATGAACTGTCTAAGGAATATTTGGGGGCTGGAAAGGACTTTAGTGATAATGTATAAAACTCTTTCAGCTGAGGTTGCAGTGATCCGAGATCACGCCACCGTACTCCACTCCAGCCTGGGCAACATACTGTGTCTCAAAAAACAAAAAAACACCTCTTTCATTTGATAGATAAAGCAATCAAGATCAAGCCCAGAGTGGTGAAATGATTTAGAAATTCTTTGACTATTCAGAGATTTTCATTATAACCATACATTGCATTCTTTTATTTCAACATCATGATGGTCATTCTGGATAAGACTCCTTCCTCTCTCCCTCCCTCCCTGCCTCCCTTCCTCCCTGCCTCCCTACCTCCCTCCCCACCACCTTCCTTCCTTCCTTCCTTCTTTCTTTTTCTTTCCTCCCTTTCTTTCTCTTTCTTTTTTTGAGACAGGGTTTCACTCTGTTGTCCACGCTGGGGTACAGTGGCATGATCATGCCTTACCGCAACTTCTACCTCCTGGGCTCAAGCCATCCTCCCACTTCAGCCTCCCAGTAGTGTGGACTACAGGCACACACCACCATGCTCAGCTAATTTTTATATTTTTTGTAGAAGTGGGGTTTCACCATGTTGCCCAGGTTATGTCTAGTGGCCATAAAATTGATGCTATGAATTTAATGTCAGATTGCCATATATTGGAATCCTTTCATTCCTGCCATTGACATATTAATACAAATATCTCTCATGCTCTGTTCTCAACTTCTTCAACTCTGATAGCTTGTGCCACTCTACTGTACTCACATCTCTCCAGATTAGTGACTGTGTTTTGACCTCATATTATGTATGAGGACACAAACTTCTGAAGGACAGGGACTATAACTGATGCACATTTATTTCTCCTATAGGGAGGGAGAAGTATAGCTTTTGAGAACATCTAAATTGAGAGCCCATTATGATACCATTTTTTTTTGTTGTTGTGGGGGAGGTAAGAGATCCTTGTTGTATTCTAACAATGAGGCTGAGTCTCAGACATGAGTCTGAACCCTGTAGGGATAGTAAATTCTTCCTTTTCCCAGTTCTCCTTTCTTACTAATATGGGTACAGAATGGTCTGTTCAAGTCACAGAAGCTCTTGGCTGAAGAAGGAGTCTCCCTGAGCACACAGGGAGATCTTAGTTCCAGAGAGGGTATGGGGGCTACAGAAAGGGCCAGAACAGATGGCACACTCCGTACCCCAGAGCTAGGGCTAGTGTGTGCCTGGTCTGTGAAGGGAAGGAACTAGTGATTCCAGGTCCTTGGACAGATTCCTTCCGCAGCAAGAGCAGCATATTTTCTGACCCTTTGTGTTTTTCCTTTTGAAACTGACATTATCTCTAATTATATGTGGTCAGATTGTAGAAGACATTTATCATCTATTGCCAAAACATCACCCACTGCTTTGCCAGTTCCTGTTTGCCCAGCCTGGCTGTGGCTGTTGAAATATCCCATCTGCAAGGTGAACCCAATTCCTAGCTAACCCAAGACTTGCTCCTCCCCATCATGGTTAGATCTGGAATTGGTCTGGATGGCCTAGGTCTGGTACGCATTGAGCAAAATGCCACACTGCTGTCTTCTCCATGAACCCTTGTGGATGGGCTTCTACTCAACTTCTAGATTGAATTCCATTTCTGTTCTTGGGCTGAAATTTTGTCCAAACCCCAAAGCGTTGTCCAGGGCTGTAGGAGTCTTCTAGGGCTGCCGTAACAAATCACCACTTAAAACAGTAGAAGTTTATTCTCTGAGTTCTGGAGGCCAGAAGTCTGAGATCAAGTTATGGGCAGTACTATACTCCCTTTGTAGGCTCTAAAGGAGAATCTGCTCCATGCTGCTTCCAGCTTCTGGTGGCTATTGGGATTCCTTGGCATTCTGTAGCTTGTAGCCACATCAGTATAATCTCTGCCTTTGTCTTCCCATTGCCTTCTCCTCTGTGTTTATTCTATAAGGATACAGGTGATTGCATTTAGGGCCTACCCAGATTATTCAGGATAAGTGCCTCTTTTTCAGATCCTTAACTCAATCACATCTGCAAAGATTCTTTTTCCAAATAAGGTCACATTTTTAGGTTCCAGGGATTCGATGTGATTTGATATCATTTTGGGGGCCATTTTTCAGCCTAGTACAAGGGCCCTGACAAACTCCTGGCTTGTGCTGACCCCTGTTTTTGGGGGATCAGCCCCTTATCTCTTTTGGTCCTGGCCAAGGGTATGTTTTAACATGAATGAGTCTGTCTGGAATCAAATTGTTAACCACTTGACTATGACTATCTCCACAGTCATATCTTTCTAGGCCTCCATTTCTAGGCCCTTGGGTATAAGTGCCAGCCTGGATCAGATTAAGCTTGCCTTTAAATACTGTGATGTAGTCTGATGGACAAATAAGCCCAAGCTCAGGTCAGTTCTTTTAGCTTGAGCCATACTGGAATGGCTTCCATCTCCTTGTCATCCTGGTATCGAGGTCTCTGCATGCCTCTTGGCAATGATGTGTTGGCTATAGTATCATCATGTGTATAACATATTTTTTTGCATACCTACCTTATTCTGAGCTCTTTATAGAACTTATTTTACTTAATCACTGTAGATCAGGAAACAGGGACAGAGAAAGGCATAGTGGCTCATGCCTGTAATCCCAGCACTTTGGGAGGCTGAGGCTGCCAGATCACTTGAGCTCAGGAGTTGGAAACCAGTCCGAGCAACACGGTGAAACTCTGTCTCTACTAAAAAAATACAAAAATTGCTGGGTGTGGTGGCGTGTACCTGTGGTCCCAGCTACTAGGAAGGCCGAGGTGGGAGGATCACTTGAATCCAGGAGATTGAGGTTGCAGTGCGCCAAGATTGCGCCACTACACTCCAGCCTGGGTGACAGAGCAAGACCCTATCTCAAAAAAAAAAAAAAAAAAAAGGAAGTAAGGACAGAGAGGTAAAGTTATTAGTCCAAGGTCATATAACCTGGGTCTAACTGTAAAATTCATGTTCATTTTACCATGCTGTACTATATTTTACATGCTTTATTATCTATCTTATTGTTGTCTCTCCTTCTCATTAAAACAAAACAAAACTGAGACTAGGAGAGGAATAAGCTTTATTTGATTTTCTAATTACTTGTGAGGACTTGGCAGACAAATTTTCTCAACCAGACAACTTAATTCTTAAATTTTTGTTTGGGGGATCTTTCCAGTTCAAGGTCTGTTATTGCATATAAGTTTGTAATCCTCTTGCCAGTTTCATTATTCTACATTTATTGCCATGTTTTGTGTAACATGTGTCTGTATACTGTTAACATTTTCCAGTAACCATCCTACATACACAGAAAAGAGACATGAGTGTAAAGGAAAAGGCCAGCAAGTTCAGTCAGCCAGGAAAAGTTTATAAGTCTGTATTTCAAGGAAGGAGTCATGTGCTGAATTTGCACACTGGCCTGTGACTGAAATCCAGATCAATATCCATGCTCTAAGTACAGTATGACTAAAACTCTTAGAACCGAAAGCTATTTAAGTCCCTTGGTCTTTCTAGCGTAAGTTAGGAAATGTTTCCTCCTCTTCAATATTTTGGAAAGGTTTGAGCAGAATTGGTATTAGTTTGCCTTTAAATGTTTGGTAGAATTCACAAGTGAAGCCCTCAAGTGCAGGGCTTTTCTTTGTCAGGAGATTTTGGATTACTGATTCAATCTCCTTACTACTTATAGGTCTGTTCGGATTTTCTATTTCTTCATGATCTTGTCTTGGTAGGTTTTGTGTTTCTAGGAATTTTTCCATTTCTTCTAGGCTATTCAATTTGTTGGCATATAATTGTTCATAGTGCTCTCTTATAATCCTTTTTATTTCTGTAGAATCGGTAGTAATGTCCCCACTTTTATTTCTGATTTTAGTAATTTGAATCTTCTGTCTTTTCTTTCTTGTTCTGTCTAGCTAAAGCTTTGTCAATCTTGTCTGTCTTTTCAAAAAGCTAACTTCACATTTTATTGATTTTCTCTTGATTTTCTATTCTCTATTTCACTTATCTTTGCTCCAATCTTTATTATTTCCTTCCTTTTGCTAGTTTTGGGTTTAGTTTTCTCTTCTTTTTCTAGTTCATTAAGTTGAAACTTAGGTTGTAGATTTGAGATCTTTCTTGTTTTTTACTGCAGGTGTTTACAGCCATATATGTCTCCCCTAGCACTTCTTTCACTGTGTTATATGTTTTGGTATGTTGTTTTCATTTTCATTAGTCTCTAAGTATTTTCTAATTTCCCTTGTGATTTGTTTTTTGATCCATTGGTTGGTTGTTTAAGAGTGTGTTGTTTGATTTCCAAAAATTTGTGAAATTTTCAGTTACTTCGGTATTGATTTCTAACTTTATTCTATTATGGTTGAAGGAGATACTTTGAATAATATCTATCTTTTAAAATCTATTGAGACTTAATTTGTAGCCTAACATATGGCCAATCCTAGAAAATGTCCTATATGTACTTGAGAAGAATGTGGATGCTGTCAATGGGTAGAGTGTTCTGTATATGTCTATGAAATCTATTATTAGTTGGTTTATTGTGTTTTTTAAGTCTTATATTTCCTTATTTATATTTTGTATAGTTGTTTGATCCACAATTGAAAGTGGGGCATTGAAGTGCCCAACTATTCTTGTAGAGCTATCTATTTCTCCCTTCAGTTCTGTTGGTTTTTGCCTCATATATTTTGATGGTCTTTTATTAGGTGTGTAAATGTTTATATTGTTATCTGTTCTTACAGTTTTTAACTTTTTATTAACATATAATATCATTCTTTGTCTCTTGTAAAGTTTTTTGATTTAAGGTCTGTTTCACATATTAGTATATCCATCCCTGCTCTCTCTTTTGGTTACTATTTGTGTAGAATATCTTTTTACATCCTTTCACTTCCAACTTATTTGTGTCCTTGGATCTAAAATGAGTTTCTGTGGACAGCATATAATGAGATCATGTGTTTTTACCCGTTCTGCTAATTTTTTCTTTTGGGTGGTTAGTTTAATTCATTTACATGTAAAGCAATTACTGATAAAGAAGGACTTACTTTTGTTACTTTATCATTTGTTTTCTATATGCTTTATTTCTTTTTTGCCCCTCATTTCCTGTATTACTGTCTTCTTTTGTGTTTAGTAGATTTTTTTTTATAGTGAAATGTTTAAATTCCTTTCTCGTTTGGGTGTGTGTATATTCTAAGTGATTTTCTTTGTACTTACTGTGGGGATTACATTTGCCATCCTAAAGTTATAACACTCTAATTTGAACTTATAGCAATTTAATTTCTTTTCTTTTCTTTTCTTTTTTGTTAAGACAGGGTCTGGCTTACCCAGGCGGGAGTGCCATGGCACAATCTCGGCTCACTGCAACCTCTGCATCCTGGGCTCAAATGATCCTCCTGCCTCAGCCTTCTGAGTAGCTGGAACTATAGGCATATGCCACTGTGCCTGGCTAATTTTTGTATTTTTAGTAGAGATGGGGTTTTGCCATGTTGCCCAGGCTGGTCTCAAACTTCTGAGTTCCAGCAATCCACCTGCCTCAGCCTCCCAAAGTGGTAGGATTACAGATGTGAGCCGCTGCGCCCGGCCAGTTTAATTTCAATAACACACAAAACCCTGATCCTTTTCAGCTCCATGTCCATGCCTTTTGGCTGTTGATGTCACTAGATTATATCTTTATGCATTGTGTGCCTCCAAACAAACTAATAACTCTATTAAGTGCATTGGTTTCTTAAATTATATAGAAAACAAAATATGGAGTTAAAACCAAAGTTACAATAATTCTAACTTTTATAATTTACCATGTATTTACCTTTACTGAAATCTTTGTCAGCAGATATCTTTAAGTTATTGTCTAGTGTCCTTTTATTTACCTTGCAGGACTCCCTTGAGCATTTCACAGGACAGGTCTAGTGGTAACAAATTCTCTCAGGTTTTGTTGATCTGGGAATGTCTTAACTTTCCCTTCACTTACAAAGGACCATTTTGCTGGATAAAGGGTTTTTGGCTGACAGTTTTTTTTCTTTTAGTACTTTGAATATATTGGCCCATGGCCTTCTGACTTCCCAATTTTCTGATGAGAAATCTGCTGATAATATTTTTTGAGGATTTCTTGTATATGATATGTTATGTCACTTCTCTCTTGCTGCTTTCTAGATTCTGTCTTTTCAAAGTTTGATTATATGTGTCTCAATGTGGGACTCTTTTTTTTTTTTTTTTTTTTCTTATTTAATAGGAAGAAGAAAGTACTGTTCAAATCAGGGACTTGACTCCCACAAGACTCAATGTGGGACTCTTTTGAGTTCATCTTACTTGGAGTTTATTGAGCTTCTTGGATGTTTCTTTCATGTCTCTTATCAAATTTGGGAAATTTTCAAACATTATCTCTTCAATATTCTCTCTTCCCCTTTCTCTCTCTCTTCTCCTTCTGAAACATTCACAATGCATATGTTGGTACATGTGATGGTATCCTGTATGTCCCTTTGGCTCTGTTCATTTTTCTTCAATCTTTTTTCTTTCTGTCTCTCAGACTAATAATTTCCATTGTTCTATTTTCAGGTTCACTGATTCTTTCTTCTCCCTGCTCAAATCTGCCTTTGAATCCCTCTAGTGATATTTGTTATTTCAGTATTTGTACTTCTAAGCTCCAGAATTTTTTGTTTATTTTCAGGTTTTGTGTCTCTTTATTGATGTTTCCATTTTATTCACACATCATTTTCTTGACTTTCCCCATAGCTTCATTTAGTTCTTCAATCATCTTTAAGAGTTATTTTAAAATATTTGTTTAGTAATTCTTCTAAAAGGTCTTTTCCAGGAAGAGTTTCTGTTATTGTTTTCTATTGAATGTGCCATTCTTTCCTATTTCTTTGTATGCCTTGTGATTTTTTTTTTTGTTGAAAACTAGGCATTTGAATTTAATAACGTGGTAACTCTGGAACTCAGATTCTCTTCCTTCCCTAGAGTTTGCTGTTTTTTAAAAATTGTTTTTGTTTGCTATTTTTTGTTTTTGTTTTGTTGATTGTCGTAGGCTGCCTCTGTGCCAAGGATCATCCTGAGTTGCACATTTAGTCTTTTCAGGTCTTTTCTGAGCCTTCACTTTCCCCTGTGCATGCACAGTCACTTTCTAATTTTCTCTGTATGTATATGTGTGTATATATATATATGTATGTATATGTATATGTATATATATATATATTTGTTTTTGAATGTCCTAGTCTTCAGTGCCTGGCCCCCAAAATGGGAAAAAGAAAAATGAACAGAGGAAAAACAAAGGGGGTGTCTGCTCTTTAAATCCCCTGGTAATCACCTATGCCAGAGGAGATGGGGCTTGCAATAATTGTGGGGAGATGCAACAACAATGGTCACCTACCTCTTTGCACCTCTGTGACCAGAGGCAGTAATCACCATTCAGAGCACAGGTCCCCAGTATTTGGTGGACAGGGTCCTTTTTGCTCATCCTGGCCTCAGCAAGCTATGTGCAGGTTACTGCAGGAACACTTGCAGAGCTGCGTGCCATAGAGCTAGGGGTAGAGGATGGGTAACTGCTGCTGTGTGAAGAGGTGAAATTGAACAAAATCAACCCCACTTTACCGTTCAGGCCTTCCCCTGGAAGTTTCCAGCTTTCAACAGATGCTAGAGTTCCAAAATAGTTACATCAGACAGATTCTGCCAGGGCAATTGTTGTCTAGGTGGGGAGAAAGATTCCTGGTGCTTCTATTCTGCCATCTTCCCGGAATCCTCTTCTCATATATTTCAAATTTTACCAGAAGTAAAATAAGTAAAAATACTACTCCCCCCGGTGGATCTAAACCTTTCACATATATACAAACTGCTCATGTAAGTGACCAGCTTGTGGCTGGTTTTCTGTCAATGATATCAATGGTGTTAACAATTGTCATTCCTTAGAACTCTCGTTTGTGTGTGCATATGTGTGTGTGTGCATGTGTATGTGTGCATGTACTCTAACTCTTCTTGTAAATGGCAAGGGAAATGAATTAGCAAATAACAGAATGGTATAGTTATAGAGTCAATCCTGGTTTAAGAATACAGGATGGCCGGGCGCGGTGGCTCAGGCCTGTAATCCCAGCACTTTGGGAGGCCGAGGTGGGTGGATCATGAGGTCAGGAGATGGAGACCATCCTGGCTAACACGGTGAAACCCTGTCTCTATTAAAAATACAAAAAAATTAGCCGGGCATGGTGGCAGGCGCCTGTAGTCCCAGCTACTCGGGAGGCTGGGGCAGGAGAATGGCGTGAAACCGGGAGGCGGAGCTTGCAGTGAGCAGAGACCGCGCGCCACTGCACTCCAGCCTGGGCGACAGAGCGATACTCCGTCTCAAAAAAAAAAAAAAAAAAAAAAAAAAAAAAAAGAATACAGGATGGTGGTTATGGGTCAGGCTTTGGACCTAGACTTCCTGAGTTTAAAAGTCAACTTATTTACTGACTGGTTGTACTATTTAATATATTTGCTCCCTGTGTGCCTTTATTTCCTCATATGTAAAAATGAAAGCTAATAATAATACCTACATTATTAGGACTATTATGAGGATTAAATGAGTTGATACATGTAAAGCACTTAAATGATTGGTATCTACCATTGGAACACTATACATACTATATGACCAGCTTTACCACACCTAGGTATACGCCCAATAGATATGAATACATATGTTTCCCAAAAGACAAGTAGTAGAATGTTCATTGTAGCAGTATTTGTGATATCCCCAAAGTGGAAGCTACCCAAATGCCCACCAACAATAGAAGGGATAAATTGTAGTATATTTATGTAATAGAATATTATACTGCTATGAAAGTGACCAAACTGCATGTACATGCAACAGGTATGAAACTCACACATATAATGTAAAATGAAAGAAGCCAGACATGAAAGAGTAAATACTGTATGATTTTATTTATCTAAAGCTTAAAACCAGGCAAAACTAGACAATAGGATAATGACTACCCTAGTTGGGAGAATGAATAGAAAGTACCATAAGATGGCTTTCTAGGAGTCGTTGGAAATGTGTGTTTCTTGTTGTGTGTACTGATTACATGGGCTAATTCCATACTCAGGACTAGTTCTGTACACCAAGGGCTATGGTAATGGGTCCACCGTTGTCAGAACACAAACAAAAATCCCCTAATAACATTCCCCCAGGGGTAAGAGTTATCTACTGGCCTTACATTTTTACAACTATGGGATGCACTCCTATGATTTTTTTCCTATTATAATGAAAATCTACTCCAAGTCTGCTGCTCAATATTAAGAAGCTCAGTTTGTGAAAATTCAGCAAGTTGTATACTTGGGATCTGTGTATTTTTCTGCACGTAAATTGTTTTAAAAAGTTTTTAAAAAGTAGCTGGTGAATAAAAAATGTATAATAAATGATATATATATTTAATTGTTTTTAGGGTTAGAAAGACTAGGTTTTGAATCCTGGCTTTGTGGTCATGGAGACTAGGAAGTCTCTTAAACTGTTCATTTCTATAATGGTAAACAGAGGTAGTGATACTTGGCTTAAAGAGACCTTAGATGTTATTGAGAACCAGTGAGATGAAATGTAAAAAAATGGTAACTGCCTCTTCAACATTGAGCAGCAGACTTGGAGCAGATTTTCATTATAATAGGAAAAAAAAATCACATGAGTGCACCCCATAGTTGTAAAAATGTCAGGCCAGTAGATACCTCTTACTCCTGGGGGAATGTTATTAGGGGATTTTTGTTTGTGCTCTGACAAAGGTGGCCCCCTTACCATAGCCCTTGGTGTATAAAACTAGTCCTGAGTAAGGAATTGGACAATTTTGCCAAGAGGGCAAGGAGTCCCTGGAAGGAAAGGGATAAAGTCCTTGGCCCTTCTCTTGTGAGGGTTAATGTCATTAGATACTGATGTATTGAGATGAACTGGACTGAAGTTTGTTGGAAAGAACACTAACGGGGCTAGATTGGAGTTCACCATGGGCATGTCCGGTTTGGTGATCTGAATTCAACATTGGTACTTGGTCAGCATCTCATGGGGAAGGATAGTTCCTTCTAGTAGTTGGCTGAGGGATGAACCTCCACACCAAGCCAGCTGGGCACAGTTTCACTGAGGAATGACAACTGAGCAAGTGCAATGACCTAAAAATACAAGTGAAGACATGACTGTGACCTGTGAGCAGCAAGGACATTTCCAAAACAAGGATGACTGGCCATTGGGCTAGCGAGACCAGTGTTTAGTATGCCTATGAGGTAACTACCAAAGCAATGGTGCTGGTGGGTTCATAGAACTTTCTAGTTATTTCTCCCACCTGGCATTTGGAAGTGTAATTGACCCTTTAGAAGTGAGAAAGGCCCTAGAATGTTGGATCGTCTGGAGATAGAGTATTGGGAAAGGCCCCAAGAAAGGAATACCAGATTTTCTGTTGGTAAGGTCCTTGGGCCTCAGCAAGTCACTAGAAAAATAAGTGAAACACTATTTGTACTCTAAGCTGGTGAAGTATACATCCTGGTTAATAATAATAGCCATCATTTATTGGGCACTGTGTGTCTGGCATGGAGACTGTTCTTTGTCTACCAAAATTGTTTTCTCTTTCTTTCTAGGCCTGTAACGAGACTTCATTTCACAGCCTACTTTGCATTAGATGTGTTCCTGTGACCACATTCAGAGCAGATATACTGTGTGGCATTTCTCGGTGTGGGCCTCAGGGCAATAAAAGGATCTCCTCCATGCTCTCCTCCACTGCTACTGGTTGGAACCCCATAGTAATCCAGTTTTGACCAGGCAGATGTGAGCAATGTCCTGGAGGATGATGAGCAGCACAAAGGAAGGAACCTTGGTACCTGAAAGACCATGTGGAGCAGGGCTTCCCTGTTACCCTGAACTGCTACCCTGGAACTGTTATGTGAGAAAAAATAAGATTCTTGCATTTCTCCAACTATAATGGGCACAAGAATCACCTGGGGATTTGTGACAATGCAAATCCTGATTAAATAGGTCTTGAGTGGGGCTTGAGATTCTGTATTTCTTACAAGTTCCTAGGTGGTGTTCATGATGTTGGTCCAGTATCTACAGTTTAAGTTCCTCTCCAAGAAATTCTGATTTAACTGTTTAGAGTGGGGTTCAGGGACATGATGCTAAAAGAAAGCCCCAAATACCAAAAACCTTTCAAGGTGATTCCAATCTACACCAGGGTTGAGACCCCACTGGAGAAGAGAAACATTTTCTGAGAATGGAAGGATCCAGTTCCTTTCCTGATGTCCTTTGGAGGAGGCAATTCCTTTGAGTTCTTCCAAGCAGCCTTGCCATCCTACCGTCTCATTAACCTCTTACAGATAATGCTTTTTGTTTCTTGTCTGCCTCTGCTGATAGTACTTGTCGTCTTCTTGAAACTTCATTTCAGCCAGAAACTTTTTTTGACATATTGATTTGGAATGTTGAGCTTTGTTTTTGAGTAAAATAATTCAACATGGTGATGTATAGAGAAGCTGATTATTAGCTGTTCCCAAGATCTGCCTTTGGGGACCATATTTGAGCATTTAGTCTTAAACACTATAGCAGCAGCCTAACTTGAGGTTTCAGCCTTAAAACAGACAGACACTCATCATTACTGACAGGGATGTTGTAATAATTAAACTATTATTTTGTGCAGTTTCACCTGAAGGTTGCAAAGCCTTAAGAACATCTGGTGGCAATTTGTTAGTTATCACATTATTCTGCATTTATTAAGTGTTGATAATGCACTAGGTGTTGTACAGAATGCAATCCCTGCTCCAGAGCCAAGAGAGAGGGCAAGTATGTCCCAACAAAGAGAAGGTGAGGCTTACAACAGTTGAGGATTTTTCCTAAAAAATCCCTTCTACCTAGGTTAGTTGAAACATTGTGATTTTGGAGAAAAGCTCTCATTTGTATAAGTTGTCTCTAGTTTACAAAATACTTTTAGATAATCTAATTTATTTATTTTGAGAAAAAAATAAAAAACTCTCTTGCCCAGGCTGGAGTTCAGTGGCACAATATAGCTCACTGCGGCTTCGATCTCCTGGGCCCAAGGGATCCTCCCACCTCAGCCTCCTGAGTAGCTGGGATTACAGGTGCACACCACCATGTCTGGCTAATGTTTTATTTTATTTTATTTTAATTTATTATACTTTAAGTTCTGGGATACATGTGCAGAATGTGCAGGTTTGTTACATAGGTGTACACGTGCCATGGTGGTTTACTGCATGCATCAACCCGTTATCTACATTAGATATTTCTCCTAATGCTATCCCTCCCCTAGCCCCCCACCCCCAACTGGCCCCGGTGTGTGATGTTCCCCTCCCTGTGTCCATGTTTTCTGCTTGTTCAACTCCCACTTATTAGTGAGAACATACGGTGTTTGGTTTTCTGTTTCTGTGTTTGCTGAGAATGATGGTTTCCAGCTTCATCCATGTCCCTACAAAGGACATGAACTCATCCTTTTTTATGGCTGCATAGTATTCCATGGTATATATGTGCCACATTTTCTTTATCCAGTCTATCATTGATGGGCATTATGGGTTGGTTCCAGTCTTTGCTATTGTGAATAGTACTGCAATAAACATACGTGTGCCTGTGTCTTTATAGTAGAATGATTTATAATCCTTTGGGTATATACACAGTAATGGGATTGCCGGGTCAAATGGTATTTCTGTTTCTAGATCCTTGAGGAATTGCCACACTGTCTTCCACAAATGGTTGAACTAATTTATATTCCCACCAACAGTGTAAAAGTGTTCCTATTTCTCCACATCCTCTCCAGCATCTGTTGTTTCCTGACTTTTTAATGATTGCCATTCTAACTGGTGTGAGATGGTATCTCATTGTGGTTTTGATTTGCATTTCTCTAATGACGAGTGATGATGAGCTTTTTTTCATATGTTTGTTGGCCACATAAATGTCTTCTTTTGAGAAGTGTCTGTTCGTATCCTTTGTCCACTTTTTGATGGGGTTGTTTGTTTTTTTTTCTTGTAAATTTGTTTGAGTTCTTTGTAGATTCTGGATATTAGCCCTTTGTCAGATGGGTAGATTGCAAAAAGTTTCCCCCATTCTGTAGGTTGCCTGTTCACTCTGATGATACTTTCTTTTGCTGTGTGGAAGCTCTTTAGTTTAATTGGATCCCATTTGTCAATTTTGGCTTTTGTTGCCATTGCTTTTGGTGTTTTAGTCATGAAGTCTTTGCCCATGCTTCTGTCCTGAATAGTATTGCCTAGGTTTTCCTCTAGGGTTTTTATGGTTTTAGGTCTTACATTTAAGTCTTTAATCCATCTTGAGTTAATTTTTGTATAACATATAAGGAAGGGGTCCGGTTTCAGTTTTCTGCATATGGCTTGTCTGGCTAATTTTTAAATTTTTTGTGGAGACAGGATTTCACCATCTTCCCCAGTCTGGTCTCCAATTCCTGGCCTCAAATGATCCTCCCGCCTCAGCTTCCCAAGGTGCTGGGATTACAGGTGTGAGCTACCATGTCCAACTCCAGATTATCTAATTGAATCTTCACTTCAGCCTTGCTACCTTGTGATTTAGTCAGCATCAAGCAATAGAAAACCTGACCCAATAAGGAAGGTAATACAATAAGGAAAGTTATAGACACATCTAAATCCAGAGGTGTAGTGATCTCAGGGTTTTTCCTATTTTATAACACTTTCTTTCCTCCTCCTCTATTTTTATTTGAGCCTCTTTTATCAGTGGTTTCAAACTTTTTTGAGTCATTATATAATGACCCAGTACACAGAAACACTACACACACCCACATATACCCCCTCTGAATTAAAAGTTTCACTAAACAATACTTATCCTTAGTAGAGTGTAATTCACTCTTCTAGTATAATCTATTGTATATCTTATCCTATCCTGTCCTATCTTATTCTACTTTTAAAATTCTGGAGAAATATTGGCTACCTTGATTTCATGACCCTTCCATGGATCTCAACCCTTAGCAAAGCTTCCAGGCTCAACCCTCAGCTGGCTCTTTGGGCCTTGGACTTGGCTAGTCTGCATTCCCTCAACCTCCCCATCCACTACCTGCAATGCAGTAAAGTTTCCAAGTCTTACGCTTCATCTCCTGGTGATTCTGGCTCCTGCTTTCCCCTGTGACAGTTAGTCAGACACACTGACATTTAGCTCACCACTATGCTAACCATTTTTGTTCTGCCCAATCCTCTCTGGCCTAAGCCACTGTGAAATAGACTGGTTAGATCTTGTTGGGTCCTCACAGGGCCTTTTGTCACATTTGAGCCTCTCTTGAGTTCTGACACCAATAAGTCATAAATGAAACAGAGAGAAATGATTATTTTCTAGAACAAAGATAAAAAAACTGGAGCATTACAAAAAGCCACTTCTTTACTTAGATTTCTTTATATTCAGATGCTGTTTCCTTTTTTATTTCCTTCTCTCTTTGTTACTCTGAATGAGGTGCTCAAGTAAGTGTTTGTCCTATTTAAATAGAGAACCTCATCACCATGCATGTTCAGTGTTGGCTTTGCCTGTAGAAGTGTAGATTTGTCCAGAATTTCTGCAGAAATACTGGGTACATGCAGGTTCACCAGCAACTCTCACCCCCTGAAATCAAGTCCAGTCTAGCTCTTCATAAGTACATAAATCATTTTAGGGAAGGTGAAAGTTCATCTGGTCCAATATTTCTCCTCTGTTTTGCTTTATCTTAATCCTGTTTCGCTATTTTTTTCACCACGCCCTTAATCTTTGCTGTCTCTAAAAGAAGCATAACTGCCTCTTCTTAACTTTCATAAACTCTGTTAGAAGCACTTTCTTCAATAACTTGTTCCATATGTTGCATACATGAGCTCCATCAAGATCCCCCTTCCCCCCACTGCTTCCTCAATTTTGCATGGCATCCATCAGTGTTTGAATCATTACAAGTAAAGGGGGAAAATACCCTCCAATGCCATCCCAATGGGACCTTTCTCTTTGGCATGTTCAGCATGTCCCATCATTTAGAAGGCTCTGTGTGGTTTTCTGGAAGTTTTTCTAACCCAGTGAGAAACAGCTGGTTTACCTTCACTGTCCTCTCCTTCTTTCCTTTGAAAGCTCCATATGGCTTGGGTGATGCCGCCTTGCCCTACTCAGGACAGCTTCCTGGGATGAAGGACAGCAAACACCTCTATCTTCCTTAGAAGGGTCCAACAAGAACTCTGAGTAGACCGAGGACACCTCTCTGGGTTTCCAGTCAATTTCCTCTGTAAACAAGCGCTCAGATTTTGGCCATTCTTAACTGTAGCTGATGATTTAAAAATATATATTTTTTCATTTTCTAAATAACTCCACTTATCTCCATTCTAGTTCTTTTTGTGATCTTTGCCCATATTTGACTGTTTCGTGAGACACATACTTAATAGCCAGGTCTCTGCTCCCAGACTAATTATTTCATTTCTCACTAATAATAATAATAATTACTTTTACTTTTCAGGTGGCTATATCTTTTCCTTGTGATGAGAGTGTTCCTTTCTGTGCACTAGCAGGCTTTATCATCCTTCACCTCTTTCTACATCTCTGAAACAGGAAAGGTAGCCACTCCCTTCTCCCCTCACTTGCTTTGGGGCCTTAGTGCCACAGGTGCTAGGAGCTCTCAGATGGTTTATAGGGCCTGGCAGGGCTGCAGTAATGGGGAATCACACTTCATTATTGCTGTTTTCTAAGTCCACCCTTTTTTAAATGGCTACCAGGACACTGTTTTAGAGTGTTTTCCATGCCTCCCAGGCACAGAACCCCTGTGGATGTGGCCAGCCTATAGAGGCTGTGCAAAGGCTCATAAGAAAAAAACTGATACCTGGTGAATATTTTGTTACAGCACTAATTTCTTCCTTTTTTTCCCTCTTCCCAATCTTATAAATATGTCACTGGAGAAATGTCTATTCAAGTTCTTAGCCCAGTTTTTTTTTCAAAAGAACCAATATTTTTAAAATAAGTGTACTACACAAACCAATCTATAAATTCAATGCAATTATCAAATTACCAATGTGTTTTTTTCACAGAATTAGAAAAAAACAGTGCTAGAATTTATATAAAACCAAGTATGTGTGTAATAACCAAAGCAATTCTAAGCAAAAAGAACAAATCAGGTTACTTTAAAAAAAAAATTCAGTTGTAGAGGGTTCTGAGGTATTCTGGAGTTTAACCCTGTATCAGATGTATGGTTTGCAAGTATTCTCTCTCATTCCATAGGTTGCCTTTTCACTCTCTTACTTGTCTCCTTTGCTGTTCAGAAGCTTTTTAGTTTGATGTAATTGACTTATTTTTGTTTTCATTGCCTGTGCTTTTGGTGCCATATTCATGAAATCATTGACTTCTTCCTTATGTTTTCTTCTAGGAGTTTTTATAATTTCAGGTCATAAATTTAAGTCTCTGACCCACATTGAGTTGATTTTTGTGTATGATAGAGGATAATGGTCTAATCTCTAAAGGAGACACACAAATGGCCAAGTATATTAAAAATGCTCAATGTCACTAATCATCAGGGTAGTGCAAACCAAAACCACAATGAAATATTATCTCATACCTGTTAGGGTAGCTATTATCAAAAAACAAAACAAAAGACTACATCTGTTGGTGAGGATGTGGACAAATTGGAAATCTTGTACACTGTAGGTGGGAATGCAAAATGGTGTAGCTGCTAAGAGAAAGTGTGGAGGTTCCTCAAAAACTAAAAACTAGAACTACCATATGATCCAGCAATCCCACTTCTGGGTGTTTATCCAAAACAGTTGAAATGAGAATCTTGAAGAGATAGTAGCACTCCAGTGTTTATTGCAGCAAAAAAGGTGGAAACAAACTTAGTGTCCATTGAGAGACGGATGAAGAAAATGTATATATATACAGTGGGATACTACTCAGCCTTAATAAAGAAGGAAATTCTGCACTATATGACCACATAGATGAACCTTGAGTACATAATGCTAAGTACAATAATGAGCCAGTCACAGAAGATTCCACTTGTATGAGATATCTAAAATAGTCAAATTCAAAGAATCAAAGAGTAGTACGGTAATTACTAGGGGCTGGGGGAAGAGGGAAATGAGGATTACTAATCACTGGGCATAAAAGTTTAGTTAACAAGACAAATGAGTTCTCAGATCTGTTGTACAACATTGTACCTATAGTCAACAATAATGTATTGTACACTTAATTCATTTTAAGACAATAAAATACATTTAAAAAAGAGATGTCATTGGGTTTGCTCCACAGGTCCCAGTGCCTGTATCTTTTCAAACACTGGCCCCATGCTCTTAGATGTACCTCCACTGTTGCTGGAGGTACGCCTAAGCTGATGGGGTCACAATGGATTCATCTGGCCCCATGGTGCATTGTTTAAGGGAGGGTCTTCTGTTTGGCCTCATAGTGTAGTATTGAACTAAATAACCTCTGATGCCATACTGCCTGGATAAAATATCCCAACTCTGCCACTTATTCACTGTGGATCTTGGGGAGGATGCTTAATCTTTTTGCATCTCAGTTTTCCTCATCTGTGAAATGGAACTGATAACACCACTCTCCTGAGAATTAGATAAATTAATGCACAGGAGCGCTTAGAAGCATGCCTGCCTCATCGTAAGCACCCAACAAATATTGGCTGTTATTTGGTACTTTCGTGTTCCAGCTCCATTCTCCAACCCCCCACCCCACTTCTAATAACATTTCCACGAATGGACAATTAGGAGAATTCTATTAGGTCTTGGTCTTCTATTAGTAGTTCTATTGATCCTTGAGATTGTGTCATTTTAAAAAAATCTCTGGTTTTATTTTGCCAACTTCTGAAATCTGTGCAAAGTATGGATGTAGGATTTTTGCATTTGGAACTCCTCCAGGGGCCCAGGGACCCATGGTAGGGAAAATAAAAGAGGTCTTCAGAGATGTCTTGTGTCTCCAGAGAAACAGCAGTATTACTTCACCGGTTGACTTAATGGAATCAGTCGGAATCAGCCCCAAGCAACTTTCCCTGCCTAATTACCCCATCACCTGTTCAAATACAGCCATTACTTTGGTATTTATTAATTGTGTTGTGATCAGCTTTTAAGGTATGTCTTTTCCTTTTTTTTTCTTTCAGCTTAGCCAGAATCACATTTTAGGGCAACCAGATTTTAATGATATTGACAGGTACTATAGCTTGACTTTCTAAGCTCTTTCCATACAAACTTAATTTTTGGTTTTGGTAAGTTTGCGAAATGGATAGCCAGTTTCTAACTCTTGTATGTTTCCCTGGGTGAACTGTCATTTTTATTTTTTGTCAAGTGAGCTACAGGTAAAGCTTGTGATCATAGCAAAACATGTTTAATACTTTTGATGGAATTGAACACAAAGTTAACTGAATCTTTCACTAAACTGGCAAGTTAATTGAATGAAATGATTAGTTTGTTAGTTTCTTTGGTCAACTTTGCTGGAATAGTTGGTTGATCTGTTATCATAGAGCCTAGAACAGTTTCACTTCTCCTAGTCCCATGCGAAGTATTCACTGACTGTGCTTCTTTCCCAAGCAGTACTTGTGTCAAAACACTGCTACCTGAGATATTTTCAGAGACCTTTACATGGACTGTTTTTGCAACTCTTATTCCATGGGTGAGTCAGTGCAGCAACAGGTCTGTATGGACTCCCAGCAGGTTGTTTCTCTGCCCGGAATCACTTGCCAGATGATTTTAATGTTGAAGGGCAAAACTTAGCATTGGTTTGTGGCCCTTTTTAAAAACTCAACAAGCAGAACAAATACCAATTCTATAGGGACTTGGGGGCAAGAGAAGTCTCAGAAGCTGGCCCATTTCTCAGTTTGGGTCTGCTAGTGAGGCAGGGCTTAAGGTTAACTCAGTCCTTATAGGTACAGGACTGTCTCTTAGTTTTACAGTCTTCAACATTTTATTAACTTCCAGGCAGTAATAATAACTACCATATAACCCTTACTGCAGGTAGGCACTACTTGAAGTACTTTAGATGTATTACTCAATTTAATGTTCTCAACAGCCCTATGAGGTAGGCTCTGTTAATTATCCCACTTTACAGATGAGGAAACAAAGTGCCTCAGAGAAATGAGGTTTTTGCCTGAGGTCCCATAGCAAGTAAGTGGCAGTATATAAGGTTTCAGAGCAAGTGTGGACAGAGCCAGGATTTAAACCTAGGCAGCCTGGCTCTGGAGTCATAACTGCTATACTGTACTGAGGGACTGCCTTAAATCATGCTGAAACCAGAGTGGAAATGGATTTCTTTACAATGACGGGTATAATAACTATGATAATAAATATTGGTTATTTTCTCTGATCACTGTCTCCCAGTGAATGAATCTACTGGAAAGTCCAAATCATTGATTAATTGTTGCTAGCTGAGAATACAACCTGAACAAAGACAGTAACAAATATTCATTGGATTGGAGGGGTAAGGAAACAGGGGACATCATTACTTTTTCTGGGCTCCAGGTCACACGGCCTCAGCCTGATTTTTCAGAGGCACATCAGAACTTGGAGCTGAGGAGTGAGGACCAAGTCTTGCCCCATGAAGTCTCAGGTCCGTGCCAAGAGTCTGGGGCACCATTACTAGCCCCACCCTGGGCAACAAGCCACGAGGGAGCCAAGGCGAGAAGCCAAGAGAATCGAGAAGCATGTGTGATGAGGAGACTTCAAGCTGGCCCTGGGGAGGCATCTGGAGGAATTTCCTGAGCTGGAGTCCAGAATTTGCCATAGGTTTTTACGTGTGCCTCTGGTGTGGGATCCTTGGGATAGTTAAAGGGGCTACATAGGAGGAGACTTGTTTCTAGGACGCTGAGGAAGCTGGATGGATTACCCTGTCTCCTTCCAGGGCTGTGTCTAGAACTCTGACAGCGGTCGCAGAATCAGACACCTTCTGTCCTGGGTGGATCATAGTCACAATTATAACATTCCTTAATCTCAAATTCCTTAAAAAAATCTTTTTATTTTGAAATAGCCATAGATTCACAGCGGGCTGCCAGAATGGTTCAGAAAGGTGCTGTACACCCTTAATTCATTTCCGCCAGTGGTCACATCTTGCCTAACTAGAGTACAATATCAAGCCAGGAAATCGACATTGGTGCAATCCACAGATCTTTTGCAGATTTCACCAGTTTTACATGCACTTATTTGGGTGTGTGTGAATAGTTCTATGCAATTTTATCATGTGTGGATTTGTGTGTTCACCATCACAATCAGGATACAGAACTCTTCTATCATCACAAAGGTCCTTGAATTCCTTTTAAAAAGGAAACATCCACTTCTGAGAGCACTATTACCTCATGCTGCTAAGATGTAATTGAGGTTACAGTCTCCTTTATATCTTTTGCATTTCATTAATATTTTTGTGTGACTACATCCTGCTTATCTCACAGACATAACAACATTTGGGTCCTTTTGACTGGATTACGAAGTTATGTTGCTTTCATTTTCAGCTCACCCTTAGGCAAGCCATGTAAGGAGGTGGAGGATAAGTCTCTCTTGTTTACCACTCTATACCCCGCATCTAGAACAGGGATTAGCACACAGCAGATGCCCAATAAACATTTCTGAAAGGATTTAACCCATTATATCTTGATTCTTAGTACTTAACATTCTCAGTGAGTGTGTGTCCCCCAACCCTGTACAGTTCTGTCCCAGCTACTGATCTTGATTTTGAGTCAGATTCAATCCTAGAACTTTCACTGCATTGTCTTTTTTAAATGGATTATTGACCATAATGGACTACTTTGTGCTTTTAACAAAACTGAAGCTAAAAATTGTTTAGCCTAGAAGAAATGTCTTTGACAAATATCTGTGGGTACAGCTTATGCCTGCCCCCCTCCCCATCTGCCTGCTAACCTGTTTCTTCTTACATCTCTTCATTTTATCGGGCTAAAACATCTACCAATTCAATGACATTCAGGCACCACCCCCACTGTCCCAAAATTTAAGTTCTCATGAAAATCTCATTAGCAGAGAGAGGTGGAGCAAATTGAGCCTCATCTGTTTGAGTTTCATTGTACCTGCTGCACATCGAGCAGCTGGCCACATGGGTCAGAGCTTATTCTCATGACTGCACCAGGGTTACTTTGTGGTTATTGAGAGGCCCAGTGACAGTGACTGCTAGTTGCAAAGGGAAACTTGCAGGGAAAAGGTGGAAGGAGTAAGGGAGTAGTGACTTGTGTATGTGCCAACAAGGGGCAGGCATCAGATGTTCAAATGGGCACTGGTTAAACTGTCATTCAAACTAAATTTTTGTTCTCGTATTTCCAGTTTGGACAGAGCCATTCCCTTTTTTTTTTTGTATTCTGAGGTTTGACATTGGATTTGTTACCTTGAAATTCTATAATGTGTTAATTCTCGTGGATTCTTCCTTTGACACAGTCTTAATCTAATGCTTGGAATCTTGAGACAGCGTTCTTTCAGAAACTACCCTCCCTGCCCACATCCTCATCCATACTGCATATTATTTCCAATTTAACCATTAAAATACCTGGCTTTAATCAAAAGCCTAAGGCTGCCCCTTGGATCAAATCAAGTCCAAACTCCTGCCATCTCCTGCTCTCCTCTTGAAGCTGACTGCTCACCATTAGCCCAGCATTCCTTCCTTCAGGCTAGTCCAGGCTTCTTATGAAGGACCCTGAGTGTAGTCACTTGTATTTCTGTCTTCACGCCTTTTAGCTTGTGTCATTGGGGCCTGTATGTGCCTTTGGCTGCCCCCTTCACACAACATCTGACTCCTACTAATATGTCCACCAAGGAGGCACACAACAGGCAGTGGTTAAACATGTAGTAGTAGCTTCCTGTGGTTTCTGTCATGAATGACCATAAACTTGGTGGCTTATAACAACAGGAATTTATTCTCTCACAATTCTGGAGGCCAGAAGTCTGAAATCAAGATGTATTAGTCCGTTTTCACATTGCTGATAAAGATATCCCTGAGACTGGGTAATTTATAAAGAAAAAGGTTTAATGGACTCATAGTTCCACGTGGCTGAGGAGGCCTCACAACCATGGCAGAAGGAGGAAGGTGAAAGGCATGTCTTACATGGTGGCAGACAAGAGGGAATGAGAGCCAAGTGAAAGGGGTTTTCCCTTATAAAACCATCAGATCTCTTGAACTTATTCACTATCATGAGAACAGTATGGGGGAAACCACCCTCATGATTCAATTATCTCCCACCAGATCCCTCCCACAACGCATAGGAATTATGGGAGCTACAATTCAAGATGAGATTGGGGTGGGGACACAGCCAAACCATATCACAAGGTGTCGGCAGGACTGAGCTCCCTTGGAAGGCTCTAGGGCAGAATCTTGCCTTGCCTCTTTCAGCTCTGGTGGCTCCAGCCATTCTTTGGCTTGTGGCTGTGTAGTTCCAATCTCTGCCTCTAGGTGTCTCTTGGGATACTTGTCATTGGATTTAGGACCCCTACAGGTAATCCAGAATGATCTTATCTTGAGATCCTTCAATTAATTATGTCTGCAAAGGCCCTATTCCAAATAGGGTCACATTCACAGGTCCCGGGGTGAGGACATGGACCTGACATTTTGGGGGCCACCATTCAGACCACTACAGTAATTAAACAGTCAAACCCAAAGAGGATCAATTCTGAGGTACCAACCAATGCTATTAAAATATAAGCAGCTGAGCGCAGTGGCTCACACCTGTAATCCCAGTACTTTGGGAGGCTGAGGCAGGCGGATTGCTTGAGCTCAGGAGTTTGCGACCAGCCTGGGGAACACGGTGAAACCCTGTCTCTACTAAAATACAAAAAATTAGCCGGGCGTAGTGGTGTGCGCCTGTAGTCCCAGCTACTTAGGAGGCTGAGGCAGGTGAATCGCTTGAACTCGGGAGGTGGAGGTTGCAGTGAGCTGAGATCATGCCAATGCACTCCAGCCTGGGTGACAGAGTGAGACATCATCTCAAAAAAAAAAAAAAAAAAAAAAAAAAATATATATATATATATATATATATGCAACAATTTGGACAAAAAAAAAGTGCCTATTGAATTTGTGGTTAAGATGAAGCTGGGTTAGATAGATATGCACTTAAAAACAGAAGGAAAAAAATTTAAAAGTTATAAGAATGATCCCAAATTAGCAAAATGGACTTTTACTTTGTGCTTATCTCTATGACATGACATCTCACATGGTTTTGCTCTCCCACTTGGCTGGGAGTTTCTTGTCTGTGTGTTGTGTGCTTAGCATATTTGTTGTGTAAATGAATAAAGGAAGAACTGTGAAGCCCCAACTTTGGTTTAAATAATAAACAGATAACAAATAATTAACAGACCGGCAGAAATTCAGTCTTTTAGGAATTAACAGGGAGAATTATTCAGTAGCTTTCAAGCTCAAAACACTCCAAGAATGTGACATGGCTGCTAGAAAATGTCGTACAATATTAGGGTGCATTATTTAGAGTCCAGCTCAAAGTGGGAATAAGCTTTTGTAATTTGCACAGGCTTGAAGACTGTATAGGCTCTATAGTCTTGTATAGTCTTCAGATCCACAAAAGATGAGTACACTCTATTGCTTATATGACCAGTGTTTCTTATGTTTTAAATCAGCCGATGGATCTTTTAGAAAAAGAGGAGGTTCTTGTTGCTTACTTATTATGGTCATCTATGAGCACCTAGTCAGTGATGAAACCTGAAGGAAGTGGAAGTAATCACTTGCCACTAGCTGACTCAATATATTAATCAATGCTTAGGTAAAGACATATTGATCTATTTTTTTTTTTTTTTTGAGACAGGGTCTCACTCTGTCACCCAGGCTGGAGTGCAGTGGCACGATCTTGACTCACTGCAGCCTCCGCCTCCTGGGTTCAAGCGATTCTCCTGGCTCAGCCTCCCGAGTAGCTGGGACTACAGGCAGGCGCCACCATGCCCAGCTAAGTTTTGTATTTTTAGTAGAGACGGAGTTTCACCATGTTGCCTGGAGTGGTCTGAAACTCCTGACCTCAAGTGATCCACCCACCTTGGCCTCTCAAAGTGCTGGGATTACATGCGTGAGCCACCAGCCCCTGCCTGATCTATTTACTTTGGTTGTTCATAAAAGAGAAGGTACCCAACCATGGGCTCTATTACTACATCAAGCAACCTCAGTGGTTGTGATGGTCAGTTTTGTGTGTCAGCGAGGCTAAGCTACAGTTCTTAGTTATTCATTCAAACTATGAGGGTATTTTGTAAATGTGACTAAAGTCCATAGCAGTTGACTTTAAGTAAGGGATAATTATCCTGAATAATCCGAGTTGATTCAATCAATTGAAGGGGCTTAAAAGCAGGCTGAGGTATCCCTGAGAGTGGAAGGAATTCTGCCTGGGGACAGCACCTTCAGCCTTTGCCTGAGAGCTGCAACCTGTCCTGGGTGATGGCCTGCCCTTTGGATTTAAGACTTGCTTAGCCAGTCCCACAATCTTGTAAGCTAATTCCTTGGAACACATCTCTTACTAAGATCTCCTACTGGTTCTGTTTCTCTGGTAGAACCCCACCTGATACAGCGATTGCCTGGGATCTCTGTTAAAGGGCTGAACAGCTGGGGAGGAACTGTGAGGCAGTAGAGTGTTTATCAGCGTTCCTTAAATTTTAATGAGATATCAATCACCTGGGGGTGAGGCAGGAGAACAGGGAATTAGGGTAACCAAGGGTTAAGGTATACGGAAAGAACAGCAGGTGCAGCGAGTTCTAGGCAAGATTAGGCAGCAAACAGGCCACATCCTTGCTCCTCTGATAACAAGACAGAAGTTTCCACTTCAGCCTCTAATTGGTCACAGGCCAATCCTTCATAGGGTGTAACCAATTGGAGGCCTCTAAAGTGCATCTAGGGGAGTTATTAAACTTTTGTAACTTAATAAAAAGCCTAATTGTTGTTGGTGGGGGGGGGTGCTCTTGTGCTGCTTCACTTGCTGGAGTCTGCTCCCACTCTGTGAATTGTAGCTTCGCTTCAATAAATCTGTGCGTTCGTTACTTTTTGTTGTTGTTTGTCTTTCATTGTTTCATTCTTTTGTTGCTTTGTTTGTGCATTTTATTCCGTTCTTTGTTCAACATGCCAAGAACCTGGACAACTCAGTCAAGACCTTCCATCCGGTAATAGGGTCTGAGTGGACTCAGGTGGTGTTGATGCTGCCAGTATGCTTTGATTGGCAAGACTATATCTAGTAGTTCTCAAATCAGCCTGCACATTTGAATTATCTGGAGAGCTTTTAAAAAACACTGGTGTCTAGGGCTCACCTCTAATGATTATGACTTCATTGGCCTATTTAAAGTGTAGTGAAAAGTACAGAAGCAAGAGTGTAGGTGAGTGGTTCTCAAAGTGTGGTCCCTAGACCAATAACATTGGCATCACCTGGGAACTTGTTAGAAATGCAAATAATCAGATCTTATACCTACTGACTCAAACTCTGGGATTGAATCCCAGCCATCTGATTCCCTCCAGGTGATTCTGATGTCCACTGAAATTTGGGAACCACTGGTGTAGGAAGATTTTGAGTCTGTACTCAGACTCCTTAGGCAAGCAGCCTAAGCTCTCTTTGGCAGACTTTCGTGTCTGTAAAATGGGGATAACAATAGAAGCATGTTATGGGGGTGTTTGAGTTTGATCAGGGAGTTGACACCAACTATGGGGAAAAGCTGAGGTTCCCGTGCTACGAGAGCATGGGTAAGTCTTTAATCTGGAGGGCCTGAAGACAGAAGCAAGATTTATAGTAAGCAAGACAAGAGTGAGAGGGAATGGTTTGGGATCAACTGGGAAGATGGGGTGCCCTGAGAACTTGCCTTGGTGGGCCGTGGGGGCTTGACTCAGCACCTTTATCAGTGCAGCCTAGGTGAGGACAGGCGGGGCTACCAGGATGAAATTCTAAAGAACCAAAGTCTGAAGGGTGATGTCTTTCTCTGAGGCCGTGGAAGAACTTGCCGATGGAGGGACCACAGAGGGATCTATGGGAGAACAACGGCAACTGCAGGAGAGGTAAGAAGACCTTCAAATATCAGTGGGCAAGAGTTGGGGCTGATAGCTAGAGGATAGGGCCAGGGTTCAGAACTCTGAGGCTGAGGGAAAGAATCAGGATCTGATGGGGGAGAAGAGGTGGGGGGTGTGATGGGGAGGTGTGCTGGAAGCCTAGGTGTTGTGCTGAACCCCTATTAACCTCAATAGAGAAGGCACCAAGTTCAAGAGGCCAAAGAAGAGACCTAGAGCTAGCAAATGTGACTTGGGGGTTTTACTGGGACTTACTTACAGGGGAGAGGGTCCAGTGGTGGCGAGCTGGACACCTTACCTATAGAAACAATCCAGTGGTGGTGGGCTGGACAATATAACCACTGTACGTATGGTCCAGTGGCAGCAGGCTGGGCAGGAAAACCACAATTGCTTGCAAACAGCATTCAGTTTATACAGCATTTTCATTTAACACCCTCTCCTTAATGATCTCCACCTGGTAGCTTTCATGTACCGCACTCCCCACCCCCAAACTCAGGGCCTCCATCCCCCATAGGGCCAATGTTCCACGGGACGGCCTGAGGGCTCAGATGTTCCTAACAGACAAGGAATGAATCTCCGGGTTGGTGACTTACGGATTCCCTATCTCGGAACACATTCGGGTGCGTCTGCCATATGAGGTTGTTCTCAGAGTATGCTTGTGATTTCTCTCAGGTGTGCTTACAATGCACTAGGAAGTCAGCTCGTTTGGGGTTTGCTCTTGGGGGCCGACAGGAGGAAAATGCCTGGGCCCAGGTTTAAGGACTCCTATGAAGCAGACAAACCCACCATTCCAAACTCTAGCCCTTCTCAGGCTTATCTCGGGCCAGAGCTATTCCAAGGTCCCAGGCAAAGCCAGGACTGGAACCCTTGTCTGCTTATCTAAGGCTAGTGGTGGAAGGGTGGGGATGGAGGCAACTGCAGTGAATCCTGCACCCCCACTTCCTAGGCCTCCCAACCTCCCCAGCATTTTTGAAGTTCCAAACATGTTTCTGGGTTCTCTATCTTGGTCCCCAAGCGACCTTGGCCTTAAACACATCGTGAGTCTTTAGTGCTCTGCTCAGAACTCAAAAGGTTGGTGTAACTAAGATAGAAATGCTGTGTCTACAGCCGTTGCTGTGAAATGGGAATGGAAAGGGCTGCCAGGAAGTGAAGTCTAGTCTCTCTCAATGTGTGAGGTGCAAAAAGAAAAGCTGCTGTTCTGTCTCTGAGACCTTGGATCTCTAGGAGGAGGGATGAGAGTTAAACTTCCTTTACATTTTTTCACTTTGCTATATTACTGCCTTGGACTGTTTCTACTTTTCTTCTGCTTCTATCTTCCCTTCTTTTGATGAAAGAGAAGGGGGAACTGGGCAATAATCTGATTTAATGAAACCTGCCATGCTATTTGAGAAAAACTGAAAGCTTTGTTTTAGGTTAAAATGAAAAATTGTATATAATGTAAAATTAGTAAAACAGACATGTTAGGGGAGCACGTGCTGGGATTTGTTAGAATGAAAGTACCCTGTCTCAGCTTTGAGGAACCACCGCAGCCTACTGTGGGTTGTGGGTTATGGACAAAGGCGGCACACAGGATGTCACATATGCCTGTGCAGTGAAATTATCGAGAGACTGGATGGGCAGGATTAGAGGTCAAGAGCTTGACCAGGTAAAAGGGATCTTCTAGTTCTCTTTAGATAGTTGAAGCTGACCGCTTCTCAAGGAAAAATGTGTTTTAGGGTATTCAAGAAAGCACAAGAAAATCAATATTTTTAGGCTAGTTTTAAAGGGGTATTTATTGGCTGGTGGGTTAGGCATCTAATAGTTAACCAGTAGGTTACATTTATGGATTAGTAGCTAGGAAATAAAACATGAGATTCTTTGTGTCTTAGTTTATTCAGGCTGCTGTAACAAACTACTATAGACTGGGTGGCTTAGAAACGACAGAAATTTCTTATTTCTCAGGAAACTGAGAAGTCCAAGATCAATGCAGTGGCAGATTTGGTGTCTGGTGGAGGCCCATTTCCTGGTTCATGGATGGATGGTCTTGCTGTAACTCCACATGGCAGGAGGGACAAGAGATCTCACTTAGGACTCTTTTATAAAGGCAATAATCCCATTATAAGGGACCTAATCACCTTTCAAAGATCCACCTCCTAATACCATCACCTTTCAAAGATCCACCTCCTAATACCATCACCTTGGGGTTGAGGATTTCAATACATGAATTTTTGTGGGGCATGGTGGGGGGCATTAACACTTTTTATCCATTGAAATTTTCAGAAATTTCCCACAAAACTACAGACTGAGTTTTACAAATGGTTTTCAGAGTCAGTAGCCTGAAGTCAGATAGGTTAGGTTCAAATTCCCTCACTAGTGTGCTTGATCCTGGGGCAAGTTAGTTCTCTGAACCTTGATTTCTCTCATCTTTGAAATGGGGATTATTATGGGAATTAAATGTACTACTAATGTATGCGAATGTGGTTTGTAGAGTGCCATTTAAATATTAGTCGTTATGCTTCCAAAGTCCTATTTCCTAGAAGATTAAATTGGATGTCTCATGGGGTCTCAGGAGTTTGTCTTTTGTTTTTTGATCCACCTATAGGCATACACAAAATGTATTCCAGCATCATTACCAAACTGCAGTGGTATTCTGGGATCTGAGCCTAGGTTTCTCTTTCTCTTTTAATGATAAATAAATGAATAATCACCGTGGTTGCAAAGTTCGGGTGAAGCCAAGCTTTTCCTTTTCCTCAGCGCAGGCTCTCTGGGCTGAAGCCTATGTGGAACTGGGGAAAGGCATGGCTGGGGCCTCTTTCCCTAACTTGTTCTACTTCTGCACCACTCACTCTGCTGCCCTGGATGGAGGTGGAGGTGAAAGGGAAGGTGAAGGGGCTGGGAAAGTCCTGTTTGGCAGGACAGTAGTAACCTGCCACTGAGGCGGCTTGGATGATGCAGTGTTAGTGCTTACTCTTGGTGGGCAGAGGGAGTTTGCAGTGAGTTTTCAGGGACTCTGGTCTTAGCATTTTTCTACATGCAATTCGCTTAATGTGGGCAGTTACTCCTGCAGTTGGACATCTGTGGCTCTCCCCTCAGCCCCTGGCTCCTGGCAGTCTGTCTCTCTGTTGGGGTCACCTTATCCCTCCAGGGGATCCATTTAAGATAACCAGAGTCTGGTTCTCTTCCATGGGGTTTCCAGTTGCCTAGTGAGAACTCTGTGGATGTCTGTTTCCCACTCAACGCTGGAAAGCCTGGCTGTTCCCTTCATTCTGCCTCTTTGCTACCGGGTAGCCATTCCAGCCAGCTTTTCATCTTCAACACTAGAGGGACGAGTCAGGTTTTAGTCCACAATCTCCAGGGAACAAACAGAAAACTCTCCAAGTTGCCCTCTTGAAGAGCCCTCTTGGCATTAGGAGGGGGAAGCACCACCTTCTCCTTGTCCTTGGGGACTCTTGGACACCCATAACTCTCTTCAGAGAAAATCCCAACTACCTCCTAACTTCTGTCTTCCTGATGAATTCTATATTTCTTTAATATTGTCAGGAGGTGCATGGTGGGCTCCCACTGGAAGAACAATGTTTTCGGTCACTCCCTTCCAAATCCTGAAGAGAAGGCCTTGACATCTGTTGTCTCAGCTTTGGGGCATGGCCAAAATGTTAAGATGGGAAGAGTCCCATTTGAACATCCTGCCTCACCAAGATAAGGTTAAGTGTTCTCATGGCCAGGACTGCAGGCACTTCCTTCAGGATCCTTCTGCTTCCCCTGGATACCTGGAGGCCTTTGGGCTTCCCTTGTCCATGTCCCAAACTCCTTAATAAAAGTCTTAACTCTTTTAGTCCCATCTAACTCCAAACTAAGTTGTTTTTCACTAGTTGTCAGACAAAACTAATCTTCTTCAAGGAAATCTCATTAAAACAAATGCAAAACCAAGGCAGTTAACTCTCCCAGAATTATCTGCGTGTTGAAAGAGACGGAAAATTCATGAGAGGGAAAAAAATCCAACAGAAATTCAGCATAGTTTCTGGCAGATGAAACTCACACTATGTCCAGTTGTGGCCACCCCGTCTAGGGCCAGGAGTGAGGCGGGGCAGTGCCTGTGGAGATTCAAGGCGCTCTGCGTCCCTCCTTAGAGGGTCCTCTTCTACTTTCCCTGGAGGTGGAAGTGCCTTTCCCTTCTGTTGACACTGGGTCGTCACCAACGTGAGTCACAGACATTCTCTGTAAGCTTGTAACCAGGATGGCATATGGACCAAAATGATACCCAATTTGAAAGGTGTATGGAAATAAAACAAAACCCTCCCATGTAGATTATTCCCACAGCACCGTCTAGAAAGCCAGTGCCCTTCCCCTCATTCCCTTTTAGCCGCTTCTCAAAATGACCAGTAGGGGGCACTGCAGGGTGAGATTCCCAGGCCTCCTGCACCTCCCATTCATGAAAAGTTATTGGAACATGAAGTATGGAATATAATACACCTATTTTAGCTACAGTAATACTTGCTGAGAAATTGATTACTCATAAATGTAAGATCTCGGTTGTTCTTGAGATGTGATTAGCTAAAGAAGGAAGTTTTAGCTTGAAGGATAGGGGATCAGTTCTAACTAGGTGTTTGTGAAGTACTGGACCCTAACGTCCCTGGAAAAATGTCTCAGACATGACCGTTGTGTGACTATGATGTATTTGGACAGGGCACCAAAAGAAGGATCTGGCAGCCTTATATTGGGGGTGCGGGGGAGCCAGAGGCATGAAAGCTGAGTGTTTTTAAATGTCAGGAAGAAGCTATCTTTTATGCTGACTTTATTGGATACTTGGATGCTTTATTGCATGTCGGGCAATTGAACTTAAAGCCAGCAGCAAGTTTATTATAAAATCAAATGAAGAAGGGACAAACAGTTCTTTTTGTCAAGGAAGGGAAATTGAGGTACCCATGGAAAATAGAAAACAAATCTTAGATTTTAAGAGTCACAGATACAGAAACAAAAACCCAACGCAGGTTTTGAAATTGGGGCATTTTAATTTAAAACAAAGTTATTTTTCCGTCAGGGAATACATTCATGTGATTCAAATCAGAAGATGCAAAGAAGTTTATAAGTCTTCCACCCCTTTCTACCAGGCACCAATTTCCCCTCCCCACAGCTTTCTAGAAGTATTTTATGCATTCTACAAATTACGCATCATCTTAGCTTTATGGTTGTAATATGATTATATCTTGGAGATAATTCTATTTTAGTACTACAGTGTTTTCTTATTCTTTTTTATTGCTGTAAAATATTCCATTGTCCATGGATATACATCTGGGCTATTTTTAGCTGTTCCCTACTACAGAGGAGGATTTGTTGGACAACCTTATATAGGAAGCTAGAGCTCTGGGGAGTATACTAAGATTTCCCAAAGCAGTCAGCTCAGTATTAGGCTGCTTCATGGGGGCTGCCATGGAGAGGGTGTATTCAGAGGGACCCCAGAGGTCTTTATATACCCACCAACCCAAGATTGTAAAAGTCTATGAATCTTTGACATCAGCTCCAATCCAAGGCTAGTTATAATCTTTATAAACATTTGCTTGTACCAAGGTCTTGCTGTGTAGATACTCAAGAACTTCCTGGCTTTTCATCCTGTTCCTTTGTCTTCTCTGGGCCTCAGTTTCTTCATGTGTAAAATTGGAAAGCTGGAGTATAAGTTGTTTTCAGACCTTTTCTTAAACCAGTGTTGTTATTTTTTTTAAACCAGATGAAATTTAGGAGGAACTCTAATAAAAGCCCAGATAAAAATGAGGTATGATATAGAGTGGTGTCTTAGTTTCTTCTTTATTTCTGTGCAGATAGTATTCTGTAGAATCTCCGAATTAACTCTGAGAAGCTGTAAGGATCTGTGGAAGATTATGTGAAAAGAAACAGATACTAGCTGGAAGGTTTTCTGTTTATGTCTGTGACAAGATTATAATAATGACTGGTTACCATGATTCACAGGGATCTAGGGTTCTTTTGTGATCTACCGTCTACCAGTTTCTACATAAATTATGAAAATTAGAATGACTCTGCCAAGAAGGGAAAAGACCAGAGGATTAGAGCATGAACAGTAGGTCTGGGTGAGATGATGGGAAGAAGGGAAGGCCCCCCTCCCCTGAAAAAATGGTAAGAACTTGGGAAATAAAGGAGGGAAGACATTCATCTGACTTTCAGATTCATGGCTTGATCAGCAGGTATCGTTTGTGAGCAGATTCTTTTTTTTTGAGAGAGAGGAAGAAGTCCATTTTATAGAAAATATAACTTTTTCAAAAATTTTTTTTGTAACATGTTTTCCTGTTGTATAATCTCTTTAACTTTTAAGTTCAGGGGTACAAGTGCAGGATGTGCAGGTTTGTTACATAGGTAAACATGTGTCATGGAGTTTGTTGTATAGATTATTTCATCACCCAGGTTTTAAGCCTAATTTTCCTGATCCTCTCCCTCCTCCCACGCTCTGCCATCCAGTAGACCCCAGTGTGTGGTGATCCCTTCTATGCATCCATGTGTTCTCATCATTTAGCTCCCACTTATATAAGTGAGAGAATGTGGTATTTGGTTTTCTGTTCCTATGTGAGCTGATTCTTGAATGTGAAAGGGTGTCCAAGGCAGGCAGAAAGACACCATTCATAGGAAGAAGAGAGACTAAAAGGTACTTAAAATTTAGTTGATTTTAAAAATATGAAAGTATTTAGATATTGATTTTTTTCAGTAATAACTTCTTCTCTGGACTTTAGACAGGTTGAAAAGATTCTAAACATGGTGTGGTTAAATAGCCCGCTGGAAGCATATTTCAATCTGACTCCATCTTCCAGAGGAGGAATGTGTGTGTGTGTGTGCACGCACGCGCGTGTGTGCACGTCTTTGTTATGTTGTAGGTAGACTGAACCATCAACATTAGCCTTTGCTTTTGGTACCATTCACCTCTTAGGGACATTTTCTGTGGGTCTGCTGTGTCTGGAGGAGATTTGGCTGTGGCAGGAAGAGGAGTTCAGTAGAGATTTTGACTTACAAACTCTCCATAGTGAAGGCTGGGCATGGTGGCTCATGCCTATAATTCCAGCACTTTGGGAGGCCAAGGTGGGCAGATCATGAGGTCAAGAGATCGAGACCATCCTGGCCAACATTGTGAAACCCCATCTCTACTAAAAATACAAAAATTCGCAGGGTGTAACGGCGCGCACCTCTAGTCCCAGCTACTTGGGAGGCTGAGGCAGGAGAATCGCTTGAACTCAGAAGGTGGAGGTTGCAGTGAGCCGAGACCGCGCCACTGCACTCCAGCCTAGTGACAGAGGGAGACTCCATCTCAAAGAAAACAAAACAAAAAAACCACAACAAAAAACTCTCCATAGTGAATGCTTGTAGCCCTGGCCCATCAAAAGATAACAGAGGAATCAGAAAAGCTATTCTGATTTACGAGTCACATCTAAAAGCCCCTGAGTGGCCTCATTTCCCACCCCACATCATAGCAAATTATTCTCTATATCGAAGTTAAGAAAGATTTCCAGCATTGATAAGCTAAGCTTTTTTCAAACTTATGAAATGTCTACAAATATACTATATAATAATAAAATTGGTATACGGGCTCATGATTCTTAATATTATACTAGCATTACCACCCCTTCCCCATTCTTATGAGGTTTACTGTCTCAGAATTTCTATCTGAATTTCAATGTAAATCAGAAGAGAAAATGGGAAGTACAATGTGTGTGTGTAGCAGACAAAAGGAGTTATGCCTTAAACTTCAAGGTTTCCTGACTCTATAGAGATAGCAGTAGCAAAGCCTGATGGCCCAAATATTCTGTCTTACTCAACATTTAATGCTGTGTGGGATTATAAGAAATGCTGAGATTCTCTTTTTTCTGCAAATACCTGGAAAGTTTTGTGTATCTTCAAAAAAGAATTCAAAATCTGCTTTCTGTGCTGCCATCTGTTAGAAGGCATCCTGCCCAAGAAATGCTTCACCATAGTATGGGGAATCTCTGAAGACTTGATTGAAATGAGTTTGCACAGGAAAATAACATGTAGCAGAATACAGAAGATGATCCTGCCCCAAAAGGTCCTAGATTGGCCAATCAGCCTCTGAATTGAAGAGTCGAGAACTGACAAGGTCAAGAGTGAGGGTCTGATTTCCTCAGAGGCTGTTGGCAGGTTTGCCAACCCCAGAAAGAGCTTGCTGCTGTTGATCAGAGGGGTAGGCTCCCCATGAATCTCTTCACTCCCATTGTTACCACTGTGTAGTCAATAATATCTCTGTGTGACAAGAAGAAAATACTCTTGTTGAAGAGACATAGTCAGATGACTTATAAAATTAACTATATCTCATTTGAGAAGTTTCTTACAATCTGGACCATTTTGAATAAGTAAATCAATTATTTTTGACCAGATCCCTCTCTCATTATGTATCCTGACCATTGGTAAGTGTAGGATTAGTATCCAGCAGTGGCTGATATAGGATAAAATGTATATCCCATCAAATCCCTATGAACAGAGAGGAGAGTCACTGCCTTTTCTTAGGATAGTGAAAAATTTCAAGTTAATTTTTAAAGGTGTTCTTTGCGGAGATTTTAAACACCTTAAGGGTAGGGACCAGACCCTCTTCCTTTTATCTTGTCCTTGCCTCTCATTTTCTCAGGTGTGGTCTTTTAGGCAGAATGAGCACTATTAGTGTATTTGACAAAATGATGATCTGTATTTTACTATTTGAAACAAGTTCCCCTAAAGATCTCAAAGGAGCCTGTGGTGATGGAAGGCAGTGTTAAGAAAGGGATGTGGACTAGATGTGTGCAAATAGAGAACTTTTGAGAGTGCCTGTAGGAGACGCAAAAGCATCCTGGAAATGCTAAAAAAGATCCTGGACCAATTTTTTCATCCCTCAGCTATATGATTGTAGGCAACTTGCTCAAACTCTCAGTAACTTAGTTTCCTCATCTATAAAACTAGAATAATACATCTACAACACAGGGTTGTTTCTGGGATTAAATCACGCCTGTAATCCCAGCACTTTGGGAGGCTGAGGCGGGTGGATCACGAGGTCAGGAGATCGAGACCATCCTGGCTATGGTGAAACCCTGTCTCTACTAAAAAAAAAAAAAAAAAAAAAAAATTGCAAAAAATTAGCTGGGCATGGTGATGGGTGCCTGTAGTCCCAGCTGCTCGGGAGACTGAGGCAGGAGAATGGCGTGAACCCAGGAGGTGGAGCTTGCAGTGAGCCGAGATCGCGCCACTGCACTCCAGCCTGGGCGACAGAGCGCAACTCCATCTCAAAAAAAAAAAAAAAAAAAAAGAACTTGGAACAATAACTGGCAATAGTAATTGCTCAACAAATGTTAACTATTCTTATCACTATTATTAAAGGTCTCGGGAGAAAGGACAGATTAGCTTCCCCCCAACCCAAAAGGTAAAATATTTAATGAATATACTTTATAACGTTAACTTGAGAGAGAGATGTTTATGAACCTTGCAGTATAGTAATTCATAGATATGGAGTCTATCATGCTTTCCCTCGACTTCAGCTTCTTTGGTCTCTCTGACTTCTTGAATTGTGGGTCTTGGGTGAACTTTAGAAGATCTGCAAGGCAGTGTAGCTCAGTGTGGAAGGAGCCCTGAAGCTGGAGCAGACACCTGCTTCCAGTTCCGTCTCTGCTGTTTATGGCCTTGTGAGCTGTGGGAGTCACTCAGATTCTTACGTGTCAAATGACATCTGGTGAAGTGGATAGTGAGAAACATTCTATAGAGGTTTAAGTATAGAATTTTAATGAAATGAGACTGGTAATGTAACAAGTGTGACATTTTATGCATGCAAAATAACCCTGTCTCATTAAAAAGTATCTTGAGAGGCAAGTGCCACGCATAACACTCAAAATAATTTGGTACTGCTTTTAGAATTGTCTTCAGATTCATGGATGAAATCCAGTCTCATAACTTTGTCACACATTTTCACTTTTTAATTTTTAAAAACTTTTAAATTTTATAAGTCTAAAATTTTTCAACATGGCTGCAAAAATAGTTTGAAGTTCCACATACCCTTCATCCAAATTCCCAAAATATTGATTTATTGTATAACCACAATATAATAATAAAAAGCAGGAAATTAACATTACTATAATACTACTTAATCTGCATACTTTATCCAGATTTCACACACTGTCTTACTAATGACCTTTTTCTGGGCGGTATCTAATTTAGGACTACACATTTGCATTTAGCTATATTTTCTTAGTTTTCTTTAATATGGAACAGTTCTGTGGTCTCTCTTACCCTTTTTGAAATTATTTGGTAGATTTTCTCCTAATTTGGGTTTATCTGATGTTTCTTCATACTTAAAGTTGTGCATCTTTGGCAAGCGGGCCATGGACGAGATGCTGTGGCTTTCTCAGCATGTTATGTCAGGAGGTGCATAATCTCAATTTGTCTTATTACTCAAATGAAACTTTGCTCAGTCAGTTAAGGCGGGGTCTGCCAGACTTCTCCACTATAAAGTTACTACTTTCTCTTTAAAAGAATATCCCGTGGTGGATACTTTGAGACTATATAAGTCTCCCTTTTCCCATTCATTCTCTCATTTTAGCATCTATAGTTCTTGCCTGGAACAATGATTGCTTAGGTGTTTGCCAAATGGTAACGTTTATGTAAAACTTCAAGCCAGTATGCCCATGGATGGTTCACTCTTACCACACTGGACTCAAGGCGACTGTGTGGTGTTGAAACTGTGGGTCGTTCCCACATTCAAATCTAGTGTCTGCAAATGCTGTTCTTCTTTCCCTGTCTCCCTCCTCTGACACGTTTTGCACTGCCTACATGGAGGCTTATCAGGCAGAAGGAAGTACATGTTCTTTGGAAGTAGCTTTGGATTAGAATTCTAGACCCACCACATACGACTTGGGTGACCCCATTCAAGTAAATTAATCTCTCTGTGTTTCAAGTGCCCAATAAATAGAGAATCTTGCTTCATGGGTTCTTTTAAAGAGTAAATAAGATACCATGTATAAAATCTTCTGCATCAAGCATGATGTGAATCTCTTTAATGTTATCTCTATTTTCTTTTTCCAATGAAATCACTCAAATGGCCACAGTGAATACAAAGGCTGAATTTTGATTCCATTGGTCTGGATGGAAGCCAGCTTAAAATCTCTGCGGCTGATTCTAATGTGCACCCAAGATTCGGAACCACTGAATTTGATGCTCACTAGCTGATTTAAAACTCTAAGATAAAATAAAATTGAATATATCTTTACTGATATCATTTTATCAAAAATGAAATATTGTATAAAGGGAGAAATTTTGTGAGGAAACTTTAGGTATTTTAGGTATTTGCTAATTCATTTATTAGTAGTTTCTTGAGCCCCTATGTTCAGGCATCGTGCTAAGCAGTGGGCATATGATGATGAGATAGACACAGTCAAGCAGCTACAGCACAGTTCAGGGCAATACAAGCTCCGGTGGGGGCAGGTACAGAGATCTAATTTGCCTTGTAAAGGAGTTCGAATTTTATCCCATCAGCGTTTGACATATGAAGGATATTGAGCTGGTGGGGAGGGGGTCATGATTAAATGTTAGAAAGACTACTCTGGTGTGTTCGGAATGGGAAGGCAGGGTGATCAGGAGAGATGGATGCTGAGGCTTTATCCTGAGATGTTACAGTGGGGATGAAAAGGTGGGGTAGGACTTGTGAGACATGTTGAAGGCAGAATGATAGGACCTAATGACCAGTGATGTAAGGGAGGTCTGATGACTTCCAGATGCCTGGGTAGATTGCAGCATCATTCATGGAACCAGGGCAAAAGCAAGGTTGTGGATGGGGATATTCCGAGTTCAGTTTTGAACCTGGGCAGTCAAGGCCTTTGAGAACATGTTATCTAGTAGGTGGTTGATAAAGGTTGATAAATGAATCCAGAATTTGGGGAAGGTATCTCCATTAAAGAGAAAGATAAGGCTCTGTGCAATTAGTATTTGAAGCTGCAGGTATGGATGAAATTGTCAGAATATGTGGAAGAATAAGAGAAAAGCCAAAGACAGATCTCAGGATCATTGGCATTAAGGGTACATTGAGGAAGAGGAGCCAGAAGAGGGGAGTCCAGGGAGCAAGAAGAGAACGGGGAGCAAGAAGAGAACCAGGAGAAGAGAGCTGCAGGGACATGAAGGAGGAGGAAATGTGAAGCAAGGTAGACCAGTCAGCAGTGCAGAGGCAACAGATGTGTCAAGTAGGGTAAGGCCTGAGCTGAGCTGCAATCACTGGACTTGGCCTCTAGGCGGGCAGAGAAGAGGTTGAAAATGTCTCCCCTTTCAAGAAACCTTTCCTGACTAATTCCACACCACTCTGTTTACTCAACTCATTAGGAGGCATTGAATGACATCCTCTCTAAGCTGCAAGTCCCCATATAGGTGATTTAATACATGCCTTACTGAACAGTTGAGGAAATTGAGTCCCAGAAAAGACATTACTTGTCTGAGGTCAAGTGGCAGATTCAAGACCTTAAACCAGGTATTTTCCACTTTTATTGGTACTGGTACAATTAGTTTACACCAATTTCCTACTTCTTCATAGGTCGCTTATTTACCCTCTGGTTATTTTGTGTTTATGTAATTTGTAGTTTTTGTTGTTTTCCAAGGTCATAGAGGATAGGAACTAGACTACTATTTTGTTACCTTCTCTGTTCCTCAGTGTTGACCTTTTTGACTTCATGGGCTATTTTAAAGAATAAATAAGCTGGTGTGGATAAAACTCCTTGCAAAAAGCATGATAGACAACAGCTGTTCAACAAACATAATTGGACAATCAGAAGGTATTTAGAATGTGATGGAACTGATGAATGAATGACAGTATAGAGTAGTCAGTGACATTTCTTTTTATCAATATTTTGATCAAGGACTGCCAAATACTATGTAGATAGTCCTGACATCAGGAAGTTAGCTACATGGACAGATGCTGTGTAGGTCTGGATCTCAGAGGGAAAGTCCAACCCTGTCGTTCTGCCTGTGGGCAGGTGCCCCTCTGGGATTCACTGTTCCTGAATCTATAGCCACAGAAATCTATCCTAGGTACACACAGTATGCATACCAGGAGAATGATGGAATTTGTAATGATCATTAGTGTAATGGACATTTGAAATGTTTATACTACCTAGCATTCATTCGTCCTTCCTAGAAACATCCTGATTTCCTTTTGAGGCAAGGCTTTGCTCACTGTGATGTCTTGGGACAATCCCTATGTCAGTTAGCTGTTATGGAAGTGAAAAGGACAAGATTTTTTCTCTCCCTATCCTGGCATAGCCTGGGGTAGGGTATGGGTGTGGCATATCACCAAAGCTTAGAAATCAGACACATCTTCCTGGGACTTTGAATTTTGAGTGAGTGATGGAAAAATGAGAGAAACAGTTGGAATTTCTGTAGTTCAGTGGTGGTGCCCTGACCAGTGCTTAGTTCTTGATTCCTGGTTCTCTGGAGCTGGCTTGGATTCTGCCTGCTTCCAGGCTGGCTCTGCAGCTTCTGGTCAGTTCCTCAAGCCCCTCATTTCACTTGGCTGGAGTTAGCCATCTGGATTAGTCTGCTCAGGCTGCCACAGACTGCAAGGCTGAAACAACAGAAATTAATTTCCCCACAGTTCTGGAGGCTGAAAGTCCAAGATTGACGTTCCAGCAGGGGCTGTAGACTGTAAGTTTGTGTTATGGTTTCTTGTGAGGGCTCTGTTCCCTGCTTGCAGATGGCCACTTTGGCCTCTCATGGCCAAAAGAAACCTCTGTGCATGTATGTGGGAAGAGAGGAGAAAGGACAGAGCATGCATGAGGGAGCAAGCTCCCCGATGTCTCTTCTTATAAGAACACTAATCCTGTTGGATCAGGGTCCCACTCTTACGAACTCATTTAACCTTAATTACTTCCTTACTCAAAATACAGTCCACACTGTGGGGTTACGGCTTCAACATATGAACTTACTCTGGGGGAGGACACAAACTTACAGTCCATAACACTAGCCAAGGTCAGTTTTCCTTGCTTGCAAATCAGGAAACTAAATCTAAATTTGCTAGTCTTATTTTTTCCTTCTGAACTCCAAAATAAAAATGCTTTGTTCTTTCATCTTGTTCTGCAAAACTAGCTCTACATTGTTGGTCAAAACAGTAGTCTGTTTAACAAAAAGCAAGGGAACTTTGACCGACATCAGTCCTCCTTTCACCTCCTCTCACCTCCTCTCCTCCTTGCATCTTTGCTGGCTCTCATGGCATTTCTTGAGCAAGCCTGTCAGGCAGGCAGGTGACTGGAGACTCTCTGATGTCATTCTCCACACTGATGTCAGATGCCAACCTTGGGGCTGGCTGGGTGGAAAAATGACCAGCTTGGCTCTGAGAGTTCTGGCTCCATGTTGCAAGAAGTTGGCAATTTTCTTCTTCCTTTTTTCTTTTTATTGCTTGTTCCACAGTCTGAGGCACATACACAGCTGGTTGGCAGTTCTGCTTCTAAAGCTGTGGCACTCCCCATCTTAAAGGTTTTGAATCTGCCTGCTGTTCCAGACATGGGGACAATGACAAATTATATTAAGCCAGGCCCTTCTTCCAAGGATCCCCAAGTTAGAAGTCTGTGTGGAGCCTGGCAGAGGGAAATGTACATTAAACTCTCCCAAGGATAAGGCTGTTCTCGAACAATCCACCCCATGCCACATTTATACCTGAAGAGTCACCAACCAGGTTGGAGAAAGGTGCATATGAATGTGGCTCTGAAAAACTTTTGCTTCATGCTCATTTCATTTTTTATTCTGCCCCAGTAGTCCCCTCTGCACCTGGGAATCACTCAGTATGAAGTAAACCATAGCACTTTCCAGAACTGTTTTTGTGTTTTTTCAACTGCAGATGTCCGGGAAACAGTAAACTCTTGTTTTGAAGCTTTTTAAAAATTGAGCTTTTGATTCCAAGCAACTGAAAATGGTTCCTGTTTATGTTTCTTATTGGTGATAGTTTAACTAGCTAGATTTTGTTTTTTCTGGATTATGGTTTTTTTTTTTTTTTTTTTTAATAGTTTTCCTTTAGGAGTTTACCAGTCCCTGGAGCTCATTGGTAGCAGAGGAAAAAAGTGTCCGGAGAAATTGAATTTCTTTTATGTCCACAGAAAAAGTGGCCAGCTGCCATTATAGGATAAACCTAGGGCTTTCTTCCCAGGGGCTCATGGATTAGTAAAATCTGAGCAATGGTACTGCCCTTTTTTTGGTAAGGCTAGAATATATACTTTGGAAAGTGTCTATAAAATTAAGTCAATATAACCACTTATTTCTGGCATTTGTTATGGGATAATTATCCTAATAGTTCTTTAGTCTTGTAATTTAGTAAAATGGATATTTTCCTTACTCTTGAGTTGCTTGGGCAAGCATGACTAATAGTTACCGAAGTGTAGATCGTTTATTAACATGTCTAAATCCTTCTTTTTAAGTCAGCCTAACAGGTAGTTGTTACCATCATGCAGCATTTTCACCAGTTCTTCCCATACCTAACAATTAAAATTGCCCACATGTGATTGAGAATTCATTGTGTGTACATTTCTGGGTTCCAGGATGGGGCCTGAATGAGGGATGTGATAAAGGAAGTATTTACAGATAAAGCATGCATATTTGTAGTTAGTTTAGACTATAGATAATGCAGATTATGTGGAAATCAAAGTGGAGACAGAGTTGGTTTTGTCAGGGCATGTTTCTTAGAGGGGAGTTTATGGAGTTGTTGGTGGGAAGTGCTAATTCCAGGCTGGAAGATGGCTGAGAAGAAATGCGAATGGAAAAGCCAGGTAGGTGAGAAAACTAATTATTGTTGAGCAGTCATACGTGCCTGACACTGTGCTAGTGCTTTACCACTGTCTTCAAAAATTAAATCTCCTTTATTAATTTACAATGTGGTAGGAATTTTTTGCTTTATTTGGGAGGAGGAAACTAAGACTAGGGTTATGCAAAGAATATTAGAGGTGATAGTAGAATTTAGGGTTACTTGACTCCAAATAATGAAAGTGAATAAGACTAACATAGGAGATACTTCCCTGGCTGCAAGGGAGGGGTCTTCATGGGGTGAATCAAGAGAAGAATTTGATTCCTTGGGACTGGGACAGTGAAGGCACATTTATATCTCATAGGAAAGACAACCTGAGGCTCCTGTAGCTCCTTGAGCAGGCTACTGACATGATAGGGAAGCACATTATATCTGTGATATTTATCCATGATGTTGAGAGTATCAGTAGTTTTTTCTTTATTGCCATGTCATAGTCTATGGATGATGAACACTTTGGTTGTGTCCAGTAATGACTTTCTACAATAAAGCTGCTAGTGACAATCTTATACAAGTCTTTTAGTGTTTGAAACCACTGATTTTTGTTTGAGATATTCCCAAGAGAAGAAAGACTATATCACAGGCATACACGTGTTTGGCTTTAGTAGGCACTGCCAGGCAAACATTTTCCCAAGCTGGTTGTACCTATTTACATTCTTATCAGCAGGGTAGAAGAGTTCCAGTCTGTTTAACTTTCATATCTTGTCTTCCTGGCATGACTTCGGATAGGAAATTATGCAACAAGGGACATACTGTTTCTTATCAGCCATATGGCCTGCACAGAGACTGTGGGTCACAGTGGTGTAAAAAAACACCAAACAACTTAATAATCAGAAGCTCACCAAGAATCAGATCCTCCACACTACAAAAAGGCTAAAGGAAACTGCAGGAAAGTCAAGATCTTCCAGATTCTGACAAAGGGAACAATATGACTCAAACCTTCCATGCGCTGTTTGAAAATGTTAGCCTGTTCCTTACCTTTTGACATCAGGATATTACTGAAAGGTAAACCAAATGACTGTACACCACTGAGCCAAAAACTCTGTTTAAATGATAGTCTGAGGCAAACAGATCTTTTTATTTGAGAACAATAAAATGGTTTTGTCTTCTTAGATGATCTAAAAAATTTTCTAAGCAACAACTGTAGCTCTTTGTTCTCAACTTTCTTGTAGGTTCAGGCAAAGGCCTGATAACTTTTTCTAGTTAGTTGTTGAACATGGATGTGATGGTTCTCCTTTCATGAAAGACAGCAACTGTGATGGTTAATTTAAGGTGTCAACTTGACTGGGTAAAATGATGCCCAGATAGCTGATAAAACATTATTTCTGGGTATGCCTGTGAGGGCGTTGCTAGAAGAGATTAGCATTTGAATCTGTGGACTGAGTAAAGAAGATCCATTCTCCCCAATGTGGGCAGCTATCATCCAATTCATTGAGTGCTTGAATAGAACAGAAAGGTGGAGAGTGGGCAAATTTACTCTTCTAGAGCCAGGACATCTATCGTCTCCTGCCCTTGGACATCGGAGCACCTTGTTCTCAGGCCTTTGGACTCCAGGGCTTACCCCAGTAGCCAACGCCAGCTCCCTATTCCCTCTGCTGCTGGTTCTCAGGCCTTTAGACTTGACCTGTGACCTGTATCATTAGCTTCTGTGGTTCTTAGGCTTTGGACTCAGATGAATTACACCAGTGATTTCCTGGTTCTCCAGCTTGCAGATGGCATATCATGAGACTTCTCCACCTCCGTAATTGTCTGAGCCAATTCCCATAATAAATCTCCACTTTTATCTATCTATCTCCTATTGCTTCCGTTTCTCTGGAAGAATGCTGGCTAACACAAAGATGTAGTAAAAAGCACATGAGCACATTGAGAGGCTGAGGCAGGTGGATCATGAGGTCAGGAGTTCAAGACCAGCCTGGCCAAGATGGTGAAACCCAGTCTCTACTAAAAATACAAAAATTAGGCAGGCGTGGTGGCGGATGCCTGTAATCCCAGCTACTCGGGAGGCTGAGGCAGAGAATTGCTTGAACCCGGGAGATGGAGATTGCAGTGAGCCAAGATCATGCCACTGCACTCCAGCCTGGATGACAGAATGAGACTCCAACTCAAAAAAAAAAAAAAAAAAAAAAAAAAAAAAGCACATGCTATGCTTTTCAAATCTCATCTTAAGACACATCTGTGCTATGTGATTCTAATTAAATGCCTCTCTGGGCTTGTTTGCTTATCTGTAATGTGGCAATGACAGTATCTCCCTCTCTCTGGGTTATAAGGATGATGTGTGTGAAATATAGGTCCAGAGAAGACATGTGGATTGGACATAAAAAATATATCAGCCTCTTTTTGCTTTGATTTCTTGGTGGCAATGGTTGATGTTAACATTGGCTTTGGAGTCTGACCTGAGTGGGAACCTGGAACTTGGCTCTGCCATGAACTGGCTGTTTGACCAGGACAAGTTATTTAATGTTACTGGGTCTCAGGTTCTTCACGGTAAGATGTCAATGATAATATTGCCCACATTATACAGTTATAATAAGGATTAAATGTGATAATATACGTAAAGCAAACTAGTTAGAGGCCGCTACGTAATAGTGACTCAATACATTTGTTTCCTTTTACATTCTAAGATTTCTCCCACATGAGAATTGTGGTTCTAATATTTGGAACTCTAACATAAAGGGTTTGAATTGCAAGGTGTCTAATGATAGAGAAGACTTGCAGTTACCTAATGATCTGAAGCAGAATATGTAAACCTGAATTTTTTTTGGCAAAGTTTATCTTTTATGATTTAGTAAAAGAATGGGACTATTTACCTGAGCATTTCAGCTTTATAAATGATCATTTGATAATTGATGTATGATAACAAGCTTTTCAGTTTGTATTTGTTGTATAGACTTAGTTGTATTGGCCCCTCCCTCCATCCCCCCACCAAAAAAAAGAAAAAAAAAAGAATTCTAAACTCTTGCTAGTGAACCCAGTATTTATGATGATCCAAGTGGATATACACCAAAGGTCAAGAGGGTAGCTTATTTCTGGGCAAATACTTTCAGGTCAGTGGATCTCACTGGGGGCATTTTGGAAATCTGTGGGAGCATTATTATTGCAAAGCGCTGCTAACATGTAGTGGTCAGAACGCAAGGGTGCACAATATTCTCTAATGTGTAGAATTGCCCCACACTGCAATAATCATCTTGTTTCCCAGTTACTTCTCAAATGTCTTGATCTTCGAGGTAGGGCCTTCCATTTTTCTTATTATCTCCAGACTTGAAATTGCCATAGGTTGACATATATCATAAGAAATTTTAGTATCCATCAGCACCCCACTTCTTTCATTTTTCTGTATGCACACAGAATGTCTTCTGGTCTTTACTCAAATACAAGCATTCGGTGTGCGTGAATACATGCGTTAGACTATTTCATTGTTTCCTACTGCAGTCCTGCATAAGCATTTACATATTAACATACAAATCATTTTATTATAAATTACTTTTATTTATCCTTTACATTGTAGTTAGTAGATCAGTTTTCTGAAATTGTAAATATATGTTATATAATTTATCAATTTAGTTTTAGAATTGTACAGACAGCTGTAAAAAGGGGGTGATGAGACTGATAGGAAGTCCATTCTCCACAAGTTTTTTGGGAACATTTTTACTTAGTGAGGTTTTCAGTTCCTACCCATCTCCACAGCGTTCTTACATTACAGATAAGTTACGTGACTGTTAAAAAAGACAAATGTCAGGAAGAAATAGTTGAGCAGAGACTCCACACTGTACCTTGGTTTATTTTCCTGCTGTATGCTTATGATTCTTGTAGGACCAAAACATTTTTGCTTTTAAGAGGCTTTTAAGGACTGAATTGTGTCTTCATAAAATTCATATGTTGAAGCCCTAACCCCCAATGTGACTATATTTGGAGATAGGGCCTTTAAGGAGGTAATTAAGGTTAAATGTGGCCATCAGGGGCAAGGTCCTAATCCAATAGGGCTGGTGTCCTCAGAAGAAGAGGAGACACCAGGTATGCAGAGCACAGAGAAAAGGCCACGTGAGGACACGGTGAAAAGTTGACCATCTGCAAGCCAAGGAGAGAGGCCTCAGGAGAAACCAGGAACACCTTGATGTTGTACTTCTAGCCTGCAGAATTGTGAGAAAATTAATTTCTGTTGTTTAAGCCACTGTCTGTGGTATTTTGTTACGGTAGCCCTAGAAGACTAGTACAAGGAAGGGGCACCTAATTTTCCGAGAGCCTGACCACCAGCCCCTTCTGTTCTGTCCTTCCTTCTAACACCTGCTTCCCCTGATTACCTTAAATCACATACCTACCTCCTTGGAGATGTACCTGATTTCTTCCTAATCTTTACTCTCTTCTACCTAGGATTTTGTTCTACTTTCTGCTGGATTTAATGCACCTCCTCCTTTTCTCCATTTCTGCTCCTTTTCCTCACTGTTCCTTCCCCTGGCCTCTACTCTTACCTACCCATCTGGTAGACACATGGAGGCATATGAGATTTATGAGTAGATACCAGCTGATAGAAGAGAGTCTCCAACTGCAGGAAGCCATGTGACAGGCAATGACCTAGAGAGGCACAGCTATCATGGCAAATCCTACCAAACAGGATGCTCCTCTTTGGTACCAGTTTGCTGTGTTGGCAGAATTAAAGAGATGGGTAGTAAAGATCTGGGGCATCAAAGGAAGACAAAGCTTTGGGATTCTTTCAACAGTCTGACTTATTTATTCCCTATTAAGCTGGGTAGAAACCAAAAAATCCTATCACGTTTTGCATCTTCGTTAGGGGAAAGTGCAATATACGAGCTAATTATCATGTAGAGATGACAATGCAGTGGTTAAGAATGCAGGTGTTGGGTTCAAATCCTGGACTGGCTACTCCTTATCTGTGTCATCTTGGGCAAGTTAACAAAACTCTGTATGCCTCAGTTTCCTCATCTACATGATGGGAATGATAATAATGTCTACCTAGGTTGGTATGTAAAGGCTTAGACTTTTGTCTGGCACATAGAATTTTTATGTTAACTATTATAATAAATACATTATGTAATCGCATTTTTTTGAGACCGAATTTCACTCTTGTTGCCCAGGCTGGAGTGTGATGGCACGATCTTGGCTCACTGTAACCTCTGCCTCTCAGGTTCAAGCAATTCTCCTGCCTCAGCCTTCCAAGTAGCTGGGATTACAGGCGTGTGCCACCATGGCTAATTTTGTATTTTTAGTACAGATGGGGTTTCTCCATGTTGTTCAGGCTGGTCTCCAACTCCCGACCTGAGGTGATCTGCCCGCCTCGGCCTCCCAAAGTGCTGGGATTATAGGCATGATCCCAGCCCAGCCATAACTGCAATTTATGAAGTGTTTTCACATCCTCTGACTCTCTAGAGAGTCCCCATTTTATATCATTGATTTTAAAACCTAGGTTCAAGAATAATGGTTTTATTTAAATTTATCAATTGTATGTTTTGGAAGACAAGGTTAAATTGGTGGAATATTTAAATTCATATAATAATGATTTTTGTAATGGAAATCTACAACATTGGCTTTCTTTAAATTTTTGTTGCATGGAGCGGTATTTCTGCAAGATGTTCTCCAGGAAAGGGTTCTGTTAAAATATAATTGGTTGTAGCACAAAATATGCCATCTTGGAGACTCACAATGAATATCAGCATGTTAAAGGCTCATAAAAGTCTTTTAAAGAAAATGGGTTAACTTCAAAAGTGTGATCTTTACATGGTTTCCTAGAAAATGGAATCTGAGCTGAAGTTACAGTCTAAAGATTTATTGGGAGGTACAATCCTAGGGCAGCAAGAGTGAGGCCAGAAGGGACGTGAAATAGAGAAAGAGGAAAAGCAAGTGCTAGTTGATGTAGTACCCATCTGGCTGCAGTTTCATAAGGAGGAGCACCTCATGACCAAGCAAGGGCTATGTCTTCTAGACAGGCTGTATGGAACCACCATGCATTGGAATTATCTTGTTCAGAGTTTAACCATGGAGTATTAATGTCACTGCACTTAGGGGTTGTGTTACCGGGTGTCTTTGGGCAGCTGCTGGGTTAGACAGATTCCATGCTCTGCAACATGGCCTTGGGCCCTTGGGTTAGATCTGGACATTGAATCTTCTGTTGTGCCTCTGCAGAGGATGTGATGGTGACTTTGTTAAGGCCTTGTCCTTACTCTGGGGAAGGCTGAGACAGCCTGTGGCATTGTGGAGAGGAGGCCCTGGTGGCTGATGGTATGGGAAAAGAGAGGGCCAAGCAAAGGCGGAGAGGCATGTGAACTGAGTCCTGTATCCCATCCTTCCACAAACTTTGCCTGTATAAATCTCACTTCTTTCCCCTTTCCCCCTTTAAAATCACATCCATTATTATCCCATAAAATTAGTGCCCTGAGGTGTAAATTATGATGTGTCTCTGTGTGTAATATGATAGATAATTGATACGACTGGTTTCCATGACTTTCAAAGGTGATTCTGAATATAGTGGCATAATTTTAGGATCCTGTTGGTGCAGGAGTTTTTGCTCCTTAGTTCAGCGAAATCTGGTTTCTTGTCTCATGACCAGGAAAAATTAGGCACGTGGACACATTGAAGGGTGAGGAGGATGGAATTTATTAAGCGAAAGGAAAGCTCTCAGCAAAGAGCTGGGGTCCTGTACACAGGTTTCCACCTCACAAATTGAATACCAGGCCACCACACACGAGCTGAAGAGGCCAGGCTCCTCCCCTGCATAAGGCCCAAATTTCTGGTGGCTCCACCCCATTTTTCCAGTGTGCATGCAGGCCCTTAGTCTGAGCCACTCTACATTGACTTATTTCCCTTACTGTGCATGTGTTAAGGGATGGAATTTTTCACCTTGGGCATGTTTAGGTAAACCCCCTGTGCACAATGACCTGGGTGGGCCAGAGGTTCTTTGGGGACCCTCCCTTATCTGCCTAGGCATTTGTCTGCCTCTATCTTTGTGGTTTCACTGACAACATTCCACTTTAAGTTTGGGGCGACAGCTACAGCCATACTGAGTTGGAGTTATGGTTAATCCTATTCAGTATTCCTTTGCAAAGGGTTGATCCCAAGTAATGTCATCAGGAGCATTTGTGTTTCTTCCTAATGTCAGTCTCCCCTTGTTCGCAAACCTTCAGTTTGTCATTTACCTTTTGACCTTATTTTTGATTTTTGAAAAATCTGTTGATATTTATAAAACAACTTAAGAAGGGTTTAACAAAATATTTTATATTTTGAGACTATTTTGAACTTACAGGAAAGTCGCAAGAATGGTACAAAGAACTCCCGTATATTCTTCATCCAGAGACCTCATTCAAGTTTTGCCAATGTCCCAATAATGTTCTTTAGAGCAAAAGAATCCAGGTCAAAGTTATATGTTGCTTTTAGTTATCACGTCTCTGTGGTCTCCTTCAGTTTGGAACAGTTCCTCAGTCCTTCCATGGCTTTTATGATTTTAATATTTTTAAAGATTACAGGCCATTTTGTAATATATTACTCAACTTGGCTTTGTCCAATGTATCTTTTTGACTAGGCCTCAAGTTTTTTATTTTTGGCTGGAATACCACAGAAGTGAATGTGTTGATATCATATCTTATACTGTGGCACATGATGTTGATCTGCTCCATCACTGGTAGTGCTAGCATTGATAACTTCCTGGAGATGGTGTCTGCCAGGTTCTATCACTATGAAGTTCCTCCCTCTTTCCCCTTTACAATTCATAAGAATTTTGTAGACAGATACTTTGAGATTCTGTAAAACTCATTCCTCACACCACTTTTATCCACTAGTTTTCAAATACATTGATGTTTCCTGTCTCAATTAGTGACTACTATCATGTTGCCAAATGGTGATTTTGTAGTTCTGTCATTCTTTCTGTATTTGGTGGTTGGCATTCTACTGTAAGGAAGATCTTTCTTTTGTCTCTATTTATTTTTTCATTTATATGAGTGTGCACTCCTGGATTTTACTCAATGGTTCTTAGTCCGTTACTATCATTATTTATTTTGATGCTCAGATTGTCCCAGACTTTGCCAGTAGGAAACCTTACAAGCTGGCTTCTGTGTCCTTTTTACATGTCCCTATCATTCTTTGAGCACTTTCCTATTTGCTTCACAGAACAAGATGTTCAAGGCTCATCTTATGTTTTCCCTGTGTTAGTCTTGGAATCAACCATTTCTCCAAGGAGCCTTGGTTTCTTATAGTGAAGAGTGGCATTTAGAAATCAGTATCTGAACAGTAGGTGTGCTCATTATTACTGAGATGTAACTGATTCCAGGCTATCTCAGAAGGCAGCATTAGGAAATATATATGCGTATAAATATATTTGCACATATTTGCATTTGTATTTATTTTTGTATCTGTATATATTAAAGACAATTCACTCTGCTATCTTCAATTCCAGTCACACATGACAGAGTTCATTTATCTTTCATGCTTTCCATATTTGTACCTCCTTTCTCCAATAGTGATAAATCTGATTTCCATTTTCTTTAATATATTTATTTACTTGTTTAATCTCTCTGAATGTAGCTGATCTTCTGGCCACTGTTGGGCCATCAGCCCGCTTGGACATTCCTCACTGCAGGACCCAACCTCCACTCTCCTCACAATCCCTCCTCAACAAAGGAACGCTAGATGGAAATCTTAAAACTTAATTGTAACTTAGATTTTCTTAGTAGCTATTTCTGGCTTGGTCATTTATAATTTTTTCCAAATCTTTTGGGGCTTAATTTACACTTCTCCTTTTTACCACTTTTTTGTAATGAGTTCCATGAATCTATACTTTGGGAACAGTACTCCCTATTTTTTCCTAAATTTAAGTTCCTTAAGTTTTAAAAGGTGGTCTAGAATTCTTACATTTCAGTACTTGGTGAACACATTTCCAGTAGTTTAATTCCAGCCCTCAACTTAACCACCATAGGTCTCAGCAGGATTTGCTCACCTCCTATCCAAATGGTTCATGGTTTTATATAGTTTGATCATGGCTTCTTTGAGTTTCTTGTGTTCCTTCATGAGTAGTCAAATCTGCATGTATTGTGCCTGCCTTTTACCACCTTCTCTTGCCTCTTTCCAAAAAATGTCCTCATTTCATGATATGCTTTTTAACATCTGATTATCAATTTTTATACAATGTTCCAGCAGTTTTATATTAGGGCACAACTAATTTTTCTGTTTTGTTTGAATATTCTTGATTCTCCTTGGGCCACTGATGACTGTTTCTCTTTGAGGGAAGCCTGAAATGAAGGGAGGCTGGAATGTTCTTGATTGAGCTGGAACTCAATTAGGAGGGGCAGTTGTTCAAAGTGGCTCGTATGAGGTAACCCAGAGGAAAAATAGAATTATTGTCTTAGAAACAAGAAGACTGACTGGGCGCAGTGGCTCATGCCTATAATCCCAGCCCTTTGGGAGGCCAAGGTGGGCAGATCACCTGAGGTCAAGAGTTTGAGACCATCTTGACCAACATGGCGAAACCCCGTCTATACTAAAAATACAAAAAATTAGCTGGGTGTGGTGGTGGGCACATGTAGTCCCAGCTACTCTGGAGGCTGAGGCAGGAGAATTTCTGGAACCTGGGAGGCAGAGGTTGCAGTGAGCCAAGATCATGTCACTGTACTCCAGCCTGGGTGACAGAGTAAGACTCTATCTCAAAAAAAAAAAAAAAAAGAAACAAGACCAATTAAGAAGCAGGGTGAGAAAAGCCTCTGACCAATTGCCACAAATAGGGTTGGGGAGGGGGCGACATTGTTGAGGCCTCTTGGTTTAAAGACAAAGGTTAAGGCAGATGGTAGCAGAACATAGAACCTACTGGTTCTCTGAGAATAAACCTACTATTCTCTGAGAATAAACTACAGTAAATGTGAGAACCTTTTCCTGGATCAAAGTTCATTCTCTAGAACCTTTCATTCTATATGCATATTTTCAATAACTTTCCAGTTGTTTACTTAAAATAGATTTAGCATTCTTTCGGTTACTTACAGAGACTTATAACACCAGCTTTTGACTTATGTTTTCTATCTCACTGGGCTGCATCTTTACCTGAAGGCTGTGGCAACAGCAGGTCCAGAGTCAGTTTTGATCTACGAAAGGGTTTTTCAGCAGCTATGATGCCAACCTTTGGTAGGGTTTAGAATTAAATTATTCTTTGGGACTTTGGAACTGGTGGCTTAGTTAACACTGTGAGATAGTGTAGTACAGTAGGAGGTACCTAGGCTTTGGATTTACATTCAGCCTCTGGTTTCTGCTCTGTTACTTACTAGCTGTCTGTCTTCGTAAGTTTCTTACATTAGTTAGAACTCAGTTGCTTACCTGCGAAGTGGAGATACTATCTACTTCGCAGGATTAATTTTCAGAAACTGTATATAAAGTGGCCCATAGATGCTCAGAAAATGGTAGCTGTCTTTCTAATTATGACTACTACTGGACTCCCTTATTACTTCTTGAGTTGCTCAATTATTAAACATCCCTAGGATACTCCAAGAGTGACCACTAGGTACTTGTTAACTCTGAGGAAAGCAATTTATTTTTCCATTCCATGGGACTTGATCTGGGCTTAGAGGTTTTACACTCAGCATCTATCCTTGCTCCCACATGGCTTTCTGAATGGTGGAGGCTGGGAAGCCCACTGGGATTCTGGATGAGAATCCATTTCCACCAATCAGATACCCTAGTGTGATATTTGGAACACTGGTTATTTTCTATTGCCAAGCAAGATAGAGGAGATGTTGGCTTTTTCTGCAGCAGTGCTCTGGTATCCGTGAGGGTCATGGGAAGGTTGTAGGGACATTTGCAGTAGTTTGGTACAGATTGCCCTGACTGCAGCAGCATCCAATGCCCACTCCGTAGCTTTGTGGGGCCAAGAAGTTGTGGTGGTGATAGTGTAGTTGGTAGATGCTTCTTGATTCCACACCTCCTCCTTTATGGCAGAGGGAGCAGCTCCTTTGGTGGGCCAGTTTGGCAGTGTTCCTGGAGTTACTTCTGGATTCTCATCCTAGAGCCCAAACTTCCAGCTTTCCAATGATATTCCAGGCAGGATTTCCCTATGTTGAATTCTTTTTTTTTCCTGAAAATTGCTAGAGTGGTTTTGTTTCCTCCAGTTGAACACTGCCAGATATGATTCCTGTGCTCTAAGTTTGTTGAGGTTCTCTTGGTCATGTGGTCAGGCTGAGTGATTGCAGACCCTGGTACCTGCCTTCCTTTTTTGAGGCTCGCTTTCTGGGATGAAGGTCTTGACTCAAGCCTGTCCTATGGCCATGAGTGGGTATTCTGATTGGCATTTGCTTGCCTGGCTGACCCCCAGATTTTCTCTCTGTTTGAGTACCCCTGCAGGACTCTACCTGTCTGGATGGACTGCCCAGTGCAAGCTGTCGCTTGAGGCATCATGAACTTGCTGTAGTCTTTGAATCCTATGCTTAGATTGAATAAGACTACCTCTTTCAATGGCCACTCAGTTCTTCCAGCCCCCAACTCAGTCTTGACCTGGATACGCTCCCACGGTCCATTCTCTGTGGCCATGAATGATCCGTGACAGCATATACACCACATCTGATCACAGATCTTTCATTAGATCAGCTCTCTAATGCTCTTTCTTTAACCAGAAGAATTTAGGGTTAGCCAGCAATTTGATGATATCTCTAGGTATTTATTTATTTTTTTTAAGATCACATACAAAAATAGTAACTCTTACAGATTACCTACAAAAATAGCAAAAGCTTTGTTTAGGTGTTTCCAATTAGAGAGGGTTAAATCTGCCTCTGGGTTAGTTCTTCATTGTGAAGAAGAAGTTGAAGGATGGCATAGTATTTTTCTGTTGGAGTCACTGTGTATTTTTATTTGTATCATGATTGATAAAAGATGAGTGTTTCCCATCTTCAAGATGTGAATAGTTTTTATATTGGTTGAATTAATTACAACAGTATCATTTAAATTACAGTTAGGTTAAATAGTGCTATACTAATTTTCTGATAATCAGTGAGTAAATATGTATTTAAAATTTTTTTATTATTTATTGTTTTGTAGAGACAGAGTCTTGCCATGTTGTCCAGACTGGTTTTGAACTCCTGGCTTCAAGTGATCCTCCCACCTTGGCCTCTCAAAGTATTGGGATTACAGGCATGAGCCACCACACCTGGCCATATTTTCTTATAAGTAAATATATACTGTAGTCTCAATTTTAAGGTTATATAAAATCATTTTAATTAACTAGAATTCATTTCTTCTTATAAATATTTCATTTTACAATGACAAGATATAAAACAAATATAAATCTGAAATAAGACCTTCACCCTGATCCTGGTAAAAATTTATTATCTGGGAGACTGAATATCTAAATGGAAAATGACCTGACTATACATAAAAATAGAATTCTAACCTACAACCTGGATAGGAAACCAAGCCTTTATCTACAAAAGCAGCCCAGGAAGCCAACCTGTTATAAGTCAGACTTATAGGAAGTCAGGTTGCTATCTGTAGTAACAACCCAGTATACCAAACCATAGCCCCTGTAACAATTGGCCCCAAATGACAAGGACTTAATTAGTAACTTCCTAATTTTTGCCTCTACTTCCAACATAAAACCAATAAGAAAAAGCCAACTGCACTCTCCTAAACATGTAATGCCCCACTTCTAGTTAGCAGGTCTACAGCTTCCCCCTGTCAACAGCCTCTAATTAGGGCTTATCTGATGGCTTCCTCTTTTTCTACTGTAAAGCTTTCCCACTCCCCTACCTGCTTTTGAGTCCTTGCAAACTGTGGGAACTGACTCTTACTAAAGCAAGCTCTAAATAAATAGCTTTCACCTATTCTCATTTGGTTGGCCTTCATTTATTTCCACTTATCTGTAATGTCTTCAGAGAATCTTTTCTTTTAAAGATGTTCATATTTTTCTAGTTGCCTATAATGCACTGGTATTTTCAAAGTCCTGAGTAAGAAATTTAAAATTTCTCAATCTCTCAACTTTCCTGTTATTAAAAATCTGTGTCTTCTGATTTGAGCTATTAATTAGGGCTGAATTTGAAAATTTGGTTTATAAATTAAAATTTACCATTTTCTATCATAATAAAATAGTTTTCTTCAATTTCAAGTTGCATTATAATTAAAATTTTAACAATCTTTGCCATAAAATTGAACTCATTTCTCCTACTCAATTCTTCTACTCAATTCTATCTTTGTGGAAGTATTTAAAAATTTAACCTATTCACATTATAGGTTAAGTTAAAAAATTTAACATTTACATTATTTACCTGTTTAAATTATACATATTTAAGGCATACAACATGATGTTTTGATATACATAAACAGTCAAATGATTACTGCAGTCAAGCAAATGAACATATCCATCATCTCACATGGTTATCTTATTTGTGAGTGTGTGTTTTTTGGGGGGTAAAATTACACCAAGACTCTCTCAGCAAATTTCCAGTACACAATACAATAGTATTAACTATAGTTAGTACTCATGCTGTTCTAGACTTATTTATCCTACATAACTGCAACTTTGCACCCTTTGACTTCCATCTCTCCAACTCCCCAGCTGCCGATAACCACCATTCTTCTTTGTTTCTATGCATTCAACTTTTTAAAAATTCCCCATATAAGTGAGATTATGTAGTATTTTTCTTTTTCTTTCTGTGAGTGGCTTATTTCACTTAGCAAAATGTTCTTCAGGCTCATTCAAGCTGTGGCAAATGGCAGGATCTCCTTTCTTAAGGCTGAATAATATTCCATTGTGTGTGTGTGTGTGTCTGTGTGTCTATATCTGTGTACATATCTATATATATCACAATTTTCTTATTTATCTGTGGACAGATACTTAGGCTGTTTCCATATCTTGGCTGTTATGAATAATGCTGCAATGAACATGGGAGTGCAGATATTTTGATGAGGTGGTGATTTTATTTCATTTGAGTATATACCAGAAGAGGGATTGCTGGGTCAGGTGGCATTTTTAGAAACCTCCATATTGTTTTTCATAATGGCTACACCCATCTACATTCCCACCAACAGTGTGCAAGGGACTGAATCAATTTGAATGTTAACTAGAAACATTTATGAATTTATTTTTGTGTGTGTGCTTATGTTTCCCTTTGAGAAATGCAAATAATTAAGAAAGTGTCCAGAAACTGTAGTGCATCATTTTCCCTTAAGTATTTCATAACCTTCCTTTGATATGCCAACATGTCCTCATTATCATCGTCATCTCATTATACCTTTATTATGTTTTATTCTCTTTCCTCCCACATTACCAAAGTTTCTCGAAGTACAGTCCTCAGCTAGTTTGTATTACCCAAGAAACTTTTAAAAATACAGATTCGGATTTACTGAAGTAGACTTTTGGAGTGGGGTCCAGGAATTTTCACTTACAACATGCTCCTCAGATGATTTCTAAATCAATCAATCATCTATCTAATCCTATTCATCCTGTCTGTTTTTCTGTCTATAGACTCAAATTTAGGAACCACTGGTCTACTATATTCCAGGAACCTGACAGGCATTATAATTTTAATCCTTGAAATGGACATAACTATAACATTGGAATTATAATTTAAGGGGATGGTGGCTCAAAGACAGTAAGTGGCTTGTTCAAGGTCATACAACTAGTAAATTATAGACCTGAGAGTAGAAGCCAGATTGTCAATAGAGAAATAATCTTATTTGGTAAAGAAAAAAATCTTGAGCTTTTCTATAGCGATTGATCTTAATGCTTTATGGAATCAGTTATTCAACTCAGCTGCAAGAGTCTCTCTGGTGTGGATGTAGGCTAAATTGTGAGATACGTATTTGGTAATGTGACTTAACCATCATCCCATTTATGAGATAAGCAATATCTCACTAGGAGCCTTGAGAAAAGGAATAAGGGATGAGTTAATTACACCTGGAGCTGTAGATGATCAGTTTAGAGCAGCAAGAAGTATAGTTTCAGCAGAGTCCCATCATTGTTGAGATTGGTACTAAAACTATGGGAGAACTAAGTTCATTTTCTCTTGGTAAAACATCTCTAAGTGAAAGTCTTTAAAAGGCTTATAAAAACTTAAAAGGCCCTTGGACATCAAATGACTCTTAACAAATTAATCAGAAACATATGGATTAAATTTCTCATAAAATAATTTTAGGTTTAAAGTTATGTGAAAAAGCTCAGGGCAAAATATCTTTTAGGTTTGTTCGAACCGAACACTAAGTTCTTGGGGAAAGTTGGAAATACTTTAACAATATCAGGATGACACTGAACACTTATGTAGCATCTTCAGGTAACACAAAAACACTGAGTCCCATTCTCCTGCAGTGGGGTGGGGCCTGGACTCATGTGGAAATGCAAAAAGCAGCTCTGACAGATTCCCATGATGTTGGGTGGTGGGATAGGGTGGCAGGAGGAGTTTGGAGGATGAGGATATGGTTTTCCACTCTTCCCAGAGATAGCTGGTTAGTGCCATTTTTTCTTCGTAGGCACTGTCCCATTCCCGCCCTGGGAAAGTCTTCCAGGAGCAAGCTAGGTGTGACTGAGAGAGATCTGGCTGGGTGGTCAGAAGACCTGCATTTTAATCCTACCTCTGTCACTTCCCAGCTGGCTGATGTTGGTCAAGTCACCTCTACCCCAAGACAGAGGAATTGTCTTCCATGATCCACAAAGCTTCCTAAACCTCAGTTTCCCACCCGTTAGATGAGAATGGCATAAACCTTGGAGTAGTGTTGGGAAGATTTAGGTGAGATGATGATGTAATCCACTTAGCATAGTGCCAGGTACCTTTTAAGTGCTCAGTAAGTGATTAATATTGTTATTCTTTGGCATGATCGTAAGGTTCTGAGATTTCTAAGTAAAAAGGGCTAGTTGCCACCCAGAATGTGTCTGGAGGGAGGAATAGAGGAGGGGTTGGGGGAAGGAAGGGTTTTCCTTGCATCCAGGTAGGAGGTAGATTTCAGAATTGAATTTGAAACTAAGGATGTCAAATTTTCTTTGGATACAAACAGCTTTGTGGTTCTTTATTTAAAAAAGTAAGTACCAGTCATTGATGAATAGATGATGATTCTTCTAAATTTTTGTTTGGAAATAGTCTGGCACATATATATATATATATATATATATATATATATATATATATATATATTTATATATATATATATATATATATATTTATATATATATATATATATATATATATTTATATATATATATATATATATATATTTATATATATATATATATATATATATATTTGTGCAAACTATTGTCCCAAAGAGTTTTAAAGCTACAAGTGCGAAAAATAAATTTGAAACAGATAATTGAGTCTTGTGAAAAACATCCATCTGCTTTCATCGGTTTCTTTCATTCTTTCTGATATAGGCTTCCACACTTGCCACCTACCTGCCTAGAGAGCATGGCCATCTGTAAGGGCAACTCAAAGCTCTGTAAATCTGGCTAGATCTTCAGAAGTGGCCCACTTTCCCATTTCTCTCAACTCTTCTCTCTCCTCCAACCCAACCTCACAGTGTACTCACAACTTAGGGAGACTGCATACCGGACTACATTTGTCCATTTGTGGAGTGGTCCACCCCCAAAGATGTTTTCTTGACCTAAAACTGTTCTAGTTACTGTTGTTTTCATAGTGCAAAAGAAGAACTTTAAGATGTATGGATCCAACCATCATATAGTTGAATATATTCTTTGAGAATTCTATAAGTTTTAATTAGATATTTGAAAAATGTGTAAGCACCTAAGTATGTGTTCTGTTAATTTGTGTTCTTAGCTCCTTTAGATTCATTTTTGTGTTCAAGTTTATATGACCTTGAGCACTATGTGTCAAATAAAACACATCTGTCATGCCTGAGAAATGAAGTGTGAATCTCTTCTGTTATTGGTTGCATAACCATTTGTTCATTTGTCTGTATACATATTTTATTTAATTATAGATTTTAAATGAAAGAGGGCTAGAATGCAATAATTTAATGTTACCATGAAAATTCAATTTATTTTTATTATTTCCAAATTTATAGTTAACTGTAGTTTTGCTTGTATTTTACAGTGTTACACATTTTGGGGGTATATCTACAATGGAAAAAGCCATCTACTGCTGAGAACTTCTTGTTAAAACTAGCTTGCATAAGCTCAGGGCAATGTGTTACATAATAAGACAATTTACAGTCATCATGATAACAGAGGCTGTTTGCTAGAAAGAAAAGATAGCAATATCTGTAAAACTGCACCTGCAAGGAGGCTATAATTTCTGTGTGGTTGTCATAAACAATGTGAATCATGGATTATTACCATTTTTAAGGGCTCCATGCATTTCCCATTATTTATTATAGCTCCTATAGGACTTACCCCTGCATACTCACATGGATTGAGATAGATATATATTCAGACACACAGATGTGTATATAGTTATATACTTATACACATATATTATACATACACACATTATGCTTGTAATTTATGGCAAACAAAATAAATAAGCTCAATGGCTAAAACCTTGCAAAACACCCAGACTTAGACAAAAGGAGCCTTTACATCTGCCTGTTAACTCAGGACTAAATCCCTGGAAGGACTCTCAAAGCTGCTGCCCAGGTTTTCAAGAAGAAACCTCAATCTCGTCAATGAACTGAAGCCAAAGGTCAGAGTTCCCTCCAGTGTATACGCAGTCAGTGGGCCCCATTTGTCATTTTGCTCTGGGTTCTACTGAGCTGCATCTAGTCCCAAGTGCCCATAGATGTGACTCATTCCAGCAAAACCAAGTGGGGCTCTTTCTTTGCACTTTCCTGTTGTCATCACAAGCTGTTTATAAGCCCCATTCTCTTGGTGCCAAATGATTCCCTGCTGCAAATGAATCACTTCTGTGAAATACCTACAGTTCAATCGATTAGATATTATTTGATTTCTGTCTTCTATCTCTTTCTTGATAACAACCTTGACCATTCTCAGACATTCCTAGTCTCAACACTCTCTATTGGTTATCTATTGCCACAATAATGCTGCATAACAAACAACTATGCAACCTCAGTGCCATAACAAGCATTCATTGCTCATTCTTAAGTTGGCCAGGGTTTCACTAGAGGGCTCTGCTGATTTTAACTGGGCTTTCTCACCTGTTTGGGGACAGCTGGCTGTCCAGTGACCTAAGATGACCTTAGGTGGGGCAACTTGGCTTGTGCTAGGTGTCTTGTATCTTTTAGCAGGTGAGCCCAGACATGTTCTCATTGTGTTGTTAGAGGTGGAAGCAGGAGGGCAAGGTGTGAGCAGGAGGGAAAGCTTCATTGTGAAGCACTTTTGAAATCTTTTTGCATCACATTTGCTAACATCTCATTGGCCAAAGCAAATAATATGGATGATCCCAGAGTGAGAGTGGAGGGTATTGCCAAATAACATGGCAAAGGGCATGGGTATGGAAAGGGGTAAATAATTGGGGCCATGATTTTGGTGTATAGGAATAGAAAGGTATAATATACCTTTCTTCCTATACAACTGTCCTTCAGGAAAGGATCTAAGCAACATTTCCACTGAGCTGCAATGATGGTTTTGTGCAAAACCTAATGTGTTGCCACTACCATGTCCATCTACTTTTATACATATGACAATAAGAAAAGAAATGGAGCTCCATGGTGGGACTGAAGATGATCACGTATTCTTTGTCATTCCCTCCACCATGAGGTGGCATCTAGTTCTCCATCCCATTGCATCTGGGTTGGGTCAGAGGCTCTTTGATCAATGGGGCACAGTGGAAATAACACTTTGCCTGCTCCAGGCTCTACCTTTCATAGAACTGGCAGCTTCTATGTTCTCATTTTTGGAATTTGTGCTCTTGAGATGCATACTCTTGGAACACAGTTGCCGTGGAGAAGCCCAAGCCATGTGGAGAGGCCACATGTGGGCTCTCTGGTCAAAAGCAACCTCAACTACCAACCATGTGACATTAATGCTTCCATTCAATTGGGCCTTCAGATGACTGCAGCCCTGGCTAGCATCACATGGAAGAGAAGACCTGCCCAGCTCAGCCCAGAATTATAAGAGATGGTAAAATAGTTGTTTATTTAAGCCACTAATATGTGGGTCAGTTTGCTGTGCAGCCATAGATAATCAAAACAAGCCCCAAGAGGAACATTCTAGACACCAGGCCAGGGTGAAGGTGGTATTTTTGATCTTTGGGTTTTTCTAGAGCCTTTGAAAAAGGCAGTGACCTATTTTACTTAAACTTAGGGCAAAATGCTTAAATAGTTCCCTGAAAAGGTAAATGCAATTTGTAAATGGTGCTGATGTGCAAGTACATAATCACAGAAACCATGCAAAGGTCTTAACTGTTGCAGGTTTTACCTCATTAAGCACCTCAGGCTTTATTCTCTATTCCTGACTCCAGACGGCACTGCAGGGAGCTTTTCAGAGAGCAGAAAGGGGGCAGCTTCTCTCATCACTTCCTAAGGCTTACATGTGCCCTTTGTGTACATGCATGTGTGTTGTTATTTTTTAAAATGTTCTTTTTCTGCTGATTTCATTCTTTGGTGACACCTAGCATGGTTCAGGGTCCTGTGTGCCACACCTCCATTGTTGAATTCTAATCTCTGTTCCTAACGTTAGATTTAATTTTGAAAGAGATTTGCTGTTGTGGCTGACAAATCACATTGTGTCTGGCATAGGAATTGTCAGGTACTATGAATTCTCCAGACTTGCTCTTCTCCTTGCTTCAGAGGATCGGCTGGTTGGATGCAGATGGTACAGCAGACTGTATCATCATTTAGCTGAGACGATTCTCCCAGCTAGCTGCAAAATTCCTACCTTGTCACTCTTAAACAGGGCCTTAAGGGCCACAGACTAAAGGCAAATAGCAAGCCTGGTGCAGTGCAGATAGTTCTGGGCCCAGGCTTAGGAGACCTGCTGCCAACTAACTGTGTGATGTCTGTGAGTTTCTTTAGCTTCTCTGGGTCTCAGTTTCCTTATCTGTAGAGCAAGGGCAGAATAGAGATGACAGTCCTATAAGGTCCCTTCCAGCTGTACAATTCTTGGGTTTTATAGAGTACCTGGAGACATGAACAGTGGCTTTTGGAAACTCCTTTGAGGGTGCTTTCCATGATGTAGGCAGTGTGGGGTGTCATAAGGAACATGTCCCATAGGAAAATGAGCATGCTTCAGATCCTTACCTCCTGCTCTCCCTGCTTACTTTCCATGTTTCGTTTGAAAATGAGATCCATGGTCTTACAGTACTGCTTTGATTCACTGCCAATATTTGCTGAAGTGAACCAAAGGGATGGTTTAGGTTGGAGTACAGTAAAGAAGGCCAAATGACAAAAATAGTCACTTCAACCAATGCACTGCAAATCCAGTTCTTTTCTTCATGTTGGGGAGGGGTCTTCCAGGATAGCTTCTGAGTGTGGACAGCCAAGACACCCCCTCCCCTTTTCCTACACTTCTCTGTTTTCTGAGCTGTTGGAAGCAGCCCAAACACCTAGGGTAGCTCTGGCATTGTTAGCACATCCTGGTCTGGACCCATTCCCTCAGGAGGGGGTGGGGAGCCTAGACTCTGGGGTGCAAGCTGAGGGGAGCATACCAGATGGCAGAATGAAGGTCACATTGGTACTTGTTCCTGTGGCAGAGCTCTGGGGTGATGAATGGTGCACTCAAATGAAGAGCATTACATTAAAAATTTGGAAAGGTATATTCACATACCGATGGCAAAGCTGGTGACCGTGTGCATGCATCCAACCACTTTTTAAGTGCTATGGGGTCAGCAAAGCGTAAAACTTCTTTTGCCTAGAATTTTTTTCCTTCTAATTTTTAAACCCATGTGCATTTTAATGGAAATTTAATCGTATGTTTCAGATTTATTTACACTTAACTCATCAAAATGTTGTTTTGCAAGAGGGATTCAAGGTCCAAGAAGCCTTTTGAGTTTTTTATAAGCTTTTTAAGGACTTTTCTTTTTTCTTATAAACAGGAAACCATGTATCACAGAGAGCGAACAAACTTGAACCCTAAGAGGTTCAAATTTGATCTGAAACTCTGAAGTCATGAACACCAGGACTACTCTGTGGTGAAATGGATTTCTCCATGTTTTTTCCTTAGAAATTTATAGGGAAACAGCTGAGGGTTTCAGCAGAATATTGTCTATTTTTCTAAAATTAGTGAATATCCTGAAATGTACTATACAAATTAGAAATGTTACCGCTCTTTTGTTTTTTTTAAATTACTTGCTTTTGACACATTTTTTTCAGTGTTTTTCTCTGTGTAAAAGTTGGGTGAAGTGCAAAACCACATCAGAAGCAGAGACTTTTATTTCATGTCAAGTTTCTTAGTAATATTAAAGCTATACCAAATAAATAAATAAATAAAAAAGGTTATGTGAAAAAAAGTGCTATTTATAAGAAAAACTGTCTGGTCTAACGTTTCCCAGTTATTTTGTCTGTACTAGCTGTGTCTGTAGTGTTGAAGTGGAGAGGTGATTGGTTCATTTGTAGATGTCTGTAGCGGTCCCCCCTCAACCCACAGGAATTGTGAAGCAATTCTCCCAAAACACCTAATCTAAAAGAAATCACTGTTTTTATAGTCTGAATCAGTATTTTTATACTTTATATACTTATACCTTTAGGTGTATTTGCTTTACTTATATATTCTATTTATACTTATTGACTTATGTAAGTATATGTACTTATATACTTTTATGCTTGAAATATTTTACTTATATATTCTTTGTTTACTTTATACTTACATACTTTATATATTCCTATAGAGTCTGGATTAGTATTTAAGTTAGAATTCATTTTTACTTTGTGTAGGCTGTGCCTATATGTATTTTGCCACTCTGTTGACATGTATTTGAGGAGTTGAAGTAAGCAAAATGGACTGATCATTCAACTGAGAACTCATCACTCAGTGCTTGGTCTTTGCAGTGGCTGGAGAAGCAGGAATTGATTTAAAGGCAGTCAATTCATGGTTGCCAGAGAGACATCTTTACAGGTTGAGGCCCTGCTGGTAGGGCCAAATGCAGGATGAGGAGCTTCTCCATGTATAATTCACTGGAATATGTGATATCGACTGCTCTTCTGTAAGCCTGTCATTTTCCATCCTGAAGTTTTTTTTGTGTTTTGGTAGAACAATGTGCGTTCTGTTCACCATCACCTGACTAAGCTTTATACAACTTCTATGAATCTACTATTGTAACTTTAAATATGGTTCAAGGTAAGATTGAATTTATAAAACTAGTCTTAATATGAAAGCAGTTAATCATTTGAATTTTACTAGTACTCACTACCCACATGTAAGTTCGAAGAGTCTGAAAAGTGTTTTCAACAGTATCTCACACCCTAAAGAATTCTTATTTTATCACTAATATTTAACAACAGATTAAAAATATATCCATATCTGGCAGAAATGTCTTTTGAAGAAACAAGTAGATTTTTAAAACACTATAAAATTTGTCAATGCCATAATCATAGCCAATGAAATAACTGACTAGAAACTTCCCCAGGTTCACATCCTTTCTGGCTGTTCAGAGGAACTCTATCACATCTGCCTGGGAGAGCAATAAAGAGACTTGGTGGTAAAACACAACACAAATAATTGCTCATCCTGTGTGAAATGCCTTCCATCCGCTCTGGGAAAACCTCCTTGTGGCAGGAAGAAGCCAGGTAGCATGGAATAAAAGGGTAAGTAACTTGTGCCAAGCAGGTATCCAAGAGCCAGCTGGCTACCAGGGACTCAGGGGCAGAAACCCAGATTTAAATGGCAAAAGCCAAAGGAAAAATAAGGATTGCACCAGCTTCAGAAATGAGCTCTTAATGGCCTCAAAGAGAAGGCTGTGGGGGAATTCAGCACATAAATAAAAGATAAACAAACTTAAAAACAGGCTTTATAGGCCTGGTGTAGTGTACTAGTAGTTATGGAGTCTTTGCTGGTGCCCAAGGATGCGTCACTGTGGGTGGTTATGGCTTTTGGAAAAGCGCAGAGCTGAGCTGGGCAGTGTAGGTAAGTTGCTGGATTTAGGTAGGAGGTTGAGATCTTTTTATGATCTGTTTGCAAACTGGGTCAAACTGTGTCCTCTGTATGCAGGTCACAGTCATCTTCATTCTGAATTTGACGGAATCAATCTGCATTGTCAATATTGCTGTTTAATAATTATTTAAGCTCTCTTAACGTGGAATAATTCAAAGAACACATATCACATAGTTACAAGCTCTACGTTAATGCTGGCATCCTTAAAAAGGGTGAGCTATTTAGCCATGCATATGTATTAGGGTCACTTTTGAATGTTCATGTTTTGTCATTTTTATTTTCTTCTTTAGATTTAAAATAAAAATATTTTGATAGATAACATGAATTTCATGTGGAAAGAGTGCTTGTAGACAGATTTGCAGGGAGTGAGAGTCTTTCTGGCAAATTGTCCCATTTGGAGTTTCGCTCAGATCATCTTTACTTAAATTTAGTTTGGGTATGATTATAGTAAAATAAAAAATCAGAATTATTTATTTTAAATCTGAGAAACAAAATACAACAACTTCTCCTTCCCTCTCCCCATAATCCAAACAAAATTCACATACCCATCACAATTTTATCTTTAAAGGGCCTTTACTCAAAGGAGCCAAAGAACTTGGACTTCTCTACTCCTTTCCCTGGAATACATTTGGCTTTGTTCTTTGCAGCATAGGCAATTGCTGTTAAAGAGACTTTCAGTTTAACATGTAATTAATAGTTTGGCATTTCCCCAGGGCTTTCCTCGGGACCCTTTTTCTGTATCTGTTTTGTATTACAGAGTTCCCTTGCTAAATATTTCCAGATCATATAGATTTAGATAAGACAAGTTCCAGAACTTAGAGTATTTTTTATTTTGACATTTACAGTATTTATTAGTGAAATGAAAATAATACTTTGACAAGTCCCCAAATAATAAATGGCAATATTCTCAAACTCTGAGTAGTTTAGAGTAACTTTCAGTGGCTAGTGACCACCTGATAGCCAACTGTTCTCTTTTCAGATATGTTAGCAAATTTGAAATACCTTGGGATAAGTTCTTTTAGAGTGCTTTCCCATGATGATAATTGTATTTCCCCCCAGTCCCTCTGGGTGGTCGGTGGGCCTGACATATCTTGTTCCTTTATCTGTGAGAATTAAAGAGTTAGGAGGGGATGAACTATTGCTCTGGGGCAAGTCACATTCTTTGTGCCTGGGCTTAGCACAGGGCATGCTGGGAGTCATGCTGTATTCAGAGGAAGCAGCCATTGCCCCCACACCATGTGTGTTAACCAGAGGGTGGTGTGGGTCACTTTGAGTACCAGGAGACATGACTTAACTGGAACAAATACTTTCAACTCAATCTGGGAAGTAATTATGGTTCACTTGGATATTTTCCAGAGCAGTCTTCAGTGAGGTGAGTTGGGTAGCTTTTATTCATTCTCCCTCTCTACCTTCTCTACAGATCTTTGCTTTTCTTATGGAACTTACCTCATTTTTGCCTCGTAATTTAGTAACTTGAATATATGTCTCTATGCTCTGCTACTTTCAAGCCTGCGAGGGGACTATATTTTTCTTGTTGTGTAGTATCCACAGCTCTTATCATACTGCTTTGCATGAGTATTTTTCAAGTTGTAGTGAGACTCTAAATCTCACAGCACTCCGTACTTCTTGTAGTAGTTAGGGTAAGGATAGCTGCCTGGAGCAAACTACCAAATGTCAGTGGCTTCACTCAGGAAAGTTTATTTCCCATTCATGGAATTGTCCAGCAAGAGTGTGTCTGGTCAGAGGTAGCTTCTTCCATGGGGTAATTCTTATTTTCAGGCTCCTTTTATTTTGTGGTTCTGCTTCCTATAGGCCCCTGGCATCCAGCCAGAGATGGGAAGAGAGTGTGGGAAAGGGATGTCTGTCTTAATTGCCTTGTCTGGAAGTGATGGGCACCACTTCCGTTCATATTATTATTATTATTATTATTATTTTTTTTTTTTTCTGAGAGTCTCGCTCTGTTACCCAGGCTGGAGTGCAGTGGTGCGATCTCAGCTCACTGCAACCTCCATCTCCAGGGTTGAAGCAATTCTCCTGCCTCAGCCTCCCAAGTAGCTGGGATTACAGGCACCCATCACCATGCCTGGCTAATTTTTGTATTTTTAGTAGAGACAGGGTTTCACCATGTTGGCCAGGCTGGTCTTGAACTCCTGACCTTGCGATGTGCCCGCCCTGACCTCCCAAAGTGCTGGGATTACAGGCAGGCATGAGCCACCACACCTGGCCCACTTCCATTCATATTCTGTTGGTGAGAACTCATCACATGGCTGCACCCAGGCTCAAGGATGTTGGGAGTAGCCCCTGGTGAGGCTGCTGCTTCCCAGTGGAGGAGGGGAAGCTCCAGAAGGAACAGCCCACATGTTTGGAGGCCTGTTATCTTCACCATCCTTTCCAGAAGGTAAACAACTTGAAAAATGAAAGAACCATACAACATTAGATCTGAAGGGACTTTAGAGCCATTATATTCCCATTTCCATTTTACAGCTGAAGAGACCTGGGCTTAAAGGGATAATGAGAATTTCCAGCTTGTTTAGCTAGTTAATGGCAGAGTTGGGTCTGGAATCTGGGTCCGTTGACTGCCAGTTATTTCTGTGGCACTATGTCCAATCAAAGTCTTTGTGATTTTTGCACCGCTCAGGTGTAGTTACCCATCAGGTGCTTGAGAACAGTGAATGAGGAGGGTATTTGTGGAAAGTTCAGGGGGGTTGTGGAATCAGGTTTCCTTTTAGGATATTTTAGTTCATTCGTGCTGCTATAGCAAAATACCGCAGCCTGGGTAACTTATAGATAATGGAAATTTACCTTCACGTAGTTCTGGAGGCTGGGAAGTCTAAGATCAAGGTGCTGGCAGGTTTGGTGTCTGGTAAGGGCTGCTCTCTCTTTCCAAGGAAGGGCTGCTCTCTGTTTCTAAGGTGGTGCTTTATCGCTGCATCCTCTGGAGGGAACAAATGCTGAGTCTTCACATGACAGGAGAGTGGAAGAGAGTGAACTCACCACCTCAGGCCCTTTCCTGAGGGCCATAATCCTATTTATGAGGGCCCTGCCCTTATGACTGAATCACCTCTTAGAAGCCCCACCTCTTAATACTATCAGATTGGCGATGAAGTTTCTACATATGAATTTTGGGAGGCATTCAGACCATAGCAGTATGTTTAATTCAGCTCCTACTTTCCTCTGTGACTTACCAAGGTCCTCTCTCTGTGTGATAACCCACAATAGTAGTAAGTTGGCTGGGTTTGGAGGTGAGTGAGAAATGAGAGCATGATTGGGGTCAGAGGTGTGGCCAGAGTGACTGATGCTGCTGGTGGAGTCATCCTGGTATTTACTGTCCAGGTAAGGCATCGTGTGAGTTGAAAGAACACATGTCTAAAACTTCCTGGTGATCAGCATGAATATCCTCTTACAGTTATTTTTTAAAAAGAGCATTTAGAAGGCTGTTGTCAAAATGTAATTATAGAAATTAATTAGATAATATATAAGCATCCAAAAATATGTTTATGGATCTATTTGCCAACATGTTGATCAGCAAGTGGGGTCTTAAGTGAACAAGAGAGTGGACAGATAAGTTTTAAGAGGGAGTAAGAGACAGAAGAGGTTTGGAGGATAGGATACTTCAGGGAGGGAAGACCAGAGTGTGCTACATGAGTGGTGGAGGGAGAATATTTGTCAACAGAAGGTTAGGATGAGGGCACTGGGTAACTGAGAGATAATACAGAAAGAGGGTGCTAGCTGGGAGGGTGGGGAATACCACAGAGACAAGTTTCTTCTTTCCCCTTCTTTTTGATCCCTTGGAGGGGCTGACCATCATCATCACATGGCAAAACATCCTGGATCCCAGATCTGGCTCTGTCATTCAGCCCTTGAGTAACACTGGGGCAGTGACTTTGCTTTTCTGGGCTTCAGTTTCTCCAACTGTAAAACACAAGGGGTGTATGAGACCACTAGTTTTCTGTGTTATTTGGGTACTTGGGAGTCTTGTGGATGTGATTCAAGGGTATCACTGCAGGCATGGGGGTGAGTAGCAAGCAGGCATTTTCTGCCCTGCTCCCCGCCTCACCCTGCAAAAAACAAATTAGCTCTGTGACGTCTGAATTTCTACAGAAAATTATTGTTTGAAGGTCAACGTCTATGTCTAAAGAAAATTTTAAAAAGCACTCAGCCTATACCATTTCTCAGGCTTTCTCTGGTTCTGACATTTTGGGAATCTGTGGTCAGTACCCAAAGCCTTCCAACCTCTAAAGAAACAGGGCCAGGATTTAAAGTCAGCTGTGATTCTATGATTCATACTCTTCTTCAGTCTAGGTGTCTGACCTGGGAATTCCCTCATGTGGCTCTTGGTTCTTTTGCAGGTGTGCTCTGCCTTGTCAGGGTGACTTAGGTGCTCATCTGGGCTATAAAACCCTCACTAAGAGCAGTGCTCGGCACAAGGCAGTCTGACGCCTGGTGAATGATCCATTACTTAAAAGCTCATCAAAGTTGCAGCACTTCTGAGGGGCAGGAAGCCCCAGTAAGGTACCTGGGACAGTTTACAGAACACCACCCTGATTATTTTATGGTAAAAATGTGGTAGGATTCTGGTTTTCAGCAATGAGAAGCAACTCACACACACACACACCCTTAAGTCTAAAAAAACAGCCATATATTGAGAGGTATCTGGATTTTTTTGAAGACTTTCAACCTCCCCCAGCTTTTTGCTTCTAGATCAATGTTTTTAATGGCTTTGGCAGCCTTAGTCCTATTAGTAAATTCCATTCAACCTGCAAATTAATTGTTCAGGAGCAAAATCAAGTTGAAGATGGGCTTTTAATCTGCCCTGCCTCAGCCCACTTCCATGTTTGTATACATTTGAAAGCTTAGCCTATCTCCCTTATTCTGGCTGTTTGAATAGCATAACCTTGGTGATGAATTCCAGATGCTGCACTACAGAGTGCTTCAGGGGCTTATACATTACAGTTCTCAGAAAATAAATGTATTTTTTTCCTTGTGATTAAAAGGCTAAACAGCAGGTCATGCGTACCTATGCATGCAAAAGGGTATTTATATTTTGGATCAGGTGAAATGCACCTGGGCGCTGTAAATATCACAGATCACTGTGATGTGATTGAATCTAAAAGTCGGCATGGCCTCTCTTCCTTTTCTTTTTTTAAATACCCTTTGAAAGCGAAAGTTCAGCAGGTCATTCTTTCCCATAATCAGCGACGAACTTAGATCATCAGAGTTGATGTGAGGTTTTCCTTTACATCTCAGAGGGGAACCTGAACTATCAGTGATTATTGAGAGGTCCTGTCGAATATATTACAGTAGGGATCACAATCTCAAAATTGCTCTGAAAGTCTGGAACCCACACCTTGGAGGGTCTGGACTTCCCTTAACATTGCTTTTCTAGTTACTGTGTTTGGGAGGTGGTTGGGATTGGGGGACTTTTCCCAAGACTTCACATTTCAGAGCAAAGGGAGCTCCACTGGAGAGATACTCCTGGCCTCCTTTCTTACTCCTTCAAGGTGGGAGAGCTTTGGAGAAGGAATGGGGCTGAGAGCCCAGCCAGGTCAGCCCTCTCTCTGGGAGCCCAAGGCAGTAGCATCTTTCTCTACCTTTAGACTGGCAGGAAGCCTGGCAAGGCATGAACTCTTCCCAGACTGGAGCCTGGGGTTTTGGCATAAGCTCAATCCCGTGGAAAGTTATCATGTTTCTTGGCCAGTCTTGGCCATGACATACGTACATACACATGTGCACAATGTTTATTAATAATAAGGATGATACTGGGATCTCCATCTTGCTGAGTCCTTGACACTCTCTAACTTGGTTCAGAGCATGGATGAAGTAGGGGATCTTCTCTGACCCTAATAGTCATTAAAGTAATCATTCTCATGAAAAATTTGAAAATAGAGAAAAATGCAAAGAAGAGAAGTCATCCATAATTCTATTGGGATAACCCTTTTAACATTCTCTGTGTTAATCCTTTAAAACTTTCAGTCTCCTTTCTCTGTTTCCCCTTCCCTCTCTCTTCCTCTTGTACAAGTATAGGCAGGAAAACATACATAACATACATATATATTATGGCGATGTGTGAGTGCAAGTATATATATATGTTCATATACCACATACATTTATCACAAATTAAGGTCATGCAATATTCATAATTGCTATTGTTTAAATTCTTAGCATGTGCCTTATTGTATAATAAGTAATATAACCTCACAATAACTCCATAAAGTGGGTACTGTTTTAATCTAATTTTATAGATGAAGAAACTGATCACAGAAAGTTTAACTCCTTGCCCAAGCTTACACAGATAGTAAGTGGCAAAGGAACCTTTAAACTCAGTTTGAGTTTTAATCATCACGTGGTGTAGCATGTATACTACACTGTATAGTATGTTTTGTTTTGGAATCTGTTCTTTTTACTCAATACTTCATGAACAGTTTGTTCATGTCATTAAATATTCTTCTAAAATAGGATTTTAATAGTTGCACCGAATTTAAGTACAAGGATATGCATTGTATTTTATCTCTTACCTTACAGATTTGGTTTGGTGGTACATTTTCTCTACCATAAGCAACACAGCAATGAACATCCTTGAGCTGCACATTTTTGCTCATAACTCTGTTTATTTCTTTAGGCTAGGTGCTTAGACATTGAACTGCTGAGGCGAACAGTGTCTGCCTATTTTTCAAGCCTCTGATGCTCCCATCAAAGTCCTGACCACCAGCTCCCCCTTGCAGCTGCATGGATGCAGGGACAAAGAACTGGGAGGTCTCCGCATCTTGCCCATAGGGTGTATTGGTTGATCTGGAATGGTCTTTCTTTCTTGCTAGCTTGCTTTCTTGCCTTCTTTTTCTTTTTTCTTCCTTTTTTTCTTATCTTTTTTCCTTTCCTTTCCTTTTTTTTCCCTTTCCCTTCTCCTCTCTTCTCTCTCCTTTCTCCTTTCCTTTCCCCTTTCCTTGTCCCGTCCCCTCCCCTCCCCTCCCCTTTCTTCCCCTTTCCTCTCCTTTCCTCTCCTTTCTCCTTTCTTCTTTCCTTTCCTTTCATGACGGGGTTGCACCATGTTGCTCCAGCTGGTCTCAAACTCCTGAACTCAAGCTATCCTCCTGACTTGGCCTCCCAAAGTGCTGGGATTACAGGTGTGAGCTACCACACTGGCCTGGTTTTTCTTTTTAACTGCTATTTTAAAGCTTAGATTTACAATAATCTTTTGCCCTTGATGGAAGATCTTTGGTTAGTGTCCCTCAGAATATTTTTGGTTAGCAAGAATAAGAAGGATCATATCCTAATTTCTTGGCTCTTTACCGTGATGAATGCCCATCCTACCTCATCGTTGCAAGAGACTGAGGATCTCCTCAGTGACATGTCCCTGGTACCCCTCTCCTACCTGTGCCTCTGCTCTTCTGGTGGCCTCATGCACAAGGCCCTTCACTCTCATCTTTGCAAGTCTGCATTCTATTTATTCTCAAGGGCCAGCAAAATCCTACCTAATGGCACAGTCATCTTTGCCTATCTTTGTTCAGAATTATCAATCTCATTTTCCTATTTTTCCTAGAAGCTAGATTTCCTGGAAGATAGTTTTTTTTGATAATTCCATTTCATTCATTTTTTTCAGTTCACTCATTCATTCAAAAACCACTACTGTGCTGAATGAATAAATTTGGAAACAACAAAAATAATACATGGGCAGGCTCTTTCCTCATGTCTAGTAGGGAAGAAATATTACATAAGCCAAGAATTTCTGTACAGTGTGTTAAGTATTATAATATGTAGGAGAGTGGTATGTATAATGACAGAAAAAAGGAGAAGTCACAGCATGTGAATGGGAGAATGGTGGAACATGAGCATGACTTAGCCAGATGAAGGGGGGAAGCAGGAGGAAACTCCAAGCATCTGGAACAGCATGGGAGAAGGCATTAAGGGAAGGAACAACATCCATAGTCAGCAAAGTGAGGGGAGCCACAATTAGTGACTCGGGCTGGAGTAGTGGGAGGCATTAGTGGGGAACTGAGCACTTTGACATTCTATACTTACCCCCATTGTGGCTTTACCACAACTGACATGACTTATTTACTTGCCTTGCTCCCCCACCAGACAGCAAGTCCTTTGAGGGCACTTACATCTCTTTTGGCACTGTACAAACTCTGCATCCAGCACAGTGCTTGCCACATAGTGAGTGGGGAGACTCAGTAACTATTGAATGAATCAATGGAGGTGGAGGATGAGAACAGCAGGTAGCAAAGGAAGATACCAGTAGTTTTCACAAAATGCTAGTATCTTAGTCTGTTTTCTGCTGCTGTAACAGACTACTACAGACTGGGTAATTTATAAAGGAAATAAACTTATTTGGCTCTCTGTTCTGGAAGCCGGGAAGTCATACATTGAGAGGCTGCATTTGGTGGGGTCTTTCTGCTGCATCATAACATAGCAGAAGGTATCATGTGGTGAGAGAGAGGAGTGGGGAAGGCAAAGGATGGGGCTGGAACTTCATCCTTTTATCAGGAACCCATTCCCGTGATAAGTACATTGATCAGCTCATTAGGACGTGCTCTCATGACCTAATTGCCTCTTAAGGGCGCCACCTCTTATCACAATGGCAATTAAATTTCAATATGGGCCGGGAGCGGTGGCTCATGCCTGTAATCCCAGCACTTTGGGAGGCCGAGACCGGATCACGAGGTCAGGAGATCGAGACCATCCTGGCTAACACGGTGAAACCCTGTCTCTGCTAAAAATACAACAAATTAGCCGGGCGCGGTCGTGGGCACCTGTATTCCCAGCTACTCGGGAGGCCGAGGCAGGAGAATGGTGTGAACCCGGGAGGCGGAGCTTGCAGTGAGCCGAGATCGCGCCACTGCACTCCAGCCTGGGCGACTGAGCGACTGAGTGAGACTCCATCTCAAAAAAAAGAAAAAAAAAATTCAATATGAATTTTGGAGTAGACATTTAAACCATACCAGCCAGTCATACATTCATAACTCTCATTCACTTTCTACATTGGTTTGAAAGTAAGCCACCCTTTTTCCTTCTTCAGTTGAATCAATGCCTGCTAGACTCACTCCAGCCCTCGAGAAGGGATCTTTATTTGGTCAAGACTTCCCTTTCCCTATAATTCTCCCTGTTGTGTTCACCTAAGTTATGACAATGCTGATTTTTTTTTTCGGCTTAAAACAATAAACATTATTGCTCACATGGTATTATTGTTCTCATTTTCCTTCATGGTGTTTATCAAACATTTGTTCCTTATATAATTATGTCATCAGGAGTTTTGTGTCTGCTAGAATATGAGCTTCATGAGGGCAGGGATACCTGACTTTTCCCCATTATTAGTGCCTAGCACAGTGTCTGACATGCTCAGTAATACTCAACAACACTTACAGGACAAACGAATGTAACAAACTCCTAGAGAGCCTGCTGTCTATTGCACATATTGTGGTGGTTGCTTATACATTGCACTCTTTTTGTCATTTCTATGGACAGATTTTGAGCTTTTTGAGACTATTGTACCTGTACCAGGAATGCAGGATAATACTAGATTCTCTCAGACTCAATGTTGAGGGACAATCAATTTTATTTTTATTGCCTGTGGGGTATCTCTGAGTCTCTCTCCAAGCAATCTTCATATTCTCCAAGAATAATATTGGAGAATCTCCTGGTTGAGTGCCATCTAATATATAATTAATGATGAATCTTAGCAGTTCACATTTTCAGAAGTCTTTCTAGGCATGACCTCACCACCACGCTGTGATGCCTCACTGCCAAGGGACTCCATGTGGCCCTGGGTGAGGTCTCTCAGTCCAGCCAGTCTGCAGTTTTGGTGTTCATAAGATTATGAGCCTGGGGAATGTGCCCAAATCCAACCACTCATTCTTACCCTGCCCAGATATTTTGACCCATAAAATGTGTGCACACTGATTTCAGATGGAGACCAAAGTATCCATTGGCCAAGCAAGCTTCCAATAACCTAAAACCGTCTTAATGCTGAATCTTAATTCGGATGGCCAATTTGCCCAGCACTGAAAGGTTTCCTGGGAAGTGGGACCTAAATTGCTAAAACCAGGATAGTTCTGGGAAAACTGAAATGTTGGTCATCTTAATCTCATTAGAGATTCTGATTGGAGAATGCAGTGGGTGCTTCAATCAAAGAAAGCTGCACAAAGTGAGCAGATCTAGCCTGGTTTAACCTCTGGGTCGAAAATGAGGGTGGGTTTGATAGCCCCTTGAGTCTGCAATTGGTGGCAGAAGTGAGGGCACTTTTGTATATCCGCAGTGCCTCTCTAAAACGGTACAGTTGACTAACTCTTGCAGTTGTCCTGAATTTTTTGAACCTTAGGAAGCATTAGAATCAGGAACTGAAAATAGAATCTTCGTCTCTTAGTTTGTTTTCCCTCAGAAGTGGATCCTGAGTTAAGGATAGAAGGGCAAGTTGCTTATTTGAGAGAGGAAGGCAAGCACTGGTAGGGGAAGAGGAGAGTGAGAGAAGAAGGAGAAGGCAGCCAGTAAAGGTTATTTTATTGAGCTGGTTGCCAGCTGTGGGTGACTGGAGCTTAGTCCTTAATCTTTTTCTCTAGAGTAGTTTATCGACCTTGGCACTCTTGCCATTTGGGGCTGAATAATTCTCTATTGTGTGTGGGCCCTCCTGAGCATTGTAGGATATTTAGCAACATCCCTGGTCTCTATCCAGAGGTGTCAGTCATATTCCCTTTCCCCAGTGTGTGACAGCCCAAAACATCCTCAGACAGTACCAAATTGCCCCTAGTTTATAACCAGTGTTCTAGAACACACAGAGTTTTCCCACCTGGGTGGTGAGGGAGCTGGGATGTTTATATGCTGATGGAGACTTCGAAGAAATCTCTTGGGCAAATGCTGGCAGCTGGAATTTGATAAGTGTGCACTAAAGCGGAGAAGTCCAAGGTTGCTGGGTGGGGCACAGACCACACCTGCATTTCTCCATCTTCTTTAGATACTTGTTATCTCTGCAGATGGGCTTTCTCTTTCTCTCTGTCAACATGATGGAATATGACTTTCTATCACTCCCGGCCACAAATACACATCCCATCAGCTTTAAAATTCTAATTCCAAGTCCCTAGGATAGACGATCTGATTGGCCCAATTTGGGCTGGGTATTCATTTGGACCCTATCAGCTGTGACCTATATAGTACAAACATGGCTTTCAAGGGGTCCACTCCTGTTTCAGTGCAGGGTACATGGGCAGCATAAGGAGATTGGCTGTCATTGCGGACAGCAGGGATGGGCAATTATGTCAGCCAGCCTTCATCAGGCATCTCCCATGTGCAAGGCTATGTAAAGGGCACATGGACAAATGACTTGTCAGAGTGCAGAGAGAACGTGAGGAGAATACAGAACTTAAAGACAGAACTGAGACCTTTGGGGTTGATGGTTTCGGAAACATTCCTCTCTCCCCAATGCCTGGGTGAGTGATTGTGCCTAGAGAGTAGGAAGGTAAGTTGAGATAATTGTCTTTCCGTGTGCATACTCTTCATGGTGAAACAACGGAGTGGACATTTTGGTGGGCTGGGGCAGTTTTCTCGCCAGACTTCAAGATAAATTTAGACCTTGCCACCAAATTCTCTTGGCCTTCTCTTGTCTTAGAGGAAGGCTATAAAATCTGGTGTTGGATTGACTGCTCTGGTAAAGGAGGGAGGTTCATGATGTGATGGGGGCGGGGAGGGGAGAAATGTTGTTGTCTGACGGCTTTCTTCTGGGAAGAAAAGGCAGGACTTCGTATTGCCAGCCTTTCCCATTGCAGTCTCATTCTTTGTTTTTTTTTTTTGTTGTTTTTTGTTTTGTTTTTTTTTTTTTTTCAAATCAATAGACACAAAACAAAAATAGGGCATAGGATGACTCTGTATCAGACCTTGGCATAAGGGGCTCTTTGCCCTTGGTGAGCCTGCCTGCCTGGGAAGTGCAGAATGTGGGCTGTCGTATACCTTGTGGGCTCTTAAGTTGCTTCTGCATGGAGATAGCAGCATCCTGTTGGCCGAACAAGGACACTGCTTTTAACTTAGAATGTGTTTATTATGGGCAGCTACAGGGTCCAATAGAGGTAACAGGGGTTTAGCCAAAGCCCCTTCAAGTGGACGTTGCCTTACACAGGTCAAGCAGGTACCAGCCATGTAGGGTACAGTGTGACTGCTGCCCCTGAAGTTGTGCAGCAGAGTCCCTGCCAAGGCACTTCTGCTAATTCCTTCTGCAAAGAGGTATCCTTTGCCAAGATATGTAGCTCTTAGCTGCTTCTGTCACTTCCCAGGCCTGGCTGTGGCAGAGGAAGGTGAACCATAGTTGGATTTAGCCAGGGTCCTTCTGACTTCCAGGAGGACAGCTGATTTGTTTGTAATGGTTGTTTTTCCAAAACTTGGGGCTTCATCAGGCTGAGAAGAGAGCAAGAGGCATGGCATAGCAACATAAAGAGATTAATAATCCCTCTCCTAAGTAGAGTGATGTGGTGGCCATGGAAGTGTTCCTCTCTCGAAGACTGCCACCTACAGGGCTGGGGAACGGCGGGGGGCGGGTAGGGGAGTGAGGTAACTGACCGAAGGCTCTAGCCGCCAGGCTCTCCTGGCACATCCATTGCCACTTTCATGTTGAGGTCATGATTCTCACAGCCTGCTCCCAGCCAATGACTGAGCAGGACAGGGATCCTGAGGCAGGCCTATTCCTGGGAGTGATGTGTATCCTCTGATGGCCAAGCTTGGCTCCAGAGCTCCCTGACTGCTTTGCAGAAACTTCGTCCACCTCCTCTCTCTCTTTTCTTTACTGGGAGTCAGTCTTGCCTTGTGACCTAGCAGCTCTCTCAGCTTTACCTAGCTTCCTCCCCCTTTCTTCTCATAAAGGTTTTTCTTCTAATAAGGTCTAGCCTGTGAAATCTCATCTTGGTGACTGCTTTTCAGTGGGCCTAGATCAACACAGATGACCATATAATTTATACTTCAGATTGAGGCATGTTTGGAATGAAATAATGAAAATGATGATAAAACTAATAGCAGTAAACCAGGGCAGGCCTAAGGAAACCTAAGGAAAAATTTTTGAAGAAATTTGGCTTACTTTGAGATTCCTAAAGACGTAAGAAAAGCTGATAACTGGGACTTTGCTTGGTGAATATAAAAAAAGAGAACTCAACCCATTTAATTCCAGGAAATGATCAATTTGGCTTCACTGTTTGTAGAGCGACTCTTGTGTGCCAAGTAAGAGGCTGGAATAGAAAGATGAATAAGCCACAGTCTCTTCCCTCAAGTGGCTTGTGGTCTAGAGGAGGAGACTCACATAATTTGATAATTTTACCAAAATACGATTCTTATAAGATAAAGAGCTGACAATGGGATTAATTTGGCTATATAAAGACAGGCGCCAGCTCCACCCAGTAGTTCCTAGTTCCTTCCTAGAGGGCAGTGCTGGTGCAGGGGAAGGGTCCTGGGTGGGCTTTGGAGGCCTTGTTTGTGCTAGTAGAGGAACAAGAGGGGTAGGGATACAAGCAAGATGAGGATGTCTTCTGGTCAGGCTCTAGGATGTAGTGCAATGTGCCCCTAGCACTTTTTCCCCCTTTTAATTGCAAGAAAGCAGTTCCCCTGCATTTTCCCTAACCCCCAATATATGGCAGAAAAACAGCTCTGTGATATGCACAATGATTAGACTCAATACATGTTTTCTAACGAATCCCTGCCCTACGTACATGTATACGAAATCAAATCAGCTGAGTGATTGTGCGCCCTCCAAGGCAGCTTGCATTTAGCAAATCCTGGCTGAATGAAACCTCCTTAGACAAGCAAACAGGTAATTGGCCTCCACTGGGCTCTGAGTGAATCACCTCTCTGAAGCAGCTGGTGCTACCGGGTTTTCTGGTAAAGTTGCTCTTTCTACAAGCGGGGCTGGGAAAGAGCAAAGTGCAATGACACACACACTTGAACAAAAAAACACTTGAATAAACAGATGCCTGGTTTACTTCTCTAGCCTTTTCCTTGGCCTCATGATGCCTGACAAAAATTGAGTTGAAAGTGATGGCTGGGCTAAGATGAGGCCAGCAATATGTCACCCTATCAAGCCTAGCTCTCAGGGGATGGCAAAGGCGTTTAGCTCCAAGCTCAGCCATGGTGCTGCCATAAGACAAGAGCCCCATAGCTCCAGCAACTCCTCCCTCCTCCTTTCCACATGATTCAATTTCATGCCATTTGCAGTTGTAAGACAAAAGAATGTTCCAGTTCCAAATTCCAGGCCCCCATCCTAAGCTCCCTTTGTAAGCCCAGGAAAGGAGGCCCAAGAGCCTCATGCATTCCTCTGGTTATAGGCAGCCCATGCTGATGTTCAAGGGCTAGAACCACACTCTTGGCCTTCAACTTTTAACCCTGATGGGTAGGGAATCTTTTGAACTTGAAAAAAGTCCATGCTTTAAGAAAGAATGTTAAAAAAAAAACCCATGGCAAAAGCTTCTTGAGGCCTGTGGTTTATTTCTCTGCACTGTAGGGGAGATCATAGCATTGGCATATGTCATTACAGTCAGGTGAAAAGGTGCTGTAGGCCATCTCAGCATAGCATACCTGCCTTACCCGTGGCGCAGCAAGTATCTTGGAAAACCTTGATGCCCGTGCATTCATTTGCTCAGCACCGTTGCTTGCCACCTGTTGTGTCATAGATTGCGCTTTCCACCTTCTTAGGCACCGGCTTCTACCCAAGTGGGTCCTGGGTGGATGTGGCTCCCCGGTCTCTGGGGCCCAAGCCAGTATTGTCACAATTAGGTAGAGATTCTTGTTAAAAAGCAATGACTGTAGAGTGTGTGTATGTCTTGATAGTGATAGGGGATTAAAAAGTAATTTGTTTTGTCTTTTAATTTGAGCTGCAGTCCAAAGATACTTTCAGATGGGGGTCCTAGCTTGTAATAGGAACTTACATTAAAGTAAAGCAGCCCCTTACTGTCATGACAGCAATTTAAGTCCACTTGAATGGGTTGTCTTGGTACCGTGGGGATTTAGGCTCCACCTAAGCAGTTCCAGAGTGATGCTGAGAGGTCAGAGCCATAGATCGGGTGCAGATGTGAATGAGAGGCAAGAAAAGAGAAACAGGGAGTGTCAGTTGCTCTTTCAAAATTTTTTCCAGCTAATGGAAGAAGATCTCAAAGGCAAAATATAGAGGGGAAAAATAGAAGAAAGTATTTTTTTTTGGGAGGGGGTGATGAAGGGGTGATATGGTTTGGCTGTGTCCCCACCAAAATCTCATCTTGAATTGTAGCTCCCATAATTCCTATGTGTTGTGGGAGGGACCCAGTGGAAGATAATTGAATCATGGGGGTGGTTTCCCTCATACTGTTCTCCTGGTAGTGAATAAGTCTCATGAGAACTGGTGATTTTATAAGAGGTTTCCCTGTTTGCTTGCTCTCATTCTCTCTTGTCTGCTGCCATGTAGATTGTGAGGCCTCCCCAGCCACATGGAACTGTGAGTCCATTAAACCACTTTTTCCTCTATAAATTACCCAGCCTTGACTATATCTTTATCAGCAGCATGAAGACAGACTAATACAAAGGGGTAATGAGAGTAAAGTGAGCAATGAAGAGAAGCCTTCACTTCGTTTCTCTTTCCTTCCCTTCTTTTTCCTTTTCCTCTTCCCTTCCCTCTGGTCACTTCTCCCCTCCTCTCTTCCACTTCCCTAATTTTCCTTTCTCCCTCCCAGTTAGCCAATTGAACTCTGGCAGTGGAAGAAAGTATACTGTGGTAAGAAACAAATTATTTGTGACAAGAAGGATTATTTGCTATTTACTATCCATAGACTCTGTCTTCTAAAGAGGACTGATCCTACTAAATAATGCCTTTTATTTGCCAAATAGAGTGATAAGTATAATGATTCATTATTGGAGAATCCAGGAGAGGGCTAAATTGTCAGAGATTAAAAAAATAGGGCTGGGAATTGGGAATTTCCAATACTCCAGCAAAGACAGAATCACAAGGCTGGGAAGTCTGCATGGGAAAAAAGTCAAGTGGAAATAAGGTCACTGGGACCAAACTGGGACTTTGGAGGGAAACAAATGATTTTTTTTCTGGATTTTTGTTAAATTTTACTAGGTGTTATGTGGCTTAATCATCTTCTTCATAGGCCCACAAGATTTTCAGCAAAAATTAATTGCTAATACTTGGCAGAACGGGATTTGCTTTTAGGGGCTGCAGTGAAGTGCCAAGTTCTGCTTCAAGGCAGATAGGGAAGCAAGAACAGAGGATGCCCATTGTATTCTGCGCTGCAGGGGAGATCATAGCATTGGCGCATATAAGTACAGTTGGGTGAAGAGGTACTGTAAGCCATCACATTTTTGGATGCTAGTAACAGGAAAACCAACAAATGATGACCTTAAGCAAAGACGATTTATTATTAATAAGAAGTCTGGAGTCAGGTGGTTCCAGGACTGGTTGAACACATCTAGCATGCCCTGATGCTCTGTGTCTCCGGTATTCTCTTTATCTGCCCCTCATGGTTGCACGATGGCTGCATAGTCTAGTCACCAAGCCTGAAATTTGAGGGCAAATGAGCCTCTCTCATTTCATTAGGGCAGAAAAATCTGTCCCAGATGTCCTTATGCATCTCCCTGCCCAGCAGTGGGTATCATGATCACCTTAACTGAAAGGGAGGCTTGGAAATTGAGTATCTGGCTTTTCTCATCCTCTGTGGTGGGAACGTGCTAAAGACAAAGGTGGTTGGGAATGGCCTCCAAGGAATCACTGTTGTTTGCCATCCAGGTATTTGCGGGTATTGTAAGTCCTTCGAGAAGAAGCTGACAGAAGGGCAACTATTCAAGAATATTTCCTATGCGTTTTTCATAAGAACGTATTTTTGTTTTCTCGCTTTCCAATGTCTGCTTTCTTTTCAGGATCACCTCTAAAGTGTTAGAAGGCTTTTATTTGTATCCTGGTTTTTGCAGAGTGATTGAACTTTAGGAAAAATCCTCAGTCCTTTTCACATTCTTTTTCAGATGGAATATATGTAACCAAACTGTAAGGAGACACAGCACCCATTTCAGGGTACAGATCAGATTGGACCCTGGCAGGGTACAGTGTGCAAAGGAGCCTGTGGCCAGCATGGTCCAGGTGTTAGCAACTTGATTTTGTGATTGAGTGTTGTTAAAGCAGCATCCTGGTTTCTAAGTGAAAATTTTCTATATGTGGCTTTGTTTTTTTTTGTTAAAATAAATGACTTTAATATGACTTTTTTAAGTGGAAAAAATTTACTTTCCCTGAGCCTATCTTGGCAGGAAAAGTGGCACACTACAGCGTGGCTAGCTGCATGGATCTTTTAAAGGAGAGTTGCTGATAATAAAAAGGCTTTTAGTGGGATGCTCTGAAGAATGCCAACCAGACCCAAGAAAACTGAGTGCTGTGGTTAATGGTCACCTTCAGAAACCACTGGTTTATGTTCTTAATGATATATCCGTTAACCCTGAACTTCAGTGAGCCATGTAACTCTGGGCTGCCTTTCGGCTCCTTCTGGGGGAGTGTAAATCTCGCTGATAATGACCCCTCTACCCACTGGCCTGTTGCCAATGTCTGTGTGGGCCTCGTGGAAGTAAACATCCACTCTTGTCTTCTGAGTGTTTCCTTGAGCAGGGGAAGCACATCTCTCCAGTACAAAGACTCAAACATTAACCTTGGATTACACTGTTCAGTATTCTTTGTAGGGCACTTCTGGTTGTTAGAAATTTTGGGCAGTATTTAGAGGGATCTGGAGGAGGGAGGTGGCAAGTGTTACCTTCTCCAGGTAGTACTCCTGGCCCGGGCTCATCTTGCTCTGTGCACAATGGAGAGCAGGGAAGGCACTGCTCATGTTTTGTGTCTCCTTCGGCTCCCATCTGGTGGTGCAAAGGGAGAGCGGTCAGCCTGCCTTAGCGCTAAGCACTGTTCTTCAGAGGAATCATCCAGATGCCCATAGTGGGGCCATGTTTGCTAGGGCTGGCTTCAGGAAAAGCAGGGATGTGGGCAATTCAGTGTAGGGGAAAGCATGTGGCACCAGGTGTTTAGAAGTTGGTTGTGTCCTCTGCTATCTTGGGCCTTAGCAGGTAGTGTCTTCTAAGGATGGGTGCTGCGCCTTGCTAATTTCCTTCATGCCTCTTCCTAGAGCACATTAAATTTTTGTTGACTGAGTTAATCTCATGAAAGATCCCTTACCTCTGAACCAGTCAGTTTTCTCCTTTGAAAATGGAAAATGGAAAAGAGGAAAAGGACTAAATGAAATAAGTTTGTGTAAAGTCAAATCATACCATGGTGTCTGGCATACAACAGATGTTGAAAAGATACCATATCTTATTTCTCTTTTTCTTTGGTGCCTCCTATTCACTGCCTTTCCTCTCCTCAGTGGCCGTTGCTTCCTGGTTCTTTAAGGCACTCAGATCCCCTCTCCTTTTCCCCTTGTTTCGTTGGTCTTGCACTTGGGCAAGCATCTGAGATTCATTCACACTGAGGTGTAGGTTTCTGAAAATGATCGAACTTGTATTATAGGAAGTGTGAGGTTAGCCTAGGGTATGTGGCAGAAAGAGGAGGGGGTAGGAATGCAGTGGGGGAAAGGAGAGAATAAAATCTGCTTTGCAGAGATGTTTGGGAGAAGAGAAAGGGGGTGCTGGAAATCTTTCTCAAACACCTTATGTTAGGGCTCCAGGCAGATCCAGCAATCTCTTCTCTCATATGGAGAAGGACATTTTAAATAATCTGGGGCCACAGGGGCATCCCTATGAAGAACAAGACTCTTTAGTCTGCAAGGGGCATATGATTACATTTTATAAAATCCAGTAAGACTGGGGGCTATGCTGGAAGCTCCAACGTAACACTATTGCTAGTGGACATAAGGAATGTACCATATCTACAGGGTGGTCTAGGAGCAAGTTATAAATAGGTCTGAGAGGCATACAATTAAGTCATGGAGGGTAAATTCTTCAGGGAAACCATTAGGTACATGCTAAAGTTATGAGGTTGACATCACAGAGGAAAGTCATTTCCTCTCACCTATTAAACTTGCTGCTTTCTAAGAGACAATATGAGGATGTATGGGACACAGGTCAGATTTGAGATGTAAAGGGAGAAGGCTCAAATTTTATCCACTGACCTTTAAATGAATTGCATTTATTTACAGTCTAGAAATAAGTAAGTGCAGTTCATCTAAGTGAACTGCATTGCTCATAGAATCTTCTAAACCTGGAAATACTTTTTGTTCTATTGAGAAAAAGCCTTTTTAAATACTTATTTTATTAATAAACACACATCGAGTACCTACCAGGGGCCAGGCTCCATGAGCAATGATTTCCCCGCTGTCAACATTGGGCACCCAATGTGCTTTCTGGTCTCCAGGCCTCTCATAGTCCCAACTAGTGCATCCAGCCAGTATCTGCGGTGAATACATGGTGTAGGAAAGGGCAGAGGTAGGTGACCTTCCACGTGTGTTAACTATGTGAATACTTTCCTAATTAGAAAACCAGCATTGGGGAAACTATTACTTTATCTCATTTAATCCTGATAACAACCTTCTGAGAATAGATACCTATATTATCTCTGTTGTATAGATGGACAAAGTAAAATAAAGCTCAGGCAAGTTTTGTAACCTGCCTGAAGGGACGTAGTAGTTGTGGCAGACAGAGATGCAAACTCCATCTGCATCATGTCCAGTTTTCTCTATACTTATGCCTTAGATTCTAATCCACTAAACTGTACTTCTAATATAGTGGGAGTTTAGGAATTCAGGACCTCCCTTTTGTCCGCATAAAAGGGAGATCTATTACCCATATCTGCATAACTCCCAACCCATACCCTTTTGTAGTGATACATGGATTGAAAACTGCATTTACTTTTGAGGATGCTCTGGATACCATCTCTTAAATTATTTCCCTGAAACATTTTCATTATGCATAAAACTTACATGTCTAGTTTAAGATGTCTAGTTTTACATGAGTAGCTCAGGTAAAGGAAAATAACTCTGGCAAGACCCCAGAAGCTGTCTATTCCTTCTCCATCATAACCTTGCCCTTGTCCTTAAGGGAACTGATATCTCGAGTTTATGTTATTACTTTTCTCTTTGATATAATTTATTTTTTAATTTTTTTAATGTTGAAAATGCTTTATTACTTATAAAATACTTATTTTCATTTTCTTGTACATTAGGCTTTTAAAATAATTGGTTGCTTCTGAGTTGAAATTGCCATATTTAAGTTTAAGGAAAAAATGAAGGATTTACTGAGAAAAAAATCAAGAATGTCTAATTAGAGAGAAGATAATGAACACACCCATATGTATATACATATATACATATATAAATTAGATAAATGTTGATATGTATCAACATACATGTACATGTATTTATTTATAAAATTATGTAAGTATCTGTTAACATTTACTTAGTTATATTGCCCTATTAGCCTGGGAATCAAATCTGGCCAAAAGTTTAAGCTCTAAGATTGATATAATTTATTTAAAATTGTTTTTTATTCTCTTGATTGTAAGGTTTATTTTTGTTTAATTTTTAGATTCGTTTCTTTTTGGTGAGTGAATAAAGCCTAATTGTTGCTACCTATTGAGATTTTTTTTTGAGATTTACTACTCAGAAAAATATTCTTGATTTTTCCATAATTTTCAAACCTGAAGCCTTTAAAGTATGCCTATTTTGGCTTTACTCCCAAAGATTGAGATTTAATTGGTCTGGGGCAAGACTAGAATTTAGGTTTTCTGGATCTCAGGTGAGGGTCTCTATATTTAGGTATTTAATGATAAATGTATTTTCTTTTTGTATTATTTAGGGCATGGTCTAAGCAGCTGTAACAGAAGGAGCCTCAAAATACAGTGGCTTATATAAAGCTAAAAGTTCATTTCTCTCTTACATCAGAGTTGTGGGGAAGAGGACCAGGGTGATGGGAAGTACCCTCAACACATTACTCTACTTCTCATCATCTCCCAGTAGCTGGCAGGAAGACAGGAAAGGGTCAGGGATGCCCACATCTAATCTTTTTGAGGACAAGACCCAGAAGTTGCACACATCACTTTTGCTCACATTCAGTTGATCAGAACACAGTCCAATCCCCACACTGGCTTCTAGGGAGACTAAGAAGTATGTTTTCATCTGGGCATCCATGTGCCCAGGTATAATTCTACAACAATGAAGAATGGGCAAATAGTTTTTGGGGACAACTGTCAGTGGACCACAACCTGCTTTGCCAGCCTGTTTCCCCATCATGACAGCGAAGCCTCCAGGCTGGGTGCCCCAGAGAAGGGAGGAGCAGGAGCAGCAGGAAACAGCTGTCACTGCTATGCCTTTGGGATCATAAGGAGCTAACAGCCCAGAAACCCAGGCTTTCTTGAAAGATGAAAAGGAGTCCTGATTTCCTAAATTCTCATATTAAAAGTAAAGCTTAGTGGATTATCAGATCTTATTTTCTTTCTATTTATGCCATATAGGATATGATGTAGAAGTTCCTCCCACCTGATAGGGGGAGGGCAGAGAATGGTGGGACAGGGAGAAAAGATAAATGCCAGATAGGTTGAAGGGGAAGCCAAAAACAGAGGTGATATTGAGTCTCCAAACTCAACCTGGAATTCCAGGGGATGCTGCCCCATGACACAGGGTGGCTGAGGTGGGAATGGTAGCCTGATGGAATACATCAGCAGAAAAAGGGCCTGGGAGACTCCCCGGGCCTCCTCCACCTCCGTCATGGATGGAAAGGATCCATAAGGGTCACTTGCTCATTGAAAAGTCATTTATTGCCAGGCATGGTGGCTCATGCCTGTAATTCCAGCACTTTGGGAAGCCAAGTGGGGCAAATCACCTGAGGCCACAAGTTTGAGACCAGCCTGGCCAGCATGGCTAAACCTCATCTCTACTAAAAATACAAAAATTAGCCAGGTGTGGTGGCGTGCGCCTGTAATCCCAGCTACTGGGCAGGCTGAGGCAGAAGAATCGCTTGAACCCGAGAGGTGGAGTTTGCAGTGAGCCGAGATCATGCCATTGCAGTCCAGTCTGGGCAACAGAACGAGACTCTGTCTCAAAAAAATAAAAAAAAGTGTCATTTATTGAAATCTTACTTTGTATAAGACCTTGTTCTAGGCACTTGGGAACTTGGGATATACTAGTGAACAAAACAAAGATCCTTGCTCTGGAGGAATGAGGCAGGTGAGGGAGTGGGGAAGATAACCCAGACAGACGTAATAAATATGTAGTTCACAGAGTATGTTAGGTAATATGTACTATAGAAAGATAGAAACAGAGAATAGGATAAGGGCCCCATGAGTTTCAGGGAGCAGACTGCAGTATTAAAAGGCAGAAGAGGCCTCATGCAGAGGGTGAGGGGTGAACAAAGGCATGAAGGAGACAGGCATTTGGCCACATGCACGTATGGGGGAAGGTGATGGGGGCTGAGGTGCCAGCTTCTTGTGTCCTCTCCTGTGTCTGCTGAAGCCCACTGTGAGGCCCCATACACATATGCTTCTCTTCCCTCTGGTTTCTAACCCTTTCTTCCATACCTTCCCCCTTTCTGATTCTACGTTCTATTGTTTTCCTTCCTCCTTTCCCCTTCCAGCCCTAGGTGGGACACAGCAATGAGGCCTTTGTGATGAGTGGAGTAAGCAGGTGACTGGAAGGAGGGTATGAGGCTAGGGAGGACGTGGGTATCCACTCTGTGCAACCTTGTAGGCTATTTTAAGGCCTTTGGCTGTTACTCTGAGTCAAATGGGAGCGATTGAAGGGTTTTGAGTAAAAGAGTGATATGACTAAGTTTTATTTTAAAAGGATCACTGCTGTGTTGAGAACAGGCTGTAGGAGATAAAGGCGTGAACAAGGTAGTGGGTTGAATAGCCACTGCAAAATCAAACAATAGACCGTGTGGTTTGGTCTAGTCTGAAAGGTAGGGGATAAGAAGTGTTTGGGTTCTGTGCCTTTAGTGGGAACTAAGAAAACATCTGAGCGTGGAGAAAGAATGCATCTGCCCTGTGGGGTTGCTGTGCTGATGGGGCAAAGTGAGCATGCCCAGGAACTTTGAAGTGGACAGTCCATAGATCAGAGGAAGCATGTGGCTGACACTCTGAGGACCTATAGCACAGCAAGAGCCAAAGTGGGGGTCCTTGGGCCCTCTTTTGGCCAAGGAAACAGACCGCATGCATCACCAGCTATGGACACTTTAGAGTTTGCAGTAGACAGAGGCCAATTCCCAGGTACTAGGAGTCATCACAGTGATCAACGGAGAAGGGTGGTATGGGACACCCCTCCTCTCAGTGCCTCAAGGATGCAAAAGTGTCACCTCATGCCCACTCTCCATGTTTTCCTTTTGGAGGAAAGAAACAATCCCAACTGAAAGTGAGTTTGAACTTTGAGAGAATATTTACCCCCAAATGAAACTGCTTTCAATAGGAAGAGACCGAGTAAACTTAACTTGCAAGTTTATTATTATTTTTCTACCATGCCGGGGAATGGGCTTTTGAACAGTCTCCATTCAGATGTAGAAAAATAAAAGAAGGAACTGTTTTTTTTTCTTTTTGTTGTTGTTGTTTTTGAGACGGAGTCTTGCTCTGTCACCCAGGCTGGAGTGCAGTGGCGCAATTTTGGCTCACTGCAGCCTCCGCCTCCAGGGTTCAAGCGATTCTCCTGCCTCAGCCTCCTGAGTAGCTTGGATTACAGGCACGCACCATCATGGCTGGCTAATTTTTGTATTTTCAGTAGAGATGGGGTTTCATCATGTTGGCCAGGCTGGTCTTGAACTCCACTCCTGACCTCAGGTGATCCACCTGCCTCGACCTCCCAAAGTGCTGGGATTACAGGTGTGAGCCACTGTGCCTGGCCAAGAAGCAACTGTTTTGCACATTAGATTGGCAGTGTGTTAATTTAAGACCCTTGATACAGATATTACCACTTAGAAAAAATAATTGCAATCCTTTTCAATAACAGTGATGAATTCTGGCTAAGTTTGTTCTGATTGGCTTTCTTGACTAAAGGACAACTTTATGGTGGGCATTCCTGCAGCAAGATCAGTAGGCCAGGCTGGTGGAGGAGAGATTTGGTGAGGTGGGCCTTTCAGGACCCCACCTGTCCAACCAAGTGAGTCCTAACTGCCCTGGGTGTGGATAGAGCTGACTTTCCCATATCAGAGGATGCTTTAGTGACTGTGGAGGAAACACATGTCCTTAGAAATAACTAGTCAGAAGATAACAGCAATACTATTATTTTAAGAAAATAACCAGAGGGAAGGTTGATAATAACAAGCACTGAACCACGAGGTGTCCCCTTTTCTTTTCTTTTCTTTTTTTGAGATGGAGTCTCGTACTGTCGCCTGGGCTGGAGTGCAGTGGCGTGGTCTCGGCTCACTGCAAGCTCCGACTTCCAGGTTCAAGCGATTCTCATGCCTCAGCCTCCCAAGTAGCTGGGATTACAGACACCCACCACCATGCCTGGCTAATTTTTTTTGTATTTTTAGTAGAGACAGGGTTTCACTATGTTGGCCAGGCTGGTCTTGAACTCCTGACCTTGTGATCTGCCTGTCTCGGCCTCCCAAAGTGCTGGGATTGTAGGTGTAAGCCACCACACCTGGCCCCCTTTTCTAAAAAAAAAAGAATATGTCCATCCCCTGCTCCCTTTCAGGTAGCCACAGCACTTGGGATGGAGTTGATCTTCCCAGGAGCCATCTTACCCCATTTGATTCCTGAATGAATCAGTGAGGTGCCTGAATGTGCTGCTCTCAACTTTGCAAACCTGCTCTGAGGGTACACAGCCCTTCCTTGGGCCGCTCCGGGGGTCCAGCAAGGATAAAAGACAGTTTTTTGGCACATGGCCACTTATTACTTCACACTCTGGTCATGCTGTGATGTCAGACTTTACCCCGAAGCCTTGCAAAGGGATGAAGCCAACCCCAGGAAGCCTGGGAGTCTAGAGGAGATGCGGTCAGTTCTAGGAGCTTTGGGAGAGAGGTTGGGCTTGAAGGCAGGGGCTCCATTTCTGACTCCCAGTGGAAAAGAATCAATCTAGCAACTTCTGCTCACATCCTGGAAGAGGCAGGGAAGATGGATGGTGGTGCACTGGACAACATCTGCCGCTGCAGTGGTAGCCCCTCCACCCTTCAGTGTAACCTGAGAAGTGTGGTGCTGGCGGCCTGCTCCAGCCCTGCTTGAGCAGGGAGGAGGAGGCAGGGTGGGGGCTGTAGCTCTGCCAGCGGAGTGGGGCTGGACCTGTTCCTTGGCGTGTGCCTGGATGTGATTTGCTTCCCTCAGTACCAGACCGCAGGCTTCGTGTGAATTGACAGAAAATAAGAAACCACCAGCAGAAAGCATCTTGTCTGGCTCTTTTCCAGACATCGTCCTTGTGAGCCCAGTGGGGCTCTGACATCCTGCTGTTTTGTGGATTTGAAGAAGAAAAGTCAGGGCATACCCTGCCTTGTTCCAGAAAGAATTTAGGGGCTCTTTGGAACGATGCACACAGCCCAATGAGATGGCACATGAGTCTCCATAAATATTTGGTGAAGGTGGTCATAGGGAGACACATGGGATACAGTCGAATATTGATAGGAGTCAGAGTGAAGAGAGCCATAAAGCCCTTGGCTTCTTTCATAGGTGCTATTAAAGTGGGGAGAATGATAGCACCTACTTCGGAGGGTTGTTGTGAGGATGAAGTGAGTTTAAATGGCAAGTGCCTGGCCAGGCGCGGTGGCTCGTGCCTGTATTCTCAGCACTTTGGGAGGCCGAGGCAGGCAGATCACCCGAGCTCAGGAGTTTGAGACCAGCCTGGGCAACATGACAAAACCCTGTCTCTACAAAAATACAAAAATTAGCCAGGCACAGTGGTGTGTGCTTGTAATCCCACCTACTCAGGAGGCTGAGGCAGGTGAATTGCTTGAACCTGGGAGGCAGAGGTTGCAGTGAGCCGATATCATGCCACTGCACTCCAGCCTGGGTGACAGAGCAAGATCTTGTTTAAAAAAAAAAAAAAAACCAGGTGCTAAGCATGATACCTTGTATGTTAGCTATAATTATTGCATTGATGATGACGGTTATTTCTATTGTGAGGCAATTCTAGGTGGCAGTCTTTCCTATGGTTCCATTGAATGTAGACTTGAACCTGATTCTGGATTTACTGTCTCTATGATCATGGATGGATTAAGTGACCTCTCTAAGCCTCAATTTTTATTTCTATTATGCAGAGATGATAGTACCTACCTCACAGCATTGTCTTGAGAGAAACAAGAATGTCATGTTGTCTTAGCTTGGGCTGCCATAACAAAATAGCATGGACTGGGTGGCTTAAACAGCAGAAATTTCTCACAATTCTGAAGGCTGGGACGTCCAGGATTTAGGTGCTGTCTAGGTAGGTTTTGTTCGTAGACCTCTTTTCTTGATTTGTAGGTGGCTACCATTGTTCTGTGGGCTCACGTGATCTCTTTGTGTGCAGAGGAGGGAGAGAAAGAGAGAGGTGGGGAGAGAGATCAGGCTCTCTGGTGTCTCTTCTTAGAACGGCACTAATTTCATCATGAGAGTCTGACCCCCATGACTTCATCTAATCCTAATTACCACCCAAAGGCCCTATCTCCAAATATGATCACACAGGGGTTAAAGCTTCAGCATATGAATGGTGTGTGTGTAGGGGTGGACACAAACATTCAGTCCATAACAGCACCACAGAGGATCTATGGAGCTGTTCTCTACACCACTAGAAGAATCAGAACCTCACCTCTGTTAGTAAGATAATGGCCTTGAATTTCTACACAGCCTGCAATCCCATTGACTTCCACTTGGCTTTAGTTGGAAGTCGAGAAGAGTGGTGGGCCCTGAACCTCTGCCCTCACCCTTATTCCTTCATTTATTTTATTTTACAGTCTTAGAGATTAGGAATTTATCACATATTGCACACAACATAAGCATAATATCACTTATAATTCTGTTTCTACACAAGCACCTAGGAACTAATTTAATAAAAGACTAAGGATGCTAAAAAGCCTAATGGTCTCTCCCATCTCCTGCTTCTGCCCAGGGGCCCCTTGGTCTGAATCTCTCTCCAGAGTGTGCTCTCACCTATGGGCATGATATTCAAAACACTTGCCATCCAACCACTCCCATAGACCTACAATGGCTGGCCTGGGTCCTGGAGGCCCCTGCTGTTCCCAGACCCTTTATTGACTCACCAGGACTGGTCTTTCCATATTTAACAGCCATTATAGTGCACAGTTGTGTACCCACTGAGTCTTGGCCTTGCTCCTGCACAACCTCGACACTAAAAAGCAGTTCTTTCTGGGACCCAGATTTAGAACCCGGAGATTCCCACTCAGCACCTAACCTTCATCTGCAGCCCACCCCCTCTACTCCCTTGTCTGATTTGTATGTTGTCTGCCTATTGCACTAAACGGTAAGCTCCTTTGAGAACTCCAGCAGTGTTTTATCCACTGCCTGCAGGGCTCAATGCTGTGCTTTGAGTAAATCTTTGGAACCACTCTGATGATGTGAACATCACTCTCTGACAGATACGTGTATGGACTGAAGGTTTATCTATGGTGTTTTGTTATGGCAGCCTGAGCTGACTAAAACAGGCCTCACCAGTTTTTTTTTTTTTTTTTTTTTAATGTGTGATAGGTCAGGGAAAGGTCTTCTTACTTTTTCCTCTACCTTCTTGTCCACCTTCCGTGTGCTTTTATCATCATCTGTCTACCTATCCATATCTGCTCTCAAGAAAGGCCTGATGTAATCAGCAGCATGAATGGTGGGACCTGATAAAGAAGAAACCCTTTCAAGGGGAATTGTAGTGGAGCAGGCACTAATATTTTGGCCAAAGGATTTTCTAACTGTGGTATATCAAACGTCAGGTCCTTCCAGTCATATATGGGAAATCCAAAGCATGCTAGCCTTGTGGCCCTGCTGGGCATACAGTAAGCACTCAGTAGATGTTTGAAAGTTAGTTAGCTGAACATGTCAGCATCTACTCATCAGTAGACACTAATTGGGGCATCCTGTAGAGGAGAAAGAACATTTCTTTGGGGACATTGTCAACTTGAAGCAGCCTCTTAGTAGAAGAAAGAACTACCAGGGGTTCTAGCCTGGTGCTTTTCCCTTGACTCTTCTCAGCCAATTGGGGGTTATTGTGGAGTCTCCACATCTAACCACGGCCTATGGAATTGGAGAAATCTGGAGGGACTGAGGTTTCCCAAGCCTGCCTGACCTTCTGTTCTCAGCTGTCTTGCATGTTTAAGCCATCTCTGTTGTTTTCTCAGGGCTATTCTCTGAAGCTTTTGAAAGAAACGAAGCACCTTTTAGCATGTCTAATTGCAGAATTTGGCCATAGAAGAAAATGAACACAACACAATGTAATGAACTCTTAAAATGCTCTCCTGCCTAAAGATTCTTCTCTGAGCCAATGTCTCTCTAATGCTCTAATCTTTTTCTGATTAAAAAAAAAAAAAACAGAGCTAGGCTCTAAGGAGTACAATGCTTTCTTTTTTTTTTTTTATTATACTTTAAGTTTTAGGGTACATGTGCACATTGTGCAGGTTAGTTACATATGTATACATGTGCCATGCTGGTGCACTGCACCCACTAACTCGTCATCTAGCATTAGGTATATCTCCCGATGCTATCCCTCCCCCCTCCCCCCACCCCACAACAGTCCCCAGAGTGTGATATTCCCCTTCCTGTGTCCATGTGATCTCATTGTTCAATTCCCACCTATGAGTGAGAATATGCGATGTTTGGTTTTTTGTTCTTGCGATAGTTTACTGAGAATGATGGTTTCCAATTTCATCCATGTCCCTACAAAGGACATGAACTCATCATTTTTTATGGCTGCATAGTATTCCATGGTGTATATGTGCCACATTTTCTTAATCCAGTCTATCATTGTTGGACATTTGGGTTGGTTCCAAGTCTTTGCTATTGTGAATAATGCCGCAATAAACATACGTGTGCATGTGTCTTTATAGCAGCATGATTTAGAGTCCTTTGGGTATATACCCAGTAATGGGATGGCTGGGTCAAATGGTATTTCTAGTTCTAGATCCCTGAGGAATCGCCACACTGACTTCCACAATGGTTGAACTAGTTTACAGTCCCACCAACAGTGTAAAAGTGTTCCTATTTCTCCACATCCTCTCCAGCACCTGTTGTTTCCTGACTTTTTAATGATTGCCATTCTAACTGGTGTGAGATGGTATCTCATTGTGGTTTTGATTTGCATTTCTCTGATGGCCAGTGATGATGAGCATTTTTTCATGTGTTATTTGGCTGCATAAATGTCTTCTTTTGAGAAGTGTCTGTTCATGTCCCTCACCCACTTTTTGATGGGGTTGTTTGTTTTTTTCTTGTAAATTTGTTTGAGTTCATTGTAGATTCTGGATATTAGCCCTTTGTAAGATGAGTAGGTTGCGAAAATTTTCTCCCATGTTGTAGGTTGCCTGTTCACTCTGATGGTAGTTTCTTTTGCTGTGAAGAAGCTCTTGAGTTTAATTAGATCCCATTTGTCAATTTTGGCTTTTGTTGCCATTGCTTTTGGTGTTTTAGACATGAAGTCCTTGCCCATGCCTATGTCCTGAATGGTAATGCCTAGGTTTTCTTCTAGGGTTTTTATGGTTTTAGGTCTAACGTTTAAGTCTTTAATCCATCTTGAATTGATTTTTGTATAAGGTGTAAGGAAGGGATCCAGTTTCAGCTTTCTACATATGGCTAGCCAGTTTTCCCAGCACCATTTATTAAATAGGGAATCCTTTCCCCATTGCTTGTTTTTCTCAGGTTTGTCAAAGATCAGATAGTTGTAGATATGCGGCATTATTTCTGAGGGCTCTGTTCTGTTCCATTGATCTATAACTCTGTTTTGGTACCAGTACCATGCTGTTTTGGTTACTGTAGCCTTGTAGTATAGTTTGAAGTCAGGTAGTGTGATGCCTCCAGCTTTGTTCTTTTGGCTTAGGATTGACTTGGTGTTGCGGGCTCTTTTTTGGTTCCATATGAACTTTAAAGTAGTTTTTTCCAATTCTGTGAAGAAAGTCATTGGTAGCTTGATGGGGATGGCATTGAATCTGTAAATTACCTTGGGCAGGATGGCCATTTTCGCGATATTGATTCTTCCTACCCATGAGCATGGAATGTTCTTCCATTTGTTTGTATCCTCTTTTTTTTTTTTTTTTTTTTTGCCATTTACCCAGATTGACTTATTTGTTTTTTTTTTTGTTTTTTGTTTTTTTTTTTATTTTTTTTATTATACTATAAGTTTTAGGGTACATGTGCACATTGTGCAGGTTAGTTACATATGTATACATGTGCCATGCTGGTGCGCTGCACCCACTAATGTGTCATCTAGCATTAGGTATATCTCCCAATGCTATCCCTCCCCACTCCCCCGACCCCACCACAGTCCCCAGAGTGTGATATTCCCCTTCCTGTGTCCATGTGATCTCATTGTTCAATTCCCACCTATGAGTGAGAATATGCGGTGTTTGGTTTTTTGTTCTTGCGATAGTTTACTGAGAATGATGGTTTCCAATTTCATCCATGTCCCTACAAAGGATATGAACTCATCATTTTTTATGGCTGCATAGTATTCCATGGTGTATATGTGCCACATTTTCTTAATCCAGTCTATCATTGTTGGACATTTGGGTTGGTTCCAAGTCTTTGCTATTGTGAATAGTGCCGCAATAAACATATGTGTGCATGTGTCTTTATAGCAGCATGATTTATAGTCCTTTGGGCATATACCCAGTAATGGGATAGCTGGGTCAAATGGTATTTCTAGTTCTAGATCCCTGAGGAATCGCCACACTGACTTCCACAATGGTTGAACTAGTTTACAGTCCCACCAACAGTGTAAAAGTGTTCCTATTTCTCCACATCCTCTCCAGCACCTGTTGTTTCCTGACTTTTTAATGATTGCCATTCTAACTGGTGTGAGATGATATCTCATAGTGGTTTTGATTTGCATTTCTCTGATGGCCAGTGATGATGAGCATTTCTTCATGTGTTTTTTGGCTGCATAAATGTCTTCTGGGGAAAGGATTCCCTATTTAATAAATGGTGCTGGGAAAACTGGCTAGCCATATGTAGAAAGCTGAAACTGGATCCCTTCCTTACACCTTATACAAAAATCAATTCAAGATGGATTAAAGATTTAAACGTTAGACCTAAAACCATAAAAACCCTAGAAGAAAACCTAGGCATTACCATTCAGGACATAGGCGTGGGCAAGGACTTCATGTCCAAAACACCAAAAGCAATGGCAACAAAAGCCAAAATTGACAAATGGGATCTAATTAAACTAAAGAGCTTCTGCACAGCAAAAGAAACTACCATCAGAGTGAACAGGCAACCTACAACATGGGAGAAAATTTTCGCAACCTACTCATCTGACAAAGGGCTAATATCCAGAATCTACAATGAACTCAAACAAATTTACAAGAAAAAAACAAACAACCCCATCAAAAAGTGGGCGAAGGACATGAACAGACACTTCTCAAAAGAAGACATTGTATCCTCTTTTATTTCCTTGAGCAGTGGTTTGTAGTTCTCCTTGAAGAGGTCCTTCACATCCCTTGTAAGTTGGATTCCTAGGTATTTTATTCTCTTTGAAGCAATTGTGAATGGGAGTTCACTCATGATTTGGCTCTCTGTTTGTCTGTTGTTGGTGTATAAGAATGCTTGTGATTTTTGTACATTGATTTTGTATCCTGAGACTTTGCTGAAGTTGCCTATCAGCTTAAGGAGATTTTGGGCTGAGACAATGGGGTTTTCTAGATATACAATCATGTCATCTGCAAACAGGGACAATTTGACTTCCTCTTTTTCTAATTGAATACCCTTTATTTCCTTCTCCTGCCTAATTGCCCTGGCCAGAACTTCCAACACTATGTTGAATAGGAGTGGTGAGAGAGGGCATCCCTGTCTTGTGCCAGTTTTCAAAGGGAATGCTTCCAGTTTTTGCCCATTCAGTATGATATTGGCTGTGGGTTTGTCATAGATAGCTCTTATTATTTTGAAATACGTCCCATCAATACCTAATTTATTGAGAGTTTTTAGCATGAAGGGTTGTTGAATTTTGTCAAAGGCTTTTTCTGCATCTATTGAGATAATCATGTGGTTTTTGTCTTTGGCTCTGTTTATATGCTGGATTACATTTATTGATTTGCGTATATTGAACCAGCCTTGCATCCCAGGGATGAAGCCCACTTGATCATGGTGGATAAGCTTTTTGATGTGCTGCTGGATTCGTTTTGCCAGTATTTTATTGAGGATTTTTGCATCAATGTTCATCAGGGATATTGGTCTAAAATTCTCTTTTTTTGTTGTGTCTCTGTCTGGCTTTGGTATCAGGATGATGCTGGCCTCATAAAATGAGTTAGGGAGGATTCCCTCTTTTTCTATTGATTGGAATAGTTTCAGAAGGAATGGTACCAGTTCCTCCTTGTAGCTCTGGTAGAATTCGGCTGTGAATCCATCTGGTCCTGGACTCTTTTTGGTTGGTAAGCTATTGATTATTGCCACAATTTCAGCTCCTGTTATTGGTGTATTCAGAGATTCAACTTCTTCCTGGTTTAGTCTTGAGAGGGTGTATGTGTCCAGGAATTTATCCATTTCTTCTAGATTTTCTAGTTTATTTGCATAGAGGTGTTTGTAGTATTCTCTGATGGTAGTTTGTATTTCTGTGGGATCGGTGGGGACATCCCCTTTATCATTTTTTATTGCGTCTATTTGATTCTTCTCTCTTTTTTTCTTTATTAGTCTTGCTAGCGGTCTATCAATTTTGTTGATCCTTTCAAAAAACCAGCTCCTGGATTCATTAAGTTTTTGAAGGGTTTTTTTGTGTTTCTATTTCCTTCAGTTCTGCTCCGATTTTAGTTATTTCTTGCCTTCTGCTAGCTTTTGAATGTGTTTGCTCTTGCTTTTCTAGTTCTTTTAATTGTGATGTTAGGGTGTCAATTTTGGATCTTTCCTGCTTTCTCTTGTGGGCATTTAGTGCTATAAATTTCCCTCTACACACTGCTTTGAATGTGTCCCAGAGATTCTGGTATGTTGTGTCTTTGTTCTCGTTGGTTTCAAAGAACATCTTTATTTCTGCCTTCATTTTGTTATGTACCCAGTAGTCATTCAGGAGCAGGTTGTTCAGTTTCCATGTAGTTGAGCCATTCTGAGTGAGATTCTTAATCCTGAGTTCTAATTTGATTGCACTGTGGTCTGAGAGATAGTTTGTTATAATTTCTGTTGTTTTACATTTGCTAAGGAGAGCTTTACTTCCCAGTATGTGGTCAATTTTGGAATAGGTGTGGTGTGGTGCTGAAAAAAATGTATATTCTGTTGATTTGGGGTGGAGAGTTCTGTAGATGTCTATTAGGTCTGCTTGGTGCAGAGCTGAGTTCAATTCCTGGGTATCCTTGTTAACCTTCTGTCTCGTTGATCTGTCTAATGTTGACAGTGGGGTGTTAAAGTCTCCCATTATTAATGTGTGGGAGTCTAAGTCTCTTTTTAGGTCACTCAGGAGTTGCTTTATGAATCTTGGTGCTCCTGTATTGGGTGCATATATATTTAGGATAGTTAGCTCTTCTTGTTGAATTGATCCCTTTACCATTATGTAATGGCCTTCTTTGTCTCTTTTGATCTTTGTTGGTTTAAAGTCTGTTTTATCAGAGACTAGGATTGCAACCCCTGCTTTTTTATGTTTTCCATTGGCTTGGTAGATCTTCCTCCATCCTTTTATTTTGAGCCTATGTATGTCTCTGCACGTGAGATGGGTTTCCTGAATACAGCACACTGATGGGTCTTGACTCTTTATCCAATTTGCCAGTCTGTGTCTTTTAATTGGAGCATTTAGTCCATTTACATTTAAAGTTAATATTGTTATGTGTGAATTTGATCCTGTCATTATGATGTTAGCTGGTGGTTTTGCTCGTTAGTTGATGCAGTTTCTTCGTAGTCTCGATGGTCTTTACATTTTGGCATGATTTTGCAGCAGCTGGTACCGGTTGTTCCTTTCCATGTTTAGTGCTTCCTTCAGGAGTTCTTGTAAGGCAGGCCTGGTGGTGACAAAATCTCTCAGCCTTTGCTTGTCTGTAAAGTATTTTATTTCTCCTTCACTTATGAAGCTTAGTTTGGCTGGATATGAAATTCTGGGTTGAAAATTATTTTCTTTAAGAATGTTGAATATTGGCCCCCACTCTCTTCTGGCTTGTAGGGTTTCTGCCAAGAGATCCGCTGTTAGTCTGATGGGCTTCCCTTTGAGGGTAACCCGACCTTTCTCTCTGGCTGCCCTTAACATTTTTTCCTTCATTTCAACTTTGGTGAATCTGACAATTATGTGTCTTGGAGTTGCTCTTCTCGAGGAGTATCTTTGTGGCGTTCTCTGTATTTCCTGAATCTGAACGTTGGCCTGCCTTGCTAGATTGGGGAAGTTCTCCTGGATGATATCCTGCAGATTGTTTTCCAACTTGGTTCCATTCTCCCCATCACTTTCAGGTACACCAATCAGACTTAGATTTGGTCTTTTCACATAGTCCCATATTTCTTGGAGGCTTTGCTCATTTCTTTTTATTCTTTTTTCTCTAAACTTCCCTTCTCGCTTCATTTCATTCATTTCATCTTCCATCACTGATACCCTTTCTTCCAGTTGATCGCATCAGCTTCTGAGGCTTCTGCATTCTTCACGTAGTTCTTGAGCCTTGGTTTTCAGCTCCATCAGCTCCTTTAAGCACTTCTCTGTATTGGTTATTCTAGTTATACATTCTTCTAAATTTTTTTCAAAGTTTTCAACTTCTTTGCCTTTGGTTTGAATGTCCTCCCGTAGCTCAGAGTAATTTGATCGTCTGAAGCCTTCTTCTCTCAGCTCGTCAAAGTCATTCTCCATCCAGCTTTGTTCCGTTGCTGGTGAGGAACTGCGTTCCTTTGGAGGAGGAGAGGCGCTCTGCTTTTTAGAGTTTCCAGTTTTTCTGTTCTGTTTTTTCCCCATCTTTGTGGTTTTATCTACTTTTGGTCTTTGATGATGGTGATGTACAGATGGGTGTTTGGTGTGGATGTCCTTTCCGTTTGTTAGTTTTCCTTCTAATGGACAGGACCCTCAGCTGCAGGTCTGTTGGAGTACCCTGCCGTGTGAGGTGTCAGTGTGCCCCTGCTGGGGGGTGCCTCCCAGTTAGGCTGCTCGGGGGTCAGGGGTCAGGGACCCACTTGAGGAGGCAGTCTGCCCATTCTCAGATCTCCAGCTGCATGCTGGGAGAACCACTGCTCTCTTCAAAGCTGTCAGACAGGGACATTTAAGTCTGCAGAGGTTACTGCTGTCTTTTTGTTTGTCTGTGCCCTGCCCCCAGAGGTGGAGCCTACAGAGGCAGGCAGGCCTCCTTGAGCTGTGGTGGGCTCCACCCAGTTCGAGCTTCCAGGCTGCTTTGTTTACCTAAGCAAGCCTGGGCAATGGCGGGCGCCCCTCTCCCAGCCTGGCTGCCGCCTTGCAGTTTGATCTCAGACTGCTGTGCTAGCAATCAGCGAGACTCTGTGGGCGTAGGACCCTCCAAGCCAGGTGCAGGATATAATCTCCTGGTGCGCCCTTTTTTAAGCCCTTCGGAAAAGCGCAGTATTCGGGTGGGAGTGACCTGATTTTCCAGGTGCCGTCCGTCACCCCCTTCTTTGACTCAGAAAGGGAACTCCCTGACCCCTTGCGCTTCCCAAGTGAGGCAATGCCTCACCTTGCTTTGGCTCGCGCACGGTGCGCGCACCCACTGACCTGCGCCCACTGCCTGGCACTCCCTAGTGAGATGAACCCAGTACCTCAGATGGAAATGCAGAAATCACCCGTCTTCTGCGTCGCTCATGCTGGGAGCTGTAGACCGGAGCTGTTCCTATTCGGCCATCTTGGCTCCTCCTCCTAGCCTGAGTACAATGCTTTCAAGTGGCTAGGGTGCCAAGGTACCATCTAAGTGATCTCCTAGAGACCTGAAAGAGCTAAGTGGGCTTCCTAAAAATATTACTTCTCTTGGGGATAGGACTTTAAACTTCTCAGAGCAATTTCAGATCTGTTATCTCTCTTATCTTAGTGACAACCTCATGTGGAAAGGCAGAGACATTTAGGGCCAGAGGTCCAGGGATGTTGAGTGCTTTTTAGAAGATCCTATAGCTGGTTGGCAACCAAAATAAGGTCTAGAGAGACACTGCGGGGAGTGTGAGGGCCTGTGAGCCTCTATTAGGGATAAAACAAATAACAAGTGTTTCCTTTTGTCCCTGGTTAGTCAGGGAGAAACTGGGGGAAATTGCTGGTGGAAGGACAGTGTTTACCTACAATGGAAGAAATGATGACATAAAGTCTGAGTGGAGTTGGGTGTGTCAGATGCCTGAGAATTACCGAAGTGTTAGTTTTTTGTCATTAACAACAGCAACAAACATTTATTAAGTGCTAACTCTGTGTAAGGCCCAAGGCTAGATGCAACAGTAAATAAGACATGAGGTTTGTGGTTTGTCTGGGGAGATAAGACAAAATTACTTGAAAAAACACAAATGTTAAGAAAAGATGGTACTTGGTGGTTGCTGAATGAGTGGTAGGAGAACAATGGCTCAAAGAGTTTGAAAGTGGGAAAGAGAAAGTTCTCCTGAGATGGTCAGAGGGAGGGAGTTTCTAGTGATAGGATCTCAGAAGGTGCAGAAAGGTAGAGAGAGCATTTATGGTTCAAATAGTGTAGCAAAATACACAGAGGCAAGATAATACAAGGCTTCTGTGGGGCAGGGGCATGAGTAGATCAGTTTGGAAAGAGTAGAGAGCTGATTTAGGAAATGGAATGGGGAACCCCAGTAGAAAGGAAAATAGAATGAGGCTAGAATGTCAGGCTAGGAATGACTTGCAACCTCACACTAGGGGTTTCCCATGGAAAACCTAGGAACCTTTTTGAATGACATGTAAAAGCAGAGCACAGGGGCCAGCCCATCCTCTGTGAAGGCTGTCATCACACTGGGGCTTTCATAAGTTGCATCGCTGGGCACTGTGCTTGTGCCTGGAGACCCCAAGGTAAATAGGAACAGTTCTTGTCTTCAAGGAGCTTTTGGCTCAATGCCAGGGACTGGACCAGCACAAAGTCTTCTTGGTAAAGTTACTGGCCACTGTTGCCAACTTCCATCTTTTCTTATGTCTACTTTGTATCAACCTCCTTATGTTATTCCTTTAATTCTTTAAATATTAGGTTCCATTAGGTTCCAGTGAAAACTGTTGGAGACTGAGCCAATGTCTCCTCAAGGTGACTTTGAATGCTTCTGGTCTAATTCCAGCATTATATGTTGATTTTATTGGATAATGCTTAGGGGGCAACTTGTTTTATCTCTAAATTATTGTTATTATTATTTTTTGGGACAGAATCTTGCTCTGTTACCCGGGCTGGAGTGCAATGGTGCGGTCTTTGTTCACTGCAACCTTCACCTCCCGGATTCAAGCGATTCTCCTGCCTCAGCCTCCCAAGTAGCTGGGATTACAGACGCCCACCACCATGCCCAGCTAATTTTTGTATTTTTAGTAGAGATGGGATTTCACCATGTTGGCCAGGCTGGTCTTGAACTCCTGACCTCATAATCTGCCTGCCTCAGCCTCCCAAAGTGCTGGGATTACAGGCGTGAGCCGCCGTGCCCGGCCATCTCTAAATTATTAATAAATGTTCCATTGTGATACCTGACTGCTGCATAAATACAAGTTCAACTATAAGCTTGAAAGTCTGCAATTTCTGGAATATACATGATATTTTTGAAAATAGGATAAGAAGTTGTTCATTTCCAGTCTTCGTCTCTGTCTCCATTTCTCACATTCCACATTGGGAATTGACAGTGGCAGGTTCTCTTCGTATTGAGTATAGGCTTGATTCAAACCTGGAGACTTGAAACTTATTTAAAGCTGTCAAATGTTTTCCTAGCACCTCCACTGCTAGGATCTCAGTCTTGCCTTTGCCATCATCACCACGATGACCTTCAGTTTTGAATATCTATTTGCTAGGAAATGTACTGAAAAAAATGTAGTAGGTGTCTACAGTTCAATGTAAAAATGGCCTACACTCATTCTAGTAACATCAGAGGGTAGATATTAATATCCCCATTAGACAGATAAGGACACTGGGGTCCAATTAAGTGATTTGCCCAAAACTACATCCCCTGAAGTGGGGATTTGAATGCGGACCTATCCAGTTCCAAAGCCAAAGCTTGCGTCAGCATAGGACACCCACTGTTTGCCCTACTTCTTTTTCTATCTTTTTTTTTTTTTTTAGACATGGTCTCACTTTGTTGCCTAGGCTGGAGTGCAGTGGTGCCATCATAGCTCACTGCAGCCTTGGATTCCTGGTCTCAAGTGATCCTCTTGCCTCAGCCTCCAGAGTAGCTGGGACTATAGGCATGTGCCACCATGCCTGGCTAATTTTTTTTTTTTTTTTTGGTGGAGAAGGGGGATCTCACTGTGTTGCCCAGGCTGGTCTCAAACTCCTGGGCTCAAACGACCCTCCCGCCTCGGCCTTCCAAAATGCTGAGATTACAGATGTGAGCCACCATGCTTGGCCTGCCCTTCTTCTTTACAGCCATATGTATTACTTGTGGTTCCCCCAGTACCTTCCCCTGTAGGTTTCATCTTTGGAGAGGAGGGATGGGGAGGCAGACTACCTAGATGTTAAGAGTCAAGCCTGGGAATCAGACACAAGTTTGAATCCTGAATCTACCACTTACTTGCTACCTTTGTGTCATTATTTCATCTCTTTGAACCTTCATTTCTTATGTTTTTTTTTTTGGGGGGGGGATTGGGGGGCAGGGTCTCACTCTGTCATCCAGGCTGGAGTACAGTGGTGTGATCATAGCTCACTGCAGCCTCATCCTCCTGGGCTGAAGTGATCCTCTTGGCTCAGCCACTGGAGTGGCTGGGACTACAGGTGCGTGACACCACGCCTAATTCTTTTTTAATCTTTTTGTAGAGATGAGGTCTCACTATGTTTCTCAGTCTGGTCTTGAACTCCTGTCTTCAAGTGATCCTCCCACTCTGGCAGGGTCTCACTCTGTCATCCAGGCTGGAGTACAGTGGTGTGATCATAGCTCACTGCAGCCTCATCCTCCTGGGCTGAAGCGATCCTCTTGGCTCAGCCACTGGAGTGGCTGGGACTACAGGTGCATGACACCACACCCGACTAATTCTTTTTTAATTTTTTTGTAGAGATGAGGTCTCACTATGTTTCTCAGTCTGGTCTTGAACTCCTGTCTTCAAGTGATCCTCCCACTCTGGTCTCTCAAAGCACTGGGATTACAGGCATGAGGCACTGTGCCTGGCCAGCTTCCCTTTCTGTATCTGTAAAGGAGAGATAATAACTATCTCAGAGGATGTTGTGAGGTTTGATAGAGATGTGTGGCCCCTAGGACAGGGCCTGGAACAGTAGTATGAGCTCAGTAAATGGGGCTGTTACAAGATCTGTGTTCACAGTCTGGGGAATCCCAATTCCTCGGCACACGGCTTCTGCGGTGCCGTTTCTTCTCATCCGCTTTCCCCGGTCAAGTTCTTCCAACCACCCCCTTGAGTTGGTTCTGATTCTTCTCTATCACAGAAACTTTTTATTTCCCTTTTTGACTTTCATCTCAGCCTATTTCCTACATTCTGCCCCATTTACTGAGATGGCTTCTTAATTCTTTTATGTTCTCCTTTGGCTTGAGAGTCACCCGATATAATTGGTGACTGCCACAAGAAATTTTTAAAAAAGCAAAAATAGGACATCTACTACAGGCTGTTGGCACTAGTTCCTTGCTGTCTAGACATCTTGGGGCACATGTGTACTGTGCTTTCCCTAACCAAGGGTTCCTGAACCAGCAATATCAGCATCACCTGGCAATTTGTTACGAATACAGACTCTGTCTCCACTCCAGAAACCCTGGGTGTGGCCAGTTGCTTGTGTTTTTACAAGCCCTCCAGGGGATTCTGATGCAATTTATGTTTGAGAAGCACTGCTAGAACCCCCTGGAAAGTTCTATGAATTGGGACCTTGGTTGTACCTCTCTAGGCTGCCCAGCTACTCCCTTTTTGGGCTAGCCTTAGCCTGTGGCCAGGTGTTTTTGGCACTAGTTTGTATGTTCTGAATCCTATACTTGTGTTGAGTTGTTGGCTCTGCTAACTGATGGGCTAGACACCTTTTGATGTGCTAGACACCAAATAGCTTCACAGAACTTAATTATTGAGGGTGGTTCATTTTCCCTGATTGGAATTAAATTTAGGTTAAATTTCACTTGCTTCTTTGAAAAAATGATGTAGACTTATTGTTTAGCATAAGCTACACAGCTTTCTTTTATTATATAGCCCAAGTGTCCATTTGTCTCTTAAGAGTCACCCTTCTTTAATATATTTGGGGTGCTTTATTGTTATTGTTAGGGCTATTATCTAAGGCATATCTTGTATGAAATCTTGCTTGAAGACTATTCTTGGGTTAGTAGGAATATGGATTACATTGTGAAGAGGTAAATATAAAATATATGGGATGGCATGGACTATATTGAAATAGGTTCAAGAAGAGTTAGCGTCATGAGACTGTGAAACTCTTAAGGTGAGGGGTATGCCTTATTTGCCTTTGTGTCTCATTATCTAGCACCGCGCCTGTCAAATGTCTGTTGAGCACCTACTATGCACTAGGATCTGAGGCTTACAACGATGAGCAAAACAGATGTGGTTCTTGCCCTCATAAAGTTATGATGATTTAGCAGAACATAGTACATTCTTTATTACTAAGGGAAACTAAGAGTTTCTGGGATTTCTTGGACTCAGGAGTTAATATTAGGGAGGATCACCTAATGAATTGGATGATGAAACTGGGTTAAAATGACACTTTAACATTTTTTGATAGCAGGTGCGAAAGTAACCCTAGTTTGAGTTTCTTAGAGAAGTCATCACTGTTGGCAAAGAGATGAAAATAAGCTGTATTACTTGGCATCTTGGGGTAACAGAAATGATGATGATAAGAGTGGCAGTCATAGTTAGTACATGCTAAGTGCTCATGATGTGCCAGGCAGGGTGCTAAGAGCTATGCAACCCTTATTCTATTAGTCTCATGAGCAGTGGACAAAGACTCTCATGCTGTTCTCCCGGCTCTGCCACTAACCTGCAGTGTGACTCTGGTAAATCACTTTGCTTCTCTGGGTCTCTGTGTTCTTGTCTATGAAGTGAGGTGTTTAGATTAAATGCTGTCTATGACTTTCAAGTCTATGATACCACTCTCTTTGCATGCCTTATTAACCGTCAGTAGAGAAATGTTCAGTTAGGCTTAAGTTTAGACTTCATTCACTTCTCTCATGTTTAATGCTCTAACACCCTGTTTGAGGCATGGATAATGCATGGAGATGCATCAAGCTTTGCTCATATACTATGGCACTGTATAGCGTCTACAGATGACATTTCTTAAACAGGGCCCCGAATTAGGAAGGTATATACATGACTATCTCTAGAACTATCCTGTTTTTTTAACTACTGAATTTACCAAATAGTTTTTCTTTTTATAAATAATAAAGTATTAGATATTACATTAAAAGAGTATGTTCATGATATCACATTATTTTGCTTATAAACAGACTATAGAACTTATGCTAAATTTGTGAGACGTGCAACAGAATGTTACGGCGTTCTTGAGCCACCACTCTTTTACAAATTTGGCATCTACAGGCCTCAAAAGGCTGAAATGTTTTAAATTTACTTACACCCTGCAGTTTCCTTAGGGAACTGTTTTCCATAAGCTAATGAGGCGCTGGTGCAAGGCCTCTCTGTTATTCCTGGCAGGCACACTGAGACACATCGCCTGCTGCTCTGCTCTTTTCCTCAGTAGTCTACTGCAAATAATAAATATGGGGAAATACATCATCCCTTTGAATGTGGGAGCCAAGCTGCAGGGCTGCCAAGGTTAAAACAAAGCAATTGCAAGCTTGGAGCTCGTTCATGTCCTGTACCACATGTGCCCATACTTTAGGGGCACCCCGAATGTGGCCTTTATCATGTCAATTTGCTTATTCTGAGCACAAAGTTAGTCTTTTGAAATCTACTCTATAAAACAGGTCTTTCCAAAGAAGTTGTGTTTTGTGGATTAAATTCTATCCTGAGGTCAGGGAACTTGTCTTCTGGATTATCAAATAGTGAGGATTTATCGAGCACCTCCAAGGTGCCTAGCCCTATGTTGATGTGAGCCATGAAAAGAGGGAAGCAGAGTATACATCTTGCTTTCACGCGTGGTCATGGTCAGTCTGGAGAGGGTGTTTCAGATTACAAAGGCTTCTCTGACCAGGGGTGGCAACGTCATGTGTCCACCCAACTTCCTGGCAGAGGCCTGGGTGCACCCTTGGTACACAGCAAGCTTCCAATGACAGAATGAACGAGTAGGCGTTGCTGCTTTGTTTCTGGTCTTCCCTGAGAGCAATCTAGTGATGGAAGTTACACTGATATTAACATCAGCACAGCCTGAGGACTAAACAGAAGTGGGTTAAATAGCCACAGGGTTTTCTTAGCCCCCAAACTCAGCCCCTAAAGCATGCAGATATTCTCACCTCCAGCTGTCCTTTGATATCACCCTCGTCCAGCTTAACTCCATATGGGCAATTAAGTCTGACTGATTTAATTGGACACGTTTCCCCCTTCTCTTTACTGCTTTGTTTTCTCTGCTTGTCACTCAGAGCTGGTTGAGGTCAACCCACAAGTGTTTCTTGAGTTGGGGGAGGCAGTAAAGGGATTTAAAAAAATCTATTTGGTGGCTCATGAGAAATGGTCTCTTCAGTAATTAAGCAGATGTTTCTGCCTTTGCTATAGTTCTTAGGTGGTCTTACGTTCCAGAATAGACGGTAGGCCTGATGATTTAGAAAGTCCTTTTCCAGTTCTGGAACTTTACCAGAACCATGCTATCCTTCATGTCTAGAGGACCCTGGCATACCAGTCAGGCCTGATCCTCAACAAGGATATGAAGTGGGTGAAGCTCGTCTTGTGCCTGCCCACGAAGGTACCCTCTTCTCCCACATAGCTTCCTGATTGCTCCCCACCCCCCAATCTATCTTTAGATTTTGCCCTTAGTTGGATGTCCCTCAGGGTATTATTAGAAAACCAGATTGTTAGCTAATAAGGGCTCAAAGAATTTAGAAAAGATAAGAACCAGCAAAAGGGTGGGTAAGGGAGATAAGCCCAGGTTCCGTTGCAAATTAGTCAATGTGCCTATGGCCTTTGGATCTATTTGGGGCACACAGGGGCCTATTCTAGACACAAAGTCAAATTAGACATAGCCTGGCATTCATTTCTCCCCTGCTTCTCTGAGACTGCAGACCTGAATGCTGGAAATCGCTTCATTCTGCTGCTGTTGGGAACAGTCATTTCTACTTAGGTTTTCCATATAGACAGGTGTGACTGGAGAGAAAATCAGAAACTAGGGGGTGCTGTGAGATTGTTTCTCCCTGGCCTAGATATTTCACATATACTACCTCTATAATTATATATTTAAGACAACTTTATGAGGTGTATACCTTTTTCGCCATTTACAGATAATGAAACTGAAAATCTGAGAATATAAGTAGCTGACCCAAAGCTCACAGCTAATATTGGCAGAGCCAAGATACATACCCAGGCTGGTATTTTTGCCCCTTACTAAACTATGGTGCCTTGTTCAATCTATCAGCTCTGTGAGTTTTCTGGGCAATTGATTTAATTCTTTGCTGACCTTTGCCCGGTAGACCATCTGGTTGTGTTCCTAGGGCTCCTTTTCTGACTGAGCTCCCACAGCTCCAGGCCTCTGCAATATTCTTCCCTCTGCTTGAAATCCCTTTCCTGTCTTGGTCATTGGGAGAATGTTAGTGTTCCTCAAATCTACCTCCACAGGACCCTGTGTGTGACTCTAATAAGGCTGGCATCTGTCGTGCTGTACTGTCCTTTTTTGTATACATGTCTGTCTCTTTAGCATATGAAGTCGCAAGTTTCATGAAGGCCTTTTTAGACCATGCCTGATGTGGCAGATATTCAGTAATGGTTGGATAAATGAATGGTGTAGAAAGACAAAATTTTCATCACTCCTCTCTGTGTTTCAGGAGAACATGCAACTAATTCTTGCCTAAGCATGGGAGAAAATTGAGCCCAGTGGATGTTACTATCTGTTTTAAGGCAAAGGCCAGCAGTGGACTGGAGGCATCTGGGTAGGTTGTTGGTCAAAGTTCTTGTGCAGTTACGGCACCAAGGAGGAGCAATGATAGATTGTCCTCTGCTCAATTAGCAGTTCCTTTGGGTGATAAAATTGTCCTTAAAATGGAAATGCCTCCTGGAGGGGTTAAGTCTGCTGATGCTCCAGTGATATTAATTTTACTAATATTAGCTATTGTTATCTTAATAATTATTTCCATGTTATATTCAAACTACTTTCAGAGAGTCTGAGGTGATCTCTTTGAGGGAAACAGATTGAGGAGTGGGATGGAGGATTAGTTTTTAGGACAGAGAAATCCTGTGGGGAAGACATCATTTCAGGGAGACCTGTTCTCCCCATAATGAGGTTGTAAGTAGCTAGAAGCAATATGAGGTCATGGGGGGGCTGTGATGGTGTGAGAGCCCTCTGCAGAGAATGGAACAGGGAGGATGGAGAGAGAGGGAAGATCAGAGAACAGTGCTATCTTTCTGATGGTGAAGACAACTTTGCAAGGGAAGATTCCCTCCCACAGTTGATGCCTGGGTCAGAGCAAGGCTTGCCAGAGAAATGACAATATTCATCTGTGATTGTGAAAAATTGCCTTTGAAGAGGAGGTCCTATGCTGGGTGTATATGGCACCTTGCACTTAGGAGGTCTTAATGAACATAAAACTAACCTGTGCCCAAAAGATGCCTCAATTAACTGAAACATAACTCAGCAGAAGCCCCAATTAACTGATATATTTGGGACATCTGCAATTAGCAGAAAGCAGCAAGAGAAAGCAAGCAGCATCTAGGATTTATAGGGGATGCTATAGGGGCCAAATTTTAGCTTTAGCAAATTGTCTACACTGCCTACAGCTTACTAACAAGAACTAATTTCCAGAATAAGTCTGGAGTCTTGGAAGATTCTCATTCATCGAAGTTAGATCATCTGGTCAAGGTGAAGCTGGCAGGTGATGAGATTGTTCATTGAACAAATTCATTGTAACTTGCACACAAACTGAGTGGTTTACCCACTCAAAGAAGCTAATGTAGAAACCTGTACTATGGTTTTATCCAGGTAATTCCCAGGGTCCTGTGTCATTGTCCCTCAGGGCCTGTGATACTTTCTTCTAAATACCTCCAATGGATTCAAATCCTTTTCCATTGACAGTGGGTGGGATTTGTGAAAACATTCCACTGCCTCTGAGTTTCAAGTTTAAGGAAGAAGATAGCTGATCACGCTGTATATCACTTTTGATACAGCAGAATGCATGGCTTTGACAAGTCATGGAGATGCTCACACCTGGATTAATCACTATGATTAACTCAGCCCACCAGAGAACCCAAGGCTCCCCTGTGGTCCAGGAAGGGCATATTCTGAAAAAACCCTCCTCAAATTGTGTGTCTGCCCTGCCCCAGCAGCACTGTTGGGGTGCCTTTGATGGCAGCCCACACAGCAGCTGATATCAAGACCTTTTCTGCACATCTTTTTTCTTTCTCTTTCTTTTTTTGAGATGGAGTTTCGCTCTGTTGCCCAGGCTGGAGTGCAGTAGCATGATCACGGCTCACTGCAATCTCTGCCTCCCGGGTTCAAGTGATTCTCCTGCCTCAGCCTCCTGAGTAGCTGGGATTACAGGTGCCCGCCACCATGCCCAGCTAATTTTTTGTAGAGATGGGGTTTCACCATGTTAGCCAGGATGGTCTCGATCTCTTGACCTCATGGAAGCACAGTCCAGGGGAGATCTTGGACTGACACTAAGGAGTATTCATGGACTCCTATTGAATCAGTGGGGAGAAGGTGTTTTGCTTGCAGAGTAGTGAAAGAGCAGTGAGACATGGGCTTTGGGTTTGCAGAGCTAGATTAGAATTCTGACACTACCTGGCCCTTGAGAATCATGAGATCCCTTGGAGCCTCAGTTTTCCCACATTAGATGGACATAACAACCATAGAGGGTGATTAAGAGACTGCAAGAGAATACATGGAAAATGCCTAGTGCATAATAGAATCTTCCTGTGACTAACTCCCACTTGCCCTTAATAGTTTTGCTTAGACATGCCTTCCTTCAGGAAATCTCCTCCTCCTAAGTCTGTTAGGCACGTCTTCCATAGATACTCTCCTTTCTCACCACTGCCCTTAAGACACTTCAAAGCATGTGTTTTCTAACCTCTCCACACTAGGTAAACTCTCTATTGTTCCCTGATACCTAGCACAGTGCCTGACACACTGTGAGTTCTTTGTACTCATTTGTTGAATGAATGGAGTAAATGAATAAATGGCAGACAGTATGTGTTCCAGTCATTTGAGGATTGAGAGAAGAGCCTTTCTTTTTTTAGCAATCTGGAGCTAAGATTTTTATGGGTCTAATTTAGTGCTGCCAAACCATGGAGCTCCAAGAATGGTTACCTCGCTGAGGCAGCCTGACCCCAGACCCACTAATTCCTTTTGCCCTGGACACAGCTAGTAGTAAAGGTGGTCACCTATGACAGGTGAGTCAAGAGGGGGAAATGACACTTCTTTTGCTATTACAAGTATTAAAACACTTGGTGACTGTGGTCAGTGGTCAATAGAGTTGATTGAAGAAAACCTAAATGTTTTGAGTCTGCTTTAGAGGTTAGTGAGTAGAGCTGTTTATTTCAGGCTTGATTCTACTCATTAGGTTGAGAGAGGGGTAAGGGATACTGCTGTCAGACTCATATAGCTATGAAGGGTTTTGCTTTAGCCCTGGGCATGTCAGGAATGTCAGACATGTTGATCTGTGCCTGCCACCTAGCAGTATGTGTGGGGAATGGATGTGGAGTCAGAAGACCTGAGTTTATGTGACGTCTCACGCCCCTGCTGGCTGATTCCCTAACCTTTCTGACCACCCAATGTTTCAGAGTCAGTTTCTTTGTCTGTAAAGTGGACACAGTGTACTGATTTCAGGCTTGTGTGGATGAAATTAATGCTATATCAAGGTAAGAAGTCATGTAAGATAATAATCTCTGGCAGTGGCACAAGTCGAACACACTGAGCATTGATGGGAGCACTTTCTGTCATGGCAGGTATGGAGAAACTTAGCACTCCTCTATTGCTCTTTCCTGTGATGAAATCAGCAAGCTAGCCCCAGTTGGCATATATGTAAATAGAAAAATAATATGGCCATATGGCCAAAGTAAACAGAAGTGGGAAATTGCATTTGTATAATTTAAAAATAGTTTATTTTTTTAAAATTTAAGTCTTTTGCTTTCATTCAAGACATTTCCTCTTGATTGGAGTGGATTTTTTGTTGTTGTTAATTGTACTTTGCTTTGAGCTTTTCCTATTTATTTCAAGACCAGATAACCATTCTTTTGTTGACATAACCACTGACCTTATTAAAAGTTTGTCCAGATAAATCACGATTTTTAAGATAAGAGAGACACAAACACAAACACGGAAAACTGGCCACCACATGGAGGCTGGGATAAATAAATGCTCTACAATTGGTTAATAAGGGCACATCTTGGCCTACAGTTTTGATTTGTCTTTTCAATCCATTTGCAGCCTCACTGGGAAATGGGGAAGGGCTGAGCATTTACTTGAAGATTTGCACAGAGTGTTACATTTTTAAGAAATTTCCAATGCATTTTGATTCAGACAAGCTTTTGTTGGCTGAGAAATTACATGATGCACCCAAAATGCTTTTGCAGAATGTGGTATTGAGTGCCATTTTATTCCCACGAACTAGAAGTTCAATACAAAAGGCCAAGATTGAGAAATGCATTCTGACATTTTATATACTTACTTATACCTCACTTACGACTGAGCCTCTCCTGAAAGTTAAAAGTTTAAATTTTCCAAGTATATTTGGGGAGGGGAGTGGAGAAACTCTCAAGGCCTAAGAGGTACAGAGGCATCTCATTTGTGGGGCAGTTCAGACTTTCCATTTCTTTATTATGAGTGCATGATGGAAAGCTCTCTAATGTTAGAAGTAAATAATGTCCTTTAAGCTATAGCACTCAGATTAGTTTAAATACTGTGCATTTGTAACCACAGCCAGATTATTTGATAACACTTGTCTCTGTCTATTATCAGAGAGCACTTGGAATGGATTTCTCCCATTTTATTAAGTTTTGTTTCATGAAAGGGGGTAGATGTTTTAAAATATGATAACGAGTTTATAAAACTTCAGTTTCAGATGTAAAAATTGGTTGTTTGTTGATGAGAAGAGAGCATGCCCAAAGTAGAAAGGCTTTTATTACTACCATTCAGGTTTACCTGCTTTTAAGCAGCAACAGATGAGTCTTTTTGGTACTAGATAGGGAAGAGTGAATGTCCTGTGTTGATATAGAATTGTTTTAGTTATCTGTCCCTGTCTTAATTTCTCTGCATATTTAGTGTAATTATCTTCTTGATCTATGTTGTCTTAGGATGCAAGGGGGAATTTGAGCATCCTTCCTGCAATCTTTCCCTCCTATCAGAGTCTCAGAATCCACTCTTCTATTTCCATTTGACTAAATCATAGGCATCTAAGAGGGAGCCACCTCCGCCCCCTACTAACTAGCAGAATAAGACTGACCAGTTTCCAACTAATCAATTACTTGAGTTACCATGTCCGGCAGATTTCTACTTTGCTGTATCTCTCAACTCTGTTGCCTTGTTCATTTCCAGCACCACTCTGCCAGTCCAGGCTTTGATCCGCACATAGCTGGACTAACTGCTCATCTACCTAATGTGGCTCATTCTCCATAGCACTATCAGATTAATTTTCCTAATGTGGCACTTGACCCCTCCTACTTTCTGCTTAAAGCACTGCCTTCTAAATAGCTAAGTGCCAACCTCTCCATCTGGCATTTAAGCTGCTCACATGATGGCTCCAAACTATCACACAATCATTGAAGAAAACACTTAGAGCACACTGATGGTTCTGGGGACATAGTGGCAAACAGGACAGCAAGTTGTCCCTGTCATCCATCATGGATCTTATATTCTAATGAGGGAGATAGATTTTAAATAGATTATGATGAAATTAATTATTTGAAACTCATGTGAAGAACTGCAGAGGAGAAGCATCATGTGCTTGGAAACTGTGCTATGGGAACGTGAAGTCAGGGGAGGCAAGCTGAACTCAAGAAGCTGTTCTGAAGTGTTAGCTGAAGCAAATTAGATGGAGTATGGCTTGGGGAGGGGGGAGACTGGGGGAGCAAAGGGGAGGACCCAGGGAACAACCTGTGGGAAGGAGTAAAGTACACATGTGAGGAAGTCACAGAAGCCTTAGACTAGGGAAGCAAGGGGCAGGGCCAATCCTAGAGAGGACAGTTGGCTCCATAGGCCTGGAAAAGATTTTGGACTTTCTTCTCTGAGTAGTGAGAAACTGAGTAGGATGTGACATGGCCAGATAGGAGTTTTTAAAAGTCACTCTGCAATGGGAGAAATGTCTAGAGGCAGGCCTGGGTGCACGCAGGAAGACCAGTTAGGAAGCTGTTACAGAAACCCAGACAAGAGACTACTGTTGCTTCGTGAGGGTGGTAACAGTACAGGGGTGGAGGAGAGTCAAATTTGAGACATATTTTGGAGGATTTGGTGATTGTTTAGACATGCAAGTAAGGGAGCATTAGAATGACTGTCAGGGTGGTGGTAACATTCTCCAAACTACGGAATACTGGAGGAAGGCTGGATTTGGGGAGAAATGTCATGTTTAGTTGTTACTTTCTATAAGACATCCAAATAATGACTTGTAGTAAGCAAATAAATCAAAAGGCAGTGTTGTGTAGTGGTTAAAAGCATGGTCTTAGCAGCTCATGTGACCAGCATCTGTGCAACCTTGGGAAAGTTACCTAACCTTTCTGTGCCTTACAGTTTCTTCATTTGTAAAATGGGGAGATCATAAGTTTAGCATACACAAAAACTGAGATTGGTGCCTGGTACAGAGCGAGTACTATTTAAATGTTAGTCATTATTACTATTATTTATATACAAGTCCAAAGCTCAAAGAAGTCTGGGCTGCTCATATAAACTTGGGGCTTGTTCATAAATAGTAAGTGAAGACACATGTGGGGACAAGGCTGTCTTGGGAGTGCGTATAGAGTGAGGGAGGAAAAGGGCCCAGTTCAGGTCTCCAGGAATCTGGGAGTGGACTGAGGAGGGTAAGCGAGCCAAGGCGCTGGGGACTTCGTGGAACAGAGAAAGGGAGAGAGGAGAAATTCAGAAGCAGACAGAAGAGTGTGTTTTGAGGAGTAGAGAGTTATTAGCAGTGTCAAATGCTGCTAGGAGTGCCTTAATGCTAAGACTGGAAATTGTGTGATTTAGCAAGCTGTTGAAAACTTTCCTGAGTTGTAGGTGGCAAAGTAGAGGTTGAGGACAACTTGAAGAGTGAGGAAAGAGGGACACATTAAGTGAAAATGAATTATTTGAGAAGTTGGTTTTTCAGAGATGCAAACTTCAGCCAGGAACATAGGGCTACCTCCTGGTCAAGTGTAAGCCAATCTATAAGGACTACTAGCCCTGAAGAGAGTCTACATCCACTTTGGCTTGTGACAAAGACAGCCATAACCCCTTCCCTCAGTCATGGCCTTCAATGGGATGGAGGAGTTGGCCTCAGAGGTCTCCTGGATTTCAGGGTTCTGGCAGTGGTGAAAGTGGCATGTGTTAGCCAGACTGCTGTAGGCGTCAGTGGTCTTGACTTTGGCAGTGGCCAACAAAAAGGTCCCACCACATGAAGAAGTTGATGAAACATGAAGGATTGGGGAACATGCAGCCAGGCTCTTTGTGAAGAGTGTGCTGGACCTCTGACTTAGAAGGAACCTGTCCTCCAGACTATGAAGAGTGGACTTTGAGTCTGGGCTCAAATGCTTGTGTTTGGGAAGACCATTCTTCTAACGTGGGTTTAGAGGAAACTCCAGATCAAAGTAACACTTCATAAAGGTGTGTACCATCACCCTGGGAGAGGAAACCTGGGAGAGCAATGAGGTTCGGGTTGAAAATCCATGGTTTGTGGGAAAATTCTGCTTTTGGGAAAACTTTCTTCTAATGTTTTTGACTGCAAAGGGTGCAAGCTGCACATGCTGTGACTTGCTAATGATTGCTGGGATGTGGAGGTGAACCATCTTGGGTCATCTGATCATGATGCCAGGCCACTAATGGGTTCCAGGCAGGCTGGATTCATAATCGTGAGGTTGGATCTCATAAGGGAGAGAGTCACTGAGATTGATGATATTCACTTTCTATAGCTTCCTTCCTCAACCCTGCCCCAAACATGACACCTTTTGTGAGAGAAAGAAGCAAATAATAGGAAGCAAAACATATAGTCAGTTATCATTATTCATAGTAGTTAGATAGTATAAAGTTATGTGAACACTGATTTAGTGAATACTAAACCATTGAGCCTAGGAGAAATACAGGGTTAGGTTCCTGTGAGCCTTTGGTCATAACACTTTCATCAACTGATCAATGCATAGCCTTGTTTTATGTGTGTTTCTGTTTAAAGACACTTATGCAATATTAATATATATTGTTGATTAACATTGAACCCGTGGCCAGCAGGATACCACTCATGTAGAACAAAGCTTATTTAACAAGATATTTTCTCTGTAAGGCATATCAGAGTCTTCTTGTGCTTAGGAAAGTTATACAACACTACATTTGGGGGGGCGCATTTTAAGCAACAAAGTTACCAAGAAAAGGCACAAAAAATGCAAACCATATGGCACCAACTATGCCATGAAAGGACACTGGTTTCCAGCAGGAGAGCTGAGACAAGAAGGCGGAGAGCTGAGACAAGAAGGCAGAGCACCACCTTGTTTGACCTCAGCTGGGAACCTGCACATCAGGCCTCTTAGGTTTTTCACCTGCTCTGTGCTTGCACGTGCTTGTAAATGACTGCAAAAGCAGGGCAAATCATTATTTTGGGATTACAGATAAATTTTAGTGACTATATGAATTTCAGAAATAATGAGGATCTGCTGTATATTAGCCTTTTGATGTTCATGGCTGTCTATAATTTGGCTAAAAGTTGATTATTCTAGATGCCATTTAACTTGCCTTCTTACACTGAGATTCCATGATTGTCTGAAGAGTCAAAAACCAATCAGTTCAAATGTCTGTACCTTTTATACCTAAAATGCAGCACAGTGGGGAGCTGTGCAGAAAGATGATGGACATTCTCAGGTTTGCTCTTCTCATGGCTGCAGGATGTTTGCGGCAGTGCTGGACATCCCATCTGGACACAACCAAAGAGGAACTGTTTCTTCTTGTTCTGTTAGTGAAAAATCCTTCCCTAAAACATTCCAAGAGATTTGCTCCCACATCTCATTGGCTAGGAATATGTCACATGTCTATCCATTCACCGGCAAGGGTAACAAGACCCCCATCATTGGCACAAACCAATCCTATTTCACCCCCTGGAGCTAGAGCTGCACCAACTTCTGAAGCACATGGCTTTGTAGAGAAAGTGATTTTGAACAAAATTGGGGCTCTGATGAGAGGAAAAGGGAAATGGATTGGGGATAATCAGACTGTAGTGTCTACCATACTTAGTAAAGGAATTTTGCATTACTATATGAAAAACCTTTTAATCTCAAATTGAATGTGTGCTTTATTTTTTGCTAGAGTTTCCAGCACCCAGCAGACTGTCAGGCCAATTCCTAGACACTTCTTTCTGGAGGGAATCTTCAGAGGGTTGGTTTTTCTTCAGACACATATGAAAGAACTTGTGATTAGAATCATGAGGGAAAAACTGTGGGTGAGAACTTAAGGGACTTAATCTTGCTATGGTAGAATAAAGTGGGGTGCTGATTCATTGCTACTACTCCCTGTCTGATTGCCTACCTTTAGAGTTGGGCTGATCTTTGTTGATTGCCTGACCAATAGATTGTAGTGAAAGTAAAGTTCTGGGACTTCTGAGGCTAGGTCATAAGAAATGTGTCAACTTTGTTCAAGACCTCTTGGAATACTTGTTCTTGGAATCTATCCACTATGTTGTGATGAAGTCCAAGTACCCCATGGAGAAGAACCAAAGCTCCTAGATCCCAAACTGGTTAAGCTCCCAGTTAATAGCCAGCATCAGCTTGCTAGATATGTGTGTGTGCCATCTTGGAAATATACCCTCCAGCCCCAGTGAGCTTCCCCAGCTGTCATTTCATGGAACAGAGATGATCTATCTCTGCCGAGTTCTAGCCTAAATGCAGATTCATGAACAACATAAGTGATTATTTTTGTTTTAAACCTCTATATTTTGGGGTGGTTTGTTACTCAGCCATAGATAACCAGAACATGTACTGCAAGAGAAAGCAAGACAGACTCAAAACTGCAATAATTCCAGCTGGATGCTTCAGAAACCAAGAGGCCTTTAGTTAGACTTCCATTGATCACCCTAGCCCCAGTGTGGTGCTCCACAACCCTTATCAAGTGAATGAATGGCCATTTTTCCCCTTATACCTTCAGAATATGCAGGGAATAAGAAGAAACTTTCAGGCTGTTCTTTTCTAGGAATATGATTTCAAGCTGTAGTTTTTTTTCTGTTTTTTTAGAACATTCAGAAAAATCCTAGAATCGAAGGGTTAAAAGGGAGCAGGTGCAGCTTGTCACCCTGCCCTAGGGTTACTTGGCACTTCATTCATAAGCTTTCCAGCAAGGATGCTTTAAGCCTCTTCTTGTATTGCGTTTGCTAATGTCCTGTTAGCCTAAGTGAGAGACATGGCCAAGCTCAGCTTCCAGGGTAGAGAAATAGACCTCTTCTTGATGGGATTGATGGGAGGAACTGCAAATGATTGGGACTTGTTTTGGCCAATCTATAATACCTATATGGGAGTCTATAATTCCCAAAGTGCCATGATGCTAAGTAACCTCCAAGGACGTGGAAAGAGCACTGACAGGTGTCAGAAGAGAGTCTAGTGCCTGTGCTGCCAATTTTTTTTTTCCTGTGGAGCCTTAGAAAAGTCAACTCACCTTCTCTACCCCACTCCAGATGCAGGAACTGAAGCACATGCAAACTGTTAAGCTCAGTAATCGCTAAGGTCCCTTCCAGTACTCCAATTTTATCTTTTTTTCCACAGCAGAGGAGTCAGGTTCAAAGTACACATTATGGTAACTAAAAACATACTCGAGTGTGTTGTTTTATGGCAGTGCAGGGGCACCTCCTGACCAGCCAAACCCTGAGGCAGGACTCGGAACGAACCAGGCAGTTGCCAGTGCCAAGGGCCAGCGCAGCTGTGGCCACTTCCCTCTCCTTTCAAGTTTGACTCGGGTGAGTGGGAGGTGGAAATCATTTTTATTTCTGGTCTGCTTCCTGCTGATTGTGAGTCTTCTGTTCGTGCCCTGTGCACACTGAGTCTCACCTCCACGGTCCTATGTAGAGCCGGTTTCTCCTTTTACAGGTGTTTTCTTTTGCAGAGGTGGTGGATTGATGTGGCCACATTTTCCAAATACAAATGAGCCAGCATGGAAGGAGCCCTTGAAAGTAGAGTGCTTGGAGCCAAGCCCTGGAACTGTGGGGTGCCCCAGCCTCTTGGGGCCGCTGTCACTTTGCTTCTCCTTGCTTTGCCAGTGAGGTGGCAATGGTGATGATTATCCACTTTAAGAAAGCAGCGGTCAAAAACTTGAGGGGAGAAGACATCAGGAATAGTGTCCTCTGGGGATGGGGGCAGAATTGTGAATTTTGTCTTTCCCCTACAGAAACAGCTAGAATGATGAGAGGTTATGTGGCTTTTCACATCCTCACAGCTCCCATCGCACACCTCTCCTCACAGATGCATCCCAGCAGCCTGAATACAACCCTCTTAGTGGCCTCTTTCCCTCCAGCCTCCCCATATTTCCTTACAAACAGAACCACTGGCAGAGAAAGCACTGGAAGGAAAAAGGAGCCCCAGAAGAGCAGCCTCCGTGCCTAAGGTGTGGAGAAGACTGACAGAGAGTGTGGGGTTAAGAGCCTCAGGGCTCTGTGAATCCCCCTGGCAGCAACTCCCCTAATACCCCTCCATTCCAATCCCAATCCCACAGACTGCCCCAGAGACCCTGCAGGGCTGGTGCCAGCAGAAGAGCTCAAAGGCCCAAGGCTTACAGCTCCTGAGCTGGGCTTAATTCTCTGCATCAAAATAATAAAGACCATGGTGGTGGTAGTGGCTGTGGTGAGTGGGAGAGGAAGTGAAGGGTAGGAAAGAATCAAACGGAGCTTCCCAGCCTGTCCTACAACTGTGAGCTTTTGGGTAAGTGTGGAGACTCCTTTTATTCTAATATTGCTGCTTGTAACAATCAAGAGAGAGAACCAGAAAGAAAACACGAGCCAGTAACTGGCTGCCCTTTCTATGCTATGAGCTATTCAGCAGAAGGCCTGCCCAACATGGGTCTGTTTCTTTGGGAGTAAAAATTAAACAGGGTTAGAAGATTTCCAGGTAAACGTAGTGACTCAATATCTTACCTAGTGTCTAATGACTGTTGGGACAATATAAAATAGTATTGAAAGGGAGACCATGATTGTGAGCTACAGTGACCATTGTTGATAGCAAATGGGGACAGGTGAGTGTGTGTTAAGAGCACAGTCAGGAAAGGGTTTGGGATATAAGATAAGAAGATAGAAGGAGAAGTTGTTGGAGAGTTGAGTAAATATGAATTACTGAAAAAAGGTAAGGGAGATCTTGGAAGAACAACAGACAACACAATTGAGTTGGCCAAGGATATTTGGCAAGTCCCTCAGCAGCAGGATAGAGTCACAGTTGTCTGCTTTTTGGCACCCAGCTGATACCATGGAGAGGCAGGGAGAGATGAGATGACTGAGAGGCTGACTTTGAGAAGGCCCGGAACCTTCTAGAAGAGTTTTGGATTTTGGATAAAAGGGCCATGAAATGGAAAGTCTTAGAAGCATTCCATCCAACTACTGCTTAAGATGTTTCCTGATCTACTCTGTCCAGGGCTGGCCATGATGAAAGATTAGAAGTAACTTGTGTAACCAATAAATCTTCAGCCTTATTAGTCTGTGTCCCGCAAATAAGAGTGCACTTTCTTTTAATATCCCAATTAATTTGCTGGAGTACCTATTGGCCTAATTGCAGGAAATTAGTTTCTCTGAAATGTTCCCCAGCTAATTCTAAGATAACTTCCTTACTACATAATTAAAAGGGCTCAACCAAGTTACTGCTCTGAGAACAAAGGGATAGGCTGCTTCAAAGGCAAATTCTGGGTTGCATCCAGAAGGCAGTGACTTTTTGTTACTTTCAGAAGAGACATTCTTTTTTCAGCTTTCAAGGAAGCTAAATTCGTCTCTGTAGATAACTTGTTTCAGTGCAAATCATTAAGTGCCTACTGCGTAGCCAACTTGTTGCTCTGCTGTCCCTAGGGTGTTGTCCTTGCTCATGTTCCAAGGTAGCCCATCACCACATCACAGGTGAGCCAGAGCAAAGAAGAAAGGGGAAAAGAGGGAAGGCCTGGAAATTGCACACACATTTTTTTTTTCATATCCCAGAACTTATGTATATTTTCATATGTAGTTGCAAGGGAGGTTGAACATGTAGGTTTTACTCTGAATGGCCACGTGTCCAGCTATAAATAACAGTAGAAGAAAGAGAAATCATAAAATGAGTGAAAAGCATAGCTTTTGCTATAGGCATCTAACATATGCCTTTTTTTTCATTGAATACTTACAATAACACTGCAAGATTATTATAGTGTCCCTAGGAAATGTAGGCTTAGAGAGACACCTTCCATTGGCTGAATCTACGAGGAAGCCAGAGGGCAAGGAAGCCTCATGTAGGTAGGGAGCAGAGGAGGGAAAGGTTGAGAATGGGTGTGAGAGCAAACGGGTCAGTGACATGCATGCCATTTGGAAGTCACTATGGACTTGGCACGTGGGAGAATCCCTACATCCTCCATAAAATAAAAATATTTATTTGATGGATATGTGCCAGAAGAATACATGCCTAATCAAAGCACTTAGGAAAAAAGAGAATTCAGATAGCACCGAGTTTGAGATTTGTAGTACAAGGGCAAAAGGGAAATCGTTTGTTAGTTGTTTTCTGAAAACCCTCGTGGGTCCGGAATTGGTTCCTTCCGGTGGGTTCTTGGTCTGGCTGACTTCAAGACTGAAGCTGCGGACCTTCGCCGTGAGTGTTACAGTTCTTAAGGACGGCGTGTCCGGAGTTTGTTCCTTCTGGTGGGTTCATGGTCTTGCTGACTTCAGGAGTGAAGCCTCACACCTTCGCAGTGAGTGTTACAGCTCTTAAAGGTGGCTCATCCGGAGTTGTTTGTTCCTCCTGGTGGGTTCGTTGTCTTGCTGACTTCACGAATGAAGCTGCAGACCCTGGTGGTGAGTGTTACAGCTCATAAAGGTAGTGCGGACCCAAAGAGTGAGCAGCAGCAAGATTTATTGTGAAAACAGAAAGAACAGAGAAAGAACAAAGCTTCCACAGCATAGAAATGGACCCAAGCAGGTTGCCGCCACTGCCCTGCTGGCTTGGGTGGCCAGCTTTTATTCCCTTACTTGGCCCTGCCCATGTCCTGCTTATTGGTCCATTTTACAGAGTGCTGATTGGTCGGTTTTTACAGAGTGCTGATTGGTGCATTTACAACCTTTTAGCTAGACACAGTGCTGATTGGTGCGTTTTTACAGAGTGCTGATTGGTGCGTTTACAAACCTTTAGCTAGACACAGAGCGTTGATTGGTGCTTTTTTACAGAGAGCTGATTGGTGCATTTACAAACCTTTAGCTAGATACAGAGCCCTGATTGGTGCGTTTACAATCCTTTAGCTAGACCGAAAAGTTCTCTAAGTCCCTACCTGACCCAGAAGCATAGCCGGCTTCACTTCTCACTTGTCCCTCCCACCCAAGCTGTACATGGGGAAGGTATATCTGTGAACATTTGGTAGAACTTGGATATGGAGAGTAAAATGCAAAATTAATACCAAATCAGATGTTCCTGCTGTCCTCACACAAACTTGAAATGATGCCAGCATCTATACAGTATGGAAATAAAGCTGTTACAAATACCATCCAATATACCCTAAAACCTTCCATTTCCCCACTGTTCCCTGGTCTGTCCTGCCTCCTGGCCTCTGTACATGCTGTTCCACTTGAAACTCCACGCTCTACATCTCTCTTCCCACTCTTGCCTTCTAAACCCTTTTCTGTTTTCCTTTGTTTGGCAAATTTCTTTTCATCCATTATGCCTTAGTTGCATGCTACTTCCTCTAAAAGGCTATTCCCAAGTCTGAAATAGACTTGTCTTCTGTGTTCCTAATACATCACTACTACTAGTAATAATAATATTAATAGCAGTTACTGAGCACTTGCCATGTTCCAAGTGCTGTGCTAGGTGCTTTCTATGCATTATCTCATTTGAAAACCCCAGTAAGGTATGTACCGTTATTAACCATGTTTTAGAGATGAGGAAACTGAAGATCACAGAGGCTAAGTTTATTAATTTCTTGGGGCTACCATAACAAATTACCACAAACCTGGTGGCTTAAAACTTGGCTAGACTTAAAGCCCCAGGAGCCAGACTGTGTCTTGTTGATGCCTACTATTTTCACACCATAGTACCTGGTTGGTGATGCATTTTCAATAACTGTATGTTGAATGAATAAATCAGAGCCAGGTACTGTTAAGAATGCAGAACTGTTGAGGGCATATTGTTCAACCTGAGTCATTACTCTGGCTACAGTACCTGGCACTTCATTGTCTCGTGGCTCCCCACCATCCCCTTTTCTGAAGGTGCTACTCACTTCCTGGGCTGTGTGGCTGTTGCACCCTGAGTGGGCTGGAGTCTGAGCTGACAGCCCAGGTTTTCTGGTCCGCCCTCATGCCTAGCATCCCAGGCCTATCTGAGTGCGTCTCCACTTCTGGAGTGGGATGAAGTACCACTCCATAGGGATGTACCCCAGTTTCCTGAGCAGTGGAAGGGGGACTAGATGATATGACTGAGAAATGTGGGGGATCAGGTCCCCATTGGGTAAGAGCTCCATCAGTAGGAAGCAGGGAAATTTAGGTTTACAGATCATCTCAGAAAAGACACTGTAATAATGTGTGCTTCTGTAGATGCCTTTTGACAGAATGTAAAAATTGTGTATCACTTTCAAATGTTTCTGTGACATTTTCTACTTGGTCCAAAAAGTTCTTGGATTGTAATTAAAAAAACCCACACATATTTATGTAAATATAAAATACAAAATCACATTTAGGTGGCAAAAAACTCTGTATCTTTCCTCCTGACTTACCTGCTAAAAACCCATATAATGATGTTAGCATTTACCTTTCTTAACCTGTATTCACTAAATGGTGCTGTTCATATAGGTGCTTATATAGTTACAGAAATGAGAAATACAGATATAATGGAATGATTAAAAAGGGGCAGGGTCTGTGTGATGAGAAGCCTGGGCCCTGATTCTGAAGAGGAGGCCATGAGCTCTGGCTGATCTCAGAGGCAGCAGCCAGTGGAGTGCAGTGGGGCGGGAGGACAAGTGACTTGAGGAAGGTAGGGAGGAGGGGAGAGGGCATTTCAGAGGGAGGAGGGACTGGTATGGGCAAAGGACAGAGGCTGGAGCTCCTATGTCATGACACCTCTTCTTTCAATTGTTTCTTGCTTGGACCCCATGATAATCCTTTTTAAAAAAATTGAGATAAATTTACATAACATAAAGTGAGCCATTTTAAAGTGGACAATTCGGTGGCATATAGTATTTCTCAGTGTTGTACAACCATCACCTCTATCTCTTTCCGAAACATTTTCATCACCCCAAACGAAAGCCCCGGACCCATTAAGTAGTGTTATAGACTGAATGCTTGTGTCACCCCAAAATTCGTATGTTGAAGTCCTGATCCCCAGTGTGATGATATTGGAGGTGGAACCTTTGGGAGGTGATTAGGTTTCTATGAGGTCATGAGGATGGGGGCCCTATCATGGAATTAGTGTTCTTTTAAGTAGAGGAAGGGATGTGAGATCTCTCTCTGCATGCACACATCAAGGAAAGGCCCTGTGAGGACATAACCAGGAAAAAGGCCCTCACCAAGAACCCCACTATGCTGGCACCCTCATCTTGGACTTCCCAGTTTCAGGAACCATTACAAACGAATATCTGTAGAACCATTACAAACCCAGTCTATGGTATTTGTTACAGCAGCCCGAGCAGACTAAGAAGCAGTCACCACCGATTCCCACTTTCTCCCAGACTCTGGCAATCACTAATCTGCTTTATTTTTCTGTGGATTTACCTATTCCAGATATTTTATGTAAATGGATTCATACAATATGTGGCCTTTTACATCTGGCCTCCCATTCTGGTCTTTTTAACATGTCTTCCATTTTTCTCATTGCCCCTTCCAATCTGTTCTCCACTAGCAGTTACACTGCTCTTTCTTTTTTCTCTTTTCTTTTCTTTCTTTCTTTTTTTTTTTTTTTTTTTTTTTTTTTGACGGAGTCTTGGTCTGTTGCCAGGCTGGAGGGCAGTGGCACAATCTCGGCTCACTGCAACCTTCGCCTTCCAGGTTCAAGCGATTCTCCTGCCTCAGCTTCCCGAGTAGCTGGGACTACAGGCACACGCCACCATGCCCGGCTAATTTTTGTAATTTTTAGTACAGACAGGGTTTCACCATGTTGGCCAGGATGGTCTCGATCTGACATTGTGATCTGCCCACCTCAGCCTCCCAAAGTGCTGGGATTACAGATGTGAGCCACCACACCTAGCCTACACTGCCCTTTCTAAACCAGGAAGCTGAGCATGCCACTCCTTTCCTGAAAACTGTTGCAAGGCTTCCCCTTGGCCTGGGATATATTCTGTGTGCTGTGCCTGCCTACTTCCCCAGTGTCAGCTCTTAGGCTCTGAGAGCCTCACACACCACTCCCCCTGACCATTGTTTCCAAACCCACCTCCTTTTTGTTTTTTGCACACAGCTAGGCCTTGCTATTAGGTTCGTGCAAAAGTAACTGTGGCTTTTGCCATTACTTATAATGGCAAAACACGTAGTTACTTTTTCACCAACCTAATATATGCTGTGGCCCCAGCATGTAACACTCTCTTCTCACTCACCACCCTTGACCTTGTGTTAGAAAGGACTTCCTCTAGAAAACCTCTAGATGGGGTCAGTACCCTTGTATGATCTCTTATCTCTTCTTCCAGCCTGATGGTAGTTGCCCTCTCTTTTGCACCTGCTGGTTGAATACCAGTCTTCCCACTGCTTCCTGAGGGCAGGCACCGTGTGGGTCTTGCTTACTGTTTACCTCTAGCACATGGTGAGCTGGCAGTAGTGTTTGTTTAATGCAGGACGGGTGATATTTTCAAGGGCTATCAGGTAGAAAAGTTTTTGAAAGGAGGGGTCAGATATTCAGCAGTAGTGTTATACATAGTCAGACCGGGGAAAGCCTTGAATGCCAACAGTTCAGAATTCATTCTGTAGGTGAAGGGTTAACAAATCTAACCACTACAGGGGGCAGGCAGGAACCATAGTGGGGAAAGGCCAAGAAAGATGCAGAAGTGGTGATGGGGTCATGGTGGGCCGTGGAGAGCAGGTGCCAGGGACAGAGCAGCCACCACTCAGTGGCAGCAGATCATTGCCAAGTAGAAACATGGGCTTAGAGTTGCCAGACTTTCTGACTTTTTAAGAGAAGTCAGAAATCAATCAATCAGTCTCAGTCTCTCTCTCTCTCTCTCTCTGCGTGTGTCATACAAAATCTCAATTTAAAAATGTTGTATCTAAATTATGTTTTTGAAAAACACAGTATAAGCCAAACAAAAGCCATCTGTGGGCTGGATTGAGCTCAGAGACTTCTAATTTTCAGCCTCTGCTAGAGGCATTTAAGTTTTGCTTGAGCTGGGAAGTAACAGATTGCAAGTGGCATTGTAGGAAGATACCTGCATAGGTGATACACAGGATATCTTGACAGAAGAATCATCTGGCTGCAAGTCCAGCTAGAAGGCTGGCACACCAATTTACTTGTTCAGCACCCACTGAGCACCAGGTCTGTGCCACACTGTGGGGCTGTTCCAGAAGAGAAGACCAAGGTGGCACCTGCAGGAACGAAAGCAACACGTCCTTCCTCTTGCTTATAGCCCCACTCAGTGCAATGGAAGGGCTCCAGCTTGCGCTATGCAGTTGGGTGGTCTGCTAGTCATGTGACTGTGATTTGGGGTCTGACCTCCTATGAGAGCTTGCATCCCTGGGGTCTCTGTCTTGTTCTTCAGTCTTGCTTCCCACTTCATGGCTGTGTCTTGCTTTTCTGTGACAGAGACCCTTGTCTTGATACCTGATCCAGTGTCTCAGCCCATCTGAAGCCAGTCCCATGACTTCCTAGATTTGAATGGTGATTTTTTACTACTTTTTGACAGACTTTGGGGTCGGCTTGCCGGTTTCACCCATTTTCACCTGTTCCTGAATTCCGAGTCTGTGTGGACACCTCTGTTGCTTTCTTTAGACCTTCCTAGTCCACGCTCTGATGGTCACTGCTGCCAGAGGTGACCCCTGCCATTCCTTTTTCCTTTGGGTGGGTGTTGTATTCTGCCTGCAGGCCTCAACTTCCCTGAGAGCCTGCAGAAGACTCTGTCCCACCAGGGTCTCCCCGCTCCAGCAGGTGGTCTAGTTCTGGATCCTGACCCTTTATTGCCGCACAGCTACATGCCAGGCCCCGATAAGGAGCGTCCACCCTTTCCTTAGTGACAACAGAAGTAAAAGTGTAGAACATTTACACACATTCCAGGGGTTTAGATGGGATAGGGGTCAAGTTAAACACTGAAAAAGTTATGGTCCCCCTTCCCATCCACCTGTGTCTTAAAAACCATAAAACTCCAAACTCATCTATACATTGGAATTAAAATAGCCTCTTTTCCAAATTTCAGCTAGCAAAATTCTGGTTGAATTGATTAAAGCTTTCTCAAGTTTTTCCCCTGCTTTCCTAGTGCCTTAAACATATTGATCTATATTGGGCCTGGGGTGAGGAGGATAGAAACGTTGTGAAGCCACCCAAGGGGGAGATCTGAGCAAAGCAACCATGAGAACAGGCTTAGGGTGGTGGTAAAGCAATGGATTTCCCAATAACTCTAGATCCTAGATGTCCCATAGTTCTTACCTATTGAATTAATGACATTTGTTGTTTGAAATAGAGCCTAAAATTAAGTGGTCATTGCCTAGATTTGAGCTTCAAATCAGACTTGTTCTGAATTCAAGCAAAGGCGAATGAAGCTTTTATTTTCGATTTTATTTTTATTTTTTAAAGAGAAAAAGGTTTCATCAATTTCAAAAGCTTCTCGGTTTATATCAAGATCCAAGAGTGGTTAGGTTAGATGTTAAAGATATTACCAAAAGCTATGGAGCAGGAAAAGGGGGAGACAATTGGCAGGAGGGAAATTTCTGGCAGACAGAAAGGGGAAAGCCCTGCTCATGCTGCGTGAGGCATCTGGAGGGCCAGGGAAGGACCATGTCAGCTGTCAATCAGCAAAGTGACAGCTCAGAGCTGACAGAGGCAGGCGGACCAGCTGAGTACAGCTCTGTTGCCTCCAGCACAGGACTCCAGTGAGCAGGGCAATGAGGAACATCTCAGCAGAGGATAGCCTGGACCTAGGTCTGCAGGGCCCCCTTCACTGCTGGGGGAAATGCTGGCACTTCATGGGAATGAGGAGAGGGAGAAAGACCTCTCAAGAGGGAAGAAGCTGTCCTCACATGGAGTTTAAACTTTGAGTGGTTTTAATTGGCTGCTTTGAATATTTTTGTTTTTCTGCCATCAGCAGATGTGGGGGCTCAAAAAAAGTAGAGTCGTTATAACAAAATAAAAGACTTTTTTTTTTTTTTTTTTTTTTTTTGCAATATCTGAATCACAGTGTGTACTTTTCAAGTCTCCCCATGCATGCACATATGTGCATGCATTCACACACAATATAGAATCATATGTAGTACTTCTGCAGATCTAAGAGATTGCTGGCTATTAAAAGATGCAAGCATTTTGAACTGGGAGGAGATAAGAAGAGAAAGGGCCAAGTGATCCAGTTCTAAGTGTCATCTTTTATCATGAAGACAATAAAATCTTGAGTTTATGTTCACTTCAAACAAAAATCATATGTAGTACTTTGGGAGTTGGAGACAAGGAAGAAGAAGGAATTCAAGATGACACTGAAGTGCCAAGTCTGAATGATTAGACCAGGGACAATGTCAAATATCTATAACATGAATAGGTAAGGGGTGTGGTGGATAAAGCTTGTTTGCCACAGATTGAAGGTAGCCAATTCTTCCACTCTGGAGGTAATCATTGGAGATACTCCTTTTGGACCCACCTTGCTCTGGGCTGCCTCGTCTCTGGCTAGAGTGGGTCTGTCTTCTTGTTGGCACTTATTTAGCTGGTTGGGGTCTGGAAGAGAACACAGTGTAATCAGACTGTGCCTCCATGGCCTAACCACCTCTTTCAATGAGCAAAAGTATAGTCAAATTAGTTTTTGTTACCAGTAGCAACTACAAAATAAACTGTAAATTTTTGATGTTAGTGTTAATTTAGCCTTGAACTTCATTGTAGAATTAAATTTAAAGTTTAGCATCTAAGAATCTTAGGATTAGAAGAAACCTTAGAGGCAATTAAATCCAACTTCAGCCCTACATAAAAATTCAAAGAAACACCTTGGTGTTTTATCAACAAGACAAGTTCCTTAGGGGGAGGGACTGTGCTTTACTTATTTTTGAATTCCCCATGCATTGTACAATGCCTGGAACATTGTAGGTGCTCCTTAAATGTTTCAGTGCTTGTCCAATATGCTTGTTAGTTGGTAATAAGCAAACCGGCATATTTTAGAATAAGTAATCTAAGTTTCCAAATCTAGAGTTTTGTTCACTGTAGACTACAGACAAGTTTAGCAGATGCTAAACCACAGGTTCTAGCTTACATGCTAGAAACATCTAAGTCAATGACGGTGATGGAGATGTCAGGACTCTGCAAACATTAAACATCTGGCTTTCTATGCTGACATACAGAATTAGGAATTAAAGCACTTTGTTTAAAAATATTTAAAAAACCCTTCAAGACTGGGAAAAGACACCCTTCTTTATAGCCAGGCAGACTAAAGACAATTGTGACGTATTGACATGTTTTTAACATTAATACTGGTTTTTTTTTTTTTTGTTTTTTTTTTTCTCTTGAGACAGAGTCTCGCTCTATCGCCCAGGTTAGAGTGCGGTGGCATGATCTTGGCTCACTGCAACCTCCATCTCCCGGGTTCAAGCAATTCTCATGCCTCAGCTTCCCAACTAGCTGGGATTATAGGAGCCTGCTACCATGCCCGGCTAACTTTTTTTTTTTTTTTTTTGTATTTATAGTAGGGATGGGGTTTCACCATATTGGCCAGGCTGGTCTTGAACTCCTGGTTTCAAGTGATCCGCCTGCCTCCTCCCAGAGTGCTGGCGTGGGCCACCGCACCCGGCCAACATTAATACTTTTCATGTTGAAAATATAGATTTCACATCTGGGAACAAAGAAAAAAAACAGAAGAATTTCTCCCCTAGGGATCAGCAATATCCCATCTGAAAGGACAAATCTAGTATGCTGGTTGGGTAAGCATAATTACAGCAGTGGCAGGACCTGGAGACTTTCTGATAGGAAGAGTCACAGCAGGGAATGAAGCCAAATAATAAAATAAAAAAACTTTCCAAAATGATGAGGGCCCAGGTTGTTACATCTCCATGACAACAGAAAATGCAATATTTACACCCTTATTTACCCTTCTATTCAACCAAAAAAATGCATGGCATTTGCCATGGTAACGCCTACATCATATATGCATGTATCACTTCAGATATGTGGCCTGCTATTCTAAAAACAACAAACACATACCAAGACATGAGCGTCATGTGAAACCTCTACTCATTTTACAATGTTTTGATGGAAAAATATGTCCCGCTGGACGTTAACATCTTTTTTTCTCAAGGACTGTGTTCCAGTTTCAGTGGCAGAAAACCCAGGTGTCCTTCTGCTTCTTTCTCTGCCTCCAGAGTCACAGTGAGAGCCATGTCGATGTGTCATTGTGAGTGGTCGGGGGAGGAAGTTTGGGCTAAGAGTGTCAGCCATAGGACAGGTGAGAGGGGGTTATGGTTTTGACAGGACAGGGAAGGTGGCTCTGTAACACAGGAGAGAGCTGTCTGTATCCCCAGAGTGATTTGAAAAGCCTCGATAATCCTTTTTTCCCCTGAAGCTTTCTTCCGTGGATTTGCATTGAGAGATGACATTCAGACAGTCACATCTTTCAATTACAGCAACGATGCTTTTAACTAGGAGAATAATTAATGGCTTACTTCCAAAGTAGCCAGTATCACCTTGGCTCATTAAAATTGATATATGAGCTTGTCCAGGCTCTAAGAGGATTGGGCTTGGGACTGAAAAGATAGGATAGAGGAGAAGGAAGGTGTTGAGAGTGGGGTGCTGCTGGGATGGCTTCAGAAGTTTGGGACCTCAGAAGAACTAGACACTGGGTGGCTGAGGGATGGGGCTCAAGGTTGTGAAAGAGGCAGGGGGCAAGGAGAGTGAACAAATAATCCAAGCTGCATGGCAGATATCAGGCTCTAAAAATAAACTTCACAGTTTTGTCCATGGCTGCCCAGGTTTTCAGCTTTCTAATGTACCCTGCTGTTGGCCTGACATGAAAGTTTGGGGTTTGGCTGAGAAGCAAAGCTTCCATGCCGCGCTGTACCACCTCCATCCCTATCCTCTCCTGAGCCCGCTGCAATAACATCTTTCCCAAGCACACATCCTTGGGATGACCAGGATGGCCACAGGAGAGGGCACTCTTCCATCAATTACCAACGTTTCCCGTCCCGATATTTTATTTGGCACCTCTCCTTGCTACTTTACTCTTATTGCCAGTTATATGGCCACTATTTTTGGTAGTTTCTGACCCAGAGAGTCTTGAGGAAAGGTCAGAGTGCCTGTATCTGAGAGTGTAGGGCTATTGTGTTCCATTCCCAGTTTAGAGTCCCACTGAGCGGCAGGTGCTTCTGGAGGCCTAGTCGCATTCATCGGGTGAAGCGCTGCACAGTGATGAACACATTGCAAAGTCTCAGTGACTTAAGATAGGTTTATTTATTTATTTATTTATTTGGTATTTCTTTTTTGTGAGACGGAGTCTTGCTCTGTTGCCCAGGCTGGAGTGCAGTGGCACTCACTGCAAGCTCCACCTCCCGGGTTCATGCCATTCTCCTGCCTCAGCCTCCCGAGTAGCTGGGACTACAGGTGCCCGCCACCACGCCCGGCTAATTTTTTGTATTTTTAGTAGAGATGGGGTTTCACCATGTTAATCAGGATGGTCTTGATCTCCTGACTTAGTGATCTGCCTGCCTTGGCCTCCCAAAGTGCTGGGATTACAGGTGTGAGCCACCGCACCCAACCAACATAGGTTTATTTCTTGTTCAGGCCTTGCCCAGTGCTTCCCTAGGGCATCTTCCTTCCAGGGCTTTACTCAGAAATGGAGGCTGCTCAATATTAAATAGCCATGCTTTTGAAGCACATTACAGGGTTGGAGGGGTCATGTACTGGCACATCCAGAAGTGGCATGCGTGCCTTATTTTCACTCATGGCCCATTGGTTGAGCTCATGAATATTCAGTGATCAGTAAATGTCTCTGCTATACTTATGATGTCCGGTGGTCAACTTTAGACTTGTGATTTCAAGAATAAAATGGGAGTAGTTAGGGCACAGTGATCAGTTATCAAGAGGTCAAAAAGATGAAATCTTCTGAAGACATCCACATAAAAGTTGGAAAAATATTTGTGTGCCACTTCTGCTGGGAAGGTGCTTTCTAATAAGCATTGTCGTCAGACAGATGGGACCAGCCAGAGACCAGCTGTGGGCTGCAGAGCCCCCTTCGCTGTACTGCCTGTTGCCTGTCATCCCCTCAGCATGAACAGGGCATGGCTCCTGGTGTGAAAAGACTCACGGCTGGAGCTTCTTGACTGTTCTAGGTTCTTGTCCCCCAAACACTAGATGATCTGTTGCTTTTGTATCTCAGGGGTTCCACCTGTTCCTGACACCACAGACCCCTCTCAGTGTAGAGTATGTTCCTTTGCCAAAGATATGAGATGCTGTTCTACCAAAGAAAGGGAGATCCAGTTGTTCTGAAAAATTCCTGAACTCGACCCAAATTATAAAAAGCAACCTCCCCAATCCCAGCAATTTCTGCTGAGGGATGTGGTGGCAGCTAATCAAAAGAGGTGTAATTATCACCTCAGAATGGTGAGTGTATCAGCTCTGAGGTGCAGCATGAGGCATGGGCTGAGGAAGCGGGAGGCACCAAACAGGATCTTGATGACTAAGCGCATCCCCGTGGTGACCAGGAGGGGACCAAGCCGGACTGGCCCTGCCGAGGGGAGAAGTGGTGTGATTCATCAAGGCTCACTTCCCGCGGGAAGCTGCCCCTTTTTGCTGGGGCACTGGCTTCTAGTCCAAGGCTGGGTGCTGCCAGTGCTTTCAGTCTGCACTACACAATTTACTGCTAAAATAAATGGTCTCCTGTGCAGATCTCAATGTTTGTGTGTATGTCATCACTGCTTGCCAAATACCGCTAAGTTAAAAGAAAGTAGTTCCTGTGTCTGCCTGCCTCTCAGCTGCTGAGAGATAGAGGAAGATCTAAGTTGGATCTTATCTGAGATCTTAGAAATGGCAAGCACAGATGATCTTACATCTAGTCCAAGAGTCTTATTGTGAGAGATTTAAATCATGAAAAGAAAAACAAGAAAGATGACCATGGTTTCTTGTCTATGAAAGAAGTGCCATGTTGTAACAAGCATCTTTTCTTATGATATTCATCTTTTCAATTGATCAGTTACCCAATATTAATAATGCCCAAGGCTGTCTGCTTTGGTTTTCTTGACAGCTCCTATGTGTAGGCAGACCGGGTAGAAATAGAACCATTTTTGCAGCAGTGCAGGTTCTCTTTCCTTTTCTGCAAGATCTACAACCTTTGACTGGGGGTGACTGTGCAATGGAGAAAGGAAATAACCACACCTTTCAGGGACTGCTGGATGCTGGCTCTGAACTGAGATGAATTCCAGGAGACCCAGAATGTTGCTGTGGTCTACCAGGCAGAGTAGGGACTTGTGGAAGTCAGGTGATCGATGAAGTTTTAGTTCAGGTCCATTTCACAGCGGACCCAATGGGTCCCCAAACCCATTCTGTGGTTATTTCCCCAGATCTATAATGCACAATTGAAATAGACACACTCAGCAGCTGGCAGAATCTCCACACTGGGAAACCTTCCTAACTTTTTCTCCAAACCTGCTTGCCTCCCTTATCTGCCCCTCCAAGCTCCTCTCCTCCTCAGCATCAGTTGCCCTTTCTTTGTGCTCTTACAGCATTGTTTATTTATCCTATTAAAATGTACATCACACTCTAGTATAATTTTTCATGCAATTGCTTTTCCCATGTGAAGGAAGCAACCATGTGCTATTCTTGCATCTCCAGCACCTTGCTTAGGGGCTAAGTAGATAAAAAATGTGTGAGGAATAACTGAATGAACCAGTGAATACATCACTGAGCCTCAGGGACATTATGACATTTATCCAGAACTTCCAACACTATGTTGAATAGGAGTGGTGAGAGAGGGCATCCATGTCTTGTGCCAGTTTTCAAGGGAATGCTTCCAGTTTTTGCCCATTCAGTATGATATTGGCTGTGGGTTTGTCATAGATAGCTCTTATTATTTTGAAATACGTCCCATCAATACCTAATTTATTGAGAGTTTTTAGCATGAAGGGTTGTTGAATTTTGTCAAAGGCTTTTTCTGCATCTATTGAGATAATCATGTGGTTTTTGTCTTTGGCTCTGTTTATATGCTGGATTACATTTATTGATTTGCATATATTGAACCAGCCTTGCATCCCAGGGATGAAGCCCACTTGATCATGGTGGATAAGCTTTTTGATGTGCTGCTGGATTCGTTTTGCCAGTATTTTGTTGAGGATTTTTGCATCAATGTTCATCAAGGATATTGGTCTAAGATTCTCTTTTTTTGTTGTGTCTCTGCCTGGCTTTGGTATCAGAATGATGCTGGCCTCATAAAATGAGTTAGGGAGGATTCCCTCTTTTTCTATTGATTGGAATAGTTTCAGAAGGAATGGTACCAGTTCCTCCTTGTAGCTCTGGTAGAATTTGGCTGTGAATCCATCTGGTCCTGGACTCTTTTTGGTTGGTAAGCTATTGATTATTGCCACAATTTCAGCTCCTGTTATTGGTGTATTCAGAGATTCAACTTCTTCCTGGTTTAGTCTTGGGAGAGTGTATGTGTCCAGGAATTTATCCATTTCTTCTAGATTTTCTAGTTTATTTGCGTAGAGGTGTTTGTAGTATTCCCTGATGGTAGTTTGTATTTCTGTGGGATCGGTGGTGATATCCCCTTTATCATTTTTTATTGCGTCTATTTGATTCTTCTCTCTTTTTTTCTTTATTAGTCTTGCTAGCGGTCTATCAATTTTGTTGATCCTTTCAAAAAACCAGCTCCTGGATTCATTAATTTTTTGAAGGGTTTTTTGTGTCTCTATTTCCTTCAGTTCTGCTCTGATTTTAGTTATTTCTTGCCTTCTGCTAGGTTTTGAATGCGTTTGCTCTTGCTTTTCTAGTTCTTTTAATTGTGATGTTAGGATGTCAATTTTGAATCTTTCCTGCTTTCTCTTGTGGGCATTTAGTGCTATAAATTTCCCTCTACACACTGCTTTGAATGTGTCCCAGAGATTCTGGACATTAATCCAAGAAAACCCAGCTCATAGCAGAGCCAGGCCTTGAACCCAGATCTCAATTTTAAGTCTGGGTTTCCTTTTACAGCATCAGACATCCTCACCCCTTACTGTTGACCTTTCCCTGGCCTTCTTGTTCACACGTTTAATTTGGTTTCTTGGTCACTCCTTTGCTGGCAGAGTGGTAGTTATCACTAGAATTGGCTACACAACTTGAAGGACCTAGTGCAAAATGAAAAGACAGGGGTCGTTGCTCAAAAATGATGAAGCATGTCAAGACAGCAGCAGCAGAGCGTTCAAGCAATGCGGGCACAGGTTGCCCGCCCATAAAATTGGGACCTGGTTTACTACAGAGTACCTTTTTCCCTTAAGGAGGTGTACCTGGTTTCTGACTGCATGAACTGTGACCTGTGTAGTTTGATTGTGTCTATTCCTGGGGCAAGTGGCTTGATCAGTCACCTCCAGTAGGAAGGGCATGGTGACAGACCTGTTGTAGAACTGAATTCCAGAGAGGAGACCATGCCCAGCGTGGTTGAGCCCCCACACAAGTTCTCCCCATGGGTTCCTTCTGTCCTCCTTCCCCTGCCCCAGAACAGTCCTCAGAGGGACAATAGGGTAGTGAGTGTGTGACGGGGTCACGTGAGCCATGTGGCCTTTCATCTTCCAGCTTCTGTGTCTGAATGACTCCCTCTGATTTCACTTAGAATCCCAAATAATCCACTTGCACAAAAACATCAGTGAGCTCTGTCACCTTTATGTGACACAGAGGAAACTTGACGACATATACGTTGCACATCTTAGTACAACTTATAATCCCTCAACAGCTGTTTCTCTTCTCCCCTTCCTCTTCTATTTCTCCGCTTCCCTGCTCCTTCCTTCCCTTCATGGCCCCCAGCCACCTTGGACCTACTCCCCATCCCACCTCCCCTGTGCTTCGGGAACTTCAGGCTCCTGGCCTTTATGAATAGTAGTGCAGTTCAGCCCTTCCAGCATCGAACTCCACATGGAGAGACACAGGCGACCCCTCAGTTGATGGGACCTTCTCCGTTTATAAGATGATCATCTTTGCTATTCAAGTGAGCCCCTTGGGGTCTTTTTCCCTTCATCTAAAGTCATTAATACATTTTCTAATGCATGTACAGTGAAAGAGTACAATTTTCTTTATTCTTATTGCCTCTTTAATTCTGGCTTTTACACAGGACATCCCCACTCCTGTCTAGCCATGGGGGTGGGAAGAGTGGGTGGCTGAGGCAGGGACCAAGCCTATTCTCTCTAAGCATGGCGAGGTCTTTTTCCCTGAGTCCCTGGCAGGAGGGGAATATCTTCCTGGCATCCTGAGTCTCAGTCCTGGATTTATGGTGCAGTGACCACTTTATTCACTGCTATGAGCCTACTTTTGCTTTGTAAGCCAACAGATTTGGTCCAGGCAAGTATCACCACCAGAAAGAAAGGGTAAACATTTCTTTTTCTGTTTTTTGAGACAGAGTCTCGCTCTGTTGCTCAGGCCGGAGTGCAGTGGTGCGATCTCTGCTCACTGCAATTCAAGCAATTCTCATGCCTCAGCCTCCCAAGTAGCTGGGACTACAGGAGCCTGTCATCACGCCTGGCTAATTTTTTTGTATTTTTAGTAGAGATAGGGTTTTGCCATGTTGGCCAGGCTGGTCTCGAACTCCTGGCCTCAAGAGATCCACCTGCCTCGACCTCCCAAAGTGCTGGGATCACAGGCATGAGCCCCTACACCCAGTTCAAACATTTCGATTTTAAGCATAGACTTTTATGCATTTTGGTATTGTCAGGAGAGAATGCTTTATATTTGGCAAGACTTTGTCTTAAATAAGAGAAGTGCTTTTCCAATAAGATGCAAACTTGAAAGGAAAAGAACACAGGCAAGAAATATTAGCTATTTGGGGGAAACAGACAGATAACTGTCTGCTCTCTCCTCAAGAGAAACATAACACCCGGATTAGTGTTACTAGGTGTGGTCTCATGAAGTCAGCTGGCTCAACGTTGGATGGAATCCTGCTCTTTGGGAGAGCAATATTCATGTGTTAATCTAGTATGGCAGTCAGTTTCTTTTCAGTGGAAGGAAAACTCAAATGAAAAATGCAAAGCCTTAGCATCTTTTCTGACCAAGCTCAGGGGTGTGGGTTTAGGCGATTAGCTGGGTTTTCATTCTCACTCCTGGGAGGGTGCCAGCATTGTCTTTTCCTGGATAGTGGAGTGTGTGGCACTCTTGCATGCTCCTTTTCCTTCTTATTTCAGTCCCAGCCCAACCCCTCCTCTTTCTTCTCATTTAAACCAAGCCAGTACTAACCCAGGGCAGCTCCACAGAGAGGGGCCTCTTGAGGATGGGAACCAGTTTTGCTTACAGTAGTGTCCCAGGATTTCGCTTAGTGCCTGGTGTACAGTAGCTGCTCAATAAATACTTGTGGACTACAGAAGAAAAATGGAATGGGGAACTAGCAAAGCAATCCCTGTGTAAAGCACTGTGGCCCCTATTCTGGAGCAATTTACAAACTCAAGAGCAGTAAGACTGAGTAGCGACTCAAGGGGCTATATTCACAAGCTTGGGGTGGTGTGGTGTTGGATGTGCTCATGCTTGTCTGTACTGGAGGTGACTGAGACTGATGCTGTTTTCAAACAGCAAGACATTGCCAGCAATCCTCAGAATCTGGAAGGCAGGCAGGAATTGGAATTGGAATGGATTAGCGGCTGTCTGCTTGTAGGCAAAGCTGTCTGAAATAGAGTGCAAGAATCATTGATGTCCATCATGGAACAAGATTCTATGAATTGAAAGGGACATTAGAAATAACCTAATTCAACCTCCCCTTTCTCCCCTTCCTGCTCTCCTTTGGCAGAGAGAGAAACTGAAACCTAAAGAGTTTAAGAGACGTATTCAAACCACATAGTTAGTTGGCAGGAGATTCTAGAACATATTCCTGATCTATTCCCAACTCCATTGCTCCCTGGCGATCTTACTCCTGGAAGTGGTTCTTAAACATTTCATGGTCACTCTTTGATAATTGGATGGAAGCTCTATACTTTTTGCATCACAAAATGCATATCCTCTGAATTATACAAAATTCTGCATATTCTGGGGATTCCTGTAACTTACTATTTATTCCCACGACCTCTGTTTATTTACACCATTGCCATTGGACAATGTCAGAAATGCCTCTGGGGTTAAACCAAAGCTTAATCTTCACTAAAGATTTTAGGTCCAGCCCCTTTTAAGGGCTACAGAGCCAAAAGGCAATTTTCCTATTCTGTTGGGGAGTGGTAAGAAAGCTGTAATTGTAAAATGAGATGAAAAAAGAAAAAACACTACAAAAGGACTAGTGTGGTTGAATCCCAGGGGTGAAAAACTTTCTGAGTGGAAGAACTTGGAGAACGTAGAGTCATTGCCCACAGTGGGGGACTCTGGCCTCACTGTCTGAAGGATTGCAAACATGCCTACGTACAGTCGTAGCACATATACCTTGGGGAACAATGTCTCTCTGGCAGGGGGCAAGTATAAGATGACTTAATAAATCTTTTCCATCTCTAATTTCTATGATTCTGTGAAATAAAAACATGAGTCACAGACCTTCTAAAAAGCAGGCCATTTCAGAGCTGGCTTGATCACCAAGATCAGAATTAAAGTTAATGTCTACATCTGGGAATTTAAATGTGCAGACTGTGGTGTTCACAGGGAGGCAGTCTGAAGGACATTCTGGAATCAGTTGATTTTCACACTGTTGCTTTTTAGCACTGGGTACTTCAGAAGGTGTAATAAAAAAAAAACAAAACCAGTCAGATCAAATATGTGAGGAGGGCTGTCTGACATTCTGTTCTTGTCCCCACATGAGGCTGGGACTTTCGTGTCCAGGAGACTTGGTTGCTGGTTCTGTGTCGTTACTCTATTTAACATCACCAGTACCGTGGAGAACTGCCATGGCCATAGGGATGCCCAGGTAGACAGAGATACAATAATGTGGTCTTGGGTCCATTCATTCATTCATTCATTCACAAATTTCGAAAGAATCCACCTGACCATGAGTCTATTCGTCATTGCATACTGTGTCTATCACATCAAAGCACCCTTGGATCTGCCTATTGAAATCAGAATAGAGCCCAAACTCCTTGAGGTGGCATTCAAGGCCCACCAGCGTGATCTGGCCCCTGCCTACTCTGGCCTCGTCTTCCTTTCCTTCTCCTCATTCACTGTGTTCAGCAAGACACCCTTATTTTGACCCCCTGGAATGCCAAAACCTTACTGATCTCAGGACATTGGCACTTGCTCATCCTTCTGCAAGAGTGACAGCTTTGATCTTTCCATGATGTCCTTATCACCCCTCAGGTCCCCAACTAAATATCCCCTCTTCACAGAGGCCTCCCCCTTGATCGCGTGAGCTAGTGCTGTGGTCCAGCTCACTCTCTAGACTTTCTCTAGAGCACTTGCCTGTACTGGGTAGCACCAGGTTTGTTTCTGTGTTTATCATCTGTCAGAAAATTAGTTCTAGGGCACAAAGTCTGCCTTGTTCACCACTGTATTGTTAGTACCCAGAGCTATGTCTGGTGTATAGTAAGTGCTCAGTAAGAACTTGTGGACTAACCGATTAAACAAACTTAAGTTAGACAACTACTACCTGCCAGGAACTTTCATATCTGTTGCCGTGTAATGTTTATAGCCTTATAAACTATCATCCGTATCTTATAGGTGAGGAAATGGATTTAGGCAGAGTGACTTGTTCAGGATCACAGAGCAAATAAGTGCCAGAGTGAGACTTAAGTCTTATAAACACACATTCCAAGCTCCACCTGCTAGACCCCCTCATGCTTTACAGGAGATCGTATTATGAGAAGCTTGAACACTTCAGATATTTGTAGGAAAAGCCTCAGCATTCTCTTCCTGATCTAGCCAGGGAGTTTAGCTCTTCCAAGATTTTCAGCTTGAGGCTTACAAACTTAGCTGATAACTCACCTGCTTCTGGAAACAGACCCAGGGAAGGTCTCAGTATGGCACCTTGTCCCCCTTCCTCAATCCTCTCCTTGTGACTTCCACTTCTGTTCTGAGCCACTTGGGAGTTGGCATCACTGACTCCATTCACCTACAGAGCCGCTGCCCTGCCTCGTCCCCTTACCCTTCACAGCCCAACCCTCAGGTTATACTGAGTTCAGAGAATTCTACCATAAGGCTGTCATAAGAAGAGGACCTGTCCCATGTCTTGGCAATTGTGTGGGCCCTCCCTTTTTCTTTCCCTACAGGTGCAGGGGCTGGTAATTAGATCCCAACTACAAACAGTCAAGGCATGGAGGGTTCTTAGGGTCAGAAACTCCTCCCCTATCCTAATCTTCCAGATCATTCTGAGAAGCCTGAAGTAAAAACAGTAGCATAATAGGGTTAAATCAGTATGCTTTATTCTTCCCCTTCCCTTCCTTCTTCTCCCACCCCCTTCTTTCTTCTCTTTCAGCAGGGAGCATTTACTGGGCACTGTCAGCCCTGAGTTAGGTGAGAGTGATTCAGGGGCAGATCAGACATAATCCCTGCGTTTGTCTAAGTCTGGAAGAAAGAGTTAGAAATGTAAACACATAGGTGTAATTAAATTTTTATTTTTCCCTCTTTAATAATCTGGACGTACAATTCTAGGTGACTGGGATTTTTCCTCGGAAGATACCACTTCAGCGCCTTTTGGACTTCGTTATTGCTGATGAGAAGTGTGTTAAACTCTAAGATTATCTGCTGTTCTTTGCAGATAATCTGTTGTTTTTCTTTTTCATGTTAAAGACTTTTAGAAAGAAACATTGATAGTATATAGTTTCACTATGATGTACCCAGGTATGGGTTTATCTTTATTTTTGATCTCAGAATTTGAAGTACACCCTAAATATGAGGGTTTTTGTTTTCTTTAATTCTAGAAAAATCTAAGCTGCTATCTTTTCAAATATTGCTTCTCCACCATTGATATTATTATGGACCTTTTTCTTCTCTCTTCCACATCTCTCTTAACTGTGTCTATCTGAGCTGAGATTGGTCTATGCTGAATTTCCCAGGCCTGTTTTTCTTTTCTTTTTTAAAATTAAAAATTTTAAAAATATAATCACAAACTTACAAAACAGTTGGAAGTATAGTACAAGTAACTTGTTTTCTACAGACCTATTTGAAGGTGAGTAGCTGACCTGATGCTACATCACCTCCACATGTTTTGGTGTGTTTCCTATCCCTAAGGACATGCTCCTACATAGCCACAAGGAAATTGTCAAGATCAGAAAATTAACAGTCATGTTGCTACCAGACTCCCTTCAAAGCTCACCCTGTTCCAATTGTAGCAAAATTATTCAGGCTGGAATCACATGTTGCATTTAGTTGTCATGTCTCCTTTCCTTCTTTTGGTCTGGAATGGAGCCTCAGTATTTCCTTGACTTTCTTGAGCATGAGCTTTTGAGGAGTTACAGGCCAGTTAGTTGACGGGATGTTCATCAGTTTGGGTTTATCTAATGTTTCTTCATGATAAGGTTGATCTCACACACCTTTGGTGGGAATATCACAGAAGTGGTGGGTATTCTTCTCACTGTATTCCATCAGGCGGCACATTATTTCACATTGTCCCATTACTGATGATTTTTCTTTGATAGCTTGACGAAGGTGGTGTCTGCCAGACTTTGCCAGGGTAAAGTTATCCTCTTCCTCTTTCTAATTAAAATGTGTTTTATGGGGAGATACTTTGAAACTGTGTAAATATACTGTTTCTTATCACACGTTCAATTCATTCGTATCTCTATGAACTGATGGTTTCCTGCTCTATTTAATGGACTGTAATCTGGTACTCTTATTTATTTTGATACTGAAATTGTTCTTGATTTGGCCATTGGGAGTCCACCCAGGCTGCTTCTGTGTTCTTTGGATATATCTCCATCATTTTTTGAGGATCTCCTTGCTTTTTAGTATGACAAAATGTTTTAGTCTCATCTTACACTTTCCCTAGCCCAATACTGGAATTTTTTTAAGAAACCCTGATCTTGCAGTACAGAATAGTACTTAGAAGCCAATATCTGGGTAGTAGGTGTGCTCATGGTTCTTGTGGTATCTGTGCCCCAAGGCCTTCTCAGTGGACAGAGCTAGGGAATATGTACATGTGTATTCTATATACATACGTATATACATAGAGTAGATAGATATATGCATGTATATAAACATATGTATGTATGTATGCATATATGTATGCAACATACAGGCTGCCCCCACATGTGAGTTCCCTCTTTACTTGGCTTGGTTTCCAGGCTGCTGCTCCTGCATGGATGATCTTCTCATGCTGCTTGATCTACCTTCTTTTTAATTTCACTAATTATCTCTTTGCTTTTAGTCTAGAGTACATTACATCTTTGAGTCTTTAAAAATTGCAGTGACTATATTTTTCATTTCCAGTATTTCAAATAAGCTTTTGAAAATCATGTGTAGCAGTCCTTTCTTTCATTTTTGTGTTTTGTTGTATAAATTTTTGGTCATGTTTAATGGTGTCTTTCTTTCATTTATTTCTCTGAGTATCCTAAATGCTTACCAACATTATTTTTTGAAATTCTACCATAGAGTTTATTTCATCTGGAGTGAATTTGCGTTCAAGTTTGTTGGCTAACTTTCCTGGTATTAGGTTTCTTGTGTTTTAGAATTTTGGTTTGCGGGTTTAAGTGAGAGCTTTTGTTGTTTTCTTTTTTTCTCTCTCTTAATATTCAGTTCTTTTTTTTATTGTTCCATTTTTGCTTTATCACTGAGCTGCCAGGTCTTAAAATTGAGATTTGATTGCAGACTCAGTTTCTTGTCATGAAGCTTTGTTTCTTTGTTCCCATATCCCTTGGCTCACAACTTCTTATGAAGCTACAGTTCCCTTTATGAGGTCAGTAACCTTTTATTTTCTAGCTGTTAACATAATCAAGAAAACTCCAGCCTTATGGCTTCTTGCAGGGAACCTGGCCCAATGCCTACCCACAAGTGGGGAACCTTTAGTTCTCATTACCCTGTCTTGCTTCCAGCAGCTTCTGGCTATCACTGCTTCTGACTCCAGAACCCAGCAGGCCCACAGTGTCAGCCCTGAATTTAGATTTTTGTAGATATTTTGAGCATAGATATGTCTTATGGTTTCATCTCTTTTTGTCTATTATTTGGAAGAAAGTTGTTAAAAGCAAAGGTTTAGGCAAATTAAATTTAGCAGAGTTTATTTAAGCAAAGAATTATTCACAAATTGGGCAGCCCTCAGAACCGGAACAGAACCTTGGAACAGGTTCAGAGAAACACCGGTTGGCTACATGATCAGGCAGCATTATATGGGCAGAAAATGGAAATGAGATACAGAAAACAGAAGTGAGGTACAGCGTCAGCTTAATTGGTTATAGCTTGGCGCTTACCTTATTTGAACATAGTTTGAACAGCTGGCCACTTGTGATTGACTGATGGTCAGCTGCTGTGATTGTCTGAGACTCAGCTATTTGTTACAGAAACATCCTTTTAAGTTAGACTTTCAGTTAGTTTATGTACTAAGTTAGGTTACAGTTTGTTATGTAAGGACCCAAGTACAAAGGCATCCTCAGGCCAAATTTAGTCTAATTTAACAGAGTGGAAGGCAAAGAATGAAGCTATGAGTCTATCTTGACAGAGAACCTTATTCTTATTTTTTTAATGTATGAATCTGTGAACCCTAGACCTTCCTTAGCATCATGAGACTTCTCTACAACTTTTAACCACATACATGGAAACTCAGTCCCACCCATGACTTCTGGAAGTAAGGAATGTACAGTCCTTTACAAAAGTCTTACTACTAAAGGATCAAACACATTTGGCGATCAGTAGATAGTAAAAGTCAGTTCTTTTCCCTTCAAGGTTATCCTAGCCCATACTGAATGTCCTCTGATGGGCCTTAGAAGCCTCTTCTCTGTCTCCTCCCTTCCTTCTCTTCCTCATGATCAACTCTACCTTTCCCAATCTTTCCTCTTCTCCTCCCAGCTTCCGTTTGTTCCTCTCTGTGGAGTTGGGGTGGCTGGTGCTGGTGGACATGGTGGGGATGTGTATGCTTCAGGTACTGCAATAGAGAAGGAAGGTCATGAAGAAGAGGGGCTGTGCCTGAATATTCTGAGAGCAAAACTCTGGTGTGTTACTTAAATGTCTCAGTCTCTTTTCCCTGAATTTCAAAGATCTTTTATTATGTTTTATGGCCAAGTTCCTTGAAAGGAGACGATCTTGCTCCCAGTTCCAGAAAAGGAGAGGGAAGCGAAAGAAAACTTAATTCTGCCATATTTTCACAAAATTAATTTGGTCCCCATTAAATGTCACAGAATATGTTGCTTTGGAAAACTTTTAGTCCCCATTGTAAGTTCTTAGAGCCACAAAGCAAATCTAAGGTACATCTGGAAACTTCTAACTCATTCTACAAAGTAGAACAAAAACCAACAACTTCTTGAACGCTTTTGAGGAATAAACTGAGGCACATAGGCAGAATTCAATTAAAAGCACATCATAAACTTTTAAAAGTATCGTGACAGCAGTAGAAGCATCTGACCATTTCAGGACAAGACTTCCAGTTACATGGAAACCAGTTTCATTTCTCCAGTCTTTGCAGAGCCTAATAATGTGGTACAAACATGAGGTTATTTTACTTTATTTGAAAAATAATTCATCTCATTTTTTTTCAAGTTCTCTCAAATGAAATCTGCCTGGTACCTCCAAAAGCTGGAAGCCCTTTTTTTGTTGTTGTATTTTTGCACAGTTCAGATTTTCTGCTTCTTCAAAGGGTCAGTTTGTACAGTGTCTCTGGAATCAGGCAATCTTATGTCAGAATCCTCTCCAAATATTCAGATTGTAATTACTATGGTGCCAATGGAAAACAGCCTCTTCTTAGACAAAAGGATGATGATGGTAGAAGCAGAAGGCTATCTGTCTGCCCTCAGTTCCTGAGGTCCCAAGAAAAGAAGTTTTTTGTTAGAGGAATTAGACTGTGGCTCTAAAGCATATGGAAAGCCTCTACCAGTAAGTTATATAATCAGGGACTAAGTTCTTTGGGGTATGCAGCAGATAAATGGTCTTTTTGACTCTTGACACTGGTAATTGATCACCTGCTAGAATGAATCATGAAGGGAGGGTATGTGAGAACAGGAGGGACCTTTCTATAATCACGAGTTTCTAAATCCAAAGGCTGTGGTGACTGTAAGACCCCTCTCCAGTTTTGGTGGCTCCTAAAAAATAGGGCATATTATAATGACACATGGATGTTTTATAGTCCCATCTATCTAGGTATGACAATATTAATTGAACTGTCAGATTGCTCGGGACTGAGATGCTTGGTCAAAATACTTGGAATTACAGAGAAAAAAATTCCCAGGGGGTCAAAGCAGGTGTACTCAATGTGGAATGCAAAATTCACAGAGTTAGTGTTGCCTGCCTGCTTTTATCTGGTCAGAGATTCCAGGGAGCTGTGGGGCTCATTCATGCTTGAAGGATTATATTAAGATGCCTGGATCTTGCAGAGCTGTCTCAGGCCAGCATGTTGTGTGCACAGCTGGTTCTGTTACCTTAAAACACCAGTTAGTTTTGAATTAAGGCTTTGATGAAAGATGTCAGTGTTGATCTTGGGAAACTCTTTACACATTAATTCAAGAGACGTGTTAGCTAAAGAGTTTGGGGCATATGTTTGGAGATGTACTAAGAGGAGAAAGGGAAACAAGGTATTATTTCTATATTACCTGACTCTGGTTGGGGAAAAGTGTTAGACCTTGCCACTTTCTGAAATTTCGGTTGGGAATTAAAACACAGATTACTATTGGTTTTAAAATGTTGAGTTCATTTAATCATGAACACAGCATTCAGCATTTTCTCAATGGATATATAGCAGTGCTAACTGTAAGAAAAAAGAGGAAAATTAACTTTTCGTCTTGTAAATAGCAACCCAGAATTCTAACTGCCCAGGATTCTGAAGAATAAATTCATTGAGGCCGCCCAGTTTTTGCAACTGCCATGAAACCACTTAAAGATTTTATGTCTGAGAGCCTTGCTCAAGATTGTTATTTAAAAACGACTGTAATGTGGAATACAAGTGCCTTAAGGAAACTGTCCTAGAAACTCATAGTCCAAGGCAGGTGAGTTCTGGCCACTGTTCGGTTGGTCTAAGAGAAGTACCATTGTATGGAGATTTTAAGTAGTGTCTAGTTGGCTGTGCCCAGCCAGGAGGGTGATGGGAGGGTGAGCATATCACTTCCCTATTTTCTATTCATTGCCTTTACCAATCTACCCCAAAATTGGGAGTTATCAGTCCTAGAGCACCCACTCGGACCTGCCTATTTGTCTTCTCACACTTGTCTCGCTTCTACATGAGATAAGTTATGCTTTTTCTTGTCTTCATATCTTTGTTCACTCCATTTCTTTTATTTAGATCCCCTTCTGCTTCTCAGAGTTCTTCCCAAATCCCCTGTTTCTGAGGTTGCCACATAACCCTTTGGAGCTAGATGTTCAGTAAATACCTAAGACATGAAATGAAATGAAGTGAAACAAAATGAAATAAAAAAGGGTCATCACAAGATCCAGCTTTTTCATACCTTCTCCCTGTGAGGTGCCCTTTAGTGGCTTCCTGGTCACTAAAGGCATTCGCCATCGGTAGGACTGCCCTTGACTGGGCGCTGCTGTTACCCCCAAGTCTCCAAGCTGCTCTGTGTTTTCAGGAGCCCTCCAATGTGCCAGGGCAGGATTGGAGAGCTGGGCATGTCCTCTTCTCTATTACTCTTTGCTTTAAGGGTACAAAAACAGTGTTGCTTTGTCTGTTTCCTACTGGGAGCTCAGAGTAAACACAGCTATACATTCTTGATTAACATCTCTCAGCCTCCTTGTAATTCAGATACATCCAAGTGAGAGGCATCATGCTGTAGTGCATTCATGCATTTATTCATGGACGAATGAATAAATTCATGGACGAATGAATAAATGGATGAATGGAGTACAGCATGATATCTCAATTCAGTGATATCCTGCAGATCTGACTCTGAACCAGTAAGGGGTTCAGGGTCAGATCCATAGGATACAATGGTGATCCAGTAGATAGCATCCTTGCCCTCAAAAATTTAGGGCTATAGTACTGAGCCAACTTGGTGTGTCTACCTCCTTTGTCTTTAGGTGTTTTCCCTGTAAGCTTCCTCTGATTCTTAGGGGGTGGATTCTGGGCAGGTCTGTCCTGCTCTTCTGCCAGGTGAGGCCAGGCAGGTGTAATGGGGCTGGATTTAATCCTACCTGGAGGTGACAGTGGGCCATGCAAGGGGTGGGGGAATCTCTGTGTCTTTCATTCCCTCCCTCCCAAGATCAGGTGCTTGGGGCTTACCCTTTCACACTCACCCTTGACTCAATATCAGACTCCTACCCTCCTACCCTCGGTTTCAGAAGGTTTATAAACCTGATGAATAGGACTTGCCCATGTGGGACAGTTTGGATGGCAAGGCCGATTCTTGCGTGGTATGCAGCTGATGGTGGAAACAAGGACAGCTCAGATGGCCGTTCAAGGCAGGTGGCCAAGGAGCGCACAAGAATGGTGGCTGATGGTGTGCAGGTTGGGATCAGCTCCTGCCTGGATCTTAGGTACTGGTCAATGACCACATGTGTTGGGCACGGCCCTGGGCAGTCACTCAGAGCTGACCCAGCTCCTTTTGGTCCTGTCTGTCCAGTTCTGGCCTCCTCACTGTAGATTCACAGAGCTCTGCCCAGGTCAGACTCTCCACTTCCTAGCCTGGGCAGCTCTCCTCTGCTGTCCATATCACACTCTCCGGTCTTTGTCTATTTTTTTTTTTGACAATCCACTCATTCGAGCAGTTTCTCAAAGAGGATGCTATTGGCATTGTGATAATTAAATAGTCATAATTAAATCCCTGCCCCCAGATTTCCAGCTTAACCCTACTTCCCAACTCCACCATCCTTGAGAAAGAGGGGGAGGTACCACTTCTCTCGCAGATCCCAATGACAGGGTCATGGTCACAAACTCTAAGCCTTGTTTCCTTCAAAGTTCAGCTTTTGATTCTCAAAAACTTTTTTTCCTCTCAAAAAGGCTGGTTTCTATAACACAAAAATGTTTGGATTTCCCCAATTATCTTGTTTCTGTTATGTATTTTTAATATCCATGTACAAGCTTAGAAACTGAATATTAAAATGGCCTTTTTGCATCCCTGCTGTTATTCTACCTGGGGCAATGAATGGGTGGGGGCGGATAGGGCCTGGCATTTCCAAGGAAAATCTGTGTTCAACATTTCCAAATTTCAGTGCAGTGCCCATGTCTGTCTCAGCAGAAAAAATATAGCTTAGGCTCCAGTGGGCGCCTTACTCCATCAGCTGTAGCTTTCTATGATGTCACCTGGAGCATCGTCCACCCCGACATTGGCCCCGCTTTAATCAAGATAGAGAAAAATATAGCATGGCTCCTTAAGATGTCCAAAGCTAAAATAGAAGAATCATTTGCCAGGGGGTAGGGGGTACAGATTTAGGAAAGAGATGACAAGACACATTTCTAGTTTGAAGCGAGTAGATATGTAGCAGAAGGCAAGGACAACTTTGGAGAAATTGCAGAGCAGTTGAGGGTCCCAGGCCCTCAGGCAAAGGCTAAGAAAATTATTCAGAATAAAAGCAGAATCTCATTAGAAAATATGTGTGAGGTAGATTTGTAAATAATGAAGAACTATAAAAGCCGAGAATGCTTATCTTGCTTCACTAAAAAGTGAACAGCAATCAGAATGGCAAAGAATAAAAGACGTAAAAAGAGTAAAATGGCAAAGAGCCTGTTAGTACTAAGTGTGGCCAAGGGGGTGGTGGGGTGGGGAGTGAACATTTGCTTACTTAGCCATTAAGATGGTGAATTCAGATATCCAGATTCTGGAGTATAGTTTGACAAAAGTATTGATATCCTTAGAAAATATATACTGTTTGATAAAGTAATTTCACTCTTGTATATACGAAGAATGTTTATCCCAGCATTATAATGGAGAAAAATTGGAAAATATCTAAATGTAAATCAGCTAAGGATAGTTAAATAAATTTATGGCATGGCCATTCACCATGATAATGTTGATCTGTATTTATTGATCAGGAAATGTAACCATCTGTTTTTTGTTAAATTTTTTTTTGACATACAATAAAAGTACATAATTAATATATAAAACTTGCTGAGTTTGAAGGTAAGTATATCCCCGTGAAACCATCACAGTAACCTATGCCATAAACCTATCTGTCCGTCACTTACAATCACCTCCAAAATTTCCCCGATTCCTTTTATTATTACTTTTGTGATGAGAGCATTTAACATAAGCATATTTTAAATTGTACAATACAGGATTGTTAACTGTAGGCACGATGCTATACAGTACATCTCTAGGACTTATTTGTCTTGTATAATAGAAATTTTGTACCCTTTGACTAACTTCTCCACATTTCTCCTCCCCTATCATATGTTTTTGTTTTGTTTTGTTTTGAGACAGAGTCTCACTCTGTCACCCAGGCTGGAGTGCAGTGGTGCGAGCTCGGGTCATTGCAACCTCTGCCTCCTGGGTTCAAGTGATTCTCCTGCCTCAGCCTCCCGAGTAGCTGGCATTACAGGCACTCACCACCACGCCTGGCTAAATTTTGTATTTTTAGTAGAGACGGGGCTTCGCCATGTTGGACAGGCTGGTCTCAAACTCCTGACCTCAGGTGATCTGCCTGCCTCGGCCTCCCAAAGTTCTGGGATGACAGGCGTGAGCCACTGTGCCCGGACATATGTTTTTTAAGTGGGAAAAAAATAAGACAGACTATAAAGCATCTAAAGATAGTGTCATGCCATCTTGGTAAACATTTTAAAATTTTATATATATATATATATATATATATATATATATATATATATATATATATATATATATATAAAATTTCCAAACTATTTACATATTTATATATATATATATGTTTGGAAATGTCTAAAAGGATGTATGCTAAAATGCTATCTCTGGGCTGTAAGATTGTAGGCGATTTTCATTCTTTTCCTTATAATTTGTATTTTCTGAATGCTTGGTAAAGAGAATAATCGGAATAAAAGAAGGTACTTCCCCTTAGGAATCCAGTTTAGGTTATTTGTGCTTTTCTTCTCATCAGTAGCCAGAAAATGGTTGGGAAAAATGGGACAGACAGAGCAACTTGTAAGGGTCCTGAGACTGCCCTGGGAGCCTAAGGTGATTATAGCTTTTCTTTCTGGAATAAAGAAAAAAGATTCAATAAACAGTTAAACAGAGTTTGGATTTCTTTTAACTTTTGTTCTGCCAAGTATATAGCCCATGTGTAAGAAGAAGGTATTTGTCATACCATACTAGTGTTTTATTTATTAGGAGGAAATGATGTATTTTGATGTCCTCACAGAGGTAAATGGAGCAGGCTTATTTGTCTCTGTAGGACTATTTGCACTTTTTATCTTTCTAACAGCATCAAAATGGAGCTGACTCCATCAAGATTGCCTTATGCTCATTACCTTAGGGGAGGTCTGAATTGGCTGGAGGAAGCAGGCATGTGGGGAAAAATGGAGACCAAGCCCCAGAATGGTTAATCAAGTGTGGTTTAGAAGCCCAGTTTCATATTATTTATTTTTCACAGGAGTTTTGTTCTTTAAACAAAAGAAACAAGCGCAACAAGCATGGCCATACCTTAGTGGGTCCACAGTTAGGTCTGAGCTTGGACCTGTCTCCTCTGCATCTGCAGTGGAGCCACGCCTCACTCGACTCAGTAGCAGGTCATGTGTATGTGGGAATATTAGGGATTGTAGGAGGGTTATTAGCATCACTGGAAGCCTCAAATTTGAATTCAATCTTAAAAACTGGTAGTTTAGGGGGAGCTGAATGATGAGAACACATGGACACATGAGGTGCAGGGGGAACACACACACTGGGGCCTGCAGGAGTGTGGGGGTGGGAGGAGAGAGAGAATAAAGAAGAATAGCTAATGGATGCTGGGCTTGATACCTGAGTGATGGCATGATCTATGCAGCAAACCACCATGGCACACGTTTACCTGTGTAACAAGTCTGCACATCCTTAGTTTTATTTTTTAGACCACTTTATTGGGGCATGATTGACATGCAAAAAGCTGTGGATATTTAGGGTATACAACTCCATGAATTTGGGGAGAAGTATACACCTGTGAGACTATCACTACCATCATATCAAGGCCATAAACACATCCATCGCCTTCCAAAGTTTCCTCCCACCTTCTTTATTATTGTCATTATTATTTAATTATTCATCTTGGTGGTAACAACAGTTAACATTAGGTTTACTCCCTTAGCAAATTTTAAATATACAATACAGTCTTGTTAGCTATAGGCACCATAGTAGATCTCCAGAACTTATTTATCTTGCATAACTGAAACTTTGTACCCTTTGATCATCACCTCTCCTTTCCCCTGCCCCCAGGGCCCTGGCAACCCACTGTTCTACTCCCTGCTTCTGTGGGTTAGACTATTTCAGATTCCACATGTAAGTGAGATCATACAGTATTTGTCTTTTAAAGAAACCACCAGTATTTTATTACTTTTATGCCAGGAAGCCTCTAAATTTTGTATTATGTACATCCTTTAGTGAATAGAAAAGTGTGCTGATAGCTTTTGTGAATGTATTTCTGAAAAGTGCAAGAAAATGCATTATTTACAAGCAGGTTAAACATTCCTCCTGCAATTTCATTTATGAGCTTAATTTTCCCAAACCCTCATGAATATCAAAAGGTAAACTCCATCTCAGCACACAATTAGTGGCTTTATATATATAATTCTTATTTGATCATTAAAACAGCTTCTGAGCTCTGCAGACCAATCTCTTCTCCCCTCTTGACCCTGCCAGCCTTTATTTTGCTCTAGCTTTATGCAATGACCTCCACCCCTGCCAGCCTTTTTGTCTGACTAGGCCCACATATGTGTAACTGAAATATCATGAATTCCAGATGAGTAGGATCCAAATTTGTGAGCTTATTCTATATGCTTATTAATTCCACTGCCCCACACAGGTGGAAATGTGGTTTTGAGAGATGTTGGACACTGTGAATGTTCTCCATGCACTGCAAGGATGGAAAAAACATGTGCTAAATAACTCTGAGCTGACCGACTGTAAAAACTCATGGTGCGCAATAGCTCTTAAATTTTTATAATGGCCTGCTTACCTTTGGTGGTCTCATTACAAGGCTTCAGTAATTGTTATGTTGGGATTCCGTCTAATGGTGGAAGCATGAGGTAACATTGTTTTAAGATTTCTTAAATGAGTTAATACCTGGGAGGTGCCCTTGCCCCTTTTCACTCATTAAACAGAATGTCTTTGTCTCTTAGCTTATATTAAATACATTTAAGGGGACAAAAGAGTTCCTAAAGGGAATAAAAAAATGTACTGGAGTGAGATGTAAGAATGCACCTAGTCAAACCCTGCATACAAGCTTATGATGAGAAGCTAGGTGGTGGTCTACTTTGTTAGGTTAGAAATGTTCTTAAAAGAACACCAGCTACCAAAGATGGGAACTGTGTGTATATATTGAAATAAAGTGGGAAAACCAGGTCAGCCTGAGGATTAATAGGAGGCCAAAGTGGCTTTAAAAAATAGGCAATTGAAGCAAAGTGCTTTTAAAGTTTCACTTATTTAATTAAAAGTCACAATTATTCATTTATCTGAAGCTATGGTTTCTTTCTAGATTCATGGTTAAGAATATTGATTCTGGTGCTAGACTTTCTGTCTTCAACTGTGGGCTAGCTTTGTCATATTGGGTGAGTTGTTCACTTCTGTAAGCCCTAGTTTTCTCATCTGGTAAATGGGGAAGACAATAGTATCTTATAACATTGTTATGTGGCTTTTTTTTTTTTTTTTTAGGCTTTAAGTTTTAGGGTACATGTGCACAATGTGCAGGTTAGTTACATATGTATACATGTGCCATGCTGGTGCGCTGCACCCACTAACTCGTCATCTAGCATTAGGTATATCTCCCAATGCTATCCCTCCCCACGCCCCACCCCACAACAGTCCCCAGAGTGTGATATTCCCCTTCCTGTGTCCATGTGATCTCATTGTTCAATTCCCACCTATGAGTGAGACTATGCGGTGTTTGGTTTTTTGTTCTTGCGATAGTTTAGTGAGAATGATGATTTCCAATTTCATCCATGTCCCTACAAAGGACATGAACTCATCATTTTTTATGGCTGCATAGTATTCCATGGTGTATGTGTGCCACATTTTCTTAATCCAGTCTATCATTGTTGGACATTTGGGTTGGTTCCAAGTCTTTGCTATTGTGAATAGTGCCACAATAAACATACGTGTGCATGTGTCTTTATAGCAGCATGATTTATAGTCCTTTGGGTATATACCCAGTAATGGGATGGCCGGGTCAAATGGTATTTCTAGTTTGTTATGTGGCTTAAAGGAAATAATCCATGTAAAACATTTAAATAGCATGATGACTGGACTCAATAAATACTGTTAATTTATGAGTGGTTCTTGTTCCACAGATGGTGTTATTTCTGCTCTAGACTTGAAGGATGTAATATATTTTTAATATATACTTTGTGTCTTCACACATATCTTTTTTTTTTTTTTTTTTTGAGACAGTCTTGCTCTGTTGCCAGGCTGGAGGGCAGTGGCGCAATCTCAGCTCACTGCAACCCCCACCTCCGGTTCAAGTGATTCTCCTGCCTCAGCCTCCTGAGTAGCTGGGACTACAGGCACCCGCCACCATGCCTGGCTAATTTTTATTTTTTATTTTTTGTATTTTTAGTAGAGACAGGGTTTCACCATGTTGGCCAGGATGGTCTTGATCTCTTCACCTCATGATCCACCCGCCTTGGCCTCCCAAAGTGCTGAGATTATAGGTGTGAGCCACTGCACTCAGCCTTCACACATATCTTATTTGATTCTTCCCACCATCTTTTGCGCTAGGCAGGGTAGGTGTTATTATCACCTTGTAATAATCAGGGTAGGGTAGGTAATATAGTTTGGATATTTGTCTCCTCCTAATCTCATGTTGAAATTTGATCCCCAGGGTTGGAGGTGGGGCTTGGTAGGAGGTGTTTGGGTCATGGGGGTGGATCACTCATGAATGGCTTGGTGCCTTCCCCATGGAAATGGGTGAGTTCTCTATTAGTTTATGTGAGAGCTGGTTGTTGAAAATAGCCTGGCACCGCTACTCTTGTTCTCTCTCATCCTCCCTCTCTGGTCATGGGATATGCCAGCTCTCCTTCTTCTTCTGCTATGATTGGAAGCTTCCTGAGGTCCTCACCAGAAGCAGATGCTGGCACCATGCTTCTTGTACAACCTGCAGAACCGTGAGCAAAATAAATCTCTTTTTAAAAATAAATTATCCAGCTTCAGTTATTCCTTTATAGAAACATAAAACAGACTAAGACAGTAGGCTTCAGTAATAAATAGGCCCCCAAAACTTTGGTGGCTTAACCCAATCAATGTTTACCCATTGCTCATGAAACAGTCCAAGGAAGGTATTTTGGGTTAGAGGGCAGCTTCTTTCACAGGGTCATTCTGGGATATATTTTCCAGCTTTGCCATCCTTTAATATGTAGACAACCAGGTCCTCATCATTATCCACGTGCAACTGGTGGGAAGAGGAAAAGGTGGCACAATAAATTTTTGGCTTGAAAAATGGCTCACATCACTTCTGTGCATATTCTGCTGGGTAGGAATGACAGTTACATGGCCATGTGTAACTGGAAGGGACACCAAAGATAGAGTCTAGCTGTGTGCCTGGGAAGAAGATGAAACATATGACAGATTTATGGTGAAGAGCTAGCGGTCTCTGCCACACGTACATTTAACAGGGTGAAACTGAGTTCCTGGGAAGCTAATGCAATTTGCCCAATGTGGCATAGATCTTTGTAGCCATCGTCCAATATGTTGGGATATGATGTGAATCCTAGCTAGAATCGTAACTGGGGGCAGCGGGGCAGTGAAGAGGATGTAGAAGGAAAATAAGACAGAGCTGAGGTCACGGAGAGCTAGCCGGACATGTGGCGTGGGGATGCCCATCCAAGCAAATTCCCTGGAGGGTGCTCACAGCTGCTTTGTTTAGTGCTCCATGCCACTTTGCTTGCATTTCTTGCTGTTTCTTTTTCCCATTTGTAAACGCCTGCTGGGCCACTTGCCCTGGGTAAAGAAGTTTCAAATCTCCACTGAGATAAAACAATAGCACCTCCCCAGCTGCTATTGTTGCAGGCACCCTGGCTGCAGGCTCAAGGAGAAAACCTTGAATCAATTTGCCTCATGGAGGCCGAGGAGTTGGCTGCCTGCCCTTCACAACTTGTTAAAGTGAACACTTAGACTCTAGGGGGGCGAGAGGGTTGATTCTCGCTCCGTGATCCTCCCCACTGATTGTTTTAGGTGCTGGGATGTCAGTGTCACAGTTCTGGGGTGGGGGAGGGGTTTAGTGCTGAGCCTTCCATCTCTTTCTTGCCTGAAATGCTTTTAAAAAGTAAAACTTCAATTTTGCTGGAATTTTGCCTAGATACTTTTTCTCTCCCAGCCAGACTCAGATACTCCCCCAAAGTTGTTCCCTTGGGACAAGAGTCTCAAAAGCCCATGGCTCCTCCCATTCTGGGAGAGATGATTAATACTCAGGTCACATACACTTCAGACCCATGATGGAGGGGGCTCCCTGTCCATCCTGGCCGATGGCCGATTGGACCAGCCAACAAGTTTTGTTTTACTTGACATGAAAGCTGGTTGAAGTTAAGCAGGAGACATGTTTTTGTTTCTTTAATAAATAAAAGTAAGGACTCTGTACATGAATAAAAGTAAAAGTCACTCCCCTGAGGATTTTAGGCTTCCAAAAATAGTCCCAAGCTTAGCCAAGGCCAATGCAGCCAGAATTTCCATGGAAAGCTTCGCTGGTGAGGAAGAGGCAGTGCCAGGGGATGTACAAACAGGCTGTCCCGTCTTCTCCCCCAAGCCCTTCCTGTCTCAGCCGCCGGGAGTTTAGAAAACAGGTTTTTGAAATCGGGTTCATTTTCTGGTTTGAGATAAGTCAATGGCAGCAGCGGCACTATTTATTTCTCATGGGATCCAATTTAGGGGCTGCAAGGGCTCTATGGAAGTGGATGGCGAGGTGGTTTACAGTGGAGGAGTTGGAGGAATTTGTCCTTGTCAGACAGGGAAGACTTATTTCTTGAATGAAAGATGCAGCAGGAAAGTTATACTAAACAAACAGATGTTTTTAAAACGTCTGTTTTAAAGTAGCTTTCTCTTCCTCCCAATAATTGATTATTCATGGCAAAGGCGAGCCGGTTAACAGCAAGAAATTGTTTCCCAGTATTTGTTGTTGGAGATTCCCGCTCTTCAGGATTTGCTGCACAGCTTAGAGGGCTGTTGATCTTGTCCCCCTGCACCCACAGCCCAGTTGTCTCTCCTTGAACGAGACTGTCTGAAGTATTAGCATTTTTCTGCCCAGCACACTTTACTGAAATTAGGGTTTTAGGGGAACTATTAGAAATATGAGAAAAAAAGAACTGTACCGGCCAGGGTGGGTCGCACCACCTCTGCTGTACAATGACGCTTAGAAGGTGCTGTGGCTCAGAGGAACAAACCTGAAGTTTCAGGAAAGCGGATTTTAAAAATAAGCACCCTTTTGTGGGAGGGAGGGTGGTGGTGACATTTTTAGCTATTAAAAATTCAGCTGCTTGGGAATCAGTGCATAGTTGCTTGAAAAATGGTTTTTCATAAATGAATGTGTTCTTCATGAAATTAAGGAGACTTAAAAAGGGCTCAGAAGGCAAAATCAGAAAACCTTCCAAGGGTACCTCAAGCTGAACGAAAGAGGAAAATATTCTTTTCTGCCATCTCAAGTTGTAACTTGGTTTTTCTCATGTGCTCTAATTTGGAGGGTGTATGTGTGTCTGTGTGTGTGTTCAGAATATGGAGAAGGTTTAATTACACACATTACCCATCAGAAACTTACCAAATACCGGTTTGAAAGACAGAAAAAGTAAACTGGAATAAACAGTGATTATAAATTTTATTTTAATTCATATTTTTCAGTGGGCCAAATAATCATGGCAACAGGACTTTTAGAAGCACGTCCTCTGAAAGCCATTTTCTGCCTGTGGTTGGAAAGGGACTGTGAGTCTTTCCTCAGGAAGTCAGTAGCCCTACCTGGTGAGGTGATCAAGAGTTTGCTAGCACAAGAGATGAAGGTATGTCATCTTATTTCCCTTGATTACACTGGAGGGGAAGGTAGCAAACTCATTAACTGTGGAAAATAATACAACATGTGTTTTTATTTTGGAGTCTTCAAAGAAATGATTTTAAGAAGGCTTCCTGGTCACTTAAAATTTTAAAACAAGGCCAGGTGCAGTGCCTCACGCCTGTAATCCCAACACTTTGGAGGCCAAGGCAGGCAGATCATTTGAGGCCAGGGGTTCAAGACCAGCCTGGGCAACATGGTAAAACCCCATCTCTACTAAAAACACACAATTAGCTGGGTGGGGTGGCACACGCCTGTAGTTCTAGCTGCTCAGGAGGCTGAGATGGGAGAATTGCTTGACCCCAGGAGGTGGAGGTTGCAGTAAGCCAGGATTGCGCCACTGCACTCCAGCCTGGGCAACAGAGCAAGACTCTGTGTCCAAAAAAAAAAAAAAAAAAAAAAAGTTTCAAACAAAACTACAATCACAATAACTGAAAAACAAACAGTTTTTTCTTTTTGGTTAGAAAGAACTCGTGCACTACAAAGACAAATCCCACTTGGGCCAGAAGCATATGTTTACCACTGGTGAGCTGAGATTCTTTGACAATGCCCATCTTTCATGTTTCTAGTCTTGGATACCCTTCTTGTCAATTTTAGCTGTAAACATACTTAAAAGTTATAATCCTATCCTGTATGTTTTGATACCCAACCCTTCAGATAGTCGGTCAGAAGAGTATAGTGCTGCTAAGAAATGTTGTAGTCTCATTAAAGATACATTTTAGTGAGAATGTTCAAGAAATTGTCTGCTTGTGAATGCTTGTCTCTGTGTTGGGAAAACATCTGGGTAAATAGTAAAAAAGAAAAAAAAAAGTCAGTTAATAAAGAAGATGGTGTTTTATAGTATATCAGATCTTCAAATGTTAGTCCACCCTGGCAGTGCACCTGTTGTAGACAGCAATGCCTCCCTTTATAAAAGAACATCTCCTCTTTCCAGCTTCAATCATAGAAACATGCATTTCAGTAAACAAGTCCATCTTTACCATATGTTGTGCCTTTCACAAGTCCATAGCCTTCAATGTTAACCCTCCTGGGTCATCTTTCTTACTTGAAGTGGCTGGCTCACCTGTTTTGACCCTTCCCCATAATGAAGTTTCTTTTCTTTCTCAGTGAGAATTTCCATTGTCTTCAGGTTGGTGTGCCTGCATCTCCCTTAACCACAATCGTGGATTGTTGCATGCCTTGTAGGACACCTAAACGTCACTCCTAATTTGAAGATGAAGAAATTGAGCCAGGAATGACAAAGGGGTTTCTCCTATCTCAGTGTGAATATAAAGGTCACCTGCTTTGTTGCCTAAATATTTCTCGGAGCTGTCACCACCTCTTTCCCCCAACATCCTCTGCCCTAGGTCAGTATTCATCACCTTTCTCTGGACCCTATCAAAATTGCCTCTGGTGTAGTCTCTCTTTAGCTAGCCCCTCCCACTGGAGTTAGACCAGTCAATCTAAAATATGAATGTGGTCAATGCCACTTCTGTGCTTTATACCTTCAGTGAGTACCCATCACCTTTCAGATGAGTTTCAAGTTTTTTAGCCCAGTATGCCAGCTGTGCTGTGACATAACCTCTGTCTCTCTAGCCTGATTTTAGAAAATCTTTTTCATCTCATTCTTTATGTTCTGTTAACATTGAGCTGCACGTGGTACCCCCAACATATATCCACACCACCAAACTTCACTTACATTTGAAGTTTTGCTCACATTGTTCCTGTATCAGTCAGATGTTTTGGTTGCAAGCAAATGAAACGAACCCTGGTTAACTTAGGCTTGAAAGAAATTTATTAAAGGGACATTGGGCAGCTTACAGAAGTGCCACTAAAGCTGAAGAACTAGGTCGGAGGCTAGCCAGCTGAAATCATAGCTCAAATCATGCTCTGGAACAGGTCTATTGAGTTCACACCACTGCAGCCCCCAATGTTGTGGCCAGCACTGTCCACACTCTGACACTGGGACCTGGGTGCTGCCCCTGGCTCCTTTGGCATCACAGTCTCTGGGAACAAGACCTTGGGATGACGGCTGACGGTGCCAGAAATGACTTTTTGTGGTCTGTGTTTCGTTGTACCATTGGCTCCTGATTTAATGCTTTTGGCATGTGTATCTATCTGATTGTCCAAACCTAAGTCACATGCCTACCTAACTGTATAGAAGAAAGGGAAGTCTCAGGGTTGTACACCTTCTACAGTAGGAATTCTACCAAGCTTCAAAAGGAGAAAAATTCTCTAAACAAAGGAATGAAGTTCAGACGCTGAGCATCCCAAAGAAGGATAACTGGCCATTATAATTCCTCAGCCTTTGTGACAATTCTGTGAGCTGCTCAGTGTCCTTTCATGGCTAACTTGCAGTGCTTTGTCACATCTTTATTTGCCTAGTTAAATCTTGCCCATGTTCTAACATAAACACAAGTATGTTTGCTGCAAAGAAGTCTTCCTTACACCCCAGGTTGGGATTAATCTTTTCCTTAGCCTTTGGGCATATTTATGCCTTATTGGTTATGACATTTTATTGTGTTCCTGTTTAAGTATTTGTGTCTGTGTCTCATTTGTAAGCCCCCCACGGGTATGCACTTTGCCCTAGACATCTTCCAGTGCCTAACACAGTGTTTGGCTTATAGGACATGTCCAATGAATTCATTCATTCACTCACTCATTCACTCACTGTTTGTTGAACTGAATGGAGCTGAATTGCCAAAGATTACACACGTAATCAGTGACATAGGTGGAGTAAAATTCAAGTCTCTTCACTTTAGTGTTTCTAAAGTAACGGAAGCTGTGACATCCCTCCTTTCCTCTCCTTTCCCCTCTTCCACCCTAATCATTATTTATTTCTTTTCACAGTTTAGCTTCTGCTAGTCTTCATCCTTCCCAGTAAATTTCTCTCCTAACCATTGCCTTGGCAAATGGTTCAAGGAACCCAGAGCTGTTGATTTGTAAACTGTGGCCCTGCCAGGTCAAGGAGAGGCATGAAAACCTTGGACTTGGAGTAAGCAAATGCAGAGAACTTTTGGGAAAATATGTGCAGCTACAATTTTGTCTTCAGTAATTATGCCAGGAATTGAATTAGGTTTTCTTGGAGCAGAAGGTCTAATAGATCAATGCTCTGGCCCATGAGCCCTCCAGCCAAGAAGTGCATGCGTTTTTAAGAGGAACATAAACACAGCTCACACTGGTCATACAGCAGCTTGGGTAGATGGATTTATACTTCAGCAGACAGTTGGTCCCTGGGTAGAAACATGGGCCAAGGGCCAGGAGACCCCCAGTTCAATTTCCAGTTAAGTCATCTCTGTTTATTTCTCACAAAATACATATTTAAAAAAATTTGAAATTAAAACATCATGCTTAAAACACTCTATAGTAAACAGAGGCCTTAAAAGAAGATCTGTTGCCAGCATCACTTTTTGTTAAAGCTGTATCCAATTTAAAGTTTATTTTATACCCAGGATACGGAATGGTGCACAGAGTGCTGAGAAATCACCACACATCTGAGCAGGACCAATCAGATGTTTTGGCAGGACATCTCCCTGAACGGGACACCCCCAAGCTTGTGGGGGTGGCTTCAGGCATTGATGAACACATGTGGACAGGCACAAGGGGCATTAAAAACAAGGTGTGTGCATCTACAACCCTCTCCTTTCTGCTGCTCTCAACAAGTTCTATTGATTCTACCTCTTACATATCTCTCATATTGCTCCTTTGTCTTCATCTTCTCCCCACCCTGGTCCCATCGCTATCACCTCCTAATTGGTCTCTCTGCATCCACTATTGTCTCTGTCCAATCAGTCTGCACCATGTCACTCACACCACCCTCATCTACTTCAAATCCATCGGTGGCTTCCTGTTGCCGTTAGAATAAAGGCAAAAATTCTTAACATGGCCCAAGCCCTTATGATCTGGCCCCATCCAGCTCTCCAGCCTGATCTGCCCTCTGTAGGGCAACCACGCTGGCCTGCCAGCCATGTGACCTTGTGCCACATCCCTCCTGCCCCAAAGACACCCTCGTGCTGTTCCTTCTACCTTGGGAGCACTCCACGATGCCCTACCCCTTGTTCTTCACTGGCTTAATGCCCACCTATGCTTCAAATCTCGGTTTTGAGATCACTTCCTTAGAAAACTCTTCTGTACCCTCCCACCCCCATGAGATCCCCTTGTTCTCTACTCTCACAATACTGCAAGAGCATTTTTCTGCTTTTTAGCATTTATTGTCACTTGAGCCGACACATTTATTTCTGTGATTTGAAGAATCTTGTTGTTTCCACTAACAATACTGGAAACATGTCTGGAGGACTAATTGCAAACCTAGAAGTTTCTAAGTGTGCCAGTATATTAACATACTTGGTTTTTACAAAAATGGAGAAAATATTTCCTATTTCTACCCTCCCTGAGGGCTTAGGTAACTAGCTCACGGCCACACAGCTAGTAATCACAGATTTGGGATTTGAGCCAGGCCGGCTGACCCCACGGTGCACATATTTCATCATGATTCTGTGTTGCCTTGCTACTACATCAGTGTTTCTCAATGTTTGCTTCATGTTTGCCCTCCCTCCCACCCAGCTCTTGAGGCCAAAGAACCTTTGTTTAGATATGTTTTACTTATCTCCCATGAAATTTTACTACCACAACTACACTGTAGCGTACAGAATAATGCTCCCCTCCCCAAGATATTCACATCCTGCACCCTGGAACCTGTGAATATCTTACATTACATGGCAAGGAGGGAATTGAGGCTTCAGATGGCATTCAGGTTGCTAATCAGATGACCTTGAGATGAGATACGATGTGTCAGGCACTATGCTAGGAACAAGAGATGGAGTAGTGATCAAAGCCAGAGACAATTCTTGTTTTGTAGTCCAGTACATGCATTCTCCATGGGGGTAATATTGCCCCTAATGGGAAAAATAAATTCTCAGGGTGGTGGAAAAAACTTTATTCTCTTCATATATAAAACACAGATATGCATAGAGCACAAACACACACACAGAGTTGTATTAGTTTTCTATTGCTGCTGTAACAAGTTACCATAAACTCAGTGGCTTAAAAAAACAGAAATAATTATCTTACAGTTTTAGGAGCTGTGTCACTGGGCTGAAATCAGGATGTTGGCAGGGCTGCATTCCTTCTGCAGAACCTAGGGGAGAATCTGTTTCCACGCCTTTTCCAGCTCCTAGAGGCTGCTGGCATTCCTTGGCTGATAGTACCTTCCTTCTATGAGAGACAATTATCTGGGTGGGCCCAGTGTAAACACAAGGGCCCTTATAAGTGGAAAAAGGAGGCGAGAGAGCCAGTGTCAGAGCGATGCAGTGTTAGAAAGACTTGACTGACTATTGTTCGCTTTGAGGATGAAGGAAGGTACTATCAGCCAAGGAATGCCAGCAGCCTCTAGAAACTGGAAAAGCTGTGGAAGTAGATTCTCCCCTAGATTCTGCAGAAGGAATGCAGCCCTGCCAACATCCTGATTTCAGCCCAGTGACACAGCTTGTAGGACTGTAAGATAATTATTTCTGTTATTTTAAGCCACTGAGTTTATGGTAACTTGTTACAGCAGCAATAGAAAACTAATACAATTCTGTGTGTGTGTGTGTGTGTGTGTGTGTGTGTGTGTGTGTGCTCTATACATATCTGTGTTTTATGTATGAATAGAATAAAGTTTTTTCTACCACCCCAAGAATTTGTTTTCCCCATTGGGGCAATATTACCCCCATGGAGAATGCATGTACTGGACTACAAAACAAGAATTGTCTCTGGCTTTGATCACTACTCCATCTCTTGTTCCTAGCATAGTGCCAGACACATAGTAGGCACCTAATAAGTATTTGTTGAGTAAATGAGTGAATGAATGATTGAATGAGTATGAATTTGAATTAAGGGCCATAATCCTACTTATGAAAAATAAAAAGGGCTAAAGGACTCCATGTTAGGAACAGAGTGAATCAATGTTTTTGAATAACTATGAGACCATAGTGCTGTGAACAGCACGTTCATCACCACGGATTTATCAATTTCCAAATGCACCTGTAAAAATTGGTTAGACCAATGGAGGCACCAGCAGAAAGAGTCTTGGGAATGTCAGCTCTGGGGTGTGCCATGAGCACAGTTGCAGGCAAATAGCCTTCAGCTATTTGGGGTAATTGCATGAAAGAGCCTCGCATCTAAGGAAAAGTAATCAAGATCTACTGTGAACTGGGTGAAACTACTTGGCTTATTAATAGTCAAGCATCCTATGTACCAGCTTCCTTTTGTACATTCTCTTTATAGAACCCATGCACAATCAGTATTTTAATCCCCATTATACAGATGACACAGCTCAGAGAGGCCAAGTCCTTGCTCAAAATCTCTTTACAAAAATTTTCTAGGCACTCCAAATCTAGAGAAGGAATGCCTTCCAATTCATTGTCATTATTTTAGCTTACCACAAATTTGAGTTTAAATGAGTCATTTTTAAGGTTTAGGTGGAGCCAGGGAACATCAGTGGCATATGCTATTTTTCTGCCAGTTCCCTTTCTTCCCTCTCATTTGCCAGGCGTCCACTCGGAAAGGGCTTTCCAGGGCTCCAGTGTTGGTGGCCCAGCTTTTGCAGGAGAACCTACGACATCATGTGATTTTCTGGTCACCTTGGCTCTGGGGAAGGTGCAGGCTCTTCCCAGGGCCTGCTTTGTGTCTCTGTAGTGGTGATGACGAGAGCACTAAGCTCCATTGGATGACAGGACATGCTGGCTTTGGTTTTGCCCCAGCATTGGCAAGTTGAGCACATTCCTTTTTGACCCTCCTAGAGCTGCTGTGTGGGGCAGTCAGGCAGAATCACACCATTGGGGTGGATCTAGGGGGATGGAGTGTGGAATGTGCTGAGCTCTGTCTTCCTTGCCAACTAGGAATGGGAAGACTGGAGGATTGCTGGAGGGAGGGCAGGGGTCTTCATGGAGGTGGGCAAGATGGGAGCCAGGGCCCAGTGCAGTGCAGGAGGCCTCCGGGGGAGTCATTTCTCAGGCACATGAAGGGGATGTTCTCAGAACCGCACTTGGCAGGGACTGTCTCTTCATTTGATCTTACCACATGGCAGTCTTGGTCTCCAGGGCCATACATAGCTAACGAGGAACACTTGTCTGGCATTCACATTTACAAATAACTTTCCTGTGCAAGATCTGAGGATGGTGAATCTTGAGGGGATCTGATCCAATCTCTCCATGGCTGTTTTGCTTCCACATTTTAGCAATCACTGATTCCAGTGCCTACTATGTGCAACAATAATGGGAAACACAAGCATTCGGATTGCATTTTTCGTTCAACATATTTCTGACTTCCATTATCCAATTTTATCCTATATCCCATCCTGTGAGATTGGATCTTATGCCCTCATTTTTTTCAGATGAGAAAATTAAAGCTTAGGGGGCAAATTAACATGTACTAGTTTGTTAAGCTGTGGACACTAATAATATGATCTACCATAGTAGTAATACTACTGTAAGTGCTTACATTCACTTAATTCTCAGAGCATTATTATTCTCAGTTGACATGTGCAAAACCTGAGGTGCAAAGTGACTAACAACTTGCCCAAGATCATATAGTCAATAAGAAGAGGGAGGATGTGAATTTAGACAACCTGGCTCCATAGACTAGTTTCAACCACTGTGCTATCCGACAGAGTAGGGCTCAATGCCAGGGCTCAGTTCCATACTGTTCTTTCCTCTCTACCGTGCTACCTTTCTATGCCAAATGATCTGGAATATATAAAGGAAAATGACATTGTTCTTGCTTATAGTCTTTTGAGGGGAAAGGTGTGCAACAGTTGACTCTTCAGGGTGAAAACACTAAATGCTAAGCTGAGGTCAAGGGGAACTCTAGGGAACCCTGAGGAATGGCCCAGGAGACCTAGACCTCATAGCCTCCATAGCCCCTTCCCTGCTGATCCTTTTCATACTGGCCTGGCCAGTCCTAATTTCTCTCTGAAATAGAGTAGCCTTCACAGTTGTCCTGGGTTGGTCATTTTGACCTCATATTTAGGGGTTTGGGGTAATTTCTCTAGGAAGTTTCTCCCTATATGCAGCATGACCAATAAGTGTAGAGGTCACCAGCAAGCAAATTGCTCAAAAGAAGTATCACAAACTGTCCTGTACCAAATGCTCTACTTCCTGAAGATGGAGACCCTTTGGGCGCCTGGCTGGTTCTCACCAACTTGGAAGGATCATGTGTTGCTGCCTCTGTTGGGTGCTGCCATTTATAATCTTGAACTGAACCCAGCACATCATGGCTACTTTCTCCCAGCTGTGAGCCCAGTTCAGTCTTGCTATACTTCTGGGGTTGATGGTGCAATTAGAGATGTCGTTTAGTTACCATCACCACCATAATTTTGCCAGAATACCTACAGTTTGGTTGCTTTGATAATCATTTCCTGCTAGCTCTGAAAGTATATCTAGGCCCCCCTGTTGGGGTTCTTGCCTGCTCTTTCCTTGCCCACCCCAAGTATACGTCTTTGTCATCATAGCTTGAAACTTCTGGAACTCTGGCCGATTAATGCCTGGTATGGGTATTTAGGAGACATGCATTTGTTTAGTTCAGGCTTTAAATTAGCCAGGAACCACCCCCTCAAATTGACTTAGAATTTGTTTGACTATTTGATGTTTGGGGAACAAGTTATACGGAAGTTGGTGTCTCACTCACCAACAAGGATCTCAGATAGTCTTGCTTTGTGGTTTATAGTGAGAAGGTGATAATCCGTGTTCATGGTTATATCACCAAGTAACATAAAACCATCTGATGTCATGTTTCCTTAGCACTTTACTCTTAACCTCGATGTAGCGTTTAGTACCTATATTAGGGTGATTTGTTTTCATGCCTGTTTCACCCATAGACAATATGCTTCTCAAAGTCAGGAATCTGCCTCATTCATTTTTGCATTTTCAGTCCAAGCATAGTACCTGGAACACAATATGTGTAGAAAAATCAAATCAGTGTCTTTGATCTATTTCATAAATAATTTACTATTGACAACCACTGAATCATAACTATATAGTTATATCTCCAAGTATTAAGTTTTTAGCTTGAGCTGTTTAGTAAAAACTATAGACTAAACTTCTTTTTTATTTCTGCAGCAATCCTGTGTTCTTCCACTTCTCCAAGCATGTGATGGTACAACTGCTTAGCATGCTGAAGGAATCTATTACTTTCACTCATATTGACCATAATTATAGTAACATTCATATTATACTTACTATATGTCAGGTACTGTTTTAAGACCTTCCATGAGTTTTCACAACAATCCTGTTATTGCCTTCATTTTACCAAGAGCCAAAGAGACTAGCTCAAGTTGATGCTATCTGGGAAAGCTGGGGTTTGGACCTGGTAGAATGAGTCAGAGGGCATGCACTTAGATGCTATGTTATGCTTCCTTTTGAGTAACTTCCTTAACCAAGCAACATTTACTGAGATTCTGTGGAATAGATTTTCTCGGATAATCTTGACAATGAGACTAAGAGGTGCAATTTTTATTAGTTTCATTTTTCAATTGAGGAAACTGAAGCACAGTTTAAATAGCTCATCCAAGGTCATATCACTAGTAAGGGGAGAAGACTGAATTTACAAACAGATGCCCTGCTCCTTCTCTCCTATCACTGCTGGCTACAAATCAATTAACTCCAACCATTTCTTTAATTCTGGGGCCTAGTTTGTCAGAATTTTCACTTTGCCAATTTGAGTCTTAAGAGGCTTTGGAGTTTAACAGACCTGGTTTGAGTCCCTATTCTTCCACTTTCTAGTTCTGAGACATTGGTCAAGTCAAATTAGCTTCTTGGTGTCTCAATTTCCTTGTCATGAAAATGAGTTTTCAAACACTGCATGTTCTCACTTATAAGTGGGAGCTGAACAATGAGAACACATGGACACATGGGGGGAACATCACACACTGGGGCCTGTGGGGGGAGGAGGGAGAGCATCAGGAAGAATATCTAGTGCATGCTGGGCTTAATACCTAGGTGATGGGATGATCTATGCAGCAAAGCACCATGGCACACGTTTACCTAGGTAACAATCCTGCACATCCTGCACATGCACCCCTGAACTTAAAAGTTGAAGAAAAAAAAAAAAGAAAATGGGTTTTATGTGTGAAAATTAGATGAGAGGATGCCTGAGGGGAGGGCCTGGTGCATGGTCAAGCTCCGTACATATTAATTTCTATTCACAGGGTTGGCAAGTGGCCACATGGTCCAGTGGCAGAAGGAGGATTTGAACTCACAACTCCCTGCTTGACCTTGTTGAACCCCTCTACTTCTCATCTGTTTCCTTGTGTTCTTTCTCTGTATCCTCCCATCTTCACCTTATTTAACGGTTTAATTGGGTAAGGGGGTATGTAAATGCCCTTTTCAGAATAGGCAAGTTTTATTAAAGGCCCCTTAATTGATTTTAAAGACAAGAAAGTATTGATTATAGAACTAAATAGTTCTGGGAACAATGTCACCGAGTTAAAGAAGGAGGAGCAATAGCATTAGGTCTGTGAAAATTTGTAGTCTGTGGGCCTATTGTTAGTTAAACCTCAGACAGGTTTTCTGGAAATACCTGTGTAGAGCAATATATGAATCCTGGAAATAAAAATCAGAAAGATTAGATAACCGCCAGGACAAAACAAAACAAACAAGCACAAACTAAATAAAGGAAAAATAAAAAGAGATAAATAACAAATACCTTCTTACTCCGATAAAACAGATCTGTCCCATTTAGGAGCTATCAAACAATGTCTGCACTTTAACACCATTCTTTTCACTCCATGAATTTCAAATGCCTTAAATACACTAACTTAAGACAAGTTCTCACCTTCTATAGAAGCAAGGTGGAGGTAGGTCAGCCTGCAAGGTGAACTTGGCTTTCTGGGGGAGGGAGAAGTAGCAGTCTGGCAACTTCACAAGAACCTTTGCTTCTCTGTGTGGCCACGGTCACCTGGCAGCTGCTGTAGCCTGGGCTTGGGCAGCCCCAGGCTCTAACCCCTTCTCAATAACTGCTTTCCTTTTGCAAAATCATGATGTTCTTTCCCAAGTTAGGGGACAAGAATTTTCTTTTCCAGAATGTACTCCGAAGCTAGGATACAATTACTCATCTGGTTTAATTTAAAATGCAAAATCTTTGAAAAATAGGTATTTTCAAAATAAGCATTTTGGTTTGGAGCTCTGGTTCTCATTAACTTGGCTGAAGCTTTTGATGATATGTTGGAACTGCTTAAACACCAGCTCACACGCCTGCTCTCAGGTGTTCCTAAACCCGCTGCTTTCCCTGGGGACCGCAGGCCTGCGGCGTCCTGACAGCCCCACACTGTAGCCTGGTGTTCCCCTCGCTCCATCCGTGACTTTTTTGAAAGGGAGCTGAATGGTTTAATGTGATGTTTTGGTAATCTCTGCCACTCTGCTGAAGTGCACAGGGCAGGAATGACAGTACTTGGGGGTCTGGTTCTGCCTTCAAACACTTGCAAAAATCCTCTGGTATCCATGATCTCTCACCTCTCCTCCTGTCATGCCTCTGTGGCCAGGAACTTACTGTCACTGGAGTTCATTGTACGTGAGTATTAAAGAAAAAACTTTGGCTGAGGCTGAAGAGTCTTTCAAGCCTGATAGGGGTGTATTCAGTATTATTAGACCAAGCCAAATGTAATCTCTATAACTACTGTTAAACCTAGGATGTGTGGAACAAAAAAGACATTCCAGAGGCCTGTCAAATTACATGTCTACTTTAAGGCATTCCTTTTGTCTGTGATGTTCCAAGTACATTAAGAGCATTTCCAGCCAGGCGCAGTGGCTCACACCTGTAATCCCAGCACTTTGGGAGGCCGAGGCAGGAGGATCACAAGGTCAAGAGATCAAGACCATCCTGGCTAACATGGTGAAACCCTGTCTCTACTAAAAATAAAAAAATTAGCTGGGTGTGGTGGTGCATGCCTGTAGTCCCATCTACTCGGGAGGCTGAGGCAGAAGAATCACTTGAACCCAGGAGGCGGATGTTGCAGTGAGCCGAGATTGCGCCACTGCACTCCAGCCTGGGTGACAGAGTGAGACTCCGTCTCAAAAACAAACAAACAAACAAACAAACAAACAAACAAAAAACATTACCTTCTGCTTCTCAGGAATAACCTTCTTTAGAGAGGAAGGCAGGAGACTTAGGAATCCTTTTTCTACATACAGGTTCCCCGGGAAAGGGATAGCAGGACTCTGAGACTGCAGTCACCTAAATTTCAGGGTTCCAAGCCTTGGGTGTTATGTGTGTGAGATAAGATTTTTCTCTCAGCATGGTGGTAGAGGTTCTGTACTGTCCACATGAAGCCTCATGCCCCCGACCATCCCTAGAAGCTGTGATTCCACAGAGAGGGTGCATTTGGAAAGCCTTCCTCAACCCCTCACTGCTTTGGTAGGACTTCTGTTCAGAAGACTCCAGAAGAGCTTCTCAGCAGCTTCCCATTTAGAAAGTAAGAAAGGATGCTGTTTTTTTGTTTTTTTTTTTTTTGTTTTGGAGACGGAGTTTTGCTCTGTTGCCCAGGCTGGAATGCAGTGGCGGGATCTTGGCTCACTCAATTTCTGCCTCCTGGGTTCAAGCAGTTCCTTCCCTCAGCCTCTTGAGTAGCTGGGATTACAGATACCCGCCACCATGCCTGGCTAATTTTGTATTTTTAGTAGAGACGGGGTTTCACCATCTTGGCCAGGCTGGTCTTGAACTCCTAACCTCATGATCCACCCGCCTTGGCCTCCCAAAGTGCTGGGATTACAGGTGTGAGCCACTGGTCCTGGCCAGGATACAGTCTTAATCTCATTATCCTTCTGACACTTCTGGGGACTCAATCTGCTCAAGCCATAGTCGATTCAACTGTGACCCCACATCCTTGGAATCTCAGCCCTTGCCCCAGAAGGAAAGCCTCTACTCAGAGTCCTTTTCTCCTCATACTGTCCAGGGCTTCTCCCGTCCTCCTTTACTCTGCTGTTCCTTCTCCTAAAAGTTCTGTTCTGTCCTGAAAGAGGACAAGGATGCTTGGTCCTTGATCTTAATCTTCTCTGTGAATGTTCTTTTCACCATCTGCTCAGTAGAAACCTGTTAGAGATCTGTGCTTAGCGTTTTGCTGCTACAAACCCAGTTTCTTACCTCCAATTTTGAAATAAAGAAATGCATTGAGAGCTGAAAGTTTTTCCTGTCCCATTTGGTAACAAAAACTTAAGTTGATGTGCAGGTATTTGTTATACTTGCTGTTAATATCCATATATTTCTTTGTAGAAATATGTGTGTTTCATTATGGAGTGCTTTCCAGGTGTTATGTATTGACTGTATGTGTTCCATTATTAACTTCTCTAAAATCTGAAAAATTCTGAATCCAGAAACACATCTGGCTCCAAGGTTTTGGATAAGGGACTGCAGGCCTGTTTTTCTTTTTTTTTATTATTATTATTATACTTTAAGTTTTAGGGTACATGTGCACAATGTGTAGGTTAGTTACATATGTATACATGTGCCATGCTGGTGTGCTGCACCCATTAACTCGTCATTTAGCATTAGGTATATCTCCTAATGCTATCCCTCCCTGCTCCCCCCACCCCACAACAGTCCCCAGAGTGTGATGTTCCCCTTCCTGTGTCCATGTGTTCTCATTGTTCAATTCCCACCTATGAGTGAGAACATGTGGTGTTAGGTTTTTTGTCCTTGCGATAGTTTACTGAGAATGATGATTTCCAATTTCATCTATGTCCCTGCAAAGGACATGAACTCATCATTTTCATGGCTGCATAGTATTCCATGGTGTATATGTGCCACATTTTCTTAATCCAGTCTATCATTGTTGGACATTTGGGTTGGTTCCAAGTCTTTGCTATTGTGAATAGTGCCGCAATAAACATACGTGTGCATGTGTCTTTATAGCAGCATGATTTAAAGCTCTGCTTTCAGGTAAAGTCCTTTTCTCCATTCAGGATGTACTTTCTGCCTATTCCCCATGCCATGTTGATATCATCTGCTCTTCTTCTAGCCATTTCCCTCCACAATAGAGGCTGCTCCTCTCCATCTTTTCCTTCTGCCCTCATCTCTGCACCAAATCCACCTTGACTACATTCACTATTTGCCAACCCTGAAGACCCTTTTCGGTCTTAATCTTACTTGCTCTCTCTCTGTCACTAGAAACTGTTCACCTTTTTGTGATACCATCTTTTCCTTTACTTTCTTTGGCACCATTCTTCTCTGGTTCTCCTTTCCTTCTCTGACCATGTAACCTGTTAGTGAACTTTCCCAGCCCCTCACCCTCTGCCCTCTTCTGCTCTCAGAAGTCAGGAGGCAGGAGGGCTGGATTAGCCCAGGGTATTTCAATAGGTCCTCCCTTCCCGTGAGCCCTGCCTTTATCAAGAAAAGGAATTATTGAGTGGATAAATGATTTCTCCAGGTTTTGTCCTTGGTCATTGATATAGTTTGGATATTGTCCCCTCTAAATTTCATGTTGAATTATAACCTTCAGTGTTGGAGGTGGGGCCTGGTGGGAGGTGATTGGATCATGGAGGTGGGTTTCTCATGAATGGTTTAGCACCATCCGTTTGTGATAAGTGAATTCTTGCACTTATTTATTTATTTATTTATTTATTTATTTAGAGATGGAATCTTGCTCTTGTCACCCAGGCTGGAGTGCAATGGTGTGATCTTGGCTCACCGTGACCTCCATCTCCCGGGTTCAAGTGATTCTCTCGCCTCAGCCTCTTGAGTAGCTGGGATTACAGGTGCCTGCCAACATGCCTCAATAATTTTTGTGTTTTTAGTAGAGACGGGGTTTCACCATGTTGGCCAGGCTGGTCTTGAACTCCTGACCTCAGGTGATCCGCCTGCCTCGGCCTCCCAAAGTGCCACGATTACAGGCGTGAGCCACCGTGCCCGGCCAGGTTCTTGCATAGTTATTTTATGCGAGATCTGGTTGTTTAAAAGTCTGGGATGTCCCCCTTCTGTCTCTCTTGTTCTGCCTCTTGCCATGTGATATGTTGGCCCCCACTTTACCTTTTGCCATGATTGTAAGCTTTCTGAGGCCTCACCAGAAGCTGGGCAGCTCCCTGGTGCCATGCTTCCTGTATGGCCTGCAGAACTGAGAGCCAATCAAACCTCTTTTGTTTATAAATTACTCAATCTCAGGTATTTCCATATAGCAATGCAAGGACAGCCTATTACAGTCATCCTCCTTTCTCACTTTGTAGTCCTCCAGGAGCAATCTCACACACCTATAGCTTCACCTTCAGACCAAGTCTCCCCCTGAACTTTAGAGAGGGACACACAACTTTCTACAGGATATTGTCAACTCCACTGGATCCTCAGAATCAACATGTCCCAACATCCCCTTGTTGTCTTGATGACCCCTCCCTGTCTTTTTTGCACCCATTAACCATCCCCACCTCTGCTCCAAGAATTTTAACTTCTATCCTGTCTCCTCCAGCCTACTCCAGGACCAAACAAATTCAAATATTAATACATGGAATTGTTTAATTCCATTAATAAGTAAAACTGTTAGGCATTTCCTTCAGCCTAGGGAACCATGAAAAAGTTACTGAGACACTAAGGGCGTTATGAAGTGAGGAAGTTTGGGAATCTGTGTAGTATATAGAAAGAGTCCTCATTTTGTTTTGAAGACTAGCTACATAGTACCCCTTTGGGTGGATATACATACTGTGGTTAATTCTACTGGCTCTCTATTGATGGACCTTTGGGTTGCTTCCAGCTTTTAACTATTTCAAATAGTGCTGAAATAAATAGCCTACGCATGTGCCTTTTTTGTATCTTTGCCAGTATTTCTGTGGGAGAGATTCCTAGAAGTGGGATGGCTGGGTCAAAGGGTAAATACGTTTGACATTTTGCTAGAAACTGCCAAATTCCCCTTCATGGGGGTTGTACCATTTTGCATCACATCATCAAATTATGAGGGTGTCTTTTCCCCAAAGTCTTGCCAACAGAGTATGATGTCAAAGTTTTGAATTTTTGCCAATATGATAGGTGAGAAATTGTATCTCATTGTAGTTTTAATTTGCATTTCTCTTATTATAAAAGAACTTGAGTGTTTTTTTAAAAATATGGTTAACAGTCATTTGTATTTCCTTTCCTGTGAATTGTCCATTTATATTGCTAGTAAAATTTTTATGAGGTGTTTAATCTTTTTCTTCTCCACTTTTAAAAGTTCTCTCTACATAAATTGCAATTTTTTTGTCCTTTGTGTTTTTAGTTACATATTATGGTGGTGTGTGTTTTTTCTTTACTGTGCAAATTCTTTTATGTATCATATGTATATATATGCATTTTTTTTGGTGAACCTTTGAATTTTTTTTTATACTTTAAGTTCTGGGATACATGTGCAGAATGTGCAAGTTTATTACCTAGGTATACACATGCCATGGTGGTTTTCTGAACGCATCAACCCGTCATCTACATTAGGTATTTCTCCTAATGCTATCCCTCCCCTAGCCTACCCACCCCCTGACAGGCCCCAGTGTGTGATGTTCCCCTCCCTGTGTCCATGTATTCTCATTGTTCAACTCCCACTGATGAGTGAGAACATGCAGTGTTTGGTTTTCTGTTCCTGTGTTAGTTTGCTGAGAATGATGGCTTCCAGCTTCATCCATGTTCCTGCAAAGGACATGAACTCATCCTTTTTTATGGCTGTGTAGTATTCCATGGTGTATATGTGGCACATTTTCTTTATCCAGTCTATCACTGATGGCATTTGGGTTGGTTCCAAGTCTTTTCTATTGTGAATAGTCCTGTAATAAACATATGTGGGCATGTGTCTTAATAGTAGAATGATTTATAATCATTTGGGCATATACCCAGAAACGGGATTGCTGGGTCAAATGGTATTTCTAGTTCTAGATCCTTGAGGAATTGCCACACTGTCTTCCACAATGGTTGAACTAATTTACACTCCCACCGAAAGCGCAAAAGCATTCTTGTTTCTCCACATCCTCTCCAGCATCTGTTGTTTCCTGACTTTTTAATGATCTGCATTCTATTGGCCTGAGATGGTATCTCGTTGTGGTTTTTATTTGCATTTTTCTAATGACCATTGGTGATGAGCTTTTTTCATATGTTTGTTGGCCGCATAAAAATCTTCTTTTGAGAAGTGTCTGTTCATATCCTTTGCCCACTTTTTGATGGGGTTTTTTTTTCTTGTAAATTTATTTAAGTTCCTTGTAGATCCTGGATACTAGCCCTTTGTCAGATGAATAGATTGCAAAAATTTTCTCCCATTCTGTAGGTTGCCTTTCACTCTGATGATAGTTTCTTTTCCTATGCAGGAAGCTTCTGAATGTTGAATCACAGTTAGGACAGTTTTTTCTATTCTATGAACTCATGTTTTCTTTTAATGCAACTTTGACTTTGCCATGCCTCTCTTTGTCTAGAAAATGGGAAAGACAATCAAAGAAAAATCATGTAAAATTTGGGAGTGCTAAGACACCTTTCCTTACCTCGAAGTGTCAGGACCTAAAATAAGTTTGTGCATTTTCCTTTTGACATGTAGTCAGTCATCATTTGTATTTGGCTTCAAGTTCCAACTCTTAAAGGGTGGCTATTCCATCTGGAAAGCTGACTTTAAAATATATCAGCTATAACTGGCAGTTTCCTTTGTTTTACCCCATAAGAGATAGACAAGTTAATTGACTACCAGAGTAGAGACTGCATTACGAGTAAAGTAGCAATGGAATTCTAGAGGCTGGTTTGAGTGGCTCATTGGAGTTTGTGTTCATCATTGGCAGAGTTTATGTGTATGTGCATGTATATGACAATCTACAAAGGTGCTCTGTATCACATTTTTTTCAAAGTGATGTTGACTTATGGCCTTTCAAATAATGCAGTGCACTGTGTTGCAGGGAAGCAAGGGAAAGCTTTGTAGAAGGATGAGGTCATGTTTCTACTATAATGTTAGGAAACACTAACTTTGACCCCAGTGAAGGGAAATGTTGTCCTTCCCCCCAAATTCTATTCTTCTCCTTAGTAGATTTGAATTACAAAATACTGTATTTCATTGCATTTTGAATTTTGTTAATAAAAAGTTTGTAGAAATTTGTTTTCAATCTTGTTATATGAGTATCTACATAATATTCTTGATTTTGCCTTTGGGCCTGCAAAGAGTGAAACATTTTCTATTTGGCTCTATATAGAGAATGTTTGCCAATCTTTGCATTAAATAAACGATAACACTTCTGATGGATCTTAAAAGAGAAATTTCAAAGTGATGTGGGAGAGTATAGCTAGGGGAATTAACTAGTCCATGGCATGGATTCACACACTTTAGGGTGCAGAAGAATTCTCACTTTCTCTCTTCCCTCCTCTCCTTCCATCAATAGTAGTCAGATTCAATAGCTTTAGAGTGAAAACAAGGTGTCTGCATTTTAAATGAGAGAATCCAGGTAATTCTGTTGAAGTTTGGACCACTCTGAAAAACCTGCTCTGGGGTAGGGAAGACCTCGTTAAGGAAATAAAATTTAAGCTGAGACTGGAAAACTAAATGAAGCATACACGGGCAGTTTGGAGAAATGTATTCAGGGGAGAATGGACAATGAATGAAGGTAGGAGTTTCTGAAAAAGTGAAAGAAATCTGGGGTTTCTAGTACAGAGAGAGTGAGGAAGGAATGCAAGAGACAGAGGAGACTGGGGAGAGAGACAGAGACTTGCTCCTAGAAGGACGTAAACCATGTTATAGTTTGGACTTGATCCTAAAGACAATGAGAAACCATTAAATATATGTTTTTAAAATAATTATTTTATATTTGCATCCTTATATATTTACCTACATATATACGTAATTTTATGTAAGTGCCCATATATGCATGCCTTTGATGTGTGTGTTGTCCTTTTCTGTTTGTCTTATTGCTTGGTTTCTCTTCTTCTCTTTCCCCAAACTCTCCCCAAGGAATCCATTGTTAAGGACTGAATTGTACCCTCACCCACAGCCAAATTTACGGGTTGAAACTCTAACCCCCAGTGCCTTAGAATGTGACTGCATTTGGACCTAGGGCCTTTAAAGAGGCAATTAAGATTAAATTACATCCTAAGGGAGAGGCCCTAATCCAGTATGACTGGTATCCTTGTAAGAAGGGGGAGAGGCACCAGGGATGATGGGAAAGAGTAAAGACAGTGTGAGCGCTCAACGAGAAGGCAGCTATCTGCAAACCAAACAAGGAAAGAGCCTCAGGAGAAACCAAATCTACTCACACCTTGATCTTGGACTTCAATCCTCCGGAATTGTGAAAAAATAAGTTCCTGCTGTGTAAGCCACCCAGCCTGTGTTATTTTGTTATGGCAGCCTGAGCAAACTAACACACCCATATTAGTATCCTAGATCTTGTGCATCCATAATTTTCTTCTTGATTGTATAATCCTATACAAATATTAATATATATACCTATACTTCATATTTCACTTAACCTAAGATGCCATTAATGAAAGACAGTGATTTTATGTTCTATGTAGAAAGAAAAAATGCTGTCATTCACACTATGACCCAAAGCATGTCTAGAAAATGGGAAAGATGATCAATGAAAAATCACGTAAAATTTGGGAGTGCTAAGACACCATTCCTTACCTTGAAGTGTCAGGACCTAAAATAACTTGGTGCATTTTCCTTTTGACATGTAGTCAGTCATCTTTGGTATTTGGCTTCAAGTTCTGACTTGTCATTTTTATTTTAAGCTTATTAAATTAGTCCTTTTAGATCTATTTAGACATCATTCCTTTGCACACATGAGAAGAAAACTATTAGTGACATTAGTTGGGTGAGATATTTTAAAAACGTTGCCTTTGGAGTCTGACTCTTCTGAATCCCTTTTCAATTCCTAGGCTTTGGGGTATGTGCTTTTCCACACCCCATCATCCTCTGTGCATCCAGAGCTCCCGTGATGCATTATTGCCTGTGACAGTGCCCCACTGTTACCTCTGTGGTATTCCCGCAAGCCTCCAATCCTCCTGCAGTTGGGTGCACATGCTTTGATGTGCATGTGTAGGCAAGGAGGGTGCCGCAATGACTGACACATGGCAGATGGTGACAAAGAGGCATCTTGATATCAGAAAAATTACAATGTGAAAACAATAAGCATTTCAGAGTCAAGGAAATACAAATAGTTTATATATACACACAGAGACATTTTTGAATGGGATAGGTAGTGATTTTTTCTTGTCTCTCTCTTTTTTTTTTTTTTTTTTTTTTTTTTTTTTGTGACGGAGTCTCGCCCTGTTGCCCAGGCTGGAGTGCAGTGGCTCAATCTCGGCTCACTGCAAGCTCCGCCTCCTGGGTTCACGCCATTCTCCTGCCTCAGCCTCCCGAGTAGCTGGGACTACAGACGTGCGCCACTGCACCCTGCTAATTTTTTTTATATTTTTAGTAGAGACGGGATTTCACCATGTTAGCCAGGATGGTCTCGATCTCCTGACCTCGTGATCCGCCCACCTCGGCCTCCCAAAGTGCTGGGATTACAGGCGTGAGCCACCGCGACCGGCCATTTTCCTGCATTTTGCTTTTCTGACTCAACAATACTGTGTAGAACCCTCTCCAAGTCACTTGACATAGCTCTTTTTCATTCTCTTAAGTAGCCTTATACTGTTTTATGGTGCAGATATATCACAGTGTATTTAGCCCGTTTCCCTTTTATGAATATTTATTTTGTTTATGAAGCTTTTTGTGACTCCTAACCATGCTATGATAAGCATTCTTGTATGTATGTTCATAAGTGTTAATGCTTTTATTTCCAGGACTGAAATTACTCAGTTGAAGGATACGGTTACTTTTAATGTATGCTGTAAGGTTTCTCCCCACAAATGCTAGGAAACCTTGTCCTTCCACCAGCAGTGTATGAGAGTATTCTGTCCCCATAGCCTTCATATTTATTTTGGGAGAAATAACGTAGTCTTCTTAACAGGAGAGTGGCTCTCTTGTTTGTTTTTAATACTATTTATTCTTTATATAGTTCTTGTGCATTTCTTGCCAAATTTATTCCTAAGTATTTCATAGTTATTTTTCCTCTTAAAATATTTCCCTCATTTCATTTCCAGGGGATTGTTCTAGAATAAAGTAGGGCTATAATTTTAAAAATATTCAGCTTGTATTCATTCATTTCCTTTCCATATTGTCTTATTTCTGTTTTAAATATTTAGTCATATCATTAGCATTAAGAGAAATCACTTTTTTTCCCAGTCTCTGGAGGCTGGTAGCATTGTTTTCTTCATGGCTGTTTTCTCTCGAAGGAAGACGTGGCACCTCCATGGCTACCAGAGGTACTGTTCATTCCATTTTCCTCCTTGTAGAATAGCTTTAATTTCCCTTTACCATTCCTCTTCTCTCTACACTCTTGAGAGCATGTTTGACTTCCTCCTCTCTCTACCTTCCACCCCCAACTCCTACATTTTTGTTGAGATAGTGTTTTTTCTTACAATATTTCCCACTTATTTCAACAGTCCTTATATAAAATAAATTACACACTATTGTCTTAGTCTGTCTTGTGTTGCTATAACTAAATACCACAAAAGAATAGAGGTTTATTTAGCTCATAGTTCTGAAGGCTGGGAAGTCCAAGAGCATGGCACCAGCATCTGGTGGGAGACTTCCTGTTGCATCATGACACGGCAGGGAGATCACTTGGCAAAATGGAGCAAGCATGCTAGCTCAGGTCTCCCACCAAGGGGGCCCCACCCTGATGACCTTATCTAGTCCTAATTACCTTTCAAAGTCCCTACCCTCAATCAACATATGAATTTGGGAATGTTTCATATGTTTCCGACACATGAAATTTGGGGAACACATTTAAACCATACCACCTATATACTACAGAAATAGACTATGTATTTTCATTAAGGTTTAAGTGTACACACATGTTAAGGATCACAGCTCAGTAATTTATTTCTTTTTATGTTCTTCCATCTTCAAGTGTCTGTTCTGGTTAATTTAGTGTTTTTTTTAAATTTTTTCCTCAGATATTTTCCTCAGAGGGAACACTTGAGTAACATATTTTTTTGTTCTTTCCTGTGTTGTAGTATTTTTTCATTCATCTGACAAGGGAATAGTATCTTGGCTGAGTATCTTAGTTCATAGTCCTTCCCATTCAATTATCTGTAGATACTTTCCCCTGACTCCTAGCTCTCTGGGTTGTGGGTGAGAAGTCAGATTTTTTCCCCCCATAATCTCTGATGGGTTGGTTTTTACTATGTGTATGCTTGTGAAATTTTCTCTTTCTCTTTAAAGTTCAAGAATTTCAACTTGCCTGTATGTGGTTCTTCTTGTCAATCCAGCTGAAACTCTATACAAACCCTTCCTATCTGAGAACTCAGATCCTTCTTCAGTTCAGGGAACTTTTCTTTATCCTTTATTGAATTATTACCTTTTCTTCACCTGTTCTGTTTTCTCTTTTAGCAACACCTATTATTTTTATATTAACTCTTACTGATCCCTCTAGTTCTCTTTTTTTCTGGATCCTTTAAATTTCTTTTTTTTGTTCAGTACTTTGAAGTATTTCTTGCATTTGATCTTCCAGAGCACTAATTAGAGCCTTAATAATAATCATCTTTAATTTACTGAATTTTCAAAGAAAAATTATATTTTTATGCAAGTAAAGTATTTTAAAACTGCTTTTAGAACAGCTTAGCAACCTTATTTTCTATTCAGGCTCCTGCCTATTTCCTTTGGCAGTTCTGTTTCATGAGAACTCATTTTGAGTGTTCTACCTGATCTTCCTTTCTCTGGTTTGCTGGGACCTCTTAGATGGACTGTTAGTTTTCCCTGTCCACTCTTTAAGACTCAAGTCTGGTTGTTGAAGTGTCCTTAATGATGGGAATCCTACAGGAGGTAAGAAGCAAAATGGGTTTATGGTCTGTGGGCCTGTAGTGTAAAGGCAGGATGTTAGCATTCTGCTGAGATCCCTGAAGAAACTCCTATGATCTCCCTTTAATCACTCAGCTTAGGAGAAGGGAAAGTTTATTCACCTGTTCTACCTCTCTTGGCTTTGGAAGGGTCTGCAAGATCTGACATACTTATACAAGGTTGATGTTAACTTTGAGGAAATGGAGGCAAAGTTGGGATCCACAAACCCCTGACTGACAAGTCCTTTCACCTGCATATCTACATCTACAGGTCCTGGCTATCACCTCTGGTCTGCTGTTGACTGTCTAGCCCTAAAGGGAGGGAATTCCACACCAGCTCTGTGTGAAGAACTTTATAGAACCCAAGGTCTTACTCACAGATCTCAGAACCTGCCAGATGCTGGAGAAGCAAGTAGATCATTCTGGGAGTGCTGAGAAGGGCACTTTGCTCAGATCCCCATGTTCCAGAACCCCAGTATGTGTCTGTTGTTGAAGGATTTTAAGCATAGGTGTGACATGGCCGGATATGCATTTGAGCAAGATTGTAATGCTGAAGGCAGAGAGACGAGTTAGGAGATTGCTGCAGAGTCTGGAAAAGAAATGAAGAGGTTTAGACTATGGTGGTCACACAGCAGAAAGAAAGGAGTGAATGGATTTGAGACTTATTGAGGAGGTCAATTCTATAGAGCAGATTGATTAATTAGAGGTGATGGCTATGGAAAAGGCAGGCATCAGCAATTAACATGCTATATTAATAGAATTCAGAAGACCATCAATCCAAAATCAGATATTCAGAGGATCTGCATGAACCTTGGCAAAAGAAATATAAAAGTTTAGGCAAAGCAGTTTGTGCTCAATCCTAAAGAGAATCTGAATTAAAAAAAATGTAAAATCAAAAGAAATAGCGTCTAATTCATTCATTTGCAGAATATTTACATAGCTCCTAATCTGTGCTAGTCACGATGCTAGGGGTTTCAGATATATCTGTGAGTATGAAACTGTACTTGTCATTAAGAAGGCAATTGTGTCTGTCAGAAAGTTGGACAGAAATGCATATGGCTGGTCTACTCTGTCAAAATTATTCGAACATGTAATTAGAAGAAGCACACAAACCTTTTTATAATGAGATAGTACATTAGAATAGGAAGGGAAAGCCTTTCAGATATTAATTTTGTGTTTGTTCCTTTTTTTAGTGAGAGCAGCTCCAGCTACTTCATAGTAGGCGAGGGGGTATCACAGGAGAATCTCTAAGTGTATGTTGTAAAAGAAAGACAAAGGACCTTGAAATTATTTAGAAGGGTCAGGGCAAACCATTTTAGCATCACTTGAGGGGAGGTGACTGGGTCTGGTCTAGTAGGTGGTGCATGCCAGCACTGGTCCTGTGTAGCACTCCTGGGGCCTTCTTAGACCTGCCTTTGTGAGCTGAGAGCTGGAGAATGTAGCCCAGACCTGGCAAGGTGTGAGAAGCTGGTGGCTGAGTGTGACATGGCAATTGTCTCTCCTCAGGGTCCCAGTGGGGAAGGGCTTTGCTCCAGCACCCATCATGGCTGCAGTGGAGGTATAGCCTTCTCACTGCCCTCATGTCTGGCCTTTAGGAAAAGTGTCATAAGTTTGGGTCAGGGCTCCTCCCAGCCCTGGGTAGACCCACCTCCTGCCCCCAGAGTCAGCTGCCCTGGAAGTCCTGAGCTTCATCTTACCCATGAGGGGTGCACAACAAAGCACAATTCCTATGAGTTATACTGAAAGAATCAAATGGTCTTTCCTGAGATGTGCAGGCCTATTTGAACAAAAATACCTTTCACAGAGGATGTGAGAAATGAAAGGGCTTCAACTCAAGGGGCAAGAGTCAGCTTGGCTGAGACTTATCCTAAATATCCATGGACGACCTAGTGAAAGCCATTTCCATTTCTTGACTTGACAGTTGTATCCAGTTTCTCACATTCAGATGCAATCTGCCAAGCCAGCTTTACTTAGTCACAAGCAACCCAAAGCCCTGGTCAGTGCCTCAAGGCAGGACTGAGCTATGTTGGATCCTGGCTGGCAGACCCCTTGTATGTGATAGGGGTCTGATGGCCATGGACTTGATTCTCGACCATTGGCTGCTCTTATTGACACATCAGGGATTTAAGCACTTATACTCTGGGGACAGAAAATGTGTAGAGGGACCCCATGGTAACTCTTGGAAATGAAGGCACAAATTTTCTGTATTCTGGGATTCTTTCAGGCATCTGTTGGCATGAATAAGAAAAGAATGATCAAGGTCCTCACATGGAGAACCCCACCCTGTCACATTATTGAAGAGGAGTCTTAGTCATTTTGGGGAATATTCCTGAGAATCCACCCACTGGTTCTGGGAAGATGTAGCAATTCTCCATTTATGAGTTGGAATTTTTAGTGAACAGATAAGTGAGCATGAAAGAATTTGAAAACCAGCTGTGGATGTGGAGAAGAGGAATGGTGGTGATTTTACCAGTGATATGGGCAGTTATTCTTCTGCCAACATGCCATAGATATTTATGCTTCTGCTCCTTGATCTGTTCTCCCTGCACCATGTTCTTTCTGTAAACTCTAGGGATTAAAGCTGAAGGCAGCGCCTCAAATGATGTAAGAAGGCAGCAACCAGGACAGTAGGAAAGATGGGTCCAGGGAGGAATGGAGGGGGGTGAGGGATGGCGCTGGCTGCCTACCTGGTGGAAGTACAGCTGGAAACCAGGAGCAGCATTAGCAGGAGACCCAGAGACACTCACCTTCTGGGAATTCCTCACCTTCCCTTCCTCCTCCCTGACCTGGGCTTTCTGTACACTGCCAGGACAGTGATGAATATGGGCATAACTGTGTTGATAATGTGGACTTGGCAACTCTGATGGTTTTATAAAGGGCTTCCGCCTTCACTTGGCTCTCATTCTTCTCTCTCTTGCCACCATGTGAAGAAGGATGTGTTTGCTTCCCCTTCAGCCATGATTGTAAGTTTCCTGAGGCCTCCCCAGCCATGCTGAACTGTGAGTCAATTAAACCTCTTTCCTTTATAAATTACCTAGTCTCAGGTATGTCCTTATAGCAGTGTGAGAATGGACTAATACAGGGACATTTCCAATTTTCAAAAGTACTCTATGGAATCACTTTTATTGTTCTATATTTTTACTTGGTAAATTATTTTATAGATTATTTAGATAGGTTGTAAGTTGAATGTTCCCAAATTTAGTGTGCAAGACAGCACTGTTTTTTTATAGTTAATATTCCACAGTATGAGTCCTAGGCTAGACCCCTGGGGACCCTGGGGACAGAGCATACACTTGGTCTACCTTTTTTTTGATCCATATGGTATCTTTTTAATACTTATGAGGTAGTTTTCTTGCCTTGTCTCCTCCATACATAGGCCTGATGGGATTTGGCCCCCTACATAGGTCTAGCTAAGTCTCTCTCTCTCTCTCTCTCTTTCTCGCTCTCTCTCTCTGTGTGTCTGTGCCTCAACAGTTAAGACAGACCGATCTGCTCTATAGATTAAGTTATTTTAGATCTATGAGAAAAGGAAGAGGGGGCTCTTCAGTGGTTTTCAAGCTTAGGCTTATTCTCCAGCCTCTTATTCTTCCCAGAGAACCTGGCACTGTGGGTATCTTGTGCTTACTCAGCCATTACTAAAGCACTGCTCCATTTCTCGCTGTGACATTGGTCCTTATGTGTATACTCAGAACTCCAAACATATGGATCTGTGATTTATTCTTATAATTATTTTTACTTATTAAGAAATGATGTGCCACTAACTTTATAATTATTCTACCTTAATGAGATGTGCTCTGCTGCACATCATCTGTGTACCTCAGTTTCCTCATATGTAATATGGAGGTAATGACAAAAGTATCTGCCTAACAAATACAAAACCTAATAAGGCAGACACTTGTCGTTACCTCCATATTACAGATGAGGAAACTGAGGCACACAGATGATGTGCAGTGGAGCAGTTTTGAAGTCAGGCAGTTTAGCACCAGAGCCCAAATACATAACCCCTATCCTACATTCTTGCAACTGCAGGCATGGTGAGCTCAGTGTGGCAAGAGACTCATCATAGACCAGTACTGATGCCTGTGCTCAGACACGGCCAAGATCAGTCACCACCAAGCATGCTTCAAGAGTTCCACCGCTTTCTGTTGTGTGGACTGTGGACTCATTACTCAATCTCTCTGTGTCTCAGTTTCCTTACCTGTGAAACGAGGATAACAGTAATGGTACTTAACTAATAAGGTTACTGTGAGTGTTGACACATGCAAAGTGATTAAGAAAGTGCCTGGCACACTATAAACCCTCAATAAATGTTAACTATCATTACTATTAAAAAAGGAAAAAACAGTGCTAGGGGGATGAATGGCCTACTTTTTAGGAAGCAGCTTCCTCCTAAAAACCCACAGGGATTAGAAGAGCAAAATCTTGCACCTTCTCTGTGTGGATCTTGTGGACCAAACCTGGAAAATTTATTTTCATCTGTTGAATAGTAATACCACAACATGGGAAATAATAACTCTAGAACAATGTTTCCCAAATATTGTTCCAAGGAACCCTAGTTCTGTAAGCTATTAGTAGATGTACAAAGAGTTTCATGGTCAAGTAAATTTGGGAAATTATACTTTAAATAGATGTAAACAGGTTTCTTTGTTGTAGGAGTTTTCAGAGCCTTTGGCATGCTAACAGTGACAGTAAATCTCCAAGAAGGAGCTAGAGCATGCATTTCTTCCTCCAGATTTGACCACAAAATCCATCCCCTCCTGCCCCCAACATACAACTCTTTTACTTGTTTGGGGCATCACATAGGAAGAAAGGCCACTCTGGGCTTACAGCAGAATGCTAGAAGATGGCAAATTCCTCAGGAGCAGGAACTTTTCTGTTGTATCAATCTGCCTCCCCAATACTATAAGCACAAAGGGCCAATAATATTGTTGCCCTTAATCACTTTCTTGGGGATAACACGTCCAGCATCCTGAAGTGTTCTCATCAGGTTAAGAAACATAACCTGTGGCTGGGTGCAGTGGCTTACGCCTGTAATCCCAACACTTTGGGAGGCCAAGGCGGGCACATCATCTGAGGTCAGGAGTTTGAGACCAGCCTGGCCAATGTGGTGAAACCCTGTCTCTACTAAAAATGCAAAAATTAGCTGGGCATGGTGGCGGGCACCTGTAATCCCAGCTACTCGGGAGGCTGAGGTAGGAGAATTGCTTGAACCCAGGAGATGGAGGTTGCAGTGAGCTGAGATTGTGCCACTGCACTCCACCCTGGGTGACAGAGTGAGACTCTATCTCAAAAAAAAAAAAAAAAAAAAAAAAAGAAGAAACATACCTGTTTTCTTCTCCCTTTGCAAGGTGTTCTTAGCTATTCAAGGTGAAACTCTTGCATTTTTATAGTTCCTTTTCAAAGGATTCTTTCAATATTACCTCATTTTACCCTACTGGGTAATTTATTTTTAGCCTCAAATCCAATTAATCCAAAGGTGTTAGGGGAATCTGATCTGATATTTGTCTATTTAACCCTTTCTTCAGGAAAGTACTGAGTTTTCTCTATTCTGCATAGAATTGCTGCTCTATAACGATAGTTGATTAAGAAAGAAGGAACATAAAATTCATGTGACACAGTTGTGGTCCCACAGAGATCACAAGGTATTTTAGGGAAGACAAAAAGTTAAAGAGGTAAAGATAACAATAAAAAATGTGTTTCTAATTTAATATGTTCACAATAGTTTACACATGGGGCTGCAACTAGACCATGTTGGAAAGAGAATAAGTAAAATAAAAGCTTGAAAAACAATCTCATTTTGTGGATTGAAACATTTTAGGGGAACTATTTGCTTTAAATTAATTCCAAGGTCCTGCAATGAAATTTGGATCCTTTCTCCATCGCTCTGTGGTGAGGGGTGTAGGGACAGAGGGAAAATAGATACAGAAAGAGTTTTGAAGTGTTTAGATTCAAACTAACCCTCTGTAGAAAGGCTGGAAGAGAGGGGTGTGAAAAAACTCATCAGTTGGCAAATTCTCAAAATAGTTTTTCTTTCATCATGTTTCCCCCTCTTTTCCCTCAGGTTCTTAATTCTGAGATAGGCGTGATAAAGGGGCCCAGCCTGCCTGCTCTTGGAACCCAATTCTAAAAAGGGAATGCTCAGAATCTTCTAAAGAAACCTGATCAATTAGAGAAAGTTTTCCTGGTTTGAGCATTGAGAGGAGGGCTGGGGCAACCCATCTGATGGCTCTCACCAGGGACCAAAGCAGGTGTCACTCCCTCCTGGCATACGGCCAGGATGGAGACACTCAGGAGAGCAGATTGGTTGTGAAGGGTTTGTACTGGCACCAGGAGAACTCAGAAAGCACCTTTTTCTCCCCTCTCTCCTCCTCTTCTCTCCTCTCCCCACCTCTCTCCTCCCCTCCCTTCCTCTCTTCCTTTTTGCTTTATTCTCTTCTTCCTTTCTTTTTTATATGATAAGAAAAGCAATCCACAACTCTTTATCCAAATCCCCCATGTGAGGTATGTTTTGGAATTCAGAATATTCCAAGCTTTAGAAAGGTAATTGAGTGATAGATGTAGTCATACATCTATTATGGCGTAATATATATACCCCAAGCAAGGTCTGAGGAACCACTTTTTTATTATTTGCAGTTTAATTCATGGATATTATCATTCAATAGCAAACAGATTGACTATGAATAACTTCACATTAGGCTAGTTCAGGTTTTGCATTTACAAAAACCTTTCCATTTTCAGAGCTTTTGGATTTTGGCATCTTGGATAAAGGCATGTGGACTTTAAAAAATCCCCCTTGATTACATATAATCAGAATACCTTGATTTTACTTGCACAGTTTGATGAGTTTTAACAAATGTGTTCACTCACAATCAAGACACAGAATGCTTCTACCATCCCAAGATTTCCCTCGTGTCCCCTCAGTGTAGGCCCAGGCCACTGACCTACTTTCTATTACCATAAGCTTAATTTGTTTTTTTCCTAGCGTTTTCTGTAAAAGAAATCATAGAGTATTTACTCTTTTTATGTCTGGCTTCCTTTGGTCAGCTTACTGTTCCAAAGACTCATCCATTTTGGTGCATGTATCAATAGTTCGTTCCTTTTCATTGCTGAATAGTATTCCATCGTTGATGTACCACAATTTGTTTATCCACTTACCTGTTGATGGACATTTGCATTTTTCTTCATTTTGGCTGTTAGGAATAACAATTATAAACAATTGTTTACAAATTAAAAAAATTATTTGGCTAAGTAACTAAAAGTAGAATTACTTGATCAGAGCATAAGTGTATGCTTTACTTTAGAAGAAACTCTACAGCTGTCTTTTAGTGGCTTTACCATATTGCCTTCCCAGCAGCAGTGTATGAGAGTTTTGGTGGTTCCACATCCTTGATAACATTTGGTATTGTCAGTCTTTTAAAATTGTAGTTGTTCTGGTGGCTTAATGGCACCTTTAATGAGGTTTTAGTTTGCATTTCCCTAATGACTTAAGAGAAAGTCCTTAGCCAAATTAAACTTAACAGAGTTAATTGAGCAAAGAATGATTCTCGAATCAGAGTAGGCTCAGAAAGACTCCAGTGCAGCTACGTGGTGGAAGATTTATGGACAGAAAAAGAAAAGGGGCATACAGAAAATGGAGGTGAGGTATAGAAACAGGCAAATTGGTTATAGCTTGGTGCTTGCCTTATTTGACCACAGTTTGAACAGTTGGCCCCCTTTGATTGGCCAAAACTCAGTGATTGGCACAAGAGTAGGTTACAGTGTGTTTATACCTCCATTTAGGTAATAGTTCACAATGTACAGAGAAACCTTTAGGCTGAACGTAAAATATGTAAGGAAGCAGCTTTAGGTTAAACTTGATTTAACTTGATTAATGATACTAAACATTTTTTTCATGTGCTTATTTACCATTGCTGTAGTTTATTTTGTATAGTGTCTGTTCCATTTATTAAAAAAATTTAAAAATTGAGTTGTTTTTATTATTGAGTTGGAAGGGTTTTATTTTTTTAAATGTATTCTGGATACAAGTCTTTTGCCAAGTATATGTAGTGCAAATATTTTCTTTCAGTCTGTAGCTTGCCTTTTTATTTTCTTAATGGGTATCTTTCAAAAAAATGGAAGTTTTAAGTTTGAATGGAATTCAGTTTGTCTTTTAAAGCTTGTGCTTTTTGTGTTCAACTAAGGGATATTAGCTTACCATTTTTTTTGGTTGAATATTATGTGTTTATAGACAAGAAATGGTCACTAAAGCAAAATAACTGAAAATTATCTTAGAATATGAAGGCAACTGATGTTTTTGAGCACCTGCTATATGCCTGGCTCTATGCTTAAGACTCTCTTATGTCATTAATCTTCAGAGCAAACCTCTGGAGTTTTTAAAGGGTATGTAATAGAAGTTCAAGGGATGTTATGTAACTTGGTCAAAGTTATACAGCTGCTCAGCAGAGAAGACAGAATTTGAAATTAGGTCTTTTGAATAATGATAATAATAATGATAGCTTCCATTATGGAATACTTAACTCATGCCATTCGTACTGTACTAAGTGCTTCATGTGGAGTAATTTAAACTAGTCATCACAACCATCCTATGAAATGAATAATATGATTTTACAGATGAGGAAGCTGAGGCCCAGAGATGGTAAGTATTCTGACCAATGCCATATAGCTCTTAGGCTCGGCTTTCCCTGCTTTATTCCAGTCTCTTTTAGGATTCATATTTAAGATGGTATGTGTTGGGTTGCACATCTTTGGTATGTAAGTCACGACACTTCTAGGAAGCTTGGTTCTTCACTGGCCTGGCTACAAAACAGTAGTTTCTGTAGGTGAAGATTTAAGAAGGGATTGCAATCATTTTTCTTTGTTTCAGTCCTCCAGTTCTGTAATTATTTCCTAGGAAGTTTGTTTAGAACCCCATTCCAGAGAATCCCTGGGTATTTGAAATGTGTTTGCACCCATTTAATCAAGTTTTCCTGAAAATGCAGCATCTTGGTTTTGACTGTTTGTGCTCTGATTTTATAGGCTTAATCTAATGGTTTGATTCCAGATTCCCAAAGCACTGCTTTTGATTTGAAAGGATAATTTTTGCATTGCCTATAGAAGTTTGCATTTTACAATAATTTTAAAAGAAGGTACCTCAAGTTGCAAATATGGCCTAATATAAACCTTGCTTCACTACTTCCATCAGTATCATTTCTCTTTAGAGCTGCATCTCATCATTTTCTCTTCTCTTCCAATATGTTTTATTATAAAATCAGACACATTAACTATTTCTCAGTACACTGTCACCTCCAACTTCACCATAGAAGTCTCTGTGAGTCTTATTTATTCTCATTCTCTCTCACTCAGACACAACGCACAGCAACACATGTACACACATGCACCCACATTTAGGGTTAAGAAACTTCTATGAAGAGGTTTGGTGTGCTGTGATATCAGACCTCAAAAAAAAAAAATTTCTAGAAGTCACTCTTTTCCCTCATCTTAAAGTGAAAAAGCTCTAGATTATCTTCTATGAAACATCTATGAGAACAGGTGATGACTCACTCAAAAGATGGGTTACCTTTATGAAAAGTGTAGAATTTCTCATGAGGACAATGGGCCAGAGTATATGAAATCTGAACTGCTCAGGTCACGAGGTCACTAGATCTCTCTCTCACATAAATGATTCGGGACAGCCCACCTCTTTCAGCGGTAGCCATTAAAATTGGTCTTCTCTCTCTCTCTTTTTTTTCTTATAATATGTATAATCTTTTTTTTTTTAAATTTTACTTTAAGTTCTGGGCTCTTCACTGGCTTCCTTTTAAAGGGGAACTTGTTGTACATAGGCCTGAACTCTCGTCATCTTTTAGACTGGAAACGTCAGCTCTCAGGTACCAGGAATGGGGTGGGATGACAAAGGGCATTGGGCCCTGGACACTCCTCAGTTTGAGAACTAGCTCATGACACCAGCCTTTCAACTGTGTGTACCGCTAAAGGTGTATGTTGACTTTCCAAGTGGTACGTGTGTGCAGAAATTGATTTTAATCAATTTCTGATCTTTGCTTGTCTTCCATTTGTATTTTTTTAATGCTCTCTGAGAACTCACCTGTATTCATATTTACCCCTAAGTAGAATCTTATTCTGGTGGATTGTCCCAGAGTGTAAACACCTCTGTGACCAAACAAAGTCATAAATAGAAATATTGTTTTAGAGAAGCCTAATTAAAGTATCTCAAATTGGTGAGGATTTTCTATCTTGCCCTGTTTTGTACATATTTCCATTTAGGGTAGAGCTGAATCTGTATTGAGATGCTCTGAATTCAGAACCTCCAAAATGGTGTAGGTTAATAATTATGACTCTTTAAAATGTATATTTAATTTTTAATATGGAGTGTTTTCTCAGATTACAAAATTTTTCAAGACACATTTGCCAACACCCTTGGATAAAAGTTATACATGATTTCTTTTGGATTTGGTATATTATTGCCTAAGGTAGCAAAAGCCTATTTTATCACATTGTGCAATGAACTATTTACTCTGAATTTTAAAGATTTTCTACCTACTATTAAAAATATGCTTTCAAATGTATGATGAAAATTTCAGATTACTACTTAAAAAGTGTGAAGAGGTTCATAAGTTTTCTAAGTTATTTTAGGGATATGTGAGCAGGAGAAATGGCAGACTACTGATGTGAGACTGTGCTAGAATGTCCAGTGCTCTCTGACCTCCAGGAAGACGGTTGAAGCCTTGGTGGAAGTGATTCATTGAAGATCTGCCATGCACTTGTATGTGGACAGGTGACTCACTGATGATGTGCCATGCACTTGTACACGAACAGGTGACTCACTGATGGTCTTCTATTCTTGTACGTGGAGAGGTGGCTCACTGACCACCTGCCATGCACATGTATATGGACAGGTCCAAATCCAAAAACAAATCATGTGTAAGTTTTATCTCTGGGTGTTAGCAAATGTATCTTGAATAATTTGGTAGTCGTAGAGAACATCCTATTTAAAAGATTAAACATACATTTGAAAGAGTCAGTATCAGCTGGGCGCGGTGGCTCATGACTGTAATCGCAGCACTATGGGAGGCGGAGGTGGGCAGATCATGAGGTCAGGAGATAGAGACCATCCTGGCTAACACAGTGAAACCCTGTCTCTACTAAAAATACAAAAAATTCGCCATGCATGGTGGCACGCGCCTGTAATCCCAGCTACTTGGGAGGCTGAGGCAGGAGAATCGCTTGAACCTGGGAGGCAAAGGTTGTAGTGAGCCGAGATCGTGCCACTGCACTGCAGCCTAGGTGACAGAGGAGATTCTGTCTCAAAAAAAAAAAAGAGAGTCAGTATCACTACTCTGCCCCATTTTGGATGTCCTGATTTTGGAACATCACAATAAGGATCCAGCTCCACCCTAAAAAGAAATACATACAGAGATGATAATTAGTTATTATCAGTGACTTTAAAACATACAGAGATGATAATTGGTTATTATCAGTGACTTTAAAACATTTTCATGAATAACTCTTTTTATATATCCACTTGTTAATAAACTTCATTTTCTCTCTATGTTAATATGGCAAAAAAGCCAAACAAACCAATTTTGACTGATATCCTTTTCAAACTTCTTGAAAGTTTTTGTTTATGGCATATCTTGTTTTATTTATTTCTATTGAGAATATTGGTTCTGATGTAAAATATTTCAATTACCTGCCACATTTGAGGAGCCTAATAAGCACTGTGTAAATTGAAGAAGTGTAGAACATGGCTTAAAGCCAGGTAGCCCTCATAAATGTAATTTTTACTGTGCAGCTGCATTTATCCTCAGAGGAAGAACAGTACTTGAAATACAGCAGTTTAGTGACCTGGTTTTTTAAAAAAGCCAAAACAAACAAACATAACACAACACAAAAACTATGCCTAAACAAGGAAAAGTGGAGGATATAATAAAAGGAACATGAAAGTAGCTTGCGCTTATAATAGATTTAGAAAGACTAACACCTAAATAAGCTGGGACTTTCAGAACATTCTAGCAACCATGAAAAAGAAGTTAAAAAAGTGTTGGGAGAAACAGAAGAACCAGGCAGGCCAAACTTGCTGCTTGTAGTGAGGGATGTACTGTAGACAGGTGAGGGAGAAATAAAGGACAGTTTACCTGTTATTTTCCTTTTGTCTTTTCTGTTTGGGTAGAAAAAATATGAAGAGGAAACTGAAGCCCAAGTAGAAGAAGCAGGACCTATGTGTTCTCAATTAGCTCAGCAATTCTGGCCAATAACTCTTAGAATCCTATAAAAACTAGAGAATAAAATTGATGAACAACTGTTAGGGCTATTTGAGGATTGGAAATGAGCAAGTAGCATTCTAATTTAAAAAAATAAAACATGAAAGTGGTTTCATGAATGCTATAATGTACAAATATTTGTTAAGCATTTACTGGGTCCCAGGCACCATGCTGGGGCTGTACCAGGGAACTGAGGGACACTGCCCTCACCTTCTTGGAGTGTGCAGTCAGTGGGAGGCACAATGCCGAGTGGTTTGGGAAGGGAAATATAGGGTGCATGAGATACTGGTCAAGTGCCCTTTCTAGATATGAGAACCACAGTTTGAATTTCCGGTCAACAGTGTAGAATAGATCATCAAAGCGCTGATTTGGGAAGTAACGAAGCAGTGGTCACAGGGACTTCCCATGACTTCACCAAGTCACCACCACCAACCCTACTTCTTTCCTTGACAGGGGATAATTTGAAAATCTTTCTTTCATTCGTTCATTCATTCAACAGCACCAAATGAAGAAAGTGTTTTTTAAGCATCTATTATGTTTCAGGAGCTGTTATAGGCACTAGGGATATGGTAGTGAACAAAAGGGTTAAAATCCCCGCCCTCTTGGAACTGACATTCCAGCGGTAGATTCAGAAAACAGACAAGATAAAGATAAAATACGTATATGTTAGATGTAGGTAAGTCCTAAAATGTCAGCAGGATAGAGGGGTTTGAGTTGTTTGTGCAGGAGGTTGCAATTTTATATAGTGTGGCCAAGCAAAGTCTCACCGAGAAGGTGACTGTGAAGTAAAGAATAGTATGTCTTAAACATTCAAAATCCTTGGCCATAATTAGTAAACTTGAAAACAGTTTTTGCAGCTTGTTGTGGGAGGCCAATAATGTTTTTCAATATAAAATTATGGTATTAAATATGCATTTTCAAATCTACACATTCTCTAGCTTCTCACCATGGGGACTCTGATGTGCCTCCTAGGGTGTTGTGTCATGCTCCTGAGTTGAAGGGAAGTCACAAAGGTCTCTAAGTTTCCTAAGTCACTGGTCTCGGCCCAGTCCTCTCAGTTTTTTAAAAAATCCATGTCTTGCATGGAAGCATATAGCAAATCATTACATTTGCGGAGGTCTTAAGTAATAGCAAATACATCACATGATGAGCTCTGAACTTAATAGGACCTTGAGTAACAGTTGGTTATCTCTTTGATTTTTAAGTACAGGGAAGATGTCAGAAGGCTGGAATATTGAAAATGTAGTTTTAAATTCAAAATTAAAGAATTAGACCATAACCAACTGACCACTGAGTCAAATATGGCCAAGAATCTGGAGTGTATAAATAAAAGGATGGTTTGTGACTACTCTGAAAAGGAAGCAACATGATGTGGCCTCCCATGCTGCTCTCGTTCTGTCGCAAGACATGGTTCCCACACTGGCAGAACAGAATCAAAGAGTCTAAAGCAGAGTAATATAGTCACAAAGGCACGTGATTTACTGTCAGGGGACCTTGGTTTGGGTCTTAGCTTCACATCTTATTTATGTGGTTAGAAAAAATTGCCTAACCTTTGAAAATCTTAGTTTCATCATATGAAAATGATGAAAATAATACCTTTATTATAAGTTGCTATCAGGGTCAAGTGAGAGAGAGAGAGAGAAAAGCAATTTGTAAAGCATAAAGTATGAAATAAACATCAGTTATTCTAGGTTGGAGAAATGTTGCTCAAATGATAGTAGCTACCTAAAGTGCCTATGAGAACTTAACTAACTTAAGGAAGGAGTAGCACCTAGAGCAAGAGCAGTGATAATTGACATTGTCTTTGACGTGGGAAGAGTCTACCTGAAGGTCTGTAGTTAGGTCTATATTTTTAGAGGTACATAGAAAATTGGATTGTGACTACAAAGCCTCATGAGAATAGTGAGAAGACTGGATACCATCCCCATGAGGAATATTTGAAGGGATTAATAAGTCTTGAAAGTGGTGATAGTGGTCATGGTAGGAGTGAGGTAACCATCTTCAAATAGTTGAGGATTACCAGGTGGTGAAAGGATTTAGTTTGTTCTGTTTAGTTTTGAGGGGTAGCAATCGAGCACAATAGATGAATCTAGACTTCTGGTCACAGAAAGACAGGGCTTTTTGATAGAGGTATGGCATGGTTACAGCAGGACCAGAGAAGTCCTCACCAGTGGAGGCTTCCAACATGGACTAGATATCCACCTGGCAGGGGAGAAAATTCATGGACCAGATGGATGGTTAGGCATCATGACCCCTTACAATACCTTAAAAGCTATTGCAATAAATATTTTAAAAAGCCATAAGAAGAAATAAAGAGCAATAATCCACAAAAGTGGTGCAAATGAAAACCTAATACAGTATAACAAGTATTTTCTTAGTATTTACTATGTATCATAAGTAATCTAAAGTGCCTTCCAACCTCACAAGTCCATCATTTCATGACATCGTCTATCTATTTGTTTATCTTTCTATATATCCATGTAATATTCATGAACATACTGTACTGTCATCTTCCGGAAGCTCTGTTATGACTGCAGTTTCCCTATTATTTAATCCTGTGTTTAGAAAGGTCATTTAAACTGAGATGTAATCTTTAATTTTTTCCCGCCCTGCTTTGGCTGCCTGACTCGTCTTAACCATTCATGTGCCTTAGAAACTGCAGACTCCAGAGAGCCTTCATATTATGTGAAAGGATTTTCCAAGGCCAAGCTAATTGCATTCAATCTTTATCTCAAATGAAAGAACAACTTTGATCTGTCAACTGTGAAAAGTAAACTGGGCATGACCTTCACTCATCACCAATCATCTCACTTAATGACGTTTGTTAACTTTATTCTGATATTAGATCATGGTCCTTCTTTGTTCTGTCAGAGTTTTTTCATCTAAAGTCTAACTATTTCCATTTATATGTATAAGGAGAGCTTAGAAGCCCAGTGTGTTGGATATGAAGTTTATTGAAATACATCTCAAATTTTAAAGACAGTTTGTTGTATTTGCTATTTGCCTAAGAAAGTGGAGAAAATGAAGAGATCGACTTTAAAGTCAAATACACATTAAAGTACTCACTTCATTGCCCTTGACACCCTGAGCATTTCTTTTGCTGTGCGATTGTGTGTTCTAGCTCAGTTGCTTCTGTTTTACCTTTTCACCCGGAAGGCCCCCAAATGACAATTATTGCTTCTTAAAGAATACAACTTCAGAGAAGCTGTCACCGTGAATCAGGCTAGACCCAACTTGAAGAAACATCCTGGGATCTGAAATGCTTCAAGTGTTTTATGTGATTGAACCTTTTGTTTGCTGAAAAGGTATCAGAGCACCCAAAGCAGGTTATCTTTTCACAGCATGGCAGAGGATAGGCTAATCCATTTTCTCATGAACAGTCTGAAATAAGCTAAATATAATTAGCTGTATGACACTTTACAGTAATTCTCAAGTATTTTAGTACCTCTTAAAACATTTTCCTTCAAATTCACATTTAAAATTTGTAATCCAAACTGATAGTTTAAATATTCAAACCTGTTTATGACATACACAGATAAGAATTAAAATAACCTGGAAACTATTTGGTTAAAATCACTGGTCTAGGTAAGAAAACTGTGTCTACTATTAAACTGGAATTGACTCAATCCATACTCATTTACTACCTGATGCCCTTGAACTGTGAGCCGTGTCACTCTCTCCCTGTCCCATTCATATCAGAAGGCTAAAATAACTTGGACACAGAGTACAGAAAGTGTTTGCAGCTTCCCCATCCATGGGTTCAACCAAGAGCAAATCAAAAATATTCCAGGAAAGAAACAATGCCCTAAAAACTATTGAAATAAAAAATTTTAAAAAGCCATAAGAAGAAATAAAGAGCAATAATAAAAAATCAATCCCACAAAAAATGATGCAAATAAAAAACTAATACAGCCTAACAAGTATTTACATAGTATTTACTGTGTATCATAAGTAATCTAGAGATGATTTAAAAGTATACATGAGAATATACAGAGGTTATATGCAATTACCATGCCATTTCATACAAAGACTTTGAGCATCCTTGGAATTTGGTATCCAAGGGAGGTCCTGAAACTAATCCCCTGCAGATACGCGGGGATGATTATACATGTAAAATTCCTCATCCTCTTCTTCCCAATACAGGCTTCTATGATGGGATAACAAAAATGGAAGGGAAAAAGAAACAACATGTGTTAAATTTATTTTAAAAATTTATTACACACACACACACACACACACACACACACACACACTTGCCTCAAGTAAGTATGTAGGCAGATAATTATTTTCATAGCTACATTCCTATATATTGAATCAATTGAATTATTAAAGAATGATATAAATCAAATAAAGTTCCTAATCAATTTTATTTCAATATAGCATAAAATTATAAAAAAGCAATAAAGCATTGTCTATCAAATTGCTTTTGTTAGAATGTCCAGTGCTTTTTCATTGAATAAACATGAACAAATATAAACTGTCAGAATTATTATCAGTAATGTGCTGGAAATAATAATCTGCAGTATTGGGGTTAATAACCTGTGGAAGTGACTGGATTTGGTACCTCATTTCTTGAATCTTCCCAGCACGTCACCAAGAATGACAACAATTTTAGACATTTTGACTTGAAATTAGGCTTGAAAATAGCTACTCTCTTGGGGTGAGTTAACATTTAATGTTGGGCAAGTAGAAATGACTGCTGATTTTCATTCTTTATGTTAATTCCATGGGGAGGGTGAGCTAGTAAAACATTTGTGTGAGCTGGTCATTATTTGAAATTTATTTACCAAAGTGGCTTACGTAATAATCATCCCCGTGCTAAATCAGTCAGTCAACAAGTTTTTATTGAGTCCCCATTGGATTAGAGTAATGTACAGTAATGATGTATTCAGTAGTGTACAGATGTATGCAGCAAAGATTAGACATGAGCTCGACCCCCAAGGCCTTACAAGCCATTAGAGGAGACAAACAGACACATATCATCAACTGAAATGTAACCAGATGACTTAACTCCCAGGGCATGGAAGAGTAATGGCTGGGCTGGGATTGTTCTGGAGGGTGATGGGATGGGTTAAATGTGGGAAACTTCCATGATGTAGGTGCCTTGGTCTGGGTTGGGTTGAAGAAAGTTAGTGGCTTGGTAGAGGAGAAAAGCAATTTTGCTTAGTGAATACAGTGTAACTTGGACAAAGACTGAAGTAGAGGATGGGAGTCTGTTTATTTTATCTGGAGGTATAGCAAGATGGAGAAACATACAGGTAAGACAGATAATGGATAGAATTATTTGAAACCAAGATTAGCAGGGTTGACACTGGAGGGGTATAAGTCACATACCCAATAAAGCTCCATTTTAGCTTTGTTGGAATCTGATAGACAAAAAATTGCACGCTTTTAATGTATATGTCTTGATGAGTTTGGATATAAGCATACCAAACTGTGATACCATTACCTTAACTAAAGCAATAAACATATTCATCACCTCCAAAAATGTCCTTGTGTTTGTTTGTGTTTCTCTTCTTCCTTTTCTTTGGTAGGAACACTTAACATGAGAGCTATCCTCTTAACATTTTAAAGTTCACAATACCATAGTGTTAACTATAGGTACTTGTTGTACAGCCGAACTCTAGGATGTATTCATCTTGCATAACAGAAACTTTATATTCATTGAAAAATTTCCCATTTCCCCTTTCCCCTTTCCCCTAGTCTTTGGCAAACGCTGTTTTATTCTCAGCTTCTGTGGTATTCACAGAAGCTATGTGGGTATACCCAGTCTGTGGAATTCTGTTATGGCAGCAGAAAATGGACTTAGACAGATGTCTATCTTTTGTAAACCAGCAATACTCAGTGCATAATTCAGTTTCAGTGAGTATGTTGTCATACTCACACACAGTATGTACTGTGCATTGGAAGTTGGTGAGGAAGGAGGGCAAAACCACGGGGAAAGAGGCAGAATGCCTGTCCTTCCTTACTTTGAAGCTAAATATGCCTCTCTGTGGCTTCTACTGGTTGTTCCTAGTTCATTATCTTCAGATTACACAAAACAGGCCTAATCCCTTTCTCTAGATAGCCCTGTAATGTTTGAAAAGTGTAGGTTTCCCTGAGCCTTCTTTTCTCATGGTGAGCCTTTCTGACACCCTGTCACCCATATTCTCTTCTTAGCTCCTCCCCATCCAGGTTCCCCTAGTGTTGGGCAGCAAAGGAGGTCAGGACTAACACCATCATGGCTCAGGTAGAGGCTTCTGTAAACAGACTATACTGCACCACCACTCTTGGCCACATCTAGTTATTTACTCGTGTTGACCTTAGTGCCACTGAGGACCATTGAGGATTATTGCACACATAAAATTATGTCTCCCCTATTTATAATCACCTATTAATGTCACTTATCATTCATTCACTCTCTCCCTCAGTCATTCTACAAACATTTGTTAAGCATTTACTATGCGTGAGGCACTGTCTTAGGTGATGGGGACATCAGATCTAGCAGAGTGCCTGACATAAATGTGGGAACTTGTGTTTATCTCTGTTGAATATCATCTTGTTGGATTGGGTTGGGATCACCAGTCTTTCTGTCTCTATCTCTTTCTTGCTCTCCCTTCTTTTTGTTTTCTCTCTCTCTCTCTCGGGTGTGTGCATGTGTGTGATATAGACATAAAGATATAGAGTATGCATAGTTTATATATGTATATGTATGTGTGTTTATGCATATATATATATTCTAGTGTTTGTGAAGTTTCCCATTTATGTATTGATGAGTCTAGTTAGGTAGAGGGAAGAAAGTTTATCATGGAGGTAAATTATGGATTATAATCTTAGACAACATTAAAATCATAACTGTTCCAAGATTCTGGGATAGAGAAAAATAGTGTGTGTGTGGGAGATGAGGCTGGTTAGCATATTTGTGATAAGCATGGGTTTTGGAGTCAGACCTCCTGAGATCGAATGTGGGTTCCATCACTTACCTGCTATGTGACTGAGGGCAAAATGCTTAGATTCCCCAAGTTTCAGTGCCATTTGTATACATCCCTGTATACTCAGGAATAATAATAGTTTCTGTTCAAAGGGTTATTGTGGTAATTAAATGAGATTATGTGTATAAAGTGGTTAGTATAGTGTCTGAGACATATTAAAGATCAGTAGATGGTAGATAAAATTATGTAAGAAAAAGAATTGACTTTCAAGGAAGGAAAATGGGACTCGATGTCAAAGTCCATTGGAGCCAACTTTAGAGGCTATTTGAACTAAAGTTGTACTGGGATTTGACATTGAATTTTGCTGGGTTTCAGACCGTTCTGAAAAATATTTTTACTGGAGCAAAATGTTGGTTGTGACAAAACTTACTGCCATAGGAGTTGACTTGGATTAGTAAGTAGTTAAATTAATTGTAAAAAAAAAATCTCTGAATCTCAAATGTGGCTTCTTTACTTACTTTTTACACATTTCACTTTCCACAATAACTCAGAATAGGCGGTATAATTTTTCTGTAACATCTGAATGAATTATACTTCTACCATATTAGTTAGTAGCTTTGCATAGCTTGTAGATTATATTTTATTAATTAAAATGGTTTGGTTTGTTCTTATGTGCCCATGTGAAGGACTTTTAAATAAGTCGTAGGAAAAATAATTACTGGAAAATAACCAGCTGTCTTGTCTTTGACTCAGATGTTTCCAGCATTGTCGATTTTAGTCTGTTTCAGAGCAGACCAAGAGAGTCTACATTGATGAGTTAAGGATATTGCCAAACTTGGTTTTTAAGGTACTTGGGATATTACTTATAATTTCTTAATAAATTCCAGCAGCCCTTTTTGATAATTAGGGAATAAGAAAAGCCCTCAGCAGCATGCCAGTACAGTGGAGTAATGGCCGTTAAAGACATGAGCTTTGGGACTATTTGAAAACAAATGGTCATTCACCAGAAAAGTAAAACAAACTGAGCAGTTGTACTCAGCTTTCCTTCTTCGGCTCTGTGCCATATTTATAGGTCAACTCCAACTAGTCAGTCCTGGTAAGTTTTTTTTTTTGTCAGCTATACGAGTTCCACCAAGGCAGTGCTTAGCTCTGTTCTCACTCCATGCTCTGATAGCAGGTACATGTTTATTTTCTTTATTTGAAGAAAGTGCTCCAATAAAATAAAATTATAAAACAATTAAACAGAATTGAAGCCAGTCGGCTCCAGTTTATCCTGGATGAAGACTGCAAATAAATGCATGTATAATAGATTTTGCCTTTCTGTTTCGTCTTTTACATTTTAGTGGCATTTTGATTTAACACACTTATTTTACATTGATGGTAGCATTGTAGGGAATTTTAAGTTATATATTAGTTCTTCTACCTCATTCAGGGTATAGCTTTCTGACTATTGTATAAAATTAACTGTATGATGATTCCTTAAGAAAAAAGGGCTCATTTTCTACCCCTTAAATAATCTACAAGGTGTTAAAATGTGATGAAAATAAAAGAAGAAGGAAAATACATTTGATAAAATGCCCACTTTTCAGTTGGACAGTTGGAGTGGATTGGTTTGTTTTTGTTGAAAATATGCTAAGTAATGAAATAATAAAGCTTTAAAGAATTGTTGGTGGGAAAAAAGGCAGGAGAAATAGGAAGCAGGTGGGACTTGGTGTTAGGTTTATGCACCATGCTTGGTGACTTTAGTTTTCTTTTTTCGTGGGTTGCATTAAATGCTGTTACAATTTTTGGTTAAGTCTAGCTGGTATCAGTTATTTAACTGTTCCCTTTGGCTTCTGAAGAAAAAAGAATGGTAGAAAGAATGGAACATGAATGTCGTTTGGTCAAAAGATTCAGGTTCCTCTTATGGCAGGACTCCAGACGCTGATACTTATCTTTGGGCAGAAGTCTGGAAAAGGTGGCTATGAAGAAGTTGAGAACTTAAACTAGGCATGGTTCTTTCAGCAAATTCTCACAGAGGCTTGGGCTCATGAAACAACCAAGAGTAAGAACCTTGAGATTGCTACCTCTTCATCTTAGAGATGAAGAAACTGAGGCTGCATATGGAAAGGCTGGAGGCTAGAGAGGTGACATGCAGTCACTCATCAAGTCAGGGCAAAACCAGTGTTATGATGCATGGCTCTCTTACCATGATGACATTATAGCTGGCATTATAACTGCCATCACAGTAGGGAGCAGGATACCTGCAGAGTTGTAGAGACTGATGGTAAAGTAGACAAGAGCAAAGATCACTGGGCTGGGCAACAGAAAATCTAGGTCAAACTTGTTTCCCTGAGTCTTTGGACAAGTCACAAATGCTCTAGATATCAGTTTTCTGATTGACAGATGACTACATAACTGCCCCATTGACCTCAATGGATCAAATGAAATGTGGGTTGTGAAGATGCTATGACAACCAAAGACAATACATGTGTAGGGCATTACAGAATACCATTGGCCATTCCTTCCCTAACGAATTCTCAACAATTACTCAGAGCTGCGAAAGCATCTTAATTCACTACCACCCAACAGAAGACAAGAAAATTATCTGGCAACTCAGATGAACCTGCATCCCACCCACAGTCTTAGTTATGAAATCCTTGAGAAGCTTGCTTTTAACTCAGCAAGTTGTAAACATTTATATCATTTATTTATTCGTGAACTCATTTATTGAATAACTGAAGCACAAAAAATAGTAGACATAGTGCCTGCCTTTCCCTCAAGGGAAAAACAAACATATAAATAAATGTGATTTATATGGCAAGTGTTGTATATTAAGGACTTGGAAAGACTAAGAAAGGAAGTAAAGGGTTATGAGGAGGTTTTAAGAAAGAAGTGGTCTTGAAGGTTGAGTAATATAGGGACCTGCTAATAAGGTAAAGACATGCGGAGATTTTGACCAAGAGAGGAACCTTAATAAAGTCATGAGAATGTGACAGTAAGAGGCATGTATGGGAAATGTTGTGCTGTCCAGTGGGACAGAGGGTAGGGAATATGGGGAGACTGTTGAGAAATGGGTCTACACAGGCAAGTGAGGTCAATCATGAAAGTCCTTGGTTAGTAGCTAGGGAGATTAGTGTTTTTCCAACAGACTTGGGAGGACACTGATATTTATTCTATAACAACATTTTTTTTCAGCTAAAAATGAGACAAGCTGATTAATTAAATTTATAAATAATTTGCACAAGTACAAGGAAATGTAAGAAAACTACTAATTCAACGATCTGGAACTACAGTTATAACCATTGAGTGAACATTGTTGTGGACTTTTCTCTATGCACACATACAAATAGATTAAAAGAGAAAGATACTTTTTATAAAAACAGGATTGTTTTCTGGTTCTGGCAATAATTATACAAATACAAATAAAATATATAAATTAATCTGGAAAAAAGATCATTTCTGGTATCATGGCATGCCAGAAATAGGTTTAAGCAGTAAACTTATGAATGGATGCTGTGATGATTTTGAAAGATATTAGGCTGGATAAAGGGATTAGAGGCTGAGGTTTTAATGCCCATGTAGACATGGGAAATATGGCATTGGGCCTGACTGAGGCAGGGAGCTGGAACACAGATCCCTACTTAAACTGGGACCTTGGAGATGAAAAGTTACGTCCTTGGTAAAAGGAGACTAGCAAAAAAAACAAAACAAAACAAAACAACAAAAAAACAACAACTCACTGGCTCAGGTAGTGTGACTAGAAAATTTGTTACTTTTTGGAACTCTGGATGGGAAAATATGAGAGAAATGAAAACTCCTGGTCACCAAAAATAGATGTAAAGTTGACATTTACATTCTTAATTTAATGCTGGAATATGTAAGCTGAGAAACTAACATCAAAACTATTCCAGACAAAAGCAAAAGTTAAATAATTATATAGCAAGACTTTTACACTCCAGGATATGCAGGTATTATGGGGGAAAATGGAGGGAAACAAGTAAAACCTGTAAATTCCATGGGGAAATAATCTATAATGAGTCAGCAGGCTGTATGAGTAGGAAGGCTAGCATTCCCACAAACTTGAAATAATAGCACAATCTGTGAAAGACTATACAATAGCCATGCTTCAAATGGTTAAAATGATAAAAGAAGAACTGAAAATCATAAGGAGAGAACAATACACTGTGAAGAGGTAAATTTGAAGAAAAAAATAGAGCTTCTAGAAATACGGGCATGTCATTGATATCTCCATGAATGAGTTATGTGTTAGATTATAAGCAGCTGAAAAACGAATTAGTGAATTGGAAGACAACTGAGAAAATTATGTAGAATGTAGCAGAGAGATAAAGAGATGGAAAAAACTGAAAAAATATTTACGAGAAATGAGAGAGAGATTCTGAGATATTGGAGAAGGGGCAATTCTTGAGATAATGGCTTACAATTTTCCAAAACTGATGAAAAATACCAGCTTTTAAAGAACTATGTACTCAGTGGCATGCAGGTAAATATTAACAACCAGCTCTTCACGATTGAAGAAAGCCCTGATTTATAGTGTTTGTTAATTGCTGTGGTGTAAATACTGTCATTACGGCTGATTTCAGGTTACCAGTATGACTTCACTGAAATGGGAATTGGGAAGAGATGTGCATAACTGGCTCTCATGAGCCAGTATGAACTGACTTCAGAACACAACTGCATATGCTAAATGTAGTAATTATTCCTCAGAAGAGAATCTGTCTTTTGTGTCTATAAAATATTATCATTGTCATGGATGTTCTACAGTTTCACTACAATGTGTCAAAAATTGTAGTGAAACTGTAGAACATCCATGACAACGATAATATCTTAATTATAGACACAAAAGACAGATTCTCTTTTGAGGAATAATTACTCTGATGGTAGACTTCTCATTGGTTTAAACAAATCAGAGCCAATCCTTGGTACCGAGCATGGGATCAGGGAGCCCAAGCATAGAAGTCATGTAGAGGAGGGGTGGACATCTAAATGAAAACCTGTTGCTGTTAGGAAGGGGGAAGGAAAATGAATATGAGGTGAAAAACCTAGCTGTATCTATAATATGGTATATATTTTTCAATCAGAAGATTCAGGCTTTTCTTCATTTCGGAGAAATTTTTTCCTTCTCGTCATCTTTGAATGACTTTTATATTCCATGTATTTGATTCTATACCTAAGGGAGACCAAAAACTTGTCCTTATTCTAGGCTGTCCATGTCATTCTTCTATATTTTCCTCTTATTTTAATCTCTGCCTTTTTTTCTATGCATTTGCTAAGATTGTTCAAGTCTTTGTGTGTGTGTGTGTGTGTGTGTGTGTGTGTGTGTGTGTTGGGGGGCAGGGGAGAGGATAATCATTTACTTTTCAGCTGAATTAGTCTTCAGTTTGTTTTCTTAGTTTTTTAGCTTCCCTTTTCATCTCATTTACCTTGTTTTTTGAATAACATCCCTATGAAATTATTATATATATTGAAGTGCTCATGGGGAACACTCTTCTATTCCACGGTATGTAGAATGACATTTGTTTAATTTGGTCTCTACCTCTGGGTAAATGTTACTGATTTACAGAAGTTACTGATATGGAGAAGGGAGACAACTAGTGATATAAATGAAAGTTCCTGGATGGAGGTGCACTTTCATTTTGTTAGTTGTGGGATAAGGAGACTTCCAGCTTTGAGTAGTCCCCTTAGGTGTGTATTGCCTTCTCTTTCCCCAACCCTCATCCTCTCTTGCCTAACTGCCATAGACTGTGACTGACATCTCCACTCTGCACAGAAAAGAGTATTAGGTTCTAATAAATTGCTTCCATAAATTTGGTAGCATAAATTTGACAGGACTTTAGGAAGTTAATTGACTGGAAGCGGGTAGGCTTCCTTGAGCCTGAGAATATGGTTTCCTCTCATCCTCCTGGATATGACCTGAATTTACTTGATGTCCAGCAGGTTCTAGACATGCAGCCTTTGCAGCAGGGGGTGAATTGGTCAGGACTCTTTTTTAAAAGTAGCAGAAATCCAATCTGAGTTAGTATAAACAAAGCAAAATATAAAAGAGAGATGCTCTAGCTTATGTGCTGAAATGATGGGGTGAGCAGAGGAACTGGTCTCTTGAATGATGAGGTCCAGGAAATGGCACCTCAGGGCTTCCTTGTCACCTCTCATTTCTACTTCTCTCTACCTTCTAGCTGTCTTCTCTCCAGCTGACTGGTTCCATGACACTCCAGGAGCCCAGGATGTTATGTTCTTATAGTCTACTGACCAGAGAGGAAAGAAAGCTCTTTCCCTCCAGACCTCGTGAGAAAACCCAGAGGAAGATTCTGATTGGCTCCTACTGATGATGTGTCCAGCTGTGGGTGGGATTCTGGGATAGTAAATTGGCAGCTTTCATCAGAAATAGGTGTTCTCTAAAAAAGCAAGGGAGGAGGTGATAGTCTGAGCACATAAAATAACACATTTTCACTGAGGGGAGGAATAAAAGCCTCCATATGCTTTGCAGGAACTAAATTCACCCCTGCTGAGCTGTCAGGGGATATGACCCTTCATTCACATCCAAGTATATGAGTGCCATTTGATGCCTTTACCATGCTCCTCTTCACCAAGCCCAGAAAAATGGCACTTGTTGATTTTCTAACCTCAAATAAAAATGAACCCCAGGATGTTTCCAGGTTCAATTTAATTCCGACCAGTTGTCACTTCCTCAGCCGAGGAACTGGTATGGAAATAGGTATTCGGCATCTGCTGCTTTGTGTTATGGCTAATGCATGAGAGAGACACTTTTCCAGAACCAAAGAATCCCAGTTACACTGCTGAGGATGAAGAAAGACTGCAGGGGACCAACTGGTTTTTGTTTGGACCACGATTAAGAGAAGGTTCAGTTGTTCTAGTGCTTTTAAAATCAGCTTTGCTCCAAAGCACTTGGGTTATGTATTTGCCATCTTGCAGAAAGACTCAGCATTTGAGATGTAAGCCAAATGCTTTTAGCCCACTTATAAAAGACACTGCTGCCCTGGGCCCTGCTGGCTGCAGGAGCTGACTGGGCTGGAAGCCAGCTCTGAGACTGACTATGATAGTGCATGCCATTTAATACGAATGGGAGAATGGTGACGTGGTTTAGCTTAGGAGCAATGCTAATTGTTTACTGGATACATTTTACACAGCCCAGGCCATTTATTTTAGCCAAATTTCTCTCATTATTACATAATAAAACCTGACATTTAAAAAAGCACATTTACTTATTTATTGAAAAAGCTAGTATGCAGCATATCCTTCTTCTAGGTTCATATACTAAAAATCAATGTCCTGGGGAAAGAAAGTAACAAAATTATAAAGTCTATAGATGGGACAATTAGAAGTGACCTGATTTCAGTGACTTTAAGTTTTATGAGGGAAGAAACTGCTGTCTTGTTCGTTTAATTATTGTTTTTTAATTTTATATCTAGTGTTAAGCACAATGCCTGGCATGTTGTAGGGAGTCATTAAATCTTCATTTAATTAATGAATAAGTAAATGAACACATAAAACATTTAGGAGCAAGAACTGACCAAAGATTCAAATGAAGATTCAGATAAAACCAAGTCTAAATATGTGCTTGCATACAATGTTGGATGGTCACATGAGAACAAAATCTATCTAGTTTTCTGTCTACCCTGTTTTATCTGGAATAGGAAGTAGAAACTCCAAACCCTCATACAAGTGGATTGTCCTTGCAAGATGTCTGTCTTACCAGAAGTTTCCAGAAATTGTATAAGCCCAGCTTGCCAACTTTCTATCTATAGTTTCTTAGCCAAAGTATTTCAAGATAAATTTAGTTAGATTTTTAGTCAAACACATGACCTAAGTGGCTATATGTAAAGAGTAACTGAGAATCCTCACCTCAGCTTTGGTATTTATGGAGTTAGGACCAGGTACATACTTTGTGGGGCCTAGAGTAAGATGAAAATGTGGAGCTCTTTTAAAAAAATATTAAGAATTTCAAGACAGCAAGAGTAGAACAGTAAACCAAGTGCAGGCCCTTCTAAGCATGGGACCAGCAGGACTGTATAGGAGACATGCCCACAGGATCAACCCTTTATAGATGGCTCATCTTCTGGGAACTCTGAAAACACTCGTGAGTTCATATTCACAGCAAGACTTTATTGAAATTGGTGGGTTGTTTAATTATTTCAAAGATAGAGGTGAGATGTAGAGAAAATGTAAAGTGTTGGCATAGATGAGAGTAGAACCTAGAGCCACTGGCTCCCCATCTGAGGTGTCTTCTAGCAGAGACAGTATGACTAAAATTTCATGTATAACGTACTTCCATTCACTATTAAAATAAGTAGTGTTCCTATAGCTTACATTACCTTTTTAGCAGTTTGCTTTTGAGTATTCTGAGAGTTATAATATGTGGACCACTTAAAATGTCTTCCATAAGTTTCACTCATTCTAAGTGTAGTAATTACGGTGTTTGTAATGTTGCCATGCCATGTGAAATTATTTTCTAATATTAAACAACTGTATCATTATGTAGCAGCTGAAACTAAGCTTGAAGTTAGTTTTCTAATATTTAGTCCCATCTGATCTTACCTTATGAAAGTTTATTGGAGAGAACTGAAGCATATCCAGTTGGTCCAGAACTGGGGAGAACTGAGTCCTAGTCCTTTGTAGGCCTCTAGTCTAGTAATATTCAAGAAATGGTTCTTGAATGTTTCAATAAGTGGATGTTAAATCATCACAGCAATTAACTATAGCTACCAATCATTACTAAACGATTCCTTACCTTTGAACAATGTGGTGAATGCTTTAGGAAAATGTATTTTATTCATCTGAAAATTAATCACAAGAAGACATTTTAATGATTCAAATAATATACTGAATTCTGTCCTGATTGAATTTGAGTACATGTCAAAAAAATTTTATTTCACAAGATAATTTATATGCAATTAATTTTGAATTTATGGTAATGATTTTTTTTTTAGTTTTGTGAGAGATAATTTACACGTAAAATTCTTCCTTTTTAGGTATACAGTTCAATGAACTTTGACAAATTTAAGTGAAGCAGTTGCCATCACAATCAAGATACATACATACAGAAAATTTCCATAATCTCAAAAGTTTCCTTCAAGTTCCTTTGTAGATAATCCCATCTCCCTTCCCTAGAAACCATTGGTATGATTTATTTTCATCTAGTTTTGCTTTTTCTATAATGTCATATAAATAAAGCCATCTATATGACAGCCTTTTGAGTCTGGCTTCTTTTAGTTATCATAACATTTTATTTGCTCCATCAGCAGGATTTGGTAATTGTCTTTTTAAAAACGTCATTCTATGGCGTGAACCCGGAAGGCCGAGCTTGCAGTGAGCTGAGATCACGCCACTGCACTCCAGTCTAGGTGACAGAGTGAGACTCCATCTCAAAAAAAAAAAGTCATTCTAATAGGTATACAGTGGTATCTCATTAAATATGCATTTCTCCATTGATAATGATATTGAGCAATTTTTTCATGCACCTATTTATTCCAAGGAGCTTCTTTGATAGAGTGTCTTGTTAAAATGTTTTTCTTTCTTTCTTTCTTCTTTTTTTTTTTTTTTTTTTTTTTACTTAGGTTGGCTGTTTTCTTGTTATTGAGTTTTGGAAAGGCTTATATATTCTTGATATCAGTTCTTTATTAGATATATGTTTTGCAAATATTTTCTCCCAGTTTGTGTCTTGTTTTTTCATTTTTTAACTTTGTCTTCCAAAGAGAAGATGTTTTTAATTTTGATGAAAGCCAATTTATCAGTTTTTTCTTTTATGGTTTATGTTTTTTTATGTTACATGTAAGAAATTTTTGCCAAAGCCAAGGTCATAAATATTTTCCTAGAAGTTTTATAGTTTTACATTTCACACTTAGGTCTATGATTCTTTTTGAGTTAATTTTTATATATTGAGTAAGGTGTGGGTTGAAGTTTATATTTTTGCATATGTATATTCAATTGTTCGGCACTGTTTGTTGAAGAGACTGGTTTATCCACCGAAATGGTTTCACACTTAGTGAAAAACAGCTTGGCCACATATATGTGGTTTTATGTCTGGACTCTATTTTGTTCCACTGATCTATGTGTTTATTTTTTCACCAATAACAGAATGTCTTGGTTTTATGCTAAGTCTTGAAATTAGGTTCTGTGAGTCTTTCAACTTTGTTCTTTTTCAAAATTATTTTGGTTGTACTAGGTCCTCTGCTTTTTTATATAATTTTTAAAAAATGTATTTCAGCCAGCTTGTTGGTTTCTAAAGCATTCTGCTGGGATTTTTATTAGGATAAATTTTATCAGCCAGAGGAATTTCCTCAGTCCTCTTAAGAAACGTTCCTTCAATTATTCCCTTGCGTCTGCCTCTATTTCTTGTTTCCATCATCCCCTATATGCTGAGGCTAACGTGCAGTTGATCCAGAATGACAGTAAGGCTATGAAAATAGCATGAAGGTGGTCCTGTGATTGGGACTGCGGTCTCAGGACTCAGGCTGAGCCTTTAAACATGGGAGAATTAGTGCTGGATAGTAACTCTGGAGGTAGTCAGAGGTGAGAGCAGGCAGTGGGGAGACCAACTTTGTGCCATTCCTCTGAGTCTCAAGCAGACCGGAGCTAACTTCCTTAGCTTGTTCTACACTCCTCAGAGGAAAGGCATGCCTGCAATGTGAGGAACGGTACTAGGATTCTTTGACTATTTTAAAGTCTTCTCCTCCCCTTTCTTGCTGCTATTTTGGAAATCTCACTCATCCATCATTTACTCTACTTGTCTCTCCTTCTATCCCTTTTATCTTTTTCTTCCATTGCTTTTCCAATTCTTCCTCAAATTTCTAAAGCTCATTAAAAAATAATGCTCTCTAAAGATTAGAAATGTAAAGTAAATGTATTTTGGTAGAAATGAGATAAAAAATTAGGCATTAAATTAATCAAAGTTACTGGAATGTGCTGATTGTGATGAATTTTTGGATAAGATGTTCTGACAACCTAGGAATGTTTTCCCTGGTTTGACTCCACTGTTAATCCACAACTTCATCTTCAAATAGCAATGTCTCTGTAGTGCATCTTTTACAACTTAGTGGAATCACTGAGTTTCAGATTTTCTTTCTTCTTCGTGCCTGGCAGCCATGGACCAATTCGTCTGAAAATATGAACATTTGGGGAGGATATTCTTCAGTGACTCAGCAGGGCAACAGATGGCAAAATGTTTAATGTTTATTTCAAATCCATTTCCATATTGGACTCACATCCAGGAGTGTTTAAAAACATTTTTATTTGGAAAGAGACCGTTGTTCACTGTCAGACAACAATCTCTGTTTAAAAACATCATCATTTGAATTACAACTTCTTTGACAGGTGTGGGGCAGACACTGCAATTTCAAGGATCATGAATATGGCTTTCTATCTTCCCCACCTCACACTCTGTTTTACTTATCATGGCTACATTTACAAATGCTGGTTGTTGTGTTTTTATTTTTTTCTTCTTTTCAGGGGAGGCTTAAGGTCAAAGCTTTATTCCCAGTATTAGAAATAGAAAAGGAATAATGTATTTAATTTGATAAGCTTTGGAAGGTTGTTCTTACTATAAATGTTCACAGGTTATTGTGATATGTTTATATTATCTTCCTTTTAGGGCACATGATCATTATCTCAGTCCTTGGGAGTCAGTTTATGAAATCTTGAGTCACACTTGGACCATTATAAAAGCACAGAGACAGGTAGGACTCTCTGCTGACCCATAATCAATACACACTGACTGTTCAGTCAGCTAATAAATGGGCTTTCTAATTAGATCTCTTCAGGAAATGGCAATAAACACTGGGTTTTAATGGCATTCATTCATTCATGTGTTCATTCATTAATTCATTTATAAAACTCACATTGAGCAATTACTACATGCAGGTGTTTATCTGTGCATGAAAACCAAAAACAACAACAAAAAACAAACAAAAAAATACACAATCAAAGACTCTGGAGACCATTGGATTTAGTGACTTTGTCTATGAGATTTATTCCTATTAAAACATTTATTTTGTTAGATAACCGTCCTTTTGTTTTTGTTTGATGTAACTTTCATTCTACTGTGCCTTGAAAAGTATTCAGGAAAGCTGGTTTCATGGCTAACTATCAGAGGCAGATTTACCCTGAAGGATATGAAACTTGTATTTCAGAGCCTCTCTTGCTTGCACAGATCCCCTTTAAGGCTCATGCAGGGATTCTATAAATGGATTTATATGATCATAGTCTTCGTAAAATATGCAAGGATATTGCATTTGATCAAGACTGTCTCCACTTTGAACTTTCCTCTGTCATTCTGCTCATGTCAGATGGCAATGAAGTGCTGTGGATATTTTGGGGATACAGCTAAGTAAGAGTTCAGTTGGGGTTCACTTGGCTTGGTTTTTGCAAGATATATTTAGTTTGTAGTCTCATGAACAGTTTTCTAGCTGTTTCATGTAGGAATAACATAAGAATATACCTGCTGATCACTGAAATGACTCCCTGAGTGTTTGAACATGGAGTTGCAAGATGGGAAGTCATGGTACAGAGCAGTGCTTGGCATGAGAAGCAAGTGGTATGGAGGAGAAACAAAGTTTGAAGTGTAGACAGCCAGAAGCGATCTGTGGAAAATTCTTAAAAACGCTTAGTGTGCAAAATTGTAAGAAATAGACTTAATTATCATCAATGCATAAGCAAAATGTTTCTCTCCCCTGATGAAATTATCTTCTCTAATGCAGCACATGCATTTGTAAATGCATCATATGGTCTTTTATTTCTATTTATAGGAACTGCATAAAACAGAATTTATCAGAATTTTAATATTTGTGGGGCAGAAACTATAGTTTTACTATAAATAGATAATATATTCATGTGACATTGTATGTTTTATGCATCCTAATGTATTGAATAGCATCTTAGCATGACATTACCGTTAGTAGTAATGAACCTGAAATAAACTTTTCTAAGATATCAAGTATATCAAATAAATTTTGAGCAGTTATGCTAGAGGAAAACTAATTTTTTTAAAGACAGTTTCTCCATAGAAAATATTACAATATTTTGTGATATGAAGAGGCAATCAGAAACAATAGCAAAAAAGTAATATAGAAGGCATACAGATATGTCAGCTATTTAATTAATAAAAATATTATTTTGACTCTCTGGATTTTGTGATTATGGCTTTGTTAGCTTTTTAAGTTTGTAATTTGTTATAATCTGTTTTCTCATTCTAAGTTAATACTTATATTTCTGCCTAAAATTATAGTAGCAATTTTGCATTATTTCTCTTAATGATACCTGATATGGTTTGGCTGTTTCCCTACCCGAATCTCATCTTGAATTGTAACTCCCACAATTCCCACATGTCATGGGAGGAACCTGGTGGGAAGTAATTCAATCATGGGGGCAGGTCTTTCCTGTGCTGTTCTCATGATAGTTAATACATCTCACAAGATCCGATGATTTTAAAAATGGGAGTTTCCCTGCACAAGCTCTCTCTTTGCCTGCTGCCATCCATATAAGATGTGGCTTGCTCCTCCTTGCCTTCTGCCATTCTTGTGAGGCTTCCCCAGCCATGTGGAACTGTAAGTCCATTAAACTGTTTTTCCTATATAAATTACCCAGTCTCAGGTATGTCTTAATACACAGTGTGAAAATGGACTAATGCAATATCTTTCAAAACTTTTAAGCCTCAGGCCTCCCAGAAGCTGGATCTGTTCTCTGTTTGCCCCAGATTTTATTTTATTTGTCCAGTTATTTCTCAAGGAAGAGTAAATCTTTGGGACCACATCAATTCTATGGAAGGAAATAAAAGGGATTGAGGAGCGGTGCAGTAAAGGGTAAAGACAGGACAAAAACAGGAGTTCATGGGTTGAACAGTTGAATCGTTGATGTAAAGGTGATGAAGAATTGAGAGAAAGGAAACATGGTAAGAAGAATGGCAATGGGGACATAGAAGAGTGAGACAGCAAATCTCACTAGCTTAGCAGAAAGAGTGCAGAAGTTGGAATCAGGAAGTAAGTTCCCTAATCTGTCCAGCTGTGTGGCCTTGATCAATTAACTTACAGACTCTGGGCTTCCAGTTTCTTCCTTTGTAAAATGAAGATGATAGTAATTACCCTGCCCAATAGAATTGTTGTCAAGATTAAAGACCAAATACATCACACCTACAGCCCATAGCAGGGCCTCATTGCTGTTCCCACTGTGGTTGATCCAGTCGAACTCTGTGGGGGAGGGGAGGAAGGTACAGCAAAATGCAGAACTTCAGATCTCATGAAAAACATGAGAGGCAAACGTGAAGTGAAAATGAAGCCAGGAATTGTCCACTTATGAAGGGAAATGAGAGGAAGGCTAAAGCAGGAAGGAGGCTGATTAGAAAAGGTACGAGATGATTTGGGATATGTAAGGTCAAAGAGGAGGACGGAGAAAACGGATTTTTCATAATCTAACTTCCATTCAGTGGAACGAGAAGAAAAATGATGCCTCTTTGATGGAAGTGGCAGAGTGGTGCTGGAGAAGCTTCACAGGGCTCTCAGGTCAAAACATTTGAAAGTGGTGTTAACAGGTGTGCTTGTTAACAGGTGTGCTTGTTTGGCCAGAAGGGTGATTGCCAATGTGTGTGCTTCTATCAGGCTGATGAATGGCTGGCTCCAGGGCTCTTGGACAACAGGCTGGAGAATATATAAAACCCAGAGGCTACAGTCCGATAATGAAGACTCTAGGTTAACATGGGATTTTGCCATTAAATATTGGGGTGAGATAACAAAAATTTCATTTGTATCTGGTCAATTGTTATTCTTACTGAAGTTGGTGGGGTTGGAGGAAATAATAAGACAGTAAAATAATGAAAAAAGAAATTAATCACAGGAAAATAGCATGTTACCTTTAGGGATTAAAAATGTATTCCAGGTAGCTTTTGCTTTAAGAATAGTTAATTTCGAAAGGACAACTTTGCAGTCCATGAATTAGAACCTACATATTTACATGTTCCATTTACAAAGAGATGGAAAATGGAATTCCTTTAAAATTCATCTTGCTTACAATGCTCAAAATGTCCTCTCAACCCTCTTCTTTGACTAGGCCTCGGCATTGGCTATCATTCTTGGTGGGCCTCCATAGCAAGAATCCTGTGAAGTCAGTTTAGTGAGAATCTCCCCAACCTTGATATCTGATCATTCTTGATACCCGGGTCAAATTCCCCATTCCCCTACTTTCCGTATCTGATTACCTAGGCCTCCCTTCAGCAAGAGTCCTGTTAGGTCAGTGTAGCAAGAACTCCTACTACCCGTGATATCTTCTTTTAGTAATTTTCTATACACCCTTTCCCCCACACCTCTCCCCACTCCATACCCCCAACGTGCTCCCCAGCTATAAATTTGTTCTTGTTCAGCTCTGATTTTCACGGACAAATGTAATGTTGTGAAAGGAAATTGTCATGACCACCTCTGTCTGGGTTAGTAGCAATCCACTGTGTTCAGCACTGGATACATCCTTACCTGAATAATTTTAATAACACTCATACTTGCTTCTTGTATACAATTAAGAATTTCAGAAGCTTTCACATATATTACTTTCTCCCCACAATGAACCTTGTGACATAGGCAGGGATCTTACAGATGAGGGGACTGAGAGAATAGAGAGTTCCTCATCTTGGCAAGGGTCCTTCAGCTAGTGATAGCAGGGCTAGATAGAGGTTTCCAGAATCCTCATTGAGTGCTTCAAGTTACAATTGAATTGTAAAATGTAAAAGAGAAATAGAGTATGTGAGAGACCAGAATATGCTACCCCAAAATATAAAGGATTGTTGAGCTGAAGACAATTTAGAAGAAGCAGACACAGAACAGCTCTCTGGTCTCCCTCTGTTTGCCTAAATGCAGGGCATGGATTTATAAAAAAGAACGGTATCTCATACCATTATTAGTTGTCAATTTTAAAAATAAAATAAAACATATAAGTAAATAGCAAAAGGGGTATCCTGCCTCTCTCTCTGCCAGAGAGAACAAAGGTTAACCACTAAAATCAGCTTTGGACCCCTATTAGCCTTGCGATGGCATCAGAAGAAACTACATTAACAAGCTTTACTAACTAGCCTTATCTGCCAGTTATTTGCCTTTTCTCAAGCTGCCACCTGTAGAGACTCAAAGTCCTCTTCCTTTGTCTTGCCACCTCTCTAAAAATGTACTGTTCTGTGTTGAAGATGCTATATAAGCTGGAATTCAAAGCCACCTCTTTGAGAACTACCCATTCTCTGGGTGTCTCCCATGTATATATGAAATATACAGCAAACCACCACGGCACATGTAACAAACCTATGTAACAAACCTGCAAGTTCTACACATGTATCCTAGAACTTAGGTAAAATAAAAAAAATATATATATATGTATACACATTAAGAAACTTCTTTTTGCTTTTCACTTGTTAATCTGTCTTTTGTATCAGGAGTGGATTCTAACTAAGAACCTATGGGGGTTATTCTTCACCTACCACTTATCACGGATGTTGTAGCAAAAAGAGCATTGTGATAAAGATGAGTTTGTCTACTTTTAAGCAGGGCAATAAAAGTGTTAGGTAGTGAATCAGTATGAACTTAGGCATTAGAATGAATAATCGTTTTATGGATATCCTTGATCAATCTACATCTTTCTTTTTTTTTTTTTTTTTTTTCCAAGACGGAGTCTCGTTCTGTCGCCCAGGCTGGAGTGCAGTGGTGCGATCTCTGCTCACTGCAAGCTCCACCTCCCGGGTTCTTGCCATTCTCCTGCCTCAGCCTCCCGAGTAGCTGGGACTAAAGGTGCCCGCCACTGTGCCTGGCTAATTTTTTGTATTTTTAGTAGAGACGGGGTTTCACCGTGGTCTCGATCTCCTGACCTCGTGATCCACCCGCCTCGGCCTCCCAAAGTGCTGGGATTACAGGCATGAGCCACTGCGCCTGGCCCAATCTACATCTTTCACCTAGAGAAAGAAGTTTCAATAGATTTAACTTATAACAGAAGATACTTTACTTACACATATCAAGATGAAATCTTGGCTGTAAAGCTGATTATAGGCTCAATGTATGACATCTTCATCACTCTACCAACTAATGTAAGTATCCACTATTCTCAAACATTGGGTAAAATGCTAGAGGGAAAATGATGGAAAAGATGCAGTGCCTGCCATCTGAAGCTCTTGGCTAGTTTGTCCAGGAGTGAGACAGTCATCTATTTAGTTACAAAACAGCAAGGAGAGGCATGTTATTCATGTGAGTGGAGTGTGCCGATTGAAAAGAGTCCTTGGTCTGCTTAGCTGTGTACCTGTCTATGGCAGGAAGCAGAACCAGCTGTTCTCTTTTTTCCAATTCTTTTCTTTCATTGAATCGTAAATCCTGTTTTCACAACGGCCACTGTTTCTATTGCTATGGAAATGATGACGATGTATATCACAAATTCAAATATTATGATGTGACTACAGGACTCAAGAGGAGGAAAAGATGAGCTGTCAAGGGCACAGTTTTCCTCCAAGTCAAATGCCTTTGTTAATGAGCAAGTATGTTAATAAAAAACTATGAAAAGCGTAGGAAAAGGCAATTGGCTGGGAGAATGGGATGTGTAAATGCGGTTCTTCAGCAGATTTGCCTGTGGTAAGCTCAGCAGGCAAATCATAGCACCTTCCATTAGAGTATTTCTTAAGCCAAAATGCCATCCCCCAAAGAACCCAAGAGCTGCAGTCTCCTGTTTTGATGCAAGAGGAGGCTGATAGGTCTTTCTGTGAGTAAAATGGGGGATTAGTTACCCTTTGTCCCTGGGACATCTCCCTTTCTAGGTGGGAGGTGATGCCTAACATTAGGACCTGCTGAGTTGGCATCAAAATAAACGCTGATAGATATATCATGAGAAAGACCACCATCTCTCTGAGCATTTTCAGATTCCTTCTTCTTGGCCTGGGTCTTGGGAAAATTGTCCAAGTACCACTGTGCCCTGCTCTCTTTTTACTTGCCCCCTGTGAGAGAGTGTTTCAACCCCATTCCTGGAACTCTCTTTCCCCTGCATTAGCAGAGAAATTGCCCATGTGGCTTAACTTTCTGTCTGAGACAGGGTTTTGGAGAGGCCCTGGAGGTTAGGCTCCAAGGTCGGCAGCAGAGTTTTCATGCAAAGCAACAATCTCTGGTTTAAGCAGAGTTGGCTGTGTGTGTCAGTCTTCCCCGCCCTCTGGCCTGGTCTTCGAGGATGTCATGGTGAAAGTAAAGAAAACCTTGTTTAGTCTGCACCACAGCCTTGAATAGGCCATAAAAACTCCCCAGGCTGTGACCAGCCAAACTTGGAACGGCAGATCTCCGCTCGTCACTTGTGCACCTTCCTTGTCACTTCATATTTTGTTTGTTTCTCTCTCCACCTTGGTGGCCTGTACACACACACACACACACACACACACACACACCCCACCCATCTGGAAGTTACCGTGCTGATGCTATGTTCTGCAAGGGCCCATGCACACATTGATAAAATAATGGGATATATGCATTGCTTTTACCTTTAGGGAACAGGATTAGAAATAGACATTTAGAATTCTAGAAACAAGGTGAAATATTTCTGTGATAAAATACCCTCTTCTGAAACCTCCCACCCCCACTATCAAATAGTAGTGGCTTATACATCTTCATTATGATTTGAAGGACTGTAACACAGGCCTTATTAGAAACATCTTGATTCCTAATAGTTCCTGAAAAAAATCTCAATAACTGAGCATTGAAAAAAATGTGCTTGAATATAAAGTGGCTGAAAGATTTCTCTGCATGGAAGTCCTTGTGTAACTTAGGCAAACTAGAGCAATTCAATTTTTTTTTTAATCGAGAAGAAAAAGGAGAAAGGCAAAGGGGAGGAAAAGGAGGAGGAAGAGGAGAAGGAGAAGGAATTAAGAAAAAAAAAAAGGGTTTGTTGCTGAGTTGAGAATTTGACTAGAAAGCCAAGGCCCAGCTTGGAGCAGAGTTTTACGGCTGAGTTATAAACTCTGAAAATAAGGCTTTATAATGGAAATGTTGACAGACTCTCTACTATAACTGGGCTAGCGGATGCCTGCTGTAATGTACTGTGTAATTTATAGGAGTCACCTGTTAAGCCATCTGGGAAAGAAAATTTCCCGTCTTTTAAAATGTTAATAACTTGATTAACCTTTTGAACTTCATCTTTATTGCAAATGGAGCCCATGCAAGCCAGTTGCTGCTAGATGGCCAATTTGTATTTGCAGATAAAATTTAGGATTAAAACAAAATCCATACTCTGTGGTTTTCTTAGTCTCACCCTGTGAGAAAATGAGTTGCTAAGGGAGAAGCTGCACCCTGATGGCTTAGAGGAAGTGCTTGCATTCTCACACCAAAGCTGCCTGTGAGTTAGAGAAGGCATTAGGGCATCTTTGTGTATGAATCCGTGCATACTTTTATCTTCTCTCCTCCATTAGTTTTTTAGGTGAGAAACCAGGAGCTGAGATTCCTCCTACCCTTAGGGAAAAAAAAGATATTGTTCACTCTGGAACCTTGACTCTATAACTATTTAATGAATTGCTAAATGGCTCATATATATGGTTTTATGACTTCTCCGCTTGTAGAGCGCAAGGTCCCCAAACATGAAGTCCCTTGTTTTCTTATATTCCTCCTTTCATGTTTAGTATTGCTCTCATTCTGTATCTTACAGAATAAGAATTCTTGCAGAATCTCTCTGTGCTCAACATCCACTCCCAAAGAGACCAGCTCCCTAGGCTGAACTCCACCACCTTGCCTCTCTAATTCTCAGGACCCAGCCATGGGAGTCCTGGACTCTGAAGGAACAAATCTCCCCGAACAATGTAATTTGCAATGACATGGATGAACTTGGAAGACATTATTTTAAGTAAAATTCGCCAGGCATGGAGAGGCACGTACCACATGATCTCACTCATGTGGAATCTATAAAAGTTGATCTCATGGAAGTGGGAGGGGAATGGTGGTCACTAAGGCCTGGGATGGCTGCGGGAGGGGAAGATGTTGGTCAAAGGATACAAAATTTCAGTTAGAGGGCAGGAATAAGTTTAAGATATCTGCTGTACAACATGATGACTATAGTTAATAACTATTATACTATTAATAACAATATATTGTATCCTTGAAAAAGGCTAAGACAGTAGATGTAGTGTTCTCATCTCTCTCTCTGTATATATATATATATATATATATATATACACACGCGCACACACACACACACACATATATAATTTAAAATGTCATGTTGTACATGATAAATGTATACAAAAAGTCTCAGTGAACAAATGTAATGGGGTTAGAATTCCCTCAGACAGCATGGAGCACTTCCATGGATGCTATGTCCATTCCTTGTAGGAAGATTTAATACTTTTTGAAGATTAAATTGCTCACCTGGAATTTTCTGATTTGAGAATGCAATTTCAAAGACAGACCAAGGCCTTTTTATCTATTTCTCCTTGTTTGATTTCTGTAGACTGATTGTTTTACTGCTAATCTGTGTTACAAGTGTTTTGTGTGAGGGACACATCATTGCCTATAGGACATGGTATTCCCATGTGATCGTCATTGGTTAACACGGGAAATCCTTTATGCTTTTCCCCAAGAACACTAAAGCAGTTATACCCCCAAGTAGGTCAAATAAAATAATTATCTTAAGAAATGTAATCAGGGAAGAGCCCATCATGTTAAGAGACAGCCCCACAGTTTCCTCCAATGCTTCGATCTAAGAGACAATGCTTCCCAAAAGGACATATTGCCAGGAAGATACTTGTCTGATGGGAGTAAGTATCCTTTCGTACCTTCTGGGAGGTGCATTTCTAATATTTCTTAATTAAGGCGATCAACCTTCCTGGTTTGCTGGCAACTCTGTTTTAGTAATGAAAAGTCCTGCATCTGCAAAAAACTCATAAGTCCCAGGCAAACTGGGACAGTTGGCCATCCAATGATGGGGCTTCCTTGAGAGATGGTGAGCTCTCTGACACTGGGAGCGTCCCCACAAAAGTGGAATGGTTCCCTGCATGGAGGTTGTGGAGGAAGATTGCTATTTTGACAAAAAAGCTGGACTTTATGATCTCTAAGCATCTTTCTAACTTTAAAATTTAAAATTCCAGATGGCTCCAAAAGACAGAAACATGACAATTAGAGGTGGCCATCCAGGAATCTTAAACGCTGGTGTCTTTATGTCCTGTGTAGGTTTTGCATTTTTATGTTAATCTGGTTTTGTATCTTGTCTAGAGCTCTACTATACAGTTTTGTATAGTGCTGTTTTATTTTGCAACACAGTATATACTACTTGGCTCCTAACTGCCTCTTCTGTGGTTTTCAAACACTCACCCCTTGATAGGATAGAGCCTGGGCTCTTCAATGGAATATGATGCTTATTGATGCTTCCACCATTTCTCCACTGGAACTGCAGCTCCTGACTACAGTTTGATGTCATCCACCCATCACATGGCCCAGCACTCATATACATTTCACAGATGTGTCAAGAGAGGCCTCAAGATGTTGAGAGAAAAAGTTTGCCAACGCGACAGTGAGGTTGTGAGGCACAGCCAAGAATGAAAAAGTCAAAAATCTGGCTCTGAGTCCTTTTTTCTAATGACTAGACACCACTCCCTCATTGGAACACACTTGGTTTTGATGCCTTAAAGGGACACAGAGAGCTGGCTGGCTTACAGAAACAAGAAATACTCTTCCTCCTGCTGGAGTGGTACAGCCTTTCCTGCCACCATCTTGAGGCCGGGGCTTTCAGCCTTCCTCCATATACGAAGTCCTTCTCTACTCTCTCCTTTCTCTCCATGTCTCTTCCTCCCTAAATTTCTCCTGAATTATCTGTATGGAAGTTTATTCTGATACTAGTTTCAGAGCAACGGAAATTTCTACAGTATATAAATATGTTTACAAGTACATAGAATAATACAAAATCTAGATGAGGTAGGAGGTTCTTGGGCTTTCATGTCTCCTTGATGTTTCTATTGAAATCTCAGAGAAGAAGATGTGGAAACAAAATGGTTTTATTCTTTATCTAAGTTGAGCTTTCCCTTCTTGAATTACCAGAGAACTCTCTTGCCGTGGCTGAACCCAGACCTTCCTAGCGTCAATCCTATGCTGTTTTCCTCTTTGTTACCCTTTTTCTTCCCACCCCAGATGGTTGGACTCTCTTTGATGTTATTGTAAGCACTTTAGCTTATTTGCTAAGCATTTTCTGAACACCTACTACATTGTATGTATCCTGCTGGCTTGAGAGAGTAAAATAAGTCATGTCTCTATTGTATCCTTGAAGAACTCACTTTGTATCTGGTGGTAGTCAGACAGGGAGATAGAAAAATCTCTCCAAAGAACTGATAATAATATAATTGGATAAATGCTCAAAGTTCTAAACGGGAAGGCATTTAGAATTTTCTGTGATAGATAGAAAGATGGCCATTGTTTGTTCCTTAACATGATCTGCTGGTTACTTAGCCTGTTTTCTGCGGATGATATGGCCTTAACTATGAAGGAGATGAGCACCTTCAAGCTTGTATCTGCCCATTGATAGACCAGATCAGTTGAAAGACTTGCCCTGGACTGCATCAATCTTGGCTTTCCATAGACTTGATTTCTGACCTTTGCTTTGGTGTGATGCCATGAGCTTATATATTGGGATATCATTAAAACATCCCTATGAAACTTGTCATTGTGTGCATTGTAAGAAGGTATTTAAAAGAGCCCAGGAAAATTTTTTTCCAGGTTCAGGATTGGGAATAGTTCCATATTTTTGGCAAACTGATTTCATTTTAGCTTATGGAGATTATGATCCTTTTAACATTATGATTGTTTGCCTTTTTGAGTTGGGTCTTAATAGTCATTGAGTTCAATCAGTCCCACTCAATACTTGTGTTTCCCCTCAACTAGATGTATAATCTAGTCAGAAAAACTTTTTAGACTGTAGCCCATACTAAAAATGCATTTTGCATTGTAACCTAGTAAACACACACACAAATTAAAAATAAAGTTCACAAAACAATATTGATATCTATTGTAATGCTCTCTGATACCTTTTATTCTTTTCTATTTAATTTCATTCCATTTTCATTTTTAAAAATACTGGTTACAACCCTGTAAATTCACTTGATAACCCTTTAGTGAGTTGTGAGCCATAGTTTGAGAAACACTGATTGTATCCTTCTCTTGAACGCTTCCAGCTACAGACTTCAGTACTTCCCAGGAAAGCCCATCTTATCATCAGAAAATTGGAGCTTCTCTTTCAACTGAGCTTAAACTTGACTCAGTAGATCCTACCCAGTGACCTCCTAGTTCTTTCAGTTTCATGCAGAAAAGTCCAGTCCTTATTCCTGACTACCCTTCCAATATTTGAAGAGAATGTATCACCCTAAAAATTCCTCACCCACTTGCATGTGCTAGTGGCCAGACATCAATAGCTGAAACAAAGTGTGAAGCCAGAACAATTAGAAATGTTCCCTGAAGCATTTGAGTAATTCGAAGGCAAGTGTTGCTTTTTAAAATGTGCTCATTTTAACTGAACAATTGCCCCAATTCCCTACTTTATTTCAACTGTAGGAAACCTGGCTGAACTCCTGCTACATATTGATTTTGCTCAAAGGTGGCAAGTGACAACACAGCCGTTACATAAATGACATGAGAAAACAGCCTCCTTCCCCTATGGTATTTAGCACAGTCCACAGATGGCAACGACCTAATTCAGCCCAAAGAAGAAACAAGTGAAATCATTCACTCAATTACTTTCATTGGGTAGAGGCAGTGTGGGGCTCTCCTGATGCTCCCAGAAGAAAACAAAACAAAACAAAAAAAAAACCCGTCCTGAAACTGCCATGCATGGGTAATTTCATTACGACAGAGTTCCAGTCACCTCTTGTTTTCTTAAACTTGTATTATTGAAAGATTAGTCTTTTGTTTATGGTTACATTGCCAAGTATCCAAAGCAGAATTCTCCTTCATTCAGAGTTAATCCAACTGAAATGGACATGGCATTAAGAAGGCCCATGGCCCTGTGAGATCAGAAGAATTACTCAATCTGCACCACTTAGGACAGAATGTTTTTTTGAAAGCAGTTAGGATAAATTGACAAAGATTGCTTACTTCAGAATACAGAGGTCAAAGTGTAGTTCACAAAGACTTTATTATAATTACATGCTGTAATGGGAAAGATTGAATTTTGTATGGCTGGGTAGCAGGGCTCACTGAAGTGATGGGTAAATCCAATGTTGAGAGGTGATCAAGGATATTTTATTTCTCCTTGATCCCTTATACAAAACTAAACTAACGAGTAAGTCTGTGTCTTTGAAGGGAAGTCATGAAGAAAATGACTTTCTTAGAAGGGGAGATGCTGCTATTTGAATATAAAAGGTACTTTGAACTGGGTGAAGCTCTCAAACATGGAGGACAAAACCACATGGTGATTTAGGAAGGATAATGAAAATAACCTTGGCCTCTTCTGCGGTCAATAGCTTTGTTCACTTCATCTTTCCCTCTTGCTTTTGAATGGTTGGGAACAATGAAGATGTGGACAAACTGATTGCAAGGTTGTAAGCTACTAGTCTGGAGACCGAAAATAATACGCAGATAGATTTGGTTTGGCATGCACAATGTACAAACATCAAAAGATCTATTCATGATAAGAACATTCAGAAAAATAGGAAGCGAGGGAAACTTTCTCTACTTGATAAAAGCATCTATAAAAATCTGCAGCTGACATTATACTTAGTGGTAGAAGATTGAATACTTTTCCCCTCAGATCAGGAATGAGGCAAGGATTCCCTGTCACTCTTACTTGACAGAGTGCCGCAAGTTCTGGCTGGTACAGTAAAGTGAGAAAAAGAATTAAAAGGCACACAGATTGGAAAAGAAGAAATAATGCTGTACCCTTGCAGATGTGATTGTTTGTGAAGAATCCAAAGGAAGGTCTACCAAAAAACTAGACCTAAGTTTAGCAAGGTTGTAGGATACAGAAGACATTTATGCGTCCAACAAACATATGAAAAAAAGCTCATTATCACTGGTCATTAGAGAAATGCAAATCAAAATCACAGTGAGATACCATCTCATGCCAGTTAGCATGGCGATCATTAAAAAGTCAGAAACAATGGATGCTGGAGAGAATGTGGAGAAATAGGAACATTTTTATACTGTTGGGAGTGTAAATTAGTTCAACCATTGTGGAAGACTGTGGTGATTCCTCAAGGATCTAGAACCAGAAATACCATTTGACACAGCAATCCCATTGCTGGGTATATACCTGAAGGATTATAAATCATTCTTCTATAAAGACATATGCACACATATGTTTATTGCAGCATTGTTCATAATAGCAAAGACTTGGAACCAACCCAAGTGCCCATCAATGGTAGACTGGATAAAGAAAATGTGGCACATATACACCATGGAGTACTCTGCAGCCATAAAAACGGATGAGTTCATGTCCTTTGCAGGGACATGGATGAAGCTGGAAATCATTCTCAGCAAACTAACACAGGAGCAGAAAACCAAACACCTCATGTTCTCACTCATAAATGGGAGTTGAACAATGAGAACATATGGGCACAGGGAGGGGAACACCACACACTGGGGCCTGTTGGGGGTAGCATTAGGAGAAATATCAGGGAGGGATAGCATTAGGAGAAATACCTAGTGTAGATGATGGGTTGATGAGTGAAGCAAACCACCACGGCACGTTTATACCTATGTAACAAACCTGCACGTTCTGCACATGTATCCCAGAACTTAAAGTATAATAAGAAAATCAATTATATTTTAATAAAGTTCCAACTAACATGTGGATACTAAAATTGAAAGTATAATACCTTTTACAATTGCTAAAAAATACTTACGTGTGTATCTAACAAAACATGAACAGGACTTACAGGCTGCAAAGTATAAAACTGATGAAAGCAATCAAAGAATGTCTAAATAAGTGGAGAGATAGTCCTTGTTCATGGACTGGAATACCTTCCATAGTAAAGATGTCAATTTTCCCCAAATTGACATGCAGTTTTGATGCATTTCATAATCCCAGCAAGATTTTTTTGTAGATGTATAAAAAATTGTTCTCGAATTTATATGGAAAGGCAAAGGGACTAGAATAGCTAAAACAATTTTGAAAAGACAAATATAGTGGGGGGAGTCAGTCTACCCAATTTCAAGGTTTATTGTGTAGTTACAGCAATCAAGACAGTGTGGCATTAGCAGAGGCTAGGTCATAGATCACTGGAATAGAATAGAAAACCCAGAAATAGACCCACATAAATATTTCCAACTAACTATTGACAAAGTTGCAAAAACAATTCAATGAAGAAAAGACAGCCTTGTCAACAAATGGTGCTGGAGCAAGTAGACATCCACAGGCAAAAAACAAAGTGAAACAAAACAACTACAAAAAACCCAGAATCTCAACCTGTCTCATACCTTATACAGAAATTAACTCAAATGGACTTAAATGTAAAATATAAACCTTTAAAACTTTTAGACAAAATAAAGGAGAAAATCTCTGAGAACTAGGGGTAGTTGAGAGGTTCTTGGACTTGACACCAAAAGCACAATTCATGAAAGATAAAATGGATAAATGGCGCTTCATCAAAATTAAAAATTTATGCTCTGTGAAAAACTCTGATAAAAAGACAAGCTAAAAATTGGCTGAAAATATTTGCAAACTACCTTTCTGACAAATAGCTAGTATCTAGAATATATTAAAAAAACCTAAAAAATCAATGGTAAAGACAAAACAAACCCCCAAACAACCCAACGAGAAAATGAGCAAAAGACATAAAGAGACATTTCTCCAAAGAGGGTATACAGATGATAAAGAAGCACATGGAAAGATGCTTAACGTCATCAGCCATTATGGAAATGCAAATTCAAACGACAATGAGATCTTACTACATACCTATCAGAATAGCTAAAATAAAAATGGTGAGAACATCAAATGCTGGAAAGAATACAGAGAAACTGAATCACTCATACATTGCTTGTGGGAATGTAAAATGGTAGAGCCACTCCAGAAAACGGGATTGAAAGTTTCTTAAAAATCTTACCATGTACCTATATTATTATCAGTTCTTTGGAGAGATTTTTCTGTCTGCCTCTCTGACTACCACCAGATACAAAGTGAGTTCTTCAAGGATACAATAAAGACATGACTTATTTTACTGTCTCAAGCCAGCCAGGATACGTACAATGTAGTAGGTGTTCAGGAAATGCTTAGTGAATAAGCTAAAGTGCTTACGATAACATCAAAGAGAGTCCAATCATCTAGGGTGGGAAGAAAAAGGGTAACAAAGAGGAAAAGAGCATAGGATTGACGCTAGGAAGGTCTGGGTTTTCTTTCCTATATGACACAGCAATTGCATTCCAGAAAAATAAATGGGCATTTATTCCACAGAAATGAAAACTTATGTTTGTACAAAACCTGTATACAAATGTTCACAGCAGCTTTATTCATAATAGCCAGAATTTTGAAAAGATCCAAATGTCTTTAAATGAGTGAATGATTAAACAAATTGTGGTTCATCGGTACCATGGACTACTACTCAGCAATAAAAAGAAACAAAATATCAATAAATGCAACAACCTGGCTGAACCTCCAGGGAATAACGTCCAGTGAAAAAGAACCAGTCCTAAAAGTTTACATACTGTGATTCTATTTCTATAACATTTGTGACATTACAAAATTATAGAAATGAAGAACAATTTAGGGGTTGCCATCAATTAAGGAGGGATTGGAAGCAGGGAAGTGGGTGTGACTATAATATGGCAACACCAGGGATCCTTGTAGCAATGGAAGTGTTCTGTATCCTGACTTTATCCAAGTCAATGTTCTGGGTGTGATATTGTACTATAGTTTTGCATGATGCCACCTTTGTGGGAAAGTGGGTAAAGGATGCACAGGATCCTGGTATTCTTTCTCATAAGTGCATCTGAATCAACACTTATCTCAAAAAGAGAAGTTTAAAAATAAGTCTTAAAATAGGGTCTTTAGTTCACCAAAGCCCCTGTTATTTTTATTCTTTTACACCTACTAATTTGCTTTTCACAGTGTGTTATATGTCTGGCACCCAAAGGCATGGGAAAGAGAAAGAAAGAAAGGAGAAAGAAAAGAAAGAAGGAGAGAGAGAAAATGGGATTTTGCTAACAAAATACACAGAAGAAATGTCATATGGTGTTCGTCTATTGGAGACAGATGAATTCATTTTAGAAAATTGGGTTTTAGTATTTGGAGGCATTGTATTCTCACAATTGTTCAGAGACCCATATTGGAGAATGGGACCACATTTTTGGTAACGCTATAAGGATCGCTGTGTATCTCTCTCTTCCATTAAATTCCTTGAGGGCAGGGACCATGATGTTTACCCTTTATACTCCCCTCCATTCTCCTTTCTTCCCTCCCCCAGCATAGAGGCTTAATCCAGCATTTAATAGGGGAGAGAACATATTTCTATGTTGATTAATAACATAGCATGATCACAGTACTAACCACAAATACCCACGACCTGTTAACTACCTTTCCAACCTTTTTCTGTATGACTTCCCTCCAGGTGCCTAGTGATTTAGCCAACCTGAACTGCTTCAGGCTGTGCACACGTTGGGGGGTTTTCTCACCTCACTGCCTTTCTTCCACACCATTTCCTTTGTTTAGTATTCCCTCCTCCACCCCTATAGGTCCAGTTCCTACTGATCCTTTCACTGTTCAATCCAAAGACTACCTCTTTGAAGAAGTCTTCCATGCTGCAAATACTATTCACAGTTGATATCTTTGTTACTTTCAGCTTTATAGGAAAGATTTCTGTGGGCTCTGCCCTGTGCTACTGTGAGCCACTTGGGGGCAGATCTGTCCTGATCCTTCTAGATCTTCCCACAGAAACGGGTACAGAGCGCTGCCCATAGCAGAGATTTATGCATGTGCATTGAAAGAGGAAAAAAAAAATCAGAATGACCAGGGTAGTGTGATGGATGCTCTAAGGGTAGCCAAATAAAAATGATAGGAAGCTAGAAAGGAAACCCAAGAGTGGGTCAGAAGGAATAGCAGACAATGTTAAAATGTTTTAAGGCTGATTTTATGTGGCATTGGTAGAGATTAGCCTGCTCACCACAGCCAGTTTCACTGTAAATCATGTAACAGACCTTGTAGAAATGCCAAGATAGTAGACGTCTGCTTAAAACGCAGAGCTCTGAGAAAGGCTCGACTTCAAACATTGTTTACTTTCTTCATTAGGAACTAAAGAGAAGCAAGTACAAGGCAGCGGGTAGCAATTACCTAATATCTTTGCCGAAAGAGAGATTTTTCAAAATGTGCTTTTCTCACTAATCCTTGAGGGGAAATGAGGTTTATTTATGGTGTCAGAAGAGAACAAGGCATTAATAGTAAAAGATTTTATATGACTTCATGTTTTTAGGAAAGTCATTTGTTTACAAATCCGACTCAATCAAACCCAAAGGTATTTAATATATTCCAGATTTGAATGCCACCTGATTTCTTTACCCAAATTTCAGACTAGAGGAAGTAATTCTGATAGAGTGTATACACTGATGTAAGAAGATATAGATTATAAGGATTTCCTAGCCAAGATGAAAATCTTAGACCATCTGATAGTCCAGGGAAATGATGGAATAATTAAATGCATTTCTTCCATCTCCAGCTTTAACTAAGATTGTGTGGTAATGGGGCTGTCTAAAGTTACTTAACTGTTTTGTTTGATAATTCAGGATAACAATCATTTGACCAAGAAATAATTACGTAAATAAGACACAAACAGACTGCATTTGTGCTACATTTGTGTAATGAAGCTACTACAGCTATATGAAAATAATTATGGTTAATTTTATTCTCTTTCATTTGCTTACAATTCTTTTTTTTTTTTTTTTTTTTTTGAGATGGAGTCTTGCTCTGTCACCCAAGCTGGAGCACAGTGGCGCGATGTCAGCTCACTGCAACCTCCGCCGCCAGGTTCAAGCAATTTTCCTGCCTCAGCCTCCTGAATAGTTAGGACTTGCGCACCATCATGTCCGGCTAATTTTTTGTATTTTTTAGTAGAGTTGGGGTTTCACCATGCTGGCCAGGCTGGTCTTGAACTCCTGACCTTGGATCTGCCCACTTTGGCCTCCCAAAATGCTGGGATTACAGGCATAAGCCACTGCGCCTGGCCTGCTTACCAATTCTTAAAGAAGATCTTTAGTCACTAAAAATGATATCTCACATTTGGCCAAAACCTTATTCTTACTAAAATATGTTTGCATAGTTTGTTTGATCTTCTTACCATAATGTTACGATTCAAGCAAGGATTATTATTTGTGTTTTACTCAAGAACAAACTAAGACTGAAAACATTCAAACAAATCCTCAAGTCCCTCAAATCTGCCAAAGAAATAATATATGAGATTTTAGAGCTGGAAGGAATCCCATGAGATGATATCTGTTTTTGTAAGCCTCATTAGATGTGCTTAATAATGTAGTTGATTGAGCAGTCTTTTGATCCAGGTGCCACTTTAAGGTGTGTGGTATTACTCTCTTGTTTTGCAGATTAGGTATCTGGCAGGTTTGCAACTTGGCCAAGGTCACATGGCCGAGACGCTTTGGTGGCAGCATACACACTTCACAGTGGGGCAGGGGAGCTGCTCCGAAGTTTTACTGTACATCAGTTAAGGTCTGGTTCTAGAACATCCAGACTCACTTGTGTATTCCAACTTCCACTCTGAATCTGCAGGGGAGATGTGACGTGAAATGAAATGATTTGTGCTTGCAGGCAAACAGCAGTCTCCTCAGTTATCAGAAAAGCAGTGAAGTCCCACACTGAGGGGATCCCTGTACACAAAAGCAGATAGTAAGTCTCTGCAGGAGACCCCATGGCAGGTGAGCTGCTGGATAACTGACTCATTAAATAGTGGGCTCCACCACTGATGATACCAGCATCTTGCCTGAGGAGTCTTAGAGTGCTAATGAAGCTACTACAGCTCGCAGACAGCAGAGACCTAGCACACAGTCTCCTAGAGAATATCTGGCACAACAAGCTGAGGTGTATTATATAAGGGAGGGGTAAAGAGTTTTCCCCTCTGAAAAATGGAACACTGATGACAACAGATTTCTTCAGTGGATTTAAATCCTATTTAAGAACAGAATTATCTAGTCAGATTGCATGCGGCGTTTTCTTCGCTTCATAATAATGGTAGCAAGAAAGTTGGAAGACAGTACAAGCTGAGTATCCCTTTTCTGAAATGCTTGGGACGAGAAGTGTTTCAGATTTTGGACTTTTTCAAATTTTGAATGTTTGCATTATACTTACAAAATCCAGAAATCCAAAATCCAAAATGTTCCAAAGAGCATTTGCTTTTAGCATGACCTTTGAGTGTCTTGCCAGCACTCAAAAAGTTCTGGATTTTAGAGCATTTCAGATTTTGATCTTTTGGATTATGGATGCTCAACCTCAACTTTGTGCTTTGAACTAGGTAAGCCCTTTTGAGGGTCCCTTTCAAATTCCTAAACTATAGCTTTGGGAGTCATTAAACTGAAAGCTTTCCCAGGAATTGTTGTTAACTGCATTGTATTAAGTTTCCTATTATTCCTCTAGTCTAGTTATTGTTTTGAAAACAATAAAGTGTCTGACTAACTTACAGGGTCGTTACTTTGTGCTTTATTTGTATCTTGGCCTTAGGAAGGTAACTAGGCCTTTGCGTTCTCTTGCTTCAGGTACCTCAGAAGTTGCTGGAAGACCCCTCTGTGAAGGGATTATGCCAGGTTTGTTCCAAGAGGAAAGAAATGGCTTGGAGGGTGGAGTTGGACGTGGACAACTTGGGAAAGTAGGAAGTATTTCCAGAGCTGGGAATGGGTGTGAGGCTCTAGGTTCTTGAGCAATAAACAGCATTGGGGTTCCTCACATTTGTTGCTGGGAACCCCAGAAGGGAAGGTCCAGCTGGGCCACTTGACCTCCAGATGCCAGAGCACCCCACCAAGGCAAAAGCACATGTCCTAGCATAACATGTAAGCGCAGCGCCTCCTGTCTTCATGAAGCCACCTGGCTTTGAACCCTAAGCTTGTTTGCAGTAGAGCTGTATGGACCAAAGATGAGAGGGCCCTCTTTACATGTTAGGACCAGGGAAAGTCCCACAGCACCTTTGAACGATGTCCCCTAGCGGAAGAGGACATCGATAATAACTAAAATGAAATTTCTTGCCAATTCATTGGCATCTGGAGCAGGTTAAATTTGATTTAGAGAAATATTAAGAAATGTGACATTAAGTCTATCATTATAAAAAGATAGTAGACTAACAGTACATGGGTAGATCTTAAAGTGTACACTATACAGTCACACCTGCTATCTCCTTTTGCCTTTATAATAACCCTATAAAGGGGTTAATGTTGAGGTTATATCCACTTTATAAGTGATTTTCCCAAGGTCCCAGAGCTTATAATGGGCAAGGCAGCTCTAGCTGTTGCCACTTGCAAAAGGGGATCCCATACTTCAGGTCTGGGCGATCACATTCATTTTTTTCCTCCATCTGCAATGGAGGCAACCATTTAGCAAACATTCCCCAAGGAACTACAACACACTGGGCCCTGGACAAGGCATGGGGATCCAACACCCAATAAGACACGGTCCCTGCCCTCAAGGAATCTCAGCCCTGAAGAGAAGAGCTCCTGGGGAAGGATGGGAGCCCTGGTGTTGGGAGCTGGGAGACGAGGTTCAGGGGAAGGCAGGAACCAGATGGTGAATAAATGTGCTTCGAATTTTGATTTCAGCAACTGTGAAGACCATTATAGGAGTTTCACTTTTTTTTTTTTTAATTAAACTTTAAGTTGTGGGGTACCTGTACAGAATATGCAGGTTTGTTACATAGGTATACACGTGCCATGTTGGTTTGCTGCACCCATCAACCCATCATCTACATTAGATATTTCTCTTAATGCTATCCCTCCCCTGGACCCCCACCCCCAACAGGCCCCAGTGTGTGATGTTCCCCTCCTTGTGTCCATGTGTTCTCAATGTTCAATTCCCACTTATGATTGAGAACATGCAGTGTTTGGTTTTCTGTTCTTGTGTTAGTTTGCTGAGAATGATGGTTTCCAGCTTCATCCATGTCCCTGCAAAGGACATGAACTCATCCTTTTCCTGGCTGCATAGTATTCCATGGTGTATATGTGCCACATTTTCTTTATCCAGTCTATCATTGATGGGCATTTGGGTTGGTTCTAAGTCTCTGCTATTGTGAAGGAGTTTCACTTTTTATTTTCTTTTAAAATTACAGAAGTATTGAATTATTAATGAATAATTCAGTTGAAGCCAATTCAAGCCAATAATGAAGTCAACACTTATGGAAGAACAACACATGCTATGTAAAACATTTGGTGCCTTAATTCAACAAATATTTTAAAATGCTAAACCCTGTGTGATGCTGGCGACACATTGGTAAACAAGATGGGTATGGTCTCTGGCCTCATGGAGTTTGTATTCTGGTTGGAAAGAGATAGAAAATACACACCTTAGAAAGTGACCTGTTTTTAATATTGTTAAGTTTTAACAATAATATTATTATCAATCATATTAATATTATTAAGTTTTAACAATAATATTCATATTAATATTATTAAGTTTTAACAATAATATTCATATTAATATTATTGTTAAGCTTTTTTTTAGAGCACGTCACTTAAACAAGTTTAAGTTCCAGAATACTTGTGCAGGACATGCATGTTTGTTACATAGGTAAACGTGTGCCATGGTGGTTTGCTGCACCTATCAACCCATCAGCTAGGTATTAAGCCCTGCATGCATTAGCCATTTATCCTGATGCCCTCCCTGCCTCCTCCCCACCACAGGCCCCAGTGTGTGCTGTTCCCCTCCCTGTGTCCATGTGGTCTCATTGTTCAGTTCCCACTTATGAGTGAGAACATGCAGTGTTTGGTTTTCTGTTACTGTGTTAGTTTGCTGAGGTTGATGGCTTCCAGCTTCATTCATGTCCCTGCAAAGGACATGATCTTATTCCTTTTTATGGCTGCATAGTATTCCATGGTGTATATGTACTGCATTTTCTTTATCCATTCTATCATTGATGGGCATTTGGGTTGATTCCATGTCTAAAAGCAGGTCTCTTTCTAGGGTGTGTATTATCTATCTCTTGGATTCTTTCCATGATAATACATTTAGAACTAGTTCATTCTTTTAAATTGCTGCATAATATTATTCCATAATAAAGATGTACTATATTTAACTCTTCATCTATTGATGATTACTCCGGCTGTTCTAGCTCTTCTGCTGTGACAAACAGTGCTGCAATGAACATCCTTAGACTGATATTCTTATTGGTGCTTTTTTTTTGTTGGATGGGGTTCTAGGTGGGACAGCTGGCCCTAAAGGTTCATTCTTTTTAAAATTTTAATATACACTGGCAGACAGCTTTTCAAACAGATTGTGACAATAGATGAGCATGCAAAAGTCCGCACACTTTTTCAGTCCTTGATGTTCACAATCTCCTTAATTTTTGCCAATCTTATAGGTGAAAAAATATAACTATTGTTCTTTAAAATTTGTGATTACCAGAGAACTAGACCTCAAGAATATTTCCGTATGTTTATTGAGTATTTCATTTCCTCATAAATGAATCACCTTTGACCATTTTTCTGTCGTATCGTTAATCTTCTCTCTAGTGTATGGGCACTCTGTATACATTAGGCATATGAACTCTTTATATAGGTACTGCATATTTTTCCTCCCATTTTATCATGTGCCTTTTGACTTTGTTTTTGGAGTCACCAAAAGGTTTTCAGCAAGGGAGTAACAGATTGTATTTCCATTTCTGAAAGTCCATTCTGCAAGCACGTGGAAGATTGATGGAAAGGAACACAATTAGCAGGGCAACTATTAGGAGTTTGTAGGAGGGCACTATTCCAGGAAGTGAATGGCGAGGGACTGAATTAAGTCAGTGGCAGTGGGAAATGTGAGGGAAAATTGATTTGTAACTGTGAAGAAAATGTATATGACTTTGTGACTGACTGAATGGAGGTTGCAAGGGAAATTGAGGTTGACTTTCAGGTTACTGACCCAGGTGAGTAGGGGGCTGTTGGTGGCACTTACTGAGAGGGCATGTGAGAATGGAGGTATGAAGTTTGGATTTGAATAGGAGTTTGGGGTATTTAAGGGATGTCTAAGTAGAGAGGCTCAATAAGCTGTTGGGTCTTGGGGTGTAGCACACAGGAGAATGGGCTGGGCTGAGGAGCAGGTGCGAGGACGTGGCAGTTCACAGATGGCGACTGCAGATATGGAGTGAGTGAAGCTGCTCTGAAGGAATGCAGTTTCTGTGGGGTGCAGGGGTCTGAAGAGGAAGGCTGTGAGCATCCACATTTGTAGAGTTCACTGAGAAAATGAGCTGGTAATGAAGGCTCTTTCTTGGCTTGAGGCCGCAGACGGCAGCCTACACTCACCAGCAACAGAGGGGCCCTCAGTGGGCAGCTGTTTGCCCTGGTGTGGGGCATTCAGTCTGAGAAGAGGGCTGTGATGGGAGTCCCACCCCATCTCCTGCAGACAATTCTCTCCGTTCCCCTCTTCCCTGCCTGCAGCCTCAGTAGGATCCAGGGATTCTCCCAGTTTTTCTCTTACTGAAGGCTGCAGTCCTGAAGTCTCACTGCCACCATTTCTTTGCTTCCCCCTGCTTTAGGCTGAGGCCAATGCACCCCACCATCTGTGTTTCTCTCTCTTCACATTCTCCAGGGAGCCTAGGTCTCTCTTTGACCCCCATTGCCAAGCTCAATTTACCATTTCAGTCAGAGGTGGTGGAATCTTTCACTAGCTCGCTACAGCTTAATTTATGCCAAGGAAGTGAAATGAATTCTTCTTAATGAAGTTCCAGTGAATGAGCTCACCCCACATTTGGCTTTTGATTTAAAAGACCACTCCAAGATCTTGTCTGTCCTCCAAATACCAGAACACTGGCTCCTGTCCATATGGGAATATTTGTTTTGTAAACTAGATTGATATGCAGTAATTTCAAAAAATTATTTATACCTAATTTTTGTCCAATGGAATGAAAGGAGTTCTAGGCTGCACAGAAAGATAAGACATCAGCATTTGTCTCTATTGATAGTGACACAGGTTTACAGAAGGACTTATGAACATAGACATGATCTAAGAAGCCAACGTTTATGGAAGAACAACACACGCTATGTAAAACACCTGGTGCCTTAAACAGGAATCTGATACTTTCTCATTTATCCAAATGTGACTTGGCAATTAACTCATAGTCTCTGGCTCAGTGGCTGTTTGTCTCTTCACTTTGATGCAATGCAAATTTGGCACAAATCTAGGGCCATCCATAGTTGAAACTGCCATTGCCAGTGAGTCATAACCATTGAATGTTATGGTTGGAAGTGGCTTTAGAGATCATCTACGCCAACTCCCTCATTTTTCAGATGAGGAAACTGAGAGTAGAAACTTGCCTAGGATCATATGACCAGCTGACATCACTGGATGTAGCCTGGGTTTCCCTGATCTCCAGTCCTGTGGAGCTAGTACACCACCACACTGTTGTTACTTAGTGGTAGTCAGGAATGGGTGGCTTGTGTGTTTGGGTGGCTGTTGACCCTTCCTGTCCTTGATTTACCTCTCCCCATCCCCAGTGTTTCCAAATTAACATACAAGTTGCTGTGGTTTGAATGTCCCCTCTAAAACTCATGTTGAAATTTAATTGCCATTGTGATGATATTAAGAAGTAGGACCATTAAGAGGTGAACAGGCCACGAGGCCTCTGCCCTCATGAATGAATTCATGTCATTATTGTGGGAGAGGTTTTTCATCCAGACAGTAGGTTATTAAGAAAAGCGAGTTTGGTCTTCTCTTGCTTTTGCGCATACTGTTTTGGCCTTCTGCCTTCTGCCATGAGGTGACACAGGAAAAAGGCCTTTGCCAGATGCAGAGCCCTTGACTTTGGACTTCACAGCCTCCATAACTGTAAGAAATAAATTTTTGTTTTTTTTTAATAAATTACCCAGTCTCAGGTATTCTGTTAGAGCAGCACTAAATGGATGAAGACGCAAGTACAACTGTGCCTTTGCTAAGCAAACTTAGCCTTAGACAAGGCCTCTGACTTCCCCTCCAAGAAGATGGATACTTGTAAGCTCCTCCATATAGAAATTATGTAGCTATCACTGACTTGCGCTATGAGGATTTGAATGATGAATCTGGCAGCAATGCAAAGGATACATTAGGAGTGAAGAGAAGTGTATAATATACCAGACATTAAATAATAAAGAAGGACAATGAGATAACGGGCTACTCGTAGTTCACCTCCATTTTTCTCAACTTCTTTTTACACTTGGCTCCAGTGATGTATATAGTATCTTAAGCACCAATAGGGATTTTTTTTTTCTTTTTTTTTTGAGACGGAGTCTCGCTCTGTCGCCCAGGCTGGAGTGCAGTGGTGCTATCTCGGCTCACTGCAAGCTCCGCCTCCCGGGTTCACGCCATTCTCCTGCCTCAGCCTCCCGAGTAGCTGGCACTACAGGCGCCCACCACCGCGCCCGGCTAATTTTTTGTATTTTTAGTAGAGACGGGGTTTCACCGTGTTAGCCAGGATGGTCTCGATCTCCTGACCTCGTGATCTGCCCGCCTCGGCCTCCCAAAGTGCTGGGATTACAGGCGTGAGCCACTGCGTCCAGCCTAGGGGGGTTGTTTTTTAAAAATATTTTCCCCATTTATACTGAACTGATTAATGAACTGAGTAATAATAATGGCCAGGAAAAAAAAAGTGAAATTTTATTTTGTTGATGTTTGTGTATATAATCATGCCAATGAAAATATAAAATAAATATTATAGTACAAAAAGGAAAAAGTAATAAATGAATACTTTTAACATATTAATGTGTTTTTTTGAGAAAAGGGAAAAATCCTTAGTCAGAAACAGTAATGAATAATAATATTACAGTTTGTTATTGAAACTTCTGCAAATTTGTCAATGACAAATTTATCTTCTTTGCATATTCATGTTCAATAGGCACTATGGCCAGATTCATCAACTTATCTTCACTCACAGCTGATGGAAAGAAAACTTTCTATTAATTTCAATGATTTTTTTATGTAAGGCAACAAATATATAAATAGGAAAAGTCTCATACGTAACCAAGTTTGATAGAGAGTCACAAAGATCTTAATCATAATATTCCAGAAATTGTAATACTGGTCGTGTCTTTTTTAAAGGCACATTTCTAGTGTCTTTCAGATATCTCTCAGAAGAAACATTTCCATTAAATTACTTTCACTAGAAAATTCATTAGAAATCTCTATTATTTCTGGTAAGAATTTCCAACGTTTTAATTCTTAAGCAAAATATCATTTAAAAAATGGCTGAATGACAGAGAATATTGACATTTTTTGATTCATGATTTTAGAACTAGTGCCCAGGTCTTGGAGAAAACATTTAAGGGATTCACATATTGCCTTTTAATTGCTTTTGGCAGTGTAAGACCAGCATCTTTTGTGGTTTCTTCTGGCATCCTTCAAAATTTGATTCTTTTTTCTAGGAAATGTAAGGAAATTCATTTACTTACATTTTAATGTTGCATAGTAAATGGCCCTCTCTACTATCTATGTGAGTTGATCTAAAGGATCAGTTTCAAAACTTGCTGTCTTGCTATACATTGTTCAAGGTGGATTCTGGTTGTTTGGAAATATTTTTGTATCTGATTAATCTCATTGTATTAGTCCACTTTCATGCTGCTGATAAAGACATACCTGAAACTGGGCAATTTACAAGAGAAAGAGGTTTAATTGGACTCACAGTTCCATGTGGCTGGGGAGACCTCATAATCATGGCAGAAGGCAAGGAGGAGCAAGTCATGTCTTATATGATAACAGCAGGCAAAAAGAGAGCTTGTGCAGGGAAACTCTCATTTTTAAAACCATCAGATCTTGTGAGACTTACTGTCACAAGAACAGTGCAGGAAAGACCCAACCCCATAATCCAATCACCTCCCACCAGGTTCCTCCCATGACATGTGAGAATTATGGGAGTTACAAGTCAAGATGAGATTTGGGTAGGGACACAGCCAAACCATATCATTCCACCCCAGCCCCTCCCAAATCTCATGACCTCATATTTCAAAACCAATCATGCCTTCCCAACAGTCCCCCAAAGTCTTAACTCATTTCAGCATTAACTCAGAAGTCCACAGTCCAAAGGCCCATTTGAGACAAGGAAAGTCCCTTCTGCCTATGAACCTGTAAAAGCAAAAGCAAGCTAGTTACTTCCTAGATACAATGGGGTACAGGTATTGGGTAAATACAGCTGTTCCAAATGGGAGAAACTGGCAAAAGCAAAGGGGCTGCAGGCCCCATGCAAGTCCAAAATCCACTGGGGCAGTCAAATCTTAAAGCTCCAAAATGATCTCCTTTGACTCCATGTGTCACATCCAGGTCATGGTGATTCCCACCAAGAGGTGGATTCCCATGGTCTTGGGCAGCTCCACCCCTGTGGCTTTGCAGGGTACAGCCTCCCTCCTGGATGCTCTCATGGGCTGGTATTGAGTGTTTGCAGCTTTTCCAGTTGCATGGTGCAAGCTGTCAGTGGGTCTACCATTCTGGAGTCTGATGGTCCTCTTCTCATAGCTCCACTAGGTGGTGCCCCAGTAGGGACTCTGTATGGGGGCTCCAACCCCACATTTCCCTTCTGCACTGCCCTAGCAGAGGTTCTCCATGAGAGTCTTACCCCTGCAGCAAACTTCTACCTGGACATCCAGGCATTTCCATACATCCTATGAAATCTAGGCGGAGGTTCCAAAAACCTCAATTCTTGACTTCTGTGCACTTGCAGGCTCAACACCACATGGAAGCTGCCAAGGTTTGGGACTTGCACCCTCTGAAGCCATGGCCTGTGCTCTATATTAGCCCCTTTTAGCCACAGCTGGAGTAGCTGGGACACAGGGCACCAAGTCCCTAGGCTACACATAGATAAGGACCCTGGGCCTGGCCCATGAAACCATTCTTTTACTCCTAGGCCTCCGGCCGGTGATGGGAGGGTCTGCCGTTGCCTCTGACATACACTGGAGACATTTTCCCCTTTGTCTTGGGGATTAACATTTGGCTCCTTGTTACTTATGCAAATTTCTGCAGCCAGCTTGAATTTCTCCTCAGAAAATGGGATTTTCTTTTCTATCACATTGTCAGGCTGCAAATTTTCCAAACTTTTATGCTCAGCTTCCCTTATAAAACTGAATGCCTTTAACAGCCCCCAAGTCACCTCTTGAATGCTTTGCTGCTTAGAAATTTCTTCTGCCAAATACCCTACATCATCTCTCTCAAGTTCAAAGTTCTAGAAATCTCTAGGGCAGGGGTAAAATGCCACCAGTCTCTTTGCTAAAACATAACAAGAGTCACCTTTGCTTCAGTTCCCAACAAGTTCCTCGTCTCCATCTGAGAATTACCTCAGCCTGGACCTTATTGTCCATATTGCTATCAGCATTTTGGGCAAAGCCATTCAACAAGTCTGTAGAAAGTTTCAAACTTTCCCACATTTTCCTGTCTTTTTCTGAGCCCTCCAAACTGTTCCAACCTCTCCCTGTAACCCAGTTGCCAAGTCACTTCCACATTTTCGGGTATCTTTTAAGCAGCATCCCGCTCTACTGGTACCAATTTACTGTACTAGTCCGTTTTCACACTGCTGATAAAGACATACCTGAGACTGGGCAGAAAAAGAGGTTTAATGAACTTACAGTTCCATGTGGCTGGGGAGGCCTCACAATCATGGAAGGCAAGGAAGAGCAAGTCATGTCTTACATGGATGGCAGCAGGCAAAAAGAGAGCTTGTGCAGGGAAACTTCCATTTTTAAAACCATCAGACCTTGTGAGACTTATTCACCATCACGAGAACAGTGCAGGAAAGACCAACCCCCATAATTCAATCACCACCCACCAGGATCCTCTCGTGACGTGGAAATTGTGGGAGTTACAATTCAAGATGAGATTTGGGTGGGGACACAGCCAAACCACATCACTCATCCAAAGCTTCACAACAGAAATAAAAAAAATTACTTGGAAAAGAAAAATAATTATATAAAGGAAAGAATAAAACTTGAGCTGATCTTTTTGTGCCACATTTTCTTTTAGATTGCATAGTACTTCAAAGGTTGACATTAACTTCACGAAATTTGTCTTTCCTGTGGACACAGCTTCATCTTGTCTGGAAAAGCTTTCTCATAGTTATACCTACATTACACAGAATTTTCCAACAACGAGGTGATACTGAAGTGAATGAACTACTCTTGCTTGAAGTTCCAAAAAAGTAAGAACTTTACGTAGTCACACAGAATGTCAAATTGAAGTATTTCAAGCTCTATTTCTGTGCCTTCACAATCACTGTGCTATTATTGTTTGTTTTGAATCTACTGAATAAATACAGGAATATGTAGAACTACAGGGCTGGAGAGCTGAATTGTACCCAAAGTGAGCTTGAAAGATTCTGAACTATGACCAACCTACTCTCCAAACAAATGTGTGTCACTGAGTCTGCATGCGTTGAGGTTTGGCTGTATAACTAGGAGTTTTCTGAATTAACCTTCGTGCATAAGATAATATTAAATAACAAATGAAAATGTGCTAATTTGAGGCTTGCATATTAGTGTTAAAATTAAATGGAAATTGTAATAATTGTTTAGAACTTAGACCAACTAAGGATTTTTTTTAGGAAACAGTAGGTTCTCATTGACATTGTTTAGAATTGCCAGCACATGGTGATAATAAAAAGCAGATTGACTTTTTAGTCAGTTTTATTACTGTTTTTACATCCTCTACAGAAAATGTTCCCAGTGCACCAGTTAGATACACTTGCTTTTTGCATGCCACTGCCAGTGTTCATTCTGATTCTAATTATTGGAAGGTGCCTATGTAGCTGGATGTCTTTGTCCTCCCATTTCTGTTCTTATCTTGCCCTTTAGAGATCATGCCTATCCCCAACCCTTTCTTTTACTTCCATGAAGACGTGGCAGGAAAGGAGAAAGAAGATCAGGGTGTCATGGCAGATAAAGCAGTTACTCCATATACTACCTTCCTCCTTGTCCGTTGCTCTTCTCTGTAACAACTAAAAGTGTCAAGATAAAGTGGGTTAATGCAAGTATCATATTTAGAACTACATTTAGCACATAGTAAGTACTTAACCAATACTGGCAATTACTTGCAGATAATCAGAATGAGAGTTAGGCCATCTGGTTATAGCAGGTCCCTGAAATGGGGGCATCATTAGACTTAGATCCTTCCTTATGCCCTCTCTTCACATGACTCTTTTGAGTGCTAGGAGACTGAGTCTTCTGCAGAAGTTACCTTCTCTACTATGTCGAAGGAATCATGCTTCTGTATGTGACAGTCAGGCATTTTAGAGAGGAGACATTGCAATCATGCACACTGGACATTGTCATCCTGGTGTGGCACCAGCTCTGGAATTGAGTCCTGGGTCATTAAGGTTTCTCATCAGATACCTTCATCACCAACACATATTCAGAGAGCCCAGTGTGAAAATGGGGACTTGTGCTTCCCTCAGATTTGCCTTGGTAGATGAGTATTACGTTGAAGGAAATAAAATCATGCCATCCAAAGAGAATTGCCTAATAAGGTTAGGGGCTCTTCACTCATTTTAAAAATAAAACATAATTTACATTACAAAGAGAATACAGATATTAGTGTTTTCTATGTGTTTTGAAAGTTCTATACACTAATTTCCCACTTAAAGCAAGTTAGCTAATATTTCTGTCACAGCTGAAAGTTCCTTCATTATTTGTTCATTTTAAAACTGGATCCATGTCTTCAGACCTTGGCTACTGTACAAGAGGTCTAGGGCAAAAAGAGATAGTGGAACTGGGCTGGGCAGGAGCAGGTAGTGGTGTGATGTGTGGTATCTTGGCCCACAGAAGAATGCTAAAGACTGCCCTGACAGGTGAGTTCATCAATGGCCCTTATAATTAAGGAGAAGAATTTACTCCAAAAAACAAAACAAAACCCCACCACCACCACCAACAAAAACTCAGCTAAACTAGGAAGAGTAAGAAATAAGGAATCTTAATTAGATGTAGCATTTCCATTGGTGTCAAAGAAATATCTTCATGATCTCTTTCCAGAATGGGTAGTTTGAGCTCTCAGTCTTCCAGATTATGTAAAGAAGCAGTACATAAATATCACTCCATCTCTGTCCCTGGCTTGTTTATTCAACTCTTGACCTGAGCTTTAGGAGGCAAATGTTTGGTGGCTACTAATGGACCAGTAGAGCAGAGGCAGCATTTGAGAAGAGCTCAGGCTCCTTCCATGACACTTGTTACCCACCAAAAAGCTAAATGATCTCAGAATGTTTCTAATCCATGCTGATTATGATAAATCCCTATTGCCAAACGAAGTCATGAAACACTGATTCAAAGGAAAACCAGCCCCATGCTGCTTGCTGTGTATCAGTGAACTGCTCAGCACCTTCTCTTTCCATGTCTTATTTTTTATATGTTTGACCATGTTGATGTTATACAGCTGTGAAATTGTGTAATCTGCATTTATGTAACCCTTGTTACTTGAATCTGAACTAAGAGGATGTTCTATTTTGCCAAAAACTCTCGGCTAGCTTAAATGCAATGAAATAACACCACACTATTAACACCTTATGTGCTATGAGAAACTTCACATTTAGTAGCCCGAAGGTTAAGGTTTGGACTTCCAAACCTTACAGTGTTGGAGTTGTGTGTGTGTGTGTGTGTGTATAGCAACTCATCTTTTATTTTTAAGGGAGTGCTCACTTGAGAGTGCAGCAATCACTTAGATTTATACAGAGCTATTTAGGAGAAAAGTCAATGTGAGCAAGTTAAGCTGTTCCTCCAGTTTACCAGCAGGTTCATCAAAGCATTAACTGGAGGAAATTCTGACTGGGTAAGCAACGGTGGATTAAAAGGGCTGGTAAAAAGATCTAGACTAGAGGATACTTCTCCGGGTGGTGATCTTGCTTCAGTTCAAGGTTAATTATGAAAGTAGTTTCAAAAATCTAGAATTATTTTGAAAGGGAAGAGCAAACTCAGAGTTGGGTGTCTATACAAGGTATCATCCCTGGAGAGTTCCCTGTAGAGGCAGAGGAGCCTCAGATCCAAAGCAGGCAGACAATTGAACAGGAAGCCTGACACAATGTACTCCCATGTCTTGGGCAAGATTTGCAACCATCACGTTTTACCCCCTGATTAGAATGGGAAGAAAAAGACCATGTTGCTTCCAAGGTTAGCCACTTGGGACAGGCAGATGTGAGCGAAGGGCAAGGTTAAGTGCTAAAAGTGGCGGGGGGCGGCGGTGGGGGCGCGGTACTTGGTGTGTCATGATTGTAAGACAACTCATTTTTCCACAAATGAAAAAAAGTCCATGTTGTCTTCTCTCCCTTAACATGAGAATGAAGTGCTTCCGACTCAGGAGTGATTGTTTGCAGGATAGATAGAGAATAAGTGTGCAGGGCCAGCTGGAAGCAGCACTGTGAGATTACTTAGATGTGCTTTCAGGCATGGGAAGGATACCTCCAAGACAAGGCAGGACAGCTACTGCCTGAGGTTAATGTTTTTAGGATTTTAGACTACTTTACAAGTTGAGTTTGTATTGTTTGTGAATCTTCATTTCCGTGTGGGTGCTTTTTCTGCAATTAGAGGGTTCTAACGCCAGATGGCACCTTTGTTATAAGGTCTGAAGAACTGGAATTCTCATGTAATATATGAGTGTGTATGTGTGTATAAATGTATTTATGCACCCTTAGTGTATGTATATTTACATATGTATATGCATATATGTGTGTGCATATACTTTATGTAATACATGATGGCTTTACAAAAATTTAACATGGTGGCAAAAGAGGATAGACTCTGGATCTTGACTGTGTGGAATCAAAGCCCAGCTCTGTTATCTATTAGCCCTGATGATTTTGGAAAGTTATGTAATCTGCCTGCAAAGCAGTTTCCTCATTTGTAAAATGCGGTTAATAATAGAGCCTATTTCATAGGGTTGTGAGAGTTAAATGAGTTAATATATTTAAATGCTTTGCATAGTGCCTGGTATATGATAACTACATAAATGTTAACTCTTATTTACATAATTTATTCCAAAGTTGATCTGTGGCCAGGTGCGGTGGCTCACACCTGTAATCTCAGCACTTTGGGAGGCTGAGGTGAGCGGATCACCTGAGGTCAGAAGTTTAAGACCAGCCCGGCCAACGTGGTGAAACCTGTCTCTACTAAAAATACAAAAAATTAGCCAGGCATGGTGGCAGGCACCTGTAATCCCAGCTACTCAGGAGGCTGAGGCAGGAGAATCGCTTGAACCCAGGAGGTGGAGGTTGCAGTGAGCCGAGATCATGCCACTGCACTCCAGCCTGGGCAACAAGAGTGAAACTCCGTCTCAAAAAAAAAAAAAATAATAATAAAATAAATAAATAAGTTGATCTGTGATTATCCTCCCAAAAGCAATTCCTCCCTGGTGTGTGGCAGCCATAGGATGTGGGGGAGGAGTCTGTCCTCTTACCCACAAATACAAGTAAGGGCCCTGATTTATACAATCTAATTAGGAGAATCCCTAGTGACTGGTCCAGGTAATCCAGATGTAAGTCAATCAGTAGATGGCATTTTCCTGAACAATGGAATTTATGCAGTTGTAAGAAGGGGTGTTGACCTAGGTAATCCCAACAAAATGTGAGTGGAGGTTTTCTGGAGCTTTGGGGAAATAAGGTGTCTTGTGATATATTGATGCAAACCCTGAGCTGCTAAGTTCTTGCTACTACATGGGAGGCAAACTGAAGATGTTGCTGATTTCATACAGGAAGAATAGAGAGACCAAAGAAAGCCAACCCTTGAAGATATTATGAAACTGTTGGCAGGGCAGGTCCTGAGACCCATACAGTCCTTCTTGATACAAGATCAAAATACATATCTATATTAGCCTGTTCTTGCACTGCTATAAATAAATATCTGAGACTGGGTAATTTATAAAGAAAACAGGTTTAATTGACTCACAGTTCTGCAGGCTGTGCAGGAAGGATGGCAGCATCTGCCTCTGGGGAGGACTCAGGGAGCTTTTACTCATGGCAAAGGCAAAGTGGAAGCAGGTGTCTTACATGGCAGAAGCAGGACCAAGAGGGTCGAGGGAGGTGATACAGACTTTTAAACAACCAGATCTCCCGAGAACTCTATCACTATACAGTATTAAGGGGGAATGGTGCTAAACCATTCATGAGAACTCTGCCTCTGTGATCCAATCACCTCCCACCAGGCCCTACCTCCAGCATTGGGGATTACATTTCAGCGTGAGATTTGGGTGGGGACACAGATCCAAACCATATCAATATCTTTATTAAAATCGCTGAATCAGGCCATTACTAGTAATTACTAATCCTGTAAGATGATATAATATGAAAGTAGAAAAAAATGCAAAATTCCCAGACCCTTCTTTTTTTTTTTTTCCAGACAGGGTCTTGCTCTGTCACCCAGGCTGGGGTGCAGTGGTGTGATCACAGCTCACCGCAGGCTTGAACTCCTGGGCTCGTGTAATCCTCCTGCCTCAGCCTCCTAAATAGCTGGGGGACCTACAGGCACATGCCACCATGCTCGGCTAATTTTTTAAAGTAATTTTTTTTAGAGATAGGGTCTCAATGTAGCCCAGATTGGTCTTGAAGTCCTGGACTCAAGCGACCCTCCTGCCTTGGACTCTCAAACTGCTGGAATTACAGGTGTGAGCCACCATGCTCAGCCAGCACACTGGGCCCTTCTTACTAATCCTCAGCTACAATGCAAAATTCTTGGTTCTTCTCTCCTTTCACTTTAGAGCTTCAGAGAACATGCTTCGGTTCTTTGAGCTCACCGATTTAATTCTGTGTTGAAATAATGATGTTTATCTGCAACATAGCTCTGAATTTGTAATTGAAATCTCTGGTGCTATAGCCTCCTTATAGCCCTGTCCCTAGCTTGATTTTTAGACCTTCTCTCTCAGATAGAATAAACTTCTGGAAAGGAGGGGAAGTTAAGAACAACATAGTGCAGTTTTCCCCAAACAAGAAAACAACTTCTACTAGCTAATGGTTGTTATGTTAGAAACAAAACTAAGCCATAAAGTTTTTGTGGTCAAAGTAGTTTAGAAAAAATTGGGTTTAATATATGTAATTATGCTTTTTTAATTGCAATATCTTTCAGACATCTGAAAAGTAAAACATTTTATTTGCTATAATAAATATTGTAAAATTAAACAACATGAAATCTCAGTGGCTTAACATACTAAGATGTATTTCTAGTTCATGACATGATCCAGTGCTAGGGTTCTTGCTTAGGAGGCTGCCTATAAGAGGTCATCTATAAAGCCAAACTTCATTCATTGGAATTTCATCATCCTCAACAGTAGCTCCCAAAGTCACCCTAGGTTTATATCCATTCTAGACAGCTGGAAAAAACAAAGAGCAGGGAAGATGGTACACGGAAGGTTTTTAATAGACCAGGCCAGAAAGTGGTGCACATGATTTCTATGCAGAAGTCACATCTCCTCGGCCAGATTCAGTCATATGGCCATACCTAACTGCAATGAATACTGGGAAATGTGATCTGGATAGATGCCTAGGAGGACAAGGAAATGGATTGTAGCAAACACATAGTCTCTGCCACACACACTTTAACTCTCTAAAAGAGAGGCTGGTAGTATAAGGCTTTCTCAAACTCACTTATCCACAGATCTTCTCCCACCATCATTCTAACTTCTGTCTACTCAATTATTCCATGGGACACCCTTTGACAAATGCTTATGTTGTGTTTCTTCCCTTGCACCCACCTCTTAAATGGTTGCTTTTGGGCTTCCTGCCTTCCAACCATGCTGGAGAAACAGAAGAAGAAATGCTGTAGAGAATGATTTTTGGGGATCATATTTTCAAATCCAGAGATGGTGTATTTTCTTAGCCAGTTATATTTAATTTTCTGTTTGAGAAGACCTTATTCATGCTTTTTGCATGTATGTTTCTAGCTATTGGAAGTAGAGTTGGGACCCAGCCATCAACACTTTCCTCCATACAGCTATTGCTCCAGGACCATTAAAACTCCATTTAAATAGAAACTGTCGGGCTTTCCAACAGCCACCTAAGCAAGACAGTTGCCTTCCTTGTTCCCCAGTGCCTTTCCACATCTCCTAGTGCCTTTTTGAGTCCCCTAGTGTCTTCCCACATCTTCCAAGACGTGACCCTTCCACTGGCATTCCCCTTCCTGTTTTCAAGATGACTATTTCCAGCTTTATTCACCTTCCCTTATATTAAAAACTCTTCACCATGAGGGCAGAAATGACGGACAAGCTTTGTGCATTATTCCTGTCTTTAGTATTTACATTTTATCATGGGAAAAACATGAAAGAAGGGGAATACACTTCTAATGGTGGAATTTCAGGTATCAGTAGTAGACCTTGAAAAGGTGTTTTGGGAGGGACAGTATTACCAGCATGTTCAGAACATGCAGCTTGGGTATCTTTCTCTGAGGCCCATGTATGCAGTTAGTCCTGACCAAAGGTGCCCTGGTATTTCTTCTAGGGAAGGCACAGAAACCCTCAATTTGGCCCTCATGCCATTTCTCTGCACATAGTGATTTTATTACAGGAGAGTAGGATTTTCTTCCTAGGCAAGTTTATGAGATGTCACTTCCCATTACAACGATTACAAGAAATTTAACAAGTTTAATTTCCTTACCTGTTTTATTCCACTTTGGCCTCAAACCTAATTTGCCAAAATATAGGAGGACTCTTAGATTATTACCCGGAGTGAAAATATGACTACAAATTTGCTCTTCTCTTTCCAACCCATCAATTCTAGATATTTAGCTCTATTTGTACCTGAGCATTTGGGGTCATAACAGGAAATGGATTATTTCACACCTAATAAATCTCTGATCAAAGCTTCCTCTTATCATTAAAAATAAATATTTTGGCAAATAAGCATTAAATTTTACATTGTAAAGTGAAGAGCTTGCTTGTCATTCTACAGACCCCATTTCAGTGAAGGAAGCTGTTTCTCAGAAGTGCGTTTCCTACGGAAGGTTGCATTTTATTAATTTGCTCCAGAAATTTTGCCAAGACAAATTACAAAAGTGAGGTCAAAATTTGTACATGAATTTTGGGAAACCAATATTTTATACTAAATGTTTGCTTTATAAAAATACTAAAAAAGAGTTTTAATTTTATGATTGGCATGAATATATTCTCTGGTGGAGTATTTGAGGAATTTTTCTTATATCTATACTACTTGGTACTGTATACGTTTATTTGAAAGAATTTTAATTTGAAGTCAAATCCAAGATGATTAAGTTATAATAAATATGTAATTTTTTGAAAGACCAATTCATATCATATTTAACATATGGTTTTATCTTATGGAAATCAATGGCAGTTGCAAAAAGATCAATAGTAGGTAGAGATTCAAAGTAGGTACTTTTCTCCTTCTTGTCATTGTAAAAGCTATGTAGTTTTAAACACAAAATTATATTTTTGGTCAAGATTACAAGTCCTAGATATTGTATGAGGACCTGGCTATATCTTATATATTGTAAGATGAAAAAGGAACAAACTTCTAAAATTTATCTCATGAACAATGAAAGCTTCAAACCCAGCAGTGAACATCACCATATTGTATTGTGGTTTCAACAGGAAAAGATCCAGAAGCCTGCAATCCTTACATTTTTGGTAAAAGCAGCAAATGTCTATACATTATTGTTGAATCTTCCTGCTCTTTATCAAGTCCTCCAGCTACAAATTTTCAGTGAGTACACAGGTCTTTCCAGAAGCCAGGGGTGATAATCATAGAAGACTCAGTATATTTTTCAAAACAATGCAGATGTGAAGCTTTTGGTAAAGAATATAACTTGTGATGAAATAATGAAACCAGCTAATTAAATTAGGCTCCCAATTTCCTGCCTGAAAAACAGTTTGCTGTGCAGATATATACAAATATAGTAACCTTGAATGTTGAATTTAGATCTACTTTTCCATGTTTCACAGAACTTGCGTCCAGTATATAGGCTACCTATAATTCTTACGTTGCTGAGAGTTAGATTTTCCTATAATAATTTATTCCTTTTTAAAAGGCAATAGCATCAAAAATTAAAAGCTTACTGTGAAACCTATGAAAACACAGTTCAGCTGGAACCACAATGAACCTTTTCTGCTTCCCTTGGATTCATCTGAATTTGGTGAGCTTAAGGTGAGAGTGAGACACATCAATTCAACATAGAGTAGGGTTGTGTTGAAGGTTGCACAGCTCTAATTATAAAAGCCACTGTATTTTTATGGCAGGATTTTGGAGGGTTGCACTGATTTCCTGATGAACACTGACAAGACTATTAAAGTTGTGAAACAACATCACTTGAATATGGCACTGAATGAAAGAACTAGCTTAGCTATGCTGCTCTTGGGTGTTAGTAGCTGATTAAACTAGAGCCACGGGGAAAATTATCTCTGGGGCCATCCATTCATTTTCTCAGCTTTGTTTGTTTGTTTCTCTGCAAAAATTTCACAAAGTAGGTAGCTGGGTTTCCCTACTGCAGTCTTTAAACTCCATGCGTGGCACAAAAGATAAGCCAGTGTGCCCCTCGGTCTTTTATTTGCCCCAAGACACCTGGTATGCTATGCAAAAGAGACTCTTATTTTTATATATTTATTTGTTTGAGCCCTATTTTGACTGGTTGTGTCTGTATATATTTCTATAAAGGCAGACTAGACTTAAGTCAAATATATTTCAGCTTTGATCACATCATTTATTTTTTGTGAATCTTTAACCTCTCTGAGCCTCAATTTTTCCTCAGCTGTAAAATTGTCATGTTAATACCTTGCAAGTTTACTGTGTGAGTTAGAGATATATAAATTGCCTAACATAGGTTCTGGCATAAAGTAGACAGTCAATAAAGGGTAGCTTTTATTATTATTATTCAAACAGTCTAGTGAGAGAAAAATGTAGAAGTTATTTGCTATTTTTATCAGACAGGCACTTGGGAGAGAGGAACAAATGGGTTTTTCCATTAAAGGAAATAAAATGGGATCTGAACACTTGCTTGAAACTAAATTTTAGTTATTCAGTAAGAATTGGCATAACTCTTTGAATAATTAATTTTCACAAAATTATGCAATTTCACTTTTATAGCACTGTTGAACAATTTTCCAAGGGAAGTTGAACGAGATTCTTCCAGTCATTGCACAAAATGTGGTAAGAATCTGAGAGTTACTTAAACTAAGAATAGATAATAGGAAAATAATATATCACAATAGATGAGATGCAGGTTAGAGCAAAGGTATCACATGTATTTTCTATTAAGTTACTGAAATACCAAATTATAAAATTAAAAGAGGCCCCAAATACTTCTCTTCTGACATGTTAAACCTGCAAGTTAGAGTGTAATTTGCTGATAGGTAACGAGATTCTTAAAAACCTCAATATTCTCAACCAGTAACTTCATTGCTATTTATTCATTCTGAAGAAAAATATAAAATTCAGAAAATGGTCTTTGCACAGAGATGCTTACCATAGTGTTAGTTGTAACAGAAAGAAAAACAATTTAAATTTCCCCAAATAGGAAACAATTGAGATGATGCTAAATCTCACATAAATATTGTATAAACATATTATGAAAAGTTAAATGAGAAAATATTTCCAGATAGAGAAAAAAATACAAAATTATATGCAAAATTTATGTATATTAAGTATATACACAAAATCATGTATAAATTGTCATTTCAACTATGTAAAATAATCATTGAAAAAAGCCTAAGAAGAAATATATAGTTGTACCATATAAAGTTGCCGATTTTTACCTATAGAAGAACTATTTCACATGGTTCAATCTGATACTAACACATGAATATCTTTGGAAAGTGATAAAATTTCCGGTAATATTCCATGAATTTTTGTAATTTCCCACTTTTGCAGAAACATATTCAATTTGTATAATTATAAAAAGAATTTTTAATAAATAGTCTAAAGAAACATTTATAATTTAGGCAAATGTTTTAAAATTAGATTTTCATTTTTGGCAATATTACAAATTTGATACCCCAAAAAGCTTTGCACTAAAATACAATCCAAGATACTTTATAAAGTGTTTGGAAGAACTTTTTAATGCACGGCTGAGCTGGCAACAGAGTAAGGAAATCTCCAGCAGCCAAACATGAAGCAAAAGCATAAATCCTGTGAGAGAAGCCTATGACTGCTCTCAGGGCATCTACGGATTTCTGGAGATCCAGAGATTAGGTTTTAATGGCCTCATAGCAGGCACAGAACAAATTTTAGTGTCCATATAGTGAAGGAGTCAGATTAAAGACCTCCATGTGAAGCCAAGACCCTACCTATCCAAAAGAGCCACAACTTCAGTGAACAGCAAACTAGAGGGAAATCTTACTTTACAAGGGGAACTTACCTATTTTAACTTCAGCTCCAGGTGGAGAGAAAAACAAAGTTGTAGAAACAAAATAGTTTTAGGCTGGGCGTGGTGGCTCATGCTTGTAATCCCAGCACTTTGGGAGGCCGAGGTGGGTAGATCACCTGAGGTCAGGAGTTCAAGACCAGCCTGGCCAACATGGTGAAACCCCGTCTCTACTAAAAATACAAAAATTAGCCAGGCATGGAGGGCACCTGTAATCCCAGCTACTTGGGAGGCTGAGGCAGGAGAATCGCTTGAATCCGGGTGGTGGAGTTTGCAGTGAGCTGAGATCGCACCACTGCACTTAAGCCTGGGCAACAGAGTGAGACTCTGTCTCAATAAATAAAAAAGAAAAATAGTTTTAATGTGGCTGGCAAAAGGAAGTAAAATTTTCTCCGGCTGAAAGAAATGTCAACTTCAGGCCTCTGAGAGTACTGTCAGATAAAATTGCATCAGTTAATGTACACAACAGTCAAAAATCACAAAACAAGTGTGAGAACAAGAAACATAGCCAAGAGTCAGCAGAAATATCCAATAGTTGACTTAAACACACAAAGACATATGCAAATTATGGCATTTTAAAAAATGAACAGTTTTTAAGTTTAAGGAAAAATAAAAGCTATAGGAAGTATGAGTAAGGTTCAGAGGCTCTCAATAATGCACATTTGAAAAAGAAAATTATCGACTTGAAAAACATAAGTAAAGAAAAACTAAGCTTTAAAATCAGATTAGAAACAGCTCAAGAGAAAAACTAAATTGGAAGGTGAAGTTAAAGAAATAGAATGCACAGGTGTCAAAGAAATGTAACTATGAAAGTGACATCGCAAATCAAAGATCATAAAATGAGAAGGTCCAACATACATGTAATCAGATGTCCAGAAGGAGAGACTGGAAAGAATAAAAAATAGGTAACATTCTAAAGGATGATAGTAAAAATGTTCCCAAACTAATGAAAGACACAAATCTTAAGATTTAGGAATCACACTAAATTTCCAGGAAAATAAATGCAAAGACATGTGCACCTAGTTACATTGTAGTGAAGCTGCAGAACAACAAAGATTAAAAAAAAAATCTGAAGAGTAATCAGACAAGATAGACTAGCAACAAACAAGTAACAATTAGGTAGATTAAACATGAAAAATAGGATAGTCTGAGAGGAAATAGAGGTAAACCTGGAGCCAGCAAAACAATGTGTTAAGAATCAGAGTAGAATAAGGACATTTTCAGACAAACAAAAAGCTGTTTATCACCAAGCAGGGTATTTACCACCATCAGTAGAGAAACTTCGGAAGAATATACTTCAAGGAGTTCAAAAGTGATCCCAGAAGGAAGATCTGGGAAGCAAGCAAGAAAGAAGAGTGAATACATATGTGAGTAATTGACATAAATACTGTATCCAACAATACTTAACAATAACAATGGTAATGTTTAATGTGTGGGATTTCAGAAAACATGTATACAAGTAAAATATGATAAGAACATATATGTTGGAGTGATTAATATATGAGCATTTTAGACTTTAATACATTTTCATATTAAAATTTCTAAACAGCTACTAAAATAACAGAAATAGAATATAAAACTTGTAGCAAAGGTAAACAATGGAAAGATTATGAAAACCTCTGGCAATCCAAAAAAAGACAATGAAAAAATAAGCAGAAGCAGTAATGTAAATAAAAGGCAAAAATAAGATGATAAAAATTCAAATGTAGCAATAAACTCAATTGATCTCAATGAACTAAACTTTTTTGTTAGAAGGTTAAGTTTGTCAGTCTGTACTTAGAAAGATCTAGCTCTATGTTGTTTATGAGGGGACTGCCTAAATTATAAAAATTGAAAATAAAAGGCTAAATGAGGATATATTAGGAAAATATTTATGAAAAGTAAATTAGTGTGGTAATATCAGACAAAATAAAGCTTTAAGGCAAGAATTACTATTATAAACAAAAGAAATCACTGCATACTGATAAAAGGTTGAATTCCTTTGGAATAACAGTTCAAAACATGCATGTACATAAAAGCATAACTTTAAATCATATAAAAAATGCTGAACAATGAGGATACATATTCTTAAAACCACCATCATTATAAGCAATATTAAAATAACGCTTACCAACTGATAACTCAAACAGAAAAATTAATTAGGATAAAGAACATTTACCCAACACAGTCATCAGACTTGATACTTTGACTCCAATACCAAGCCATTAGAGAAAAATTATCCTTTTCAAGCATCCACCGAACATTTATGAAAACTGACTAGTTACTGCAATATGTCTGATTAAATTTTATAGAACTGTTATGCAGACTGTATTCTCTGATCACAATGCAACTAAGTTAGAAATATACTACAAAAAGATTAATGAAGTACAATCACACGTTTTAAAATTTAAAGACAAAATAGCTCATGGGTCAAAGAAAAATAAAAATGAAATGTGGAAAATAGAATGGAATAAAAAGGAAAATATTATGTATCAGATTTATTCAATGCAGATAAAGCAGTACTTATATATTTATACAGTTGAACCTTGAACAACATGGGGGTTATGGGTGTCAACTCCTTCCACAGTAGAAAATCAGTGTACAACTTTTGACTGTTCCAAAACTCAATTACTAATAGCTTATGTTGTCTGGAAGCTTTAATAACATAAACAGTCTATAAACACATATTCTGCATGTCATATGTGTTATATACTGTATTCTTACAATAAGCTAGAGAAAAGAAAATGCTATTAAGAAAATCATAAGGAAGACGAAATATAGTTACTCCTCATTAACTGGAAGTGGATTATCATAAATGTCTTCATTCTTGTCATCTTCACGTTGAGTAGGCTGAGGAGGAAGAGACGGAAAAGATGAGGGGTTACTCTTACTATCTCAGGAATGGCATAGGCAGAAGAAGTGGAGAAGGTGGAAGGGGAGGCAGGAGAGACAGGCATGCTCGATGTAACTTTATGGAAATACATCATAATTTCTATCTGACTTATTTTTTTCATTTCTCTAAAAATGTTCCTATGTAGTACCAATCCTTCTTCCACTGTTTGCTTTAGCTTCAGTGCCCATATCATAGAAGGGTCAATATTGTAAAGGAAGTCAAAAACAGCCTTGAATCATTGAAACCCTTCTTTCTGCCAGTTTGTTTAATATTAATTTGTTTTCTGGCACTGCTTCTTCTATGTCTTCTTCCTGCTCTTCTGGCACTGGTTTTGAAACACTCGTCTCCATTAAGTCATCTTCTGTTAATTTCTCTGGTGTGGTATCTGTTAGCTCTTGTATTTCTCCAAGACCTGTATCTTGAAACCCTTCAGGCCCTGCCTTTCTCGCCCTATCCACAATCTTTTTCATTGTTTCCTTGATTGGCTCCATTATAAGTTCTGTGAAGTCATGCACAAGATCTGGACACAGTCTTTTCCAGCAGGAATTTATTGTTTCAGGCTTGATGACATTCACAGCTTTTTCCATTATATAAGAACAATGACATTTTCATCATCATTGGTGTAATCTTTCTAGACTTCATGATGTTCTCTCTATCAGGGGTTTTTCCATAGCATTGACAATTCTTTTTTTTTTCTTTATTATACTTTAAGTTTTAGGGTACATGTATTCTTTTCATAGAGTACTGCGTGTGATGAGCCTTAAAGGTCCATATGACGTCAGATCTAGAGGCTGAATTAGGGACCTTATGTTTGGGAGCAAGTAGACCACTTCAGTGCCTTCAATGTTGAACTCATGGGGTTCTGGGTGGCCAAGGACATTGTCTCATATGAAAAGAACTTTAAAAGTCAGTCCCTTTCTGGCAAGGTACTTCCTGACTTCAGGGACAAAACATCAGTGGAACCAATCCAGAAAAAGTGTTCTTGTTATTCAGACCTTCTTGTGCAACTAAAAGCCTGGCAGGTGGTGTTTATCTTTCCCATTCAAAGCCCAGAGATTAGCAGATTCAGAGATAAGGGCAGTCCTGATTATAAACCTACTGCATTTGCACAAAATGGCAGTTATCCTATCTCTTCCTGCCTTAAATCCTGGTGCTTGCTTCTCTTCCTTAGCAATAAATGTCTTTGATTGCTTTTTTTTTTTTTTCCCCCAGAATAAGCTGCTTTTACCTGTGTTAGAAACCTGTTTAGATAGATGTCCTTTCTCCTCAATGATTGACAATTCTTTTCATAGGGTACTGGGTGTGATGTCCTTTCTCCTTAATGATTTCCTTAATGGTGCCTGGGAACTCACGTCTGCCATTGCGCCCAGCCTCTCCTGTTATATTGACAGTTTTTAAGTCAAATCTCTTCCTAAAATTATCAAACCATCCTTTGCTGGCATTAAATTCTCTAGGTTTAGATCCTTCACCTTCCTTTTGCTTTCAGTTGTCACATAATGACTTTGTTTTTCTAGAATCGTATTAGAATCTATAGGTATGCCTTTCTTATAGAAATCCTGTAACCATATAAAAGCTACATTTTTAATATGAGATAAAAAGGTATTTTGCAAAAAGTACAAGGTTTTTGTGCTGGCTGGTGTAGCTGCAGTGATAGATTAGTGAATTTCCTTTTCTTTGTTTTATTGTGGTTCTTACGCTGGATTCATTTATCTTGAAATGGTAGGCAACAGCAGCTGCAGACCTTAATCTACAGTACATATGAAGCAATTCAACTTTTTCTTCTAACATCGTGACTTTTCTCTGCTTTTTGGGAGGACTTTTCAGCATCGCTAGTGACACTTTGTATGGGTCTCATGGAGTTATTAAAAGTTAAGAGTATTGCCCCAAGCACTATGAAAGCATAAGTGACAACCATGAGATATCACTCTTTACTGTGATATACAATTTACTAGAGGCAAAATGCTCACATGGAGTTGATTAGTGTCATACAGCGTTTTAAGCAGATACTCGCAACACTGGAGCTCACCACAATTCAACTGGAGGTGGCTATGGAATTATTAGTATGTACTACAGTTAATTGTATGCAGTTATGATTTAATACAGAATCTTTACATTTGTTTACATTTTCCTTGACTTCAAATGGCACCATGTATGGTCTGTAAGTGTTTGTGTATGCACTTACTTTTTATTCTAACTTTTAATCATGGATTTGTGTATATTTTATGGTGGCAAATGATAGAATAGTGTCTACATATATTTTTTGTATTCATGAAATACCTTTTTCCTATTTTTTTCAGTATATCTAGGCTATGTGCTTTGTCTGCAAGTGGTTTCAAATTGTTGCAAATCTCCAAAAACATTTCCAATGTATTTATTGAAAAATATCTATGTATAAGTGGACCAATGCAGTTCAAACCTATGTTATTCAAGTTTCTAATGTATCAGAAAACAAAACAGTGACTGAAGGTTAATAAGCTAACCCTACAACTTAAAAATTAAAATAAAATAGCAATATTATAAACCCAAAGAAATTAGAAAGAATAAAAATAAAAGCAGAAATTAATGAAATAGAAAACAGAGAATCAGCAAAACAATGTTGGTTTTTAAATGAAGTGATAAATAAAATTACTCAGTGTTGGCTTAGAATTAATTTTTAAGAAATGAGATAAAAGTCCAAAAATACTAGGAATAAAAAAGGAGACAGATTTTTTATTCCTAATAAAGATGCAGAAGAAATTAAAAATATAATATTATATATAACATGTCAATAAATTAAAAGCCTGAATGGAATGTTAACACTCTTGAAAAAAATATAACATCTTTTCTCAAGAGGAAAGAGAAAACTTGCATAGTCTTGTTATCATAAAATAAATCAGTGGTTTAAAATCTATTCACAAAAGGATGCCAGAGTCAGATGATTTTATAAGTAAGTTCATGTAAATACTTTCAAATATTTAAATAACAGGTAATTCCACAATTTTTTTCAGCACATGGGAAAAGAGAGAAAAATCTCCAATTTATTTTATGAGGCTATTAAACTTTATTATCAAAACCAGACAATGGTAGTATGAAAAAGGACAAATTACAGGACAATCTCACTTACTAATATAGATGCAAACATTCTACGGAAAATAATAGGCAAATTAAACCCAATGAAATATATATAATTACTAAGCTGAGTTTCATAGTTAGGATGTTTGTTCAATATTAGAAAATCACCACATTAATAGATTAAAGAGGAGGGGCACGGTGGCTCATGCCTGTAATCCCAGCACTTTGGGAGGCTGAGGCAGGTGGATCACCTGAGGTCAGGAGTTCAAGACCAGCCTGGCCGACATGGTGAAACCCTGTCTCTACTAAAAATACAAAATTAGCTGGGCATGGTGGCACATGCCTGTAATTCTAGCTACTTAGGAGGCTGAGGCAGGAGAATCGCTTGAGCCTGGGAGGCGGAGGTTGCAGTGAGCCGAGACCGCGCCATTGCACCCCGGCTTGGGTGACAAAAGCAAACTCCATCTCAAAAAACAAAAAACAAAAACAACAAAAAAACAAATTAAAGAGAAAAAGTATATATAATCATCTTAATAGATGCAAAGTAAGAACAATAATTAAGACCTCAAATCCATTCATATTCAAAATAAACTTAGTAAATTAGGAATAAAAATGAACATCTTTGATAAGCATCTACCAAAGAACTGCGGAAAATATTATTTAAATTATGAAATGTCAAAACATTCCCTTTAAAATCAGAAACAAACCAATTATGCTATTACCATTTCTATTATACTGTTTACTGCTATCTTAACCAACACAGTAAAAGAAGAAAAATAAAATGTATACGATTTGGAAAGGAAGAACCAAGACTGCCATTATTGCAGATGATAGAATTATCCATGTAGAAAATAAACCGATTATTTGTTTTGAACTAGTAAGAGAGTTTAGCAAGGGTGCTAGATATAGGTCAATATTTATGAGCCAGCATCTTTATAATCAGCAACAAGCAGTTAGAAAACATGTATATTTAAGAGATACTATTTACATTGGTAAAAAAAAATAACGTTTTGGAAATAAACATAATGAAAGACGTGCAGAACCTTTCGAGAGAAGATTATGACAATCTATTGAAATATATTGATAAGACCCAGATAAAAAAGACTTCATTTTTCACAGAGAGAAAAGCTCAATATGATAAAGATATCAACTCAAATTCATATCCAAATTCAATCTCATTCCAATCAAAATCTCAGTAGGGATTTTCTTAGAATTTGATGGATTCTAGAAATATAAACAGAAGAGCAAAGAGCGCTGAATAGTTGAGATAGTCCTGAGGAAGAATGAAGTAGAAGGACTTAGCATAAGTGATATAAAAAATTATTCCAAGCTCACAATTGATTACAACAGCATATTTTTGGCAAAGGTGTAGAAAATTAGATCTGTGGATCAGAACAGAGAGAATAGAAGCAAAGTCACACTTGTTTGGAACCTTAAATCTTACAGAGCTGGCATTGTAGATGAACAGTGCTAGGATGACTGGCTATCTATAGGAGAAATATTGTCAGATGCCTACCTCACATTATATTCAAAATTTAATTCCAGATAGATTAAGATGAAATTGATAAGCCTTCAGGAGAAAGTATAGCCTAATATCATCTTTATAACTTCTGAAGAGGGAAGGATTTTATTCCTCAAAAATATAAGTTATAAAAGAATTGCTAAATTTAACCACATTAAGATAAAAAAACTTCTGTTCCTTAAAGTAAATCATCAATAGATAGAGAAGTCACATTTTGGGGGGAAATATTTGCAAGAAAACTGCAAAGATTTAATATCTACAGTATGTAAAGAACTCCTAGGAATTCATGAGAAAATGGGCAAAAGTCATGAATAGGCATTTCATAGGAAAGGAAATATGAATGGCTAATAAACAAATGAAAAGATATTCAACCTCATTAGTGATTAGGAAGAAAATGTCAATGAAAACTGGCATGACATACTATTTCACACCACTAGACTGGGAAATATTAAATGGCTAGTTTGTCAGCAACTGACGTCTGGTTACAGTGGGGGCGAAGGGCCAATGCTGGGAGCTTGGAGACCAGCAAAGACACGCTCAGTCATTTCGCTGCACCCCTTTGGCTTTCAGTTACTCAGCTATTGCTTTAGTATCCTTTAACTGTATTGTATAGAGAAACATATTGCTTTAAAAATGTTTTCGCTTCTTTTCTTTTCCTTCTCCATTTGGTGACTCTGTGTGCTTTATGTAGGCATTCCATTATTTACCTTCATTTTCAGAGAACCTAGTAACTAAACTTTCCATAATTTACTCTAAGGCACTTTCCATTTATTTCCAAACCAGTGTCTTTTGTTCAGTGGATCACACACATTTTTCCAAATTTTGCTTCACTGAAGTTTAATGCCTTATTTTTTCCATTTCTGGGACTCTCCTTGGTCTTAATGGGAAAAATGAAGCAGCACATTCAAAGACCCATTTGGCTGCTGTGCAACCCTGTTGATTTATCATCAATAGGTAAACAGAAACTCCTTATATTTTTTTAAAAGTCACGCTTGAGATCTTTCTTTTTTAAACAACTCTCAGACAAAAATTGCTTCGTATGCTTTTGCAGATTTTATTTGGAGTTCTTTACTTCCATTTTGTCTAATCAGGGTATCTCTAATCCCAGCAATGCAAATGAGAGGGCCTCCACAGGAGCACAGCATTCCCTCCTCCCATCGGGTATGGCCGGCACCCCTCTCCACTCCACACACCTGCTGTGCCCTAAGCTAACATCCTCTACCCTGCAACCTTATTTGAGAAACTCTCTGTGTGAAACCAGTGGGTGTAGAAATAGCAGGTGACTCCCTTTCAGCAGTTTTGGTGGCCAGAGAAGAATTATTGCTTCCTTCACTTTGTGGCTCTGGTAAGTGCCCAAGAGGTGTAGTCAAAAAATCAACACATTAGTAATCCAGCAGGACTGACTCCAACTGTTTAACATGGCCCAGCTCAAATGTCACATCCTCGGTGATGCCTTCTCTGACCCCTTTCCTCTCCTAGTCACAGTTTAACTGTACCCTTTGTGCTCCCACAGCCCTTCGTTCAAGTTACTAGTATAGCATTTGTCACCTATTGTCATTTTAACATTTTAGAAATTGCATTTGAGTATGGTAGAAGGGCAAGAGGGTGGATTTTCAAGAAGGTCAAATTTGGGTATCCAACCTACTCTTCTGTGTTCAGGTTTGAGACTTTGAGTGAGTAAATACCCTCTCTGAACCTCAGTTTTCTTATCTGTATGAGAGATTATAAGATTACATAGAGGAGAGCAGATCATACATAAAGCACAAGCCTTGCCTTTAGCAGATATTTAACAAATGTCAGTTTCATTTCTTTTCTTTTCCTGCTTAGATGTAAACCTGTTTGTCTCTTTCCACTAGATCATGAAACCCTGCAGGGAGATGCCTTGACATGAATCTTTCTAGCTCCCAGCTCTAGCACAGTACGCAATACAGCTGTTCAATACAAGGGTGTTGGATGCTGGATCAAAGGAATGCCATGTCAGGCCCTGGAAAACTTGGCACAACTTACTGACCAGGCTCCTATGACAATGCATATGGGCCTCTGTTTGGTTTGCTCCAATCTTTCATCTAAGCCTTTGGCTTGAGGGTGATGAAGGGAGACAGGGCAACTTAATTTTAAGTCCACATAGTCTTCAAACTCAAGGTAGGTCAATGCAGACTCCTTGCTAGAGTTACTACTCTTTGGAAAGTTGTGAGTTATAAATTAGAGGACCAGATTTGCTTGTTGAAAAAATACTGAGCTAGAACTTGGAGGCATGGTAGCTGTGGGCAAGGCTTTGCCTACAATTGAGGTGCTTCCTAGGGAATGTTCCCACAATACCAATATGGATTCAGATCAAGGCTTGTTGGCTTTCTTCCATGGAAAAGCACACGCATTTGGCTAAAGAAAAAAAAAGTAACTTGGCAGGAATTGTACTGCTTTAAAGTCTTCTCAATATCCAAATTAATTCTCTGTCATCACACATAGCTTCAAGCTACTATTTCATATGAAAAATCCTCTGGTGTAATTATTACAGATGGTGTGACAATGACAGAAGTTGATGGAAATCTCCTAGTAAGAGGTAAATTATATAGAGACATGATGATGATGGCTTGTGAGTAGTGTGCACTTTTTGGAGATCTTTTCCTCTTGGCTGTCTCCCCTACAATGCTTTCCAGACCAGTTCCTGGTTTGAGCCTATGTAAAAATCTGGCATTTCATATCTTTTCAGTTAAGTCAGCACCCACCATGAGTTAGGCACCATTTCTCCAGTCTAAGTACTGGGGATACAGTAGGAAGCAAGACAGACCAAGTCTCTGCCCTCAGGGAGCTTCCATTTTAATGTGCCAATAAATTCCTGTTATTTACTGCCATTTTTGGTGTTTTGGCTTTCATTTCCCTATATTCAGTTTGTCTATCTGTGAATTCCTTTAAGGCCATTGGGAGCACTCCATTTTGCTATTTAAGGCTTTTGACTTCTCATTTCCACTTGAAAGTTTATTTATTTTTAAGGCTATGATATGGTCATAAGCTTTTAGAGCTAGATGATATTTGAGTTCATGTAACCCAACAATGAGCCTTGGAAATGTATAGGTTTGTCCAGTCACATGGCGCCATTCCGGTGGGTGGGGCCCAGCTGACTCCCAGTTTGTTGCTCTCATGTTTCCGTTACACTGCCTCCCTGATTTCCTATCTCATGCTTATTCTGGTGCATATTTCCTTTATTCAGCAAACATTTATGGATTCCAACTTCATGCCAAGCCCTGCACTAGACAGGAGACACAGACATAGATCCTTTCCTTAAAGAGAGAATGGGCTTCCTTCTCTCTGTGAATTCATCTCACTTTATTTTAAATTTCCTCATATTCTGACAAAATTTGCTGACTCTTTGTATGCCCCTCCCAAATCTCTCAATTTTTTACAGGTATTTTTATTTTATTTTATTTTTTTAAAATTATACTTTTGTTCTTATTGATACATAAATATACCCTCTATTCACTTCTCTGTTTGATATGGCATTTTACATGGTAAACAGGTTTATATAAATAAGCACTTTTCGATTAGGTTTTCTTACAGAATGATCCTAAATTTTTAATTTCAGACAGTTACTTTTCATGTTTCCTAGCTAATACAGATGAAATTCCTTCTTACACCACTAAGTGACCTGTGGGAGTGTAGCAGTGGTTTGAGACCTAGCTACATGTTGGATTTGCCTGGAGGGAGGGGCTTTTAGAAAATACTGATGCTGGCATCTCACCCTAAACAACTTCATTCAGAATATCTGAAGCAGGGAACTAGACATTGGTATGGTTGAAGACGCTCCCGTGTGAGTCTAACCTTCAGCCAAGATGAAAAGTGTTCTATAGGACAAATACCGTTTCCTTCCATAATTTTTCTCTCATATATCTTTTAGGATAATTTTATTTATACTAGCTCTTTTTGCACAATTCAAAGTTATATATTGGTTACCAGAAGTGACATAGTTTTCAAACTTTCATCAAATATCTTAAACCCCATGTATCTGTATTACTACATTGATTTGTATAAAGAGCTCCCAAATCAGTATTAATTTTTGATATTTTTTTCTCACTCTAAAATAGGAGCTTTTCTTTTTGCTCAGTGCTCCTTTTAGGGTTCCATGTGCTTCTATTTAAACCCCATGTTCCAGCTTGAAGATGTGTTTTCTCCGTACTTGTGGTATTCATGCTTTATTTCATCTCCCTGCCCCCCACTCTGTGGGGGCCCCCTTCTTTTTTGTCTTTTGCTGTCTCAGGTTGTGTTACTGCATCTTTCTGTAGACTTGGAGTCAGAGTTTCCTACAGAGAGTTATTGTTTTTATTATTTTCATTTTTTTCCTTTCATTGATTTTCCTGAATCTTTTCTGCTGCCTTAACCTCTTGTCCTAAAATTGATTCTTTGGAAGCCAAAATTTTGATCTCCAGGGTTTTGATATTGAAGTAGCTTTCTAATTTTCTCCACTGTTTTCTTGATGCATTTCACGTTTACTCCTAACAATTTTATATTTTCTTCTCCATATAAAAACCTGAAATATGTATTTGTCTATTCCTACCCTTTGTCTCATCTGCAACACTTTGTGGTGCTATTTTTTTTGTCTGACTTACTACGTAACCCCTCTTTTCTGTGTTAACATTTGTATGACTTCTCCAGCTATGCATATAATACACGACCCCGTTTATGCTCACATTCGAAATTCCTGGCAAATATTTAACCCTCCCTTTTTGTCATCATAGATCTCACGCACAATCATATTTTCCTCATACAAATCTCCAGCTTGTTACTTCCAGTGGAAGTCCAGTGGGACTGTTAATACAAAATCCTATCTTTTTAATTATGTCACATAATTGCTTTTATTCACTGCTTCATTTATTCTTTAAGTAAGTGATCGGGGCGGGGGGGCCGGGTCCAAAACCACTCAGGTACATCTCTGCATAGTTCTTTTCTGAGTGCAACTCCTTTCTTTCCTCAGTACAATTTTTCTAAACACATCCTATTTCTTGTTGCTCTGGGAGTCACTGTCAAGTCCTAACTGGAGGTAATTTGGATTTTTGCAAATAGATGCTTGGACACATCCTGTAGTCACAGAACACCAGTACTGAGGTAGGTGCTACCTTTCCTCTGGTCTATGCCATTTTGTCCTTTATTTGGGCTTTCTTGGATTTTCCTCCATGAGCTTTTGGTCTCACAGGGTATCTTTCTCCTGCTCGTAGTGTATGTTGCTCTATCGATGATTGCTTCTTATGTGAAATTGGTGGGCTGGCTGCCACTGACTCCCAGCTGCACAAACTAATTCATCCCTGGAGTTTGGCTTCCCTGTGCACTTACACATTGTTTTTCCTGCTCACCCCACTCAGAGCTGCCAATATACCAGTTGCCTTGGATTCCTTCTGCTTTTCCTCACTAGCATATGGTATGGTCTGACCTAGTGAAGCTGAGTTTCAATTTCACTGAGAAAAGAGGCATTCTGATGTAAGCTGAACATGAAAGTAACAGAATAGAGACCCCCCTCTCTCATATGTGCAACAGTTTTTTCTTGAGAATTCGATCTATGCCAGGGACTTGGCTAGTATGCACTGAAGTTACCAATATGAGTAAGATTTTAGTTCTCACCTTAAGGAACTTTCTAACTAATGGGAGAAACAGCAAAGTTTATCCATAATAAACGTATATCAGCAAATATACTTTTGTTATTAGAAAAGGTAGAATAAGCTAGTGCTGAAGAGAACAGGCTTTGAAGCCAGATAGACCTGGACTTCAATTTGGACTTCACCACTCATAAGCAAGTTGGCCTGGGGCAAGTTCCTTAATATTTCTACACTTCCCTCTCTTGTCTGTAAAATGGTTCTAAGTGATAGTTCTTAAAACATACGATTGTCATTAAGATTAAGTGAATGAATAGAGGTTACATGCTTACTCAGTAAATGCTCAGCAAATACTGGTTTTAAAGATGAAAGTGCTATGTACAAGCTACAACGAGAATACAATGGAAGAGTCAAGGAAGATTTCTGGGAAGAGGTGACACTTAAGTTGAGTTTTGAAGGACAGGTAGGCAATAGATAAATGAAGAAAATAAATTTTAGGCAGAGGGAACAGCACATGCAAAGATATGAAGGTGTGAAATAATATAATAAGTGCATTAACTCCAAAAAATGTATTCTATATGGGCATACCAGAAAAATTCATAACAGGAAGAATGGTGTCTGAGGGAGAGACAAGATCAGAACTCATTTAAACAGAAGGAATTCTGTAACAAAAAACATGTCACTCAGCTACAGAGTGCCAAGATGAGAGAGATGCAACCTCAAACTTTCAAAGATGTCTGAGAAGATCTCCCCTTTGAAATATCAAGCAGAAAGAACTGCAGAAAGAGAAAAAAAGATGTGGCAGACTTTAATGGTTTTTTTTCTCGTAAATTCGTTTAAGTGCCTTATAGATAGATGCTAGATATGAGATCTTCATCAGATGCATAGTTTGCAAAAATTTTCCCATTGTATAGGTTGTCTGTTTACTCTGTTGATAGTTTCTCTTGCTGTGCAGAGATCTTTAGCTTAATTAGATCCCATTTGTCAATTTTCGCTTTTGCTGCAAATGCTTTTGGCATCTTCATCATGAAATCTTTGCCTGTGCCTATGTCCTGAATGGCATTGCCTAGGCCGTCTTCCAGGGTTTTTTATAGTTTTGGGTATTTTAAGTCTTTAATCCATCTTGAGTTAATTTTTGTATACAGTGTAAGAAAGTGGTCCAGTTTCCATCTTCTGCATACGGTTAGAGAATCCTTTCCTTATTGCTTGTTTTTGTCAGGTTTGTCGAAGGTCAGATAGTTGTAGGTGTGCTGTCTTATTTCTGGGTTCTTTGTCGTTTCATTGGTCTGTGCCTATTCTTGTACCAGTATCAAGCTGTTTTGGTCACCACAGCCCTGTAGTCTAGTTTGAAGTCCAGTAGTGTGGTGCCTACAGTTTTATTCATTTTGCTTAGGATTGCCTTGTCTATTTGGGCTCTTTTTTGGTCCCATGTGAATTTTAAAATGGTTTTCTCTAGTTCTGTAAAGAACGTCAATGGCATATTAACAGAAATAGCATTGAATTTATAAATTGCTTTGGGCAGTATGGCCGTTTCAACAATATTGATTCTTTCTATCCATGAGCGTGGAATGTTTTTCCATTTGTTTGTATCATCTCTGATTTCTTTGAGCAGTGGTTTGTAGTTCTCCTTGTAGAGATCTTTCACTTCCTTTTTTAGTTGTATTCCTAGGTATTTTATTCTTTTTGTGGCAATTGTGAATGAGAGTTTGTTCATGATTTGGCTCTTGGCTTGACTGTTGGTGGTGTATAGGAATGCTGGCAATTTTTGCACATTGATTTTGTATCCTGACACTTTGCTGAAGTTGCTTATCAGCTTAAGAAGCTTTTGGGCTGAGATGATGGGGTTTTCTAGATATAGGATCATGTCATCTGCAAACAGGGATAGTTTGACTTCCTCTCTTCCTATACTATGCAGCAAATAATAAAAAAAATGAGATCATATCCTTTGCAGGGACATGGATGGAGCTAGAGGCCATTATCCTTAGCAAACTAACACAGGAACAGAAAGCCAGATACTGGATGTTCTCACTTATAAGTGAGAGCTAAATGATGAGAACACATGGCTACATAGAGGGGAAGAACACACACTGGGGCCTGTCACAGGGTGGAGGGTGGGGAGGAGGGAGAGGATCAGGAAAAATAACTAATGGATACTAGGCTTAATACCTGGATGGTGAAATAATCAGTACAACAAACCCCCATGACTCACGTTTACTTAGGTAACAAAGCTGCACATACTTCACATGTACCCTTGAACTTAAAAGTAAAAAAGAAAAGAGGTGGCAGAAATGATGGCATCCTGACACTCAATTAGAAACACATCCAGAAGCCCGCAAACTTGCAACCTGTACCCTCCTGCAGACCCAAGACAGCTCAGATCCATATCCACCACATTAAACTTTTAACTAGTCTCTCTCCCTGCTTTTTGTTATCAGACACATAAGCGTGTAGCCTAAGATCTTAATGAAAGAGCAAAGCAACTTGGTGCTATGACACCTGAGTCTAACAGCTGTGTGTGAATGACCTGCAAAAAGAAAAGCAATACTCCTTGTCTAAGCAATGCAGACATGGCTGGGCTGTGTCCTGTAGACACTCAGGGTTGAATTTGTGCAGTCATTGCCAGAAAAGCACACCACACCCACATGTCAAAACAAACATGATATCCAGGGGAGGAAAATCAAGGTTTCAGTTGTTTCTTTTCTTCCCTCTCCAAATCCCAAGAATCCAGTGAGTTTTAATAACACTTCTAAAATGTCAGGAGAAAAAAATCATACTTTTAGAAAGGTTGAAACAACCAAGGGGGTCTTTTGTGGGCTCTAGTTTCACTCTGAACCCCCTGGGGATGGTAGGGGTGCAGGTGTGCCTTTAAGAAAATGCTGTGAAAAAAATCAGGCATAGAATAGAGACTTTAGGAGGTGATTATTCATATTATAATATGCATTTTAAATGTATCTGAATCACAATCACGGATTTGCTTTAAAAAAGCAGTTTCTTTCCTGTGAATCAGTGCCTATTTTCAGATTGTTAATTTGGTAGAGTTGGGGAAGAGAGTGTCGAGAAATTTAGTGTTCAAGGATTAAGTATTTTTATTTATGGAAGATATGTCAAAAACAAAGACTAAGCATTTGTGAAACATTTGTGAAACACTGAGAAGGGAAATGGTATTGATTAAGTATTTATTATGTGTAAGGCACTTTATATATGCTATGGAGAAAAAAATTATTAAAGCATAATTCCAACTTCCCTTCCTTCCTTCTTGTTCTCTGCCTCTTAGTCAATGCAACTTCTTTCTTCATCTCCCTTGTAAGAAGAGACTTGAATTTGTGGCCAGGTTCTTATAATTTATAAACCCAGAATGAGGAAAGAAGGTAGAGAGAGTGGATACTGGACAATTCAGGAAGAAAGTGGGGAGGAAACAAGAAAACAAAAGCTAGTACAGACAATATTGAGGAGAGCTTGGCAAAAGTGTCACCTAGTGAGGGACTTGGAAGGGGACTGTAGAGAAGCTATGGATTATGGAAAGCAGAAATTTGAAAAGTCATGTTTTTAAGTTATAAATGAAGTTTCCTTTATGTTTTCCAAAAGGTACAAAGAAAAATTAAATTGCTTTTGAATCTTGGACTGTGCTACTTTGACTGTGAAAATACATTGACACTTGTGCAGGAGGAGGTTCTGAGATTTATGTCATCTCATTTAATCCTTCAATAACCACCTGAAGTAGGCATTTTATTTTTATATACAGATGAAAAGACTGAGTTACAAAGATGTTCAGAGACATGCCTAAATCACACAGCTACAATATGGCACAGCCTGAATTTTAAAATAGGCCTGTTGACTTTAAATAAACTTAGAAATAGCATAGGATTGAATTGTTTTCTTAACCAAATCTGAGTCTTTGAATTTCAATAAGAAATTTTAAACCAGTTATACTTATTGTTAAAACTGTTGTGTTTGTTTTTCTACAATCTTTTGATATTGTCTTTCTGTACTCATGTCAACTACCCTTTCTTATTTTCTGCAATTTCTTCTTTTGCATATGGAATAGGGCTTTAAAAATGTTTTTCTCTTCTCCAATCATTTAGAAAATTTTAATCCTATTTCAATTCAGCTGATAGTTAGCCTTAAGATATTCAAAAGTATTTCTTCTGAGTGTTATTTTTTCTGTTAAACAAAGTCAATAATGTATGTGTTTTGATTCTTTTCTATGTAAAATGTGACATGTTTTCTCTCCTATCCTTCTCCCACATATTCCCTTCCTCCCTCTTAAATTTGTATAATTTTATAAATACAGTATATGTGTTTTATTTATATTCTCTTTTAATAATTATTTTGATATTTGCATTCAGTTTTTATTAACTATAATTCTCATTTCAGCTACATAAATATAGAACAGTTTCTTCCATATTCTGGCAATGGCTTACTTGACAACCAAATAATTGTCCTATCTTTCAGTGCTATATCTTTAGGTATTTAATGTGTTTTAATGAGGATTTTAGTGGAAGGGCAAGTAGGAGAGGAGGGAAATGTTAAGAGCTCTAAATACACATCTTTAATGAGGGCAAGATAACAGAAAAATTAATAAATAGAAATATAACCTTATTGGCCAGGCACGGTGGCTCATGCCTGTAATCCCAGCACTTTTGGAGGCTGAGGCAGACGGATCACCTGAGGTCAGGAGTTTGAGACCAGCCTGGCTAACATGGTGAAACCCCATTTCTATTAAAAATACAAAAAATTAGCTGGGCATGATGGCACATGCCTGTAATCCCAGCTACTCGGGAGGCTGAGGCAGAAGAATCGCTTGAACCCAGGAGGTGGAGGTTGTAGTGAGCCGAGATCGCATCATTGCACTCCAGCTTGGGCAACAAGAGTGAAACTCCATAATCTTATTATAGAATAAATAGCGAAAATATTTAAAATTAGTTGCTTGGAGAATGGTAAAAGTAAGGGAAAACTACTGTTTTTTTATTACATGCCTTTTAATATAATTAGATGTTTTAAATGACGACTTAATTTTGGAAGTAGTTCTGTGCATATTATACATATGTATATAAGCATATATATATATATGCACAGAACTACTTAAAAATTATATATACATTTATAAATTTAAAAATCCTGGTTTAAAAAATAAGTGTGGATTCTGGATATTAGCCCTTTGTCAGATGGATAGATTGTGAAAATTTTCTCCCATTGTGTAGGTTGCCTGTTCACTCTAATGATAGTTTCTTTTGCTGTGCAGAAACTCTTTAGTTTAATTAGATCCCATTTGTCTATTTTGGCTTTTGTTGCCATTGCTTTTGGTGTTTTAGTCATGAAGTCTTTGCCCATGCCCATGTCCTCAATGGTATTGCCTAGGTTTTCTTCTAGGGTTTTTATGGTTTTAGGTCTAACATTTAAGTCTTTAATCCATCTTGAATTAATTTTGGTATAAGGTGTAAGGAAGGGATCCAGTTTCAGCTTTCTGCATATGGCTAGCCAGTTTTCCCAGCACCATTTATTAAATAGGGAATCCTTTCCCCATTGCTTGTTTTTGTCAAGTTTGTCAAAGATCAGATGGTTGTAGATGTGTGGTGTTATTTCTGAGGCCTCTGTTCTGTTCCGTTGGTCTGTATATCTGTTTTGGTACCAGTACCATGATGTCTTGGTTGCTGTTGCCTTGTAGTATAGTTTGAAGTCAGGTAGTGTGATGCCTCCAGCTTTGTTCTTTTTGCTTAGGATTGTCTTGGCAATGCGGGCTCTTTTTTGGTTCCATATGAACTTTAAAGTAGTTTTTTCCAACTCTGTGAAGAAAGTCATTGGTAGCTTGATGGGGATGGCATTGAATCTGTAAATTACCTTGGGCAGTATGGCCATTTTCGCGATATTGATTCTTCCTACCCATGAGCGTGGAATGTTCTTCCATTTGTTTGTGTCCTCTTTTATTTCCTTGAGCAGTGGTTTGTAGTTCTCCTTGAAGAGGTCCTTCACATCCCTTGTAAGTTGTATTCCTAGGTATTTTATTCTCTTCATAGCAATTGTGAATGGGAGTTCACTCATGATTTGGTTCTCTGTTTGTCTGTTGTTGGTGTATAAGAATGCTTGTGATTTTTGCACATTGATTTTGTACATGGATCCTGAGACATTGCTGAAGTTACTTATCAGCTTATGGAGATTTTGGGCTGAGATGATGGGGTTTTCTAAATGTACAATCATGTCATCTGCAAACAGAGACAATTTGACTTCCTCTCTTCCTGTCTGAATATAAATTTACAAGAAGGCACATATACACCATGGAATACTATGCAGCCATAAAAAAGGATGAGTTCATGTCCTTTGAAGGGACATGGATGACGCTGGAAACCATCATTCTCAGCAAATTATCACAAGGACAAAAAACCAAACACTGCATGTTCTCACTCATAGGTGGGAATTGAACAATAAGAACACATGGACACAGGAAGGGGAACGTCACACACCGGGGACTGTTGTGGGGTGGGGGGAGGGGGGAGGGATAGCATTAGGAGATATACCTAATGCTAAATGACGAGTTAATGGGTGCGACACACCAACATGGCACATGTATACATATGTAACAAACCTGCATGTTGTGCACATGTACCCTAAAACTTTAAGTATAATAATAAAAAAAAAGAAAAAAACAACCTTATCAGAAAGTGGGCAAAGGATATGAACAGACATTTCTCAAAAGAAGACATTTATGCAGCCAACAAACATACGAAAAAATGCTCATTATCACTTGTCATTAGAGAAATGTAAATCAAAACCACAATGAGATACCATCTCATGCCAGTTAGAATGGTGATCATTAAAAAGTCAGGAAACAACAGATGCTGGAGAGGATGTGGAGAAATAAGAACACTTTTACACTGTTGGTGGGAGTGTAAATTAGTTCAACCATTGTGGAAGACAGTGTGGCGATTCCTCAAGGATCTAGAACTAGAAATATCATTTGACCCAGCAATCCCATTACTGGGTATATACCCAAAGGATTATAAATCATTCTATAAAGACACATGCACACGTATGTTTATTGTGGCACTGTTCACAATAGCAAAGACTTGGAACCAACCCAAATGCCCATGAATGATAGACTGGATAAAGAAAATGAGGCACATATACACCGTGGAATACTATGCAGCCATAAAAAAGGATGAATTCATGTCCTTTGTAGGGACATGGATGAAGCTGAAAACCATCATTCTCAGCAAACTAAAACAGGAACAGAAAACCAAACACCACATGTTCTCACTCGTAAGTGGGAGGTGAACAATGAGAACACATGGACCAGGAAGGGGAACATCACACTCTGGGACCTGTTAGGGGGTGAGGGGCTGGGGGAGGGATAGCATTAGGAGAAATACCTAATGTAGATGAAGGGTTGATAGGTGCAGCAAACCACCATGGCACATGTACACCTATGTAACAAACCTGCATGTTTTGCACATGTACCCCAGAACTTAAAGTATAATAAAAAAAAGTATGGAATAAATGTGGAAGAATACATGACATATCTAGACCACTTTCCCCCCTTCTCTCAAAGAAGTATAAGACCCTACAAACTGGGGTTGGGGGAGAGTTAGAGAACACCAGGATAGTTAGATTCTGGTGAAAGTCCTCAAGAATATGCCCTGCAGCCTGCCCTATCCTGGACAGAATCCCTGGGAATTGCCATAGAAAGTCCCAGATATATTTGATAATCCAAATATAGAGAAGTCCTATGTTTCACTTCTTGTTGGGGACCTTGGGAGGCAGTAAGCCCCAGAGTTTCTTGAGCCACTATGAGTTAGACAAATAGTAGCACCTGTATAGGTGCCAAGGCAGGCAGACCTAAGGCAAATCCATCAATCCTCCATGTGCCTTAGTTGGTGCAAGGGATGAAAACTCCTTACATGTGATTGACATCGTCCAGCACCTGAGACTGAAAGACTTGGAGGATGGAAATGCCATTGTAGATGTGGTGTGATCCACAAGTCCATGGACCCATAAGTCCAAATGGGAAGAACAACATATCAGGTTTGGCCAGCCTGGAGATAGGATGATCACTAAGGATTGAATAGAACAACGTACAGCTCAGCAGATATCTGCGTGGAACAAATCACGACCCAGGGAGAAGATGCCTCTGGGTGAGATCCTGCTCTGTGAAGCTCCGTGGATCTTGAAAGCCTCTCCCCACCACCCTCTTAGGGAGATTTAGGGAGAAACACTTGCTGAACTTGTCAGGACTTGGTTCCAAGCAAAGAAACCAACTCTAGTTAACATGAACAGAAAAGGAATTTACGGGAAGGACACCAGAGAGTCCTCAGAATCAATGGGCTCGAAAAGGGCAGAACTGCCTTCAGCCAAAACCACAGCACAGGAAGCTTCTGGTTAGATGCTGATGACACAACTACTGGCATGACTACTTCAGAAATGGACACAGGACATCACTGCAGTCAACCTCTGCCACTCCTAGAATAGGTTATGGAGCCACTGATGCTGCTGCCAGAATAAATCCTCCAGGGTCTCTCATTTCCCATGCACTGCAGACTTCATGTCCTGGATAGGACTATCCTGTTGGCCAACATTTGTCATGTGCCCACTCTGCAGTTATTTTTGGCTTTGATTCTGATGGGGTGGGTTTTGCTCCTCTTCATTGTGGCATCCCATACCCTCTGCCTCACCCAAAGGAAGAAGGCTCATGCTCATACAACCAAAATGAGTGTTCAACACTCTTGAATTGAATATCTGGAAGCAACCTGATTATCTGGAATAACTAATTTCTGCTACTGGAAGCTTAAGATATAATCTAAATTCAACCACAGAAAAAATAGAAGCTTATGTTTTCATACACCTGAGCTTTGGTTTGAGAAATTTGTATCTGGGTCATTCAGTGGAATGGAGAACACCTTACCCATGCACATGAATGCCCCATGTAACCATTCAGCAACCGCCCTGGACTGCATCATTAGCCCCTTTTCAAGCCAGGAATCTCAAGGCCAAGTAAGTTAAGTGACTGTTTCACACCAGTAATTAGCAAAGTGAAGATTTGATCTTGGGGACTTGTTCTCAAACTTTGAGCCCTATCAACTACATTGTGATTTATTTTCAAGATATTAGGGCCAGATGATAACTAAATTAGACTATTCTAGATCATTTGTTCTGAAACCTTGTCCTTAACATGGTGCCATTTCCTCCTATTACGACGAAAAAGAATAAATCACAATGTAGTGGATAGGGTTCCAGGCTTGGGGAGTCTGTGCACGTCAGAAAAGCCTCATGGCTCCTCCAAACACAATTCTGACCTTTAATAAACCCAGCAGAATTCATCCTTCTTAGCTCACAGTCCTGTGCCACCAGAGAAAGAGAATTACCCAGAAACAAAGAGCAAAGTGCTTGTTGCCTACCCACCACATTTTATTCAATTACCTGCCAAGCTCCTTTCTTCCTTTTCCACTCCCTGGGTATCCATGGGAAGAGGTGAGAAGAGAAGAAAGGCATTTTACAAGTAATCTTGTCTGTTGTGCTTCACCTTGACTGTGCTTGGGGACATCATGGATCTCCATTTCTTTATCTCCACTTAACTGAGCAGAGTAGAGGCAGGAAACGCTTAAGACCAGAACAGTAATAGGTGTAAGTAAAAAAAAGTATCTGTTTTCCATTAAGGAGATTAACTTCTCTGTTGGGGTTGTTATTACAGCACTAGGTCAGGGGCCACTTGTGGCTGACTGGTGCCTCTTCTGACTGGGTGGTCATGGCCCCCCTCTAGCTCCTCTCTGGAGCAGGGGTCACTCTTCCTAAATCTGGCTTCTCCTGATGGAGTCAGAATGATCAGATTCCCTACTTCAAGTATTGACACAATAGGGTAATAATGGTGAGTCCTTGTTTTCAGGACGTTAGAACAAAAGAAGGAAGTATTTTGCCCATGTACTTTACAGCCATTCAATGAGGATGATTTCATGTTGAATTGCAAAATAATTACATTTTCTGGTAAAAATTACACCTTATATTGGTTTCCCACATAACATGTTTACCTCTAATGTCAACCCAATTCTAGTATGGTGCACTATAGTGTCACTATGTAGTAAACATTTGATGAATAGAAGAATGAAAACTCTCTAAAGACAGAAATAGATGCAAATCTCCACAACCCAACAAACTGGATGCTGGTAAAAAATAATTGACAACTAGGTGCAGCTATTGTTTTCAGGGCTTTCCTTCTTTCCTTCTGTATTGCAAACATTCATTACGACAACTTTCAAAGAAACACAAACATAGAATTTTCCAATGAATCTCCATGCATCTATCAACCATCTTTCATAACTATATATTTTTCCACCATTATTGTCAACCCCCATTGCCTCACACTTTTTTGGAGGGGATATTTTAAATAAAAACCCAGACATTGTTTGTTTCCACTCACAATCATTTTAGTCTATATTGCAAACAGAAGAGGACTTTTAAGAAATCTTCAACCACAATCCCATTATCACTTCCTCCCAAATTAACAGTCAGTCTGTAATACCATCTAATACTCAATGTGTGTTTGGTTTTCATCTCTTCTGAGCTTCCTGTAAAGTTTCTTCCTAAATTAACATTAATTTGTGGCTTAAGACTAGTACTTTTACTATTTATTAGAGATATAAACTCCAACACCCTTCCCTCCAAACCCTAATTGAATACTTAAAATTGCTAAATGAATAACTTATATCTCCACTAATTCAATGAAGACTATTTAATGAGGACTTAAAATGCTGCTGACATTATAGAAGGTGTATAAAATGGGTAGCACTCCTGGCCTCAACAAGCTTATGGTTTTAAGGAGGATATGCTAGGCTTGGAGGCCCCTCTAACACTTTATACTCAGTATGATAAAACTGATCTCATCTTCTTGCCTTTGACAGCCAGCTCCCCAGGGGTCCTGCCATGTCTGACAGTGGCCTCACCATTCCCCATGCCCCCCAGTCTCGACACTTGGCCCTTTTTCTTTAGCCTCCATATGTAGTCAGTTTCAAATTGGACTAATTTTCTTCTGAAATGTTTTCCATACTCAATCTTTTTTTCTCTAGGGGGTCAGCCCTCTGTGACAAAACAAGCCAAATATATGGTTGGAATTTACATGAGTCCTGCCTTCTGTAATGGGGCAAATCGAGAGGGAGGTGTTAGCAGCTCTGAGGGTATGGAGTCCAGCATTGTGCCGTAAAATGCTTCTTATGAGGCAGGTCCAAGGATGCAGCGTCAGGCAGATATACAACAATATGGTATTTGGCATACAAGTAATAATCAGAAAAAGCATCCCATAGCATGCACGTGGCAAGTAGGGAATGGGCCAAAGGAAGTACAGTTGGGACTAGGATTGTTGAGAATTAGATGGGGCAGATATGAGTGATGACTCCGGCTGATCCTTTGGAATTTCATTTAGAAGCAGAGAATCAATGTTTGATCACTTTCTTTAATTTCATATGCAGCAACAGAAAACTACCAAATTACTACTAATTTATCAGTTTCCGACAAGATTCATTTATTCTCTCACATTTCTGCAGGTCAGAAATCCAGGCAGCTTGACTGGGTTCTCTGCTCAGGGTCTCTCACAGGGCTGTCAAGGTGTTGGCCAGCCTGGGATCTTATTTAGAGGCTAGGGAAATCAACTACCAGTTTTATTACCATTTTAAGTTATAAAATAGAGGCAAAGACTGTCTTCAAATGATGGGGGTGATTTCTACTTTATCTGCAGTTTTTTCCACTGTGGCTGTACCAAGAATGAACACGGTCTCTCTACTAGTTTTCTCAGATTGAACAATGGTTTAGGCTTATACTTAACATAGTAGCCCATTCTCTGTTTATTAAAAAAAACCACACACATAGAATCTTATAGGTTTGTGTATTTTATGTTTAAATTAAATTCTTATAACTTCATGACCTCACCTCACTGAAAATTGAGATGGTAAGACCCATTGCCTTTTCTCAATGATCTCAAGGCCAGGGCCATCTGGAATATTTAGTGTATTTAACATGTGAACACATCAACAATAAACTTTCTGGTTGTTGTTTTTTTTCTTTTTTTTATTATTATTATACTTTAAGTTTTAGGGTACATGTGCACATTGTGCAGGTTAGTTACATATGTATACATGTGCCATGCTGGTGCGCTGCACCCACTAACGTGTCATCTAGCATTAGGTATATCTCCCAATGCTATCCCTCCCCCATCCCCCGACCCCACCACAGTCCCCAGAGTGTGATATTCCCCTTCCTGTGTCCATGTGATCTCATTGTTCAATTCCCACCTATGAGTGAGAATATGCGGTGTTTGGTTTTTTGTTCTTGCGATAGTTTACTGAGAATGATGGTTTCCAATTTCATCCATGTCCCTACAAAGGACATGAACTCATCATTTTTTATGGCTGCATAGTATTCCATGGTGTATATGTGCCACATTTTCTTAATCCAGTCTAGCATTGTTGGACATTTGGGTTGGTTCCAAGTCTTTGCTATTGTGAATAATGCCGCAATAAACATACGTGTGCATGTGTCTTTATAGCAGCATGATTTATAGTCATTTGGGTATATACCCAGTAATGGGATGGCTGAGTCAAATGGTATTTCTAGTTCTAGATCCCTGAGGAATCGCCACACTGACTTTCACAATGGTTGAACTAGTTTACAGTCCCACCAACAGTGTAAAAGTGTTCCTATTTCTCCACATCCTCTCCAGCACCTGTTGTTTCCTGACTTTTTAATGATTGCCATTCTAACAGGTGTGAGATGATATCTCATAGTGGTTTTGATTTGCATTTCTCTGATGGCCAGTGATGATGAGCATTTTTTCATGTGTTTTTTGGCTGCATAAATGTCTTCTTTTGAGAAGTGTCTGTTCATGTCCTTCGCCCACTTTTTGATGGGGTTGTTTGTTTTTTTCTTGTAAATTTGTTTGAGTTCATTGTAGATTCTGGATATTAGCCCTTTGTCAGATGAGTAGGTTGCGAAAATTTTCTCCCATGTTGTAGGTTGCCTGTTCACTCTGATGGTAGTTTCTTTTGCTGTGCAGAAGCTCTTTAGTTTAATTAGATCCCATTTGTCAATTTTGGCTTTTGTTGCCATTGCTTTTGGTGTTTTGGACATGAAGTCCTTGCCCACGCCTATGTCCTGAATGGTAATGCCTAGGTTTTCTTCTAGGGTTTTTATGGTTTTAGGTCTAACGTTTAAATCTTTAATCCATCTTGAATTGATTTTTGTATAAGGTGTAAGGAAGGGATCCAGTTTCAGCTTTCTACATATGGCTAGCCAGTTTTCCCAGCACCATTTATTAAATAGGGAATCCTTTCCCCATTGCTTGTTTTTATCAGGTTTGTCAAAGATCAGATAGTTGTAGATATGCGGCGTTATTTCTGAGGGCTCTGTTCTGTTCCATTGATCTATATCTCTGTTTTGGTACCAGTACCATGCTGTTTTGGTTACTGTAGCCTTGTAGTATAGTTTGAAGTCAGGTAGTGTGATGCCTCCAGCTTTGTTCTTTTTGCTTAGGATTGTCTTGGCAATGCGGGCTCTTTTTTGGTTCCATATGAACTTTAAAGTAGTTTTTTCCAATTCTGTGAAGAAAGTCATTGGTAGCTTGATGGGGATGGCATTGAATCTGTAAATTACCTTGGGCAGTATGGCCATTTTCGCGATATTGATTCTTCCTACCCATGAGCATGGAATGTTCTTCCATTTGTTTGTGTCCTCTTTTATTTCCTTGAGCAGTGGTTTGTAGTTCTCCTTGAAGAGGTCCTTCACATCCCTTGTAAGTTGGATTCCTAGGTATTTTATTCTCTTTGAAGCAATTGTGAATGGGAGTTCACTCATGATTTGGCTCTCTGTTTGTCTGTTGTTGGTGTGTAAGAATGCTTGTGATTTTTGTACATTGATTTTGCATCCTGAGACTTTGCTGAAGTTGCTTATCAGCTTAAGGAGATTTTGGGCTGAGACAATGGGGTTTTCTAGATAAACAATCATGTCATCTGCAAACAGGGACAATTTGACTTCCTCTTTTCCTAATTGAATACCCTTTATTTCCTTCTCCTGCCTGATTGCCCTGGCCAGAACTTCCAACACTATGTTGAATAGGAGTGGTGAGAGAGGGCATCCCTGTCTTGTGCCAGTTTTCAAAGGGAATGCTTCCAGTTTTTGCCCATTCAGTATGATATTGGCTGTGGGTTTGTCATAGATAGCTCTTATTATTTTGAAATACGTCCCATCAATACCTAATTTATTGAGAGTTTTTAGCATGAAGGGTTGTTGAATTTTGTCAAAGGCTTTTTCTGCATCTATTGAGATAATCATGTGGTTTTTGTCTTTGGCTCTGTTTATATGCTGGATTACATTTATTGATTTGCATATATTGAACCAGCCTTGCATCCCAGGGATGAAGCCCACTTGATCATGGTGGATAAGCTTTTTGATGTGCTGCTGGATTCGGTTTGCCAGTATTTTATTGAGGATTTTTGCATCAATGTTCATCAAGGATATTGGTCTAAAATTCTCTTTTTTGGTTGTGTCTCTGCCCGGCTTTGGTATCAGAATGATGCTGGCCTCATAAAATGAGTTAGGGAGGATTCCCTCTTTTTCTATTGATTGGAATAGTTTCAGAAGGAATGGTACCAGCTCCTCCTTGTACCTCTGGTAGAATTCGGCTGTGAATCCATCTGGTCCTGGACTCTTTTTGGTTGGTAAACTATTGATTATTGCCAGAATTTCAGAGCCTGTTATTCGTCTATTCAGAGATTCAACTTCTTCCTGGTTTAGTCTTGGGAGAGTGTATGTGTCGAGGAATGTATCCATTTCTTCTAGATTTTCTAGTTTATTTGCGTAGAGGTGTTTGTAGTATTCTCTGATGGTAGTTTGTATTTCTGTGGGATCGGTGGTGATATCCCCTTTATCATTTTTTATTGTGTCTATTTGATTCTTCTCTCTTTTTTTCTTTATTAGTCTTGCTAGCGGTCTATCAATTTTGTTGATCCTTTCAAAAAACCAGCTCCTGGATTCATTGATTTTTTGAAGGGTTTTTTGTGTCTCTATTTCCTTCAGTTCTGCTCTGATTTTAGTTATTTCTTGCCTTCTGCTAGCTTTTGAATGTGTTTGCTCTTGCTTTTCTAGTTCTTTTAATTGTGATGTTAGGGTGTCAATTTTGGATCTTTCCTGCTTTCTCTTGTAGGCATTTAGTGCTATAAATTTCCCTCTACACACTGCTTTGAATGTGTCCCAGAGATTCTGGTATGTGGTGTCTTTGTTCTCGTTGGTTTCAAAGAACATCTTTATTTCTGCCTTCATTTCGTTATGTACTCAGTAGTCATTCAGGAGCAGGTTGTTCAGTTTCCATGTAGTTGAGCCGTTTTGAGTGAGATTCTTAATCCTGAGTTCTAGTTTGATTGCACTGTGGTCTGAGAGATAGTTTGTTATAATTTCTGTTCTTTTACATTTGCTGAGGAGAGCTTTACTTCCAACTATGTGGTCAGTTTTGGAATAGGTGTGGTGTGGTGCTGAAAAAAATGTATATTCTGTTGATTTGGGGTGGAGAGTTCTGTAGATGTCTATTAGGTCCGCTTGGTGCAGAGCTGAGTTCAATTCCTGGGTATCCTTGTTGACTTTCTGTCTCGTTGATCTGTCTAATGTTGACAGTGGGGTGTTAATGTCTCCCATTATTAATGTGTGGGAGTCTAAGTCTCTTTGTAGGTCACTCAGGACTTGCTTTATGAATCTGGGTGCTCCTGTATTCGGTGCATAAATATTTAGGATAGTTAGCTCCTCTTGTTGAATTGATCCCTTTACCATTATGTAATGGCCTTCTTTGTCTCTTTTGATCTTTGTTGGTTTAAAGTCTGTTTTATCAGAGACTAGGATTGCAACCCCTTCCTTTTTTTGTTTTCCATTGGCTTGGTAGATCTTCCTCCATCCTTTTATTTTGAGCCTATGTGTGTCTCTGCACGTGAGATGGGTTTCCTGAATACAGCACACTGATGGGTCTTGACTCTTTATCCAACTTGCCAGTCTGTGTCTTTTCATTGCAGAATTTAGTCCATTTACATTTAAAGTTAATATTGTTATGTGTGAATTTGATCCTGTCATTATGATGTTAGCTGGTGATTTTGCTCGTTAGTTGATGCAGTTTCTTCCTAGTCTCGATGGTCTTTACATTTTGGCATGATTTTGCAGCGGCTGGTACCGGTTGTTCCTTTCCATGTTTAGCGCTTCCTTCAGGAGCTCTTTTAGGGCAGGCCTGGTGGTGACAAAAATCTCTCAGCATTTGCTTGTCTATAAAGTATTTTATTTCTCCTTCACTTATGAAGCTTAGTTTGTCTGGATATGAAATTCTGGGTTGAAAATTCTTTTCTTTAAGAATGTTGAGTATTGGCCCCCACTCTCTTCTGGCTTGTAGGGTTTCTGCCGAGAGATCCACTGTTAGTCTGATGGGCTTCCCTTTGAGGGTAACCCGACCTTTCTCTCTGGCTGCCCTTAACATTTTTTCCTTCATTTCAACTTTGGTGAATCTGACAATTATGTGTCTTGGAGTTGCTCTTCTCGAGGAGTATCTTTGTGGCGTTCTCTGTATTTCCTGAATCTGAACGTTGGCCTGCCTTGCTAGATTGGGGAAGTTCTCCTGGATAATATCCTGCAGAGTGTTTTCCAACTTGGTTCCATTCTCCACATCACTTTCAGGTACACCAATCAGACGTAGATTTGGTCTTTTCACATAGTCCCATATTTCTTGGAGGCTTTGCTCATTTCTTTTTATTCTTTTTTCTCTAAACTTCCCTTCTCGCTTCATTTCATTCATTTCATCTTCCATCGCTGATACCCTTTCTTCCAGTTGATCGCATCGGCTCCTGAGGCTTCTGCATTCTTCACGTAGTTCTCGAGCCTTGGTTTTCAGCTCCATCAGCTCCTTTAAGCACTTCTCTGTATTGGTTATTCTAGTTATACATTCTTCTAAATTTTTTTCAAAGTTTTCAACTTCTTTGCCTTTGGTTTGAATGTCCTCCCATAGCTCAGAGTAATTTGATCGTCTGAAGCCTTCTTCTCTCATCTCGTCAAAATCATTCTCCATCCAGCTTTTTTCCGTTGCTGGTGAGGAACTGCGTTCCTTTGGAGGAGGAGAGGCGCTCTGCGTTTTAGAGTTTCCAGTTTTTCTGTTCTGTTTTTTCCCCATCTTTGTGGTTTTATCTACTTTTGGTCTTTGATGATGGTGATGTACAGATGGGTTTTCGGTGTAGATGTCCTTTCTGGTTGTTAGTTTTCCTTCTAACAGACAGGACCCTCAGCTGCAGGTCTGTTGGAATACCCTGCCGTGTGAGGTGTCAGTGTGCCCCTGCTGGGGGGTGCCTCCCAGTTAGGCTGCTCGGGGGTCAGGGGTCAGGGACCCACTTGAGGAGGCAGTCTGCCCGTTCTCAGATCTCCAGCTGCGTGCTGGGAGAACCACTGCTCTCTTCAAAGCTGTCAGACAGGGACACTTAAGTCTGCAGAGGTTACTGCTGTCTTTTTGTTTGTCTGTGCCCTGCCCCCAGAGGTGGAGCCTACAGAGGCAGGCAGGCCTCCTTGAGCTGTGGTGGGCTCCACCCAGTTCGAGCTTCCCGGCTGCTTTGTTTACCTAAGCAAGCCTGAGCAATGGCGGGCGCCCCTCCCCCAGCCTCGTTGCCCCCTTGCAGTTTAATCTCAGACTGCTGTGCTAGCAATCAGCGAGATTCCGTGGGCGTAGGACCCTCTCAGCCAGGTGTGGGATATAGTCTCGTGGTGCGCCGTTTTTTAAGCCGGTCTGAAAAGCGCAATATTCAGGTGGGAGTGACCCGATTTTCCAGGTGCGTTCGTCACCCCTTTCTTTGACTCGGAAAGGGAACTCCCTGACCCCTTGCGCTTCCCAGGTGAGGCAATGCCTCGCCCTGCTTCGGCTCGCGCACGGTGCGCGCACACACTGGCCTGCGCCCACTGTCTGGCACTCCCTAGTGAGATGAACCCGGTACCTCAGATGGAAATGCAGAAATCACCCGTCTTCTGCGTCGCTCACGCTGGGAGCTGTAGACCGGAGCTGTTCCTATTCGGCCATCTTGGCTCCTCCCCCTGTTTTTTTCAAGAAGGCTTTTCTTATTCGGTTTACAAAAATTATTAAAAATAAGTCTCAGTTTTTCAACTCTTTACATATACTCCAGGTTTTCTTACTCTCCACTTTTTTTCTTAGTGGATTCAGGAGTTCCCTAATTTTAATTTTTATTTCTGAGGTTAACATTTGAAAATGATGGAGAATTTTCACTATTACCTGATCAAAATGATTATACCAAATATGTGATTAAACATTTGTGAACATACTGCTCAGAAGAAAATAACCTTTAATTTTCTTTCCAACTAATGAGGACACCACTTTTTTTTCTTAATATGGGATTGCAATTAGGACTTATTTATTTCTTAGCATTTTAGAAAAAATGCCTCTCAGACTCATTGGGGATGTAATAGTTCTCCTATATAAATGGAACTTTAAAAAATACATTTACTAGAAACTAAAATTTGATTCATGTACTTTGAGAACAACATCAATCTTAGATAACAGAGTTCTTAGAAAACCAAAGCAATATTTATGGTTGTTTAAAAATAATATTCACAGGGTTAGGTACGTTAAAAGACAAAATTATGACAAACTTAATTTACAGATCTTAATTGGCTCTTATAGATGATTCTAGAATCAGGTGACACCTCATTCTATAAAGGAGAATGAGTGTTCCATTTTGCTGAGTGGAGGAGGTTGGCTTTATAGATAGAACAGGGCTAAAGAAAGCTGAAATGGAGAACAAAAAGCAGATTGGTCATTACAAAATTACTTTCCTTGTAAAGGGGTGGTGGACTTCCTTATCATGACAGCTAAAACCTACCCATTTGGGGATTTGGCTTCTCTCTCCTGATTTCTTGGAAGTTAAGATAAACAACTCAGTTTTGATTTAGTGGTGTGGAACCTTAGCACAAGTGACTCCATTTTGGTTTAGTCTGTTGAGCCCTGCTGTGGGAGTTTAGTTGAAACCAATGGCCTTCTACAGATTTTATTAATAGGTACTATTACCTGGTCAAAATGAGGTGACAAGATTGATTTCTCTATTTTCAGGTTAATTTTTCAACTCCAAACCAATTTGATATAGTGTTGACTTAAATAGCACCCTATAGAAAACCATCCAATTCAAAAATTATTTCTATTTAACGCCTTCAGCTGTTTTGAAATTTATGTTCCATTTTATCCAGAATGAACTGGCTGAGAAGAAGTTAGGGATGGCTTTTGTGCGCCTGTGTTTCCATCATTCCTTTCTTCCTCTTTCTCTGAGCAGATCCTACTGGACCAAAGCAGTGGTGGTGGGAATGCCTGGCCCCATAGTTGATGCTCTGTGAATCGTTTTTGAATAGATGAATGAATGAATGAATGAATGAATGAATGAATGAATGAGGATGGCATAAAAGCAGGAAGGGGGAATTATTCTGGAGTGGTTGGTTTTTAGCCTTTCCAAGGCAGCAGGTGATTTTCAGTAACCGAGCACAGAACAGCTGCTTCCCATCACCTTCCTCAAAACTCCAGGAGTGAGTGTTGCTGTGACCTCAGTCTTGCTGGCACTTACCGCACAGGGAGGACGTGCAGGTTCAGAAATCTTGTGAAATAGAGTCAAGAAAATTTACAGGATGCCTGCTGAGCAGGGGGTACCAAAAAGACCAAATGGGAGTTTATGTAGTGACTGTACCAGCAAAAACTTCCCCCGGTGGCTGGCTGTGAAGTCCAGAATTTGGCTCCTAATGTCATCAAGAGTGACACATGTTATTGATGGCACTGGTTCCTGGAATCTACTTGAATCTTGCAATTTTTTTTCTTGCTATCTTTATTTTTCTCTGTCACTTTCTCTCTCTTTCCCTTCCTCTCTTTCACACGCACTCTTTGTATTTCCATGGTGGTGCTGAGCTTGTGTATAGAAGGTGACTTGACTTGGTGTCTGGTGAGGCCAAGGGGCAGCTTCTCCTGTGATAGGCACATTCGTGAACTCAGGGTCGTACTCCAAGAACATCTAAAGATGATTCAGCATCAGCATGAGGTACTTTGAGTTTTTTGGCATTTTCTAAGCTACCGGGGAGGGGGACAAAAAGGTGGAAATGAATCACTTCATGTAAATAAAACTTCAATAGTACTTTTCTGGAAAAAAACAGAAACAGCCCATCATAGAAACGACAGTCTCCAGGCCAAGAGGGAAGTGAGCAGGGAGCAGTTTGAACATGCACCAGGTCACCTCCTGGAGTAGTCTGGTCTTACCCCGGGTAAAAAAAATGAGATTATTCAGGCAAGGAAAGTAAGGAGGGCAAATGTGTGAATAAATATTATGATGAGAATCATAGTCAGTAGTTGTCAGAAGAAAGAATAAAGCAGCCAGGCAGAAATGTGTTAAGGAATTTCCTTCCTCCCACAACTTTAAGATAAGATTCTGGAATTATTGTTGTTGTAATTATTATTATTATTTACAGAGAAAATTTACAGTGGCTAGTGGTTAGGGTTTGTTTTCTGTCCTGATAGGGCTGGTGTGGGGTCTTGGTTTGTTAAATTGTTTTCTCATGCAAGCTGTATTGTAAGACCTAACATTTCAAGTGCTGCCTTGACATCTTTGAACCTCACAAGTCCCCCAAAGCCTAACTATGAATTCCTCTGCACTTCCTAGATATGCCTTCTGCTAAGTGGAAAAGGCTCTCCCTCTTCACCCACCTGTGATTATTTCCCCCATTAGCCAGACCAGCTTCACCCAACCCAGTTCTCAAACTAACAGATTTCATTTCCCTGCTGGACTGAAAAATTACTCCAACAATCCATGGGAACCAGGGGACACCTCCAAGTCTTGATATTATAAAGGCTGCCTCTCAGAGCCCCTGGTTGCTTAGTTTATTCCCATGTGCAACCCCTGTGTGGCCCTGCCTCCATGGCATACAATGTCTTCCTCCCTCAGGCTATGGTATATGTGACTAAAAACTGCTATCAATTTCATCTGTTTAACGTCAAGTGTTGTGTGTTCAGCCATCTCATACTATTTAGTGTGGGAGATCCCTTCTCTACCAATAGGGCGAATAGGAGTTTATCAGAATCTGAGCACACTCATGACTTCAGGGTATTGACCAGTGCTTGGCTCATCCAGTGGTCAAAAGCCTGTTCAAATTTCTGGGGATACTCACCTACAGATGCATGGAAAGCCAATACATAGCCAGAATAAGGAATCAGTAGGCATAGAATTGACCTTCCAATCCTCAGATTTTTGAAGAACATCTCATGACCCAGACACAAAGCAAGGATCAGGAGTCTAAGCTTATCCTATGAAAAAACTGACCACATCCTGCTCTATCTCCACACACCTGTCTTTCCCCAAAGTAAAGCACATTCTTTAAGACTCACAATATTCTGCATCAGCCATTTATTCTTATATCTGGGAACTGTAGTTCTTGAAGTCTCTTAATTGCATTGCTTTAAGATGGATTCCATATAGAAACATCGACATGGAAAAACAATGTAAATATTGCTTAAACTAGAATTCAGAAACAAGGTACTACCTTAGGTATTTTCACCTTAATTAAAACAGCCATGATACTAAACAGTTAAGTTGCGTTGACTTGCAGTTATTACTTTATATTTGGCTTTGCTATTCTGTGTCAAAAAAGTTTGGTTCTCTTTTTCCCATATAGAACCTCAAAATGCCATCAGTCCATGGGATATTTTCTTTAAACTGGTCAATTTGGTGGAGTAATTTATTTAAAATAAGTTTTTTAAAATATAGTTTTCTCTTTATTTTACAAAATGAGTAATGCAAGCTGGGACGTGGAGCTATAAAGTCATTGCAAAAAAAAATTACACAGCAAAACTGCTATTTTTGGCTTCTAATTCTAACCCGTTTGCCAACTTGTTGCAAGTTATACTTATCAAGGGATCATACACTTTTTCCATCTTGTTTCATCTTGAACCTAAAATGCTAACAGAGACCGTGAATGGTATTTGATTTAATTAGCTAGTGTTGCTATTGCTTGCTATATCTCCCAACTCTAAATATCTCTAAACATAAGCTTCTTTTGAATCCAGCTTTTAAGTGACATAAATTGTATTCACAGGAATAAAAATCATTACTTATCTATGATATATATGTTTATATTTCAACTGGAATGCTTTATCACACAGTCCTTAGTTTATGTTATAAAAGGATGGATCTATAATAAGTCAGCAGAAACCACAGGCATTCCTTTGGAATAACTCAATGGGAAACAACAAAAAACCATGTTTAAAATTAAATTTTTAAAGAAAGTAATTTTATTTTACTCCCTGTGAAATTTGAGATGTTGAAATTAAACATCCATAATATATAGTACACAGGTGCAGTTGCTACTTTTTTTAAAAAAAAACAGGAGGTATTTAGTGAATATTATTTTGGCCATTGAAATTAAATAATTTTTACCTATTTTACACAAAGACAGACTCCCTCCAAACAAAGGATAAAAAAAAGTTCCAGAATTCAAGGAAAACAATTGCCAAATTCAGATATGAAGCTCAATAGAGCATGTGGTAGGCAGAATGCTAGGATGGCCTCAGAGATTTCCTCTGCCTCAACTCCCCATGGCTGTGCAATCCCTGGGACTGTGAATATGATGGATTCTATTCTGTGATTAGGTATGTCACATGGCACAGTTGACTTTAAGGTAGAGAGATTATCTATATAGGCCTGACCTAACCATAAAGGCTCTTTCTTTGGCTGGTCATAGAAGAGGAAGTGAGAGACTTGAAGCATTTGGTGCACTGTCACTAGCTTAAAGACGGAGGAAGCCAAGTGGCAAAAAAATGTGAACATTGTCTAGGGGCTGAAAGCAGACTCTGCCTGTCAGCCAGAAAGGAAATGGGAGCTGACATCACTGCAAAAACACCAAAATTCTGCTAATTACAAGAACGAACATGGGAGTGAACTTTTCTTTAGAGCCTAGACAAGAAGTCAGGAGGTGTGTATCAGCCAACATCTTGATTTTGGCCATATGATACCCTGATCAGAGAACCCATCTGTGTCATGCCAGACCTCTGACCTGAAGATGAATGCTCTAATAAGAGGGTACTGTTTTAATATGCTAAGTTCGTGATACTTTGTTACATGGGAATATAAAGCTAACACAGAGCATAAAATCATATTTTATGAAACATGTAAGTAGGGAATTTTAGGGGTTAATTCAGCAAGAGTATACAACAATTATATATTCACCGAACACTGGAGCACCCAGATATATAAAGCAAATATTATTAGAGCTGAAGAGAGAGATTGATCCCAACACAATAATAGCTGCAGGCTTCAACACCCCACTTTCAGCAATGGACAGATCTTCCAGACAGAAAATCAACAAAGAAATATTGGACTTAATCTGTGCTATAGACCAAATGGACCTAATAGATATTTACAGAAAATTTCATCCAACAGCTGCAGAATACACATTCTTTTCCTCAGCACATGATCTATTCTCAAGAATAGACCGTATGTTGGGTCACAAAACAAGTCTTAGCACATTCAAAAAAAATTGAAATAATATCAAGCATCTTCTCTGACCACAATGAAATAAATCTGAATATCAATAAGAAGAATTTTGGAAACTAACAAACACGTGGAAATTAAACAATATGCTCCCGCATGACCAGTGGGTCAATGAAGACATTAAGAGGGAAATTTAAAAATTTATTGAAACAAATGATAAAGGAAACACAACATACCAAAATCTATGGAATACAGGGAAAGCAGTACTGACAGGGAAGCTTATAGCTGTAAGTGCCTACATCACAAAAGAAGAAAAACTTCAAGTAAACAACCTTATGATGCATCTTAAAGAACTAGGAAAGCCAGGAGCAAACCAAACCCAAAATAAGTAGAAGAAATAATAAAGATTGAACAGAAATAAATGAATTTGAAATGAAGAAAATGATAGGATCAACAAAACAAAAATTTAGTTTTTGAAAGATAAAAAAAATAGACAAACCTTTAGCCAGACTAAGAAAAAAGAGAGAAGACCCAAGTAAACAAAATTAGAGATGAAAAAGGAGACATTATAACTGATACCATAGAAATTCAAAGGATCATTAGTGGCTACTATGAGCAACTATATGCCAGTACATTAGAAATTCTAGAAGAAATGGATAAATTCCTAGACACATGCAGCCTACCAAGATTGAACCAGGAAGAAATCCAAAACCTGAATTGACTAATAACAAGTAACAAAATTGAAGCTGTAATAAAGTCTCCCAGCAAAGAAAAGCCTGTCACCCAATGGCGTCATTGCTAAATTCTACCGAACATTTAAAGAAGAACTAATACCAATCTTAAACCATTCTGAAAAATAGAGGAGAAGGGAACACATTCAGTCTCATTCTATGAGGCCAGTATTACCCTGATACCAAAACCAGACAAAGACACATCAAAAAAAGAAAACTGCATGCCAGTGTCACTGATAAATATTGGTGCAAAAATCCTCAACAAAATGCTAGAAAACTGTTCAACAACACAAATAAAAAGATCATTCATCATGACCAAGTGGGGTTTATGTCAGGTATGCAAGGATGGTTCAACATTTGAAAATCAATTCATATAATACATTATATCAACAGAATGCTGGACAAAAACCATATGATTATTTCAATTGATGCTGAAAAAATATTTGATAAAATTCTACATCCTTCATGATAAAAACCTAAGTGTCCATCAACAGATGATCAGATGAAGAAAATGTGGTACATATACACAATAGAGGTCATTATGTTAAGTGAAATAAGTCAGGCACAGAAAGACAAACTTCACATGTTCTCACTGATTTGTGGGAACTAAAAATTAAAATAATTGAACTGATGGAGATATTGCATGGAAGTTTTGTTACCAGAGGCTGGGAAGCATAGTGGGAGGTTGGCAGGAGGTTGTGGGGATGGTTAATGGGTACAAAAAATAGTTAGAAAGAATGAATAAGACCTAGTATTTGTTAGCACATCAGGGTGACTATAGTGAAAAATAATTTAATTATATGTTTTAAAATAACTAAAGATTATAATTGGATGTTTGTAACACAAAGGATAAAAGCTTGAGGTGATGGGTACCCTATTTACCCTGATGTGATTATGATACATTGCATGTCTGTATCAAAATATCTCATGTAACCCATAAATATATACATGTATTATGTACCCACAAAAATCAAAACAAAATTTACAAAAAAGCAAAGTGAGAATGTGGCTTTATATGAGCTTAACAGAAGTAGACTAAAATATTATCATGACACTTGAGTGTTCGTGCCTTGAGAGTCTAGAGAATATTACTAATTCATAGATCCTCTCAAACAAGTGAAAATTTTGCCCTAAATTGACCACCTGATGCTAACATGGAGTGGGTCACCATGCTTGCCCCCAGCTCTTAATCAGTTTACTTAAAGATTATATATATTTAAGATGTACAATTTGATGTTTTGTTATATATATACCCTGTGAAATAATCACCACAATGAAGCTAATTAACATACCCATCACTTCACATGTTTACCTTATTTGTTTTTTGAGGGATGAGAATACTTAGGATCTGTCTACCCTATTAGCATATTTTGAGTATACAGTACAGTATACTTATTCATCAATAGACCTTTACATTGTTTCCATATCTTGGCTATTGTGAATAATGCTGTAATGAACATGGGAATGCAGGTATTTCTTTGAGATCCTGATTTCAATTCGTTTGGATATATACCCAGAAGTAAGATATCTGGGTCACATGATAGTTTTATTTTTAATTTTTTCAGGAATTTCCATACTGTTTTTCATAATGGCTGTACCAATTTACATTTCCACCAACAGTGTACCAGGGTTCCCTTTTATCCACATACTTGCCAACACTTGCCACCTTTATTTTTTGGCGGGGAAGTGGGGGGACGGAGTCTCGCTCTGTGGCCCAAGCTGGAGTGCTGTGGCACAATCTCGGCTTACTGCAACCTCCGACTCCCTGGTTCAAGTGATTCTCCTGCCTCAGCCTCCTGAGTAGCGGGATTACAGGCATCTGCCACCACGCCCAGCTAATTTTTGTATTTTTAGTAAAGACGGGGTTTCACCATGCTGGCCAGGATGGTCTTGATCTCCTGACCTCGTGATCTTCCACCTTGGCCTCCCAAAGTGCTGGGAATACAGGCGTGAGCCACCACACCCGGCCCCTTTTGTATTTTTTAATAGTAGCCATCCTAACAGGTGTGAAATGGTATCTCTTTGTGATTTTGATTTGCATTTCCCTGATGATTAGTGATGTTGAGTGCTTCTTCATAAAACTATTGGCCATTTGTAAGTCATCTTTGGAAAAATGTCTAGGATCTATCTACTCTCTTAGCAGATTTCAAGTATACAGTACAGTATTGTTACCTGTAGTCACCATACTATACATGAACGCTCCAGAACTTATCTTCCATAATTGAAACTGTATCCTTGACCAACATCTCCTCATTGCCTCCTCCTCCAGCCCCTGGTAACCACCATTCTCTTCTCTGTCTCTTTAAATTTGACAAGTTTAGATTCCACATATAAGTGAGATAATACATTATTTGTCTTTCTGTCCAAAAATGTCCAAAGATATTTTACCTGTTTTTACATCAGGTATTCTTCTGTTTGTTGCTATTGAGTTGTATGAGTTCCTTATATGTTTGGTATATTAACCCCTTATCATACATATGGCTTACAAATATTTGCTCTCCTTCCACAGGTTGCTTTTTCATTTTGTTTGTTGTTTCCTTTGCTGTGAAGAAGCTTTTTAGTTTGATGCAGTTCCATTCATTTAATTTTGCTTTTATTGCTTCTGCTTTTAGTGTCATATCCAAAAATCTTGCTAAGAACAAAGTCAAGGAATGTTTCCCTGTGTTTTCTTCTATGAGTTTTACAGTTTTCTGTCTGGGATTTAAGTCTTTTCATCCATTTTGTTTGCTTATTTATTTAATAGAGAAAAATTGTATATACTTATGGTATATAAATGCTTTGATATATGTATATGTTTTGGAATAGCTATTATAAGCTAATTGACATATGAGTTACTGCATATACTTACTTTTTGTGATGAGAGCACTTAAAACTACTCTTTTAGGAATTTCCAATCATACAATATATGGTTATAAACTATAGTCACCATGATGTACCATAGATCTCTTGAACTTATTCTTCCTGTCTAACTGAAATTTTGTATCCATTGACCAACATCTCCCCAGTCTCTTCACTCCCCAGCATCTGGTAACTGTAATTCTACTCTCTGCTTCTGTGAGTTCTAATTATTAAAATTTCTTATATAACTGAAATAATACAGTATTTGTCTTTCTGTGCCTGACTTATTTCACTTAATAGAATGTCCTCCGGATTCATCCATGTTTTAGCAATTGACAGCATTTTCTTCTTTTTAAATGCTGAATAGTATTTCATTGTGTATATGTACCACTCTTTTTTATCCATTCACAAATCGATGAGCACTTAGGTTAGTTTAATCTCTTAGCTTTTGTGAGTAATGCTATAATGAACTCAGGAGTGCAGTTATCTCTTCAACACACTGATTTTATATCCTTCAGATATATACCCAGAAATGGGACTGGTGTATCATATGATAGTCCTATTTTCAATTTTTTGAGGGAACCAGAGTACAGTTTCCAATCTTAGCTAATTTACATTCTCACTAGCCATGTATGAGGGTTCCTTTTTTTTCCCACATCCTTGCCAATACTTGTTATGATTCATATTTTTGATAATAGCCATTCTAACAGGCGTGAGGTAATATCTCTTCATGGTTTTAATTGGTTCTCCCTGATAGTTAGTGACGTTGAGCCTGTAATTACATTAAACTAAAACGTTTCTGCATAGCAAAGGAAACAATCAATATGGTAAAGAGAGAAAACTGATGGAATGGGAGAAAATATTTGCGAACTATACATCTGATAAAGAGTTAATATTCAAAATATATAAAGAACTCAACTCAATAGCAGGGAAACAACCTGATTTTTCAAAAGGAAAAAGACATTTTTCAAAAGAAGACAAATAAATAGCCAACAGGTATATGGAAAAAATGTGTGAATCTATTTCGAATTTATTTTTGTGTATGGTGGAAGACAAGGGTCCAATTTCATTATTTTGCATGAGGATATCCAGTTTTCTCAACAACATTTATTGAAGAGACTAATGTTACTCCATTGTATAGTCTTATAGCCCTTGTTGAAGATTAGTTGACTGTTTATGCCTGGATTTATTTCTGGTCTCTCTATTTTGTTCCATTGGTCTATGTGTCTGTTTGTATGCCCAGACGATACTGCATTGATTAGTACAGCTTTGTAATATAAATTGAAATCACATAATGTGATGCTTCCACCTTTGTTCTTCTTGCTTAAGATTGTTTTAGCTATTTGGGGTCTTCTGTAGTACCATAAGAATTTTAGAATTTTTTTTCCATTTCTGTAGAAAATGCCATTGGAATTTTGATAGAGATTGCATTGAATCTGAAGATAGCTTTGAGGAATGTGGACATTTTAACAATATTAATTCTTTGCATTCATGAACATATCTTTCCATTTATTTGTGTCTTCTTCAATTACTTTTATCAATGTCTTACAGCTTCTGTTTAGATTCTTCATCTTGGTTAAATTTATTCTTAAGTATTCTTTTTGATACTGTTATAAATGGGCCAGCGTTCTTAATTTCTTTTTGGATAGTTCATTTTTAGTATAGAAACACTACCGATATTTGTATGCTGATTTTGTAAACTGCAACTTTACTGAATTTGTTTATTAGTGCTAACAATTTTTGGTGGAGTCTTTAGGATTTTCTAAGTATGTAATGATGTCATCTTCAAACGGATAATTTTACTTACTCCTTTTCAACTTGGATGCTTTTAATTTCCTTGCTGCTTAATTACTCTGCCTAGGACTTCTAGTAGTGTGTTGAATAGAAGTGAAAAAGGGGCATCTTTGTGTTCCTGAGCTTCAAGGAAAGGCTTTCAGCTTTTCTCTCCCAAATTTGTTGAGAGTTTTTTTTTTAAATCATAAAATAATTTCAAATTTTGTCAAATTCTTTTTCTGCATTCATTAAGATTGTAAGATTTTTGTCTTTCCTTCTGTTAATGTGGCATATCACATTTATTGATTGTTGAACCATTCTTGCATCCCAGGGATGAATCCCAGTTGATCGTGTGTATGATCCTTTTTATGTGCTATTAAATTCAATTTGCTCATATTTTGTCAAGAATTTTTGCATCTATGTTAATCGGGAAGACTAACTTATGGTTTTGTTTTCTTGGAGAGTCCTTGCCTGGCTTTGGTATCAGGGTAATGCTGGCCCCATAAAGTGAGTTTGGAGGTTTTCCCTCCTCTTCAGTTTTATGGAAGTGTTTAATAAGGATGAGTGTTAATTCTTTAAATGTTTGGTAGAATTCACCAGTGAGGTCATATGATCCTAGGCTTTTCTTTTTGGGGAGATTTTTGATTACCGATTCAACCTATTTTCTATTGCTTGATTTAATCTTGGTTGCTTATGTTTTTCTGGGTATTTATTTGTTTATTTCTAGGTTATCCAATTTGTTGTCCTGTAATAGTTCTTATAGGATAATACATTGTCTTAGACACTTATAATTCTTTGTATTATTATAATTATTATTTTAATTATTTGTATTATAGACACATTTCTGTGGTATTGGTTGTAGTGTCTCCTCTTTCATTTATAATTTTATTTATTTGAGTTATCTCCTTTTTTTCTTAAGCTAGCTGAGGTTTGTCAATTTTGTTTATTTTTTTCAAAAAACCAACTGTTACTTTTATTGATCTATTGCTTTTCTAGGTTTCATTTTATTTATTTCTGCTTTGATCTTTATTATTTCCTTCCTCCTGCTCACTTTGGGCTTAGTTTGTTCTTTTTAAACTCCCTTGAGGTATAAAATTATGTTGTTTGAGATCTTTCTGTTTTCTTCATGTAAGCATTTGGCATTTTCCTTTAGAACTGCTTTTGCTGCATCCCATATGTTTTAGTATGTTCTGTGTCCGTTTTTGTTTGTCTCAAGATATTATCTGGTTTTCCTTTTTGATTTCTTCCTTGACCCATTAGTTGTTTAGGAGTGTGTTAATTTCCAAGTATTTGGAATTTTTCAATTTTCTTTGCTACTGATTTCTAGTTTCATACTACTGGGGAAGGAACATTTGTTTCATACCATTGTTAGAAAATCTTAGTCTTACAATTTTAGTCTTCTAAAAGTTGTTAATTTTTTTTTGTTTCCTAACATATGATATATCCTGGAGAATGTTCTGTTTGTGGCTGATAAAATGTGTATTTTGTTGCTGTTGGATAGAATGTTTTGCCTATGACTGCTAGGTCTATTGGGTGTTGTTGTTCAAGTCTGCTGTTTTATTATTGATTTTCTGTCTGGATGATCTATCCATTACTGAAAGGAGGATATTGAAGTCCCCAACCATTATTATCTTTCATTTGGTCTCTCTTTTCAGATCTATTAATATTTGGTTTATATATTTTGGTGCAACAATGTTAGGTGCATACGTACTTATAATTTTTATATTCTCTTGATTAATTGACTTGTTACCATTTATATAGTGACCTTCTTTGTCTCTTTTTACAAAAAACCTATTTTGTCTTAGAATAGCTCCCCTCCTCTACTTTGGTTACTATTTGTTTGAAATATATACACTTTTGCATCCATTCACTTTCAGCCAAATGTGTGTCCCTAAAGGTAAAGTGAGTTTCTAGTATGCAATATATTGTTGAGTCTTATTTTTTATCCATTTATCTACTTTGTGTCTTTTGATTGGAAAATGTAATCCATTGACATTTAAAATAAGTGTTGATAACTAAATACTTATTATTGCTATTTTGTTAGTTGTTTTTCAAATGTTTTATTGTTTGTTCCTTTCTCTCTAGCTGTCTTCCTTTTTGAGTTCATGATTTTTTTTTGTAGTGTTCTGCTTTGATTCCTTTCTTATTTTTTGTGTATCTACTAAAAGGTTTCTCTTTGTGATTACCGTTTATAATTCTTTGTGATTGCCATTTTATAATTACAAAATGTTTATATAATGTTTATAATGTTATAAAATGTTTGTTTAAACATTTTATAATTCTAGCAGACTGATATGGTCTGGATTTATGTCCTTGTCCAAATCTCATGTTGAATTGGAAGAGGGGCCTGGTGGGAGGTGATTAGATCATGGGGGTGGATTTCTCCTTTGCTGTTCTCATGATAGTAAGTGAGTCCTCATAAGAGATGATGGTTTAAAATTGTGCGGCAGTTCCCCGTTTGCTCTCTTTCTCTTCTGCTCCACCATGGTAAGATGTGTTTGCTTCCTCTTTGCCTTCCACCATGATTATAAGTTTCCTGAGGCCTGATAGTCATGCTTCCAGATAAGTCTGTGGAACTGTGAGTCAATTAAACCTCTTTTCTTTATAAATTACCCAGTCTCAGGTAGTTTTTTATAGCAGTGTGAAAATGGACTAATACATAGACTATTTTAAACTGGTAAAAACTTTGATTTCACACAAAACTCTGTTTTTATTACCCCCCTCTCCAACACACACATTTGAAATTGTCGATGTCACTATTTAAAATAATATATATTCATTAACACATTATTGTGACTATAGTTATTTTTAGATATTTCTATCTTTAAACTTTTATGCTATCATTAAAAGTGATTTATGCACCACCATTACAGTATGAAGTATTCTGAATTTGACTATATACTTACCTTTACTAGTCAGTTTTATACTTTTATATATTTTCATATTGCTATTTAGTTTCCTTTATTGGAACGTGAAGAACTCCCTTCAGCATTTCTTGTAAGGTAGATCTAGTGGTGATGAATTCCCTCAGCTTTCATTATCTGGAAAAGTCTTTATCTTCCTTCATTTCTGAAGGACAGCTTTGCCAGGTAAAGCATGCTTGGTTAGCAGGGTTTTTTTTTCCTTCATCACTTTGAATATATCATCCCACTCCTAGCCTGGAAGGTTTATGCTGAGAAATCTGCTGATAGTGATACACGAGTGGGGCAGGGAAGTACTGGGTAGAGAAAGACGGGGTCCCTGGTGAGGGCTCCACCCTCGGGCCTGTGCCCATGGACCTAAATGAGGATAGGCACTCCTGTTTTTGTGCCCAAATGTTGCATTTTCCAAGACCACTCTGGCCCACCATGCCCCCCATCCTGTGCCTATAAAAACCCGGAGACCCTAGCAGGCACAGACACAAGTGGCTGGATGTTGAGAGGAACACACCGGCAGAAGAACACACCAATAGACACCGGCAGGCCATCGATGGTGGAACGATGCAGATGCCGAGGGAAATTTGGCTGAGGGCAGTTGGAGGAGTGGCTGCTGAGTGGCCCGACTCCAGGGGAGGATCACCTTCCCACTCCATCCCCCCATCCATCTGCTGAGAGCTACTTCCAGCACTCAATAAAACCTTACACTCATTCTCCAAGCCCACATGTGATCTGATTTTTCGGGTACACTAGGGCAAGAACCCCAGGATACAGAAAACCCTGTGTCCTTGCAATAAGGCAGAGGGTCTAATTGAGCTGATTAACATAAGCTCAATGGCTTGTTGGATGGCTAAGCTGAAAGAGCACAGTGCAAAACACACCCTCTGGGGCTTCAGGAGCTATAAACACTCAACCCTAGACGCTGCTGTGGGGTCAGAGCCCACGCTCCCCATGACTTGCCCATAGGGGTTTGAGCTGTGGGGCACTGAAGAAGTGAGCCACACCCCCATCGCATGCCCCCTGGGATGGGTAAGAGAAAACTCCTCCCATTTCAATAGTCTTATGAGTTTCTCCGTTGGCTGCAATGTGTCTTGGTGAATATCTCTTGTTCAGTCTATTTTTGGTTCTATGGATATCAAAGTTATGAATGTTAATTTGTCTCCCAGACTTGAGAAGTTTTCTGTCACTATTTTTTAAAGTAAGTCTTCCTCCCCTTTCTCTTTCCCTGTCCTTTCTGGCACGGTCATATTGCTCATGTTGTTTTGTTTGATGTTATCTCATAAGTCATGTGGGCACAGAGTTATTTACATCCATGGATGACTGTAAAAATTGATGTTTCTATGAAGGTATAAGGACTAGAATCTCCCAATATACCACCTTGCAGAATCTCTATTCCTGAATTTAGATAAATGAATGGAAAGTCACAAAGGAATTCATATGTACAGACATACCAAGTTCCTGGAAGCACTTATTCTGTTCATAATCATCACTCATTGATTTTTTTTTGCTTTTTTCTTAAAATAGTCATATTGCATAGACAACCAGGACCTACTCATTATGTTTAGCACCTTACTTTGGCATGTCCCTCAGTTTGTTCATCAGTTGAGTTGAAAGTTCTCCTTACTTTTTTTCCTGATAGGCTTTCTTAATATTCAAAACATTTGTTATAGAACTTAAAAGGATTTTTCTGATATGTTGTTATTCATAGGCAGACAGTGTAAAGCTTAACCATGATTCCAGTAAGAGAAACTGAGAGCAGCAGGATGGTTTGTAGCATGTTCATATGAAATTTTTTTATCATTTTTAAGAAATTCAGCCTCAGGAGGACTGTCACCCCATGGAGAAATATGGCATGAATAATGGCAATGTTACTAAGCATAGCACCTTGTGCCTGAAAGCAACATCAGTGTCATTTAATCTAGACTTTGTTGACAACACAAAGACAGCATGAGTACTACTTATCTCTCCTCCTAAATTCCTTATGGGTCCTTCTAATCATGCAACACTGTTTCCCACTAACTCTAGACATAGACTCAGACTATTTCTCAACATAGTGTTCTAGAAAGTTAATAATAATATTTTGAGATTGCCTCAAAATTAAATTAGTATGTCATCCATAGTCTGCCTGAATCACCCAAGATAGATTCTATCTCTTCTTCTGTAGATTAAATTGATTATCATCTCATTCTCATCTAGGCCTGAGGACAGGAGTGGAGCTCCACAAAGAGACACGAATGTTATTATTATAATTTTTAAACACAAAGGCATATATATATATATAAATGCTTAAAAGACATTTCCTCGGACCAGCTATATATTGGAATCCCCAAATTTTGGGTAAGGCTGAGAATTCCTGGATAGATTCACTCAGAATCCCCGAAAATTAAGTTTAGATCAAACAACTGCCAAGAGAGTGCAAAACTGATTAAAGAGTTATTCACAGTGATTTATCAATGGTTTTTCTATCAACTAAAAGGCACAACTGATTACAGTGTTATTCATAGTGATTTATCAGTGGTTTTCCATCAACTAAAAGGCAGAGGAGATCAGGTGTAATTCTACTGGAGCTAGTCCTACTAGTTTGAGTCATGACTAATGAGATGGGATGGAATATACTCATTAAATTTACAATTGGTAAGTTGTCTAGGACCTTACATAACTGCATTAATAATCAGAAAGACCGTATTATTATAAGCATGCTTGCTATTCCATTTCTAATACAAGCAAAATGTAGGAAACAATAAAAACATTGCGATGAATGTGTTTAAACTGTTGACAAAACTGGATTTTGCCAACTATTCAGTAAGCACATGATGATATCAAGTAATTGGCCAAGATTTGATGGCTGCATTACAGTGGATGTGTCTCACAGTGTTAGAGTTGATGTCACACTACTAGACCATTACAGTATCACATTTCTGGTCATATGTGTGGAGAATATGTTGTACACCCAATTCTTGTAAGGGAGAAGCGAAGCTTAGAGTAAAGCATGTCATTGCAAGCATGCTTAAAACTAAAGACAAAAAAATTGGAAGAACATTGAAGCTGAATTTTTTATCTTATATGAAACAAGATAGCCTGTGTACATCCTAAAAATTATTCAGAAACTGCTGTAGGTCAGTGACTCAGTGGCTCCTATGGTATTATATAAAAATCAACATTACTGATTTTTCTGATTCTTTCAATTTGATTATTTGGTAGAGTGAACAATATGAGAGTGAAGAAGAAAGCAAGAAAAACAGCATTTTTTTAACTTTAGGAAGGTTTTATAATACAAATTGTATGACATAGCAATCAAAACTTTTTGAAGTTCAAATAATTATTTAGGATGTTTGAGAGATGACTGATGAAATGGTGACGTGATGAGCTTTGTAGACCTTCTGTCCAATGAAGCAACCATAACTCATAAAAATTACTAAAAAAGTAAAGTCTTTGGAAATTGTTCTAAGATCTTATAATTATAAATGTGTTTGGATAAAGTACATTTATAATTAAAGAATAAATGAATAAAAATGTATTCAATAACATCTACTCTGTTTCAGTAAGCATTGCAGAAGTCTGTGGTATTTGAGTCACAACCTGCTAACTCTCTTACTGCTCCCAGTCCAGCATGATGGAATCTCTACTCCAAGTGCATGTAGCCAATAACACGGGGATCTCTCTCCCTCTCCCTAGCTCCTGATTGAGGGCTATGTTATCTTCCTGGGAGATGCAGGTCACCAGAATTTCTCATTCCCTGTCCCAGGTCAATGTTGCAGAGGTTCTATTCCCAGAAAGAGTGGCCGAGGGACCTGGAGTTTACTTTCCCTAGTCATCCCTCATAGGGTAAAATCTCTACCCCAGGCATGGCAGCCCAAGAATACTGCAGTCCTGATTTTCCTTATCCAGTCTTGCTTGTAGGGTGGAGGCTACACAGTGGGAGAGGAGAGGAAGCTGAGAAACCCAGAGGCTGCTGCCCTAGCCTAGTGCCCTGTTCATAAGGCAGTGGTGTCATTTGAAAGAAGTAGGTTGTTGTCCCTGCCCCAAGTTTTGGAGCAGTGGTGCAGAGGTATTGCCCAGGGACAGAGAAGATCATATGAACAGAGTGCTCCAAGCTCTCTCCAGAGGAACTGACGTTATTTGAAACAGAGTGTAGGAAAGTTCATGCCTAGATTTAAAATGTATAATAATAATAGTACAATAGAGGTATATAGAAAAACTATTATATTTTACTGGAATTAAGTTAGTATAATCTAAAGTATATTCTTATAAATTAAAGTGTGTGTAATAATCCCTACAGCAACCACTAAGAAAATAGGAAAATGTAGTGAAGAAATTATTAGAGGAATTAAAATGTTAATTCAGTTAAGCAAAAGTGCTAATTCATTTAATGCAAAAGAAAGCAATAAAAGTGGAAGAGAGGATCAAAAAAGACATGCAATATACAGAGAACAAAATGTAAAATGACATGTAAACCCAACTAATATCAATAATAACATTAAATGTGAATGGAATAAGGAATCTAAATGTGAGTGGACTAAAAAGAGTCAGAGATTGTCATATTGCATAAATAAACAGGATCTAGCAATAAGCTGTCTATAGGAGACATAGTATAAATTCAAAGATAAAAATAGTTTTAATATAAAAGAATATAGAAAGATATATCATTCAAACAACAACCAAAAGAAAGCCAGAATGGCTACATTAAATAGACAAAATAGACTTAGAAACAAAAAAAGTTACTAGAGATGAAGAGGGATATTTCATAATGATCAAAAAGTCAATCCATCAGAACAATATAATAATTGTAAACCTATATATGCCCTACAACATAACTCCAAAATACATAAAGCAATATCTGATAGAATTGAAGAAAGAGACAATTTAATAATATTTGGATATTTCAGTATCCAACTTTCAATAATGAATAGAACAGAAGATAAAAACTATTAAGCACATATAACTAACAGACATGTATGGAACATCTCCAACAACAACAGAATATGTATTCTGTGCAGGTGCACATGAAGCATTCTCCATAATAGGCCATATGCTAAGATATAAAACAAGTCTCAATAAATTTAAAAATATTGAAATCATATAAGTGTGCTCTCTCACCACAGTGGAATGAACTTAGAAATCAATCGAGTTAATGGGTGCAGCACACCAGCATGGCACATGTATACATATGTAACTAACCTGTACATTGTGCACATGTACCCTAAAACTTAAAGTATAATAATAAAATTAAAAAAAAAAAGAAATCAATCATAGAAAGAAGTTTGGCAAATCCAAAAATATATGGAAATTAGTGGACACACTCTTAAGTAACTGTCAGTCAAGATGAAATCACAAGGGAAGTTAGAAAATACTTTTAGATAAATGGAAATGAAGACAAACATACCAAATCTTATAGGATGCAGCTTAAGCAATGTCTATGAGAATTTTTTTTTAATTTTATTATTATTATACTTTAAGTTTTAGGGTACATGTGCACAACGTGCAGGTTTGTTGCATATGTGTACATGTGCCATGTTGGTGTGCTGCACCCATTAACTTGTCATGTAGCATTAGGTATATCTCCTAATGCTATCCCTCCCTGCTCCCCCCACCCCACAACAGTCCCTGGTGTGTGATGTTCCTCTTCCTGTGTCCATGTGTTCTCATTGTTCAATTCCCATCTATGAGTGAGAACATGCGGTGTTTGGTTTTTTGTCCTTGTGATAGTTTGCTGAGAATGATGGTTTCCAGTTTCATCCATGTCCCTACAAAGGACATGAGCTCATCATTTTTTATGGCTGCATAGTATTCCATGGTATATATGTGCCATATTTTCTTAATCCAGTCTATCATTGTTGGACATTTAGGTTGTTTCCAAGTCTTTGCTATTGTGAATAGTGCCGCTATAAACATATGTGTGCATGTGTCTTTATAGCAGCATGATTTATAATCCTTTGGGTATATACCCAGTAATGGGATGGCTGGGTCAAATGGTATTTCTAATTCTAGATCCCTGAGGAATCACCACACTGACTTCCACAATGGTTGAACTAGTTTACAGTCCCACCAACAGTGTAAAAGTGTTCCTATTTCTCCACATCCTCTCCAGCACCTGTTGTTTCCTGACTTTTTAATGATTGTCATTCTAACTGATGTGAGATGGTATCTCATTGTGGTTTTGATTTGCATTTCTCTGATGGCCAGTGATGATGAGCATTTTTTCATGTGTTTTTTGGCTGCATAAATGTCTTCTTTTGAGAAGTGTCTGTTCATATCCTTCGCCCACTTTTTGATGGGGCTGTTTTTTTCTTGTAAATTTGTTTGAGTTCATTGTAGATTCTGGATATTAGCCCTTTGTCAGATGAGTAGGTTGCAAAAATTTTCTCCCATTCTGTAGGTTGCCTGTTCACTCTGATGGTAGTTTCTTTTGCTGTGCAGAAGCTCTTTAGTTTAATTAGATCCCATTTGTCAATTTTGGCTTTTGTTGGCATTGCTTTTGGTGTTTTAGACATGAAGTCCTTGCCCATGCCTATGTCGTGAATGGTATTGCCTAGGTTTTCTTCTAGGGTTTTTATGGTTTTAGGTCTATGAGAAAATTTATGGCTGTAAATGCCCATATTTAAAAAGAAGAGGCTGAGCACCGTGGCTCATGCCTATAATCCCAGCACTTTGGGAGGCTGAGATGGGCAGATCACCTAAGGTTGGGAGTTCAAGACCAGCCTGGCCAACATGGTGAAACCGTCTCTACTAAAAATACAAACATAGCCAGGCGTGGTGGCACGTGCCTGTAATCCCAGCTACTCAGGAAGCTGAGGCAGGAGAATCACTTAAACCTGGGAGGCAGAGGTTGCAGTAAGCTGAGATTGTGCCACTGCACTCAAGCCTGGGTGACAGAGTGAGACTCAAAAAAATAATAATAAATAAAATCAATTACCTAACTTTCCACTTAAAAACACTGGAAAAAAAAGAGAATGCTAAGTCTAAAGTATAAGGAAGGAAATAGTAAAGATTAGGGTGGAGATTAATGAAACAGAGATTAGAAAACAATAAAGAAAATCAACAAAAGTTAAGATAGAAGAAAAATCAAATTATTAAGAATGGAAGAGGGGATATCACTACTGACCTTAAAGAAATAAAAAGCATTATAAAGGATGTTATGAGAAACTGTATGCCCCCAAAATTAAATTCCTAGAATACTAGAAACTTGCAGAAACTGAACTTCACCAAAATAAAAAACTTTTGTGCTTCAAAGGATACCATAAAGAATGTGAAAACGCAATCCATAGAACGAGTGAAAAAATATATATTTTTTGTTTTGTTTTGAGATGAAGTCTTGCTCTGTCACCCAGGCTGGAGTGCAGTGGTGCAATCTTGCACCTCCGCCTCCCAGGTTCAAGCAATTCTCCTGCCTCAGCCTGTCTAGTGAAAATATTTTCAAATCATGAATCTAATAAGGGGCCTATATATAGAATATATAAAGAGCTCTTATAACTCTAATAAAAAGACAAATTACCCAATTAAAAATGATCAAAGGACCTTAATAGACATTTATCCAGGGAAGCCATACAAATGGTCAATAAGCACATGAAAAGATGCTCAACATCATTAATCATCAGAGAAATGTAAATCAAAACCACAATGGGATACCACTTCACACCCATCAGGATGGCTATGATCAAAAAGACAGATAATAACAAGTGCTGGTGAGGACATGAAGAAGTTGGAATTCTCATATCTTGCTGATGGGTATGTAAAATGGTGCAGCCACTTTGGAAAAACAGTCTGGCAGTACCTCAAAAGGTTAAATTTAGAGTTACCATAATACCCAGCAATTCCATTCCTAGGCATTTGCCTAAGATAAATGAAAATATGCATTCACACAAAAACTGGTATGGTAATGTTCATAGCACCATTATATATTTTATGATAGCTATATTTCATATTAGTAAAAAAGGTGGAAACAACTAAAATGCTCAACTGATGAATAAAGAAATAAAAATGGTGTGTTTATATGATGAAATGTTATTTGGCTATAAAAAGGAATGACACATTGATAAGTGTTACAACATGAACAACCAATAAAAAACTATGCTAACTGAAAGAAGCCAGTTAGAAAGAGTACATATTTTATGATTCCATTTATATGAAATGTACAGAATAGCAAATTTATTGTAACTGAAGTAGATTTGTGGTTGCTTAGGGCTGGGGATTGGGATGGAGGGTGATTGCTAATGTATATGAAGTTTTTTTCAGGAGGAATAATGAAAATGTCCTAAACTTAGATCGTGGTAATACTTTCACAACTGAGTGATTATACTACAAATCATTTAATTGTATGCTTTAAATGGGTGAATGGTATGATGTGTGAAATATATCTTAATAGGCTTTATTAAAAGTAAGGGAAAAGAAGGTATGGTTAGAACATCTCAGCTAAGCAGTTCTTAGCGATAACGTTAGTTTGGAAAAAGGGAAAGGCCTATGGATAATTGGAAGGGTAAAAGATAATCATAGGGAGTTCAGTGGAGGGCTGTTTCCTGGCCTTGTTATACTTCATTCAACAAAGAATCAAAGAAACATTCATTCATTCATCATTCATTCATTTATTCATCTATTCACTATTCGTTAATTCAGCCAACATTTGTTTAGTGTCTGCCATGTACTAATACCATGCTTAGGTCAAGAGGTTTTACCTGGGCCCAATCTTGCCTAATTGTCTAAGAAAGGGATTTGCTGTATCATAGGATTTGAGATCTGGAAGGACTTTGAGGATCTTATTGCTGTCAAATGCCTTATTTTATAGTTGGTAAAAACGTCACCAGCGGATATCTAAAGGCACATTGTGACTGACTAGAAAAGCTGGTTTCTGGCCAGGCACGGTGGCTCATGCCTGTAATCCCAGCACTTTGGGTGGCCGAGGCAGGTGGAATATGAAGTCAGGAGTTCGAGACCAGCTTGGCCAACATGGTGAAACCCCATCTCTACTAAAAATACAAAAATTAGCCAGGCATGGTGGTGCACACCTGTAATCCCAGCTATTCGGGAGCCTGAGGCGGGAGAATCGTTGGAACCTAGGAGGTGGAGGTTGCAGTGAGCTAAGATCGCCCCACTACACTCAAGCCTGGGTGACAGAGCAAGACTCTGTCTCAAAAAAAGTAATAATAAATAAATAAAAAATAAAAGGTGGTTTCTAACTGCAGCTTGAGGAGTAACGAGTAACAATTTTTATTTAACATATTCATGTTTAGCTAGCTAGTACTTTGGGATTCACAGTGGAAATGACCTGGGCAAGTAGGCAAGTGGGCTTGTTACTAACTCTGGGGCTAGCTTTGCCCATGAGATTTGCTGTTACTTCTCCTAAATATGTGGATGGTGATGTTACTGCAGAGTGGTTTTTTGTTTGTTTGTTTGTTTGTTTGTTTGTGAAAAGAGAGAAAGATATTTGCCTTGCTTTTAGTCATTTTCTACACAGTCATTAGTGGAGGAAGAATTTGCAAATTGGTGTAAGGCGCATGAATACATCTGGCTCTTCATCTAGTAGCTGTGGTCCAGGTGTATAGGTCTGTAGATATTTGACCACAAAGTAGATCAACATCACATGTGTACACAACATAATGATCACTTGCGTTTTTGTATTGAATTTCATTGCCTAAAATAGACACTTTCCATTAATTTTGGCTCTTCACTCATCCTGGTTTAGCATATAAACTCTTAGTAAAAGGTCAAGGGAATACTTGTTTAATTCCCCATCCTATGTGACTTGGTGTGGATTAAAGACTGTCTGACTGTCTTATACTACTGAAGCTGAAAATGCTAGATTTTTGCTTTTCCAACCTATTTGCAGTAGAACACAGTCACTTAACAAATCAGTCAGTAATACCTATGTCAGAATTTAATTCAGGATCTAGTAACTGAAAAAATAAAAAGAACCCTCTCTTTATGGCTATAGGGCCAATCAGTAGAATCTGTTTCCTCACTGGGCTCTAGATTGGGGGATTTTACATAGCTGCTGAACTTCAGGCTCTTCTATTAATACTGTAAATTATCTGTTATCTTCTTAATTATTTCAATTTTCTTCTTAGCCAGAATTTACCCTCTGTTGCTTATGACTAAAAGCTCTAATACAACACTCATAGCACACTATCTAGTTAATCTAGTCACCAGAATGAGCTGCTTTTCTGGAATGTGAAGGGTAATGATATGAAATGGAGGAGGGCACATAATAAGAGTAAAAGAGAGAAATCTACTTATAAGTCTTCAAACATATTTGTAAAAATAAAAATTTAATTTTAATAACTTAAACTTAGTTTGGAATGAGATAATTAAAATGAATTGTATACATACATTTGTTTCTTAATGGAAAATTAAAAGGTAATACAACAAAGTGGAGAAATTTCTAAATAAATCAGAAAGATAAGGTAAAAATTAAGTTATGAAAATAAGATGGAGGTTTATTTTGAGATTTTTGCAGAAAATGTATACTATGACATCTAACACATTTGTTAGAGATGACTAGTCCTAGTGTGACTGCATAATTTGTTGCATAAATGGGGGCACTTAACGAAAGGCAACTTTCTGGTTAATTACTCTAGGACAATGGATGTTAACTTGAAGTTTTTTGAACAGGAACACACAGTTATACTAAATAGAGTGGGCCAGGCACGGTGGCTCACACCTGTAATCCCAGCACTTTGGGAGGCCGAGGTGGGCGATCACAAGGTCAGGAGTTCAAGACCAGCCTCATCTCTACTAAAAATACAAAAATTAGCCGGACGTGGTGGTGAGCGTCTGTAATCTCAGCTACTCAGGAGTCTGAGGCAGGAGGATTGCTTGAACCTCGGAGGCGGAGGTTGCAGTGAGCCAAGATCATGCCATTGCACTCCAGCCTAGGCAACAAAGTGAGACTCCATCTCAAAAAAAAAAAAATAGTGCGTAAGGGCTAATTTAATAAGCCCCTCTCTCTCTCTGTCTCATACACACACACATATGTAGATACAGTATACATTCAAATAAACTTGGACTTCATTCTTTCTAAAGTCCTGGCACGCTGCACCAGCATATGCTCAGTTATGCTGTGGGAAAGAGCAGTTCTCAAACTTCAGTGGCTTGAAAAATAAAGGTTCATACCTTAATCACACACATGTCCATTGATGGACAGCTGGGAGTTTCCTCTGTTTCTTCATCATTACTCAAGATACATGGTGGTGAAACATCCACTATCTAGAACATTCTCAATCCCTGTGGCAGAGGGAAAGGAGTATCTTGTAGCAGGAACTAATTGCTATGTCAGGAAATACTTGCAGCCCCAATTCATTGGCCAGAGGTAGTCACATGACATTACCAGGACTCCTGGAAGTGCAATCCTACTATGTGCCTGGAGTCTGGAGACCTGCAAATATTTGGTTAGCATCATTAACAGCTAGCACACAGAACTTTTTTTTTAAAGACACTATCCACTATCCTTTTTTAGAAATAAACTTATTTTGGAATAGTTTTGGATTTACAGAAAAGTTATAAAGAATGTATGACAATTTTTTAAAAATTAAAATGTGTCTTTATAATTGATAAAATAGTAGTGCTCAGTTTAAAAAGATACCTGGAAGGAAAATAAAACCAGAGTATATTGTTGCCTAACCTCTCTACTTTCTGACTGTTTTAAGTGCCTACCTTCTGCCAACCAATATTGCAAATGCAGCAGTCAATTCTAGGCTTGTCCTCTACTTGAGGGTCTACCAAGAGCTGCCTCTGCCACCTGCTAGCAGTCAAAGGAAGAATTATGTCATATTCTTAGAATGATAAGAGACTAAAGTCACCAGGTAGCATTTGGAGTGACAGCTTTCTGTAGAACCCATAAAACTGATCCAAACACAAAAACAGGTGGGAGGTGCCAGTTACAGGAATAAACTGTCAATCATCATCAGAATATAAGCCTTGGGTTTCCTGTTTTGTCTGAACTCTGAGGGTGTATCACTGATGCAGCAAAGGAAAGACATGGGCTGTGTTTAAAGGCATGACACGACACATGTGATCTATGCTAGTGGTACCTATTACATTTTTATCATACATATATCTTTTGGAGTACAGAAATCTGCTATTATTATGTGACGTGGGTGATTGGAATGATACTTTTGTTATTTTTTAACCCATGTGATGAGAGCAAGTATTTGAACTCTGACCAAGAGGTCAAATGGAAATTAGGGAACTAACTATTTATCTCCCAGAACGTGAGGGCCATGATTGCACCGAAGGTGAATCACACATTTGATTCCATGAATCTAGCAATGGACTGAAAACAAAGTGGGAAACATGGCCAATTCTGTGATTTAGAGTCCAGGAGACAAAAATACACCAGATACTCAAGAGAAACAGTGACATTGCAGCTGAGACGAGAGAGAAATGCCTCTCAGGAGTTCATAAACAGAACAACAACATAATATAATGGACAGCACCCTTAGCAAATACTGTAATGAATTACATTGAGCTATTTCACATAATGCTGTTCAATATATTCCACTGTGTCAAAACACCATTTTGTTAAAATAAATGGAATATATTTAATTAAGATAAATGGATCATTAAGGTTACCATATAATTTATTGTCTAAATACTTAGGCACTTGTGAGAGTAAAAGGAGATGCCTATTAACCATTTACACTCAGCCCATGGGTGTAAACCAGGTCTGTGTAAAGCAGAATGGAACTAAGTGTCACCTGTTTATAATAGACTCTGTGTCTATTATAGAAGGTGTGAATGCCTCCTTGTTTGTGAATGTCTACCAATCTTTCCAGGCAATCAACATTTCTGTGGAGCCAATCAGGCATATTGAAATTTCAGAGATCTGGAATCAACATGATCTTAATATAGAGTTTTTTCTCATTTATCTCAAACCTTCATCTTTTATTGTCTTTCATATGATCTAGCTTAATCAGGGCCACATTTAACTTTAAACGTTCAGCCCCTTCATTCCTATGGAACTGTATGATACTTCACTTATACATTGATTTGGCCATGTATTTCCATTAAAAAACAAAACAACCTCTATTATAAATTATGCTGTTATGATGAACATCCTTGTACCCATACCTTTACATAATTTTTGATTATTGTCTTAGGCCTGATGTCTAGTATTTGAATATCTAGGTATGTATGACAGTTGTAAGGCTCTTGATACCTATTTTTGAAATTGCTCTTCAGAAATTACCAGTTTAAATTCCTACTAGTATCAAATGAGAAAGCCTATTTCTTTTTCTTTTTTTTTGGGGGGGGGATGGAGCTTCGCTCTTGTTGCCCAGGCTGGAGTGCAATGGTGCAGTCTCATTCACTGCAACCTCTGTCTGCCGGGTTCAGGCAATTCTCCTGCCTCAGCCTCCCGAGTAGCTGCGATTACAGGCATGCACCACCATGTTGGGCTAATTTTTGTATTTTTAGTTGAGACAGGTTTCATCATGTTGGTCAGGCCGGTCTCGAACTCCTGACCTCAGGTAATCCACCCATCTTGGCCTCCCAAAGTGCTGGGATTACAGGTGTGAACCACCGTGCCTGGCCAAGAAAGCCTATTTCTATATAATTGTCAACATTCAATTTTTCTTTCATTTTGTAAAGCTAGTAGGTAAAACATTGAATCTTATTTTAATTTTTATTTCTCTAAATACTGAATTTTAGACCAATAAAACCTGAGTTTTAAAAATTTCCTCTTTTTCTGTTTTTGTTTAACTTTATAATCCATGTAGCATATTAGTACATGCTGTGAGATAGAAAACTATTTTTCTCCGAATGAACAAATGATCCAGTATGAATTTTCACCCTTGACATTTATTAAATTAATATGTATTTTTGGATTTTTAAAAAAATGTATAGTCCGTCTGTTGAGTACCATGTTGTCACAAAAATGTTTTACTTATTATCGCTTTTTGATGCTTTTAAGTTATGGCGGTCTTGTCCCCAACCCCAGTTTTATGGCGTGTTTTCACTTGCTTAATTTTCCATAGATTTTATAAATTTTAGAGTCATTACATTAGGAAAGTCACTTTGGGATTTAATACAATCACAAAATTACAATCGCAGTTGCTCGAAATATAACTGTTAATTTGTGGAGATGGCAGATAATATTTTGAAAAAAGAATTAGGTTTAATTTTGCAAATTTCTTGATAGGAATTCTTCATGTGTAGAGAGATACTATATAGAAAACCATTTTAACTTAATTGCAGGAATAACCAAATGATAAAATGGAGTGATATACACGTTATAGACTTTCTCACAGTCTTTATACACTTGGTAGATTTTCACATAGTGTTGTGAAAATCTGTGGTAAAGGGCAGAGTGGCTAGAGGGCTTTTTAGAATAAAATAATTTCAAGGGATGGTGAAACTGTGTGTAAGAATATTCTTAAGGGTGGGGAAGAGACAGGTGGAGAACAGGAAAGGCACTTAAGGGAGGGAGTGTAAGACTAAACTGGACACTTTGAAGGATGCTATAAAATTTTTCACCAGTCTGTTCCTTCTAGAGAATTTGTTTTTGTGTTCTATGTATCTTAAATCAAATGTGTGCCTAAGCAATTCTGTCCTCTGATTCCCACCCCTACCCACCAAAAAATGGTAGACATGAAAGGCAGGTAAGGAAACAGAAAAGGTCTTTTTGCAGATATATATTTTTTTAAATGGCACTATGTAGTAATTAAGAGCTAAGGAGACAGAAAGACAGTAGATGAGAATAGAAGAGTACCTGTACCTACAAGGGGAAAAATGAATGCAATTCTTTATTTGATAAGAGTGAACTGAAAGAGAATATTATTTTCCTACAATAAAGCAAGCTGTTCTCTCACAGGATAAAGTGGAATTCTGACATGGATTATGGACTTCTAACTCCCATTGAGATTGCTTCTTACCAGACATGGGGAAAAGCTGCCTTTCCTGAAAGGGGAGGAGGGCACTGTCCTTTCAGACAAAGCTTGTACAAATTCCTGAACCGCAAATTTGCTAAAGTGACCGTATATATTATATTCATAATTTAAATGATTATTTATGGTCAGATACATATTGTTAAACTTGAAAATGTTTTATTACATTACATCAAATAAAGTTTATTTGTAGCTGAAAAAAAAATTTTTTTTTCACTTTTAGTATGGGCCCACGATTTTTATTTTCATTCTGGAGTGTGGTGATCAACCTCAGGGTATGGTAGTCGTGGAGTTTTGGGAAGGGAGACGTCACCCTGGACTTGGGGAGGCCAACCAACACAAACTCACAGTAAAGCTGGCCCCTGGGTCCTCCTGACAGGGAAGAGAGTGCATGCTGCCGGCCCGGGGGATCTTGGAGCCGGCCAGCAGAATGCTTTGCCAAGGTTCACAAACTGAGATTGAATTTCGGCTGAATTTCCAGGAAATTCGAGCCAAATTGTGAAGGGACCTGGGCTGTATGGAATGTCAGGTAGGAGGCATGAGGAGATCATTTACTTTAGGATTAGTTATTTGATCCCAAACTGTAAAATGGGGGGAGTCTAGAAAATATAAATTCATGGGGAACCCTCCCCAGTAAAATTCTTCTATCTGCTTTGTCAATCTAGGCTTTGTGGATCTAGGGCTTTGCAGGACATTAGCCTGTCTGTTCCCCCATATAGTCTTGAATGTAGAAAAAGCCAAGGCCCATGAGTTCACCTAGAATGAAAAGATCACCACCATTCTTTCTTTGCAATGTTCGATTGCAAAAAAAAAATTAATGTTTTTACTGAAGTAACTGTTAGAAAGTTGGAGATGGTATAGAACCCTGACTTCCTTAGTTTTCTATCATGGAGACTGAGAGAGGAATACATTGATGCCATCTAGAAGTAACTTTAGTTTTTTTCGTTTTAGAATTTTTTGCTTACATTTTGCTAGGGCATTAGGAAATTGCATTTATTTAAAGGTTTTACAAATATGGTACACTTAAAAAAAACTTCATGCTTCAACTCTATGTTTTAGCTATTCATGGGACATAGGATGGTATACCCAGATTGAGCAACGAAGATCTTGGCTCTAGATTCAACTTTTCCTCTGACTACAGGAGGAACTTGGGGACAAATCACTAAACTGCTATGGGCCCCAATTTCTTTTTTTTTTTTTTTTAATTATTATTATACTTTAAGTTCTAGGGTACACGTGCACAACATGCAAGTTTGTTATATAGGTATACATGTGCCATGTTGGCTTGCTACACCTATCAACCCATCATCTACATTAAGTATTTCTCCTAATGCTATCCCTCCCCCCAGCCCCACACCCCCCAACAGGCCCCAGTGTGTGATGTTCCCCTTCCTGTGTCCATGTGTTCTCATTGTTCAATTCCCACCTATGAGTGAGAACATGTGGTGTTTGGTTTTCTGTTCCTGTGTTAGTTTGCTGAGAATGATGGTTTCCAGCTTCATCCATGTCCCTGCAAAGGACATGAACTCATCCTTTTTTATAACTGCATAGTCTTCCATGGTGTATATGTGCCACATTTTCTTAATGCAGTCTATCATTGATGGGCATTTGGGTTGGTTCCAAGTCTTTGCTATTGTGAATAGTGCCACAATAAACATAGGTGTGCATGTATCTTTATAGTAGAATGATTTATAATCCTTTGGGTATATACCCAGTAATGGGATGGCTGGGTCAAATGGTATTTCTAGTTCTAGATCCTTGAGGAATCACCACACTGTTTTCCACAATGGTTGAACTAATTTACACTCCCACCAACAGTGTAAAAAGCATTCCTATTTCTCCACATGTTCTCCAGCAAATGTTGTTTCTTGACTTTTTAATGATCGCCTTTCTAACTGGCATGAGATGGTATCTCATTGTGGTTTTGATTTGCATTTCTCTGATGACCAGTGATGATGAGCATTTTTTCATGTGTCTGTTGGCTGCATAAATGTCTTCTTTTGAGAAGTCTCTGTTCATATCCTTTGTTCACTTTTTCTTGGGGTTGTTTTTTTCTTGTAAATTTGTTTAAGTTCTTTGTAGATTCTGGATATTAGCCCTTTGTCACATGGGTAGATTGCAAAAATTTTCTCCCATTCTGCAGGTTGCCTGTTCACTCTGATGGTAGCTTCTTTTGCTGTGCAGAAGCTCTTTAGTTTAATTAGATCCCATTTGTCAATTTTGGCTTTTGTTGGCATTGCTTTTGGTGTTTTAGACATGAAGTCCTTGCCCATGCCTATGTCGTGAATGGTATTGCCTAGGTTTTCTTCTAGGGTTTTTATGGTTTTAGGTCTAACATTTAAGTCTTTAATCCATCTTGAATTAATTTTGGTATAAGGTGTAAGGAAGGGATCCAGTTTCAGCTTTCTGCATATGGCTAGCCAGTTTTCCGAGCACCATTTATTAAATAGGGAATCCTTTCCCCATTGCTTGTTTTTATCAGGTTTGTCAAAGATCAGATAGTTGTAGATGTGTGGTGTTATTTCTGAGGCCTCTGTTCTGTTGCATTGGTCTATATCTCTGTTTCGGTGCCAGTACCATGATGTTTTGGTTACTGTAGCCTTGTAGTATAGTTTGAAGTCAGGTAGCATGATGCCTCCAGCTTTGTTCTTTTTGCTTACGATCGTCTTGGCAATGCAGGCTCTTTTTTGGTTCCATGTGAGCTTTAAAGCAGTTTTTTCCAATTCTGTGAAGAAAGTCATTGGTAGCTTGATGGGGATGGCATTGAATCTATACATTACCTTGGGCAGTATGGCCGTTTTCACGATATTGATTCTTCCTATCCATGAGCATGGAATGTTCTTCCATTTGTTTCTGTCCTCTTTTATTTCATTGAGTAGTGGTTTGTAGTTTTCCTTGAAGAGGTCCTTCACATCTCTTGTAAGTTGCATTCTTAGGTATTTTTTTTCCCTTTGTAGCAATTGCGAATGCAAGTTCACTCATGGTTTGGCTCTCTGTTTGTCTGTTATTGGTGTATAGGAATGCTTGTGATTTTTGCACATTGATTTTGTATCCTGAGACTGTGCTGAAGGTGCTTATCAGCTTAAGGAGATTTTGGTCTGAGACAATGGGGTTTTCTAAATATACAATCATGTCATCTGCAAACAGGGACAATTTGACTTCCTCTTTTCCTAATTGAATACCCTTTCTTTCTTTCTCTTGCTTGATTGCCCTGGCCAGAACTTGCAACACTATGTTGAATAGGAGTGGTGGGAGAGGGCATCCTTGTCTTGTGCCAGTTTTCAAAGGGAATGCCCATTGAGTATGATATTGGCTGTGGGTCTGTCATAAATAGCTCTTATGATTTTGAGATATGTTCCATCAATACCTAGTTTATTGAGAGTTTTTAGCATGAAGGGATGTTGAATTTTGTCGAAGGCCTTTTCTGCATCTATTGAGATAATCATGTGGTTTTTGTCACTGGTTCTGTTTAGGTGATGGATTACATTTATTGATTTGTGTACGTTGAAAGAGCCTTGCATCCCAGGGATGAAGCTGACTTGATCATGGTAGATAAGCTTTTTGATGTGCTGCTGGATTTGGTTTGCAAGTATTTTATTGAGGATTTTTGCATTGATGTTCACCAGGGATATTGGTCTAAAATTCTCTTTTTTTGTTGTGTTTCTGCGAGGCTTTGGTATCAGGATGATGCTGGCCTCATAAAATGAATTTGGGAGGATTCCCTCTTTTTCTATTGACTGGAATAGTTTCAGAAGGAATGGTACCAGCTCCTCTTTGTATCTCTGGTAGAATTCGGCTGTGAATCCGTCTGGTCCGGGACTTTTTTTGGTTGGTAGGCTATTAATTATTGCCTCAATTTCAGAGGCTGTTGTTGGTCTATTCAGAGATTCCACTTCTTCCTGGTTTAGTCTTGGGAGGGTGTGTGTGTCCAGGAATATATCCATTTCTTCTAGATTTTCTAGTTTATTTGTGTAGAGGTGTTTATAGTATCCTCTGATGGTAGTTTGTATTTCTGTGGGATTGGTGGTGATATCCCCTTTATCATTTTTTATTGCATCTATTTGATTCTTCTCTCTTTTCTTCTTTATTAGTCTTGCTAGCAGTCTATCAATTTCATTGATCTTTTCAAAAAACCAGCTCCTGGATTCATTGATTTTTTGAAGGGTTTTTTGTGTCTCTATCTCCTTCAGTTCTGCTCTGATCTTAGTTATTTCTTGTCTTCTGCTAGCTTTTGAATGTCTTTGCTCTTGCTTCTCTAGTTCTTTTAATTGTGATGTCAGGGTGTCAGTTTTAGATCTTTTCTGCTTTCTCTTGTGGGCATATAGTGCTATAAATTTCCCTCTACACACTGCTTTGAATGTGTCCCAGAGATTCTGGTATGTTGTGTCTTTGTTCTCTGTGGTTTCAAAGAACATCTTTATTTCTGCCTTCATTTTGTTATGTATCCAGTAGTCATTCAGGAGCAGGTTGTTCAGTTTCCATGTAGTTGTGTGGTTTTGAGTGAGTTTTTTTAATCCTGAGTTCTAATTTGATTGCACTGTGGTCTAAGATACAGTTTGTTGTGATTTGTGTTCTTTTACATTTGTTGAGCAGTGCTTTGCTTCCAATTATGTGGTCAGTTTTAAAATAAGTGTTATGTCGTGCTGAGAAGCATATGTATTCTGTTGATTTGGGGTGCAGAGTTCTGTAGATGTCTATTAGGTCTACTTGGTGCAGAGGTGAGTTCAAGTCCTGGATATTCTTGTTAACCTTCTGTCTCGTTGATCTGTCTAACATTCACAGTTGGGTGTTAAAGTCTCCCATTATTATTGGATGGGAGTCTAAATGTCTTCGTAGGTGTCTAAGAACTTGCTTTATGAATCTGGGTGGTCCTGTATTGGGTGCAAATATATTCAGGATAGTTAGCTCTTCTTGCTGAATTGATCCTTTTACCATTATGTAATGGCTTTCTTTGTCTCTTTTGATTTTTGTTGGCTTAAAGTCTGTTTTATCAGAGACTAGGATTTCAACCCCTGCTTTTTTATGCTTTCCATTTGTTTGGTAGATCTTCCTCCATCCCTTTATTTTGAGCCTATGTGTGTTTCTGCAAATGAGATGGGTCTCCTGAATACAGCACACTGATGGGTCTTCACTCTTTATCCAGTTTGCCAGTCTGTATCTTTTAATTGGGCATTTAGCCCATTTACATTTAAGGTTAATATTGCTATGTGTGAATTTGATCCTATCGTTATGATGTTAGCTGGTTATTTTGCCCGTTAATTGATGCAGTTTCTTCCTAGCCTCGATGGTCTTTACAATTTGGCATGTTTTTGCAGTGGCTGGTACTGGTTGTTCCTTTCCATGTTTAGTGCTTCCTTCAGGACCTCTTGTAAGGCAGGCCTCGTAGTGAAAAAGCTCTCAGCATTTGCTTCTCTGTAAAGGATTTTATTTCTCCTTCACTTATGAAGCTTAATTTGGCTGGATATGAACTTCTGGGTTGAAAATTCTTTTCTTTAAGAATGTTGAATATTGACCCCCACTCTCTTCTGGCTTGTAGGGTTTCTGCTCAGAGATCTACTGTTGGTCTGATGGGCTTCCCTTTGTGGGTAACCCGACCTTTCTCTCTGGCTGCCCTTAACATTTTTTCATTCATTTCAACCTTGGTGAATCTGACAATTATGTGTCTTGGGGTTGCTCTTCTTGAGGAGTATCTTTGTGTTGTTCTCTGTATTTCCTGAATTTGAATATTTGCCTGCCTTGCTAGGTTGGGGAAGTTCTCCTGCATAAGTGTTTTCCAACTTGGTTCCATTCTCCCCATCACTTTGAGGTACACAAATCAAATGTAGATTTGGTCTTTTCACATATTCCCATATTTCTGGGAGGCTTTTTTGTTTCTTTTTACTGTTTTTTCTCTAAACTTCTGCTCTCGCTTTATTTCATTAATTTGATCTTCAGTTGTCTTCTTGCTTTATTTTATTAATTTAATCTTCAATCACTGATACCCTTTCTTCTAGTTGATTGAATTGGCTATTGAAGCTTGTGCATGTGTCATGAAGTTCTCGTACCACGGTTTTAAGCTCCATCAGGTCATTTAAGGACTTCTCCGTGCTGTTTATTCTAGTTAGCCATTCGTCTAACCTTTTTTCAAGGTTTTTAGCTTCCTTGTGCTGGGTTAGAACACGCTCCTTTAGCTTGGAGAAGTTTGTTATTACCAGTCTTCTGAAGCCTACTTCTGTCAACTTGTCAAAGTCATTCTCCATCCAGGTTTGTTCTGTTACTGGTGAAGAGCTGCGATCCTTTGGAGGAGAAGAGGCACTCTGGTTTTTAGAATTTTCAGCTTTTCTGCTCTGGTTTCTCGGTCTCTTTGTGGTTTTATCTACCTTTGGTCTTTGATGTTGGTGACCTAGAGATGGGGTTTTGTTTTAGATTTCCTTTTCGTTGATGTTGATGCAATTCCTTTCAGTTTGTTAGTTTTCCTTCTAACAGTCAGGTCCCTCAGCTGCAGGTCTGTTGGAGTTTGCTGGAGGTCCGCTCCAGACCCTGTTTGCCTGGATATCACCAGCAGAGGCTGCAGAACAGCAAATATTGCTGCCCGATCCTTCCTCTGGAAGCTTCATCCAAAAGGGGCACCTGCCCAGATGAGGTGTCTGTTGGCCCCTACTGGGAGGTGTCTCCCAGTTAGGCTACATGGGGGTCAGGGACCCGCTTGAGGAGGCAGTCTGTCCATTCTCAGAGCTCAAATACCACGTTGGGAGAGCCACTGCTCTCTTCAGAGCTGTCAGACAGGGATGTTTAAGTCTGCAGAAGTTGTCTGCTGCTTTGTGTTCAGCTATGCCTTGCCCATAGAGGTGGAGTCTATGGAGGCAGCAGGCCTTGCTGAGCTGCGTTGGGCTTCGCCCAGTTTGAGCTTCCAGGCTGCATTGTTTACCTACTCAAGCCTCAGTTATGGCAGACCCCCCTTCCCCAGCCAGGCTGCTGCCTTGCAGTTTGATCTCAGACTGCTGCACTAGCAGCGAGCAAGGCTCTGTGGGCATATGGCCCCCAATTTCTTCAATTTGGAAAATGAGGTTATTGGACTAGATAATCTTTTTGAAATTATACTTTAAGTTCTGGGATACATGTGCATAACATGCAGATTTGTTACATAGGTATACATGTGCCATGGTGGTTTGCTTCACTCATCAACCCGTCATCTACATTAGGTATTTCTCCTAATGCTATCCCTCCCATAGTCCCCAACCCCTGACAGGTCCTGGTGTGTGATGTTCCCCTCCCTGTGTCCATGTGTTCTCATTGTTCAACTCCCACTCATGAGTGAGAACCTGCGGTGTTTGGTTTTCTGTTCCTGTGTTAGTTTGCTGAGAATGATGGTTTCCAGCTTCATGCATGTCCCTTCAAAGGACATGAACTCATCCTTTTTTATGGCTTCATGGCGTTCCATGGTGTATATGTGCCACATTTTCTTTATCCACTCTATCATTGTTGGGCATTTGGGTTGGTTCCAAGTCTTTGCTATTGTGAATAATGTTGCAAGAAACATATGTGTGCATGTGTCTTTATAGTAGAATGATTTATAATCCTTTAGGTATATATCCAGTAATGGGATTGCTGGGTCAAATGGTATTTCTGATTATAGATCCTTGAGGAATTGCCACACTGTCTCCAACAATGTTTGAACTAATTTTTCCTCCCACCAACAGTATAAAAGTGTTCCTATTTCTCCACATCCTCTCCAGCATCTGTTGTTTCCTGACTTTTTAATGATCACCATTCTAACTGGTGCGAGATAGCATCTTACCTTCACTCCATTAGCTTTAAATTTCTGAGTTTATGTATAGACACTTATAGGTAGGACAAAGGGTGTATATTCAGATAGAATCACTAGAATTATAAGAATTACCAGAATTTCTGCTGTAAAATAAAATGAATAGTTTTATTGCTTATGGATACTACTTACTATTAAATAATATCACAGTTTGCTTATGCTTATGGTCAATAACTTTTTACCCCCAACCAGATGTTTAAATACAGGATTGTGCAAATTCATACCTAAACCTTAGCAACAATAGCTGAGTGTGTGTTGGAGCGTGTGTTTGTGTGTACATGTGCGTTTTCCCTTCGGAACAAAATCATCTTCAGCTGAGGAAGTGATCCTTCAAAAAAAATAGCTTCGTTACATGAACAATCATGACCATTCAGAAGTGTTAAGTTAGTTACAAGAAAAAATAAATGTCCTTAGCTGATTTGCAGCTGTATAACTGTAGCTCTGTTTTCTTTCTCACCCTGGAGCAGTTTGGTCCTGATCTTCCATAAGAAACCTCTTCCAAACCTAAAAAAAATCATGTGATGTGTCACTTGATTTTTCTCTGCAGTGTCTTTTGTTTGTTACGTAATCTTAGTTCAAAAGAAAAAAATAATACTTAACCTGGAATATGGAAACGAAACAAGCCTTATAAAGAGAAGCCATTGCTTTGTATGGGTATTTCTATATGAGGTAGGAAAAGGAAGTATTGCAGGACTTCAGGAATAGCCTCTTTTCTTTGAATGAGTACTAGGTAAAATGTAGAACTCACCAAAAAGTGATGTATAGAACTTTGTTTTTCCATCATCATTAAAACCCTGAGTCTACCTATTCTTATTGAAGAGTAATCCTTATAATATAATCCTTATATTTATCCTTATAAATAATCATGGCTTGAATTCTTCCTTTAGCTACAGTTGAGGTCTGAGAGTGTTAAGAAAATAATTGGAATGATCTTGTACAAATCACTAATATTACAAAAAATTTACAGCCAAAGGGAAGGGTCAGTAATGATATATCATTACATCTACTGGAATGGCTACAGTTAGAAAGTGTAATAACACCAGGTCTGAAGTGACTGGAACTTTCATACAGTGCTGGTGGGAATATAGGATGATATCACTTTGGAAACAGCTTGAATGTTTTTTATAAAATTTAGCACACACTTGCCATATGACATAGAAATTTTAGCAGCCCTAAGTATTTGCTCAGAAAAAGTAAAAAAACATGTCTACACAAAGATTTGTTTGAATTAGCTTTGTTCATAATAGCCCCAAATGGAAAACAACTCAAGTGTTTGTTAACAGGTTAACAGATAAGTAATTCTAGTACGTCTAAACAATGGAATATTACTCAGCAATAAAAGAGATGAACTGTTGATTTATGCAACAACCTGGATGAATCTCAAGAACAGTCTTCTGAGAAAAAGAAGCCAGACATGCAAAATACGTATTGAATGATTCAATTTATATAAAACTCTAGACAAGACAAATCAAATCTATAGTGATAGAAAGTAGATCAATGGTTACTAAGGCCAAGGGTGGAGGTTGGGAACTGGCTGGGAAGGGTTACTGAGCACCATTGGAGATGACAGAAATTTTCATATATTGATTGTAATGGTGGTTTCATAGATGTATGTATTTGTCAAAACTCCTTGAACTGCAAACTGGTTCCCCACCAGAGGCACAGCAAAGGTAGGGTGGTGGGAGCAGGGCACTCCAAGCTACACAGAGTAGGGGCATGCAGTGTCTGCAGAGATTTTAAAATAATAATGAAACTGACTAAAAGTCAATCTGATTTTTATTATCCCCATGTATTAGTAATTCGAAACAATGTCAGTGAGAAAATCACTTTTCTCAAAAAATTTTCATTAGTCTAAATTCAAAACAATTGTTGCCGTTATTTATTTTTCAATAATACACATGCAAGTCTCAAAGTAACACTTGTAGTTCAGGTTTTCACCAGCTATACCTTACATCAATGTAGCAGTAGCTTCCTAGACCACTTGTTCTCATTGTAGTCTCTTTTTATTTCAATCTATCCTTCGTACTGCCACCAATCACCTCCTCTGATTAAAGGTACCCACATTTGCCTTCCCTAAAGATTAAGGACAATTGTCTAGCTAGAAAAACTAACACTTTCAGGTTCTGGATCCAATTCTTCCTTTCTAGACCTTCATAGGCCACTTCTTATCATACTTCCTATTTTAGTATATCTCACAGTGTAGTCCATGGACCTCTGCATTGGAACCACAGCATGAGAGGGAGGGTGGAGATGGATATACCTACAACCTGCCCCAAATCTGCAGCATTAGAATATCTATGGGGGCAGGTGAGATCTGGATCTCCTCAGATAATTCTTAAGCTAAGCTTAATAAAACTTAAGCATTTCTGCCATATCTTCACCAGCTATTTCATTGTTTTCCTGAATATGCAATTACCGTCACATAGAAGCCTTTGTTTGGTAGTTCTTTTTCCTCTCCTGGAATACCCCTTCCCTTCCCTCCCTCCCCCTCCCCTCCCCTCCCCTCCCCTCCCCTCCCCTCCCCTCCCCTCCCCCTCCCCTCCTCTCCCCTCCCCCTCCTCCCCTCCTCTCCCTCCCCTTCTTTTTCTCTCCTCCTCTCCTCTCCTTTCCTGTCTTTCCTTTCTTCCCTTTCCTTTCTTTCCTTTCCTTTCCTTTCTTTCCTTTTCTGACAGAGTCTTGCTCTGTTGCCCAGGCTTGAGTGCACTGGTGCAATCTCGGCTCACTGCAACCTCCACCTCCCGGGTTCAAGTGATTCTCCTGCCTCAGCCTCCTGAGTTGCTGGGATTACAGGTGCCCACCACCTGTAATTTTTTATTTTTAGTAGACACGGGGTTTCCCCATGTTGGCCATGGTTGGCCAAGCTGGTCTTGAACTCCTGACCTCAGGTGATCTGCCTGCCTCAGCCTCCCAAAGTGCTGGGATTACAGGCATGAGCCACTGTGCCTGGCCCTTACTTTTCTTTACAAAGATAATATTTACAGCATATTTTAAAGGGCTATGTAAATGTTACTTCTTTATGCAACCTTCTCTGCTCCTCCAATATCCTTCTTTAACACTTCTTACACACATACAGCTCACATCACTTGGTGCTATAGTTATTGTGGTAGCCATTTGTGTTATTTCCAAAATAGTTCTGGTTTCCCTTATTCTTGATAGGATTGACTTCTTGGCCCTTGGTCATTAGGAGTCATGTTACCAGTTCTGACCAATGAGTTGTGAGTGAAAGTCTATGTGCCACTTCCACAAAAGAGAGACCATTTATTAGATCCTTATTTTCCTTTGCTGTGGCAACTTGGTAATTTTCCAGCAGTGGTTATGGACATTCTTCTGAAGGGACAATTGACCGGGATTGCTGTGTGAGCTTTGATGTCTACCACCCACATATATATTACTTAGAGCTATTGGTAGCAATATCCATCAGTGATTCAAGGACTTTCTGTAACAATTTGGATCCCATTTTTTGTTTTTGGCTCTTTGCTCTTCAGTAAGCTGAAGCGTGTGAGAGAACATGGAGGCAGCATGGAGCACAGATTGAAAAGCCATTTGGACCTGGGTTCAAAGCCCAGTTCTACCATTTATTACCTGTGTAACCATGATCAAGTTACTGAAGCTCTTTAAATTTCTGTTTTTAAATGTTTTAAATGAGAACAAAAATTTCTATTCTTAAGGATTGTGGTGATAAACAGATAAGATAAAGTGTAACCATGTTAGCACATTGCCAAACATCTAATATTACAATGGTGACTATAAAAGACCACCTGCATTCAAGGGGACACCTTGCCTGAGGCTTTTGCTTTCTTAAGTCACACATCAAATATCTAATTCTATTGTCTAAGCCTTCTGGCTCAGTTAGGTAGTTTTTTCAAGCAGAAAAATGTGATTACTTATATGGAGAAAATAATCAGGTGAGAACATTTACATAAAACTGAGAGCTAAAAAAATGCTTAAACCTTTGTTTAACAACTTTGTTTTTTAAATCCTGAAGTTTACAGTTTTGCCTAACAGCCACAAAGAATTAGTACCATAAAAATATCTGGGTATTAAGAGGACATATTATTTATTGTTGTTGCTTTTCTGGCACTCTCACTAAAGTATGAAACTTATGTATAAAGACAAAGATATTTATAAATCAAAATGTCTTCAGAAATAATTTGATTTACTACTTTCATTTAACAGTTGGAAAAACTGTAACCTAGTTAGATTATGGGATTTATTAGGGATAAATCCCCATGTCTCTTGAATCAGTGATTTTACCCTAACACCATACTTCCCTAGACTTAATGCTTTAGTTATTGTTTACCAACGGCTGCTGTATTATTAATATCAATTTACTCTTTTACAAGAACTCTCCAGAAGCATAAAAACATACAAGAAGAGAATGAGTACCCAAATAGTCCTTATCCTTATTGAATCTCACATCATTTAAGTTATTCTGTTAATTCATTCATCCCAGTATACTCAGAATTTAAATCTTATTCATGTGCCTGCTTTTGCAGCACGCATGCTAAAATTGGAATGATACAAAGAAGATAGCATGGCTCCTGCACAAGGATAACACAGAAATTCATGAAGCATTCCTTATTTTTACAAAGGGAAGCCTGTCAGGTGAATAGTGGACCCTTCAACAGAAACCTTACAAGCCAGAAGAGATTGAAGGCCTATTTTCAGCATCCTTAAAGAAAAGAAATTCCAACCAAGAATTTCATACCCCACCAAATTAAGCTTCATAAGAGAAGGATAAATAAAATTATTTTCAGAGAAGACAATGCTAAATGAGTTAGTTACCATTAGTCCTGCCTTACAGAATGTCTTTAAGTGAGTGCTGAACATGGAAACAAAAGATCAATACCTGCTACCAGTGGCAAGTTGGATAAAGAAGCAAGACCCAACTGTCTGCTGTCTTCAAGAGATCTATCTCACATGCAATGACACATACAAGATCAAAGTAAATGGATGGAGAAAGATCTATAGGCAAACAGGAAATAAAAAAAAAGCAGAGGTGCTATTCTTATATCAGACAAAACAGACAATGATCAAAAAAGACAAAGAAGGACATTGCAAAGTGATAAAGGGTACAATTCAACAAGAAGACATAACTGTCCTAAATATACATATGCATCCAACATTGGAGCCCCCAGATCCATAAAATAAGTTCTAGAGACCTGTGAAGGGACTTAGATAAACACACAATAATAGTGGGAGATTTCAACACCACACTAATAGCATTAGACAGATCATTGAGGCAGAAAACTAACAGAGATATTCTGAACTTAAAACCCACAGTTGTCCAAATAGACCTAATAGACATTTACAAGACACTCCAGCCAACAACAGAATATACATTCTTCTCATCTGCATACAGCACATACCCTAAGATTGACCACATGCTAAGCCATAAAGTACCAACAAATTCAAAAAGACCAAAGCTATACCAACCACACTCTCAGGCCACAGCTCAATAAAGATAGAATTCAATACCAAGAAGATATTGCAAAACCATACAATTACATGGAAATTAAACAATCTACTTCTAAATGTCTTTTGGGTAAAGAATAAAATTAAGGCAGAGATAAAAAAAAAACTCTTTGAAACTAATGAAACAATGTGGTTGGTACGATTTTGACTTTTTTTAATTCATTGATACTTGCTTTATGGCAGAGCATGTGATGAATCTTGCAGTATATGCTGTGTGCAGATGAGAAGAATGTATATTCTGCTACTGGGTAGAACATACCAGAATTTCTGGGACACAGGTAAAGCAGTATTAAGAGGAAAATCTATAGTGCTAAATGCTTACATCAAGAAATTAGATCTCAAATTAGCAACCTAACATTGCACCTAGAGAAACTAGAAAAACAAGAGCAAACTGACCTCAAAGCCAGGAGAAAAAAAGAAATAACTGAAATCAGAGCTGAACTGAACAAAATTCAGATGTAAAAATCCACACAAAAGATCAACAAAACCAAAATTTGTTTTTTGAAAGAATAAACAAGATTTATAGACCAATAAGTAGATTACTAAAAAGAGAAGATCCAACTAAGTACAATCAGAAATGACAAAGGTGACATTACCACCTAACCCCACAGAAATATAAAAACCTTCAGGGACTATTGTGAACATCTCTATGCATGCAGACTAGAAAACAAAGCAGAAGTGGATAAATTCCTGGAACCATAGAGCCTCCCAGTATTGAACCAGGAAGAAATTGAAATCCTGAACAGACCAATAATGTGTTCTGACATTGAGTTAGTAATAAAAAAACTCTACCAATGAAAAAATAAACCTTGAGATGACACAGATTCACAGCTAAATTCTACCAGACATACAAAGATCTAGTACCAATTCTATGGAAATTATTCCAAAAAAAGAGGAGAGGGTTCTCCTCCCTAACTCATTCTATGAAGCCAACATCATTCTCATACCATAGCCTTGCAGAGACACAACAGAAAGAAAGCTTCAATATCTGTGATGAACATGAATGCAAAAATCCTCAATGAAATATTAGCTAACCATGTCCAGCAGCACATCAAAAAGTTACCATGATGATCAAGTAGGCTTTATTTCTGGGATGCAAGTTGGGTTCAACATACACAAATCAATAAATGTGATTCACCACATAAACAGAATTAAAAACAAAAACCACATGATCATCTCAATAGATGCAGAAAAGCCTTTTGATAAAACTCAATGTCCCTTCATGTTAAAAACCCTCAACAAACTAGGAATCAAAGAAACATACCTCCAAATAATAAGAACCATCTATGACAAACCCACAGCCAACATCATACTGAATAGGCAAAAGCTGGAAGTATTCTCTTTGAGAATGGAAACAAGATAAGGATGCCCACTTTTACCACTGCTATTCAACATAGTACTGGAAGTCCTAGCTACAGCAAGTGGGCAAGAAAAAGAAATAAAAGTCATCCAGATAGGAAGAGAGTAAGTCATACTATCTTCACAGACAATATGATTCTATACCTGGAAAACCCCATAGACTCTGCCAAAAAAAGCTCCTAGAACTGATAAACAACTTTAGAAAAGTTTCAGGATACAAAATCAGTGTACAAAAATCAGTAGCATTTGTATACACCAATAAAGTACAAGCTGATAGCCAAATCAAGAACACAATCCCATTTACAATAGCCACAAAAAGAATAAAATACCTAGGAATACAGCTAACCAAGGAAGTGAAAGATATCTACAACAAAATTTATAAAACACAGCTGAAAGAAATCAGAAATTACACAAACAAATGGAAAAACATTCCATGCTCATGGATAGGAAGAGTCAATCTTATTAAAATGGCTACACTGCCCAAAGCAATTTACAGATTCAATGCTATTTCTATCAAACTGCCAAGGACATTTTTCACAGAATTAGAAAAAACTATTCTAAAATTCATATGGAATCAAAAAAGAGCCCAAATAGCCAAAGCAATCCTAAGCAAAAAACAAAAGCATAAAAACAAAAACAAAGCAGGTGGTATCGCACTATCTGATTTCAAACTATACTACAAGGCTATGGTAACCAAAACAGCATGATACTGGTACAAAATCAGGCACATAGACCAATGGAACATAACAGAGAACACAGAAATAAAGCTGCACACCTACAGCCATTTGATCTTTGACAAAGTTGACAAAAATCAGCAATGGGAAAGGGGACTCTCTATTCAATAAATGGTGCTGGGATAACTGGCTAGCCATATGTAGAAGATTGAAACTGGAGCCATTTCTTTTACCATATACAAAAATCAACTCAAGATAGATTAAAGACTGCAATGTAAAACCTAAAACTATAAAAATCCTAGAAGAAAACCTAGGAAATACTATTCTGGACATTGGCTTTGGCATAGAATTTATGGCTAAGTCCCCAAAAGCAATTGCAACAAAACCAAAAATTGACAAATAGGATGTAAACTAAAGAGCTTCTGCACAGTAAAAGAAACTATCAACCCAGTAAACAGACAACCTGCAGAATGAGAGAAAATATTCACAAACTGTGCATCCAACAAACATCTAATATACAGAATCTATAGGGAACTTAAATGATTCGAGAAGCAAAAAACAACCCACCACATTTAAAAAAGGGCAAAGGATGTGAGTAGGCACTTCTCAAAAGAAGACATACACACAACCAACAAGCATGTGAAAAAATCCCCCACATTACTAATCACTAAAGAAATGTAAATCAAAACCACAATGAGATATCATCTTACACCAGTCAGAATGGCTATTTTTACAAAGTCAAAAAATAACGGATACTAGTGAGGCTGTGGAGAAAAGGGAACACTTATACACTGCTGGTAGGAATGTAAATTAGTTCAGCCACTGTTGAAGGCAGTTTGGAGATTTTTCAAAGAACTGAAAACAGAACTACCATTAGACTCAGCAATCCCATTACTGGGTGTATACCAAAAAGAATATAAATCATTCTACCATGAAGATACATGCATGCATATGCTCATCATAGCACAGTGAATACATAGCACATATTCACAATAGCAAAGACATGGAATTAACCTAGATGCCTATGAACAGTGGACTGGATGAAGAACATGTGGTACATATACAACATGGAATACTACACAGCTGTTAAAAAGAATGAGATCATGTCCTCTGCAGCAACATGGATGCAGGTGGAAGCCATTTTCCTAAGCAAATTAATGCAGGAACAGAAAACCAAATACTGAATATTTTCACTTGTTAGTGGGAGCTAAATTTAATATCTGTGGACACAAAGATGGAAACAATAGGCACTTGAGGTAGGAGGGTGAGAAGTTGTGGGTTTAAAAACTATCAGGTACTATGCTCACCACCTGGGTGACGGGATTATTTGTACACCAAACCTTAGTGACATGCAGTTCACCCATGTAACAAACAAACCTGTACATGTACCCTCTGAACCTAAAAGTCAAAAATAAATAAATAATCAAATAAATAAATCTTACTCATGGGAAGTTGGCATCCCCCATGAATTCTTATTTTTCAAAAGTTTTACAATGTATTTTACATCCTACTATCTAAATTCTTATGTATGTGTCCATAACCCTGGGGATACAAATTGTTGAAGCTCACTCGAATCATTTACCAATAACTCTATTCAGATCAAGTTATACTATTTAGACATTAAGTACCTTGATTATTACTTAAAATTACATGTAATTTCTTCATTTCCTCCTCCCTTCTTTCCTTCCCTCTCTCTTTTTTCCTTCCCCTACCTTCCTCCCTCCCCATCCCTAAAATATTTATTTAGCACTTCCAGTGTCAAAGTGCCAGACTTCAGAAATATAATTGTGAGCAAAGTCAATGAGGAACCTGACCTCAGAGAGCACAGCACCTAGCTATAAAGAGAGACATTAAGCATGCAAATATAATAAAGGGTGATCAATGTTATAAGAAGGAAATACTAAAATGGGTAAACTTTTCAGTGGGGATATTACAGTTTGTGATTTTTAAAATATAATAGTTCCAAAGCGATTTTAGCAGAATGCCTAAAGTAGCAGTGACTAATAATATGTTTACATTTTTTCCTTCTTCTTTGGACCTTTGACGCCATTATCATGTTCTGTCTACTTTTTGTTCTCCCCTCCTTTCCCTCTCTAGCAACACAATTCTGTGTTATTTTTCACCTGCATAAAACCTGCAGTTGTTTCTCTTCAACATTTCAGAATCACCACTTACATTTTGTCACACAGAGTGCTTTTTATAAAAAGCAGTTATAAATTATAGTGAAGGGCAAATATTCATACCTTGAAAAATTCCAAAACCCCATATCCTAATACCCTTGACTTTTTCTTTCTCCATCATGATTTTTATGTAAAGTGTGAGGATGTGGTTATTAATTTATGTGAGCTGATATATATCTATGTTGCTCCTGGGGGGAAAAGATGTTATGTATATTAACAGTGTATACTAGCACATGAAATTTTTACTTGACCTCAGAAGTCACTATTTTGATTCTACCTCTTTTCTGTCTCCTACTTGGTAGTGGACAACATTGTTTCTACAGGTAAACTGATAATCGGTTATTAGTTTGTTTCTCTTAAAAAGAGCTATGGGTTCTAAATTGGGTTCACAGAAGCTCATGGACACAGCAGCAAATCATTCATGGAAAATTGGTGCCTGATCCCTTCATGTTGTACAAGATCAGATCGCCATTGGCTTCAAACTTAACCTTATGTTTGCACTTGGGATTCCTGCCTTCCTCTGAATGTTCTCAAGGCCTTCTCATTGGCAGGTCTATTGAGGGCTCAGTGGCCTGCCCACCATGCCTCAACTCATCTGCATTCTGATTCCTCCTCGCATTCGCCAACCTGGTTTGTCCCTGGTCTCTGACACCGAGCATATGTCACTGTCACTGAAAAGAGGCTGCCTTCCTCCCCTTGCTGCACACAGATTTAGCACATGGGACCTTCTCTCTCGTTTACTTACTTACTTCACCTGCTTCAGATCTGCAGAAAAGAACATCTGAGAGTGAAACTTACAGTCCAAACTGAACTTCCACCGGGAAGAAGAGTTTGATGTTGGAAAGCAAACTTTATTTTGGCAATTATTTAATCAGCCACATGATTCTAAATTATTTCATTTTCCTTTCCCTTTGCTGCTTGGTTAGTTCAAGGCTCTGCACAACAACTTTACACATGGTTATCTCTTTACATCTTGGCAATGTGTGTAAGTTGGAATAACACGAGGTTCAGGTGGGATTTCCTGTTTTCTTATATATTTAGCTAGGCAAGGCCTCAAGTAAGAAATCAGTGCCACTATTCTGCATGAGAATGTTTACATAAATAATGGTTCAGATTCTCATATGCAGCAGGCTAGTTTGTTCTTGATGGTCCTTGAAAGTCCTTTTTTCTTTTTAACCTGGTCACAGTCAACTTAAGCTGACCTGGCAAGTGCCCAGATTGCTTGTACAAGAATTACAAATTATTAGTGTCATTGACTCTTCCACTGTACAAATGGCTGCTATGTTTGAGCAGCAAGCAGGCAGCACTTAGAGGCAGCCAGCCTTTCTAAATGTCCTTTAATGAAGAGACCATGTTCATTTGCTTTTAAGATCAGAATGTTCTTTCTGGGTTTTCTTAACTCATTTTATCTTTGCCCTTAAATTTCCTACTCGGTGGATAAGTAATTGCCAAAGAAGAGCTGTCTCAGAAAAGGCTTTGTGTGCTGATCCCAGCCACTGGTCCCCAGGAGCTTTACTAAGACAGGCATTTCTTTTTTATATTTGAGTCATAGGAGGGAGATTAGCTCTTCTGGACTTCATCTGGGCTTTTCCTTATGACCACGTGGCAATAAGACCCAGTGACAATCACTCCCTACTGGAGTTTGTATGCATTGCCTTCAGTCTTCCAGCTGCTTTCATCTACCAAACTCAGGATCCCCTCACCACTTTTCTCTTTGGTAGATATAAGAGATTATTTGGAAGAACTAGTGAAGTTACCTGAATTTTTTACCTTCTATGCAAAATGAATTTTAGTAGTGGAAAGCAGATGTTTATGTAATCAATGGTGGTTTGTGTAGTCAGCCCAGTTTAGTTGGGGATATCATGGCTTTGGAAATGTATCCTGAGATACATTATCTGCTTAATAATGTTGACTGAATATGGTCTAGAGAAAAGGCAGAGTTGTAAAAATGAGTGGTCTTACAAGAAAGAGGTCAGAATCATGCATTAAGAAATGCCAGATATATCATGGTTACTCTTCTCTCCCTATTTCTAGTTGCTATAAAAGTATTGCAAAGATTGGCCAGGCGTGGCCGTCACGCCTGTAATCCCAGTGTTTTGGGAGGCCGAGATTAGTGGATCATTTGGGGTCAGGAGTTCGAGACCAGCTTGACCTACGTAGTGAAACCCCGTCTCTACTAAAATACAAAAATTAGCCGGGTGTAGTGGCAGGCACCTGTAATCCCAGGTACTCGGAAGGCTCAGGCAGGAGAATCTCTTGAACCCATGAGGCGGAGTTGCAGTGAGCCCAGATGGTGCCACTACATTCCAGCCTGGGCGATAGGGCAAGACTCCCTCTCAAAAAAAAAAAAAGGATTGCAAAGATTTAGGAATATTCTGAGATGAATAACAGCTTGCTGCTTAGGAAACTATCTGAGTTTCTTCTCTAAGATGGGTAGACTATGCTGACATGGTGAGGATAAGAGATTTCCTTTAAAACACATGTACCTTATTTTGAGTCAGTGTGCTCTTGATTTCCGTGCTGACAGATTGTGCAATGTGAGGTTTGTGACTTTACTTTTCTGTTCCTTATTTCCTTTTCGTATAAAATGGGCAAAACAATCCCTGCATCTATGACAAAGTAAAATGATTGCAGTATTACATTTTTTAAAAACATAATCCAAAAATTTTGCCAAAATAATTTTCTTCAATTAAAATGAACGGTAGCACAATAATTGTAGGATACTCAAGTAGTTATTTAATTCTTTAGTGGAGTGCATTTTATTACAAATGCCTAATCAAACAAGGATTTAAAATAAAATTCCACTTATTTTAATAATGACTGTATTTAAAGTTCCCCATCACTAATACATTGGGATTTTGTGTGCATGTGTGATCTGGAATCTCTCAGCTAAGGGCTGGGAAATATTGTTAGTGATTAAGTGAAAATGAATCTCATTTTGGGAATGAAGGAAACAAATATGTTTGAGAATAACTTTAACATTCATGCATGGGTTTGGGGCAGGACTGTCTTAATGTCGTAATCCTTTAAAAAGGTTCTAACTGAAGTAGATAACTAATTTGTTCTGCAGAGAGCTTTCTCAGATTACTCTCTTTGTGTGCAGATGGTTCCTACCCCACTGGAGGACTTCATTGTTCAATACACTCATCATCCATCCAGGACTGAGTGGAGTGCAATGAAGGAAGGTTAATGGGAGAGCTTTGTGTTTTCAGACAGTTCTTATGCTTCTAGGAAAGTTAATTAGGAAGTGAAAACTTAAGCAGTTGACAATGTGCATTGTTGGCTACTAGGGCATGGTGACAAACAGCCCTGAAAGGTCTTCACTTTCTTTTGTAAACAGAAAGGTAAGGAATTTGCACAAAAATGCACTGGTGAAGATCTGCTTTTCATCAAGGTCGAACCACGTAGTAAACAACAGAAATAACTTGTTGTAATAAAGCGTGGTGTTGAAATGTTTATCAGCAAGTCCTTTTGACTGGCTTCAAAAGGTATATTTGAATAAGAGAAACCTTTGCCCAGAAGAACACAATCTGAAATTTAGTTCTAACATTTTCTTTATGTCAAGGTCAAGAAACTTAAGGGAAAAGTTTGACTTTCATGTAATCATGAATTTATCTCTCATTAGGTTGAGATATTATGACTAAGTATTCACTTGATATTTGGGGTAGATACAGTTGATAAAGAGGAGAGAATTCTGAAAAATACTTGATCTGAAATGGCTTAATTAATTCTATTTCTCTAAAGAAAGGTCTGCGTTCTACCTTTTTCTCTGGATGGGTGTGTACTGAGTTCCATATGAAGAACCTTTCAAAATGTAAAAATGTATTGTTGTGATGAGAAAATAGAACAAGAACAAGGCTGATCTGATAGAAAGTGTAGGTAAATCTGGGAGGCAGGTCTGAGCCTGGCCTAAGGATAGTGGTAAAGTGTTTGAGATGTAAAACTCAAAGAAGTGGGACTGGGCAGTCCAAGCAGATAAATTTGAAATGAAAGACAAAGAGAAGGGAATAACTGACATTAACACAGTAGTTTCCAGGGTGGGGATGTATCCTGAGGGCTGGCAACAATTACAGAGAAGCAAATATAATTTTTTTTACATCCAACAGGATTTGTTCAAGACTCAATTCCTCTTTTCCAAGTAAAGAGAAGAACTTTCTAGGAAGGCTCTGCAATTCTGTCTGTAGAATGTTCTGAGATGTTGGAAATGAACTGTGCTGCCTGAGACTGTGGTCATTAATGACATGTGGCTACTGAATACTTGAAATGTGGATAGTGTGTCTGGGTAACAATTCTAAATTTTATTTAATTTTAATTAATTTTAACTTTAATAGCCACATGTGGTTAGTGGCTATTATTTTAGATAGCATAGCTAGGCATTACCTCTTCAGATACATCATGATTAATGATGGGCTTTGTCCTAGGTAAGAAAGAATAGTTTTGAGAAAATTTGAGGATTCTTCTAAGAGAGGACTTCTTATCCTAAGTCTATGACTGTACTAAGCCCCTCAATTTGCACTAATGCAAATATTTCCCAGTTGTAAATATTTCATGCTTTGTCTCCCCTTTGTGTACTCAGGACTGATGGTAGACCAAACCCACCCTTGCCTAATCTGGCTGTATTGGCCGAAGGAAGAGAAAGGGGGAAGTTCTAGCAGAGAATTAAAGAACATGCTTTTTAAACTTAATTAGATGAACTATCTGAGTTTTCTCCTACTTTGGCCTTTGAATGACTACTGAATTGCCCAGATTTTACAAAGAGTAGAATTTGTTGAATATAATATATATATATTTTTGCTATCAGTTTGTTAGAAATTTGTTACAATATGTTATTATGGTTGACGTTAATCATGAATTAATTTTTGTTGTTGACAGAATGTTCTTTAGTCACCGGACAATTCAAGTAACAGTGTTTCTGTCCAAAAATATTGCCATAAAAAAGGAATGAAATAATGGCATTTGCAGCAACTTGGATGGAGTTGGAGATCATCCTTTCTTTCCTTTCTTTTCCTTCCTTTCTCTCTCTCTCTCTCTCTCTCTCCCCTTCCTTCCCTCCCTTCCTCCCTTCCTCCCTTCTTTCTTCCCTTTTCTTCCCTTTTCTTTTCTTCTTTTCCTTCCTTTCTCTTTCTTTCTTTCTCCTTCCTTCTTTTCTTTCTTTCTCTTTCTTTCTTTCTTTCTTTCTTTCTTTCTTTCTTTCTTTCTTTCTTTCTTTCTTTCTTTCTTTCTTTCTTTCTTTGTTTTCTTTCTTTCTTTCCCTCCCTCCCTCCCTTCCTTCCTTCCTTCCTTCTCTTTTTTTGATGGAGTCTTGCTCTGTTGCCCAGGCTGGAGTGCAATGGCACGATCTTGTCTCACTGCAACCTCCGCCTCCCAGGTCTCCTGCCTCAGCCTCCTGAGTACCTGGGATTACAGGTGCATGCCACCATGCCTGGCTAATTTTTGTACTTTTAGTAGATGCAGGGTTTAACCATGTTGGCCAGGCTGGTCTTGAACTCCTGACCTCAGGTGATCCACCCACCTCGGCCTCCCAAAGTGCTGGGATTACAGGTGTGAGCCACCACAACTGGCCCAGGAGACCATTTTTCAAAGTGAAGTAACCCAGGAATGGAAAACCAAATATTGTATTTTTTTAAAATTATACTTTAAGTTTTAGGGTATACGTGCACAACGTGCCGGTTTGTTACATACGTACACATGTGCCATGTTGGTGGTATTTCTTACTTATAAGTGGGAGCTAAGCTATGAGGATGCAAAGGCATAAGAATGAGATAATGGACTCTGGATTTAGGGGGAAGGATGGGAGTGGGGTGAGGGATAAAAGACTACACATTGGGTTTAGTGTACACTGCTTGAGTGATGGGTGCACCAAAATCTCAGAAATCAGCACTAAAGAACTTACCAATGTAACAAAAATCCACCTGTTTCCTAAAAATATGGAAACAAAATAAAATATATACATATATTTATTCACAAGTTGATATGCCTAGATAAAGCAAAATGTTAGTAAAGAAGCAACATATGTAAAAGGACCACAGAGGAACAAAAGGGAAATATGTTTGGACTAAAGCCTTGGTATAAGTGTGAATAGCATCTAGAGATGATCTCTAAGTATTTGTTGGCAGGATGTTGTATGATGAGACTTAGAATAATTAAATTGCCATCCAGTTGGAACCCAATCAAATGCTGACCTAGGATGAGGTAATTATTTTTAGTTGGTAACTAGATACTCAAAAGGTTTTTCATATCATCTGTGTAGTTCACTCCACCTTGACAAGATCAACCAATCAATTGCAATTAGCCATCCATTCCTTCATCTCATTACTGTTCTTTTCTTGTTTTCCTTTTCAGCAACAATGGCCATGAGGGATTCAAGGATTATGCGGTAAGGTAAATCTTAGTTTCCATTTTACCACTTTTTAAAGCACCAACCACTTATGAGATCTCAACTACTTTTATAATGAATTTCTAATTTATGATTATAATTCTTGCTGTCATTTTATGAAACACAATGTTATTGAAAACAAGAAAAGTTGTTCTGCCTTTGCTATCTTGTCCCTGGTGCATTTTTAGCCCTTCTCATCTCTGTTACTCTCTTCATACTTTTTATTATCTGCTTCTTGCTCTATGAAGGCAGGTATTATGTCTGACTTATTCAGTGTAGTGTCCTCACTAGCCAGACCATGACTGAAAAACAATAGTTACCAAATAGATGTTTATTAAATCTTGTTTTCTGAAGCATAAATATCTTCCTGTTTTCCTGTAATCTTTTGGAACTGTTGTGTTGTGTATGTATTTCTAGAAATCTGGGTGTAGATACATTCATAAGTAGACATGGATCAATCACACATATATATATTTTATTTTTATTATTTCTTTCTAACTTTTATTTTGGGTTGGGGGTACATGTGCAGATTTGTTTGTTACATGGGTAAATTGTGTGTTTTGGGGATTTGATGTACAGATTATTTCATCACCCAGGTAATAAGCATAGTACCCAATAGGTAGTTTTTCATTTCTCATCCTCCTCCCACCTTCCTCTCTCAAGTAGGCCCTGGTGTCTATTGTTCTCTTCGTATCCATGTGTATTCAATGTTTAACTCTCATAAGTGAGAACATGCAGTATTTGGTTTTCTGTTCATGTGTCACTTAGGATAATGGTCTTCAGTTCCATCCATGCTATTGCAAAGAACATGATCTCATTCTTTTTAATGGCTGTGTGGTATTCCATGGTGTATATATGCCACATTTTCTTTATCAATCCACCATTGATGGACATTTATGTTGATTCCATGTCTTTGCTATTGTGAATAGTGCCATGGTGAACATATGCATGCACGTTATCTTTATGTTGGAATGATTTCTATTTCTTTAGGTATATATGCAGTAATGGGATTGTTGGGTTGAATGGTAGTTCTGTTTTCAGTTATTTGAAAAATCTCCAAACTGCCTTCAACAGTGACTGAACTAATTTACATTCCCACCAGCAGTGAATACATGTTCCCTTTTCTCCTCAACCTTGCCAGCAGCTGTTGCTTTTTGACTTTTTAACAATAGCCGTTCTGATTGGTGTGAGACAATATCTCACTGTGGTCTTGATTTGCATTTCTTTAATGATTAGTAATGTGGAGCATTTTTCCACATGCTCATTGGCTGTATGTATGTCTTCTTGTGTCTGTTCATGATCTTTGACCATTTTTTTGGGGTTGACCATTTTTTTGACCATTTAATGGGGTTGCTTGTTTTCTGTTTGTTGGTTTGTTGAAATTCTTCATAGATTCTGGATATTATACCTCTTTTGATACATAGTTTGCAAATATTTTCTCCCATTCTGGAGGTTGTCTGTTTACTGTGTTGATAATTTCTTTTGCTGTGCAGAAGTGCTTTAGTTTAATTAGGTCCCATTTGTCAATTTTTGTTTTTGTTGCAATTGCTTCATCATGAAATCTTTGCCAGGGCCTATGACCAGAATGGTATTTCCCCAGATTTTATATTTTATATAAGTTCTTGATGAAGCATTGTTAAGCATTTTATACAATGAACTTGAGAGAGTACCTGGGGTTCTGAAAAAGCATCTTCAACTACTTCACAAAGAATTTTTACAAAATATGACATTCTACATTTTCTATGGGATAATTGTGTCTGTACTATCTAAGAGTCTCTGGATTCTTTATATTTTTCTAATTTCCATTGAACTTTTGGGTCTCATAGAAAGGAGGCAAGCTGAAGTTGTTACATTAACTAACTAATGAATCAGTTAACCAACAGGCCTTGACTTCCTCCTATGTGAAAGTGACTGGACGAAGTGATTAGACATTGGTGTGCCTGCCTTTGAACTGAAGGCCTTGTTACTGTAGAAGTGTAAATCCCTGTGCCTCCTTTTTCAACACACCTGTTTGGTTTAAAAACAAATATAAGATCTACATTCTATAGAGAACAGAAATTTTCTATACTTTTAATGGCTTCCAAAATGTCTGGATAATTTCATAGTATTAGTGAATATCATGAAAGAGAATAGGAAGTAAAAAAAAAAAGTGAGAAAATGAAACTTTTACTGCTTAAAAAACAGTGGCAAGTTCCCTGAAGTGGTAAATGGACCATCTGTGTGCTCTGGCACCAGAAAATGTATAATTTCTTTAAAAGTACCAGTACATAGCTGTCCTTTTGAATGTATATCTGAAATAATGTATGTATTGTATATGAAAATAAAGCAGGGAGACAGAGTGTACTTTTAAAGCACAGTGTGCATATTTACTTCAAAGCTATTGTCAACAAGAATACAATTTATTAATTTAGGTAAATATAAAGAGTCAGGCTTTTTTTTGTTTATTGGTTTGTTTGTTTTTTTTTTCTTCTTCAATAAGGAGGGTAAGTAGATCACACCTCAAAAATCTGTCTGCTCCCGTTTGGAAAACGATTGCCTTGAATCTTGAACACCTTATTGGAAATACTACAGACATTGCAGTTGGAAAGGGGTAACTTCAGTTCTGACGGAACCCACTATCTCTCCCAGTAGTCATAGGGCTTGTATGTTCGGGAACACCCAAGTCCTACCAATAGCTTTTATAGTTGTTCAGCATTAAACTCAGAGTCAAGGGAAAGAATTTGTTATGTTCTTTGTCTCATTTAAATTTCTTCCTTCTTTTCAGTGCTGGTTGAGTATGTATGAAGTTTACAGCAACACAGAAATCAGAGATTAAACATCTTGGTAGAATTAATTTAGTGTCCAGCATTGTACTTTTTTCTCTATGAATGCAAATTTCCTGTTCACCTTAAAACTCTCTGTGGGGAGGAAGTAGCAGTTATCAGAGGTGATAACATGGAGACCCAACCAGTAACCTTTTAGCAAAGCACAAGTTTCTAGAATTTCTTTTTTTAAATCCTTAATAATAATCTTTTATGTATTTATTTATTTTTATTAAAAAATTTTTAAATTTTTTATTTCCATAGGATTTTGGGGAACAGGTGGTGTTTGGTTACATGAGTCAGTTCTTTAGTGGGGATTTGTGAGATTTTGGTGCACCCATCACCCAAGCAGTATACAGTGAACCCAATTTGTAGCTTTTTATCCCTCACCCCCTTCCTGCCCTTTTCCCTGCCAGTGCCCAAAGTCCATTGTATCATTCTTAGGCCTTTACATTCTCATAGCTTAGCTCCCACTTATGAGTGAGAACATACGATGTTTGGTTGTCCATTCCTGAGTTACCTCACTTAGAATAATAGTCTCTAATCCCATCCACGTTGCTGTGAATGCCATTAATTCATTCCTATTTACGGCGGAGAAGTATTCCATCATATATATGTGTGTATATATATTATACACATATATATCATACATATACATGTATATATATACAAATATATGTATATATGGATAATATGTATATATACATATATGTGTATATATGGATAAAGAAACTGATATACATGTATGTATGATATATGTGTATTATATATGTGTATTATATGTATATATACATATATATCTCATATATACATATATACACATGTGTGTATATATAGCTCATATTATATCTATATATTATATATAATTCATATATATCTCTCTCAGTTTATATATATTTCTATATATTATATATATATAAAATTCATATATATATATATCTCTCTCTCACAGTTTCTTTATCCACTCTTTGATTGATGGGCATTTGAGCTGGTTCCATATTTTGTAATTGTGAATTATGCTGCTATAAACATGCGTGTGCAAGTATCTTTTTCTTATAATGACTTCTTTTCCTCTGGGTAGATACCCAGTAGTGGGATTGCTGGATCAAATGGTAGCTCTACTTTTAGTTCTTTAAGGAATCTTTACACTGTTTTCCATAGTGGTTGTACTAGTTTACATTCCTACCAACAGTGTGGAAGTGTTCCCTTTTCACCACATCCACGCCAACATTTATTATTTTTGAGTTTTCAATTATGGCCTTTCTTGAGGGAGTAAGGTGGTATGGCATTGTGGTTTTGATTTGCATTTCCCTGATCATTAGTGATGTTAAGCATTTTTTCATATGTTTTTTGTCCATTTGTATATCTTCTTTTGAAAATCATCAAAAACAAAGGTAAATATGTAGGACTTAATTAAACTAAAGAGCTTCTGTACAGCAAAAGGAACAGTCAGCAGAGTAAACAGACAACACACAGAATGGGAGAAAATCTTCACAATCAACAGAATTGGTTTTCTTCCACCATTCCTCTTCAGGAAGCCCTTTCCAGATGAAGGTCGGCATTGCATTTCCGCCAAGCTAGTCTCCTTTCAGTTTTTGGCAAGGGTCAGGGTCTTTTGCACCTCTGCACCTTCTCATTTGCTGTTCCCTGAGCCTGGAACACTCTCTGCTGGGTGAATTTCTACTTATCCCTCAGATCTCAGCTTAAATATTTCCCCTTCACAGGAGTTGTTTGTGCTTTGACTTAATTTACGTTGTGTGTATTTTGCCTCTAAAAGAGATTTGTAAAAGTTAGAATTTTAAAGTTGAACCAAAGAGAAATTGTTGTCATTTGTGACCAAACCAAAATTTATTTATTGTTGATTTTTTTAAAAATCATCTCTGTTTCTGACTGACATTAACGACACTATAATTTTTTTCTCTTTTTCAATAATGATTCTTTCTTTTTCTCTGGTATTGAGTTTCTTCTCTTTACATTGTGGTGATTTCTTTTTCACTTTTCCTTCCCCTAAGTTTTCATAATTTTAGCTTGGTTGCCTTACAGATTATCACTTAACTCTATTTTTTTCTCCCCTCATTTTTATTGCAAATATCACACATACTAAAAAGTGCATGAAATTTACAGATACCATTTAAAAACTCGTCATAGAACAAACATTTGTGTAACTGCTAGTCACTTCTTGAAGTAACCATTATCCTGACTTAAAAAAAAAGATTTCCTTGCTTTCTTTACTATTCATTTATGTATACTTAAATGATATAGTTTAGTTTTGCCTATTCTTGAAATTTACATGCACAGAAAAATGCTGTATATATTTTTTGTGGCTTGTTTTTATTCAATATTAAAGACTTACCAGTTATTGAATGCATTTGTAGATTATTTCTAAAATTTGTTTTTCTGTTTTACTATTAATGGAATACAATTTGGGTTGCTTCTAGATGTATATTTTCAGGCATATATCCTGGTGTATATGTGCATGAGTCCCTCTTGGATATATAGGCTTAATTTTGTTGGATCATTGGGCATTTATACCTTTATTTTTACTAGATAATGGCAAACTCTTTTACAAAGTCGTTGTATCAATGAACACTTCTACCAGCAGTGAGTTCCCATTGCTCAGCATTTTTGCCAATGTTTGATATTATTAGACTTCTATATATTTTTTATCCTTTTAATGTGTGTATTACTGATAACTAAGTAGGTTTCATGTCTTTCTACATGTTTATGTGCCATTTGGATGCCTTCTTTTGATTAGCTGTTTGTCCATTTTCCCCTTGGGTACCTGCTTTTTTTCCATTGATTCATGTGAGATTTGTATATCACAGAGCGGTAGGAGTGAGGAGGGCTGTGTTCCATGCAGTCATTCAGAAACCCAGGCTCTTCCAGTCAGTAGTTCTATTACCTCCTGGAACCTTGGAATCCTTCACCAGATCCTCCACATTTGGCCAGCATCTGAGGAGAGACATAACGTAAGAGGAGGAGGATCATGTGGAAAGTTTTACAGGAGTCAGGCCTGTATATCGGTGCTGTATATCGGTCACTTCCGCCTAAATTCCAGTGGCCAGATGCCAATTATATGGTCCCGGGGAAATACAAGTGAGGTTCGGAAATATGCTCAGAGCGCTCACGATAAAAAGGACATTGGTTTGGTGAACCCAAAGCACTGTCTCTGCCATACATCCCATGATCATGATGATAGATGATATTCTCCTTTATCATTTTCTAAAAGCTTTATAGTTTTTCATTCGAACGTTTAATTTGTAGTTATTTTTGGTGTGAAGTAGGCAGCTGATTTCACATGTTAATTAATTTAGATGTCCAATTTTTCTACCATCATCTTTAAAAATCTGTCCTTTCTTGATCCATAATGTGGCATTTATAATTGATCAAGAGTCAATATTTGGGTGAGTGTATTTTAAGGCTCTCTATTCTGTTTTGTTACTCTATGGATCTTCACTGTGTCAATATCACATACATCACATTGTATACATATACAATGCCTTTTTAAAAATGAGAAACCAAGGGAAAAGTGTCTGTCTATAACTGCCTCACTCAGGCCTTAAAGAAGGTATTTAACTGTTGTAGGTGGAATGTCTCTACAATGGAGAGGATAATAGACTACTAAGACAGTTGATGGGTTAGGTTTAATTTATCAAAGGTACTGTTTAATATTAAATAAAATTCATACTATTTGGGCCTATAGAGTATTTATATTTAAGTTGATTATATATTTCTTTAAAATGGTAAAGCAATTTAAATGACAATTTAGTACATTTGACTTATGTCACTTCTTAGTCTCTTTCTGCTGCATTAATGACTGTGTTCTCTTGTGAAAATTAGCAACATGAAGCACTTTCTCTTACAAGAACTTTTGTTTTGTTTATTTTCTCACCCATTTTGTGTCTTTCTTCTTTTTATCTTTGTTTGTTTTCTGGAGGTTTTAATTTCTCTTAATCTGAATAGCATTCATTTATATAGAATGATCTTCAGCCATTTGCTAAAAGCCCCGTTCCATTATTTTCTCAGTTGGTTTCCTTTCCTTTTTTTATTTAATGCAAAAGAATGAGTTCTTTTTGCTTTTATATCTTTGAAGAGTCCCTTATGAATCCACAGAATCTATTTCTTGATGCTTGCATTTTTTTCTATGAAACTATAGCTGATTTCTTCTTTTTGCAGTTCCAACTCTCTTCTATAGTCATGCATTTTTATAGCTTCCTCCCCTACTCCAGTGGTTCCCCACCTGTTCACTCATGAGCCATGAGTGGCTCACAAACCTGTTTCAGGTGGCCCATAAGTCTCCTGTCAGCTCACCGCCCAGCCTTCACAAGCAAAGTGGGTCACCAACGAGGCCTTCTCATGCTTCCTAGCAACTGGTAGGGCCCAAACCCACCTGCTCTGCAGTTTCTCCTCCCACCATGGAAAAAAAAACCCTTCATTCAAGTTTATGACTCATAACGTTATAAATGAAGCATATCAGAGTAATCTGAATAATAAAAAAATGCCCTACCACCTCACACCATACCAATAGGAAGTCCACATTTCCTTAAGACTTGCGAACCAAGTATGAACTCAGTCACAAACTCAAAATCACCTTGCAAAATGTCATGGTTTTATTTATCAATAAGTAAACTCAGCCTAGATTTAAAAACCTGCCTTGGCTCGGTAGTAGAAAATTTGCCAGCTCCAGAAAATTCTTTAACTTCTAGTCTAGCACTTGGTTCCTTAGTAGGGAAAGAGTGGTAATTAGCCAAATGAGTGTTCTCCACTGTCTGGATTTTTCTCTTTCTCCTAGGTTGGATTGGGGTCCAAATCCAAATCACATATGTCATAGGTTGTCGTGTGGGGAGGTTGGCATGTGTTTCTGATTACCTTCTATGCTGGTTTGCCTCTTCTGAGGTGGAATTCGTCCCTTCAAGCCTTGGGCTGTACTACCTAAGTCTGCATCACCTACTGCTGATGTCAGCCATTTCTCCATGGCTCCCAGGGGTTGGCTTCTCTTATTCTGTTCTCTCCTGACTCTGTGCTGCCCTCATAACAGCCATGAGGCCTCTTCTGGACTATCAGTCCCTCAGCCACTTGTGTGCATACTTAGTGGCAGGGTGGAGGGGGAAAGAGTGTGAGAGGATGGAGGCCAAAGGCTTTCCGTACAGCACTTTGGTATGCTCAGGATTCTAGGAGTTTTCTTTGAGGTCTGTCTTCTTAGAAATATTCTTCAGTCATTGCTTCTTTACTGTTTTAGGTACCATGTTGGCTTGGTAGTAGAACACTTAATCTTGTCAGTTCCAGAAAATTTACTGACTTTTAGTCTAACATTTTGTCCCTTAGTAGGGAGGGGGTGGTAATTAATGAGCCAAATGAGGATTCTAGAAGAATCCTATGTGGCTTGCAGCCTTTCAGTTTATGCCCCAGCCTTTCAAGGGGGCTGCTTGGGAATCTTCTGTTCTGCTTGGGGATCTTCTCTGAGCTTTCTGTTATCCTGCTGCTTCTGGGGGCTGGCTTGGGATCCTGGTGCTGCTGCTCTCTTTCCTCTCTTTGACAAGGGATGGAGCCCTCTTTTTCCTCTGGGTGGGTGATGGTATTACATTACCCTGCATTCATCCACTCCATGGTTTAGATCATGTGGGTCCTCCAGGATTTGGTGCTTTATACTGAATCCAACCTCTTGAATTAAAAAAAGAAAACTTTTCTCCTTTAAGTGTCTGACTCTTGCAACTGAAAAGATGTAGCTTTTAAGATTGTTGTCTCTGCTCTAGATTTATAAAAAATTGATTTCAGAACTAAACAGCCAAGAATGTAATGTTTTATTCTCTTCCCCAAGTCTCTTCCCTAAGGTAAGTGCATGTTGAAAGACATTACTGCTGCTTGAATTGGGGGTTGGGGATGGAAAGTGAGGAATGGAGCCACTCACATAGAGATTTGACTAAAATATTACCTTTTTGAATCTGTCTTTCTTTATGGAAAGTGTGTGATAATCACAAAATGGTCTATCTCTCCTTCATTTATCATTCTCTCAGTAGTGCTACCATATTAGAAAATCCAGTGACTTATAAGTACATGAAAAGACTAAATAATTGTAATAAGCTATTGCCTATAACAAAGTCAGTTGCCAAGTCCTGTGAATTCTTCCTTCACAAAATCTCAGAGGACTAGACACTTAAAAAAGAGTTATGACATTCTAAAATATTTAGAAATACATTACTTCATTTGTAATTTTAATTATAATGATACAGGTATTTTAATGGAGGCGATGTGAGAGTATCTTAGACCCATTTTGCACTTCTGACCTACAGAGTGGTAAGAAAATAAACTGGAATTGTTTTAAGACACTGTGTTTGTGGCAATTTGTTATAGCAGCCATGGAAGATGAATACAGGATTCTTAAATCTGATTGGCACAGTCTAGGCTATGTGTCTAAGCTCCAAATAGGAAAACTGGAAAAATGAGTGTATGTTTTCAGTTTCTCTACTGGGGAAATGGGCTCTGCTGTCACTAAGACTCATGAGAACACAAGAAGTATGTTCTAATGCTGGTAGCTCACCCAACCACCAGACAAATACTATTGACTACAAGAGTTTTTATACAGTGGTTTCCAAATGTGTTAGATAGCAGGGCCTCTATTTTCTATGTTTTATTGGCATATCTCCAGAACCTCATCTGGAAAGGCTGCATTAGAAATAATAATGATAAAGAGCATAGCACAGTGCCCAGTACATAGTACACACTCAAAAAATGGTAGTCTCTTTGTGGTTGCTATTGCTAAGCTACACTAAGCCCTCAACCAACAAGTTTGATTATTGCAGAAAACTACTGTCCTATTAGACTTCTTGTGAAAGGGAAAAAAATACTCTGGTGCAAACTATGGGAAGATTGAGGCAGTGGAACCTCAGTAGATGATCAGGAAGTAGATGAGGAGCTAGGCATGAGGAGAGAGAAAGAGTAGCCTGGCAGTGAAGTCCAGTCCTCTGAGATTCTGTGAAGGAAGGATTCACAGGGCTTGGTAACTGAGTTTTTCTTTTCTTTTTTTTTTTTTTTTTTTGTTAAATGATTAACATTGGTTTGTTTGTTCTTTTTTATTTTATTTTATTTTATTATTATTATACTTTAAGTTTTAGGGTACATGTGCACAATGTGCAGGTTAGTTACATATGTACACATGTGCCATGCTGGTGTGCTGCACCCATTAACTCGTCATTTAGCATTAGGTATATCTCCTAATGCTATCCCTCCCCCCTCCCCCCACCCCACAACAGTCCCCAGAGTGTGATATTCCCCTTCCTGTGTCCATGTGTTCTCATTGTTCAATTCTCACCTATGAGTGAGAACATGCGGTGTTTGGTTTTTTTTGTCCTTGCGATAGTTTACTAAGAATGATGATTTCCAATTTCATCCATGTCCCTACAAAGGACATGAACTCATCATTTTTATGGCTGCATAGTATTCCATGGTGTATATGTGCCACATTTTCTTAATCCAGTCTAGCATTGTTGGACATTTGGGTTGGTTCCAAGTCTTTGCTATTGTGAATAGTGCCACAATAAACATACGTGTGCATGTGTCTTTATAGCAGCATGATTTATAGTCCTTTGGGTATATACCCAGTAATGGAATGGCTGGGTCAAATGGTATTTCTAGTTCTAGATCCCTGAGGAATCGCCACACTGACTTCCACAATGGTTGAACTAGTTTACAGTCCCACCAACAGTGTAAAAGTGTTCCTATTTCTCCACATCCTCTCCAGCACCTGTTGTTTCCTGACTTTTTAATGATCGCCATTCTAACTGGTGTGAGATGGTATCTCATTGTGGTTTTGATTTGCATTTCTCTGATGGCCAGTGATGGTGAGCATTTTTTCATGTGTTTTTTACCTGCATAAATGTCTTCTTTTGAGAAGTGTCTGTTCATGTCCTTTGCCCACTTTTTGATGGGGTTGTTTGCTTTTTTCTTGTAAATTTGTTTGAGTTCATTGTAGATTCTGGATATTAGCCCTTTGTCAGATGAGTAGGTTGCGAAAATTTTCTGCCTTTTTGTAGGTTGCCTGTTCACTCTGATGGTAGTTTCTTTTGCTGTGCAGAAGCTCTTTAGTTTAATTAGATCCCATTTGTCAATTTCAGGTTTTGTTGCCATTGCTTTTGGTGTTTTAGACATGAAGTCCTTGCCCATGCCTATGTCCTGAGTGGTAATGCCTAGGTTTTCTTCTAGGGTTTTTATGGTTTTAGGTCTAATGTTTAAGTCTTTAATCCATCTTGAATTAATTTTTGTATAAGGTGTAAGGAAGGGATCCAGTTTCAGCTTTCTACATATGGCTAGCCAGTTTTCCCAGCACCATTTATTAAATAGGGAATCCTTTCCCCATTGCTTGTTTTTATCAGGTTTGTCAAAGATCAGATAGTTGTAGATACGTGGCGTTATTTCTGAAGGCTCTGTTCTGTTCCATTGATCTATATCTCTGTTTTGGTACCAGTACCATGCTGTTTTGGTTACTGTAGCCTTGTAGTATAGTTTGAAGTCAGGTAGCATGATGCCTCCAGCTTTGTTCTTTTGGCTTAGGATTGACTTGGCGATGCGGGCTATTTTTTGGTCCCATATGAACTTTGAAGTAGTTTTTTCCAATTCTGTGAAGAAAGTCATTGGTAGCTTGATGGGGATGGCACTGAATCTGTAAATTACCTTGGGCAGTATGGCCATTTCCATGATATTGATTCTTCCTACCCATGAGCATGGAATGTTCTTCCATTTGTTTGTATCCTCTTTTATTTCATTGAGCAGTGGTTTGTAGTTCTCCTTGAAGAGGTCCTTCATGTCCCTTGTTAGTTGGATTCCTAGGTATTTTATTCTCTTTGAAGCAATTGTGAATGGGAGTTCACTCATGATTTGGCTCTCTGTTTGTCTGTTATTGGTGTATAAGAATGCTTGTGTTTTTTGTACATTGATTTTGTATCCTGAGACTTTGCTGAAGTTGCTTATCAGCTTAAGGAGATTTTGGGCTGAGACGATGGGGTTTTCTAGATAAACAATCATGTCGTCTGCAAACAGGGACAATTTGACTTCCTCTTTTCCTAATTGAATACCCTGGTAACTGAGTTTTTCATAGGGAATGGATTTAAAAAGAGTCAAGGCAGCTGCAAGGTTTGAATCCTAGAGACTATTCAAAAAGTAGTGGTACCAAATGGAGACTTAGGAAAAGGAGCTGTTTGGGGGCAAATTTTTGGTTTATTTTTAGATTTCCTTTAGGAAATTTGAAATTGGGGCTAGAATCAGTTGAAGTGTTGGGCTTGACCAGGTACAGTGGCTCACTTACCCATAATCCCAATATTTTGGGAGGCCAAGGGAAGAGGATCACTTGAGATCAGGAGTTCAAGACCAGCCTTGGCAACATAGCAAAGCCCCATCTCTAAAAAGTATTTTTTAAGAAATTAACCAGGTATGGTGGCACATCCTGATGTCTTAGCTACTTGGGAGGCTAAGACAGGAGGATTGCTTGAAACAGGAGTTTGAGTTTGCAGTGAGCTATGATCGTACCACTGTACTCTCTATCTCAAAAAAAAAAAATGTTGAGTTTGCACATGTGGCTTCAGGTGTCACTAGAATATTGGCTTGCTTACATTTTAAGAGTGTGTGAATTGGGGGCTGTCACAGTGGCTCACGCCTGTAATCCCAGCACTTTGGGAGGCTGAGGCGGGTGATCACCAGGAGTTCAAGATCAGCCTGGCCAACATGGTGAAACCCCGTCTCTACTAAAAATACAAAAAATTAGCTGAGTGTGGTGGCAGGCATCTGTAATCCCAGCTACTTGGGAGCCTGAGGCAGGAGAATTTCGTGAACCTGGGAGGCAGAGGTTGTAGTGAGCTGAGATTGTACCATTGCACTCCAGCCTGGGCAACAAGAGTGAAAGTGTGTCTCAAAAAAAAAAAAAGTGTGTGACTTGGGTGAGACCCAAAGGAGGAAGAGTACTTGCACATAAATTTTGGCACGAAAATCAGAATTTTGAGATCATTTGATTCACTTCACTCTATCTATAGATAAGGAAATGAGATCAAGACGTTTTAAGTGGAAAGGAAAAACAATTTTAAGTGGAAAGGAAAAACAATCAGTGAAAGAGACTGAAAACAAACATACTGGGTTGTTCTTGCATTGCTATAAATAAATACCCAAGGCTGAGTAATTTATAAGAAAAGAGGTTTAATTGGCTCATGGTTCTGCAGGCTGTACAGGAAGCACAGTGCCAACATCTGGTTGGCTTCTGGGGAGGCCTCAGGGAGCTTTTATTCAAGGGGGAAAGGAAAGGGGGAGAAGGCACATCACATGGCAAAAGCAGGAGCAAGAGAGAGAGAGAGTGGAGGAGGAGGTGCCACATACTTTTAAATGACCAGATCTCACAAGAACTCACTATCATGAGGACACCATCAAGAGGATGGTGCTAAACCATTCATGAGAAATCCCCCATGATCCAATTACCTCCTACCTGGCCCCACCTCCAACATTGGGGATCACAGTTTGAGGCATGAGATTTGTTGGGGACACAGATCCAAATTCTATCAACAAGCAATCAGAGGTATACCAAAACAGTCGCAGAGGTCCAATATTACAGAAGCAAGGGATAAGAGATGCAGGTGCCTCAAAGAAGAAATTGAAAAAACTAAGAGTCTGAGTCTACTCCCAGAGGTTCTAGGTGGTACTAGACATGTTTTATATGTTAGCCTATTTAATTCTCACAGCATCCCTGCAATGTAAAATGTTACTGACATCTTAGGTTGGTGAAACTGAGGCTAGGAGAGATTCATTTCCCTGCCAAAGATCACACAGCTTTTCAGTGGTAGAGCTGGGATTTGACCTCATTTACCTGACTCCCAAACCCTCTTCGACTATAGGAAATTTTTAGAGTGGGAGAGACATCTGGAGGGACAAGAATCATTTTAAGAGACAATTTTTGAACTCCTTAAAATTAACCCCATAGGAAGATCCTTTTGTGGTTTTTATCCCCAACTCAGCCCAGAACATTTTATCACTGACTGAAAATTCTGAAGGTGCAAACTCTAAATACAGGTGAGCAAATTCCAGGTACATAGTGGAGTCACAGAGGCCTGCTTGGTCCAGTTTGAGAGAAAGGTTGTATTGCTACTATAGCCTCTTGGTCTAATTCCCTGAAAACTTCATTTTCTAGCTCAGGCCTTTTCTGATTAGTCTAGTTTCTCTTTTTAGACCTTCAGTCATACCTGGAGCATTCCATCTTCTACCCCCTAAATGTTGAGAGTCACATCTCATCTGCCTGAAGTCCCAGGTCTACTCAGGTCCCTTTAATTATAAAGTCCTTTTGAGCTAACTTTTGTCTTGATTCTTATCTTCTATTTTCCAAACTACTTTTTGGTTCATTTCCCTGCTTAGAGCTATTCCTAATAGTAGCTTGTCTGAGTTACCTATTTAACATTTACATGTGTAAGAATCCAATTGACATCTCAACATACACAGCACTGTAAAAAGGCATGTATGCAATTTGGGCATAAATAAGGCCATGGTTATTTTTCAAGAGTAATTCATGATAGAAAGATATGGCACATTTGAGGAAGTCATAGGTTTAGAAGTGAGATTTCAGAGCAGCAGTGAAGTAGATAGTATAGGAACACCAGAGATCCAGGTACAAACTCTTGGTTTGAAAAGCTTGGTTGAGGAGAAAGAGTGGGTTGGTAGTTGTCAGGGTTTTTAAGAACTTTTAGTTGCTGCAGTTGTTTACTTTTAAGTAGAGGCTGCTAAGAATAATGGATTGAGAGACAAGAGAGCATAGTGATTAAGAACTGGACCTCAGTGTACAGAAGTGGGTGTTTGGGACATGCTTCTTTTTTTCTTTTTTTACTTCAAGTCCTGGGATACATGTACAGATGGGGAACGATTCTTAACCAACCAAGTCCTTGCTACTCAAAGTGTGGTCTACAGACTAACATTCATTTGTAGCACCCGGAGCCTGTTAGAAATGCAGAATCCTGGTCTTTGCCTCAGGTCTGTGTATTTTGAAAAGATGCCTGGAGGATTCATGTGTGTATTATCATTCTAGTTCCCTCATCTTTAAAACAGGGACAATGGGCCAGGCGTGGTGGCTCACGCCTGTAATCCCAGCACTATGGGAGGCCGAGGCGGGCTGATCACAAGGTGAGGAGATCGAGACCATCCTGGCTAACACGGTGAAACCCTGTCTCTACCAAAAATACAAAAAATTAGCTGGGCGTGGTGGCAGGCGCCTGTAGTCCCAGCTACTGGGGATTCTGAGGCAGGAGAATGATGTGAACTGGGGAGGTGGAGCTTGCAGTGAGCCGAGATCGCACCACTGCACTCCAGCCTGGGAGGCAGAGTGAGACTCCGTCTCAAACAAAACAAAACAAAACAAACAAAAACAAGGGACAATGATGATACCTATGTTGTAGAGCAGTTGTGAGAATGCAATGGCATGATGCATGTCAGGCACATACTAGGTGCTCAATACATATTTGATTGTTGTTATTGCTATGATTGAAGATGCTGCAGAAAGAAAGCATAAGTTTGATAAAATAATTCCTTAGCAGGAAAGTAGGGATAAGTTTTGGATGTAGCCAGAAGAGCTAGCTTTAGGGAGAAGCAGAGCTGCTTTGCCACAGGGCCATCCGGGGCAGATGATCTCTCTCTAACAATTCTCCCGTCTTGGAGAGGGGTAATCTCTGAGCCCCAGCTCCCATCCCTCAGAATCTTTAGTTTTTCCAATTCTCTTCAAAAAGTATTAAAATTCTGAAAATTATGAAGACTATCTTTGAACACTCCTATAGAAAGTAGCTGTATTCACTAAAGACATTTAAGTGAATCCAGCAGTCGGGCCTTAGGATTAAATGTGGGTAGAGGTGCTGGTTTTTGACCTGGTATCCAATATTTGTTTGAATTTTACTTAAATTGGTGGCAACTTTTGAATGCATGGTTTTGTGAAGGAATAGACAGTAAAGATAATGTTATTTCTGTTGTTTCCATGACAACGGACATGCTTCATGGAATATATCCATCATGCATAGTCTTGAACCATCTGGTTTCTAAGTCCTTGGTGAAAACCCTCTAGGAATGAAGTGTAGGTAAACTTTAATCAGTTTTATAATTACTGTAGTCTTTGCAAAAATTATTTAACTTGATTTTGCAGCTGCTTCAACATAAGGCCCAGAGGTCTTATTAGGGTTTTTATTGCCACTTTTAAGGAGCAGTTTAAGAGTCATGATTGTGCTGTAGCTGCAGATGCCACTGTTTCTGTCTTTGGTTCTGAGACTAGGTTGTAGTGACATCACACAAAGATGGAGAAAGGGCAAAGTTATTTTTTCCAACTGGCTCTGTCAAATATAAAAATTAACCATACTTTGAGCTGGGTTTTATGTATTGGTAATGTATGTTTATGTTAGAGTTTCTGTCAAAACAGGGATTAAAGATAAATGTAGCTAATTAAAAGAACATTTGCTTAGAGCTCCTGGTAATAGATACCTCTTTGTGAGGTCCTGAGGTATGGCTTTCTTTAAGAACCGATGCAATTTGTGTGACTGAAGAAGAGAGGAGACTCGATTTTCTGAAAATAAAACACGAGTCTGAGAATTATCCAGAGTGAGCTCTAAGGAAATAAACGAAGTAATGGCTAGGTAAAGTTTGCTTATGTGGTGAGTTATATAAAACGTGTGTCTACCCTACTTCTGACCTTTCACACTACTAAATGATATTTCCCAACAAAGCCTTTGAAGTAAAGCAGTACCTTTTAGCTGGTACTAGATCAATCAACTTATTTCAAACTGAACTCTAGATGATTAAAAATAAAACAAAAACTTTCAGAATCAAATTAGGCAATTGTTGTCTTTTTTTCCTTAATTTTACCAGGCAGTTGAACTTTTTCTGCTAATGACTGCATTCCTGGCATCTGTGTTTTCTTGTTTCCCTGCAGTGAGGGGGAAAAATGTGGGAACCAAAGAATAGTTTTTCTTGCCTCCCATCGACCACCAAAGTCAACAGGATTAAGTTCCAAAAGACAATTCCTATGAACTAGAAGGCATCTTATAAAAGTGATAGCCTAATTTACCTCTCATAAACTCATTGGTCTTATAAGCTACATGTTTCCATGGTGCTTTGCAAAGGAACAATTGTAACTACCAATGAAGAAGTTTAAATGTTAGATATAGGATGTGGTAAAACTTCCAAATAAACCACAATGGTTACCAAATATTTTGATATTTGAAACTATTTTATATTTGAGAGGGTGAGGGACTATCAAAATGATCTAATTGTTGGAGTGATTCTGGAACTTATTTCTAACCTCTAATCGACATAACTTAAGAAGTGCCATTTCTAGAATTTAAATATTTATTAGCTTTAAACCCCTTGCCAGGGACCACCCCTGCTCCCCCAAACATACATATACCACAAAGAGCTACATAAAATAAAGAGCTATATAAAACTAGTGACTATATAAAGAGCTACACTCATTTTAATAAAATGTTCTTTGAAGATTAAGAGTTGCCAAGTTTCTGGATATAAAATTTAAGTTTTTGCCACTAGATTACTGAAAAGGGTTTATGTTAGAAACTTAATTGTGAATATAGTAATTCTACCACCAGAGGGCTCCGTTTTTTTTCTTGAATGTAGCCAGAGAGAAAGAAGAGATGAGTCTTGGTACTACATTTTTTTTCTCATTCCACCTGTCCAAGCCATAGACCATAGCTTAAAGGCAAAAATGTAGGTTTCCATTTTTCTGGTTTTAAAAATATATAGAAAAATATTTGCTTTTCGGTCTCTAGGGCAGTTTTATTTCCCCTATGGAGGTAAAGGGAAAAAAAATCAAAGCATCTTACAAGCTTCTATCATTGTGTGTGTGTGTGTGTGTGTGTGTGTGTGTGTGTGTGTGTGATGTTGAGATTCTTATTTCCTTGACAAATCTTGAGATCTCCTTAGAATCAGGAAAAGTGAAGAGGTTGAAGATAGTGCTTTTGGGTAATTTCTAATTTGCTATTAGTAATTTCAGTAAACTGTATAGATTGGCAGCTGACTTCAAGGAAAGCTGTGGAAGACTCCAGTTCTTACCAGGAGTACTCTGTTTCTTTTCATTCATCAATTTATGCTCACATTTTTGGAAAAAATGATTTAAAGCAATTACTCCATTGAATTTTTTTTTCCAGTTAACCTGTGTAATCCCCTATAACCTTCACAGTGAAAAGTCCATTGATTAGGAATTCTTATTTCTGATTCTGGCACTCACTTAACTAGCTCCGTGATCTTGAGCAAATTACTTTATCTCCCTGGTCTTCAGCTTCTTGTGTCTATATAAAAAGGAAAATATAAGTGTAAAACTTCCAAAGCCTTTTTATATTTAGATTTCAATTTTTCTGAATCACTTTTAAAAGAAGCTTTATTGAAGCAAAATTTATGTAACATAAATTTACCTTGTACAGGTATACAATTTAATAATCTTCAGAAAAGACATAGAGTCTTATGGTGGTTACCGTAATCCAGTTTTAGAACATTTTTATCAACCCAAAAGTTGCCTCATGCCTGTTTGTATTCAGTCTCTTCCATCCCAATCCTGAGGCAAACAGTAATCTAATTTCTGTTTCTTTTTGTTTTTTCAGGAAATTACATATTAATAGAATCATGCAGTGTGTAGTTGTGTTGTGCTTGATTCTTTCACTTAGCATAATTTTTTGAGATTCATCTATAAGTGGCATGTATCAGTTGTTTGTTTCTTTTTTTGCTGAGTAGTATTCCATTATATGGCTATGTTACATTGTGTTTTAAAATATTTGTTTCCAGTTTGGAGCTATTATGAATAATGCTGCTATGAACATTCATGTATAAGGCTTGGTGTGAACACATTTTTATTTTGGGGGGTAGATACCTAAAAATGGAATTGCTTGGCCATGTGGGAATTACATATATCATTTTAAAGAAACTGTTAACATTTTCCAGTGTGGATGTATATTTTTACTTTTTCATCATCAATGTATGAAGATTCTAGTTTCTCCACATCCTCACCTATTTGTGGTATTGTTAGTTTTATTTTTATTATAGCCATCCTGGTGATTATGTAGTGGTATCTCATTGTGGTTTTAATTTGCATTTCACTAATGACTAATGATGTTGAGCATTTTTTCTGCATATAATGGCTACTTATATATTGTCTTTGGTAAAATATCTATCAAACATTTTGTCCATTGTGTTATCTGTTTTCTTATCATTAAGTTGTAAGAATTATTTATGTATTCTGTATACAAGTCTTTTTCAGAGGTATACTTTGTAAATATTTTCTCCTAGTCTGTGGCTTTTCTTTCCATTTTCTTAATGGTTTGAAGAGCAAATGTTTTCAGTTTTGATGAAATCTACAGTATCAACCCTTTCTTTTAAGAATCATATTTTTGTTGTTTTACTGTTCAACAATAGAAAGGAAAAAATTATTGATGCTTGCTACAAAGAAAGCTTTAGCTAATTCATTTTGAATTAATGTTTTATGTGTGATCTGAAGTACTGGTCTAATTTTATTTTTTCTGTGTTTGTATATCTAATTGTCTCTGCACAATTTATTGAAAATACTATCCTTTCTTGAATTTTCTTGGAAAATTTGTCAATAAATCAATGGAACAAAAATGTAAGAGTGTATCTGCTGACTTTCTTTTTTGTTCCATTGATCTATATATCTGTCCTCACACCAGTACCATATTGTCTTGATTATTATTCTAGCTTTCTAGTTAGTTTTGAAATAAGGTAGCATTGTTTTTACTTTTATTCAATTTCAGAATATTTTCTAAGTATCCTTGTGATTTCTTCTTTAATCTATGGGTTATTAAGAAGAATATTATTTAATTTCCAAGATTTGGGGGATTTTCAAATTTCTTTTTGTAGATTATTTATGAGTTAGTTCAATTGTGGTAGGAAAACATATTTTGAATGATTTCAACCATTTTAAATTCATTAAGGCATGTCTTATGTCCTAGCATATGTTCTATACTGAAAAGAACATATATATGTATATACGTGTGTGTGTATATATATGTATATATACATGTATATATGTATATGTGTGTATATATGTATATATACATGTATATATGTATATATGTGTATATATATGTATATATATGTATATATGTGTATATATGTATATATACGTATATATGTGTATATATGTATATATACATGTATATATGTATATATGTGTATATATACATATATGTATATATGTGTATATATACATATATGTATATATGTGTATATATACATATATGTATATATGTGTATATATACATATATATGTATATATGTGTATATATACATATATATGTATATATGTATATATATGCTCCTGCTACTGGATGGAGTGTTCTGTAAATGTCAGATTAAGTTGATTGGTAGTATTCTTGAAGTCCTCTGTGCCCTTAATAATTTTCTTTCTAGTTATTTATTTTAGTTATTCAGAATGCAATATTGAAATCTCCAACTACAATTTTGAATTGCTTATTTCTACTTTCAATTACCAATTATTACTTCATGTATTATACATGAATATATATTTATATTCCATCATGACATATTGACCATTTGATCATTTTGAAATGTCTCTCTTTGTCTTTAGCAATATTTTTTGTACTAGGGTATATTTTGACTAATATTAATATCATCCCTCCAGCTTTCTTGTAGTTATTTTTTCATGTTATACCTTTTACATCCTTTTATTAACAATCTATTTGACAGTTTCTTTAAAGTCATCTAAGTGTGTTTCTTTTGGGTAACATATAGTTACTCTTGTATTTTCATCCAGCCTGATGATTTGTGCCTTTTGATTAGAACATTTAGTCCTTTCATATTAAATATAATTATTGATATGGTGAGATTTATATCTGCCACTTTGTTGTCTATATGTCTCATTCAATTTTTCCCTCTTTTCCTCCTTTACTTCCTCTTTTGTATTAAACAAGTATCTTTAGTATATTATTTTAATTTTTCTATTGGTTTTTAATTTTTTTGAGTTGTTTTCTTAGTGGTTGCTCCAGGGATTGCAGTACTCATCTTAACTTATCACAATCTATTTCAGGTTAATACTGGATTACTTTGGTAAAAGACAGCAATTTTGCTCTAATATTGCTCTCCAAGATCACCCACCTTTGTGCTACTATTGTATATAATTATTAATGTTATAAATCTAACAATATTGTAATATAGTTATTGCTTTATACAATTTCATGTTTCTAAAAAAATTAAAGAGAAGAACATAAAAATATTTAGACAGACTTTTATACTTACCACATGTTTATCATTTTTGGTGCTTTTCATTTTTTTCCTGTGTTTTAGCATTATCTAGCGTCATTTCCTTTCAGTTAGAAAGACTTTAATTAGTATTCCTTAGCATGAGCCTCTTAAAAACAGTCTCTCAGTTTGTTTATATCAGAATGTCTTTATTCCATCTTCATTTTAGAAGAATAGTTTTAGTGTATACAGAATTTTAGCTTGAAATTTCTTTTTATTTCTTTGGATATGTCATTCTACTATTTTCTGACCTCCATGATTTTTGATTATAAGTCATCTACTAATCATATTCTTTCCCTGCAGGATATGAATTTTTCTCTTGATGCTTTCAAGACTTTCTTCCTTTTTTAGTGGTTTGACTATGACAAGTCTAAAAGTGGATCTCTTTGAGTCTACCTATGTTATGTTCATTGAACTTGTTTTTCATCAAGTTTGAGAGTGTTTTGCTCTTATTTCTTCAAGTACTTTTTCTGTCTCTTTCTCTCTGTACTGCAGAACTCCCTTTACACATATATTGATATGTTTGATGCTGTCCCACCGGTCTCTGAGGCTCTTTTCATTTTTCTTCTATCTCTTTCCTTTCTGGTCTTCAGATTGGATCAGTAGAAATTCTTTCTTCTGCTAACTCATATCTGCTGTTGAGCCCATCCAGTGATTTTTAATTGGTTATTGTACCTTTTAATCATAGACTTTCCATTTGGTTCTTTTTGTAGTTTCTGTTTCTCTACTGTACTTCCCTATTAATGGAGTCATTGTCATCATATTTTCCTTTCATTCTTTGAAGACGTTTTTCCTTTAATTCTTTGAACATATTTTTTATAGGTGCTTTGAAGTCTTTGTCTGTTACCTGCAACATCTAAGTCTGTGTTAGTTTGTTGTACATTGCCATAAAGAAGTATCTGAGAGTGGGTAATTTATAAAGAAAAGAAGTTTTATTTTGTCTCATGTTTCTGCAGGCTATACACTAAGCATAGTATCAGCATCTGCTTCTGGTGAGGACTTCAGGAAGATTACATTCATAGTGGAAGGTGAAAGTGGAGTAGGCATCACATGCAAGAGAGAGAAGGGGGAGGTCCCAGGCTCTTCTAAGCAACCAGATTTCATATGAACTAACTGAATGAGAACTCACTCATAACTAACGCCTTGGTGCTGAGCCATTCGTGAGGGATCAGTCACCATGATCTAATACGTCCCATTAGGCCCCATCTCCAACATTAGAGGCAACGTTTCAATGTGAGATTTGCAGGGGCAAACATCCAAACAATGTCAGGATCCCATCAGAGTCGGTTTCTATTCACTGCTATTTTTTTCTTCCCTTGCATGGTCATGTTTTCTTGGTTCTTTGCAGTCTCATGATTTTTTTGTTGAAAATTGAGCATTTTATATAATGTATTATAGTAACTCTGGATTCTGAGTTTCTTTTCCTAAGATTTGTTGTTACAATTTTTAGTAACATGCCTGGGCTTAATCTGCAGGACCTGTCTCCTTCACAATGTACAGCCACAGATATTTTTGTTAATTTTTTTTTTTTTAGAAAATCATATTTATATTTTTTATCCTGGATTTCAAGAAGTTGCCCCTGTGTCTGTGTAGCTTCTTTGTCAGCCAGTCATCAGGCAGAGGCTATGCTTCAACCCCTCAGCTCTTAAGACTTCCACTCTCTGCCACGTAATTTGTATTTGTGTTAAGGTGCACATTTAAAGTCCTGATAATTTTCAGTCCTGCCTCAGTTTTTACTTTCTGCTGACTCCCCTTGGATCTTCCCAATGCCTGCCTATAGTTTCCCAATCAACCAGAGATAAGTATGAACTTGTTTAGCCATTCTATAACTCTCTCATATCCAGGTTCTTCTATTAAGTTCCTGGCTGAAGTCACACTCTTAGGCTGGTAGAGCTGCCTACAACTCTTACTTTTACTGACAATACACTGCTAGGCATTAATTTCCACTCTCCACTCTGAAATAGCCTCTGCTGGCAGGAAGTTGATGGTTTCCTCAGACTCACCCTGGTAAGAGAAAGCAGCCACACTCAAGCAATCTGAAGCTTCCCAGTGTTATTATTCAAAATTATAGTAGTTTGTCATGAATTAGTGCTTCTTAAGATAATGTTTGTTTTTGGTCAATATCCAAAGCACTGAAATGCATATTTTTGAAAAATTTGTCACTTTAAACTTATTTTTGGGGGGCAGAGGATTTCCCAGCCTCTTCACGTTGCTGTAACTGGAAGTCCCATCCTGAATAATTTTTAAATTCAAAGTTGTTGATATTTATATTTTTCTACGCAATATGATTCTCTGTACCATTGGGAGTATTAATAACATGTTATTTATTAAAAGAATGCTCTAGTATGATCTCTAGTGTTTTCTTCTGGTTACTGATGCTTGCTGTGCAAGTTATGATTATGAAAATGTTTTGATCTGCTCATAGGGTATCGACAAAAGGTGATCAGAAAATAAACCATGCTCATATTCCTCAAATAGTTCCTTCTTAAAAACTTTTATTTTAGGTTCAAGGGTACACGTGCAGGTTTGTTTTATAGGTAAACCACATGTCACAGGGGTTTGGTGTACACATTATTTCATCACGAAGGTAATAAGAATAGTACCTGATAGGTAGTTTTTCAATCCTCAGCCTCTTCTTCCTTCACTCTCAAGTAGGCCCTGGTATCTGTTGTTTCCTTCTTTGTGTCCATATGTTCTCAATGTTTAGCTCCCACTTATAAGTGAGAACATACGTTATTTGGTTTTCTGTTATTGCATTAGTCCACTTAGGATAATGGCCTCCAGTTCCATCAATGTTGCTGCGAAGAACATGATCTCATTCATTTTTATGGCCATGTAGTAGTCCATGTTGTGTATGTACCACATTTTCTTTATCCAGTCTACTGTTAATGGACATTTAGGTTGATTCCATGTCTTTGCGATTGTGAATAGTGTTGCAATGAACATACGTGTTCATTTTCTCAATGGTAGAATGATTTATATTTTTTTGCCCGGGCATGGTGGCTCATGCCTGTAATCTCAGCACTTCGGGAAGCCAAGGAAGATGGATTGCCTGAGCTCAGGAGTTTCAGACCAGCCTGGGCAACATGGTGAAACCCTGTCTCTACCAAAAATACAAAAAATTAGCTGGGTGTGGTGGTGCATGCCTGTGGTCCCAGATACTCAGGAGGCTGAGGTGGGAGGATTGCTTGAGCCTGAGAGGTCGAGGCTGTAGTGAGCCATGATCACACCACTGCACTCCAGCATGGGTGACAGACTGAGACCCAATCTCAAAAAACAAAAGAATGATTTGTATACTTTGGGGGTATATACCCAATAATGGGATTGCTGGACCAAATATGAAAAGACTTAGATAACCAAACAGTAATAATGGGAGACTTCAACACTCCACTGACAGTATTAGACAGATCATTGAGACAGAAAAGTAGCAAAGATATTCAGGACCTAAACTCGACACTTGACTAAACAGTCCCAATAGACATCTACAGAACTCTTCACCCCAAAACAACAGAATATCCATTCTTCTCATCTCTACAATGCCACATACTCTAAATCACAATCGAACATAAAACAATCCTCAGCAAATTAAATAAAACCTGAAATTATACCAACCACAGTCTCAGACCACAGAACAATAAAAATCAATACCAAGAAAATCATTCAAAACCATAAAATTACATGGCAATTAAGCAACCTGCTCCTGAATGACTTGTAGGTAAAGAATGAAATTAAGGCAGAGATCAAAAAATTCTTTGAAACTAATGAGAACAAAGATACAACACACCAGAATCTCCAGGACGCAGCTAAAGCAGTGTTAAGAGAGAAGTTTATAGCACTAAATGCCCACATTAAAAAGTTAGAAAGATCTCAAATTAACAACCTAACGTGACAATTAGAGGAACTAGAGAACCAAGAGCAAACTAACCCTAAAGATAGCAGAAGATAAGAAATAACCAAGATCAGAGCTGAATTGAAGGAAATTGAGATGCAAAAAAACCATAAAAAGATAAATGAATCCAAGAGATTGTTATTTGAAAGAAAAATAAGATTGATAGACTGCTAGCTAGACTAACAAAAACATGCAAATAAACACAATCAGAAATGACAAAGGGGACATTACCACGGACCCCAAAATACAAAAAACCCTTGGAGACTACTGCAAACCACCTCTATGCACACAAACTAGAAAAACTCGAATAAACGAATAAATTCCTGAAAATATACAACTTCCCAAGATTGAGTCAGGAAGAAATTGAATGCCTGAGTAGACCAATAATGAGTTCTGAAATCGCATCAGTAATAAAAAGCCTACCAACCAGAAAAAGCCCAGAAGCAGACAAATTCACAGCCAAATTCTACCGGAAATATAAAGAAGAGCTATTCCAAAAAAATTGAGGAGAAAGGACTCCTTCCTAATTCATTCTACGAGGCCAGCATCATCCCGATATGAAAACCTGGCAGAGACACAATAAAAAAACAAAACTTCAGGTCAGTATCCTTGATGTACATGGATGGAAAAATCCTCAATGAAATATTAGCAAATTGAATCCAACTGCACAGGAAAAAGCTAATCCACCATGATCAAGTAGGCTTTATTCCTGGGATGCAAGGTTGGTTCAACATACACAAATCAATAAATGTGAATCATCTCATAAACAGAACTAAAAACAAAAACCATATGATTATCTCAATAGATGCAGAAAAGCCTTTTGATAAAATTCAATATCCCTTCATGTTAAAAAATCATCAACAAACTAGGCATTGAAGAAACATACTTCAAAATAATAAGACCCATCTATGATAAACCCATAGCCAACATCATACTGAATGGGCAAAAGTTGGAAGCATTTCTCTTGAAACCTGGAATAAGACAAGGATGCCTTCTCTCACCATTCCTATTCAGCATAGTATTGGAAGACCTGGCCAGACCAGTCAGGCAAGAGAAAGAAATAACAGGCATCAAAATAGGAAGAGAGGAAGTCAAACTACCCCTGTTTATAGATGATAGGATTCTATACCTAAAAAACCCCATAGTCTCTGCTCAAAAGCTCTTTGAGCTGATAAAAAACTTCAGCAAAGTTTCAGGATACGAAATCAATGTCCAAAAGTCAGTAGCATTCAAATAGTTCCTAAACGGTTTGTTAACTAAACTGCTGAGGAGTTGTCATTGTTACAATAAATTCCATCAGGGTTAACAACTAAAGTTGTTCATGTACCTACATGGCTGATTTCATTACAACCATCAACTAGGTAACAGTAATTGTGAGAGTAATCCCAAATATGAAGATATTAAAATGTGAAGAAATTAACCTCTTAGAATTGATAAAATATGTTAATATCATAATCCAGTATACTTTAGAGAAGAATCTGGGATTAGATAATTTTTACTGTAGTTTATACAAGAAGCTCAGAGTCTGAAGTAAACAAGAGGTCTCCATCTATAAAGGGGTTATATACATGGCATCATCTTTGAGAATGAATTCAGGAAATAAAGTCATAGAGAAAATCTGGTTTACTTCTGTATTCATTTTTATTGAGATTACTATTTTGTTAAAAAGAAAAAATATTTTATTAGAATTTGAGTGGAGAAAAAGGCAAAGACATTCTATCATTAACTGACTCAAAATCTTGCTTACAGATTGGAAGTTGACTTTAAACTGGAATGAATCTACTTTTGCCTTTGACTATTAATACTTTAAAAAATTACCTGAATTTCAGCCGGATACAGTGGCTCACGCCTGTAATCCCAGCACTTTGGGAGGCCGAAGTGGGTGGATCACCTGAGGTCAGGAGTTCAAGACCAGCCTAACCAACATGGAGAAACCCCATCTCTACTAAAAATATAAAACATTAGTCGGGCGTGGTGGCACATGCCTGTAATCCTACCTATTCAGGAGGCCGAAGCAGGAGAATCTCTTGAACCCAGAGGCGGAGGTTGCAGTGAGCCGAGATTGTGCCATTGCACTCCAGCCTGGGCAACAAGAGCAAAACTCTGTCTCAAAAAAAAAAAAAAATTACTTGACATTCAAAAAACTTGAGTAGGGTTTATCTTTATATTTCTCTCTGTTTTGTACTTTGTAAGCAAAAACCTATAAAAACTAGATGATAATAGAGGAAACACCAGGAGATATGAGCATATTTATCCTTTTGCTTCTGCATTGACAGGCCTTTGTGCCTTTTGTGAATGCCTGTCTTACATATCTGTTATAACGTGGATAAGATAAGTGGGGAAGACACGGTGCCCAGGAGTTCTGACTTTTGGCTACACTGATAATCACCATCAAACAATAAATGTACAGGGTTGGAAGGAATTATAGAGATTATTTAGACTTGGTGACACAAACACAAAGGCCTACAGAGACCAGAGAGGTAATGCAAATGATTGATGTAGGCCAATTTTATGATGTCATTCATTTTTCTTGAAATAAAAGGTCCTCTTAGAGTGCGTGTGTGTGTGTGTGTGTGTGTGTGTGTATGTATATATATATTTTTTCTCCATTGTTGACAATGACATAAGTAGTGAGAAATATTTCTCTGAGAAAAACAGTAGTGCAAGTGCAAAGATCTATGGCAGAGGTCAGCAAATTATAGCCCAGTGTCAAATTTAGTCCATTGCCTGTTTTTGTAAATAAAGTTTATTAGAACACAACACATTTATTTATATATTATCTATGGCTGCTTTCATGCTGCAATGATGGGGTTGAGTACTTGCAACAGAGACAGGATGGCTCACAAAGCCTAAAATATACGTGGTCTTTTACAGAAACAGTTTGCCAATTCCCTGAAAATGGTAACTCACCCAGCCTCAGTGATGAGGAGATAGAAAGTAGTGGTACTGTAGCAAATGGGAGAGCGTCAGCTCCATCTTATAAATGTTGCCAGATCTCCATTTGTAAGAGAAACTCAAATTTTAAATTTTATGTGAAATCTTCCTATTTTAAAAGATTGGTTCAACTCTTACTTAAACATTGTAGTCCAAACTCTCAGTATCTCTCATATGTGTTCAGGCTAGATTTGGCCCTCAGACTCCCATTTTATGACTTAAGTTCCTTTACTTAATTTTAGTTATTCCATTTTATAGTTTTAGGTGTTCTATTTAGTTTTCTTTTCTAAATCTACTATGTTACTTTTTATAGTTACTTTATTCCCTGTGTATATTTCCAAGCTTATTTTTTAGGTGTGATTGTTTTATAATGTGGTATTTTGTCTAATTTTATTATCTAAGTCTTTGTGAATCTGTTTTCTGTTGCTTGTTATTTCTGCTGCTTATTACTTACGGTGCCTTCTTTTCTTAAAGGTCTGCTTATCTTTGACTCTAATATGTTCATTATACTTGAAAAATTTATTTGTAGGAGTAACCTGAGGCCAAAGATTAAGGGATTCTATTTGCTTCTCTCAGGTACATGAGGGAATAAAGTCCAGGGTCACCTCTATCCAAGATGAAGTTTTCAGATTTCTTGAGCCATAGAAAGTGAATTTGAAACAACATGAGAGAGTAGGTTTATTTTAAAGTTCTAGTTTACTGTGAAGCGATTACCCTATTATATACTCAATTATGTGGGTTTAGGCTTTTAAATTTCTATGTCCCATGCTAAGTGAGGCCAACAAAATAAAAATTCACATTTGTTGAAATAGGCAAATGCTCTCAAGGCAAAAACATTTTCTTTCCTACTTACTGCATTCATTCCATTTTTCCCTTCAGTTTTGTCCTAGTAATTCCTTACTTTCTTCTTAGATCTTTGATCTTTAAAAAATATTTTTCCATATAGTTTATATTTATATATTTATTTGCATATAGTTTTGTATATATAATTACAAATATTATTTGTATTTATTTAGCATTTCTAGTTTATAGTGGGAGCATTATCCAAATAGCAATACTTCATTATAAAAAACAATCTATTTCAACAGCTCTCACTTTATATTAATAGATGAAGTAGGTAAAGTAAATGATTCAAAGCCATGCAAATTGCACTTTGCAAAACTTGGATTAGCATTTAATTCTCCTGATTTCCAAACCAGAATTCTTTCCATCACCCACACTTTCGTTTGGAATGTTAGTCAGTGGTATGCTGTCAAATGTTTAACGATTATATTTCTGAAAAAAAGGTTCTGATCATTTTGTTTGCCAATTTCTGTGACATAGACACTTCCACTATGGCCAATTTTGAGTTCCCAACTTGATGACACTGAACTCAAGAATTAAGAAGAGATGTGTATAATTGACTCTCGTGAGCTGGTACAACCTGGCTTTAGCACACCACTATATCCAGCTGAGAGAATTAACATTTTTTGACTATCTGTACATGCTAGGCACTTTATTTATACCATTTGGTTTAATTTTCACAACAATATTGCCCGAATGTTATTACCAGGATTACAATTTTATAGATAAGAAACTTGACATTCAGAAAGATAAAGCTACTCAGTCAAAGTCACATAGTCAGCAAGTGGCAGAACCAATATTTGAAATCAGGTTTGTGAGATTACCAAAGCCAGTGATTTTCCAGATTAGCCTGTACTATTTCCTGAGTGGTATGATGGACTCAATTTCCCTAGAGAGGGTGGAATAATTGTGGACATAGTGGAGATTTTCTTTCCAAGTGATTCCATAAGCTGTTTTCACTTATTAACTTCTTCTGGTTTGTTTTCCTTTGGCTCTACTATGCCTTTCCGAGAAGGGTCATCCAAGTTCATGCAGATATTTTCTCATGCTTATTCTGTCTATGAAGTTTCCTAAGCTTACTCCAGAGTTCTAAACCCAAATCTACTTTCTTCCTAGGTGTTGCCCATGTCCCTTTTTTGATGCATATTTAGCCCTGGTTTCTTGAGAGCATTTGTCTATCCATCCATCCATCCATCCATCCATCCATCCATCCATCCATCCATCCATAATAGTGCCAGACACTGTGCAAGGTTCTGGAATATATAAATTAATGTGGGAGGTTAATAGCCTCTGCCCTAAAGAAATTTTCTAACATTGAAAGAATGTCAAGAATGGATCTCAGGATGAAAACATAGTATAAAGACATTGGTACTTCCTCCCCCAGGGAAATAAAAAAATAACCGTGTCTTACAAAATCCATGGAGTTTTTAAACCTGAGAAATCAAAGTAGCCTAGTTAGGAAGCTGGTTTTCTCCCACTTTCCTATGTTCTCTATTTTGTAAGCAGCTCCTACACTGAGAGGGAAGGAACATATTTTAAAGTGACAGGGAGACAAACTAGCATTCTCCAGTGGTCCTCCCACTTCCAGCTGCAGAGGGTGCCCCCTTTGACCTAGTTGAGACCCATTTAACTCATCCATTTCGAAGGATGGGGACTAAGTTCCCCATATACTACTCCCAGCTGCAAATTCCTAGTCTTATTCCCCATTTTCAGTAATGATTTAATGTAAATGTATTTAAAATAATAATCATGTGCTCCCTCTGCCCTCCACAGCTGTGGCTTCCTACTTTGAATTGCATTTGAACTGTGATTAATACATGTGTTTAAAGAAACAGTCATTTCTCCCTTTTTTTTCCTTCCTCATAGCTGTATTTTCCCACCCTAGCAATTCCTCTTCTATCCCTATTACCTATACATATTTTAGTTCCAGACCTCAAAGAAAAATTTTAAAAATACTGGATCTTGTAACTAAGCTTTCTTTATGTTTCACAAGTGTCTTGATACTGTGGTTTCATACCAAAATCCAGAAACTTACTTGAACAGATATATTCACATGTATCAAAGTCATGTGAATATCAAAGTCCTGCTGACAAATGCCTGGTGGCCACAGCTCTTCCTTGCATTAACAAAGACAATTTCCCATCTTCCTTCTTGACACTGAAGTGGAGCAGAGTGAGCTCCATAGTTCAGAGCATTTCCAGAATCTTAGGTGCAGAAGCTTGTATCCTCTGTTAATGGAGCATTCTCCTCTTCACATCATGTTAAGGAGTGAAATTTCAGAAGATCTCCCAGGACCATGTATTTTTTTTTAATTGAAGTGTAATTTACATAACATAAAATTAACCATTTTAAAATGTACAATTCAGTGGTATTTAGTACATTCACAGTGCTGTGTAACCACCACCTCCATTTACTTCCAAAATATTTTCATCACTCTTTAAAGGAGACTCCATGCCCATTAAGCAGTCATTGCCCATTTCCCTCTCTCCTTATCTCCTGGTTTCTCCTGGAAACCACTTATCTGCTTTCTGTCTCTAAAGAAGGGCCTATTTCTTGGAGGGAAGTGTCAGCCATACTACTCATTCAAACAACTTCTGAATGTGGTTTCTTCCACGGTTGAGTGATGAAGGTCTCGAAGCCACAACTGTCTGGCAACAAGATGGCACTAACACATTGTGCTCTGCAGTGGATGATGGATTGGACCTGGATCTGACATGGCCCAAACTTCTTGAACCAGATTTAACATGTGACAATTTGAACACTGTGAGAAAAAAAAAAAAAAAATTCAACTCCTCCCAGCCCTGACTGAAGATCTAGCAATAAGCTGTCAAGGACTAACTGAAGTTAGTCATCAGCATGGAAAAAGATGCCAAAATAACACAGGGAAAACATAAAAACTGGATGGTGACTGAGGAGAGGAACCTACAGAAAATTTCTAAATACCAAGCCCAGAGATTTTGTAATGTCTCTGTACAAAATCAAAACAGAAGAATTCTTTAGCAATCCTAGACTTAGTCCTGATCCTGTGTCCTCTCTTCTACTGGACTAATTGTGAAAGTGCACAAACTGGGGAGGGTTGAGCCTTGTTTCTCTCCGCATTACAGTGTTTCCTTGGTGACCCACCCCCACCACTCCATGTGGTCTCTAGGTCATTAGTTCCGAAGAGTTTTAACACATGTTATGTAAAAATGGTTTCATGATTTGTTTGTTCATGTATTCATTTTCTCATTCATTTATTTACCAAGTGTTTACTAAATTCTTCTAGTATACTTAGCACTACCCTAGGTGCTGAAGATGAAAGGGTAAACACATCAGAAAAACCAAGTTTGTAATTTAGAACAGTTATCTTTACTACAGATTCTTCCAGGACCTTTTTTTTTTTTAATTTTTTTTTAGACAGTGTCTCACTCTTGTCACTTAGGCTGAAGTTCTGTGGTGCCATTACAGCTCACTGCAGGCTCGATCTCCTGGGCTCAAGCGATCCTTCTGCCTCAGCCTCCCAAGCAGCTAGGACTACAGGAGTGCGCCACTGTGCCCAGCTAATTTTTTTTCTTTACTTTTTTTTCTTTTTTTTTGGTAGAGATCTCAAAAATTTTGTAGGGGTCTCACTATGTTATCCAGGCTGATCTTGAACTCCTAGGCTCATGTGATCCTCTCACTTCAGCTGCTCAAAATGCTGGGATTTCAGGCATTAGCTGCTGTACCTGGCCTCTAAATTTACTAAGACCACATGAATTGTGAAGCTTCAAGAGGAATTTAAAAGAATTTCTCTGAGAAGGATTTGACCACATGGAGCTTGTATTCTTTTGAATCACATTGGGAAATGCATTAAGTACAAAAAGTTTCTTTTTCTAGAATTTTCTATTGCCACTATGATCTAATTCCCCAAGCAGGTCCCCTTATGATTCTCTGTAATAGAGAGATTTTTTTTTCTTCAGAGCACTTACCAAAGTCTGAACTTATATGTTTATTTTTGGATCGACTTGTTTATGCTTATCTCTGCTCCTGTACTGCTAGCTCCAAGAAGACATCATACATGACACCTAGCAGGCACTCAGGAAAAAATATGCATTCATTGAATGAATAAATGAATTTACCTATCTATTACCTTCATCAATTTTACCCAGTGTTTTTATTTCTCTAAGATACAGGGACACCATAGAAGAATACCGGGCAGATGGGCTACCACAGATAAGGGCTGCATATAAGGTCACATTTTTTTTAATTGGGTTTAGTGATTGCTGTAGGAAATGAAAGACTTTATTTTTAAAAAGCATCTGTACTCAACAGATGATAATATTAAAATAATAACTAACATTTTTGGTATTATTATTTGACTCTATTGTAAGTACTTTTATGTGGAATAACTCACTTAATCATTATAACAACCCTATACTGTAGACATTATTATTATCTCTTCTTTGGCATTGAGAAAACTTAATGGTGAGGTTAAGTACCTTGTTTAAAGCTACATGGCTGGTAAATGGCAGCACCAGGATTCAAACTCTGGTAGTCAGGGTCCATACCCTATGCTATAATGCTTTAACATTTGTACTATAACACTATCATACTCTTGGAGTGGTAATATTCTCCTATCCTTGGGGCAAAACCAACTTTCACAGCACTTCAATATTAGCTAGGAAAAACAATTGCATCTGTGAAAGTTTCAATAGCTAGATGTTGCGAAGATACTGCCAATCTTAGAACATTTTTAAGAGTTCATTATATTTCTCTGATTATTCTGTGGTGTATCTGGGATTGAACTCAGGTAGTCTTACTCCAGTATCCCACAATAATTAACCATTAAATCGTACTGACTCAGGATATTTGCTGCCAATGCTCTGTTGAATACATATTATTCCCTTGATAAAGTTTTTCTATTTTCTTTATTTCTCTTTGTGACTTTGGTATCTGGTTTTTTGTTTAATTGGTTGTGTGTGTGCACATATGAATATGTTTAAATTTTAGCTCTAGTTGAGAAAAGTTTCAAAGGATTGAAAGGCTTAGGTCTTCTTGCCTTAGAAAGAGTTTCTGCTGGTGTTAATTTGCTGAGTAAAGTGGAAGGGGAGAAATTGGTGACCAGTAGGCTTGGGATCTAAGGGACAGCATAGCAGCAGGCCTGGATCTCCAGTGAGGAAGGAATTTCCTCATTCTTTAAATAGAATGAGGAGACCAGGTCACAGAATAGAAGGAGAGAGCCCCAGGCAGATGGGTTAGGAGATTGCATGTGTGCTGCTATGTTCCTGAAAGGAGGCAGAGAATGGCAACATTTAGCAAGGAGGTGAACTTCACAGGAGCATATCAAGATGACTAGAAAGGGAAGAGTGGAGTGGAAGATCATTTGAATGGTTGTTTCCATTTTAAGGGTGAGGAAATTCAGTCTCGTCAGGTGCTGCCTGGCTCATAGACACACGCCTAACTAATTATTTTAACTATTGGTAACGCAGAGCTCCTCAAACTCTACTGCACATGCAAATTGGTCTGGAGAAGGGCCCAAGATTCTGCAGTTCTAACAAGCTCCAAAGTGACGCCAGTGCTGCTGGTTTGCAGACCACACCTTGAATAGCGAGGTAGCCTTGTACTCAATCTTCAGATGAGAAGTAACAGTTCTCATTCATGGACACTTTTGTATAATTGGGTGTATCTGTTTACACTATCCTCTGAATGGAGGTCTTGATGGAAATAAGGGAGAGAGAATAAAAAGAGAATCATCTTGTCTCAGAAGAGGGATCTCAGGAAAAGCTTCAGTGCAGCTTGACAGCAGTTTGAGAGAACTGAATTCTCTGCGAATAGGTTTATAGAGGGAAGCCAGGCACTAGAAGAGATACACAAAAGGGCCCTGTAAATAAAATAAAACGAAAAAACCCCAAACTAGAACCAGTGTGGGTTACAACTGAGGAAACACATTAAAGCACAGTTCTAAACAAGATAAGCAATAGCACCTTGGGGCATACTATGGAAATGTTAAAAAAAAATGCCTATTACATTGCCTAGTTGTCTTAGTCTGCTACAGCTGCTATAAAATATTCCACAGACTAGATAGCTTAAGCAACAGAATTTTCTTCTGACAGTTCTGGAGGCTGAGAAGTCCAAGAGCAAGGTGTCAGCAAGGTAGGTTTCAGGTTGATGCCTCTTTACTCAGCTTGGGGGTGGCTGCCCTCAAGCTGTGTGCTCACGTGGCCCCTTTGTGTGTATATGGAGAAAGAGAGAGCTCTGATGTTTGACCCTCTTCTTATAAGGACACCAGTTCTACCAGAATAGGGACCCACCCTGATGACCTCATTTAACCCTAATTACCCCTTTAAAGACTCTATTTCCAAATACAGTCACATTGGGGATTAAAGCTTCAACATATAAATTTGGGGGGGACAAAATTTAGTCCATAACAACTAATATACAGTAGATATTCAATAAGTTTCAAGTAGATTAATATCCTTAGTGGAAGGACTGTGTCTTATGAATTGTTGTGTGACCATATAGTGGCATATAATAGTTATTTAATAAACAATTGCTAAATAACTAAATGAGACATTGAAAACTCTGGTGTCCCAGAACCAGAGATAACACATTATGTAGTTTGGGTGCTGAGTGCTAACAGCTACAAAACTACAAACTGCATTTCTGAAGCACCATGTGGAGGAACTTCTGATTGGTCACACTTGCACTTTGTGATAAACACCACAAGGTCATCTTTGAATAGGAAGGATAACAATTAATAATCTACTCTCAGAGAGTGGATCACCTCCCATTTACTTTTACTAGTTTATCCATAATGTGTTCTTTTGGGTCCTTAGCAATCTGTCATCTTTGAACATGTTTTCAAAAAGTAAAAATTAAAATATACATATTGGTCCACTGTTACTTGGCAAATATTGAACCAAGGTAAAAACATCTTCTAATTTTCTTTCCTTGCCCTCTGCTCCCATATCATTCAGGATGCAATGACAGCATTTCATTAGCATTGAGAGAGTGCTCTTGAATACTATCTTCTTGTAAACATACTTAATGTAGGTAAAGAAAGTGACAGAAAAGATGACCTGGTCTCCAACATCAATGTCCTGCTGCAGAGCAGAAGCAGTTAGGGTTGAATTTTTTTTTTTTTTTTTTAGATGGAGTTTCACTCTTGTTACCCAGGCTGGAGTGCAATGGCACAATCTTGGCTCACTGCAACCTCTGCCTCCCAAGTTCAAACAATTCTCCTGCCTCAGCCTACCGAGTAGCTAGGATTAAAGGCATGCGCCACCACATCTGGCTAATTTTGTATTTTTAGTAGAGATGGGGTTTCTCCATGTTGGTCAGGCTGGTCTCGAACTCAGAACCTCAGGTGATCTGCCCACCTTGGCCTCCCAAAGTGCTGGGATTACAGGCATGAGCCACTGCACCCGGCCCACCAGGGTTGAATTTTTGATACCAGCTGAGCCTGATCCCTGGAATAGCTCTGGATATGTCATGCTTTTCTTCCTCCCAGGAGCCTGGGTGCCATTTAACAATTGCCTCTTCGCTGATTCAACAGGAAGGCCATAGTCTCCTACCCACACACAAAAAACTGCAGCTGATTCCAGGAATGTGAAGGAGGGGCGGTCATGCCCAGAGTTTCTCCAAAGGAAAAAATTCAAAATTTAGGAAAGGATTCTGAGTCTTTGTGGGAGAAGAGAATAGGAATGGGGAGGGGAGACATTTTATATGTTTTTGTCCTGCTAACTTTTAAAGGAGGGTCTTTCCCAAATTGTCTCTCCAGATTTCTTTATTAGTACAACAGGCTTTTAGTTAGACAGAATAATATGGGAAGGAAGGAAAGTAGGATTTTCAGATTACATGTACTTTACTGGTAACATTTCAAAAACTTGGTGGGGGTTGGGTAGGGCAAACAGAGTATTGCCATCATTTTAGTTTGCCAAATGAAGATGTTACAAACACACACACACACACAACTAACATCTGCTACAATGACCACTTCACAAGAGAAAGGGCATTTTAATATAATAGTCTTTTACAAGAGACAAGAATTGGCAAACATGCCAGACACACACACACACACACGCACACACACACACGAATGTTCACACACACATATCCTCCTCATTTTTCTTATTTTGCTGTGGGCTTGTTAAGATTTAATCTTAGACAGCACTGGTAAGTTTATGACTGTTCTGAAACCATGGAGCTAGGTAATTTCTAGGGCTGCCTGAGGTCTAAGATTCTGTAATTTAATAAATCTGACATCATATCATTCTCTTTCTTGCATACCCCATGAATATCTCAAGCAACAGAGTCATGACTCACAGAACTAAAACACACAGACATTACTAAACGTAACACACACAAGTGAAAAATAGAAAACATATAAAGATATTGCACTGCTCCATGAGTGTTTCTCCTTCTTGGCCTAGGTTTGTTTTTTTATTTTTTATTTTATTTTATTTTATTTTTTCCAGGACACAAATTCATTCATTCAACAAAGCGTGTAATTGGCCATTTTCAAGGTCCAATAAATGTCCAATTTCATAAAAGTTGCTTCAAGTTAAAAGTGTGGCTCAATCCTGTAATGTGGCCAGAACCAAAAAGAGTTTCTTCTAAAGAAATTTCATGAGGAATTTGCAACACAGTGTGTTTATTACATAAGTTAAGCTTTTTCCTACTTAAGGCATTTAAAAACACACTACATCTGATCTAGCTCCCCTTTAAACTCTTCCTACATCCTTTTTCTTTACCCTGTTCACATAAATACATTGCTACCCATTTCCCAACGGCCTTAATCTGATACGACATTCTGCCCACAAGAGTCTTATTATTTATCATTCACTTACTCAACTAGGTAGCAGTGCTGTCTAAATTTTGGCACTCTCCTGTTGTACTATCCTCCAGTTACTTTTCCAGTTATTCTGCACCATGAAATACCAGGGATCGTATTGTGGTTCTCCCTGGAAGAACTCCTGAAATCCTCCTGCTCCATTTGTGCCTTTGCCATAACATTCTTGAGCTTATTGTCATAGTTATTTAGTGAGGTTTCTGGTATGGGAACATTGTCTGTGTGTGGAATGTGTGTTAAATGACCAGCTGGCTCAGAAGTGCAAGAGCTGAAAGTTTCAACTGAACCGAGGGGTGAAATTAGTACCCCTTTGAATGAGAAATTTCAATATGATTGTTTTATAACTACTCAAATTCCATGTGGCCAGATTTCCCCGACTAGTCCAATCCTTTGGAGGTTATAAATTGCATAGAAGATGCTCAGTGAGAGGGAGATGAAGGAGGAGATTACTGGTGCCAATGTTCCCTAGATGAAGGCAGATTGGCAGCTAATATGGTGACACGAAAGAATGTAGCAAAGGAAGGTATAATTAATGATAGTGTGGTTTAGACTCATTGGAATGTGATGAGTTTAGTTGAATTGTCCTGATCAACGTGTCATGGGTTCATAGACTTGCAAGAGATTCCCAAGGATATCTGTGGGAGGATCTTCTCAGGACTTCTTAAAATGAAGAATATCAAAAAGAATAAGAGTATTTAGGGGCCTTTTTCCACCAGTATCCACCTCTATCTCCAGTATATAAGCAGAGTGATGTGTAGAAAAGTGGGAATAAATGTTGAAATGGGGCAAGGAAAATCATTTCAGGCTGAAAGAGAGAACAGTGAGGTCTCTGTTAGAGAAGGATTTAGAGAAATGAGAGTAGTTGTAGAAGTCGGGATTTGTAAAGAATCGTTTCTAGTGTCTTGAAACAAGAAAGTACCAAAGATCAGAGAATGAGAATTTTGGTTATCAAAAATAGAAAAAAAAAGTGCTCATTGAAAGTTATAAAAGAAGAAAATTACGTCTTGACTGTAAAAATACAGATGAAATAAAAGACCATCAACAAAGCTTTATTGAGAAAAAAAGAGTGGAAAAGGTGATAGAATATGTGCTTATCAGCATTTCAGAGTGTACAAAGCATTTGTTTACACATTGTCTTACTTGATTCACAACATAATCCCAGGCACTAAAAGGACAACTAAGATTTTTCCTTAGGAAAGGAAACTAAGACTTGGAAAGAGGGAGAAACTTCCTCAAAGTCATGGAGCAACCCAGTGGTTGGCCAATAATATCATTATCCTAAATCAGGGACCCATGTGCATTCCTCTATACTATGCTGCAAATCTGGGACTTTCCCTTTTGGCTTCAGTTCCATTCTGAACATTTGTCCACTTCTGGAGCAAAACATTGTGTATCCACTCTTTTACAGATAAAGAAAGGAATTATTTCTTTATCCACTCTTTGGAGTGGATGCACAATATTCTACTTGAGAAGTGGAGAAATGTTTTTTTGTAAAGAGCCAAATAGTAAATATTTTAGGCTTTGAGGGCCATAAGGTCTCTGTCCCAATTACTCAACACTGCCTTTGTAGCATTCAGCAGCTGGAGGAAATATGTAAATGAGGGGGTGTGGTTGTGTTCCAGTAAGACTGTATTTGCAAAAATAAGTAGTAGACTAGATATGATTTGCAGACTGTAGTATGCCAGCTCTTGTTCTACACCATAAGATGCCATGAATCTTGTTGTCCTTGTATAAGAGCGCCAAAATCCTTCCTCTCTGTTTTATGCCTAAAGTTTTCATCTAGAAAATTCTGGCTTTTTTAGGGCTAGGACCACTTTGGGCTTACCAATGTACTCCTACTTCTTCGTAGTGTTCAACTCAAGCAGTGTTTGACAATTATTTGTTGAATGACTTTTATATTAGTTGCATGCAATTTGCACTCCCCTTTTGTATCTCTTCCTTTTTCTTCACTGTTTAGTATCTTCTTGTTTAGCACATTTTATTTTTCAAAGATGGCTGCAACAATATCTCCTGTCCCACGTGCTCTTACGATGTTATGGTGACACACCTCCCATTAAGAGTTAGGAGACTATGTTCCCTCCCCTTGAATATAGGTAGGCTTGTGATGACAGCAAAAGTGATGTTATGTGACTTCTGAGGCTAGGTCACAGAAAGTGACACTGCTTTCACCTGGTTCTCTTGGAACTTTCAGTTACCATGTAAACAGTCTGACTATCCCAAAACTTTCATTCTGTAAGGGAGAGCAACATAGTTCATGTGGTGTGATCCCACAAAGAGGCCCTGAGACAACCTAGAGAGATAGAAGTGCTTGCCCAACCTCCAACTACTTAAGTTCCCCCAACTCCACCTCAGCTGTCCCAGTTCCAGGCACTGTTCAACCACAATGGCATGAAAGATCCTGAGCCAAAAGCCTTTCTGTGTATCTGACCCATAAAACCTGTGCATAATAAAATGATTGCTGTCTTAATTCACTAAGTTTTTATGCAGCGATACATAACCGGAACGCCTCTCTCCCCTCTTCTTGGGGAGGTGGTGTCACATAGTAGTTAAAGGTGATGACTTCAGATTTAGTCTTTGTTTCAGTCTCAGCTTTCATGTTTTCTAACTATGGGTCATTGTGAGATGGTTAGAGCTTTTTTCTTAAATGCCTATTTAAGAAATGTTTTCCTATTTCAAATTTGTAGAGATATCCTATTTATTTCCAAATTCATAATTTTAATTTTCGAAACTAGAGTAACAATCCACATGGGAATTCATTTTCATATATGGTGTGAAATAAGAGGTCATTTCAATTTTTTTTCCCTGTAGATATCAATTGAACCATCATTCTTACCAAGGAGATCATTCTTTCCCCACTGCCCTGCAGCATGACTTTCATCATAAAATCAAGTGCTTTATATCCATCAGTCTGTTTCTGGACACCCTGTTCTGCTCTGTTGTCTATCTGTCTATATTTGAACTTATGCCGCACTATATCAATTACTATACCTGTAGAGTAAGTCTTGATTCAATAAATTAAGTTCTCCCAGTCTGTTTTTTTCTTCTCTCTCTCCATTCCTCCTTTTTTTTTCTCATTTTCCCCCTTCTTTTTCCTATTCTTCAAGAATATCTTGTCTATTTTTGGCCATGAACAATGTGAGATCCTCAGAACATCTTATCTCTATCCCCTTCAGACTTTTGTACTGTTAAGTGTTATTCATTTTAATTATATATATGTGAACTTAGGAGACATTTCTATTACTATTTTACACTATAAATGTTCATTGAATTTATTAACATATTTACCATTTCCATTGCTCTATGTGGCTTCTTGCATCTCTGAACTTCCTTCTGCAATTATTTTGTTGTTGCCTGAAGAATACCTTCTGTATTTCTTTTAACATTGTTTGGTTGGTGACAAATTATTTCTGTATTTGCTTGCTCAAAATGTCTTTATTTTTCCTTCATTTTTGATGAATTTTATGTGTATGAAATTCAACCATGTTGTGTATAACAGAAGTTTATTTAGTTCCATCATTAAATAATGTTCTTATATATGCATATACTTTGATTTATTTATCTAATCCACTAATAACGGACCTTTTTGTTTGTCTCCAGTTTGGGATATTATGAAGAATGTGCTATGAATGTGTGTGTACACATGTGTACAGCTGTATGCATTTCTTTTGAGTATATACCTACAAGTGGAATAAAAGTGGGTATAGAATTCAAAGATGACAATTATTGTGTATTGGCATTTTAAAGGTACCATTCCATTTTCTTCTGGCTTTCGTGTGTTTGTTGTTGAGAAGTCAGGGGTTAGTCGTATTGCTCCTTTTCTAGTTCTTCTCAGTAGGAAGACTGATCCTAAACAACCTAATTACCCATGCCAAAGTACGTCCAAACTGATCTTTAAAGAACATAAATCAAATTGTATTATCCTATGCTTAAAATGCTCAGTGGCTTTGCCATTGTTCTTAGTAACCCAAATCCCTTATTCTACTTTACCAGATCTTATCCCATCTGGCTACTGCATAACTCTGAATTCTTCTCATGCCACTCTTCCTCTTGTTTACTAGAATCTAGTTACACTAGACTTGATACCTTTCAAAACAGTAATTTCATTGTCACACTGATGACTCCTGTTAGCATTAAAATCTCAGCTCAAATGATATCTTATAAGGGAGGCCTTCCCTGACCACCTAAGTAAAGTAGTCCATCCCACTCCTTCTTTCTCACATCACCTTGTTTGATGTTCCTATTGCACTTAACACTCTTCTAATTCAGCTTATTCGTGTTGGTTTTCTTGTGTATTTCTCCCCCCCTCTTACACACATTAAATGCAAACTCCACAAGAGCAGAAGACTCACCTGTTTTGTTTATTCCCAGGACTAACAGCAATAGCTGGCATGTGGTCACTGCTCAGTAAATATCACAGAATCATAGAAAGCTGGAACAACCTCTTCCAGAAGTGTTTTATAAGGCTGATAACAAGAAACTAAATTTAGAGTGGTCAACCTGACCAAAACTTATTTAAAAAACCTATTTGGTTGGGCGCGGTGGCTCACGCCTGTAATCCCATCACTTTGGGAGGCTGAGGCGGGCGGATCACGAGGTCAGGAGATCAAGACCATCCTTGCTAACATGGTGAAACTCCGTCTCTACTAAAAAATACAAAAAATTAGCTGGGCCTGGTGGCGGGCGCCTGTAGTCCCAGCTACTCGGGAGGCTGAGGCAGGAGAATGGCGTGAACCCAGGAGGTGGAGCTTGCAGTGAGCCAAGATCGAGCCACTGCACTCCAGCCTGGGTGACAGAGCGAGACTCTGTCTCAAAAAAAAATAAATTAATAGTAATAATAAACCTACTTTATATCAGTATCATTTCAGAGTTTACAAAGCACTTTCCAAATGTATCATTAATTCTCATTTTTTTCCAGACAAGAAAATGGGCTGGAGCCAGAATACAGCAATGTTATTGATTAAAAAGATGGAACTCTTTTTCTATCCTAAAATTTTGATAAGTTTTTAACGATGAATTTCATGCCTAGTGAACTATCCCTATGTTTGATTGGGTAAAGACTTTTGAAATTGTACTCCAATTTAAACTTTTTCAAATGACAATATTGCTTTTGACAATTACATAACTCTAATTTGTAACAGTATTGTTTTCTCTTCATATTTTTTCACAGGTCTTATGAAACACTTAAGAGCTACATAAGGACCTAGACTTTAGGTTTGCTCCACAGGACCACACTTCCAGTTCTGTTTCACTTCCAGATTTTCCCAGTTTTCCATGCCTTTTCTCTGGTGATGGCAGAAGAAGCACTGATCTGATTCAAGGGCAGGCAGGAGAGGAGAAAGCCAAATCAAGAGCCTGAATAAGCAATACCCAGCATAATTTCATTGACCACATTCAGTCTATCAGTCTTTTGGGAAATATTTATATTTTTCCTTCTCCCTGCCTTTGTCACCAAAAAATTTCATTTCCCTCTTCAGTGGCTCAGCTCAGAACATAAGTGGGAGAGTGGGAATAATCTCTTAGGAAAGGCAGCCAAACCACAGCACACCTTGTTCTTTTGGAGTTTTGCTTATCCTCCCATTTGAAGTTATGTGAGTTGTTCTATTTGTGTCTGTTCCACTTGTACCTGCCACCTTTAGGGCTATGCCTTGTAAAGTGGCAGAAGTTGGAAACTTTAGTAAACATTTTCTTTTTAAAATAAATATATCGCTTGTGAGATCAATCTGTTCCTAAGGGACTCTACCACTACTCAGTCTTCTAAACCAATTTGTATGAGCCACAGATGTTTCCTCAGTAGTATAATAGAGTACTTCCCCCTCCCCTACCAGCACCACAGATTAATTTCCCTGGATTTGGGACAGTTTTCTTTATAGTCCAGTGTGGTCTTTATTCGCAGACGGCTTGATCATAACACATATATGACAATAAGTTGCCTTCCCTTGTCCATAGAAATCAGACTCCAGCCCTCAGACACCAGAGCTCTAACTTTGGGGAATCTTTTTGTCTTCCTCAGTTTTCTAAAAACAGACCACACAATTGTAGTGGGTGAATAGAAGCCAAAAAATTAAACAACCAGATGCAGGCAAATTTCTCCTCTCATGGAATGTCTTTTCACAAGCTTCCCACTTCTTACTGCACAGGACTCTGTCACGAAAACAAGGTGGGGGCTGAGAGTTGGGGATCAGTCAGGGAAAAAAGAACAGTTATTTTATTATTACTCTATTTGTGACCCAGTACTCCCTTTAAAAGACAGAAAATGTTAACTTTACAGAAGGGAACTGTGGATTTGAGCCCTTTAACATGCAAATGTTCATCCTGATTAGATTCTAACAGTTTCACTGGATCATTCTTTCTGGCACAAAATGACTTCAGTTATCACTAGAGAATTCTGATTCCTCTCTTGCTTTTCTTTCTCAAGGTGGTTTTATCAGGTTGCTTCATTGTGGAGTTCATTTAAACCCTTGAAATCCAATCGCAGTTTATTTTAGATTTTTTTTTAATCTATAAACTTGGACTCTTTCAGTAGCCTCATAGCTGAGCCAGGTTTGCTGACCCTTGTACCTGGTTTCTGTTAAACAATTGACTGAATTGTACAGTGCGCATTTGAGTAAAATGTTAGATTTCAAATGCCATCAAGAAGCTTCTGTTTCCCAAACGCCTTGGTGTAGTGAAACAGTCAGATGTGAAACTTAGGGGAGTGAAGTTCAGAAGAAACTGGAGACCAAGGTTTGTTGCTAATTTGATATTTAGACGCAACATTTCAGGCCCTGACCAGGCTGCCAAAATGGAATTTACTGCCCATACCCCAAATGTTGTTTCAGTTTATCCCAGGGTATTGTTGCAAGCCAACAATATCCTTTTGGGGGCTCCCGCTGCTTTTCTTACTTTCTTTGCTCTCCCGTCTATTTTTGGACGCTATTTTATTAGAAATTGCCTGATGATGACTTGATACATTTCTGACTTGCCACCATAGCAATCTTGGATAAAACCTGAAGCCCTCCTATAGTCATCTGCTAATGGCAGATGGCATCCATATGGGACCTATGGTGTTTTTCTGCGGGAGATGCTCTACCTCAGTTGTAGTTTGGTGATGGAATATACAAAAGAATAGCATAAAATGCACTTTAACTCACAGGGATCCAACTTCCTTGGTTCTCAAGAGTAATGACTATGAAATCATTTTTTTGAATTTCCCAGCTCCACCAACTAGCACAAAACTGGGAAAAGGATATGACATAAAGTAATGAAAACCAAACTTGATGTCACAGCACCTATGCTTACATATGCATTATTCTTTTGGGATTCAAGCACTGGTTCTGAAATTTTTAAGTGATTTAATGCATTTTCAAGCATAATTTGATCTATGGGCAATTTGTTCCTTAAAAGCTGGAGCTGCAGAGTGACCACCATCTTTAGAGCATTTATGAACCCTACCATTCACCCCCGTCTCTTCCATGCCTAATTATTTTATTGACGTTGCTTGCCAGTTCCCTCTAGGTATCTGAGTTTGCAACCTCTATTCTAAATGTCATATCCTCTATAGGACGTCCCTGGTTCTATCCCGATTAACCCAGTACTTTTCTCGTCTAAGCCCTTCCCCTTTCCTGATGTGAACCTCTATTGTGGCACTTATACCTTTCTATAAGAACATGTCTCAGCCTTCTGTGTGCATAAGTGCTTTTCTATTCTCATGACTGCAGATGAACAATTAATTGCAGAAAGTCATGGATAAAATAGGGATCAAGATCTGGGAGTTGGCCACTTATATATATCTTCTTTTGAGAAGTATCTGTTCATGTCCCATTTTTAAATGGGGTTATTTGTTCTTTGCTTGTTACTTTGTTTAAGTTCCCTACAGATTCTGGATATTAAGCCTTTAACAGATGCACAGTTTGCGAATATATTTTTCCCGTTCTGTAGGTTGTCTGTTTGCTCTGGTGATAGTTTCTTTTGCTATCAACATAGTAGAAGCTCTTCAGTTTAATTAGGTCCCACTTGTCTATTTTTGTTTTTGTTGCAATTGCTTTTGGGGATTTAGCCAAAAATTCTTTGCCAAAACCGATGCTGAACAGAGTATTTCCTAGGTTGTTTTCCAGGATTTTTATGGTTTGAGGTCTTACATTTAAGTCTTTAATCCATTTTGAGTTGATTTTTTTTAATATGGTGAAAGGCAGGGGTCCAGCTTCAATCTTCTGCATATGGCTAGCCAGTTATCCTAGCACCATGTATTAAATAGTGAGTCCTTTCTCCATTGCTTGTTTTTGTTGGCTTTGTCAAAGATTAGATGGTTGTAGGTGTGAGTTTTCTATTTTGTTCCATTGGTCTATGTGTCTCTTTTTGTACCAGTGCCAAGCTGTTCTGATTACTGTGGCTTTATAGTATAGCTTAAAGTCAGGTAGTGTGATGCCTTTTGCTTTGTTCTTTTGCTTAGGATTGCTTTGGCTATTTGGGCTCTTTTTTGGTTTCACATGAATTTTAGAATAGTTTTTTTTCCTAATTCTGTGAGAAATGATGTTGGTAGTTTGATATTAATAGCATTGAATCTGTAAGTTGCTTTGGACAGCATGGCAATTTTTATAATATTGATTCTTCCTATCAATGGGCATGGAATATTTTTTCCATTTATTTGTATCATCTTTGATTTCTTTCAGCAGTGTTTTGTAGTTCTCCTTGTAGAGATCTTTCACCTATATTCCTAGGTATTTCACTTATATTCCTAGGTATTTCATTTTCTTTGTGGCTACTGTAAGTGGTATTATGTTCTTGATTTCACACTCAACCTGGATGTTGTTGATGTATAGAAATGCTACTGATTTTTGTACATTGACTTTGTATCCTGAAACTTCACTAAAGTCATTTATCAATTCTAGGAGCCTTTGACATGTGACAAAATGCTCAGTGTCACTAATCGTTAGAGAAATGCAAATCAAACCACACTGAGATGCCATCTCACACCAGTTAGGATGGCTATTTTTAAAATGTCAAAAAACAGCAAATGCTGGTGAGGCTGCTGAGAAAAAGGAATGCTTATACATTGTTGGTGGGAATGTAAATGAGTCCAGCCACTGTGAAAAGAAGTCTGGAAATTTCTCAAAGAACTTAAAACAGAGCTACTGTTAGACCCAGCAATCTTATTACTAGGTATATACCCAAAAGAAAACAAATCATTCTACCAGAAAGACACCTGAAGTTGTATGTTCATTCCTAGGCTATTCACAATAGCAAAGACATGGAATCAACCCAAGTGCCCATCAGTGGTAGACTGAATAAAGAAAATATGGGATATTTATACCATGAAACAATATACAACCATAAAAAATAATGGAATCATGTCCTTTGCAGTAACATGGATGGGGCTGGAGGCTATAATCTTAAGCAAATGAATGCAGGAACAGAAAACTAAAAATTGCATGTTCTCATTGATAAGAGGGAGCTGAACAGTGAGCACATATACACAAAAATATTGGAACACTAGAAACTGCGGCCTACTAGAGGGTGGAGGGAAACAGGTTGGTATATACCCAAAACTACCTGTTGGGTACTATGCTCACTAACTGGGTAATGGGATCCATACTCCAAACCTCAATATCACTCACTATTCTCATGTAACAAATCTGCACATGTACCTCCTATATCTAAAATAAAAGTTGAAATTTAAAAAAAAATCTACGAGACAGGTGGGGAAATTAAAACAGATTTGTAGGCCAGAAGATCTGACATTTATCAAAGGTGAACTTAAATGTTTCTAGTGGTCAGAGCAAAACAAATAATAATTACCTGTTTCCTATATATGCCCATAAAGAAAATACACGTGAATTCCTTAGGGAAAGCAAAGATCATCTCCAACAGTTGTAAATCTCTTGAGTTCTAGGAACAAGTTTTTTGTTTTCTGTTTTTTAATCTTTGCATTGCCCCACAGCTCCCATGACAGTGCCATGCACTGTGCAAGGACTCAATAAATATTTGTTAGATATTTTTTTTGCAGAGATTTCGTTGACCCAGGGAATGGCCAATGTGAGAGTACCTCAACTCTGTAGACTTACAATGTCAACTCACGCAGTGTATCATCAGCTTGGAGGTTCTTGACTGACAATAGCTGATAGCTGATCCATGGCGACCCAAATACCCACTGCTTCCCCCACCTATTTAATGGTTAACTTATTTTTTTCATCTCATTGTAGTTAGTGACTTCAACATAAACTCAAAATTCCCTCCCTTTTTTTTACTGTTTATTTTTCCCAATCATAACTTTTACAAGTGTTTCAAATAATTTCTTCAAAGATTTGCACATTAATTAACAGAAGGTAGTTGTGGTGAGGTACCAAGAAGCCCCTCAAATTTACTGGACTAGATTCTTGGTTTTGTATGTCCACAAGTAAGTCTGTTGATTAGAGGCATGAAGAAGCCATGAAGAACTGATTATCATGAAGACAATGGCAGAGTAATAAGGACAGCAGCAAACTATCCTATTTGTCCAGGCTTTTTATTTTCCTGGACTGTTTTCAACGTTGTCTTTATTCTCATCTGCGAAACAGAAGAAGGGTTTGGCTCAGAAGCAGCAGCTGAGAGAATGCCTGCCATGCTGTGTCCCTGTCTCCCTGCCATGTCCTTACAGGTGGGAGTGATATACCTGGCTCCCTGCCTTGGCGCCTTTGTTCATGGCTCCCAGGAATCTACCTTTGCACCCTCCACTTTCCCTTCCTTCTCCACCCTGCCTGTGGCCCACTCTTTCAACCTGAGAACTTATCCTGGCTGCCAATAGGCAGTGCTAATGCCAGCTTAGTCTTTCTCACCCAGGTGGCTAAAGGCCAGCGTTTCAACATGAAACCTTTCCCAGATACTCATAGCACCTGAGTGCATGTAAACGTTTGTACTCTGAGTTGCTAGAATGAGAGAGCCGTCAGGTATACAGAGGTGCTACAGTGGAAAGCTTTCTTTGTCGCATGTGATTATCTCAATGAAGAAAATATGAGTGGAATCCAATGACTTCCTCTGTCATCTTCCTGCCTCTGGCATCTACCTGTTCATGTTTATGCTCAACTGCTGATTAATCTTTTCAGATGGTTTATCATATCCCTGTTCAGGAGCTACTATCTACTCTGGGAAATGTAAACACTTCATCCAGGTGTTCAAATTCCTCAGCTTTGCTAGATGAAAACACCAAGGATACGACAACTTGCAAGAGTTTTACAATCCCCAAGTTCATTCTCCTGAGAGAACAACAGGTAGAAATCCAGACAGGTGGAGTGACCTGTTCAAGGCCACACAGCTATACATAGCAAATCTGGGAACGGAGGCAAGAAGGAGGTCAAACCACTGGCCAAAGTTTATCTTCCCTAAAGCACATGTGCTTCCTTAATCGCAACTCAGTGAACAGAACATGGAAAGATACATCATTATCATTGAACTCTGTGTGCATATGTGAGAATCTAGTGGTTGGAGGTTAGAAAGCTTGGGAACATGTGTTTATGTTGACAGCATAACAAGTTGTTAAGTCTACAGACTTTGGGGTTAGGCTGTGATTGAATCTAAGCTGTCCCTTGTTAGCTATCTATATACTTGAGCAAGTTTCTTAACCTCTTTGATACTGAAAATGCTCATTGATGAGATGGAGTTATGACTTTTTTGCCAAAATGTTGTGATGATATCACTAAGGGAAATGATTATTATTAAAACTATTCTACAATGCTGACATAACATTTATGTCATTCAAAGTGATGTATTATCACCCCTCACATACCCTTTCTTTCCCAGCTTCTTGTTCTTTTCTCCTGTCTGCCTTTGGATGAACTACTCTTTTTTCTATACAGTAAATTCCTTACCTTCTCAATATATCTGCTTCACCGCCAAGGTAGCTCTATCATCTTTCTCATTTGCTTCATGATTCTGCAGAGCCTTCGTTAGCCAAAATCTTTGAAAGAGCATCATGGGAGGAAAGTGGAGAAGATATCAATCAGTAGGTGGTTTATTTGTTACCTGTAAATTATGTGATTTCAGCAGTGTATTAGTTAAGATTCTTTTAGTTTAGTGACAGCAAAATGGACCTCAACTGGCTTAAGTTTTTTTATTGTGTGAGTTTACTATTTCTGCTGTAACAATTTACCACAAATTTTAGTAGCTTAAAATAATCCAGATTTATTCTTATGACTCTGGAGCTCAGAAGTCTGAGATGGGTCTCATGGGGCTAAAATCAAGGTGTCAGCAGGACTGCGTTCCTTCCAAGGGCTCTAGGAGATAATTTGTCCTTCTTGCCTTTTCCAGCTTCTACATGCTTCCTGCATGCCTGGCTCATGGACCCACAATACAATGACTAAGGTGTAAAATGGGCACATAAGAGGGCCCCTAAGGATCTATTCCAGTGCTATTGCTGTTATCTACTTATAGTGTGTTGAATGGTGTACCCCCAAAATTCATGTCTACATGTAACCTCAGAACAGGATCTTATTAGTAAATAGGATCTTAACAGATGCAATTAGTTAAGATGAGGTCATACTGGACTAGGTTGGGCCCTAAATCCAATGACACGTGTTCTTATAAGAACAGATTTACATGGCCTGGGAGGGGAGATCACAGACAGAGCCATACAGGGAAGAAGGCCATGTGAACATGAAAGCAGAGAATGGAATGATGCAGCTACAAGGCAAGTAATGACAAGGTTGCTGGGAGCCACCAGAAGCTAGGAAGAGGCAAGAAATGAGTCTTCCTTAGGGCCTTCAAAGAGAGCACAGCCCTGCAGGCACCTTGATTTTGGGCTTCTACTCTTCAGAACTCTGAGAGAATAAATTTCCATTGTTTTAGGCTAACCAGTTTGTGGTAATTTGTTTTGGCAGTCTTGGGAAACTAACACACCTCTCTGTCTATGCCAAACCAGCTATAAAATATTATGAATTCAATCCATATTGTGTGCCCTAGTCAGCATTTCAAGATGGCTATGTTTTCTCTCTTGGACCAGTTTATTTTAGGGTCAGTAGATGAGCAGACTTCACAGCAGATTTTATTTGATTCACTGCTTTGCTGGTACATCTAGCCCAGAACTGCACATTCTAATTTGTTTTAATAAAGTCTCTGACCTTCTTCTAGCCTCATCAAACCCAATAGGAATCCTTACCATTAGAATGTATTGATTTCTATCCTGTTGTATTAATCTTCTAGCAATGTAAGGCCTGTCCCAAATAATGCTAAGAGAATGAGAGAGAAATGCTTGCCTCTAGGCTATGGGAGCTACCAGCTCATGTTCTAATTTACATCATACCAGATTCACAAGTTCCTAATCTGATGAGCGCCAACTGTAGTGAGGCTGTGTTCTTCACCATCATGGCTTAGAAAAGATCTTGAGCTGGCTCTGCTCAGCTCCTGATTGGGTCATGGGGACAATTTTTCCCCAACACTGTTACTACTACTCCTGTAATTCTTCAAGATTTATAGATGTCCTAGGAAATTACAAAGGAGTAGTTTCTTCAGGCATGGATTGGCATCACTTCTCTTTGATGATTGCCAGAGAGGTGTTAGATATGGACAAAGTGCAGTCCTCTGCAGATACCTATGCATGGGTCACCTATGCAATACTCATTGCAGTGAAGGGTAGGCTAACCTGGATGCTGAATCAGTTCCCATATGGCTCCTGGGTGCTCAGACAAGCTCCCTAAAACAGCTCTTTGCTAAAACACTCTTGTTTCTGTCAAATGACTCCCTCACCTCTCTGTTCTCCTTAATTCCTTATCTATTTCATCCTCTACCTGTTTATTTCATTTGGGGCATCCTCTACCTGTTTATTTCACTTTGTCTGATAGGCAGAAAATGTCCTACTCTCTCTCCTCTTATATTTATCTCAAGCATTTTATCTATCCCTAGAAATGCTTTTATTCTTCCAAGGGATGAGGCTTTTGCAAACAGAGCCAGGAAGAATTCTTTGGCTTCCTTCCTTGTTGCCTCTTTCCCCTGATTCTATGAGCCTGGAATGGCTTAGCTGCTTGTGAAGTTAAAGAAGATAAAGTAGAAAATTTCTGAGTAAAGATATCCATTAAATCTTCAAAGATATCATTCCAATGCATTAAAAAATATTTTCAAAACTCTTTTACTATTAACTCACAATTTTCAAATGTTGTTTCCCAGACTCATGAAATAACTTCAGATAGATGTATGAGGGACCTATAGACTACATAAAGACCTATAGACTGTCATGAGATTCTAGATGTAACCTTCTCAGGGGCAGGAAGAGCATCTATTTCATTAACTTGGGACAACCCTCAGCACATGTGGGTTCTTAAAAATGTTTCCTGGTGTCTCTGATATCCCTAGGCTGTGTCCATAGACCTATCAGCCTGGTCAGGACAGAGATCTGTTTCCTCTTTTCATGAATGATAAATAATGTTTTTGGGCCAGGCACAGCATTCCAAACAAACTGAGAAAGTCAGGAGGAAATAAAGATGAGTGATAACTCTGCTCCCAACTTTAAGAAGGGAAAATCTTCTTTGTTGTTGCATTCATCCATTTATCCCAACCTAATGTACAATCAACTTCTTATTCCTTAATTCTGACGTGAGACATGTATCTCTGAGTCTCCAGGGGCATTACTCTCCTCTTCTCCTAGGTGGGAGGTGTGTGTCTCTGGCACGTGTATTATGGAGTTATTACAAATGGCTGCTTGGCTGTGCAGCTGTGTAACTCTTGCCTTGCTCTTCCAAACACAGCTACCTTATCTTTTCTTGCCTCCTCCTCCCTGAAGCTATTACCTTATTTTATTTTATTTTTTCAGGTTAAACAGCAGCCTCCTTCTTGGCTTCCTGGATCTATTCCTATTAACCCAGCATCTGAAGTCCTTGCAGGCAAAAAGCCTAACCAAGCAGAGACAATAGTCCCAGTTCAGCTCAGGCCATGTAGGGCTCATTTTCCTACACACATTAAGTCCTGACCTAGACCACTGGGGAACTGCTGAAACTCTGTAGCTTACTGAAGCTCATAGATTGGAGAAAGGATTATGGAATCATCTTTTATAACATCCTCTGAACTTATCTGGTATTTCAGAGAACATAATTTCTGCCTGACAACAAATGCATGCATGTAAAAGAGAAAACCTCACTTTGGGTTCTCTGTTACTGAGGTCACTCTGTCCCAGGTTTACATGGCAAGCATTTTACATTCTAACCAGATCCTTAACTCTCACTATCAAAGAAAATTTATTTTTAAAAATTAATGATCCTTCTTTATAAATTATGTAGACAGGCTTGGACAGCCGTTGTCTTCCTAATCCTTCGTAGACTTATTTCATCTTCAGGAAGAAACACTGCTTCCAGTGATAAATCTGAGAAGCTTCTTCTGTTTGATGTCTGATACATTGCTGTGAACACAGACATAGGAAAAATGTAAGAGCTATTTTTATATCTCCACTTTTGAGTTGTTAATCCTCCAGTCACTCTCTTTTCTGTCTTCATCACTAAATTTTGTTTCCAAATCTTTCAGTGATTTCTTTTGTTATATTTTTTCTCAGTGTAAACCATTTTATTATCCATCAACCCCCTCTACTTAAAAAATTTGATATTTTTATTAGGCAACCAGATAGTGTATGTCTCTGTTGTGATGCAATATATCACCTATGATGTGTTCAAGCCAAAAATGTTTAACTTTAATCCTTTAAGCCTTTAGCTGCAGGAAATCAGTCCTATGAGTCAATGTCATAAAACCCAGTTGGAGTGGGGGATGTGCTAGATTAGAAGAGGGGTAATGGACAGAACAAGCAGATGTCACATGTGATCCTGGATTGGACCCGGTCTGAACTGCTCATCTGCAAAGGATGTTTTGACACAATTGGGCAAACTCAAAACTAGATTAGGAATTAGGGAAAGTACACATTTTGGGGTATGGAAAGGTAGAGATTAGCAACGGAAACATGTAGATTACAAAATGGCGTGTGTGATATGATCTAAATTGTATTAAAATACACATGTATTTTAACACACACATATACATATATGCATATATATTAAATGCAAGAAAAATCTGGGAACATACTTAATACTTAGTGTTATTGTAAAAGTCTCGTGTTTTTATTTTCTTACTCTTATTGATCAGTATTTTCTAACTTTCTACAAGACACATACTGCTTGTAACAATTACTTTAATGAATTAATTAATTAAGAAAGGAAGGGATCTCATTAGTAATGATGTAATGATTCTCACTGATTTTGGTGGGGCATCAAATAGAGTTGTGAGAACTTTAGTAAAATCCAATTATCTTAGTGTATTAGATACTGCTTAGTGTATTAGATAAGGATTTTCATACTGCTACGAAGAACTGCCCAACACTGCCTACTTTATAAAGAAAAGAGGTTTAAATGACACAGTTCAGCATGGCTGGGGAGGCATCAGGAAACTTAAAATCATGGTGGAAGGCAAAGGGGAAGCAAGGCACTTTCTTCACAAGGTGGCAGGAAGGAGAAATGCTGAGTGAAGGGGGAAGAGCCCTTTATAAAACTATCAGTTCTCATGAGAACTCACTCACTATCATGAGAACAGCATAGGGGAAACTGCCCTCACGATCCAATTACTTCCACCTGGTCTCTCCTTTGACATGTGGTGATTATGGGGAGCATAATTCAAAATGAGATTTGGATGGGGACACAAGGCCTAACCATATCACTTAATTATGGTGATTCTTAAGTATCAAGGGAATATAATTATTCTGAAATCGGAGTCTTTGTTTACTGCTGCCCTTGGTCTCCTTAGTTAATTTTTGAAGCTTCACTCAATGTATTAAAGAAGAGTAAAAAAATAGTCACTGGTAAAAATCAATCCAAATCTCAATTAACCAGGACCAATCTGAAGCTTTATTTTCATCCACACATCTCTCCTTTTGTCATAAGGAACTATTTAGTGAAAAAGCCTGAAGGGAGGCTGTCTGCCTACTTGAGAAAAGGTGCATAAAGTAAGTGATTTATAAATGACAGAAGGCTCAACTTTTGATTTTCAAATCTGGACTGTATATTTACTTTAGACCTCAAAGGACATAGAATTAGGTAGATACTGTAGTTTCAACCTTCATCACTGAGTTTACAACCAAACATGTTCTCATTTCTCTCATTCAGTGGACATTTTCAGAACACAGAACCATACACATGTGCCTATTAAATTGTGCCACATTTATCTCATCATGTTAGTTTTTTTATGATACTTACAAAATTCATGCAAAGTTAAGATGTTTCCTTGGCTTCTATTCATTACACTTGTGATCAGCGTGCCATTAATTTAGTGGGATATGGTTGAGGAAAAGACCCTACTGCATTCCATGAGAAGCATCCCTGAAGGGAAATAGCAAAAGCAGTCATTAAACAAGTTAATAAATCCATCTAACCATTCACATTTCTTGTTTTGTCTCGAAGGACGCCTTGAGACACTGTTGAGAAGCTCACTAAAATCCAGAGGCACTATGCTGTTTGTTTCCTTGATCTGTTGCTCTAGAAACCCTATGACAAAATGAAGTGAGGCTTTTCCAAAAAGGCTTACCCTAACAAAACTCATTCTACTTCTTTTAATTATGTCTTATAAAACCTTGCCTCATACTGGCATGAAACTCACTGATGTATGCTTTGTACAATCAATATTTTTTTTATCACTTTGAAATATTTGAATTCTCCCCGTTAGTGATGCCACAGAGATAACTGATAGAAGTTAGCTGATTGCCTTGTAGTCTCCAGGATGCAATTCTCATTAGGGTCCCTGAACTCAATTAGAACACTTAGTTTTGTTCTTACAAGCTCCAGGCTTGCACTGAGCTTCAGTTTCACTGTCTTTATCCAATATCTGTCTCATCCTTTCCAGTTGAAAGACGAATTGTTTTGGTAGAGAAGATGGATACCTCATAATTTTTACTACCTTTCTGTCATCTATACAATTCCAGTTCTATCCTTTCTTTATTATTCTTGTCCTCAACACTAAAAAATTATTTCAGTGTTCTTTTTACATTTGCAAGTTTCAGCTTATTCCCAGCATGAATCTTCTGGACACCATTCTTGCTGCATTCTTTTGTTGATCCTTGGTTATGTGTCTTTATTTCTATCTTTTGTACATTCCTTTTCGACTTTAAGCTACTTGGAAAGTTCTCTGTGTAGCCATTAAGTTTTAGGCTACTTCTCCCATTTCTTCCTCATTGGAATCACTTGCAATTTCCTAGTCAGAATTATGGTTTGGAGAACAGCCTGACCCCCTGGAACTACTTTTATATCATTTCACACAGCTGAGTTATCTCTCCTCTGGTACTCATGAAGTCTGCTGGCCCCAGGGTCTATGATTGTGATTGCAGACATCTGACTGTGGCAGCTCCATGTCTCAGTTTTGTGCCTATGGCTGGCATCACTAATCAGTCGAGGTACTCTTTCCATGGTTTGCATTCTTCCTCAATACTTGGGGGTCTACATCTACCACCAGGCAATCAGAGTTGACCCTTGATCTGTATCCCTGCTCTAAGGCACCTAATTCTTACAACATTCTTACATTGTTATTATTTCCATTTCAACAATAAATTGCTCAAAATTAATCAGATTTAGCACTTTTAAGATATATGAAGGTATGATAAGTGAAGAAAATAATTAGGTATAGTATAAACAGTGCAGATTGGGCTGACAATCTAGGTAGATTGACTTCTTTAAATATCTAACTGGTCTGTTAATCAACTTATAAGACACTTCAAATGCTTTCTTACTCCTTGTTAGGTTTTCTCCAGACTGGTTCCATTGAGGAAGGAATTTTCTATCATCACGTTAATCTAGTAATATTCCTAACAACTCCCTAGTACCTCCTTTGGTCTGGTCCACTAATATGAGTTTCTAATTGAAATTTATTAAAAGTGGTTCATAATGGCCATCTGTTTCCAGTAGTTCTGGTTATCTATTGAGGTGCAGCAAACCATCCCAAACCTTATGTCTCCAAACCACACTATTCATTTATTTTTCTCATAGTTCTGTAATTTGGGTAGGACTTGCAGGGATGGTCCAGCTCTACTCCACGCAGCATTAGCTGGGGCAGTGCTACTTGGGGCTGGAAGATCCATTTCAAGCTAGTTCACTCATGGCTGGCAAATTGATGCTGGATCTCTGCTGGGAGTTGAACCAGGACTTGAGCCAAGGGTTCTCAGTTCCTCTGAGCCTTCTTGCAAGTTGCCTGGATTTCCTTACAGCATATTATCTTGGTTTTGAACGTGACCCAAGCAGGAAGCAGAAGTGCTTGTTATTTTTATGACCTAGCTTTGGAAGTCACATGGCACCTCTTCTGCCATACTGTATTGGTCAAGGAAGTAAGAAAAACTCACCTAAGTTCAAGAAGAGAAGACATGGACTCCTCCTTTTGATGGAGACAGCAAGGGTCTTAAAGAACATGTGGCTTAGGATATATGGTTGTGGCCATCTTTGGAAGATACTGTCTGCCACAATATCAAACTAAGTTTGTTCAGTGGTCACTATCTTGTAGCAAATCAAAGGATATCAAGTGAGCATGGTTACCCTATATAGCATCACCATTATGGTTTGAAGAATATCACCTTAGTTCCTCTTATTCAAGCAACAGATACTGACAGCCAAAACTATGTGTCAGGCACTGTGTTAGATGCTCTAGTGACTCTTCAATTCATAACTGAATTTTGACAAGTTCATTTCCATCATATTCTTACCGTGAGGTACTTCATAGAAATTTGATCCTTTCTTTCTTTTATTCTCATATAACAAGTATTTTTAAATATCTACAGTCTTTATCCTTGATCCAAGAGGATATTTGCTGCAGGTATAGTGTGACTACTGCTCACTTATTAATAGATTGATATTCAAGATGCTTGACATTTGCTTTGGCTTGCACACTGGCCAATCAGATCAGAAGCTGACCTTATCTGATACAGTCATATTGCTGACAGTATATATAGTAGGTGAATACTTGCTTACTTTTTAAGGAGTCTTATTTTTCATTGTTTTTTCTCCACTTAAATAAATGAATACATGTTGAGCATTTATTATGTTCAAGAACCTGGCTTTGGTACTGAGGAAACTGTGTGTCTGTTCTCAATAGGATTTAAAAGGCCTTTTGCAATTACTATGTTCTCTGCCCAGAAGGCTCTTTCCCTAAATATTCACGTGGCTCACTCCACCACTTCCTTCACTTCTCTGTTCATGTGTTACCACATCAGAGAGTCCTTCCCTGTTCACTGTAAATAAAGTAGCACCCACCTATTATTTCCTATCCTTAATGTATTTTTTCATAGCAGATACAACCACCAAGCATATTGTAAATTTATTTATTATTTACTTCCTTAGCAAGAATTAAAGTACATGAAATTACATCCCTAGCACTAGAAACTATGAGCACACAGTAGGTACTCAGCTAATACAAGTTGGATTGAACTGAATACTTGTTGAGATGTGGAAATGAAGAGAGATGGCAGAGAAAAAGATAACTGAAGCCCAAGCCAGGCTGTCAGGAGGAATAGTGATGTCATGAAGTGAAGTAGGGAGGAATTGAGGGGGAAGCATTTTCATTGAGGTTATCTGCTTTTGTGCCATATCTGAAGATTTGTCCCTTTGGAGGTACACATTTGGTTGCATTCTGTATATGAAATTTAAAAACAAGCATCTAAATATTGCAAAATGTTTCTAGACAAGCACAACACTTCGTTAGCTATCTGGCCTGCTGTCCCTTACCTTCCAACATCTCCTGGGACATCTTTACTAAAGGAAATGCCACTCCTAGTGTCTTAGGATGATCCGTCTCCATAGTTAGTTATTAATCAAAGAAAAATGATAATAACTCATGTTATCCTTTTATCCTTGGCAAAGCTGTTTCCTAGAAGTAATATCCAAACATGATGAGGTGTGGAATCTCAGTTGCCTAAACTTAGAAAGTTAATGTTGGTCTCAGTTCCCACACAGGTGCATGAGGTCGGGGGACATAATGGAAAAGGGCTGGAAATCCCAGACACAAACAGGACCTCAGGGTCAAGGAGGGCTTCCCAAAAATAACAGCTCTTGAAGAGCCAAGGCCTCTCTGGGTGTGAGCCAGTGGACATCAATAGTACACACAGCACTCAAGTGGAAACAGAGGCGAATGATTTGGCAGTGGTTTCCTGGCCATATAAAACAAAGTTCTATTAACATAAAGCTAGTAGAGGGAGGGATTGCTGCAGCTGTGATGTGACTACATTTCATGTATTAACTCCTGGGGCCTCACAATAGTGGATTCTTGCTGGCTTTATTATGTAAGAGACCCCAGAAATAATCCCAGAAACCCCAGAAATAATCAGATATTTCATGATTTTCAACTTTGGTGATACTGAAGAAATAGAAGGTATTGAGTTTCTGCTGGGGAAGAATGAAGTAGGAAGCCAATAAACTGTAATGAGTTTTCTCTACCAACACCAACCTATATCCCCTGAACAGTGGTTTTCAAACCTTGCTGCCCATCACCTGGTCAGGATATAAAAATTACTGTTCCTTAGGCTGCTCTGGAGATCAACTAAATCTGGATCTCTGGGACTGGCTCCTGATATATGTATTTTTAAAGCTCGCTAGGTGTATTGGTTTTGTAGGGCTGCCATAACAAAGTACCACTGACTGGGTGGCTTAAACAACAAAAATTTATTGCTTTACAGTTCCAGAGGCTAGAAGTCCAAGATCAAGGTGTTGGCAGGGTTGGTACCCTCTGAAAGCTGTGAGAGAGAATGTATTCCATGCCTCTCTCCTAGCTTCTGGTAGCCTCAGGCATTGTCCTGGATACAGATGATATTCTCCCCCTGTCTTCCCATGGTCTTCCCTCTATGCATGTTTCCGTGTCCAAATTTCTCCTTTTTGTAAGGATACCAGTCATGTTGGATTGACCATCTTAATGACCTTGTCTTAACTTGATCGTCTACAAAGACCCTATTTTCAAAGACGGTCAAAATCACAGGTGCTGAAAATAAGGACTTCAATGTCTTTGGTGGGGGCGAAATACAAGTTAATCCTTACCAGGTGATTCTACTGTGCAGCTAATGAGAATACCTGATCTACATCTGACTTGGGCCTCCCTCGACCCAGTCACTCTTGGAAGAAGAGAGAAGGAGAAGAGAAAAGTAGAGGAGTGAAGGAAAACATAAAAAGAATATCTAGAACAGCTCATACTAAATTATAATTGAGGAGGTCGAAGGACTGCTCTTCCTTATGCCTCTTACAACTTCTTGTCCTCAAGGCATGACTCCCTCCTGAAGATAACCTCTCTCTGACTTCAGCCTCTTCTTACTCTAACCATGTGAACCTCATCTTATCTACAAGATTGATTGGGGAACTTTCTATGTTCAGTGACTCTCTGTCCAGAGTAAACATTAGGACAAATTGGGGAGCTTTTCAATAAAACACCAAAACCAGGCCTCATCTCTACTAGGAAAGTCAGATTCTCTGTGGAAGAGCCTGGCCATAGCAGTATTTAAGAAGTACCACAAACTTCTATCTGTGATGTGTAGTAACTGGAACTGGATCTTCCCTTTTGATGTAAACAAGTAGAAATCTTGACAAAATATAGGACAGTTTTCAGATATTGAACAATAGGAAGCACAAAGCTGTGATCCCTGAGAGAAGGGAAATGAAAGAGATGAGCACTATAATCTCCCAGCTTCCTGCCTGAAGACACCTTCTGGCTACACGGAGAAAGGGGGATCTGAAGCTGAGTTCATCTGGGAAAGGAGATAAAAATAAGAGTCCAGGAAAGCTGAAGCAGACGGAATGTCTAGGACAGAGCAGCAGAGAGGAGGAAACTACATAGAGAAATCTGTGTAAGATTTCTTTTGAATTCAGTCTGTTGCTGAATATTAAGCCATGTATGTATAAGGAGAAACAATACAAGCCTAAGCAAAACTGCCAAGTAGCAGTAAACTGAACAATTTTTAGAGCTCACAGAGGGTTTGGAGACATCCAGGTGTGACATGCCATAATGGAGAGTTGTTAGTGAGTACTCAGAGAAATCAACAGAGACTCCAGATGGGCCAGGCTTTAGAGATGCTAGTTTAGTACCAGCCCCTAGCATAAGAGATAGTCTGTACCTTCCTTAAGAAAGCTTAAAAACAAGCCTCAAAATATCAAGCTGATCCGCAAGTAACTTAACTGTCTTCCAGAACAAAGCCCAACGTTTAAAGAAAGGCTACTGCATCCATTACTCAAGCATGTAAAATATATAGTGTCTGCATCTTACCAAAAATTACCAGACATCAGCTGGGTGTGGTGGCTCATGTCTATAAACCCAGCACCTTGGGAGGCTTAGGTGGGTGGATTGCTTGAGCTCAGGAGTTCAAGACCAGCCTGGACAACATGGCAAAACCCCCTCTCTACAATGGATACAAAAATTAACCAGGTGTGGTGGCACGCGCCTGTGGTCCCAGCTACTTGAGAGGCTAAGGTGGGAGGATTGCTTGAGTCCAAGAGATTGAGGCTGCAGTGAGCCATGATCGCACCACACTGTACCTTTGCCTGGGCGACAGAGTGAAAGGTTGTCTCCAAAAAATAAATAAATAAATAAATAATTATTAGACATATGAAGAAGCATGAAAATGTGACATGTAACAAGGAGGAAAAAAATCCTCAGAAATGATCGAGATGATTATATTAACAGATAAGAACTTAAAACAGGTATTATGAATCTACTAAAGGAATATATATATATATATATATATATATATAGAACTAAAAGTAAAAAGTTTCCTTACAATATGCAGCTGAAATTGAGGAGCTGATAGATGTTCTATCCTGTGTCAAAGTAGGTGGAAATTATTTTTATTTTTGGAAAAGCTTGGGGCAAGACATTCAATGGCAAAGATAATGGCAACTGCTGTGGTTCATGATACGAGTCCACTTTCTGGAAAACATTTTATTATCTTTCTATATCTGTATCTCTCAACTAAAACATAGTGTGCTTTATTCGTTGAGGCACTTGATAAAGAGATGTTGACCCTTTTAGTTGATAACTATCATGCACAAATGCTCTCAGATTTGTGTATGTGTGTACATGTATTCTCAAGTAACAATATGTTTTGTCTAGCATTAAAGAATTAATGGATTTCAATTTTTTAAAAAATTATACATTTTTACATTTTGGAATAATATTTTAACTATGTTTTAAATCCAGTTATATAAAATAAAATATGAGCGTCTGAAGACCTTCTTGCATTTTTACAGACATTTAATGCTTGGGTCTCTGACAAGAACATTACAATACATGTCATATTCTCTCAATAGAAAAATTGTTAATACCCTAAAGAAATCATTGTAGAGGGGGGATTCGCCATGTTGTCATATTCTCTCAATAGAAAAATTGTTAATACCCTAAGGAGATCATCTAGGAAAGGAGATGTTTTAAAGAGCTGCTTAGGTTGTTATCTGTGTAAAGAGGTGGAAAAGTTGGCTGTTTGAGAATATATTTCCCACAGAATATAGGGGTCAAGTTACTAGCTTTAGAAATGAGAACACTATTTGATTGCTTTTCAAGATGTAATGTCTTTGCAGACAAGTGGCTAGAAGTATTATTTCAGAATCAATTGAATCATGACATGTGACTAAGGTACTTCAGATTTGTTTTTGAGATGCCCAAACTTAACACTGAAGCAGTGTGTGGTAAAAAACTTATACTTAACCCCCAAATTGCCCAAACATACGAGTAGCTTGTTCTTCTGAAGGCTGTGGCTTTTATCTGGATCAAGAATTTTGCCTGCACAGTTGGTCACAATTACAATCTTATATCACTAGATAAGCAATATGGTTGAGAACATTTTTAATTTGAGGAAAACCAACACTAGCTATATTGACAACCTGAAGCTAAAGGCTCAGCAACTTGTGTAAAGAAGTGATTATCACAAGAGAGTGACTTTCGTGTTTTTAAATGGTTACATACAACAAAAGAAGAGCTCATGCAGCTCTATGACTGGGACATTGTGAAAGATCTCATGATATTTCAGACTCAAAGAGAAAAATGCTGGATTGGAAGACATTCAGTGACTGACACTGAGGTTAATCCCCAAAGGAAAAATCATTCTGTAGGGAATATTTATATCTGAACAACGAGAAGCCAGCATCTGCCTTAAAATAATATCATGCAGGGCACTGAAGTCCACTGCAGTCCAAACTCAATCTGGGTGACTATGGGCCTACATTAATTTTGGTGAATAGCAGGTTATTTTGAATTGGGAAGTGGTGATATAAAAGAATGAGAAAACTTAACTTCAGATCATGAATTCCTTTCATGGGAAAAATGTGAACCCCAGTAATATTTTCATCTGATATTGATAGTAAGATTAATAGGTATTCAGAAACAGACTTGAAAATTCAAAGCAGATAGCAGGAAATGGTACTAAACTGAGAAACCATGTGAGAAAGATTATTGTGAAAGAGAACTAAATGGTGGAATGAGAAGAGAGACAGAGAGAGACAGAGACAGAGAGAGAGGGAGAGGGATCATGGAAACAATCCAAAGATGTCACAGGGAAAAAATATAGAATAGGTAAGACCTGCACAGCATTTTGGAGTGTCAGTTTTGATTGCCAAATCTTTTGTGTCTCCAGCTCTTACCTTCAACAGTCTTCTGATGGCTATAGTTATGTCCCACTCTGTTTACCTCTTTCCTCATCACTGTGTTAAAGGGTTACTTCTTCCCTGCCATGGCTAGACTTACCAAAATTAACACACATTTTGCTGGTAGAGAAGTTATCTATGAATGGGAAAAGACTATATGCATCTCCTAATTATAAAGGCCCAAAAGAAGGTTGTTTTGTTTTTGTTTTTGTTTTTTTTTTTTTTGAGATGGAATCGCGCTCTGTTGCCCAGGCTGGAGTGCAGTGGCGCCATCTCAGCTCACTGCAAGCTCCGCCTCCCAGGTTCACGCCATTCTCCTGCATCAGCCTCCGGAGTAGCTGGGACTACAGGTGCCCGCCACCACGCCTGGCTAATTTTTTGTATTTTTAGTAGAGACAGGGTTTCACTGTGTTAGCCAGGATGGTCTGGATCTCCTGACCGCGTGATCCACCCGCCTCAGCCTCCCAAAGTGCTAGGATTACAGGCGTGAGCCACTGCACCCAGCCAGAAGGGTTTTACAAAAACTTTATTACCAGGTAGATCCCGTGTTTTCTCCCTTTAGCCTGATATCTGGTGCACTGAAATCAATTATTGAACACAGTAGAGATACTTCAGTACCCCAGGTCTAATTTTTATTAGATTTGCCTATTAATAAAATCTCCTGGGAGTGTTTACCTTACCCTGATAATGTAGAAAAATTCTGTCTCCAGACACATAACAGGAAGGCTGTGTGAGAATGTTCACATCTCTGGTTCTTGACTATTTCCGAGCTTTGCTCTCTGGCTCTGTATCTTTGTGAACTAGCTGAGTTCACAGCTTTTCATGTGACTTAATAGCCATAGCATATGTACTAGCTGCTCCACTCTGGGCCTTGATTCAGATCTTGGTAAAGGAAGCATCCTCTGAACTCTCCCAAAGATACAGTGAGGGTGGGTGAGCAGATCTTACATGAAAAATCCATGGTGACATTCCAATTTCTCAAAGCCTTTGCATACTTCCTCTACAGCATATCAAGGAAGTTCATTTTCATTAAACAACCCCACAATTTGTTCTTATATTTCAGCCACTTTGTAGACCCAGAAGCCCCTGAATAAGGAGGAAACTGGGTCCCCTTGAGGAAGAAGCCTGCTCTACTGCCAAAAATGAATGTGGTCCACCAATCAGAGTAGAGATTTATGGAGATCAGGTGATCAATGAAATTTTGGTTAGCTACATCTCACTGTGGGACCACTGGATCCTGAATCCACTCTGTGATTATTTTCTTGGTTCTTGAATAATTGGAATAGACACAGTCAGCAACTGGTAGATACCCACAACTGACCTGTGGAGTGGGGACTATTATGGTAGGAAAGGCCAAGTGGAAGCCATTAGAACTGCTTCTACCTATCAAAATAGTAAATCAAAATCAGTACTGAATTCTTTGAATAATTTCAGAAATTAGTGATTCCCACTTTATCTTTGTGAATTTCATATAATTGACCTGTGTAGAAGACAGATCTTAGAGAATGATAGTGGCTGTTATGGACTGAAAGTTGTTAGGATTTCATATGTTGAAATTCTAACCCCCAAGTTGATGGTATTAGGAGGTGCAGCCTTTGGGAGATAATTATGTCATGAGAATGGAGCCCTCATGAATGGGATTTGTGTCCTTATAAAAGGGACCCCAGAGAGTGCTCTAGCTTTCCTTCTACCCTGAGAGGGTACAGCCATCTGCCACCCAGAAGAGGACACCCACCAGAACTTGACCATGTTGGCACCCTGATGTCAGACACCCAACTTCTAGAACTATGAGAAATAAATTTCTGTGGTTGATAAGCCACTTAGTCTGTAGTACTTTGCTAGAGTGGCCCAAACTAAGACAAGTGAACTGCTGTAAACATAATCAGGTAGTGACTGCAATTGCAGCTGGTGTTCCAATGTGGTTTTATTTCTTGGGCAAATCAACCCATTCCCTGGCAATTCATATGCAGCTATTAATATGCAAATGTTTTTTTCTCTATGCCTGTTAGTAAACACCATTGGAAGAAGGTTTTTTGTTTGTTTGTTTGTTTTGTTTTTTTGAAGTTAGCAAGGCCAGCTGAAAGGCCTTTACTGTCCTACCTCAGGGCAATATGAACTCTCCAGCCCTATAGCATCATACCGTCTGTAGGGACCTTGATTGCCTTCCTTTCTACAGGACATAATACTGCCCTATTATATTGATAGTATCATGCTGCTTAGATCTGGTGAGTAGGAAGTAAAAACTACTCTAGACACATTGTTAAGGTACCGTATGCTTCAGAATGAGAAATACCTCAAAAATTTAAGGATCTGCCATATTGGTGAGATTTCTAGGATTTCAGTAGGCTGGAGCACTTTGAGTTATTCCTTCAATGGTGAAAGAAAAGTCACTGCATCTCCTACCTACCTTTCCTACCACTAACAAAGAGGCACAATACCTAGTGGATACTTTTGTATTTCAGAGGCAGCGTATAATCTATTCAGGCATGCTACTTTAAGCCACTTACCTCATTACCCAAAAAGAAGCCTGTTTTGAGTAGGGATAAGAATAGAAAAGGCATTGGAATTGGTCCAGGCTGTATGCAAGCTGCTCTACTACCTGGACTGTGTGACCCAACAAATCTGATGGTACTTAAAATGTCAGTGTCAGGGAGGGATGCTGTAAGAGCCTCTTGTGGTTCTCTATGGTTGAATCATAGTTCATACTCTTTGGATTTTGTAGCAAAGCCATGCCATTCTCTGCAGATAACTACTCTTCTTTTGAGACAAGCTTTTGGATTATTACTGGGTTTTAGTAAAAATGGAAACTGACCTTGGGTCACCCTATTACCATGAGAACTGAGAGGCCCATCAATGCTCCAGTATTAGATGTGGAGAAAATTGTTCCCACAATTTTGTTAGGTCAAATTCTTGTAAAAATGCATATATAATGGCTCTGATCTTTTTAATTGAACTCTGATATATAACTATACCCATATGCATAAGCCACATGAAATTGGGGACTCAGTGGCTCAGCTGGATCAAAGGTAGTGTGCTTTTGTTCAGATTCCACCATAAACTGACAAGGAAATCACTCATGTGGTACAGTTTTTGGATACCTGAAAGTTATACTTATTTTCTAAATCCTTCCCCATTTGGCTTGTAAGGATTTTCCTGAAGAACTGCGTGATCCTCACTGACTTAAATGCTTATGTACCTGGAAGGGGTAATTCAGCTTGTAAGCTAATTATAAGTGCAGATTAGTTTTCTGTGTTACTTAGGATGACAGTTGCTGTTCTAATATATCTCAAAATGCTAACTGGCTCAAATTCACATCCTCTGGTGGTTCCAGTGTAGCTATTAAAATGGGTAATGTTTTTAACCATTGTTGTGTGTAAACTAAAAATGTACAAAATGTACAAATGTGTGTGTGTGTGTGTGTGTGTATATATATATATATATATATATATATATATATGAATAATATCTAGGTTATGAAACTGTCATGGGATCCTTGGGGTGTTGCTTCATCAGCCAGAATCCTCTGCGGCTAGTGGTGCCTTTGCCCAGGTTTTGCTTGGGCCCACTGTGTCTACTCGACCTGGCTGGCTGCACTTGGCTTGCACTGCCAGCCTGGATCCCATGCCTGCCCAGGGTGAGTGCAGCAGCAAGGGGTGTGTGAGTGAGCAAGCGTGGGGTCTGGCCACTGCACACAGCCAAGCACACCAGCTGTGGTGGGGTAGGTACCTATAGGTGCTAGCTCCCTGCAAGGCTGCAGGTGGACCAGGTGTACAGCAAGCAGTTTCCATGGCTGGCACTGGGGAATGTGGTTACACCTGGAAGCTTGGAGATGCCAGGAACCACAGAGCCCCAAAGAGGGTATCACAGCCCTGGCTCAGGGAACTCCTAGGTCTGGGCTTTCAGAAGGGCCACAGCTCTTCTCTCCTTCTTGTCTCCTGCAACATGATGAGCAAGGGGCATATTTCAGCCTGTTTGTATTACAGCTTTTTCAGCCCCGCCATTCAGCAGATCTGAAGTTCTTGTCCTGCACCCAGGAAGAATAAGGTATGTGGACAAGTGGAGAGTGAGCAAGGTGAAGAGCTGCTTTACTGAGTGACAGAACAGCTCAGAGGAGACTCACAGTGGGTAGCTCCTCTCCACAGCCAGGGTGTCCCAGTGAGTGTTCAGCTCTCAGCAGAGAGGAGACCCTAGAATGTGTAGCTCCTCTCCACAGGCAGGTCATCCTGTCATCAGCAGAGAGGAGACCCTTGGGTGGGTAGCTCCTCTCCACAGCTGGTTGCCCTGTTGTCTCTTTTTGGGTCTGGCTGAGTCCAAGGCTTTTTAGGCTTCTGAGGAGCAGAAGTGTGCACTGATTGGTCTATGGGTGGCCATGGGCTGGCCTGGGAAAAGCACCATATGTTCCCACTCTGGTTCACGGGACTGGCAGCCTGGCCTCCAGGCTTCAGGCCTTCCCTGGCTTGAAGGTAGGGATTCACCTGGGACCCAACCCTTTCTGCCCAGGGGCCTGTCTGCCTCCTGCTGCTATTCATGGCACCCAGGCTATTCCTGCTGAGGTGAATCTGCACACCCACACCAAGTTGCCCTCACCACCACCCCCCTCGGCCTCACTCCCATGCTTCTTGGCACCAGAAGTCCAGAGCTGGCTGAGGTGGCATGGGGCTGGCATATCAGCACTGCCCCAAGCATGTGCTCAGCCAGCCAGGTTGTGAAAGCACCCAGGCTTGGCCTCAACTCCATTCCGAGATCGGAGCGGGTGCCAGGAGCAGGGAGACAGCAGGCAGTGGGAGCAGATACCTTTGAGCCTGCGGGGGAAGGGGGACTTCCTGGGCTCCTGAGAGTGCAGAGATGCCCAGGCCCGCAGCTGTGGCTTGAGTGGTTGCAGCTGCACCTGGGAGGGTGGGGCTCCTGCCTGCTCCCAGCCCCCAAGAGCACAGGGATGCCCAGGTCCATAGCCATGGGTGGGCAGCCACAGCTCTGCCCAGGGAATGTGAGGCTCTTGCCCTGCCAACTCAGAAGTGGGGCAGGGCTTCTGCCTGTTCCTGGTTCCCGCTGGCTCCGTGAAGCACACAGCCCGGCCGTGCCTCCCCCACTGCAACTGGCATCATGGCAGTGGCTGCTCCAGACAGATCGCCACTGCCATCAAAACCATAAAACCTCTTTTGACTTTTTCATGAAGAAATATTATTTTACAATTAGGGAAGTCTTATATTAAAAAAAATTGTTACAACTTAAACAGAAAGTGGGTCCCTAGGTCATGGCCACTGCAGACCATTTGGATTAGGAGTGGGGACAGGGATATTAGAATATGGAGACTTCTCTGTACTGGGTCAGGATACCATTGGTAGGGTGCTGAGAGAAGTTACTTCACTGGGAGGGTAACAGCTGGTAGGGAGGGAGTGAGGAAAGAGAGGCAGTGCCTCTAGTGAAGGGGTATCCAATCTTTTGGCTTTCCTGGGCTGCATTGGAAGAAGAAGAATTGTCTTGGGCCACACATAAAATACGCTAACACTAACAATAGCTGATGAGCTAAAAAAAAAAAATTGTAAAAAAGTCTAATAGTGTTTTAAGAAAGTTTAAAATTTGTGTTGGGCCAAATTCAAAGCTGTCCTGGACCACAGTTGGACAAGCTTGCTCTAGTGGTTAATCACACACATTCTTGCGCCAGCCTATTTATTTTTTATTTTATCTTTGACACAGTCTCACTCTGCCACTTAGGCTGACGTGCAGTGGCGTGATCTTGGCTCACTGCGACCTCCGCCTCCCGGTTCAAGCGATTCTCCTGCCTCAGCCTCCTGAGTAACTGGGATTACAGGCATGCGCCACTATGCCCAGCTAATTTTTGTATTTTCAGTAGAGATGGGGTTTCACCATGTTGGCCAGGCTGGTCTTGAACTCCCAACCTTAGGTGATCCACCCACCTCGGCCTCCCAAAGTTCTGGGATTATAGGCGTGAGCAACTGCGCCTGGCTGCGCCAGCCTATTTCTTATCCCTATTCCATCCCTTCTTGCTGTGCAACCTTGGCAATTATTAATTTTTTTTCTGCCTCAGTTTTCTTATCTGTGAAATGGATACAATAAGAGTAGCTACCAACCTAGGGTTTTTATAAGAATTAATTGAGTTATTATATGTATAATATTTGCTCCATAATGAGCGCTGTTATTGCTATTGCTCCCAAGTTTGGCTTTGAGCTTGTTCTGAGCTAACAGTGGCAGTTCTGTGCCATAAAACAAGGTGCCCAGGAACATCTCCTCCTCAGCCCTCTTTAAACCTGTCCTGGCTGCTGTATGTGGGACCATCCAGGTTCTCGGAGCTTGAACTATGTGGGTAATTTATATTTGTTTCCTCTACAAGTCAGCATCAATCTTTCCACATCTCTCATGGAACAAAATGCTCTGTGTCCATTGCCGATTTTTATCACTGTTGTTAATGTTAATAACTTTTATTAAGCACAGAGTTATAGGTGGTATAAAAAGCAAAGGAGTCACCAAACAAGAGACCTAACCTCTCCACCTCCAAAACAAAACAACAACAAAAAAGATCACAATGTACTTTTTCCTTTTGCCCTTTCATTTCCCATGTTTTAAAATGTTAATTCAAAATGTCATTTTTAATTAAATTTTTATTTGAGGGAAATGTTAAGTAACACCCGTCTGTGCTATTTTTAGCAGTGGCTCGTCCTCTGGTTCAACGTGAGAATGAAAATGCTGTGTGTAAGCTATAAATTCCATGAGGGCAGTGACCTTATCTACCTTCTACATTGTTGTGTCCCTAGTTATTCCAGTGTGGTACATGCTCAATAGGCGACTTGTTAATTAATTTTAAAGTGAAAAAGTATAGCAAGTTCTACTTTTTATCTTTGCAATTCTAAAAAAAATTACAAATGGAATGGTTATGTTGATTATGATTATGGATGGTAAAAACTTGTGGGAATTTTTTTATTAGGAGAACTCAAGTTTATATATATATTTATATATATATACACACACACACAAACACACATGTATGTTTATCTCGCCACACACACAATTACATATATATACATATGTATGTACATCTATCATATTTACTATAATCATACATGTGTGATCATAGTTAATATTTATTGAACATTTACTAATTTCCAGAAATTAGGCTATGCACCATACATCGGGACTTTTTTTGGAAGCTCATGAAACACTTTGAAGGTAGATGCTAGGATTGCCCTCATTGAAGAATCTAGGAAATGGGATGGAGAGATGAGGAACTGTGTCTGACATCACAGGGTGAGAAATTATACAGGTGGGGTTTGAACCCAGATAGGTTCATTCCAGGTAATGCTGTGCCTCCTGTTTATCAGTATTTCTGCTTGCCTGTGTGACAACAGTGAGTGGTATAAATATGAGGAAAGAAAATTGTGGAGGTTTTGCATTTATAAGATTGGCAAGAGCTGGGGACAGCCTTTCAGCTCTTGAAAAGGTAGACTGAGAATCAAGCTTGCTCTTCCTTTGAAATATCAGTGAGCAGAAAGAAGAATTGGGAGCTGGAGTACATTCCTTGAAACATAATTTTCTCAGAAAGTGAGTAAGAAGAAGATAGGAATATTGCTATTGATTAACAATCCTATTAGAAGACAGTAGCAGGATAGCTTTCCTTTCTTCCCTTCTTCCTTCCTTTGAAATTTATTGAGCAACTACTTTGCACTAGGCCCTGGAAATGCACAGATGGAAAGTGTACAGAAACTAACCTGGGGAAGCTCACAGTCTAGGGAATAAACAGACACATAAACATGACCACAACATCACGTAATCAAATGGAGGCATATGCAGCCTGTTGTGGACCACAGGGGAGGATGTGACTCATTCAGTCTGGGGATGTCAGGAAGTGCTTGGAATCAAGGATGTGTTGTTTGAACCAAGTTTTGAAGAATGAGCAGGAGTTAGGGGGAGCAACAAAAGAGTGGAATTAACAGCATTCATTTCTGTGTTCACTCAATCATTCTCATATTTCATTCAATGTCTACTATATTCCAGTCCTTGTGCACAGAATATTCTGAGGATATTAAACGAATACCTTCTTTAGCATTTCTAGTCTTAAGGAATCACACTATCCTTTAATAGAAAATTAATAGTGTAATTTCCCATTGATTTTATGACAGGCAGCCCAGTTTTTTCCAGTTCCCTAAGTTTCAAAGTCCATCTTGGTTGTCTGATCCCCTCGGCCTTGCTCCTGACCACAACTTCACTTCTCTGGATGTCGTCTTTGTTATGCGGAAACCAGCTTTCCTCATGCTGCTGCTGTTCCCCTCCCTTTGTGTTTGCCCAAAGTATGCATGCAAACCAGACCCTTAATTTCCCAGAGGAAAACAGCTATAAGCAAACTATTAGGAGAAGGTTATTGAAAATTTGCAGATAACAAATGGAGTTACAATGCAGGAAACAACATCAATGACAACAATGTAATGTAACATGGGCACCAAAACCAGACACTATGCTCCCCTAACACACAGGCCACTTCCCTAGAAGTTTCTCTTTTCATTCATTAGCTTTAGCCAGTCGCCATGCTCCAGGGGTCAGCCTACCTTCCTTTTCTCTGAAATTGCCCTGTAGCACATGTCCTCTGTTTGGAAGCTAAATGATCACAGCTCTGAGATTCCTGGAGAAATTGAAACTCCAATTTTTTTATAAAAAGACTATAAGCTTCAGAGATGCAATTCTGTCCATAATGATGAAAATATTTAACCTTATAACACAGATACTATAGCCGTATAATCCCTGGAATCTGTCCATCTCAGCATAAAATCCTTGCTTTATCTCTGCATGGAGATAACAACTTCAACCAAGGGGCCACTACCAGGCCTCAGAGACGAATTCCAGTCTCCTATTTAGAAAGAAAATAACTACTCATAATTTTAGAAATTGCAACCTCTTACAAATGGATTTTGGCCATCCCAACTATCCTTCTTAAACATTTTAATAAGCCACTGAGAATTAATATAACTGTAGAATGTTGCTGTTGAATATTAGTGTAGAGTCAGGTTTTATCTCACCTTGTATGCACCAATACAGCCACATTATTTATGGTCATGCCAGTTTTTAAAGTGGTGTCCATCTGATTGGTCAATTGTTTGTTCTGATTAGCCAGTCTTATGTTGTACCAGTTGTTACAAACTTTGAATAACATCTGGCCTTAGAGATCATATAATTTGGGGTCTGGAAATATATGTTATGTTTGCTGTTATTCCTGGGGCCTTGAACGACATTACTTATCTACTTATTTGTCTTCTCTGGGTCTGGACATGGCTTTATGATCCTTTTCATTGCAGCTTTCCAGGCAGCTCCTATGAATTGATCAGCCTTGTAATGCGGGAGAATATCTATTTGTCCTCCCAGATCTAGTCGAAACCCATTATCTTTCAGATGAGGCTTTGTCCACCAGACAAAAAAACTCATGTTGTAGTACAGAGTTATTTGTATGCCTATTACATGACACATAGCCGGTAACAAAGTTGGGAGAGTGAGCAAACGTAAACACATTTGAAACACAGTAGGCACATTAAATCTTGGCTTTAAGTTCTTTTGGTTGTGTAAACCTAAATTTTATGGAATCAAGTTTATTAACTCCTTAATCCTCTGATTTCTTTGGAAAAGAAGTGTGCCTACTTACGTAAAGGTAAATGTCCATGTTACATATTGAAATATTTCTTGCTTTCTATGCTGTTCCACTGGGATTTCTGTATTTGTCCCAAGTCTCTCTGGAGCCTGTCAAGTGAGATAACTTGTATAAACTGCAGCAGAGAACGTTCCCTGTGAATAAATCCAGTCTGGGACAAAGCACAGCATTCACTTCTCAGATAAAAATCAATCTGTCAGAAGAATTTCTTTACTGCTTAATTTGTCTTATGTGTCCAATTATGTGAACACTAGCGTATAAATTGTTCAGAAATTGCTTTTTCCATTATCTATTCCAAGACCTTGTTTTTTCATTTCTTGAAATTAATGAGAGACTTTTCAAGTATAACACCTGAAGATTTAACTTTCACTTCGTTCATTGCCATCTTAAATGGCTGATGATGAGTTCATGGATGGCACCTTTTCCATGGGACAGATATTGCTTAGGTACAAGCTCATTGCTCTCATTCATTCTGTAGATAACGTACAAAACTCTCAAAGAGGGAAGGTGTTCCAGTCACAAAGTAGAGATGCAATAGCTGTGTGCAAGGTCTGAGCTCAAGAAAACCCGTAAATATACTTCTATAAACTGGTCCTAAGCTCCTGCCACACTGAGCTAACTGGTTTTTCTGGGGGTGGGGTAGATAAGCAGTCAGAACTGAATTCTATCCAGCTTGCTGATAAACATATTCTACCATAATTCTATTTAATTTCAGAGAAGAGGGTATATTCTATGATTAGAATACATTTCTGAAGACCTCCTCAAGTCATGTAACAGGCATACAAAAAGCTCTGTACTGCAATGTAAGTTCCCTTTAGACCTTTACTTAGAAACTATGTGACAACTTCCATGATTCAGGAACAGTACTGCAGTTGAAAAATAACACGCCTGTAATCCCAGCACTTTGGGAGGCTGAGGCAGGTGGATCACGTGAGGTCAGGAGTTTGAGGCCAGCCTGGCTAACATGGTGAAACCCCATCTCTACTAAAAATACAAAAATTAGCCAGGTGTGGTGGCAGGTGCCTGTATTCCCAGTTACTTGGGAGGCTGAGGCAGAAGAATCACTTGAAACTGGAGGGCGGAGGTTGCAATGAGCCAAGATCGTGCCACTGCACTCCAGCCTGGTACAGCGTGAGACTCCATCTCCAAAAAAAAAAAAAAAAAAAAAAAAAATGGAAAAAAGTAAAGCAGATAGATAATTCTATAACAGATGAGGATCGACTGAATCACTAAAAATAAATGAACAATTTGACCTTGCAGAGTGATGTATCTTTACCCTACCCTTATAATTCAGTGTCTAAGTCCTGCTGCTCAATTAAATATATCAACCATGTAATAAGGTGTTTCCTGCTCTTGCTTTACAAGTGTGACAAAGTTATTATTTGGCACTTCAAATATTTAGGGCCAAACCAACCACCTGCTTTTACCTTAGATCACATTTTAATTTTTATAATTCTTAACCTCATTCCTCTGTAAATAAGAAGTTTTCTATACCCTTCAGGTTGCCCTCAAGATTTTCTGTTTGTCTTTGATTTTCTGCAGCTGGAATATTATATGACTCTGTGTGTGTGTGTGTGTGTGTGTGTGTGTGTGTGTGTGTGTTTGGTATTTATTCTGCTTGGTGTTCTCTAAGATTTTTAATCCATTGTTTGTTATTTCTCAGTAATTTTGGAAAATTTTCTGCCGTTATTAGTTTCTGTTCCTCCTTAATCTCTGGTACCTCAATCATACATATGCTATACCATTTCATATTGCCCCATAGCTTTGGATATTCTGTTCTGTGTTTGTTTGTTTGTTTTCTCTTCATATTTCAGTTTGGGTGATTTCTATTGATTTATCTTCAGGTTCACTGATTCTTCTAACATCTGTATTGAGTGTACTGATGAGCCTGTCAAAGGCATTCTTTATTTGTCACTCATCTTCAGATTTCTAGCATATCCTTTGATTCTTATAGTTTCCCTACTTCTGCTGACATTACCCATGTGGTCTTGCATGTTGTCAGATTCTAGCCCAAAGTGAGGTCTGAGGGGAGTTGGTGGGCAGGTGGGGTGTAGCTGGAAAAACACTTGTGGAATCATAGGCAGTCTTGACATGGCTTTATTCTCTCTCTGGTCGTGAGCCAAACTGCCTGTACAGCATCAGCAGGGTAGTTATACCTTTTACAGACTATAGGGGCTCCAAGCCAAGCATGAGCTCATGTGAGTGGTCATCTCATGTGCCTTGCATGGCATGGTTACATACTGTGCAGGGTCGTGTGCCTGCACTCCAAACCCGCTGAGTCACGCTGCCTTGGAAGGCTGCTTTGGCCTACTCCTGACTGAGGTGCAGCCATTTCTCTTACACATGTTGTCTACCTTTTCTATTAGAGCCTTTAACTTTTTAATTGTTAGTTATTTTTAAATTCTCTGTCTGATAATTCCAACATCTGTGTCATATCTGAGTTTGGTTTTGATGATTGCTTTGTCTCTTCAGGCTATATTTTTGGAACGTCTTCTAAATTATTGGTGACACTTGGACATATTGTATAAGGAAATAGATAATAAGGTAAAGAGATTTTTTATATGAGGATTTATGTCAATCTGACCTGCATTTGGGCTAAGTTTGTTTATTTTAGCTATGGATACCAGAGGGTTCAAATTCTTCTAGTAACTTTATTTTGTCTTGACTCTTAGCTTTGGGGCTTCCCTTTCTTGCTGTTCCTGAGAGATAATATTTCTCTTGTAGCTGTTTTAGCTGTAAACTAATGCTATTGTCACTGGAGGATTATTAGCATAATGGTAGCATGTGTGTCTTGGGGGCCACACACTCTCTAATCTTTTGATTAAGCCTCAGTCTTTGGAGTGCACATTGGGCCTGTGTTTTAGGGTTGTGGCCTTTACAGGTGTTTCTGTCCCTTCTGTAGGAATAGAGCTTTCTTCTTTCTGCTCTTTATCCCTTTCCAGCCTTCAGCAGGTGTTCTCCAGTCTTCCCAGTCTTCATTTGTGAGAACTTCTCCCCTGTAGATTGTTCCTTTGCTTTCTTAGGTAAAATAGGATAGAGTAGAACACAGCTCCCTAAGCCCAGCTGGAATGGAATTTTACTGTTGCTGTCTGACATGTCCTCCATGGAGATTAAGCCTGAGAGTGAAACAATTTAGTGGATTTCACCATGGCTACTCTCCCCTCCTCCTGTCAGAGCACCAAGGGAAACTTTTTGGACTGTCTCCTTGACCTGCCCTAACAGCCTGATGAGATTCTGAAAGAAAAGTTTAGTTATATATGGAGGCCCCCAGAAACTTCTCACTTTGATGCTATCTCACAGTTTGCTTCCAGAATTCATCAAAAGTTCTATTTTAATATTCCAGAGGCATTTGCTTCAGGTAAGCAAATACTCAGGTCCTTTGTCTCCCTAGAGGTACTTCTCTCTCTAGATAATGGGAGGTAATTTTCTCTGTGACCTTAGCTCTTTGATGAGTCTAAGAAAAGTCTTTTTATCCCCCAACATTTTGTTATTGTAAGAATGGGAATGACAATGTCCATGTTCTTTTTATGTCTGAACTGAAACTGAAAGTTCACACATACTTTTATTTGTAATGCTCTTTCTAATCTAGTTTTAGTGATTCCATTAGGTTTAGGTATAGCTGCAGGTGACACAAAACCCAAAATAATAGTGGCTTGGACAAGATATGTTTATTTTTGTCTCAGTAAAACATTGTCCATGGAAGATCTGGTGTTTGTGGTATGAGGGACTCAGAATCTAACCTTAGCAAGAAGAACCAACATAATGGTTCCAAACAGTGCTAACCTTCAATCATTACACCTGCATTCAAACCAGCAGAAAGCAAGAAGAGGTTAAAGAAGGTGCTCCTTTTAAGAACACTGTCTGGAAGCATGTGGCATAACTGTTTACATCCCGTGGGTTAGAACTTAATCACATGGCCATACCTAGCTACAAAGAAACCTTGGAAATGTTGTCTTTATTCTCCATGGCTTCTATGCCCAGCTAAAACCTAAGAGTTTTCTGAGTGAGAAGGGGAAAATTGATATTAAAAGACAATTGGCAGTCAGAATTAATGCTTTCTCTCTCTCTCTCTCTCTCTCTGTGTGTGTGTGTGTGTGTGTGTGTGTGTGTACACTATATGTTAACTTCAGAACAAACTTTGATCTTGGGCATATTTCCCATTTGCCCTGTAAAAATTTGCTTTGTTACCCTCACCATTTGATGAAGTCTGCGTATGCATTTCTGCTCTTTTGGAATGTAGAGGCTGTGTCTTCATATCTGAGATACAGTGTTTCTGATAAATATTGGGCAAGAGTTAATTAAACCTAAAAAAAGAGCTCTGGTAATAAATGCAGGTAAACAATGGAAATGCCTTAGTCCATTTATGCTGCTGTAACAAAATATCTTTGAGTAATTTATGAAGAATAGAAATGTATTTTTTTACATTTCTGGAGGCTGGGCAGTCCAAGATCAAGGCTCCAGCAGATTGCATGTTTGGTCAAGGCCTGTTCCTCCTGGTTGGTGCCATGTGAGTATCATCACATGGTGGGAGCGATGAAAAGAGAAAAAGGATATGAACACTGCATTCTCACATGGCAGAAGAATGAAAGAGCAAAAAGGTTCTAAGCTAGTTCCTGGTAGCCCTTTCATAAAGCACTAATCCAAGAGGCGCCACCCACAGGACTTAATCCCTTCCCAAAAGGCCCCATCTCTTAATATCAGCACAATGGGGTTAAGTTTCAACACATGAGTTTTGGGAAATATTCAAACCACAGCAGGGGCAAAGCAAGTGGCTTGTAGATAAGGAAGTGACAGCTATAGGCTAGGCTATAACTTCCTGGGAAACTCAGCCTCTGTTGACTGCTTCTACATCAACCTTAGACTCAATTGAATCAAATGATCAAGGAGAAGTTATTGAGCATTTACAGTGTTCTCAGTTAACAGCTGGTATAAATAAAGAAATAAAAGACTGATTCCCATTCCTCAAAGAACAAAGGCTAACAGATGAAACAATTTGATGGAGTAAATAGTATTTTTTTTTGTATGTACAGATGCTAACTGTCATCGAAGCTGTGGAAACAGGACCCTTAGTGCAGGCAGGATAGCTGGGTAGTTGAGGATGTGGGACTTTCCCCACTCCTGGGCTAGCAATAATCTGTGAAGTTAGAATAGAGATACTCTCATTATCTACCAGTAGGATAAAAATTATACAAGGCATAGAATGATTTCATAAAATGCAAAGTAAAACAAATATGAAGGAATTATCACTATTATCTATAAGCCATAAAGGCCATTGATTGCTTGTTTCACATTTGTTCTGAATTTCTGAACCAACAAGGAGTTAACAAAATGCTCCCCCACCCCTTATATGGCAATTAATCATATGTCTAAAAATAGTTACTAATTATAATAGGCTTTTATTCTGAAAAGGAAAATATCAAGACAATCCCTCACAGAAGGAAAATTATTATCTTAGTTTCCATTAAGTAATTCCCCCCCACCCCGCCCAAATACTTACAGGTGGGTATGGGATCGCTGCCTTGGTAGGCTCCACTTCTTTGAGTCACTTTGCTGTTTCTAACATCTCTAACTAATCATAGTCACAGAACTGACAAGTCCAAACTGGACAGCTGTTTCTTGAAAATAAAATATCTAATGGCAAAAACTATTGCCCTTGCCAATGAAAAAGCAAAGGCATCTGTACTTCACAACTGAAAGGGGCTGCTTCTTGGTTTTTCAGTTCCTTTGTAGTTTCAGGCCACATTTAGATGAATCTGTTTTGCTAAAATACTGAATTTTCCAGTGAAATGAGTCAGGTATTAGCCTTTTGTCAGGCATTACAGAATCACGACATGCTTAAAGCTACAGCATGCTTAGTGTAACACTAATGCTGTTTTATTCATTTTCCTTAAATTCTGAGGAAAACAAGATGCCATGGCCTGGTTGTTTGGAGCAATTTTGGGGCTGAAACATAACCATCATTACTACTCATTTGTTTCCATGGTGAATTGTGATGTGTTTCAGGAGATGTAGCCATGCAGAGAAGCTCAATCAGAACAGCCAAATGCCAGGGTGAACAACATACCCACAGGCAATCAAGGACCATACATGTAAAGAGTGATGTGATTTCAGGGGCTTTTTAAAGAGAAAATTTGGGCTAGTCTACTTTTAAAAATAAGATTAGAAAACATATGCCTATCGAAAGTACTATAAATATTAGATTGGTTCAAAAGTTATTATGGTTTTTGCAGTTGAAAATAATGGCAAAACCCACAATTACTTTTGCACCAACCTAATAAGAACAATAGTAATTTGCTGGTTTCCATTTGAGGGGAAAAAAAAGGTTATAGGAGAAGAGAGATAAAGAGAAGGCAAGAAAGAATGAAAAAAATTTTAAAAATCACCAAAAAGAGCCATTCATGCAGGTTCAAAGAGACATTTTCATGGAGTAATTACCCAAAGTGTGGCTTTTTAAAATATTTGCTGATAAAGACTTTTATAACTCCATGGAGGTTTTGTTACTAGTGTTCTAATAATAGAAATATTATTATATTTTTTCATTTTCTTCTTCTCAAATAAGTATGGTGAAGGCCTGATTTGAGCTTTCAGAAAATTCTCATTTTGACCTGAAGTTTGTAATTCATCCCATCTTACAGAGTGCTTCAAACTGTGGAAATAAAACATAAGAGTTACTGTAAAGATGTTCACACTATTACAGAAATGTCTTTTTGTCATTAAAGCCTACCGAACACATCAAGGACACAAACAAACAAACAGAACTAGATTAACAATAATAGTGTTTTAGAGATGATGATACTTAAAGTTATTTTCACATAATGCCTTCATTTTACAAATGAAAATATCAACTCCCTCAAAACTGAAATAACATATTCAAGGATCATAAAGGTAAGGGTGGTATGGAATCCAAGTTGTGGCTTCTATTTCTGTTCTCCTGCCTCTGCATATAGTAAAGCTATGACATGTTTGTAACCCTGTAGAATTTTCCACAACATTCCACATATACTCAAAAAGCCACCTTGAATAACTGAGCCAGATGCCTAGTTGATGAAAAAATTACATTTGTTTTTCCTAAAATTTCTGGATTAAAAATACCAATGATATTTGCAAGCAGATTTTCTTTAAGTTGCTAGTAATAATTGGAATTTCTCTTGATTCTTCCCATGCCAAAATAAGAGTAGAATTTTTATTTTTGCCAGGACCATACAAATTCTAAAGAATTGAATGAGGAAAATAGATGTATCCCTGGAATGAAACTAGTAATTTATTCTTTCCCTCTTCTCTGGAACCTGTAACAACAACTTGCATCTGAGCCATCCCCAGAACAGATGAGGAGCAACCATCAAATAGCGGAGATTCAAGGGGCAACGCTGACCTTGTGCACATACTGTAGCCAAATACTTCTAGTTTAAATTGCAAGCATTTTCTCATTGGAACATGCAGAACACATAATCAAAAATGTCATTTTTCAATGAGTTCACTTCCAGTTAGTGGAGAAATCTATTCCTAAATTTGATACTAAACAGTTGTAGGACACGTAACAAAACATTTTAGCATTATATGACCCAATTTCCCCATCAGTAAGATGGATATGATCTGACTTTTCCTCACTGGGATGTTGGGGAAATTAATGACAAATTCACAGCTCTGAACATCTTAGTCCATATTAAAGTAACAAGCTAAATATTGTAACAAATTGAGATGTAAGCCACTTTTTAATTCATTAAATCTAATTTTATTAAGGCTATATAAATTGAAGCTACCCCTTAATTGAATCACATATTTTCACTTTTGTACAATAGATAAAATATTAGAAGCTAAATTAGAAAATTTACCCGCATAGAATCTCATGTTCCCAAAGTCTCAAATAATCTGGGGATGAAATGTTGTGAATGGTATTAATGGTCTACAAGAATTTACAAAAACAGTTCCTCCTTTAAATTTGTTAAGTTAAATTGTCTAATAAGAGTACATTAGATTATCTATAAATCTTTGAAAATCATAGGAGCAAGTAACACCATATGAAATCACTTTAAGTTAGCATTAAACACTGAACTGCATTTTGAAGAACGATGTGCAATACAATTGGCAGGACATTGAGCACCACAGTCAGAAAGCCCTTGTTCTCTACTTTTATTGCTTTTTTTTTCTTTTCAAAAACAGCAGTTAGAATTTACCCATGGAAAGAGAAATTATATTTTCAATTTGTAGAACTATCAGGGCATGGAAAATGAAAACTCTAATTCCTAATTGTTAGCAACCCAAAAATTTGACAGGGACTATTTCTGCCTAGCTCTCAACTAAAAGTATCCAAGAATTGCTAATGAAGTGATATTTCTACTGCATGTTTTAGACTTTTGGACTTTTATTTTTTTCTGCTAATACTAAAATACAAATGTAATTCCTCATAATTATATACTGCATTTAATCTGTGATGAATAAGAACTCATCAATACTAATATTATACAGTGTTCTTGGTAGAAATTCAATTAACATATGCTCTCCTTCATATTTTCCTCCATTCATCCATCTAGCCCTCTCCATTCATCTAGCTATCCAACATAATTGGAAAGATCTTCACTTGCCATGTTGAAACCCTTGTATAAGTACAACTCTGATGGACAGATTTTAATTCTTAGAGGCAATGATAGACTATAAACAAATAGAGTTTTCTAACTGCCTTATAATTTACAACTCTATCTGCAATGCAAATATAGCTTTCAATGGCAAAACCCGCCATTACTTTTGCACCAACCAACCTAATAATACTTCATGTTATGAAAAGCAATGTGATTTCATTTTCTTCATTCTCTCCTTTTCCTAGTTTTAAATTTAATTCTTACCCCCTTTTACTTTTAAAGTGTACTCCTTTGGGCCTGGAAGTTATTAAAGTAGACCCCTTGCTGAGTCAGTTACCTGTTAATGGATATTCCCTTAGTCACCCAAAGATTGGAAAAGCTTTGAAACAATCAATTCTAGAGATTCTATTAAATTTTAGCCAAGACGTGGCTCCTCCTCAAATGGAGCTTGGAGGGAGTTATTGACATAAGAATGATAAGATGGAGCAATGGTTTTATTCTTCCATTTTTTATTGGTTCAGTTAATAAATATTTATTGACTGCTTACTAGATGCCAGAACCTGGATGGCTCTCTTTCATCTCTATGGACTCCTCCTTGATCCACCCCTTTAAAAATGGCTGATTTCTTCCAGGGGTCTGCTTTGGTCTCTCTTCTTCTCATTGGATGTAGACTTGTAAGACTTCTTAATGGATCTAATGAAATTGTCCTTCTCTCTTGCTATCAGTCAGTTCATTCTTAACTGAAAAGGATCAGATAAATAGTATAAAGGGAATACAAATCGAACAATTTAATGTATTCCTGTCTTGGAAACATTAGAAGTTTTAATAATAGGTAAATATATGTCATGGTAGTATATCTATAAAATTTCAGGTCCTAGTTGCAAGGCTGAGGGAAGGGAATGGGAGGCAGGGGGCGTTTTTCTCACTTGTGCAACACAAACCTCTTATGTCATTATCTCTAGAAGGTTGGCCTACTTCCCTCATCTAGTCAGGTGAAGTGGGACCATTTCCCCGAACCAAGCTTGTAATGGGGTTCATTTTACTTTTGTAGAAGCAGTAGTTTGGAAGGAGAGTGATTCTGTTTTACAAGGAGAACATTCTTACCAGTCTCTGAACAGTAGCTCTACCACTGCCTGAAAACATTAGCAACGTGTTTATTTAAGAAAGTCACAGCAAGGACTCCTATTTATAACAATATCCTCCCATTGCGTAAGACTTTCTCCCTACCATTTCCTGTGGTAAATTTGTTGTTGGATTCTAGAAAAAAGAATAACTTGGTAGAAACTAAGATTTCTAGATAAGATTAAAACAACCCAGACACGCTCTCTGAGAAGAAAATGCCTCTTTGGAACAGAGAGGAGGAAATTGGCCCAATTTGTAAAGTCTCCTGACCCATCAGGGAAGGACACGCTGCCCTGACTGGGGCCGGGTCAGCGCCAGTTACATCCGCAGGCACCTTGCAGTCCAGGCCTCCAGGGGCCGCAGGTGGAATCCTGTGGCTGAGGACGTGACTCAGAAGTGCCGGCCAAAATTCCATGAATCTGTTCTCTCTGGCAGGTGGTCGAGATATTGAAAGGGCTGGGCTTTGACAGCGGGAGGACCTGGGCCAAAACCTGAGGGAGTCTAAGCATGGAAAAGCTGACACTTGGCCTGGAAATCAAATTCCAGGCACATGTGGCAATGTGGTTGCTGTTTTACAAGAATGCTCGGGAAAAAGTCTCAGAAGCTGCCAGGGCCGGGTCATCTGCATCCTGCCTCAGCTCTACCAAGGGTCACAGGCGGGATAGTGTTGCGCATTTTTTCCTCCCCCAAACTCCTGGTGCATGAGACTGATAGGATTCATGCTGCCCTCCTCCCTCTGCAGTCCGCCCGCACCACTGGCTGAGGTCCTCGTGTGCAGAAGTTCATTTTGTGCCATGGACTCCCTTTTGCCTTTGGTGAAGCCCATGGACTTCTCAAAATAATGTTTTTAGATACATAAAATAAAAAACACAGGATTACAATGGAAACCCATTTCATTGAAAATGAATTATCAAAATACTTTTTTCATTTATGAGCAATAGAAACGTGTGTATACCTTATCAATTTGTTAAATTACAAGATTTAATGGCAGAGCTAATAACTGATGTAATTTCAAAGTAGTGATGAGTGTCAAAAATGTTTTGACATCTGTAATAACTGAAATGTGATTTGAAGGCACTTTATTTGATTTCTGTTGGCCTGAGGCACAGGTATTCCTAGTGCCACTCAGATTTGTTGCCTATAGTTAAGAATGAAGGAAAGGCTAAATTTCAGTTAGACACTGATAAAAAACAAGATGTGATTCTTTTTTTTTTTTTTTCCTCAAGCTCATGGATGCCCAGGTTTAAACTCCTGCTCTAGTGCTGGTCTTCTGTGTTCCTCATTAGCAACCACACATCACTTCTTGCCTTCTAGAATATCAAATAATCTGGAATGTCTCCTTCACCATGGTATTGCTATTTGAAAAAGACAAGAAAGGGTTGAACAATTTTGAGAGTCTTCCATGTGCTGAAAGCTTTCAAACATTTTCCCATTTAATTCAATCTGCACAAATATTCAAAGTGAAATGGCCTCCTTTACTATATAGGTGAGGAAGCTGAGCCTCAGAAGACTCAGGAAGCTCATTCAAGGCTGCAGCTGATGAGCATCAGAACCAAGGTTTGAACCCAGAGCCCTATGCAGCCATACTTCCTCCTTAAGTTTATCTTATTTTCTTAGGAGTATTAGTCAGTGGCCTAAAATCAGGGACTATGCAAGAGTTCTTAGAGACTTACTTCCAAGCTAACACAGTAAGGCTTACAGCATGGCGGTTAAGCTTACAGGCTCTGGAGACAGACTTCCTGAGTTTCAGCCCCAACTCTGCCATAACTTTTAAACTTTGGGCAGGTTACTTAACCTCTGTGTCTCAGTTTCCTCACCAGGTTATCGTGAAGGTTGCATGAGCTAATTCGAGTAAATGTTAGCTAGTATAATATTATTTGCAAGTCATGTGGAAACCATCTCATTACTTGACAGCCATGCCTTATGTTTCCTTATGCCCTCTTGTCTTTAATCTTGTCCCATCCATTCATTCTTCATAATAAATCCAGACTTTTATTTCCAGTCGAATTGTGTCATTTCCCTGCTTACAATGGTACAATAGCTTCCCATTGCCTTCAGGAGAAAGTCTAAACTCAGACTGGTGACTTTAAAGGCCCATCAAGATCTGGCTTGACCTTGATTTTCCATTCACTTCATTTCCAATCTTCTTCTTTATATTTCAAACATACTGAATTATTTGAATTTCCTGAGTGTCTCATGCCCTCTGTAGCAAACACTGCAGAATGTTTAGTAATTTTCCCGTTCTTCCTTGTTAAAGAATCCTAAATGTATTTACTGGTTCTGCGGCATAAATATCTTCAGAGAAGGCTGGGCCTCTTCCTAGTTATTGGGGGTAAACCTTAATTATACTCAACTCATTACCTTTTCAAAATAGCTGATTTAAGCACATCAGTGATATTAATTATGTGACACTAATTTGACAGATTTTTACTCTGACAATTAGTGTCACCACTGACTGAGAGGAAGTTTGTTGAAGGTTTTTGGGATCAAAGACAGGAATGATTCCTATCATTACCTCTGGAATTTGATGAGTAAAGATATGATGTCTAGAGCTGCTAGGGCCAACTTACGATCATGAGTGGAACTGATCACTGTTGAGAGTGGCAGAATGGGAAGATAAAATAATATCTTGTGGAACTATTAAATTACTCTACCTTTCCTCCAGGTGTGTTGTAATGTGAGATAATTAGTGACCTTATTGTTTGAAGCATACTAACTTGGTTTTCTGTCTCTTGCTTCTGAAAGCCTGATATGTTTCCTCACCTATTGTCCTTTGAACTTATATTTTCTTTGCCTACCCACTTACTCTTTACCCAGTCAACTTCTACCTAGGTGGGTACCAAATTTTTCACCCTCCCTTACTACTGGTGGTGGCTATATGATACAGCCTGATCAGTCAAACAAAATCCAAATTTAGCTCAGAGGTTTTGGATAGCTGTTGTGTTCCTGAAAAACAAAAAACCCAAACACAGCTGACTGTCATGTTCCTTCCTTCTACCTATTTGTTGACTAGAATGTGGAAATATTATTTAGAGCTGCAGCTATCTGGTGACCTTGAGATGAGATGTACTAAGAAAAGGCCAGGATAATTTCAAAGACATCAACACTGACATCACTGAGCTGCTGAAACAATATCAGTAACTACCTAACTCCAGAGTTCTTATTAGGTGAGCAAGAGAAACCCTTATTTCTTTAAGCCTCTATAGTCAGGTTTTCTGTTACCCACAGCCAGATGGATTCCTTACAGATACAAAGATACTCAGTAAATATTTATTGAGTACTGGATTAAACATATTGCAACAGTTTGCTCACTAATAAAGAATAGTCTTTCAAGAAATTTCTGACTTCGAGTATAATAAAATAGGTTGCGGTAGGTCAATTTTTCTATTGTAACAATGGAAAAAAGGTAACTTACAAGAATTATGTTTTAAAGACATTGCAGGGCTGTGAAAACTGTGAAGAACAGATGAACTAAAATTCGAGAGAGTGGAGGACTACTCAGTTGAGATGACCATCGCAAGCCATTTTATTATTTAAAAACTTGTTGGATGTTTAGCAACAGATGGGTCACGGCAGATGAAAGGAATTAGTGGCCTAGAAGTCATGTTAATAAAAATACACTCAAACCTAAGCACAGGGAGAAAAAAAGGATAAAAAAAATGCGTGAGAGAGAAGTGAGAACTACTTAAATATGTGTATAAATGGCTTCTAGAATAAAGGGAGAGAGAATGTCAGAGATAATAACTAAGCATTTTCCAAAATTGAAGAAAGACATTAATCCACAGATTCAAGAAGCTTAGCATGCCCCAAGCTGTATAAACACATAGATAACTACATGTAGGCACATAGTTATCAAACTTTTAAATTAAATGTATGATCAGGATTTTAGAGGCATTGGGAAAAGAGAAAAGAAAAACAAATTCAAAGAAACAGAAATGACTTACATCTGATTTGTCAAAGGAAATTAGAGAAGCCAGAAGAAAATGGAGTATTGTCTCTGTAGGCCCAAATGGTGGAGGGGGAGGGGAAGTGAAAATATTCTTCAAAGATGAAGGCAAAATAAAAATATTTTCAGAAAAGCAGCAACCCAAAATATTAATTGCCAGTAGGTCTTTACTGTAGGAAATACTCAAGGGACTTCTTCAGGCAAAAGAAAATGACCCCAGAAGGATAACTCAAAAGGCAGGAGTGAAAAAAAAAAAAAAAGAAGAATACCAGAAAAGATATGTATGTGAGTAAATAAGCAAATATTATATATAAATATATATGTGGGTATGCAAGTATATATTGGCTGTAGAAAACAGTTATAATGATGTCTTTTGAAGTTTCAAATACATTTACAACTAATATATATAAAATAACGAATAAAAGAGAAAGGCATCAACTGAGTTTAAAAGGTCTAAAAGTATTTGGGAAGTGGGAAAGTTAGAAATCTGTATTAGATTCTAATAAGTCACATCATAAATTCTAGGGTAACTATTAAAAGAAAACAAGAGTGTGTATAACTAACAAATTAGAGAAGGGGAAATAGAATATAGAATAATAAATGTTTAGTTAACCTATAAGGAGACAAAAAAACAAAAACTAAAGTAACATAAAATAGATGACCAAAAATGGAGGAAAAAAGCTAGCAAGATGGTAGGTACAAGCCCTACAATATCTGTAATTACATTAAATGTAAGTGGACTAAATAAGCAAAAGAATAAGATTGTCAAACTGGATAAAAAGTAAAACTTCACAATATGCTGTTAATAAGAGATGTACTTTAAATACAAAGATCAGAAAATTTAAGAATAAAAGGATGAAAACACATAATGTAAGAACTAACTGAATAAAATTTTGGGTAGCTATACTTATATTGGAATATTTGGACTTTAAAGGGACAAACTTCATTGGGGATAATCAGGGACATTTCATAATGATAAGGAAATCATTATAAAATGAGGTAATCACACTTTTAAATCTGTGTGTACCCCATTGCATAATTTCAACACACATAAAACAAAAAAATGACAGAAATGAAAGGATCCATGGAAAAATCCATAGTCATAGGGAGACTGTGATGAATTAAGGTACAAATTGTAAACCTAATAGTAAGGATTAGCAAATTTTTCTATCAAGAGCCAGATAGCAAATATTTTTGTTTTTGCAGGCAATATGATCACTGTCACACCACTCAGGTCTACTGTTGTGGTACAAAAGCACCTATTGACGATAAATAAATAAATGGGTGTAGTGGTATTCCAATAAAAGTTTACTTATAAAAACAGCACACACATACACAACACACGCACACAGTTAATAAACCAACAACAGAGATCATAAAGTAGTAGAAATCAGAAAGAGCACTCAATTCATCCAAAAGAAGGCACAAAAAACACGTGACCAAACAACAACAAAAAACCAAAAAACCTCATACAACTAGCTTATCACTAATGAAAGTGATATTTTGAGCTCCATTTTCATGTTTCCTGTGTCTACCTCTCAATTATTTTAGATACCAGGTGGAGAAAAATGAAGTATTGTTTATTGACTTCCTAAAGCACCAAAGTTTATGAATCTCAAATTGAATTCAGCCCCTTTACTTTCACATGCCCACCCTCCCCCAAACACACACACAAGCACACACACAAATCCTACTCACAGAAGTATTTTCATGTACAGAAAAGTTTGCTGAAAGTTTAGGGAAATAAAGAGAAGGTTTTACATTATAGCCACATGTGAACTTCAGATTACATATTAGACATGCTTCTTCTTAAACGTCCTTTGGCAGTGTTCTTCTCCCAGCTAGGGTAGAATAGATCATGGGGGACAGTAATCTCATTGAGAAGAACTAGAACTAGTAAGTAAAATAATTTTATATGTGAAGGGTTAGCAAACTATGGCCCACAGGCCCATTCTAGCCATGCCTATTTTTTGTGTGCCTGATGGCTGTTTGGTGTTTTGCACGCAGTTGAGCCATTGTGACAGAGGCTGTTATAGCCTTCAAAGCCAAAAAAAAAAATTTACTCTCTGGCCTTGACGGGAAAGTTTGCTGATTCTAGATATTTAAAGGCAGAGAAGATCAGAAGTGTTGAAGACTAAAAGGTATATACTTTCAGAGAGGGAAGAAATATTCAGAGAAAAGTTGAGGAAATACAGCTGGTCCTGGGGGCATTTGTTGATTCTTGGTGAAGGTGAGTGTGGGGATCCAGGTTTGGCTTGGGTAGAGAATCCCGGATGGAGGACAAATAAATCAGCAGAGATTTTGGTGGTCACATGGGACAGAAGCAACAATATTGGCAAGCTGAGGAGCATCTTGCCCTGGATTCCAGAGGTGGGTGCAGCATAAGGCTAAAGACTAAGCTAAAGCCTTGCAAAGCAAAACTTCCCATTGCATGGGAGACAAAGCCCCACGGAGGGAGGAAACCTGCTAACATCTGGTGAGAATCTGAAGCCCTAGATTAATAATCAGTTAGCATTGGTGAGCCACAACTCTTTTACCCTAAGACAACTTGCTTATCAGAGACATCATGAATGGAGAATCCATGCTAGGACCTTAGTGAAGGCTTATTGTTAGAGGACAGAGAAAAAAGTCCTCTAACAGTTAGTACATCCTTTGGTGGGGGTAAATGACTAGAAGGGGACAAAACGGGTTACGTGTTGATAATGTTTCTATTTCATAGTCTGAGTGTCTTCATTGTGTAAAAATTCATTGACTGTACAATTTGGATTTGTGCACTTTAGGGTATGTTATATTTCAATTAAATTTTCCCAAAAAATAATTCCTTAGACTAACCATCCTTACTTTTCCTCTATCCACAATTTCTATGAGTTTCCAAGATAAAACAGTTTAGTTACATCTTTTGGCTACTTGACTCCCACTAACCCACACCTTCAAAATCTTACCTTATACCACAAGACACTTACTGATTTAATTTCCTAAATGCAGTTTCTTTTTAAAAAATAATTGTGGATTGTGATTAAAATAATTTATTTTCACCCCTCTTTAGAAGTAATGGCCATATTGTATTATGTGTGGGTCAGATTAGCAGAATATCACAATTTAAGAAGAACATGGAGAAATTGGAACATGCCCAGAGGAGGGCAAATAGCAAGATAAAAGTATATGGGAATTATGTTGCATGTGAAACATTTTTAGCTAATGGGGATTTTCTAACTGAAACATAACAGATTAGATTCAGAGGGGTAGTACAATCAATGCTTTCAAACCCATAATATATTTTGTAAAAGAATAATTCATTTTATTCTAAGTATTTTGATGTCAGAGTAGGGATAAATGGTTGGCCATTACATGGTAGTTTCCCTTGAATGTTCCATTATCATTTATTAAAAAAGGTTATGTTATTCATTCACTAATTGAACAGAAATTTACTGCATGATGAATACATGATAATTTCTGCTGCCAAGGAGGTCATAGTCGCGTATGGAAGACAGGTCTAAATGATTATATAAGAAGGTAAAGATTCACATAATCACATCAAGAGGTGACATTGGAGCTCAGAAGAGAGTGAGATGGGTGAAGAGAAGGAAGTGAAGAGGTGAGTTCAAAAGCAGAACTCAAGGGTCTTCTCACCCCCAAACCTGCTCTCCATTCTATTTACTGTATAGAAAGGAACAACCTCGCCATCCACTCAGTTACTCAAGGTGGTAGCCTGAGAGCCTACCATGATCTCACCCTCTCCTGCACCCTCACATCTAAACCCAGCAGCCTCTCATTTCTATGGATCCTAGCACAAAACATTTCTAAAAGATATGTTTTCATTCCTGTTACCACTGCTATGTTTAGAACCCTGTGTCCCGTACCTGAATAGTTATGTGACATCCTAACTGTTCTCCTGCCTTCAGCCTTGGCCCCCTCAAATCTGAGCTCACACGGACCGTAGGGTTACTTTTCTAAAATAAAAATCAGGTCATATAAATGTCCTGCTTCAAGTCCTTCATAGACTCTTAGAGGTTAGAAAACCCCTCACTCTGTGGCATAGGATGTGAGGCCCTTCCCTCTTTTACTCTTGCCCATCCATTCAGCTCATCTCAGACCAGCTACACATTTTTACATGCCCCACATTCTAATAACACTGACCCATTGTAGTGACTCTGCACTCTACTCAGTCTCACACATCCACATCTGTATTCTCTATTTCCCTTTATCCAAAAGCCCCCTCCTCAGCTCGCCCACCTGAGAAGGCTTCTCCCCTCCATGCCTTAGCTTTAACCTCAATCCTGTAAGTCCTTCTGGGCCCCTGCCCTTGGAAGAGAGACAGCATCTTTATTTGTGCATTCACTTTTTTTCTGCAGATCTCTAAAATAATTTCCAGCTTCACCTCTCTTCTCACCAGGCTTTGAGCTCCTGAGAAGCATGAACAAGGATGTGTAACATCGTGGTTAAGAATGTAACTTCTAGTCAGGTGGCCTGGATTTGAATTCTGGCTCTATTTTCTCTTAGCTGTGTATCTTTGGTTTGTTTATGGCTTTGAGCCTCAGTTTCTTTGTCTGCACAACAACCAGATGAAGAATCACCTGTAAAGTGCTTAGAGCAGAGCCTGACACATAGTAATTCCATAGTAAAAGTGATCTATTATTACTATTGTAACTACTATTATCTCTGCATGGGGAGTGTGTTACCAAGAAGATAGTATATAGGAGGTCCTTAATAAATATTTAATGCATGTTTTCCAACTTTACACTTTGCAAGAAAACTATGTTAGAACACATGCATGCACGCACACACATACAGCCCTGGGGACTAGAAGATGAGAAATTTACCTGTCATATATATTTCTTCTATCATAGCAATCTGTTTCTAGTTCTCAAAGGGGAAGGTTGTCCTCATAGCCCAGTCTCTCAGTCCTATAATCTTACTGCTGCAGCATTTTAGGAGGAATTCAGTACTTTAAATCAAAGAGGTAGCTATAGAGCTACCTTGGTGACATTTATCCATAAAGCAATAACAGGTGGGAAGAAACTTGGAGATGAAAATCTGAACCCACAGCAGCCATTTGACTGCTCTGTTTAGGAGCAAGTTTTCACATAACTCTAATCAATGCTATGCTCCAACCCAGAAGTATTAAAAACTATCTTCTAAGCAAAAACTATTTACTGTCAGCTTTTATAACATTAGAATTTGATACAAAAAGTTGTATAATGCAGTCTTTTTAATGACCTATTTTGGGCCTGTCCTTGTCACTTTGCCACACCAACACCATCTAAGCCTTATTATATGCTAAGATTTTTTTCTTTTATTCCTGGATTCTGAAAAAATTGGTTTGAGCTGCAGAGTACTTCTTTCTTTATATTTCTAAGGAAGCTTTCATAACATGGTAGCCAAATTATGTGAAAAATGTATCCCTGTGGTGATGTCATTTTCAAGGGAAAACATACTTGGGATATGAAGTATTCCCATCAGGAATCTCCGAGATCTCACATCTGTACTCTTAACCCCAAGAGGTTATCAAATGATAGTAGTTGATTGTAAAAGGGATGACTTCTAATGGGGTGTTGGCAGGCAGGCTGGCCAACAGTCAGAGGTCACTGCACAAATATTTATAGAGGAAGTGAAGGCTTCATTTTTGCTTTCACTATCAGACAGCTCTCACAAATGTGCAAAGAAAGACTAATGCTTGGGATTAAGATACCCTTGTACATAGGAAAATCCAGAAATCGATAGCTTGTTGGTAGAGTCTTACATGGTGTCAAATGCCAGCCTCTAATTATTCAGTGTAGGCCACCTAAAGGAGTTTCATAATAAAGAGAAAATGTCCCTAAATAAATAAACAAAGCCAGATGAAGAAGTTTGAAGAAAAATGCATCACCTGCCCAAATAGAACATGAAGAATCCTTTAAGAATATGTAGACAATAATTACAAAGCTGCATGGAAACATTTATTTCTTGATGACTTTAAGATGGTTGCCAATATCTAAAAGTAGAGACACTTTTTAATTCCTTTCAGACCAAAGATGTATTATGGCAAGTCCTGTGATCTCCTATTCATTCCCAGAGCAAGATATGAATGATCATTAGTACAATTAGATGACAAAATTGGAAAAGTACAAGTGGATACTCAGGTGGTCTTTTAGTTGGTTCATCGGGGAAGCAACATGGGGTGGCAGCTAGGACACAGGCTTTGCAGCAAAAATGACTCAAGTCAGAAGCCTGTCTCCACTTCTTGTTAAGTCTGCAAATTTCTTAACTTCTCTAAACTCCGTTCTCATCTTTTGTAAAATGGAGACAATCCTTAGGGTCATTGTGAGGATTAAATGAGATCATGACCATGAAACCTTTAGCACGTTTCCTAGCATTCAAACATTATTCCAAAATATTAGTTACTGTACTATGGAATGAGTGACGAGAGGAAGGGGTCACCTTTTGTTTCATTCATTTCACAGAGTGCAACCTGATTTTTCAGTGAGTGTTGACAAGTCTTCTCAGGGATCAGTGTCAATGTTTTCAAGCCTCATAGGAGAGCCAGAAGAACCCAGACACAGACTTACCAGCTATAAAGTAGGAGAAAGGCCTATTAAAGCCAAGAACTGTCTAACACCAAATGCTGTGAGTCTGGCTTACAGAATAGTTTATGTTGATTCTTTGATTCATTGCTATGGGTAATGACTACTGCAGGAAGGACGGGACCATACTGATGGCAGCAGAAGTGAGAGTTCTAGGATGAGTCACAGAATAATCACATCAGACCACATGGATTGTGCATGCCTGCCAGGCAGCTGACTTCTTTCAGTGTGCCGATTGAAAAAGCATATATGAGGATTTATTAATCTACTTCCAGGTATCAAAAAAGTAAACATAGTCAACAGATAGCAAGGCTTGCAGCGAATTGGTAGCCCATGAATCTCTGGTTCTGGTATTGTTAGAGGAACCATAAAATATAATTTCATGTATGATATGTTTCACAGTTACCCAATGGGAAAATTTATGACATTCTTTACATATATCACAATTAGCTGATGACAGCAAAAATAAAATGTTGACTATTTCCTAAGTTGAGAAAAACTCACATTTTTAAACAATTATGCCCTAGTTATCAACTCTTCCTGCTAATTTTGTTTCGAATTGGGTCTTTTTACAAAAGTGCCTGACAACTTAGACATGTGCTATTTATTAATAACTGTTTTATAAGGTTCAACCATCTCCTATATACATACTGTACTCATGTAACCAACATCTAATGTTCTCAAAGGACTAGACCAAGCTCTGTTTTTTATATTAAATGTGTAAAATTAGTATCTTCACTAGTTATGATACAAAAGATGCAACAAACTCAGTTAAGCCTTTACCTTGGAGTACTCTTTTATGTTCAGTATTTAAAAATTTATTTTTAATTGACAAATAATCATTGTATATATTTGTTTGGAACAATGTGATGTTTTGATACATGTATATATTGTAGAATAATTAAATCAAGCTAATTAAGTTATCACCTACTTATTTTTTTGTGGTAAGAACACTATCTTGGAGTACTCTTTAAGCGCAAGCTATGATGACATGATTGCAGCTGTGAGTACATGTTTGCATTATATATGCATCTGTATGTTTATGACTAGAAGGGAATATACAAGTAACCTATTGTGATAAGTTGTAGTGACATTAAAACAGATTCCATTTTCATCCTCCAGATCCCTACCTTACTACATTGCTAATGGGTTTCTTTTACAATTAAAATAACACAAGATGAAATGAATTGGCCCAATTTTTTGCTTCAGTAGACAGAATTTAGTGGCATCTCTTTGGGATGATTTAGGACCATATGGGGAATTGAAGTGAACATCGTGAGCATCCACATTTTTATGGAAAGTAAGAGAAAGGGAATCAATTGTGGTGACTCCAGAATATGATGTTCAGGTATATTAGTTTCCTGTGGCAACTGCAGCAAATTACCACAAACGAGGAGGCTTAAAACAACAGAATTGCATTCTCTCACAGTTCTGGAGTCCAGAAGTTCAAAGTCAAGGTGTTGGCAGGGCCAGCTCTTTCTGGAGGCCTTGGGGGAGAATTGTTCCATGCCTCTGATCCAGCTTTGGTGGCTGCTGGCAATTCTTGGTGCCCCTTGTCTTGTAGGTGCATTGCTCCAATCTCTGCCTCTGTCCTCACATAACGTTCTTGGTGTGTCTTCTTCCATTCTTTTCCCTTTTATGAACACTTGTCATTAGATTTATGGTCCATCCTAATCCAGGATGATCTCATTTCAAAATTCTTATCTTAATCACATTTACAAAGATCTTTTCTTCCCAAATATGGTCACATTCTGAGATTCCAGGCCATCTGCAAGCCAAGGAGAAAGGCCTCAGAAGAATACCAAACCTGCCAACACTTTGATCTTGGACTTCCATCCTCCAGGAGTGTGAGAAAATAAGTTTCTGTTGCTTAAGCAACCCAGTCTGTGGTATTTGTTATGGCAATTCTAGCAAACTAATACAATGTCTTAATAAAAAGCAAGTTGTTTTCTTCAAGATTAGTACTCAGAAAGGAAGAACATGCCTTATAGTCAAATCCTTCGAACATTACAAAACATTCAAACAAGCATTTTATATTAGACAATGTGATACAGTTCGGAAGAAAAACACTAGCTTGAAATGACTATAATCAGTGCTAGTTTGGGATGTTGTATGGAGGTCACCTAACAAAACTGGTTTAAAAAGTCTTAATAACAAAAGGAAACAAATTATTTCATAATTATTTCTTAGTGTACAATCTCACAATGTATATGTTAAATTTTATTTTTTTAATTTGATTTTAAAGTGTTCTTTAAAAATCAATACCTTAAGTGGTTATGTTGTAGAGATAAAGCATGCACTTGCAGAATAAATAGAATGGATATCTATTATATGAATTGGTTGGAAGAATATGGCTCACGATAAAATTTCCAGTGACAATATTATATATAAATCCAAAAAAGTGCTAGTCCTCTATCTCAAACAACTTAGGTGAAAGTGAGAATGACAATTCCATTGTAGAAAACTGTAAACGCTACTTCCAAGATGACTGTGTTGATTATTGTATTGGTACCATTTTTTGTCTGGTGGGTAGGGAGCAGAAAACTCTTTAGTTCACAAATAGTCAGACTGAGAGGAACTGTACCTGAGGAGGTAGACCCAAGGAGACTCCACTGCATACAGACCTGATTTAGATTATGGAATCTGGGATGAGACTCGCTTTCATAAGAGCCCTGAGGGGTATTTGTGTGTTGATGATTCTTCTGCAAGCATCATTCAGAGGCTGAGATTGAGGGAAGTTCTACCATCTTTAACATGTTACATCTAGGGTCACCTTGCCTCTTGATACCCACAGTCAGAGAGGTGAATGTTGAAGATGCATGTGAAAAATTTGAATAAAGTTGTTTTATTAAAGATGAGTGAAATAAGGTAATATAGTTATCAATTTTCACATGTAAATACTTATAAGTAAATTAAGAAATTAAATATTATAAATCAAGAGTTGATTATTTCAATTATATTCTCCAAAACTTGATGTTTTAAAGTTGGTCAAAATAATAATTTTTTTAGACTTTTGTTACTGGAAAAAGAAGAGATTGCCTTATATGTGGCATAATTTTCTATTCAGGCATACATAGAAAATGTATTTAAAAATTATTAATTCATTGCTACATTCCATTACTCCCAAAAATGTGTTCTGAAGAATAGAAGTTCCTTAACTACTTTAAAAAGACAAGTTTTTCAGTCAAGCAACTATGTGAAAGGCTGCACTCACAATTTCCCTCATGGAGAATCCAGTACAGATCAGCATAGTAAAAGGCTCTGGAAAGCTCTTCAGTAAAAAAACTGGTTTAATTTTGTTTAACCTAGCATCTCCCAAACATGATTTACTCAAAAGACCGATCTCTCTATTGTTAACAAATAGACTGTTCTTTTGTAGCAGTTTTAGGTTTACAGAAGTATTGCATTGAAAGTACAAAGAGCTTCCATCTACCCTCTTTTCCACAGTACACAGTTTCTTCTAATATTAACATCTTGCATTATTGTGGTACATCTGTTATAATTCATGAACCAATATTGATACATTATTATTCATTAAGGTGCATAGTTTACATTAGGGTTCACTCTCTGTGTGTACAGTTCTATGGATTTTAACAAATGTACCATGTCATGTAGCCACCATTCCAGTATCAGGAAGAAGAATTTCACACCGCCCTAAAAATGCCTTGTGCCCTACCAGTCCATCCCAGTCCATCCCTTTCCCCTTCGCCCTAAATGCCTGGCGACCATTGACCTTTTCACTGTCTCTCTAGTTTTGCCTTTGCTAGGATGTCAGATAGTTGAAATCATAGAGTTTGTAGTCATTTCAGACTGGATTCTTTCACTTGGTAATATGCACTCAAAATTCCTTCATGTTTTTTAGAAGTGGTAAACATTCTTTACATTTTCTGGATTCACATACATTGTCAGTTACATGCATTACAAATACTTTCTCCCAGTTTGTGTACCTGCCTTTTCATTTTATTAACAAGTCTCCTGTAAATAAGAGTTTTTAATTTTAAGTAAGTCCAATCTATCAGTTTTTCTTTTATTGTTATTATGTTTTGTCCTGTCTAAGAAACAGTGCCTAGCCTAAAGTCACAAAGGAACTCTCCTATATTTTCATATAGAAATGTTATTATTTTAACTATTATGTTTAGATCCATCCTCCAACTCAAATTAATTTTTGTGTATGTTGTGAAGAAAAGATTGAGATTCATTATTTCCCATACAGATATCCAGTTTTTTTCACCATCATTTGTTAAAAATACATCTCTTCTCTATGTAATTATCTTAGTGCCTTTGTTAAAAATCAATAGAGGGAGTCTATTTCTGGATAATCTATTCTGTTCCATCTGTCTACATGTCTATTCATATTGTTTACATTACTGAAGACTTATAGTGTTTCTTGAAATCAGTAGTCTTCCAACTTTGTTCTTTTTCAAGATTGTTTTGGTTATCCTAAACCCTCAACATTTCTATTTAAGTTTTAAAACCAGCTTGTAAATGTCTACCAAATGCCTGCTTGGGTGATGATTACAATTGGGTTGAATCTACAGATTAATTTGGAGAAAATTAACATCTTACTAATATTGTTTCTTTTTATCAATACACTTGGTCTCTCTCAAAGTATTTAGTGTTTTTTTGAAAAACTCTCAGTTGTGTCTTATAATTTTCCATGTAGAAATTTTGCAAAAGTTTCCTTAAATTTATTTCTAATTATTTTTTATTTTCATTATGGTTGTCAATGGTGGGTTTTTTTTTTTTTTTTTTTGGAGTTTCACTCTTGTCACCCAGGCTGGAGTACAATGACATGATCTCAGCTCACTGCAACCTTCACCTCCCAGGTTCAGGTGATTCTCCTGCCTCAGCCTCCCCAGTAGCTGGGATTACAGGCACACACCACCACGCCCAGCTAATTTTTGTATTTTTAGTAGAGATTGGGTTTCACCATGTTGGCCAGGCTGGTCTCGAACTCCTCACCTCAGTTGATCTGCCGGCCTTGGCCCCCCAAAGTGCTGGGATTACAGGCATGAGCCACTGCGCTCAGCCGTCAATGGTATTTTTGAAATTTTACTTTCTACCTGTTTGTTTCTATCACAGATACATTTTGTGTGAATCCAGTATCCTATAATTTTGCTATATTATTAGTTCTAGTTACATTTTTGTAGATTATTTGGGACATGTTATCTGTGAATAACAACAGTGTTCTTTCTTCCTTTTCTTTTTTTCCTCTTTTATTCTTTATTGCCAGGCCAGGGTTTTCAGGACAATGGAGAGTAGAAGTAGTAAAGATGGATATTCTTATCCTTCTCCTAGTTTAAAGGTGACAGTTAATATTTCACCATTAAATATGATGTTATTTATAGATTTTTAATAGATGTTCTTTATGAGATTGAGAAAGTTTCCTTCTATTCCATGAATGTGTGTTGATTTTTTTCAAATGCATTTTCTGCCTCAAACAAGTTGACTTTATACTTTTCTACTTTATTATGTTAATATGGCAAGTTGTCTGATTTCAAACGTTAAGCCAACTTGCATTCTAAGGTCAATGTATTGTTATTCTTTTGATATGTTGCTGGATTTGATATTACTAATATTATATTGTGTGTGTGTGTGTGTGTGTGTGTATTTATATATTGCAGTGTCTGATTTACTAATGTTTTATTAAGGATTTTTGCTTGTATGCTCATGAGAAATAATGGTTTGTAGTTTTGTTCTCTGTATTGGGGTTTTTGGTTTTTTGTATCAGAGTCATGCTGGACTCATAGATAAGTTAGATAGTATTCTCTCTTCTTCTACTTTTGATGCCAAATTGCTATTATTTCTCCTTTTTTTTTAGTATAATTCCCCAGTGATGCCATCTGGATCTGGAGTTATCTTTTGTGGGAATTTTTAAATTATAAAATGTATTTTTTAGTAGAACAGGGCTATTTAGATTTTCTATATCTTGTGTTGTGTTTTTCTAGGAATTTGTTCATTTCATATTATTGTCAAATTTATTGAAAAGTTGTTCATAATATCCCTCTATTTATTATAATTTATATAGTTATCAATAGTATCAATAGTGATGAACCCTACTTTCATTCTTCATATTGCTAGTTTGTGTTTTATCTCACTCTCTGTATCTAGATTATTCTTGGTAGATTTTATCAAGTTTATTAATCTTATCTTTGAAGTAACTTTAGCTTCTATACTTTCTCAATTTGGGGGATAAGCTATTTTCTAATTCATTGATTGTCAACCCTGTTTTATATTGAGTCTGAGTTTAATTTGCTCTCCTCTGCCACAGCTTAATAAAGTATAGGTTTTTATTATTTTTCTAATATATGCTTTTAAAGTTACAATTTTCTCCAAGCATTGTTTTATGTCACAAATTGTGATTTATTGTGTTTTCATTATCTTTCAGTTTAAAACATTTTCAAATTTATTTTGTGATTTCTTCTTTACAAATGTATCATTTACCTGTGTTCCTTAATTCCCAAATAGTTGGGCAATTCCTGAATATCTTATTCTTATCGATTTCGAATTAACTTCCGTTATGGTGAGAGAAAATACTCTTCTGGCCCAATATACAATATTTTTAACAAACATTTCAGGTTTACTTGAGAAGTATATGTATTATATTATTATTGGATGAAATATTCTATAAACATAAAATAGATAAAGTTGCTTGATAGTGTAATGCAAATCTTGTATATCATCACTAAATTTTTTCTATTTGTTTTATCAATTATTGGGAAAGAAGTGTTAAAACTTCCAGTGATAATCATGGATTTGTCTATTTAGTTCTGTTTTGGCTTAGTATATATCAAAGCTTTGTTTTAGGCATTACATACTTAGGATTATTATGTCCATTTGTTGAATAGACCGTTTTATCATTATTGTATGTTTTTTAAATTAATTATTAATATGATTGGGTTTAATTCCATGATCTTGTTACTTGCATTTTATTTGTCTTTCCTGTTATTTCTTGGTTCTTTCTTTCTTGTCTTCTTTTCAATTAATCAAATATATTTTAGTATCATTTAACTTCCTTTACTTTCTTTTTAAGGATAACTCTGAATATTTGTGTGTGTGTATGTGTGTGATTGCTGTAGATAGAGATTAAAACATGAATCCTTAATATGAAGTCTACATTAAATTAATATTAAGTCACTGTATTTATAATGTAAGACCCTTAAAACAATATAATTTAACACCCTTCCATCCTTCGTGCTATTACTGTTCTATAACCTCAACAGTACACTGTCATTATTTTTGCCTTAACCAATCATCTTTCTAAAAATACCACGTGAGAAATAACAGGTCTTTTATATTTGCATATATGCTATTTTTAGTGCTTTTCATTTCCTCCCATAGATCCAAAATTTCTACCAGGTATTATTCCCTTCTATCTACAGAACTGGAAATGAATTTTCTCAGCTTCCTTTAATCTAAAGCTGTCATTAATTTATTTTGATTTCTGAAAGATATTTTTACTGGCTATAAATTTTTAAGGTGACAGTTTCTTTTTGCTTTCAGCATTTTAAAGATATTGTACCATTGCTTCTGGCTGCTATGATTTTCAGTGAGAAATCAGGCATTGTTCTTATCATTGTTCCTTTATAATTTGTCTTTTTTCTTTGGCTGCTTTTAAGATTTTTTTTCTATATCTTAGATTTCCAACCATTTTATCATGATATGCCTAGTTGTGGCTTCCTGTGTAATTATCCTGCATGGAGTTCCCTTAACTTCCTGGATCAGTGGATTTTGGCTTTTATCAAATTTGAAGAATTTTCAAATACATTTCTGCTCCATTTTCTCTCTGCCCTCCATTTGAGATCCCAGTTATACAAAAGTTTGTTTGATTGTCTTACAAGTCATTGAAGCTTTCTTCCTTCATTTTTCAATATTTTTCCTCTTTCTGTGCTTTGATTTTAATAGTATCTATTTACATGACTTCAAATTTACTGCTCCTTTCTGATACAGTTTTTGATCTGCTTCTAATCTTATTAACAACATTTTGTTTTCTAGTACTTTATCTTTCAGTGCTAGGATTTCCAGTTGGTTCTTTTCAGAGTTTCCATGTCTCTCTTGAAATTGCCCATCTCTTAAGTCATTGGCAATCCATCTTTTTGTTTAAATTCCTTAACATATTTATCAGAATTATTTTAAAGTTCTTATCTGTTAATTCCAACATCTGTGGGTCTCCTCCTGCAGACTATATTTTCTCTTGAAATACAGGTCTTTTTTTTCTGTTTTTCTAATAACTTTTTGTTTTAAATTGAACAGTATGTTTTCTTGTAGAAGACATATCATAGAGATTCTGGCTTTTATTATTTTCCTCTAGAGTGTTGATTTTTGTTTCAGTAAATGCTAAGTTACTGACACTATCTCATTTCTGAAAAGATTTAGTTTTAGGGCTTTATTAGGGAAGGTTTATTTTGGTTCTGTAAAGACACAGCTCTTAATTCTGGGATATGGTCCTTACTTCTAAGGCATGACCCTTCAGAGGTTTTACTGGGAAGCCTTAGCTGTTTACTAATTCACTCTAACCTGGTAGGACTTGAACTCCAAACTCTGTCTCCCCAGCACTTAGCCTACTGACATCTCTGCTCAATTCTTTGCTTCCAGCTGTGCATTTGATTGACTTCTCCTTGGAGGCTTACCCTGGCATTCATAGGTTTAGAGTCAGCCAAATATTTAAGAAGAATTTTTATGTAGAAATGTGCTCCTTCATACATGACTAACTCCTTTCTGGAATACCTCCCCCAACCATCATTTAATTCCTAGCTGTGCTGGCAGCTCAAGATCCAATCTCTGACTCCCCAGTGCAGTCAGACTGATGCTTTTGGTCTGAGCTCTATCCCTTACTTCCATGCAACTTAGGGCATGCCCTTAGGGGAAAAGTTGGATAAATGTGAATCTCAGCTAATTTGTATATTGTCTTTCACAGCAAGTCTCATCCAGTGTACTCCTGATTTTACGTTCTCTCCAGTGCCTTCCAAGGCTTCAAATTCAGAATTTATAGTTGTTATTGGCAAGAGGGCTAGTCCAATACAAGCTACTCTGCCATGAACAGAACTAGAACTCTTCTAATTACTTGCTTGTTATTTAAAACACACTTTGTAAATAAATGAGAATGATTACTCAGGAGCTACCTCTAACACTACCATTGTGGCTCCTGGTTTATTTTCCAGCACGTGTCTCCATAAACATTATGTAACTTCCCCTGTGTCATTTCAAACCATTAAAAATCACACAATGAAGTGTAAACACAAACCTGTTCTGAAGTAGTGAAGAACCTCATTCAATATGTCAGCCTTGGCTGCCCTGAGTTCAATTTGTGTACCAGGGGAAACAAGAGCAATTTTCCTATTGACTGGGAAGTATACACCCCCATTTTCCTCAGCAATATCATCTGGAGCATGGAAGCCTCTTAGGCACGTAACACACGCCCACAGTTTATTCTATGCTTACAACACTCAGTAAGTTCCACAAAGTACTGGCAGGTCATGTTACTTGTTTCATTTTCTATATAGCTTTTTTATTCTTTAGGCCCCAAACATAGATTCACCTTTAAAAGTTGAATTTTCACACAGCTTAGGTCCATATCATCCCAAAGAAAATAAGCAGAGGGGATCTGGGTTGGGAGTGAGTTGTTGAACGTTGTGCCTTAGCTGGATTCTGCTCCTACCTTGGCCACTTGGATTTTAGAATTTCACTGGTGCAGTGAGTTATGAAACTGTCTATTTCCATGCCAGGAACTACCATTAGTATTTACACCTACGAATGTATTTCATCCTCACAATAGACACATTTTATAGTTGAGAAAGTGGGCACAAAGATTTCAGTTATTTCCCCAAGATCACAATCAAGTGTGATTCTGCCCAAGCATGTTATTTCACATGAGATCAAGGGGCCAGGCTGAACCCATGGTCTATGCTCTCTCATTTATTGGACTCTGCTGCCCATCAAGTCCTGTTAATGCTCTGCCCCCAGTTGTAATCTGTAGAGAGTGCAAATAGCCCATGCCAAGGCCTGCCGTCTGTTTGATTTTTTTATGCTTTCTTCCTCGGTGTTTTCGTGGTCATTCTGCCAGATGTCGGACATGCCAGGGCGTTTCTCCCAGGCTCACTCCTTCATCTCAGGAGCTAAGGTTGCATGAAGCCATCTTCCTTGGAATGGTCAGAATCTGAATGCTCCTCAATGTGGTTTATGTAACATATCTCTAGTAAGTGTATCCATTATGCCAGACATTACCTAGATATTGGGGATTAAATAAGATTATCACTGGTGGCCTTGAGAATTTCAAGGTCTGCTGGTAAAGAAATCTACATACATAGGCCGGCGCGGTGGCTCATGCCTGTAATCCCAAGACTTTGGGAGGCCAAGTCGGATGGATCATGAGGTCAAGAGATTGAGACCATCCTGGCCAACATGGTGAAACCCTGTCTCTATTAAAAATATAAAAATTAGCCAGGCGTGGTGGCAGGTGCCTGTAGTCCCAGCTACTCGGGAGGCTGAGGCAGGAGAATCGCTGAACCCGGGAGGTGGAGTTTGCAGTGAGCTGAGATCATGCCATTGCACTCCAGCCTGGGCA